>NC_000019.10:21522993-22985986 GCF_000001405.40 Homo sapiens | reverse complement strand
AATATCCTTCAGGACTTTGCTCAGTAGGGTAGATGCTAGGGCAGGTTTCTGCAGTCAGGTCTGCATATGGTGGGCTTTATATTAGGATGTGGATTAGTATGGCTTTCACTGAGTACCAGAGAGGATTTCTGAGGTCACTGTGGATTTCTACATAGGCAGAACTGGCCATGAACTGTGGCTTAGGAAGCTGGAACTGAGTCTTGGAACTGCTATTGGGACCAAGGTCTGCAGGCCTGCCAGCATTGCTCTAAATGGGTATCACTCTCCAGGCCTCTGGAAGACCCAAGACCTCTCACAGACTGTGGCTGGGAGGAGTTTGGGATGATTACAGAGTAAGTTCAAAATTTTCAGTGGGACCAAGTTGGGTGGGACATTTTCTGGTCTGTAGTCAAGAGCAGGGGTCCTGTAGTTTGCCACCTGAATGAAAGCTTGCCTTCTGAAAAGGGTGCTCCTCAATCTTGGGCTTTAGCAAAGTTTCACAATTGCCTCCCTGGATCTCAAAGCTCTCTTAAAGGCACTTATTTTTGAGATGGGGTCTCACTGCATAACCCAGGTTGGTCTTAAAATTTTGGCCTGAAGCAATTCTTCAACCTTACTGTACCATGTAGCTGTCATTACAGATATTAACCATGCTGCCTGGTTCTCTCATTAAGACATTTTTGTCATGGATGACTGACAGACTTTCTTGCTGTTGGGGGTTAAGCAAATAGGGCACCTTTTTCTTTTTATCTGCTTCTAAGAGTGTAAATGCTTTATAGCTATATATCTCATATAATCTTTGTCTTTTTGCAGCTGACTCATTTCATTTTGCATAATGTTATCAAGATTTATCTTTATAATTGGTAGAACATTTTCTGCTTTTTGAAAACTGAGTGATATTCCAGTATTTTTATATTTCAGATTATATTTACTGAATGATTTGGTGACAGAAATTTGCATTGCCTTTACCTATTAGCTTACAGTAATAATTATTGCTATGTAAATGACTCCTCATATGACCATACATGTTAAAGTATATATATGTGTTGCATTCTATTTCATTAGTCTAATTTTTCATCCTTATACCAGATTGTTTTAATTCTGTAGCTTGGAATGTCTTTTGAAATCAGGAACTTTAATGCCTGCAATATTGCTTTATTATTATTATTATTATTTTAAGATTGTTGGGAACTTTATTGTCTTTTGAAATTCTATATACTTTTGGGGTTACTGTTTCTATTTCTTCAAAAATGCAATGAGAAATTTGAAAAACATTTCATTAAATTTGTAGATTACATTGACCAGGATGAACATCTTTACAATGTTAACTATTACAACATTTGCATAAGAGCATGCTTGAGTGTTTTGTTAAATTCCTATGTGTGTGTATATGTGTGTGTGTGTGTGTGTGTGTGTGTGTGTGTGTGTGTATTTTTTTTTTTTTTTTTTTGAGATGGAGTCTCGCTCTATCTCCAGGCTGGAGTGTAGCGGCACAATCTTGGCTCACTGCAACCTCTGCCTCCCGGGT
The DNA here is from genome assembly GCF_000001405.40 of Homo sapiens. Lineage (NCBI taxonomy): Eukaryota > Metazoa > Chordata > Mammalia > Primates > Hominidae > Homo > Homo sapiens. The sequence continues at coordinate 22,984,479 of NC_000019.10, read as the reverse complement.
TCAAGCGATTCCTTTGCCTCAGCCTCCTGAGTAGCTGGGACTACAGGTGCATGCCACCAAGCCTGGCTAGTTTTTCACATTTTAGTAGAGACAGGGTTTCACTATGTTGGCCAGAATGGTCTCTATCTCCTGACCTCAGGTGATCCACCCACCTCGGCCTCCCAAAGTGCTGGGATTACAGGCGTGAGCCACCCATGCCTGGCATATTTTTTTTTCAATTTTTTTCTATTATTGTATACTTGCATTTGAGTTTAGTCATAGAAAATAATTCATAAAATTTCAGTTTTAAAAAATTTGGTAAGACTTCTTTTTTGGCCTAAGAGGTGGTCTATCAAGAAATATGTTGTATGAGCTATTGAGAAGGGTGTATATCCCGATGTTGAGGAGTGCTGTCTATACCTCTGTCAGAAATAGTTGTTTTATACCACCTTTAAGTAGTCCGTTTCCTTGTTAATATTCTGTTTTGATTTTTTTTATTATACTTTAAATTCTGGGGCACATGTGCAGAACGTGCAGGTTTGTTACGTAGGTATGCACGTGCCATGGTGGTTTGCTGTACCCATCAACCCGTTATCTACATTAGGTATTTCTCCTAATGTTATTCATCCCCTAGCCTCCCACTCCCCGACAGGCCCTGGTGTGTGATGTTCCCCTTCCTGTGTCCCTGTGTTGTCGTTGTTCAACTCCCACTTATGAGTGACAACATGCTAGTTTGATTTTCTGTTCTTGTGTTACTTTGCTGAGAATGATGGTTTCCAGCTTTATCCATGTCTCTGCAAAGGACATGGACTCATCCTTTTTTATGGCTGCATAGTATTCCGTGGTATATATGTGCCACATTTTCTTTATCCAGTCTATTACTGATGGGCATTTGGGTTGGTTCCAAATCTTTGCTATTGTGAATAGTGCTGCAATAAACGTATGCATGCATGTGTCTTTATAGTAGAATGATTTATAATTTTGAGCGTATATACCCAGCAATGGGATTGCTGGATCAAATGGTATTTCTAGTTCTAGATCCTTGAGGAATCACCACATTGTCTTCCACAATGGCTGAACTAATTTACACTCCCACCAACAGTGTAAAAGCATTCCTACTTCTCCACATCTTCTCCAGCATCTGTTGTTACCTGACTTTTTAATGATCACCATTCTAACTGGCATGAAATGGTACTCATTGTGGTTTTCATTTGCATTTCTCTAATGACCAGTGATGATGAGCTTTTTTTCATGTTTGTTGGCCACATAAATGTCTTTTTTTGAGAAGTATCTGTTCATATCCTTTGCCCACTTTTTGATGGGGTGTTTTTTTTTTCTTGTAAATTTGTTTAAGTTCTTTATAGATCCTGGATATTAGCCCTTTGTCAGATGGCTAGATTGCAAAATTTTTCTCCCATCCTGTAGGTTGCCTGTTCACTCTGATGATAGTTTGTTTTGCTGTGCAGAAGCTCTTTAGTTTAATTAGGTCCCGTTTGTCAATTTGGCTTTTGCTGCCATTGCTGTTGGTGATTTAGTCATGAAGTCTTTGCCCATGCCTGTGTCCTGAATGGCATTGTCTAGGTTTTCTTCTAGGGTTTTTATGGTTTGGGGTGTTACATTTAAGTCTGTAATCCATCTTGAGTTAATTTTTATATAAGGTATAAGGAAGGGGTCCAGTTCAGTTTTCTGAGTATGGCTAGCCAGTTTTTTCAACACCATTTATTAAATAGGGAATCGTTTCCCCATTGCTTGTTTTTTTCAGATTTCTCAAAGATCAGATGGCTGTAGATCTGTGTTGTTATTTCTGAGGCCTCTGTTCTGTTCCATTGGTCTATATATCTGTTTTGATACCAGTACCGTACTGTTTTTGTTACTGTAGCCTTGTAGTGTAGTTCGATACTACAAGTCAGGTAGCATGATGCCTCCAGCTTTGTTCTTTTTGCTTAGGATTGGCTATATGAGCTTTTTTTTGGTTCCATATTAAATTTAGTTTTTTCAAAATCTGTAAAGAAAGTTAATGGTAGCTTGATGGAATAGTGTTGAATCTATAAATTACTTTGGGCCGTATGGCCATTTTCACAATATTGATTCTTCCTATCCATGAGCATGTAATGTTCTTCCATTTGTTTGTGTCCTCTCTTATTTTCTTGAGCAGTGGTTTGTAGTTCTCCTTGAAGAGGTCCTTCACATCCCTTGGAAGTTGTATTCCTAGGTATTTTATTCTCTTTGTAGCAATTGTGAATGGGAGCTCAGTCATGATTTGGCTCTCTATTATTGGTGTATAGGAATGCTTGTGATTTTTGCACATTGATTTTGTGTCCTGAGACTTTGCTGAAGTTGCTTATCAGCTTAAAGAGATTTTGGGCTGAGACAATGGGGTTTTCTAAATCATGTCATCTGCAGATAGAGAAAGTGTGACTTCCTCTTTTCCTATTTGAATACCTTTTATTTCTTTTTCTTGCCTGATTGCCCTCACCAGAACTTCCAATACTATGTTGAATGGGAGTGGTGAGGGAGGGCATCCTTGTCTTGTGCCGGTTTTCAAAGGGAGTGCTTCTGGTTTTTGGCCATTCAGTATGACATTGTCTGTGGGTTTGTCATAAATAGCTCTTATTATTTTGAGATACGTTCCATCAATACCTAGTTTATTGAGAGTTTTTAGCATGAAGGGGTATTGAATTTTGTCGAAGGCCTTTTCTGCATCTATTGAGATAATCATGTGGTTTTTATCATTGGTTCCTGTTTATGTGATGGATTACGTTTATTGATTTGCATATGTTGAACCAGCCTTGCATCCCAGGGATGAAGCCAACTTGATCGTGGTGGATAAGCTTTTTGATGTGCTGCTGGATTCAGTTTGCAAGTATTTTATTGAGGATTTTTGCATCCATGTTCATCAGGGATATTGGACTGAAATTTTTCTGTTGTTGTTGTGTCTCTGCCAGGTTTTTGTATCAGGATGATGCTGGCCTGATACAAAGTTAGGGAGGCTTCCCTCCTTTTGTATTGTTTGGAATAGTTTCAGAAAGAATAGGATCAGCTCTTCTTTGTACCTCTGGTAGAATTCAGCTGTGAATCCATCAGGTCCTGGACATTTTTTATTGATGGGCTAATAATTACTGCCTAAATTTTAGAACTTGTTATTGGCCTATTCAGGGATCTGACTTCTTCCTGATTTAGACTTGGAAGGGTGCATGTGTCCAGGAATTTATTCATTTCTTCTAGATTTTCTAGTTTATTTGCTTAGAGATGTTTATAGTATTCTCTGATGGTAGTTTGTATTTCTGTGGAATCAGTGCTGATGTCCCCTTTATTATTTTTGATTGCATCTATTTGATTCTCTCCTTTCTTCTTTATTAGACTGGCTAGCAGTCTTATCTATTTGTTGATCTTTTCAAAAAATCAGCCCCTGGATTCATTGAATTTTTTTTTTTTTGAAGGGTATTTTGTGTCTGTCTCTCCTTCTGTTCTGCTCTGTTCTTAGTTATTTGTTATCTTCTGCTAGGGTTTGAATTTATTTGTTCTTGCTTCTCCAGTTCTTTTAATTGTGATTTTAGCATGTCTATTTTAGATCTTTCCTGCTTTCTCTCGTGGGCATTTAGTGCTGTGAATTTTCCTCTAGGCACTGCTTTGTCTGTGTCCCAGAGATTCTGGTATGTTGTGTCTTTGTTCTCATTGGTTTCAAAGAACTTTTTTATTTCTGCTTTCATTTTGTTATTTACCCTGTAGTCATTCAGGAGCAGGTTGTTCCGTTTCCATGTTGTGTGGTTTTGGGTGAGTTTCTTAATCCTGAGTTCTAATTTGATTGCACTGTGGTCTGAGAGACTGTTACGATTTCCATTCTTTTACATTTGCTGAGGAGTGTTTTACTTCCAATTATGTGGTCAGTTTTAGAATAAGTGTGATGTGGTGTTGAGAAGAATGTATATTCTGTTGATTTGGGGTAAAGAGTTCTGTAGATGTCTGTTAGGTCTGCTTGGTCCAGAGCTGAGTTCACATCCTGAATATCCTTGTTAGTGTTCTGTCTCATTGATGGGGCTAATATTGACAGTGGGGTGTTAAAGTCTCCCACTATTATAGTGTGGGAATCTAAGTCTCTTTGTAGATCCCTAAGAACTTGCTTTATGATTCTAGGTGCTCCTGTATTGGGTGCATACATATTTAGGATAGTTAGCTCTTCTTGTTGCATTGACCCCTTTACCATTATGTAATGCCCATCTTTGTCTCTTTTGATCTTTGTTGGTTTAAAGTCTGTTTTATCAGAGACTAGGATTGCAACCCCTGTTTTTTTTTTTTTTGTTTCTTTTTTTTTTTTGCTTTCCATTTGCTTGGTAACTATTCCTCTATCCATTTATTTTGAGTCTATGTATGTCTTTGCACATGAGATGGGTCTCTTGAATACAGCACTTAGATGGATCTTGACTCTATTCAATTTGCTAGTCTGTGTCTTTTAATTGGGGGCATTTAGCCCATTTACATTTAAGGTTAATGTTGTTATGTGTGAATTTCATCCTGTCATTATGATGCTAGCTGGTTATTTTGCCCATTAGTTGATGCAGTTTCTTCATAGTGTTGATGGTCTTTACAATTTGGTATGTTTTTGCAGTGGCTGGTACCAGTCGTTCCTTTGTATGTTTAGTGCTTCCTTCAGGAGCTCTTGTAAGGCAGGCCTGCTGGTGACAAAATCTCAGCATTTGCTTGTCTGTAAAGGATTTTATTTCTCCTTCACTTATGAAGCTTAGTTTGGCTGGATATTAAATTCTGGGTTGAAATTCCTTTCTTTAAGAATGTTGAATATTGGCTCCCAGTCTCTTCTGGCTTGTAGGGTTTCTGCAGAGAGATCCACTTTTAGTCTGATGGGCTTCCATTTGGGTATCTCGACCTTTCTCTCTGGCTGCCCTCAACATTTTTTCTTCATTTCAACCTTGGTGAATCTGACAATTATGTGTCTTGGGGTTGCTCTTCTCGAGTAGTATCTTTGTGGTGTTCTCTGTATTTCCTGACTTTGAATGTTGGCCTGTCTTGCTAGGTTGGGGATGTTCTCCTGGATGATATCCTGAAGAGTGTTTTCCAACTTGGTTCCATTCTCCCCATCACTTTCAGGTACCCCGATCAAATGTAGATTTGGTCTTTTCACATAGTCCCATATTTCTTGGAGGCTTTGTTCATTTCTTTTTATTCTTTTTTTCTCTAATCTTGTCTTCTTGCTTTATTTCATTAAGTTGATCTTCAGTCTCTGATATCCTTTCTTCCACTTTATCGATTCAGCTATTGATACTTTTGCATGTATCACGAAGTTCTCATGCTGTGTTTTTCATCTCCATCAGGTGATTTATGTTCTTCTCTAAACTGGTTCTTCCTGTTAGCAATTCGTCTAACCTCTTTTCAAGGTTCTTAGCTTCCTGGCATTGGGTTAGAGCATGCTCCTTTAGCTCGGAGGAGTTTGTTATTACCCACCCACCTCTGAAGACTACTTCTGTCAATTTGTCAAACTCATTCTCTGTTCAGTTTTGTTTGTTTGCTGGTGAGGAGTTGTGATCCTTTGTAGGAGAAAAGGCATTCTGGTTTTTGGAATTTTCAGCCTTTTTACACTGGCTTCTCCCCATCTTTATGGATTTATCTACCTTTGGTCTTTGATGTTGATGACCTTCAGATGGGGTTCTGAGTAAACATCCTTTTTGTAGATGTTGCTTCTGTTCCTTTCTGTTTGTTAGTTTTTCTTTTAACAGTCAGGCCCCTCTGCTGCAGATGTGCTGGAGCTTGCTGGAGGTCCACTCCAGACCCTGTTTTCCTGGGTATCACCAGCTGAGGCTACAGAACAGCAAAGATTGCTGCCCATTCATTCCTCTGGAAGCTTCGTCCCACAGGCCACCCGCCAGATGCCAGCCAGAGCTCTCCTGTATGAGGTGTCTGTCAGCTTCTACTGGGAGGTGCCTCCCAATTAGGAGACATGGGTGTCAGGGACCCACTTGAGGTGGCAGTCTGACCCTTAGCAGAGCTCAAACGCTAGGTGTTGTTTTTTTATGTTACGTTATTTTCAGTGGTAAGAACTGCTTTCAGCATCTTTCCTATGGAAGACATATGCAGTGCCGATATACTTTTTGTGAATTTGATTATTTTGAAAGGTTTTTTTTCTATTAGGACAGATTTGCTGATTTGGTATTATTCTCACTTGATAGCTATTTTTTTTTTTTTTTTAGGACTTTGACTATCTCACACAGTTCTCTTCTGGCCTGTAAATCTTTTGTTGACAATTCACTGGTTATCTCATAAGACTATGTTTGCAAATCACTTTTATCTTGCAGCTCCTAAGATTCTCTTTTTGTCTGTAACTGTTCAAATTGTGATTATAAATATGTTTTTGTTATAAATGTATTTGTGTGTATCCTAATTTGCTTTTTGATCTTGTTTTTTATTTTTACATTATTTTATCTTAATTTTAGAATCAGTTATTTCTTTTTGTATTTTTTATCACCACAATGTAGATATTTTTGTTCTTATCCTCATTTTTCTGATTTTCTATAGTCTTTTGTGTTCCTATTTCACTCAGAGTATTATTCAATCTTTAAAATTAGTATATACATTTTTAATGGTTTCTTTCTGAAAATTTTATAATATTTTTGATGGGATTATATTGCCCTATTTTGTATAGATTGTAATCTTTGAGATTTGGACATTTAAAAATTTATAATATAGCTTTGTCCTGGTGTAGTCAGAAAACAATGGTCTTGGCTAGAGATTATGTGGGTCTCTCAAACATCTTCAGATTTGTCTTGTCTGAAATTTTGTGCTTACCTTTAGTTAAAAGAGATTATTTATGTTTCTTCTGAAAAGTAGTTACTTGTTACACCTTTTCTCTCTTTGCAGCACTGCAGTGCTCTGCTGCATTGTATTTATCTTTGGTCTCAACAGACTCAAACTGTCATTTCTAAGTATACCACCATATCTTTCAGCACTTTATGTCATGGGAGACAGAAACCAGTGTGTGGAAAGGCCCATAGAAGACAGAAATTAAATTGTATGTGCCAATATTTTACTTGCCTTTAGAAAAAAAAACAGAAGTTGACAATTTACTTCTGAAGGGACTAGGTAATATTGAGGAGCAGAAAGAGTTGATTGGGTAAATTTAACAAACTTTTCTTTTTTTCTATGTGGCTCTTTGCATTGGGCTTAATTCAGACACTGTACACACTTAACTCATGTATAAATTATCTACATATGTATTTTGGTCTGTATGCTTTTATTACATTTATATGTCTGTGAAGAATTAGGGCCTGTGTCATACTGCAGTGTCATCTTGCTTATGTAGTTTGAATAATTTTATAGGTTAAATTTGGAAACTATATTTATCTAATAAGTGGACTAATTTGTTATTTTTATTTCTTTTCAGTTATATGTTCTCATTTTGCTCAAGACCTTTGGCCAGAGCAGGGCAGAGAAGATTCTTTCCAAAAAGTGATATTGAGAAGATATGAAAAATGTGGACATGAGAATTTACAGTTAAAAATTGGTTGTACCAATGTGGATGAGTGTAAGGTGCACAAAAAAGGTTATAATAAGCTTAACCAGAGTTTGACAACTACACAAAGCAAAGTATTTCAATGTGGCAAATATGCAAACATCTTTCATAAATGTTCAAATTCAAAAAGACATAAGATAAGGCATACTGGAAAGAAACTTTTGAAATGTAAAGAATATGTCAGATCATTTTGCATGCTTTCACACCTATCTCAACATAAAAGAATTTATACTAGAGAGAATTCCTACAAAAGTGAAGAACATGGCAAAGCCTTTAACTGGTCCTCAGCCCTTACTTATAAGAGAATTCATACTGGAGAGAAACCCTGCAAATGTGAAGAATGTGGCAAAGCCTTTAGTAAGTTCTCAATCCTTACTAAGCATAAGGTAATTCATACTGGAGAGAAACATTACAAATGTGAAGAATGTGGCAAAGCCTTCACCCGGTCCTCAAGCCTTATTGAACATAAGAGAAGTCATGCTGGAGAGAAACCCTACAAATGTGAAGAATGTGGCAAAGCCTTTAGTAAGGCCTCAACCCTTACTGCACATAAGACAATTCATGCTGGAGAGAAACCCTACAAATGTGAAGAATGTGGCAAAGCTTTCAACCGGTCCTCAAACCTTATGGAACATAAGAGAATTCATACTGGAGAGAAGCCCTGCAAATGTGAAGAATGTGGCAAAGCCTTTGGTAACTTCTCAACCCTTACTAAACATAAGGTAATTCATACTGGAGAGAAACCCTACAAATGTGAAGAATGTGGCAAAGCCTTCAGCTGGCCCTCAAGCCTTACTGAACACAAGAGAATTCATGCTGGAGACAAACCTTACAAATGTGAAGAATGTGGCAAAACCTTTAAGTGGTCCTCAACACTTACTAAACATAAGATAATTCATACTGGAGAGAAACCCTACAAATGTGAAGAATGTGGCAAAGCCTTTACTACATTTTCGAGCCTTACTAAACATAAAGTAATTCATACTGGAGAGAAACACTACAAATGTGAAGAATGTGGCAAAGTCTTCAGCTGGTCCTCAAGCCTTACTACACATAAGGCAATTCATGCTGGAGAGAAACTCTACAAATGTGAAGAATGTGGCAAAGCCTTTAAGTGGTCCTCAAACCTTATGGAACATAAGAGAATTCATACTGGAGAGAAACCCTACAAATGTGAAGAATGTGGCAAAGCCTTCAGTAAGGTTGCAAACCTTACTAAACATAAGGTAATTCATACTGGAGAGAAACAATACAAATGTGAAGAATGTGGCAAAGCCTTCATCTGGTCCTCAAGACTTAGTGAACATAAGAGAATTCATACTGGAGAGAAACCCTACAAATGTGAAGAATGTGGCAAAGCCTTTAGCTGGGTCTCAGTCCTTAACAAACATAAGAAAATTCATGCTGGAAAGAAATTCTACAAATGTGAAGAATGTGGTAAAGACTTCAACCAATCCTCACACCTTACTACTCATAAGAGAATTCATACTGGAGGAAAAACCCTACAAATGTGAAAAATGTGGCAAAGCTTTCAATTAGTTCTTAACCCTTACTGAACATAAGGGTATTTATACAGGAGGGAAACCCTACAAATGTGAAGAATGTGGCAAATTTTTTAACTGTTCCTCAATCCTTACTAAACATAAGGTAATTCATACTGGAGGGAATTCCTACAATTGTGTGGAATGTGGCAAAGCCTTTAATCAGTCCTTAAGGCTTACTACGTACAAGACAACTCATACTGGAGAGAAACCATACACGTGTGAAGAATGTGGGAAAGCCTCTAACAGATCCTCAATTCTTAACAGACATAAGCTAATTCATACTAGAGAGAAACTGCAAACCTGAAAGATGTGACAAGGCTTTTGGCAACACCTGAAACTTTTCTGAATATAAAAGAAATCATACTGGTGAGAAATCCTAGAAATGTGAAGAATGTGACAAAGCCTTTAAATGGCTGTCACACTTGATTGTAGGTAAGATATCTCATACTGGAGAAAACTACTAGAATAAACAATGTGGCAAAACATTTAACCAATGCTCATGCCTAATTGCAAAGGAAAGCATTTACACTAGCCTGGGCAACAGAGGGAGACTGTCTAGGGGAAAAAATGTGAATGTCATTAATATCTTCTCACATCTTATTCAGCATCAGAGAGTTCATACTAAATAAAAGCATTAAAAGTGCAGTTGCTGTCAATAGATCTTTCAGAAAATATAAGCCCTTAAAGTACAGAAGAATATTTATTTTGAGGAAACACATTATAAATATAAAGAGAGTTGTAGTACCTTTACGTGTATCACAGGTTTTATTGTACACATTTTGTACTACAGGAAAACCCTGAGGTAGTTGTTCCAACTTTGCTCAACATCAGGGAATTTATATTGAAGAATAACCCTGCAAATTTAATGAATTTGGAAAAACATTTTTTCAAAAACTACAGATTATAAAACACGAAAGTTTATACTAAAATATATGTTTGCAGATGAAGTAAATATTAAAAAATTTTAATCCAAAATTAAGTAAATATCAGAGAATTCACAGTAGAAATATCTGTCTCAAACTTCAGACATTACACTTAATCAGATTGCTGAGTATAGGAAAAAATCCAAAACTAAAGTTGGTAAAAAGAAAAATTATTTGTATGTAACTTTAAAAGAAGTAGATCTTTGAAGAGTTATAATTTCATTTAAAGTACACTTTTGTCTTGAAAATACAGATTTTTTTTTGTCAGACACAGTGGCTTACATCTGTAAGGCCAACACTTTGGGATGCCGAGGTGGGTAGATCACCTGAGTTCAAGACCAGCCTGGCCAACTTGGTGAAACCCCATGTCTACTAAAAGGAAATAAAAAAAATTAGCGAAGCATGGTGGTGTACATCTGTAGTCCCGGCTACTTGGGAGGCTGAGGCATGAGAATCACTTGAACCTGGGAGCCAGAGGTTGCAGTAAGCTGAGATGCTGCTACTGCATTGCAGCCTGGGTGACAGAGCAAGACTCTGTCTCAAAAGAAAAAAAAAACAGCTTATTTGGAAACTGAATAATGATGGAATTCAACTCTTAAATTACTTCACGCCTTTTTTTCATTTCTGTTGTATTCACATGTAAAAAAAATGTGATCAATTCTGCATCAAAGATTTGGGAGACTTTATTAGGCGGTCGTTATTTATTACCTTATGGATGACTAAGGACATTGAAATGTAAGATGCATGATGAAAATTTAAGTGGAAAGGCTGTTTGTGGTTAACTTACAGAATTGAGTGATGTAGGGCATTCCGAGTAATATTCTTTTTTTTTTTTTTTTTTTTTTTTTTTTGAGAGGGAATCTCACTCTGTTGCCCAGGCTGGAGTGCAGTGGCATAATCTCGGCTCACTATAAGCTCCTCCTCCCAGGTTCAAGCTATGCTCCTGTCTCCACCTCCCAAGTAGCTGAGATTACAGTTGCCCCTGACCACATCCAGCTAATATTTCTATTTTAGTAAAACAAGGTTTCACCATGTTGGCCAGGCTGTTCTTGAACTCTTGACCTCAAGTGATCTGCCTGCCTTGGCTTCTCAAAGTGCTGTGATTATAGGTGTGAGCTACTGTGCCCAGCCCTAAGTAATATTCTAATGCGTTATTATGAGAGAAAATCATTCTTATAGTTAAAATTAAATCAAAATAATTAGTATGTCATTTTACTAATTGTACTTTTATGTGATAAAACCACTTTTTTTTAAAGTTTTGGATTGTGTTAATTTTTCAATTCAACATTTATAATGTTAAATACTGTTATACATTCAATAAAGTGTTATTATGCCACTAGTTTTAACCTATTCCACCTTACTCAAGGGTATATTTAAAAGATGGTTACAATACACTATTTGGTAACATAATAGACTAACATCTCTAGTATTCTTCTTTTTTAGTGGCTTTAAACTACAAATAAGTTAAAGAATATGGTTCCTGTAGGTTAAATTTTTTTACATTTAAATTTATTTTTCTTAGTTTTTGTGTTTACATAATATGTGTATATATTTATGTCATATATGGCGTATTTTAATACAGTCATACATTATATAATGATCACATTGTGATAAATAAGGTAGCTATAACCTCTGGCTTTTATGTTTTGTATTACAAACAATTCAATTCTACAGTCTTAGTTATTCTAAGTTGTACAGTTAAATTATTATTGGCTACATGGTTATTTTTATGGTCATCATAAAAATTATATACAAGCGTAAATAAAATCATATATTTCTGAGTCCTGAATAATTTTCAAAAATTTTTTATGTATTTTTTGAACACGTGGCCTCTGCCTGAGAGCACACAATAGAGTTTTAGTTTTGACTTACATAGAGTTAAATATACACATCTATTAGTCTAAAGATATAACAGGTTTAAGGAGTAAGGGTGTTTGAATATAAGTTTGTAACTGTTTTCAGAAGAAAAGAGCAATATTGAAACAAAACAAAGCATTTTAATAAGATGTCTAATTTACTAGAAAACAAAAATCCTCAAAAATGCTAAAAGCAAATGTATATACTCTGCTTTGTATTCAGTTTATTACACTATCTAACAGCTTATCATTTAGAATCTTTCCATGAAAATTTTCTTTTTTTACTTGCATGATACTCATGCTAGACCCATAATCTTTTTTTTTTTTTAGACCAAGTTTCGTTCTTGTTGCCCAGGCTCAAGTGCAATAGCGTGGTCTCGGCTCACTGCAACCTCCGCCTCCTGGGCTCAAGCAATTCTCCTGCCTCAGCCTCCTGAGTAACTGGGATTACAGGCATGTGCCACCACACCCAGCTAATTTTTGCATTTTTAGTAGAGATGGGGTTTCACTATGTTGGCCAGGTTGGTCTCAAACTCCTGACCTCAGGTGATCCACCCATCTCAGCCTCCCAAAGTGCTGGGATTACAGGCGTGAGCCACCACACCCGGCCTAGACCCACAATCTTTTTGTTTCTTATTTTTTTGTTTTATAGTTTATGAAATATTTATCTGAGCTGATTTGAGTTATAAGAATATTTTTTATAAAATTTCATCATGCACACAAAATTATTTTTAGATATAATTCCACAATTTGTGTATTGTTACATTTTATTTAGTTAAAACATTCCATTAGCTTCTATGGGAGAACCCTATATAAGCTTACTTTTCTTAAGTTATTGTTCCCTTTTTATAAGTGACATAAGTAAATTTTATTTATTGAGTCAATTTGTTTCAGTAAGTACTAGGGAAGCTTCATAAGTCATGTGGATGCTTTTATATATAAATATAGCAAACAAACATGACAGTGCTCAGTGTGTAACAGATGCTCCATATTTTGTCATAAACATTCCTGCTAAAGTTAGTTTATAACTTCAAGTCAGAGATGGAAAATATCAATTGCAAAGACATAACATTGATTCTTCATGTGAAGAGAACATTTTTTCCAGGCTGCAAAGCTGAATCTTGCTGAATTTAAAGAGAAATGCTTCATTCATGTCCTAATTATCTAAGTTTTGTCTTTTTATGTGCATTCAAACCATATATGCATCACAGTCCTTCTTTTTCTGTGGTATGGCTACAGTTTTCTCACTGTTGTTTTCATGCCATGTGATTCACAAGGTATGTTGTAGGTTTTAAGGAGAGCATTGGTATTTTTTCATGTACTGAAACATTGGTTTTAACTGGAAGGTTTGCATACGAATACAACTTTAAGATTGGCTAATTAACATAAAAGACATACACTGCCTACCGAAGAGAGGATTAAATCAGCATGGTGTTTCTTTGTAAAAGAAAAATGTTAGGTTTTTATACAAAGTGTGGCAAATATGTAATTTGCTAGAACAAACATAAAAATTAAATTTTTAAGAGAATAGTAAGTGAGCAATTTAAAATTTATTTAGGATGTACTTACAGCACAACTTACATTTCCATGCAAAATCCTCTGTTTTAAAGTGTGAATGTTAAAGGTTGCAAAGCAATAAAATGACCTCTGTACATTTGGAATAATATTTATTTTCCATATTGATATTACGATTTGGAGACATTTATCACTCTTTTTTTAATGTTTTAGTGGTTGAAGTTTAGTCTACAGTTTATATTCTTAGTCACCTAACTAGCGATCTCCTAGGTTTTCTCTGAAAACTTTTGGAGATAATGGCAGCTTTTGGATTAAAACATTTCCTGTTAGTTTGCATGCAAACCAGTTTACTGTGATCACACAGTGGCCAGTCATGGGAGCATAAGCAAGCCTTCCGTTTTCGTGTCTTTCATACTATCACCATAAGCACCAGTAACTCCAAGTGCCCCAAGCTTAAAATAAAAGCCCTAAAGTTATTGGCTTCTCCCATGCACTGTGCTGGGTTCAGAACATGCTGTTAAACATCAAAGTTCCTATGGTTATGACTGACAAATGAGAAAACAGCAAAGAGACAGACAGTATTTGAAACATTGTTATCCTTCTATAGTGTCTTAAAAATATATTTTTAACTTGACAAATAAAATGTGTATTTCTTTTGTTAACATTTTGAAGTATATATACATTATCAAATGCTTAGTTCTAGGTAATTAATGCTTTATCTTGTTAACATTTTTGTGGTTAGACCACATGAAATTGTAAGCATTTTTCAAAAATACAAATACATTATGAACTATAGTCACCATGCTGTACAATAAATCTCTTGAAATTATTTCTTTTATCCAAGTATAATTATGTATTCCTTGACAGACATCTTTCAATGCCCCCATTTCTTCTAAATACCTTGGCATTTGGTGGTCACCATTTTACTCTCTACATCGATGAGATTAACTTTTTCAGAATCCATGTGTAAGTGAACTCATGAGACATTTAATCTTTCTGTGCCTTGCTTATTTCAACTAATAAAATGTCCTCTAGGGTAATCCATGTGATTGAAAATAATAGAATTTTTGTTGTTTAAAGATGAATATTATTCCATTGTGTATATCTACCACATTGTCTTTATTTACTCATTAGATGTTGAACTGTTGATTTTATGTATTTTACGTGTGAAGAGTGCTGCGAACAACCTAGAAGTGCAAATGTTTCTTCATTCTAATTTCCTTTGTTTTGGATATACAGTGGTGCAATTGTCATATGGTAGTTCTATTTTTAAGTTTTTTAAGAAAACTCTATTTTTCATAATGGCTGTCCTCACTTACATTCAAACAAATAGTGTGCAAGCATTTTCTTTTCTTCAGAATTCTACCAACACTTTTTCTTCTTAATTAGAGTCATTCTAACAGAAGTGAGTTGATATCTCATAGTTCTTTTTTTGCTTGCCTTTCCTGATAATAATTTACATTGAGCATTTTTAAAATATATCTGTTGGTCATATGTATGTGTTTTTCTGAAAAATATTTAAGCCTTTTTCTCATTTTTAATATTTGTTTTTTATTGTATAGTCATTTGAGTTTGTTATATGGTTTTGATATTAATCCCTTGTCACATTTATGATTTGCAAATATTTTCTTCCATTTTTTAGTTGCCTCATCCTGTTGATTGTATTATATTCCGTGCAGCAGTTTTTAAATTTAAAATAATCTGATTCATCTATTTTTTCAATTTGCTCCTTGGGATTTGAGGTCAAATTCTAAAAGTGACTGCCCAACCAATGTTACAGGGCTTTCAGTCTATGTTTTTTATAGTAGTTTCAGAGTTTTAGACCTTACATTTAAGTATCTAATTTATTTTGTGTTTTTATTTTAAGTATCTAATTTGTTTATATATGGTGTGAGTTGAGGGTCTTATTATATTCCTCTACATGTGGATATAAAGTTTTCTCAACACCATTTATTGAAGATACTGCCTTTTCCCTAAGAAATTGCCACCTTTATTTAAAAATCAGATGGCTGTAAATACATCAATATAAACATCAAGATATTTCTGGTCTCCTTTTTCTTCTCTACTTGCCTGTGTGTCTGTTTTTATTCAAGTACCATACTTTTTTGTTTGTTTGTTTGTTTACTATAGCTTTTTAGTATATTTCAGTTCAGTCCGGTAGAGTGATACCTTCACTTTTTCTATTGCTTGGTTGCTTTGGCTATTCAGGGCCTTTTCTGGTATCCTGTAAATTTTAGATATATTTTTAAAAATTTGTCAGTTATGTCTCTGGTATTTTGGTAGAGGTTGCATTATAGCTGTACATAATTTTGTATAATACAGATGTTTAACAATATTAATGCCAACTTATGAAAGTAATATTTTTCCAATTGTGTATTTCTTTAATTTCATTTAAAGATAGTTGTCAATGTATAGAAATTCTATGGACACTTGGATGTTGCTTTTGTATTCTGCAAGTTTAATAAATTTGTTTATTAGTCCTACTAATTTTTAGTAATAGGCTTTTGTTTACTTAAAATTGTGTATAGAAATGAAAAATTACACAGGAATAATTTAACATTTTTTCTAATCTCAGTGCTTTGATTTTACTTACTAATTTTTCTGTCTTGGATAGTTCATACTATGTCTAATAAGACTGAAAAAAGTGGGCATTTTTGTCTTCTTGCTCTTAGAGTAAAAGCTTACAAGATTTCCCTGTTTAGTATGTTATTAGCTGTGCTTTTTATATGTGTGTTATATGTGACATTTATTGGCTTGAGGTTTATTTGTCCTATACCTACTTTTTTCAGAAATTTATGAAGAAATGTTGAATTTTGTTAAACTCTTATTCTGCATTTATTTAAATGTTAGAGATGAGAAATCACATCTAATTCTACATAGATTTAAAAATATCCTCAGAGACTTCTATGAACATGCATGCAAAGTAGAAAATTTAGAGAAAACAAACTCCCAGATACACAAAACTTCCCAATATTGACAGAAAATAACAGAAGTCTTTAACAGAGCAAAAATGTAAAATGTATAGTGACCTTGAACAAGTAATAATAAAACTACTAACCATAAAAAGCCCTGGATCATATGAAATCACAGCCAAGTTTTACTACATATACAAAGATAAGCTGGTCCTAATCCTACTGAATGTATTCCAAAAAATCAAGGTGGCATTTCAATCTAACTAATTATATGAAATCAGTGAAATATATGAAACTAAAATCTAGTGAAGACATAACAAAAAAAGGAAACTACAGGTCAATATTCTGGGTGAACATTGGAACAATAATCCATGAAATTCTAGCAAACTGAATTCAAAAGCAAATCCAAGTTATTTTGCTACAATCACGTGAGCTTTATTCCATAAAAACAAAGGTGTTTCATCATAGGCAAGTCAATTAGTGTGATTCACCATGTAAAGATAATTAAAAGAAAAAAATATTTAACACAATAGGTGCAGAAAAAGCATCCAAGAAAATGCAATATTGACAAAAATATTATCAATACACTAGACACTGATGAAACATACCTCAAAATAATGTCATCTGTGACAAATCCTTAGCCAACATGATACTAAAACAAAAACTGGATGCATTCTCCATAAGAATAAAAATAAGAATATCCATTCTAAACAGTCCTACTGAACATAGTTATGGAGTCGTAGCCAGAGAAATAAAAGGAATCTGAATAGAAAACGAAGTCAAATTATCTTTACTGATGATATAATTCTCTACCAAGAATACTTTAAAGATTTCACCGAAAGACTCCTAAGCCTAAAGACTTCAAAAAAATCTCAGAATACAAAATCAACCCAAATGCATAGAATTTCTGTACACCAATAAACTGAGAACAAAATAAAAAACAGCTCTATTTACAATAGCCACAAAAAAAAATACCTAGAAATACATTAAATCAAGGGGGTAAAATATCTCTACAGAGAACTACAAAACATTGCTGAAAGAAATGAGAGAGAATGCAAATAAATGGAAAAATACTGGATGCTCATGGATTCAAATAATATAGTTAAAATGGTCATTCTGCCTAAAGCAACCTACGGATTAAGTGCTATTTTTATCAGACTATCTATGATGCTTTTTTATAGAATTAGAAAAAGAAAATATTCCAAAATATATACAAGAGAATTAAAGAGCTCAAATAGCCAAGACTGCTTCAGACTAAAAGAATAAATCTGTGTCGAGCGTGATGGCTCACACCTGTCATCTTTGGGAGGCTAAGGTGGATGGATCACCTGAGGTCAGAAGTTTGACACCAGCCTGGCCAACACGGTGAAACCAGTGTCTACTAAATACAAAAAATTAGCCAGGTGTGGTGGTGCGTGCCTGTAATCTCAGCTGCTTGGGAGGCTGAGGCAAGAGAACTACTTGAACCTGGGAGGTGGAGGTTGCAGTGAGCCAAGATTGCAGCAGAGTAGCCAGTATAACATGGTTCTGGTACAAAAATATACATATAGACCAATGAAATAGGAGAGAGTCCTGAGCTAAGCTACACTTTACAACCAGGTTATTTTTACAAAGCCAACAGAAATAAAAGGGGAATTAACTCCCTATTCAGTAAATAATACTGGGAAAACTGGTTAGTTGTATGTGGAAGAAAACTGAACTACCTTTTTCTATATAAAAAAATAACAGATTAAAGACTTTATCTGTGGGTCTTCAAGCTACAAAAATCTTGGGAGAACACTTAGAAAATATTGGCCTCTGGAAAGAATTTATGACTAACATCTAACATGAGTGCAACAAAAATAAAAATTGAAAATGGCATCTAATTCAGCCAAAGAGCTTCTGCACAGTAAAAGAAACTACCAACAAAGTAAACAGATGACCTACAGTATGAAATAAAATATTTGCAAACTGCAGAAAATAAAGGATTAATATATGAATCTATAAAACATTTAATAAAAAAGCAAATGATATAAATAGCTAGCTTCTCAAAGGAAGACAGAGCTACCAATAAACATAAAAATTGCTCAACATTCCTAATTATCAGAAAGATGTAAATCAGGGTGACAGTGCAATACCATTTCACACCAGTAAGAATGACTGTTATTAAAAGCAAGATAAGATTTGAAGTTGTGGAGAAAAGGAAATCTTTCTACACTGTTGATGGGAATGCAAATTGATTCAGCCCTGTGCAAAGCAGTTTGGAAACTTCTCAAAGAACTAAAAATACAATTGCCATTTGACCAATTAACCCCATTACTGGGGATCTGCCCCGAAAAAATAATTTTCCCAAAGAGACACCAGCACTCACATGTTAATTGCAACACTATTCACAATAGTAAAAACAGAATTAAACCAGTTACCCATGAATCTTTTATTGGTTAAGAAAAAATGATGTACTTATACAACCTCCAATACTATGCAGCAACAGAAGAGCATGAAGTAACATCTTTTGCAGCAACATGAATGCAGCAGAAGGCCATTCTAAGCAAATTAATGCATCAGAAAAACAAATGCCACATGTTCTCACTCATACATGGACGCTAAAAATTGGGTGCACATGGAAACAAAGATGAAAACAAGAAACACTGGGAATTCTAAAGAGAAGGAGGAAGGAAGGGAGACAAGCATTGAAAATCTGGTTAGGTATGATGTATACTACTTGGGCAATGGAATAATTAAGTGTCCAAACCTCAACATCATATAGTATACATGTTTTACAAATCTGCACATGTACCCCTTAGATATAAAATAAAAACAAAATGTTTTTGGTATAATGAAATGTTCTATTTTTCCAGCTCTGGGTTAATAGTTGAAATTAAGAGTGAAAGACAAATTTTCACCTCTTAAGGCGTGGGGTGAATGTTTCTATACCAGGTCTCCTCACATGTTATAAGCTAACCTCTCTGAAAACTCTTGGGCTATAGTCCAAAAAGTGTTTCATTTTCAAGTGTGCAGCTAAAACACATTACACCTTTATTATTTATGAATTAAATGTACTCTAGACTTATAGACTTCATTTGTTACTCTACTCTTTTTGGGGAAAAAGTGGTAAGTAGTGGTTTAATCATTTTTTTCAGAATGAACTATTTTTGAAAGTGTGAGACAAAAAATTATGCTAAATTACTGAATTAGAAATATAAAACATTTTTTCTAAAAAAAAAAAAAAGCACAAAAGTCTTATGGTCGTATTCCAAAAATAATTAAACAGAAAGTGGAGGTTAAGACCACAGTGCTGCAAATGCTCATTCCATCACAATCATTCTTGTGAAAAATAGAAATAATGGGTCAGAAGGTATTTTTAGAGTACTTTTCTTATGCTATTGCTGTGAAATTATTGTCTTTTTTACTTTCCATATGAAAGTCTGTACTTGAACAAAAGATGCCATGAATTTCAAGTGAATATGCTCACACATTTATTCTCCCTAGAAGGGCACTGATGTGTTTGCAGTCAAAGCGTGGCCTTTCTTGCCTTACTTGTGCTGCTGTGTTTGTGTGAAATAAAAAGGCAGCAAGTAAAGAAGAATCAACCATGACATTTCTAATTTCAACAGTCACAGCCTCTGTAATTGAGTGTTAATGTCACCTAGAAATAATGACAGTATTTCAAAACTGAGAAAAAATGATACTTTATATTTTTAGTTTATTATTTATAGTTTATAAACATTTATAGTTTCTGATTTATATGCTAAACAACCTGAGCATGCAGATACCTAAAATTTCCACCTAGATGATAGTATTAATATTTTAATAGCTTATAATTGAGAGTCAAAATTGCCCCATTAGATTTACTGGAAAGCAGTTATTTATCTTCTAAGTATAAATAGGTTATCCAAAATTTTAAATATCAGATCTTTGAAGATTAACACTATGTCTAGATTTAAATAAAATTTATGGGTTTGTAGTAACATAAATTTTCATACTTATTTTCTAATAAAAGTGAAAAAGCAAAAGAAATAAGTTGTTAAAATGATTTTAAAAGAAACTTTATATATCTTCATTAAATAACATTTAAAACCACATCGTAAGTGAGTGATCAGTAATTCTAATCTTTTTTAGTCACTGAGAAAACTTAAATTACTCAATCGGAAGAAGTATTCTTATATTAGTGTTTCTGAAACTCCAAAACTGTAGACCACTCAACTGATGATGTACATGCAGACCACAAATTTTCTATGTAATAATAGGCTAATCCTAGATTTTAATATAAAAATTTAATATACTTCTAAATTAAAACTAGTGGCTCTTTTAAGTCATTAGAGATATCGTTAAAATCCATGTACCAAAGTATTTGGTTAAATGCAGAGTGTCTGTCAGTTTTATAATTAGAAGAAGGCATATTGTTTTTTATTGTCTAATAAATTTATGTTAATTTGATAAATTTCAATGTAGTTTAAAAACATTAAAATTTTTTTCTAACAAGTGAAGGAAATCTTTTATTTAAAAATTTAAAGAGAATTTTACTCTAAACAGTTGCTTTAGAGTCTGTCTTTTAAAGTATTATATTATTTTGAACACTAAAAATCAACAGTCTATTTCTGAGTGCTGGGTTCTGACTGTTCATGATATTAAAAGTTTACGTACATCAGTAAATGAGCAAGCCATTTGAAATAAAAAATATGTATGTATACGCTTTCTAAAATTTTAAGATGAACAAACACATTTTTCTCTGGTGCAATATCTTAAAGCTTATTTCACTCTCATAAAAAAAGTAGTAGTATTTTTGATTGACAAATCACAGATGCATAAATTTATGGGCTACGATGTGATGTTTTAGTATATTTATAAAATATGGAATAATTAGTTTAATAACATATCTGTGAACTTGCTTACCTATCATTTTTGTGGTAGTACATTTAAAATTTACTATTTTGAAATATACAATATTTTATAGTTTACTATAGTTACCCTGCTGTGCAATAGATCTCAAAATTGCTTAACGTATTTGAATTTTTTTACTTTTTGTCAACTCCCTATCTTTTCATAAAATTTATATGTGAATATATGAGAATTTGCCAAAAATAGTATTAAAAACATTCAACTTCTATTATAGCTCCAGAATGTAAATCTAGTCTCTCAATTTAGAGTAAGTTAAAAGAAGATTTATTTTTTTCAGTCAAGCAAATAAGTGTATAAAACTAATAGGTGACAAACATGGCACTAGTTGCCAAAAAATAGTATGACTAGATTCAGTAAGTGTCTAGCTATGCAAATGACAGTTCAATTAAATTAAGACCCTAATAGTTGCATGTGAAAAGCATTGATGTGCAATGTGTTGCACCTCCACTCAGCACCTTTTTTTTTTGCCCATTTGTAAAGATATCAATTTCCCCTGAGTGACTCAGTGAAAATTGAAAATTCTATGTTCAGAGTGATTACTGGGAACATGGTTAAAACATATCTTCAATGTTATGAAAAGTTTTTATAAATATCACCCCACTTCAAAAAGTATTTTAGTAAAAGATTGTTTATTTATAGTACTCAACTTAGATTCATAAAAATTTCAATATTCCAGGAAAGTCAGAGACACTTAAATGTAAACAAAATTCCTTAAAACTTGAATGAGATAAATTCCTCTTGGTTAAGAATTTTATTATTAATAAATATAGAGAAAAATAGAAAACTAGTACTTCCGCCAAAATAACAGTTTTTGGCATGGGAGCATCACTGAAACAAGTGCTCTTCATCATCATTGTTAAAGTAAGAAGAGCATTGCCTGCTTTCTTGGAAGTAGCTGGCCTGTTTTCCACTGATACAAAGTGGAGAAGGCATTGAAATAGTGAAAGAGGATGATATAAATTGAATACTTATGTAAAATACAGTCTATAATAAAACGTAGCATTTGGTGTTGTACAACTTTAGATGAGACTATTAGCATGAGGTCATAATATTCTTATTTCTATTGACAAATTAACTTCATTTACCATATTCTGATTTCAGATAATATTCTTTTTTCTGCTCTATATTTGCTAGCTTTTGGTCAAATCTTATCTGAACTCAATAGAAATCAACAAAATAAATCGATTCTACCACAAGCATTTTATTATTGATGCATATGCTTATTTTGCTTAAAATACATTAACTTTTGATGAAAGATTTATAGTTTTGTTTCAGAGTGTTTTTATTTCTGAGAAATTGCTGTCATGCTAGAAAACAGCTATTCTCAGCTCTACTCACATTGACTAATAGAAAGTGGAAGTGATGTGTGGATGAGAAGAAAATGTATCTTCTCTGCATCTTTTTTTAATCAGTTGGCTGAAGAAAGAGAATGCAGATAGAAAGTGAAAGAAAACATAATCCCTGAAAGGTCATAAAAAAGTCCTCTTAATCAGAAAAAAAGGAAATGGTGATTTTAGCAGAATATATATTATTTTACTAAGCCTCTGAAATTTCAGTATACAACCTGCATTGCTTTAATAAATATATATTATTCTTTCAGTTTTAATTCTTCAGGAAATATTCAATTCCCTGGTGATTTAAAAAAAGAGAAGAATAACTTATTTGTTAAGGTAAGAGATGTAGGAAAGACTCATTACTTTTGACCAACATCTCCTCCACCTCCAGCTTCAGGCAATCATCATTCTACTCTTTGCTTTTATGAGTATCAATTTTTTTTATTCTCCAATTTAAAACTTTTAATTAAAAAGTAGACTTTAATGTCGAAAATGCAAACTTGGGGAGGGCAGAAAGATCACACACAAGGCCGCCACTTCACACCTGGAGTGAGTTTGAATTTTTTAATACTCTACATAGAAGTGAGATAATTTGCTATTGTTTTGTGTGTGTGCTGGCTTATTGCTGGCTTATTTTCCAGGTTCATCAATGTTGTTGCAAATAAAGACTTTTTTAAAAAAATTTTCTTCTTTGAAATATAAAAAAAAACCTGGCCAAATAAAGTCTGAACGAATTAAGTATAGCTCCTTAGCATAGCTCACAGTTAATTTTAGTTGACTATCCTCTCTGTAGACAACATTCTTCATCAGCATTTTTTACCATACAACTAGACCTCAACTAACAGTCATTATGTATCACAAAAATGAATCAGTTTAGAAGCCATCTTAATAATGAGACAATTGGCTTCTGGTAACCAATTCAGAACATCTACAAAAGGAGTGGAGAACAGATTTCAACTGTGATGCAAAATCTTATTCATTGGCTTGGTAGCTGAGTGCTGTGTTAAGGATTCTAAAGTCACTATTTATTAAGTGGAAGTAGATCATCATAAAGGTCTTCATTCTCATCATCTTCACACTGAGTAGAGTTGCTTTCTTTTCCGCAATTGTGTTTAAAACTGTTCAAAGAGACTCTCCAAATGCTTGGCTTTCTGTCTAGAAGTTTCAAATGGGGCTTTTGGGTGTGCATCTTTTTCTAGTTTCGCACAGCTGCAGAGGCTTCAGGAAACTAACAATCATGGAAGGCAAAGGGGAAGCAAAGACTTTCTGGTTGTGGCTGGAGAAAGAGCTACAATGTACTGACTGGTCTCACTCAGGATGTTCCTGACATTCAGGATAGGTGGGGTGACCCAGCAATCATTTGGACACTATCCATTCCAGTGACGCTCAAACTTCAGTGTGCATCAGAATTTCTGCAAGGCTTGCTAAGACACAGACTGCTGAGCCCACCTCCAAGACTTCTTTCTTTTTAAGGAATAAAGAGCATTCCATTGTGTAAATATACCACTTTTTAAAAATTATTCACCTGTTGATGGACACTTAGGTTGATTTCATACCTTAGCTATTGTGAGTAATCCACTTTTTTCCTTTTCTTATTTTTTATATATCTTTTTTCCTTTTATATTTCTAGAAACATTTTAATTTTATACTATAAATTATGACTTAAATACCTTTATCCTTTTGGTTAATATTTTGGCTGATTGAAAAAATAAGTTTTAAAAAATTTTTTTGGATCAAGGCCATTACTTTATTATTAACATAATTTGAGACAAAATAGCAATAAAAATCAACATTGATTAGTGAAACAACAATTTTCTAGCCCCTAGTAATCATTTTCTCTCCCACCTGACATAAAAGTTGAGTCTTTGTGTCATTTCTCCCAGTTGTAAGAAAGAAGCTTCTGATTAAACTGGTCAGCATATAATTTTGTAAAATTTTACTTTTTTAATCTAAAAATTAAACTGCTCTATTACCAGAAAAATCATTTTTAATATGTATTATTTTACTCTATTATATTTAAATTCTTCAGGAAAACTAAGCTGACAAAAAATGCACTCAAATTTTTTTGAAAATTAAAAATGCTTAAATTTTTTACAGAATCTAAAACTAAAAATATTGTTAGATTCTTAGAGAACATCTCTCAAATACTTCAAGTT
This sequence comes from Homo sapiens, assembly GCF_000001405.40. NCBI lineage: Eukaryota > Metazoa > Chordata > Mammalia > Primates > Hominidae > Homo > Homo sapiens. Next base: position 22,959,863 of record NC_000019.10, on the reverse strand, counting down.
ACCTTCTGGCAGTAGATATATATTTTTCTTTTCTTTTTTTTTTTTTTCTTTGAGACGGAGTCTCGCTGTCGCCCAGGCTGGAGTGCAGTGCCGCGATCTCGGCTCACTGCAGGCTCCGCCCCCGGGGTTCACGCCATTCTCCTGCCTCACCCTCCTGAGTAGCTGGGACTACAGGCGCCCGCCACCTCGCCGGCTAATTTTTTGTATTTTTAGTAGAGATGGGGTTTCACTGTGTTAGCCAGGATGGTCTCAATCTCCTGACCTTGTGATCCGCCCGCCTCGGCCTCCCAAAGTGCTGGGATTACAGGCGTGAGCCACTGCGCCCGGCCAGATATATATTTTTCTATATTGCTATAATACAGCTTTGCTGTCCTTTGTGGTCAACTACATCATTTTTATTCTATTTTCTTTTGCAGTATTTATGTTATGCATTTTATATTTTAAAAGTTGTAGACCATGCAATGTAATCTTCAAACAATTGACAAATGTTTTTCCATGTATAACTGTCTGCTTAATCCGCAGTCACTTTATTTTCACTCCTCGAAGGCATTTTTACTGCCTGAAAAGCAAAGGGATCGTTCAAGTGAGTTTGCTGAGCTGGTCTTCTCCAGTGTCAGTCTATTCACGTTCACAAAAGTATTCTTCTGGTGAAAGAAGGTGCACTTCAACAGTATTGTAACAGCAATGTGGAAAAGATGTAATAGAATAAAATGTGAATCACAGCTTTCTAAGAAAATAAGTTAATTTTTCTTATTCTGTGTATGTGAGTATGTGGTAGCTGTAAGGTTGGGAATTGAGACTAAAGTGAGAGAGAAGAGCACTTCACATGAATAGCACAAGAAGGTCCTATGCAACCTTCTTGTTTGTCAAACATACCCGGAATGATTTTGTGAAGTATGATGTTGCTGTATTCATCACTTATTAGACTCTGATGGTCATCTTTTACTTTATAAATTTAAATATGCACTTATCATCATTCAGTGTCCTGTCCTTGAAGCTTAAGTGCTCAGACATAAAACTATTAAAATATTGATAAAAGATGAGGTTTTTTTTTTTTTTCTTGAGACTGAGTCTCCCTCTGTTGCCCAGGCTGGAATGAAATGGTATGATCTCAGTTCACTGCAACCTCCACCTCCCAGGTTCAAGCAATTCTCATGCCTCAGCCTCCTGAGTCACTGGGATTACAGGAGTGTGCCATAATGCCCGGCTTGGTGGGTATGTGGTTACTGACTCATGGGTTGGGGACTCTCTGGAGACCCTTCCCTTGCTATCTACCTTAGGCTAGCTAGCTAATCCCTCTCAGTCCCCCCTCAGGAGTGGAGACCCTAACTGCTGTTAGGGAAAATAGGCATTGATATTTTTGGCTATTCCTCACTGGAGAGGGGTGCTGTGTAGAAAACAGCAGCTAGGATTTCTTCCAGGGTTGGTTTAAGGGTCCTTGGAAGAAACGTGTGTATATGCATCATTCCATTTGCATTACCACTTGGAGCTCGACAGTTTTTAGGAAAAAAGAAACAATCTGGTTTAGTAGAGAACATGCATTGAAATGAAACAAGGGGAGTAGGAAAAGCCTAAAAATGTTGAGGCTGCTGACACACCCTGATACCTGGTAGCTATAGTTATGTTTGCTAAGATTTGGGTGCATGAGGTTTGGCTTTGGTTAGCTCCCTTGATCTTACTTTCTGATAAAAGAAGCATCTGGGTTATTGGCACCTTATTTATTTTCATCACCCAGCAGGATTTGCAGAATAATTGCTTAGAACTAGAATATTGATTTAGATTTTTACATGACCCATCCCTTTCTGTTTTCTGAGCTGCAGGCAGAGATTGCTGGTTGGTTTACAGGAATAAGCAGTGTTAGTTTAAAACGTCATCAAAAACTCTAAAACAATCAATGAGACTAGAAGTTCATGAGAAATGTATGGTAAGTTTTGAAAGATAATTTTTTTTTTTAGATTTTATTTTGTTAAAAACAACTCAAAATAGACTGAATTGTTTGCAAAATAAACTTTAGTATTATACTTGGCCTGACTGATCACAGTGCAGCAAGAATAACTACCTCTACATAGGCCTTTTTGATAGGCTTTGATGAAACTCTGTTCCAAAAGAAATCTTAGATAAGACTTTTTAAAGCTGGGCCAAGCCATGGATTTGTACCCTTAAATACCTGTGAGTTGAGTAAACTCCTGTATTTTTGAGGTTCCAAGATCATAGTGTTTCTGAGCCTGTTAGAAAGTGACATTTTTTACTCACCACAGGCCAGGAATTCTGTATGAAGACTGTGTAGACTACAGGTATGAGACCAGCTTTCCCAAGAGGTTTGGCTTTGCAACTTAAACTTGATTTCTTAAAAAAACAAAAAAACAAAAAAAACATACCCTTCCATTAAAGCCTTGGTAAAACAACTAGCATTTTTCTATTGTGTTTCATTGCATAAGAAAGTGGATTTTTCAGCTGGGCACGGTGGCTCATGCCTGTAATCCCAGCACTCTGGGAGGTTGAGGTGGGAAGATCACGAGGTCAAGAGATTGAGACCATCCTGGCCAACATGGTGAAACCCCATCTCTACTAAAAATACAAAAATTAGCTGGCTGTGCTGAGGTGGGAAGATCACGAGGTCAAGAGATTGAGACCATCCTGGCCACCATGGTGAAATCCCATCTCTACTAAAAATACAAAAATTAGCTGGCTGTGGTGTTGCATGCCTGTAGTCCCAGCTACTCAGGAGGCTGAGGCAGGAGACTCACTTGAACCCGGGAGGCAAGGTTGCAGTGAGCTGAGATTGTGGCACTGCACATCAGCCACAGACAGAATGAGACTATGTCTCAGAAAAAAAGAAAATGAATTTTTGTTTCACTGATGCAAACAACTATATTGTTTTAAGTTAAGAATACTTATAACTAGTTTTTGATTTTTAGGAGAACAAGGCAAAGAGAAACAGACATGGTCCAAATTATGTTTACAGCAGTACACCTTGCTCGGTTTTTAAAACTTTTAAGAAAGTTTTTCTGACTCTGAAAAACAAAATAAAAATTAGCAATGTTTTAAGTGAAAGTTAAAAACATTGCTTTAGTTTTCTATTAGCTAAATCCATTCTATTAACTTGGTTCTGCTTGATATCCATAAACATTTTAGCTTTTTATGAGTTCTGTACTTTTATGTTATCAGAAATCTGTGTTTGAGAGCACCTGTTAAAGTTCCACAGCTGATTATAAATCATTTTTTAAGAGGATTAAAACAAGAAAATTGTCTGCCAATGACAAAATGTCCAGGGTTACAGTTAGAAACATGATGGACAAAAAAATTTGGTTATCTTTGTAGTTTACAATAACCCAACATAACAAACTTAATTTTGATTGATAGCACATATTTAGACATTAGAACCTTAGACACCCCATATGGTTTTGGAACATTTTTTTTTTTTTTTTTTTAGAGGGAGTTTCACTCTTGTTGCCCAGGCTGGAGTGCAATGGCGTGATCTTGGCTCACCGCAATCTCCGCCTCCTGGGTTCAAGCGATTCTCCTGCCTCAGCTTCCCGAGTAGCTGGGATTACAGGCATGTGTCACCACACCCAGCTAATTCTTTATTTTTAGTAGAGACAGGGTTTCTCCATGTTGGTCAGGCTGGTCTCGAACTCCTGACCTCAGGTGATCTGCCCGCCTCAGCCTCCCAAAGTGCTGGGATTACAGGCGTGAGCCACCATGCGTAGCTGGTTTTGGAACATATGTTAATATTATATACTCAAATATAAACTGAAAAAAATTAGACATCATTTTGACAATCCCATGTTCCTAAACATATTAAATAATTCTGTTTGCCATTCTTTTGAATGCTTTAGGGACTCTTTGTAGCACCAAAAAGCCAGGACTCAGAAAAGACAACCTTGAAACAGAAGTTTGATTTTGGGGAGCTCGTTAAATATGTTACAGGTATAAAACAGTTAATCTTACAGAATAGAATTTTAGATTATCATAAGTTATTTGTTTAACCAACATGAAGAATTAAAAATTTGAAAAAGCAAAAACCTTTTATTAGCCCTTACTATTACATAAAAATCCTGTTAAAAAGAGAAAGCCAAATTTTACCCTTGCATTAGTTGACTATTAATGTTAACTGCAATTTTAATGAAATTATAGACAATTCTATTTAATCTTAACCAGTTTGACCATGAAATGAGATTTTTACAAATCTTTTTAATTATTATTATTATACTTTAGGGTACATGTACACAACATGCAGGTTTGATACATAGATGTACATGTGCCATGTTGGTTTGCTGCACCTATCAACTAATCATTTACATTAGCTATTTCTCCTAATGCTCTCTCTCCCCCAGGGCCCTACCCCCCAACAGGCCCCAGTGTGTGATGTTCCCCACCCTGTGTCCAAGTGTTCTCATTGTTAAATTCCCACCTATGAGTGAGAACATGCTGTGTTTGGTTTTCTGTCTTTGTGATAGTTTGCTGAGAATTATGGTTTCCAGCTTCATCCATGTCCCTGCAAAGGACATGGACTCATCCTTTTTTACGGCTGCATAGTGTTCCATGGTGTGTTATGTGCCACATTTTCTTAATCCAGTCTATCATTGATGGACATTTAGGTTGCTTCCAAGTCTTTGCTATTGTGAATAGTGCTGCAATAAACATATGTATGCACGTGTCTTTATAGTAGCATGATTTATAATCCTTTGGGTGTATACCCAGTAATGGGATGGCTGGGTCAAAAGGTATTTCTAGTTCTAGATCCCTGAGGAATCGCCACACTGACTTCCACAATGGTTGAACTAGTTTACAGTCCCCCCAACAATGTAAAAGTGTTCCTATTTCTCCACATCCTCTCCAGCACCTGTTGTTTCCTGACTTTTTAATGATCACCATTCTAATTGGCATGAGATGGTATCTCATTGTGGTTTCGATTTGCATTTCTCTGATGACAAGTGATGATGAGCATTTTTTCATGTGTCTGTTGGCTGCATAAATGTCTTCTTTTGAGAGGTGTCTGTTCATATCCTTTGCCCACTTTCAGATGGGGTTGTTTGCTTTTTTCTTGTAAATTTGTTTGAGTTCTTTGTAGATTCTAGATGTTAGCCCTTTGTCAGATGGGTAGATTGCGAAAATTTTCTCCCATTCTGTAGGTTGCCTTTTCACTCTGATGACAGTTTCTTTTGCTGTGCAGAAGCTCTTTAGTTTATTAGATCCCATTTGTCTATTTTGGCTTTTGCTGCCATTGCTTTTGGTGTTTTAGTCGTGAAGTCCTTGGCCATGCCTATGTCCTGAATGGTATTGCCTTGGTTTTCCTCTAGGGTTTTTATGGTTTTATTTCTAACATTTAAGTCTTTAATCCATCTTGAATTAATTTTTGTATAAAGTATAAGGAAGGGATCCAGTTTCAGCTGTCTACATATGGCTAGCCAGTTTTCCCAGCACCATTTATTAAATAAGGAATCCTTTCCCCATTTCTTGTTTTTGTCAGGTTTGTCAAAGATCAGATGATTGTAGATGTGTGGCGTTATTTCTGAGGCCTCTGTTCTGGTCCATTGGTCAATATATCTGTCTGATACCAGTACCATGCTGTTTTGGTTATTGTAGCCTTGAAGTATAGTTTGAAGTCAGGTAGTGTGATGCCTCCAGCTTTGTTCTTTTTGGTTAGGATTGTCTTGGCAATATGGGCTCTTTTTTGGTTCCATGTGAACTTTGAAGTAGTTTTTTTCAATTCTGTGAAGAAAGTCAATGGTAGCTTGATTGGGATGGCATTGAATCTATAAATTACCTTGGGCAGTATGGCCATTTTCACGATATTGATTCTTCCTATCCATGAGCATGGAATGTTATTCCATTTGTTTGTGTCTTCTTTTATTTCATTGAGCAGTGGTTTGTAGTTCTCCTTGAAGAGGTCCTTCACATTCCCTCGCAGTTGTATTCCTCAATATTTTATTCTGTTTGTAGCAATTGTGAATGGGAGTTCACTGATGATTTGGCTTTCTGTTTGTTTGTTGGTGGTGTATAGGAATGCTTGTGATTTTTGCACATTGATTTTGTATCCTGAGAATTTGCTGAAGTTGCTTATCAGCTTAAGGAGATTTTGGGCTGAGACAATGGGGTTTTCTAAATATACAATCATGTCATCTGCAAACAGGGGCAATTTGACTTCCTCTTTTCCTAATTGAATACACTTTATTTCTTTCTCTTGCCTGATTGACCTGGCCAGAACGTTCAACACTTTATTGAATAGGAGTGGTGAGAGAGGGCATTCCTGCCTTGTGCCAGTTTTCAAAGGGAATGCTTCCAGTTTTTGCCCATTCAGTATGATACTGGCTGTGGGTTTGTCATAAATAGCTCTTATTATTTTGAGAAACATTCCATCAATACCTACTTTATTGAGAGTTTTTAGCATGAGGGGCTGTTGAATTTTGTTGGAGGCCTTTGCTGCATCTGTTGACATAATCATGTGGTTTTTGTCATTGTTTCTGTTTATGTGATGGATTACATTTATTGATTTGTGTATATTGAACCAGCCTTGCATCCCAGGGATGAAGCTGACTTGATTATGGTGGATAAGCTTTTCAATGTGCTGCTGGATTGGGTTTGCCAGTATTTTATTGAGGATTTTCACATCAATGTTTATCACAGATATTGTTCTAAAATTCTCTTTTTTTGTTGTGTCTCTGCCAAGCTTTGGTATCAGGATGATGCTGGCCTCATACAATGAGTTAGGGAGGCTTCCCTCTTTTTCTATTGATTGGAATAGTTTCAGAAGGAATGGTATCATCTCCTCTTTGTACCTCTGGTAGAATTCTGCTGTGAATCCATCTGGTCCTGGACTTTTTTTGGTTGATAGGCTGTTAATTATTGCCTCAATTTCAGATCCTGTTATTGGTCTATTCAGAGATTCAACTTCTTCCTGGTTTAGTCTTGGGAGGGTGTATGTGTCCAGGAATTCATCCATTTCTTCTATATTTCTAGTTTATTTGCTTAGAGGCATTTATAATATTCTCTGATGGTAGTTTATATTTCTGTGGGATAGGTGGTGATATCCCCTTAATCATTTTTTATTGCGTCTATTTGATTCTTCTCTCTTTTTTTCTTTATTAGTCTTGCTAGTGGTTTATCAATTTTATTGATGTCTTCAAAACACAGCTCCTGGATTCACTGATTTTTTGAAGGGTTTTTTGTGTCTCTATCTCTTTCTGTTCTGCTCTGATCTTAGTTATTTCTTGCCTTCTGCTAGTTTTTGAATTTGCTTGCTCTTGCTTCTCTAGTTCTTTTAATTTTGATTGTAGGATGTCAATTTTAGATCTTTCCTGCTTTCTCTGTGGGCATATAGTGCTATAAATTTCCCTCTACACACTGCTTTAAATATGTCCCAGAGATTCTGGTATGTTGTGTCTTTGTTCTCATTGGTTTCAAAGAAAATCTTTATTTCTGGCTTTGTTTTGTTATTTACCTAGTAGTCATTCAGGAGCAGGTTGTTCAGTTTCCATGTTGTGTGGTTTTGAGTGAGTTTCTTAATCCTGAGGTCTAATTTGATTGCACTGTGGTCTGAGAGATAGTTTGTTGTGATTTCTGTTCTTTTACATTTGCTGAGGAGTGCTTTATTTCCAATTATGTGGTCAATTTTAGAATAAGTGCAAGGTGGTGCTGAGAAGAATGTATATTCTGTTGATTTGGGGTGGATAGTTCTGTAGATGTCTATTAGGTCTGCTTGCTGCAGAGCTAAGTTCAAGTCCTGGATATACTTGTTAGCTTTCTGTCTCGTTGATCTGTCTGATATTGACAGTACGGTGTTAAAGTCTCCCATTATTATTGTGTGGGAGTCTAAGTCTCTTTGTAGGTCTCTGGTGACTTGCTTTATGAATCTGGGTGCTCCTGTATTGGGTGCATATATATTTAGGATAGTTAGCTCTTCTTGTTGCATTGATCCCTTTACCATTATGTAATGGCTTTCTTTGTCTCTTTTGATCTTTGTTGGTTTAAAGTCTGTTTTATCAGAGACTAGGATTGCAACCCCTGCTTTTTTTCCTTTCCATTTGCTTGGTAGATCTTCCTCCATCCCTTTATTCTGAGCCTGTCTGTGTCTTTGCATGTAAGATGGGTCTCCTGAATACAGCACACAGATGGGTCTTGACTCTGTATCCAGTTTGCCAGTCTGTGTCTTTTAATTGGAGCATTTAGCCCATTTACATTTAAGGTTAATATTATTATGTGTGAATTTGATCCTGTCATTATGATGTTAGCTGGTTATTTTGCCTGTTAATTGAGGGTTTCTTCATAGCATTGGTGGTCTTTACAATTTGACATGTTTTTGCAGTGGCTGATACCAGTTGTTTCTTTCCATTTTTAGTGCTTCCTTCAGGAGCTCTTTTAGGGCAGGCCTGGTGGTGACAAAATCTCTCAGCATTTGCTTGTCTGTAAAGGATTTTATTTCTCCTTCACTTATGAAGCTTAGTTTGGCTGGATATGAAATTCTGGGTTGAAAAATCTTTCCTTTAAGATTGTTGAATATTGGCCCCCACTCTCTTCTGGCTTGTAGGATTTCTGCCGAGAAATCCACTGTTAGTCTGATGTGCTTCCCTTTGTAGGTAACCTGACCTTTCTCTTTGGCTACCCTTTACATTTTTTCCTCATTTCAACCTTGGTGAATCTGACTATTATGTGTCTTGGGGTTGCTCTTCTCAAGGAGTATCTTTGTGGTGTTCTCTATATTTCCTGAATTTGAATGTTGGCCTGCCTTGGTAGGTTGGGGAAGTTCTCCTGGATAATATCCTGAAGAGTGCTTTCCAACTTGGTTCCATTCTCCCCATCACTTTTAGGTACATCTATCAAATGTAGATTTGGTCTTTTCACATAGTCCCATATTTCTTGGAGGCTTTGTTCATTTCTTTTTACTCTTTTTTTCTCTAACTTTGTCTTCTCACTTTATGTCATTAATTTGATCTTCAATCACTGATACCCTTTCTTCCACTTGATCAAATTGGCTATTGAAGCTTGTGCATGCATCACGAAGTTGTCGTGCCATGGTTTTCAGCTCCATCAGGTCATTTAAGATCTTCTCTTCACCGTTTATTCTAGTTAGCCATTCATCTCCCCTTTTTTCAAGGTTTTTAGCTTCTTTGCAATGGGTTTGAACATGCTCCTTTAGCTCAGAGAAGTTTGTTACTACCGACCTTCAGAAGCCTAACTTCTGTCAACTCATCAAAGTCATTCTCCATTCAACTTTGTTCCATTGCTGGTGAGGAGCTGTGATCCTTTGGAGGAGAAAAGATGCCCCGGTTTTTAGAATTTTCAGCTTTTCTGCTCTGGTTTCTCCCCATCTTTGTGGTTTTATCTACCTTTGGTCTTTGATGTTGGTGACCTACAGGTGGGGTTTTGGTGTGGATGTCCTTTTTGTTGATGTTGCTTCTATTTCTTTCTGTTTGTTAGTTTTCTTTCTAACAGTCAGGTCCCTCAGCTGCAGGCCTGTTGCAAGTTGCTGGAGGTCCACTCCAGACACTATTTTCCTGGGTATCACCAGTGGAGGCTGCAGAATGGCAATTATTGCAGAAGAGCAAATACTGCTGCTTGATCTTTCCTCTGGAAGCTTCATCCCAGAGGGGCACCCACCTATATGTGGTGTCTGTCAGCCCCTACTAGGAAGTGTCTCCCAGTTAGGCTATACAGGTGTCAGGGATCAACTTGAAGAGGCAGTCTGTCCATTCTCAGAGCTCAAATGCCATGCTTGGAGAACCACTGCTGTCTTCAGAGCTGTCAGACAGGGATGTTTAAGTCTGCAGAAGCTGTCTGCTGCCTTTTGTTCAACTATGCCCTGCCCACAAAAGTGGAGTCTACAGAGGCAGTAGGCCTTGCTGAGCTGTAGTGGGCTCTGCCCAGTTCGAGCTTCCTGGCCACTTTGTTTAGCTACTCAAGCCTCAGTAGTGGCAGACACACCTCCCCCAACCAGGCTGCCACCTCATTGTTTGATCTCAGACTGCTGTGCTAGCAGCGGGCAAGGCTCTTTGGGCGTGGGACCCACTGAGCCAGGCACGGGAGAGAATCTCCTTGTCTGCTGGTTGCTAAGACCTTGGGAAAAGCATAGTATTTGGGCGAGAGTGTCCCATTTTTCCAAGTACAGTCTGTCCCGGCTTCCCCTAGCTAGGAAAGGAAAATTCCCCAATCTCTTGTGCTTCCTGGGTGAGGCAATGCCTTGCCCTGCTTTGGCTCGCCCTCTGTGGGCTGCACCCACTGTCCAACAAGTCCCAATGAGATGAGCCATGTACCTCAGTTGGAAATGCAGAAATCACCCGTCTTCTGCCTCGATCACGCTGGGAGCTGCAGACCAGATCTCTTCCTATTCAGCCATCTTGGAATGGATCTCTGATTTTTTACAAATCTTTTATATAATCTTTTAGAAATTTTGATATAGAGCAGATTAGCATCTTTAGAAAACTTTGCTGTGCTTTCATTTAAATGCTTAATTGAAAGAAAAACCATATGGTATTCCTTTGAATTTAGCTAATATGTTTACACAGAGGTTTTCTTTTGCAAAATTAATTTTTATGGTATTTTAAAAATTTGCTTAAAACTTTCACTTTATTTAATTTAAGACAATCTTTTATTCCTAGGAAAAATGTAGATTTTTATGCCTTCTTGTAATTTTTTATTAAAAAATTTTACCGTTTTTACACACATTGCCTGCAAATCCATTTTTAGTAGTCTCAATACATGTTATAATGGTAACTTTATGTAATTTTAACTTTAATGTAAAACCTGGTAAGTTGTTTTAATTATGTGCTAGGAACAGATAAAGTCTGACTTCTTCCAGTATAGTTAGGGGCATGGTTAGTTTTATATGTCACCAGGCCTTACTATTTGTGAAGCTGGCCGGTTGACAGTTCTTAAAGGCCAAGGAAGCAGTTTACAACATTAAAACATTTAGCAAACCTGCTATTTGGCCTGCATAATTTAGACCACCTATTTACATTTGTAAGATATTTGTATTCTACAAGAATGTTTTTATTTCTTAAAGTTGCGTGAACCAAGAAGCACTAGAGACTTTAATTTTGTCTTAATATTTTATCTAAGTGCTTATTTGTAGGCCAATTAATTAGAGGTTTTTTTTTATAGACATCACACAAAACATGTATATAACCATCTAGACTAACAGAAGAAGATTCAGTAACTATAAGATTTTTTGTTTGCCAATTTTCTAATTGGATTATTGGTCTCCGGTTGAGGACCTTTATGAACAGGGCTAGGGGCCAGGCACAGTGGTTATGCCTGTAATCCCAGCACTTTGGGAGTCTGAGGTGGGTGGATCACCTGAGGTCAGGAGTTTGAGACCAGCCTGGCCAACATGGTGAAACCCCGTCTCTACTAAAAATACAAAAAAATTAGCTGGGCATGGTGGCAGGTGCCTGTAATCCAAGCTACTAGGGAGACTGAGGCAGGAGAATTGCTTGAACCCAGGAGGCGGAGGTTGCAGTGAGCCAAGATTGCACCATTGCACCTCTGGCCTAGGTGACAGAGTGAGACTCTGTCCCCAGTAAAAACAAAAAAAAAGAACAGGGCTAGGAATACAGTTTCCAGGGCCTAATAAGCAAGCATACCTAGAAGAAAAAGACATATTTTGAGAGGGACTTATTTACTTTTAATTCTAGGGGTTTCATGAAAAAAAAAGCAGATATTTCTTTTAAAATGCAATTTGTCATGGCTTTTTTGTTTTCTTGAGGAGTCCCAGGCCACCAGAGGTTATTTTAGGGCCTTCTATGCTTGCATCAACAGTGACAAGTAAAAGTGGAGAAAATAAATTTAGTTGAGTGAGAAAAAATTCCTCTTCCAAGAAAACAGGTTTTATAAAGATAAAAATAGAAAGGCTTTTTGAATATACTTGTAGGTTGGATATTAACTTTTCATTAAGGTGAGTGCACTTTAAAAAAGGTTTTTTTAATTAATTAAAACTTCACAGAGAATATAAACAGTGATTCTTATTATTTCCTTTACCAGTTTACACCACTACCTGTTTACAATCCTGTTTAGGCTCTTTAGTTTCCCCTAGGAGAAAATGTCAGGGTTCAGGCAAGGGCACATTTTCAACTGGACTGCAGATCACTTTAGCAGCAAAACTTGATATTTGAGGAGGTGATTATTAGCCAGAGGTTTTCCTTAGAGGACAGCAGTCCAATGTGGGAATGCAGACAGTTAAGTTATTTCCCATTGTTAACCTCATGGCCTTTGGTACAAGCAAGCCACCACCAAAACTGCTCAGAGGCACGCTGGCCATCCTCTAGCCATCAAATCAGGTTTCTTGCTTAGGTAACCCACTGGTTGTTTAGCTGGACCTTGAACCTTAGTTAAAACTCCCAGGGTCATTCATTTCATTTTTGATACATAGAGATTAAATGCCTTCCTTATGGGAAGACTGAGGTTTGGCACTTTAAGTAAGGCTGCCTTTAGTTAGTTAAAGGCCTTTTAGTTTTAGCTTCCCAAGTTAGCGAGTAAGTTTTTAGGTGCTTCAGTTTTTTTAATAAGATGGTATAAAAGATTAGCTATTTCACCATTCCCAGGTACCCAGAGTTCTCAAAAACCAGTAATGTCTAAGATCCCCCCAACTATTTAAGAGTTTTGGGAAAGGAAAAGGAGAAAATGAGTTTAATTATTTCTTTACCTGGTGTTCTGGTACCTTCTGACTAGACCTATCTACTTTACTGCAGTTTGACAGAGCTGAGCTTTAAATTTTGAAAGCCTATATTCCCTTTCAGCTAAAAAATTGATGAAAGCCTTAGTGCCTCCTGAGACCTCCTCAGTTGGGGCACAGAAAACAGTGTTGTTTAAATACAGCAAAGTTTCAACTTGTGGATGACAAAACCTAGAAAGATGTTTGAACAGGGCCTGTTTTAGCAACTTCTTTCTGATATTAGTGTCTGCCTAAGTAATAAACCTTTTTTATTGAATCAGAACACAGGGAGGTGTGTTTTACTAAAGTTTTTCTCAGCCTTTTCAAAAAGTCCATGGGATTTTTATCTGGTTTCTGATTTAACAGGGACAGGTTAGAGTAATTAACATGATTGATTGTGGTTCTTTGCAAGCTTTCTAATATGCACATCGGAAAGTGTCTTCTTTTCCACTTCTCTGTAGGATCACAAGGGCTCCAATTAGGATATTTAAGGGGCATTGTTGTTATTCTTACTGCGAATGGGGATTCTGTCACTTTTTTTCCCTTTTGACTGAGTTTCTTTTCTGACTGGCTATAGGAAACCTACTGTTTGTTTTTGAGTTTTTTTGCTGCCTGTTAGGCTGCTTGTTTCTTAACAGTTAGGGTTTGGCTTAAAAGCAGCATAGCATCTCTCCATGTAACATTAAACACTTGGGTTAAATTTTGGAAAGCCTCTATGTATGTATCAGGGTCATTAGAGAACTTTCCTGGGGCTCACTTTATTTTCTTAAGGTCCTGCAATGAGAAGGGAACTTGAATCCTAGTAACACCATGTCTACTGGGCATTTTCTGTAGGGGGCAACAGCAATGTTGTGGGTTTCTTGAGTGGCAAAACTAGAGGAGCTGATGATACATGGGTGTTGGTGGCCCAAAATATGGGAGGCCAGTAGAGCACCCAGAAGTTGCATTTGAGGGTTCCCCAAGGGTTTGTATCTAGACTTTTGTTAATTATATTTTGTAGGTTTGTCTGATATGGCTGCCAAGAGGGCAGATTTAATTTTACAATGCTTACAAAGATCTGGATTGTCTCACAGGGCAAAGAAATATCTATTTGTTGGATAGTGTTGAAATTAATGTTTCCCTTAGAAAGCTAGGCCTCCTGTCTCTAAGATGGCCATGGATTTGTGCAATAGAATGTAAGCCATTTTTTCTTTCGAGTTTCAGGGTTAACGAAGTTCCAGTGTTTCAGAATGCACTAGAGGGGAATGCAGACTCTACATGGTTTGTTACCTATCTAGAGAAAGAGGAGAGACAAGGCGTTCCTCAGTCCCCTTTCTCTTTTCAGTGTGGCCTATGGTGGAAGGAAATAGAAAAAGGGCATACCACTTCTCGACCTTCCTTTTTTTCCTCTGGGTCCCAGCAACCATCATAGATGTTACCCATGGATGCAAGCATGACCTTCCCCCATGGGTCCGGAGGAGTTTGTCAGCAGGACACGTTATGCTCACCTTCTCACCTAGCTTTCCATGCTGCTGGTTTTCTAGGCCCACTCAGCCCAAAAGGCTCTCAAGGTACTCCAATGGCTGGGGAGAGATTACGCAGTAGTTGCATTTGGGCAAGATACTTTTATAGAGGGAATGCCCTAATACCATTTTTGGCTTCCTTTGCTATGGCCCCAGGAAGATCAGAATCCCAGAGAATGGGACCAATTTACTTTCAAACATAAAATTCCTTTTCTGTTTAAATTCAAATGTAGTTTGAGGAGGAACAGGTGCCTTAAAAATGTGTAAAAATTGAAGATTTGTTTTGTTAGCATGGCTTTCTTCCGTCTGTCAGAAGTTGAGTTCTTCTGTTTACAAATAGGGCATGAGGCCTTATCACTGATAAAGGCATGTAAAAGGGAAAATAATTGGGGAACTGTAAGTTTTGGACAGAGCGTTGACAAATCTTCCCATGGAGAACAATCCCATTCAACTAGGGGTGCTGTAAAATTAGAAATGCTAGGTAAAAACTCCAACTTTATATTTTTAGGCAAAAGTTAGAAAGACTTTTGTGGTTTGATAGGCTGTTCCTATAGCATATGCTCCAGAACAAAAAATGAACTTGTCTCATAAAGGAACTGTTTAGATTCCTTGGACAATGCTGAGGTTCACATGGAGAGAAAAAAAACAAACCAAATGCAAAGGAGGGTATTTACTCAGGGTGAAATATTCTCTCATACAGTGCCATGAATGTTTATTACTGGGGGACAGAAAGGCCCTTACTAAGTAAAAATTTAGAGAGAGACTTTGAAATCTCCCTGTTGATAGGAAATTACAAAACAACAACTCTGAGTTACATATCTGATTACTAAGACACTGACTGACTTTACTCAGTATGATTATATCCATAGGCTGTAAAAACGTTCACAACATTGCATACAAAGAATGGATAGGAGAAATGATAGCCACAAAAAAAAGAAGAAGAAAATGAAATGAAAAAAAAGACTAGAAGTTCTCATGCCAACGCCCTCATTGGCTGTTGGGGACTGGAGTTAGTCCAAGGGTTTTTAGGTAACACTGAAGTATAGACTCAGCCAGGAACCTTCAGTTGCCCTAGGACCTCCTTTCAATTCCACACAATGAGTAGGCCCTTCATTAAAGGAAACTGGATTAGAACAGAGCCAATGTTTTCAAAGCTGTTTTTGAGAAAAAGAAACTTAGGACAAGAAGCCTCAGAAAGTAACTGAGGACAAGTAGCCTCACTCCTAATCACCCTTCTGATGAATTCCTTTCTCCCTGGCCAACACACCAAAATATGTTGTAGTTTTGCCAATGAACCAAGGTGTAACAACCTCTGTTGTTTGAGATAATACCCAGAATTCTTTGTGCTACATTCAAGAAGATTTAGGAATGTGGACACAAGGGTGAGGTTGGAGCAAAAGTTTAATGTGCAAAGAGAAGAAAGCCCTACTCCAGCAGAGAGGGAGGCCTCAATGGGTTGCCCACTATAAGGCTGGGATCCAGGGTTTTTATAAACTGGAATGGGAAAAAATTGTGCTTAGTTTATGAGCTGTCTTAGAGAATGTGTGACTCAGCTTGGCCTGGGGCCTTGGCCTGGGACCAATCAGGGGCTGAAGTAATGATTCATAAAGGCTGCTCAGGTTGGCCCAGAACCTATTAGAAGCTGAAGCCAGAGCTTGGCCTAAGACCTTTGCCCATGACCAATCAAGGGCTGAAGTAATAATTTATAAAGACCAGACTCACAGAAAAGAAAGTGTCCACAGAACCCATCAAAGCCCACTGCGTTCACGCCCACAATAAAAAGAAAAAACTTTTTTCTGGGATCCCACTGATTATACAAACAGCAAAGACATTTCTATGTCAGGCCTTGTTCCCTTCTAAGTAAGCCAGAGGTGTGTGCAAATTTTTATCTAAATGGGCTTTAGGTTCTCCTACTTGTGCATCCGAGGGCATGAGTCTAGGCACAACCCCCTATGCTAGTTCCCTTAATAGTGCCTGGAGCTTATTTTTTTTTTCCAAGCTGATTTTTATGTTATGTGGGGATAAGGCACTAACCTGTGGGTTGGGAGCTCTCCATAAACCCTTCCCTTGCTATCTACCTAAGGCATGCTAGCTAGCTTCTCTCAATGCTAGTAAGGTTAAGTTCCTTAAAACTTTGAAAATATGCTTTAGTTTTACCTTAGTTTGGAAAGCCAAATTTGGTCAAAAGTAAATATAACAATATACTTCCATATAAATCATTTTGGAATTGAATTCATATTATTAAATAAAATATTAAATTTGATGTATGTATTTGACCGTCAAATTTTTTAAAAAGTTGAATAGATAGAAAGTGTGGTGAAGGTGAAACATGAGAGATATACATGCTTTTATGATAAATTATTTTGTGGTCATTTAAATTTTCAATTTAGCAGTGTTGACTGTGTTTAAAATGTGAATATTGACATATCAGAGAAAAAATTTTTGACAATAAAAAATACAAAACAAAGCATGATAGTGTTTAATGGCTTTTATGAAACCTCAGTTGTCTTAGCTTCAAAAAAATTTAAACAAGAGACAAACAACAAAGAAGATGCAGCATAGAGTAATTTATTGCAAAGGAGTAAGACTATTTTAAAAGTTAGGTGCAGAATACCCAGTACACCTTGAGAGAGAAAGGATTCAGGGTGGGTTGCTTACAAGAATGAGAAAGCAAAGACTGAAACTAGGGACTTTTTTATGGGAGTCTTATATAATTATTTATAAAGAGGTGGAAAGTGGTGTTATTAGTAAGCATGTTCTGGATGGCCCTCTTGATGCACGGACACAGTAGCTGTACATGCTTGTTCATTTTTCACATCTCACTAGCATCTTAAATCTCCACTCACAGGTTTGCTTTTTACTATTACAATGAGTAAAATGTCAGTTTGAGGAAAGGTAAAATCAAAATCTTCATGCTCTTTACAGGGGATTTTCTCTATTGGAGAGAGCTTTGCTTGAATAAGCTGGAATACAATGTGAATGCTGGGGCTTATTGTGTTGGCAATATGCAGCCACTGTACAGTGGCCATGTTTGCTGCATCCCAAAGACATAGTCACTTTCTTGACTACCCATCCTTCCTCAATAGTACTTGTCTTAATTTATTCCAAACTACCAGCTCTGAGACTAAGATTTAGCTGTTATGTCAATATTGTCAACAGTGGGAAAATTAAAATTTTTAAATCAAGCATATTTCAGCTTGATTTGGGTAATTAGCTGTGTGCCCAGGAAACAATACTTTACATCATTGGAGCTTCAATCTTCATTATTAACTAAAAATCCTATCTTCCCATAGCTGTTTTAATTCATACACGGTAGCTATAAGTATTTTTTACTGAAAGTCTTGTCTAAATAATATATATTCAAGAATAAGAATAAAACCGTATGTATTTCAAAATATTTTATTATAAGTGAGTGGGTATATTTTGTCATATGTAATGTAATTATTTTTTCTAAAAATGCCAAAATAAGAATTTGATGATTTGTTGTGGAATAACAGGTTAAGGGTTTCTACATTGTGACTTTGCTAATTTTTGCATATGATTTTGACAACTACTGTTGAATTTAGGTTGAATTTTAAATCCACTGTTGTGTAGCTTGTGTGGTTTTTGGTTCATTTGGGGAACAAAATATATTAGGCATGGACTGTTTGGGATAACTTGGCTTCATTTCTGCTCTCTTTCTATTATTACATGTGGGGCTTTAGAAATGACTAGGATTCAAATAAGGTTGGTTTGGAAACAAGCAACAGAAAATCCCAGAAAAGACTAATGGAAATAGGTACCGAATAGTGCCTTTTGGTGAGATTTATACATGAAACAGAGTTCAATGAAATTCATAAAATTATTGGAAGTTTCTTAAATTTAGAAACTAACTCCAAACAACATTTTAGACACTTGCTTAGTTTGTCAATGGCATCTGTAGCTTGGGGAAGCTGACATTACAGACAAGAGTACTGCTACTCTAACAAGATATAGAACAAATACTAATGTGTTTGTAAATATTCCCTTTAATAATCCTTAGATACATATCATTCTGGCTCAATATTTTTAGCACAACTCTGCATAATTCCAGAGACTCTATTCCACCAAATTAAAGTCATGGTGTTTTCAGCTTTTTGTGTTTATTTTTATCCAGTAAGATTCATATTTGATATCATTATATTGAGGTCCCCCAGGCAATTGCTGATTCTTAGAAATGACCATCCTATCTCATGTTTTTTTGTTTCACATGTTCTGTTATGAATCCCTCTCACTCCATGTTTAAGCCTTAATCAGGCTTCAGTTTTGAAGAAACAGAGGAACGGGTTGCCATATATGTTTAGTTGAGAATCAGGATCCTCTTGAGTATAAAGACTTTTACATTTATTATTCATAGTACAAAGCAGTATTTTTAAGATGTGGACATGTTCATTCAAATTGAATATAAATAATTTTTATTACTATGCCAGTGTGGCAAAATAACTGTATAAAGTTCACACAATGGTCTGTTTCATACTCTCCCAAAACAAGGATCAATATGTCTTAGTTGTTGTTTTATTTTGGTGTAGGCTTTTTTGTTTATTTACATTTTTAAAGTTGTTTTTTCCTAATTATGATAATGTTAAGCTACAGAAAGCTTACCAAAAGCTCTATTTTATTACACTTTTTTAAACCAAAAGTCCAAATACTCAAACATTGAAAGTGACATTCTCAATTACCATTTTTCATTTGATGTATCTACACTTATTACTAGTACATATCTTTTACCAACTCTTGGAATTGCTAGACATAATTTTTTGACAAAATGGTTAATTAGAAACACATTATTTATACTTTTATTCCATAGTTACTAATGAAGTTAGCATTTTTCATCAGTTAGTGCTTTAAGACTTGCCATCTGTCCTATTTTTAATGTTTTCCATTTCCTTGTTTATTCATACACATTCTGTAATATATATTTTCTAAATACTAATTTTTTGTACTATGTGTTTTTAAACTATTTTCCCCCAGTTATGGTTTGGCTTTTCACCATCTTTATTAAAACATGTTTTATGTTTTTGGTAATCAAAAATTCTTAAAATTGGTATAGTCTAATTCACAAATATTTTAATGGTTTTTTTTTTTTTTTTTAGATAAAGTCTCACTCTATCACCCAGGGTGGAGTGCAATGGTGCAATCTCAGCTCACTGCAATCTTTGCCTCCTGGGTTCAAGTGCTCCTCATGCCTCAGCCTCCTGAATAGCTGGGATAACAAACATGCGCAGCACACCCTGCTGATTTTTGTGTTTTAAATTGAGATGGGGTTTTACTATGTTGGTCTGGCTGGTCTGGAACTCCCGGCTTGAAGTGATCTGCCTGCCTGGGCCTCAAAGAATGCTGGGATTACAGGCACAAGCCACCACTCCCAGCCTATGCATAATTTTTATATTGTGCAATGTCTAAGAAGTTTTTTTCCCCACAGTTATAATAACAATATTCTTCTTCATGTTCTCCTAGAAGTTTTATTTTGTGTTCTGTTTTGTTTTGTGTTTTTGAGACAGAGTCTCGCTCTGTCACCCAGGCTGGAATGCAGTGGAGTGATCTCGGCTCACTTCAACCTCCACCACCCAGGTTCAAGCGATTCTTCTGCTTCAGCCTCCCAAGGCGTGCACCACTACTCCCGGCTAATTTTTGTATTATTAGTAGAGACAGGGTTTCACCATATTGACCAGGCTGTTCTCGAACTCCCCACCTCATGATCTGCCACCTCGGCTTCCCAAAGTGCTAGAATTACAGGCATGAGCCACCCCGCCGGGCCTCTCCTAGAAGTTTTAAATCCTCAATATATATGGACAATTTTTGTGTTAGTTGCTTTGTAAGGATCCAATCTACCTAGGTAGAACCAATAGGTTAGCTATTAGTTTATTGACTAGTTCCGCTTTGCCAGTATAATTGTGTAACTGATTTCTCATTTTAACCTGTTGGCTGAAACCATGGATGCAATGTTTAATAAAAATCTTGAATACCAGCATAATTATTGTTTATGACATTGAAAGACAAGATTTCAGTAGTTTATTATGTACATTTGCTGTACTTTACTTCAAATACCTTGTATATTTAGAAAATAAAGCATTCTTTTTTTCTAGTTATGTTACCAAGCTCTTATTGTGTGCCTATTTTATGTAGACATGTAGATTATACAATGTTCAACTTATCCTGTACTCTTAAGATAAACTTATTGTTGGTTTTATTCATTTTATACAGAGAAAGAGTCACTTTATTTGTAATTGGTTTAAAAAATTTTTGTCTTGGCTGGGTGCGGTGGTTCATGCCTGTAATCCCAGCACTTTGGGAGGCCAAGGCTGGCAGATCATGAGGTCAGGAGGTTGAGACCAGACTGACCAACATGGTAAAACCGTGTCTCTACTAAAAATACAAAAATTAGCCGGGCATGCTGGCATGTGCCTGTAATCCCAGCTACTCAGGAGGGTGAGGCAGGAGAATTGCTTGAACCCAGGAGGTGGAGGTTGCAGTGAGCTGAGATTGGGCCATTGCACTCCAGCCTGGGCAACAGAGTGAGACACAGTCTCAAAAAAAAAATTTGTCTTTGTGAATGAGATTGTTTATAGTTGTCCTTGTTTTGTCTCTGTCAAGCTTTGACATAAACTCAGGAATTGAGTTGTGCAGTGTTTTTACCTATTCTATTTTTGAGAAAGGTTAAGTACTATCAACCTCATGCTTTTCAGTTTTAAATTTTGAATGCTTGGAATACTTACCAGACATTTTTCTGAGACTGATATTTGTAGCATATGTGTTAATTTCTACTGATCTAGCATCTAGTTTACTGGTTCTGTCTTGTACACATAAGTTCAAATGTAGTGAGTTTTTTAGTTACTGTATTATTCATTTTACAACTCATTTTTAGAATCTTTATATAGTTTCTTCTTTCCTGCAGATACTTTCATTTGTCTTTTTTAGATATGGTAAGCATAGTTGTTTTTTATTCTTTGTGTCTGATAATTCTAATATTGGATGTCTTTGCAGATTTGTTTCTGTTATGTTTTTCTCTGGTGTCTTTCACATGATGTTATTTATTGTGAACTTTGTCATATTTGATTGCTTGCTAGTCATTGCACATAATGGAAAATTGTTTGCAAGTTTCATCAAGGTCCAGAATAGATGTGACTTTCTTTGGGAGAGTTTGCTTTTGCTTCTTTCTGTTTCCTGGGGATTCTACAATTTGAAGGAATTATTTGTACCACTTCAGGTAATTTAGTTCATTCAGAATTAATATAATTGATGGAGAAATGCATGTAAGACCCATGTGTAGAAACAAGTTTGCAGACATTTTTTTCTCTTTTTTTTATTTGTCTTTATGACCTGTCCTCAACTTGAAGACAGCCTTGTATGCCATTCCTTGGTGTTGGGAAGAAAACAACTGTTTGGGCCATACATATTCTTTGGAGTCCCAGGTTAATTTTGAGGTTTTTATAATATATCACATGTGCTAAACATCTAAAAGTACTTAATACATGTTAGAAAACATCATTAGACTAGTAATTCTTAACACAAATTGTAAGGAATTAAGGTGCATTACTAGGTTCTATAAAGAGAAGGTTTTTGTTTAGAATATTTTTTATAGATTATGTTTATGAACTGTGAATACATTTTAATATGTATAAGGCAAAGAATGAGATGTTTGGATTCAAAGATGCATAAGATCAAACACTGAAGAAATTTTCTGTGTAGTTGGGGAGAAAAAAAAATCAAAAAGCCAATGTAGCCCATGGATTGCAAGTTTCTGCCTCCTGTCCTCACCTTACCTGGCTGTGCCCGGCTGCCAGATACCAAGATTTGTTTTTAATCATGGAAGAAAAAGCCTTACAAAGTGATGACATCACAGGTGTGAGCCACCGTGCCTAGCTATATTTTTCTATTTTTAGTAGAGATGAGGTCTCACTATGTTGCCCAGGCTTGTCTTAAACTCCTGAACTCAAACAATCTTTTCCCCCTGGCCTCCCAAAATGTTGTGATTACAGGCATGAGCCAGCACACTTGACCCAATAAGTACTTTTAAAAATATGGCAGAGAGCACTTTGGGAGTCTGAAGCAGGAGGACTGCTTTAGCCGAGGAAATTGAGATCAGCCTAGACAATATAACAAGACCTTATCTCTACAAAACAACAAAACAATAAAAACAGAGAAGGCTTCTTCTATGTGACCTTCTACACTTTCAACCAGTGACTTTTCTGCAGGTAAACACTGTATAAGTTCATTTTATCTTTACACATATTTGCATGTGTATATGTGATTTTATGGACCTTTAGAAATAGTATTGCATGTGTGTTTCCTGGATGACACCGTGTGTTCAATGGTTAGAAGAGCAGGCTCAGAGTACCTGTGTAACCTTGGGCAAGTTTCTCGACTTCTCTGACTCATTTGTTACTCAGGGATAATAACGTGAATAAAATTAGTGCTGTTCTTTGAATGCAATAATAAAGTAGATAAACTATTTCAAGAGGAGTAAAAATTTTACAAAAGATAAAAGAAGATATTTAGATATACATTCAAGATTCAAACATAATATTTTTTTAAATGTCATGACATTAAACTTGAAAATTTAGATGAAATTATCTATTTTCCAGGAAAGTATGTGACAAAAATTGATTGTGGAAGAAACATGAGATAAATAGAAAAATCAAAAATTATGTTTTTAATTTTACACCCATAAAAAGCACATATATTATAAAATAACAGCTTTATAAGTTTTTACAAAATGCATATACTATGAACCCAGCACCCAGTGACGGACAAGTGTGAACAATACAATGTGAACCATGGACTGCATCCACATGCCATGTGCAGGACCTCACCAGTGGTCTCTGTTGATGTGTAAGAGGGACAACCCTCACCGTTGGCTGGGTATGCCTATAAGAATCACAATTTTAAGTTTGTGCTGGGATCTGTTATGACATTCTCTGTACCACCCAAGGGGTCGTACAATATGCGTGAGTTCTGTGACCTTCATACAAGTAGAAGGCCCAGAACCTTACCCATTGCTTTAAGGCTACCTATGAGAGTCAACATATCTCGTATTGGCTAGATCCGGGTATGCGAGTCATCACTGTGCCTCTGAGCTGAGTCTGGAAATCAGTCACTATTCAACCTGTTCTCAGATCCACATATGACAATCAGAATTTTAACTGTGGACTGCACCTGCATGTGAGGTTCAGGACCTCACCAGTGTGCTACTTTCATGTTTGGAAGTGATGACCCTAATTGTTGGCTTGGTATGCCTATGAGAGTCACAATCTCACTATGTGCTGGGCCCTTATTATACTGTCTGTATTACTCAAAGTATTTATAGAATATGCATACATTTCATCAACTTCTGTTATCCTTCTAAATGTAGGAGACTTAGGACTTTACCCACTACTCAAAGTCTAGCTAACAGAGTCAAAATCACTCCTAGTGGCTGGTTTTCTATATGAGCATGGTCATAATGCCTGTGAGCTGGGAAAAAAAACATAGGTTGAAATTTAACCTGTGAGAAGGGAAGAGGCAAGATAATCAGATCACCTGAATGCTGGACCAAAAAAATGTCAATATCCACTCTCTGGGCAGGGCCATGGCAGTAAAATCACATAACCTGGGAACTGGGCCTAATAGTATGTCACAATGCCACCTGTGGGCAGGGTTCAGGCAGAAAAGTTACATTACCTGTGTACAGGGCACAGTAATATGTCACAATCCACCCTGTGTACAGGGCCCAAGCAGAAAAGGAGAGTCATAATACCTAGTTGATGGGCCCCTGATATGTCACAATGCCTCATATTGGAAGGGCCAAGGCAGGAGAGTCATATCATTTGAGTGCAGGGCTCAGTGATATATCACAACCCACACTGAGGCAGGGCCCAGGTGGAAAAGTAGAGTCACATTACTTAAGTGATGTGTCCAGTTATATGCCACAACTCTTGGTGTTGGCAGGGCCCAGGCAAAAGAAGATAATCATTTAACCTAGGTGATGGGCCCAGTGATGTATCACAATCTCCCCTGAAGACCTATGCAGGAGAGTAAAATAACTTACATGATGGGCTCAGGTATATGTCACAATTCCATTTGTGGGCTTTTCCCCAGCAGGAGGGTCAAATAATTCAAGCGCTGGACAAAGGTATATGTCACAATCACACCAGCAAAAAGGTCCAGATATAAAATTTAAACTTTCACACATTTTCTGGCTCCAGGTATGAGAGTCAAGACCTCCTGTGAGTTGGGTATAAGTTCATGAGTCACAGTCTTAATAGCGGACTGTATGCCTGCATGAGAGCCACAATTCTAAACACAAATTTTTCAGTATATGAGTCACAGCCTCACAGGCATGCTGAATCCTGGTCTTTGAGTCACTATCTTACCTGTGGACCAGATGTATTCATGAGAGTCAAAATTCCAACTTTCAACTACCTGCACATGTGAGGTTCACAGCCTCAACAGTGGACGGTTTCCATGTGGGAGGGTGACAATGTTTACTGTTGGCTGAGTGTGCATAAGAAAGTCACAATTTCACCTGTGTCCTGGGACCTGTTATGACACACTCTGTACTAACCAAGGGCTTTATATGGTGTGAGTAACAGTCACAATCTGCTTTGAGACCTTCATGCTGGTATGAACCAATGATCTATTACCAGGTATGTGTCAACATCTCTCTTATTGGTCAGATATATTTATGACAGTCATCACAGTGCTTGTAAGCCACCTCCAAAAATAAGTCACCATATCAGCTATCCCAGGACACATATGAAAGGCACAAATCCAATTGTGGACTGTGCCTGTAAGATTCAGGACCTCACCAGTGGACTCTGTCCATGTGTGAGGGTGACAATCCTAATTGTCAGCTGGGTTTGCCTACGAGAGTAATAATTTCACCTGGGTACTGGATCCTGTAACTAAACTCTAAATGTCACACAAGGGCTTTAGAGAATATGCTTGAGTGTCATAATCTTTTGTGACCTTTCCTCACCCAGAACTTTATGCTTTTTCACCCAGAACCTTATCCATTGCCCTAAGCCTAGAAAACAGAAGCCAAATCTCCCCTATTGACTGGGTCCATATAGGAGGGCTATCATTACACACACCTCTAAACTTGGCCTAGATATATGTCACAATAGCTCCTGTGAGCAGAAATCAGACAGTCACATCACTTTGGTGCTTGGCCAAAGATATGTCACAATTCCACTCATAAACAGGACCCAGGAAGATGTGTCAAAAATGGCCACTGTACGCAGGAGTCACATCACCTGGGTGCTTGGCCCAGCTATATGTCACAATCTATTCTGTGGAAGAATACAGGCAGGAAATGAGAGTCACATCACCCAGGTGCTGGGCCTAGTTATATGTCACAATCCTCCTGCAAGCAGAGTCAAAGCAGAACACAAAAGTCATATCACGGAAATGATGGACCCAGTGATATGTCACAATCCCCACTGAGGGCAGGGCCCAGGGGAAAAAAAAGAGTCAAATCACCTAGGTGATGGGTTCAGGCATGTCGCAATGCCTTTTTTGGGAACAGCCTAAGCAGGATTGGAGAGGCACATAACCTACAACATATGGCCCGGAGATATGTCACAATCCCCCTTGAGGGCAGCGCCCAGGCAGGAGCATCACATATTCTTGGTACTTGGCCAAGGTGTATGTCAAAATCTCAACTATAGAATGGGCTTCTGCAGGACAGCAAAATTCATCAGTTCTCTGACAAAGATACATGTAACAATCACCCTGTGGGAAGGTCCAGATATAAGATTTACAATCTCGCACTTGTCCCAGCTTGAGGTATGAGAGTCAACTCCTGTGAGTTGTGTTCAAGAATGTGAATCACATTTTTAACCATGGACTGGATCAGTGCCTGAGAAAGCCAACCCCAACTCTGGACAGTGTTTCAGTGGGGTCAGTCACTGCCTCATAGGTGTGATAAATTTTGGCCTGAAGATACAATCCTAACTATCCTACCCGTCACCAACCTACCTGTGAATCAAATCCACCTATGAGAATCACAATTCCAACTTCTGAATACCCCTGAATGTAAGATTCAGAGCCTCAACAGTGGGCTGTGTCCATGTGAGAGGGTGACAGTTCTTACTCTTGGGTGCGTGTGCATACAAGGGTCTCAATCCCACTTGTCCTGAGCCCTGTTATGACACAATCTATACCACCCCAGGGCTTTATGCAGGATGCATAAGAATTGAAATTTCCTGTAAGACCTTAGTGCTGATATAAGCTCATGATCTTACCCATTGCCCTAAGCCTGAGAGTCAACATATCTTCTGTTGTCTGGGTCCAGGTATGAGAGTCATCCCTGTGACTGTGAGCTGGGTTCAAAAATGTGTCAACACCTAACTTGTGGCCAGATCCACATATGACATTCATAATTCCAACTGTGGACCGTGTTTCCACTTTAGATTCTAGACCTCACCAGTAGGCTCTGTTCCTGTTTGAGGGTGACAATCCTAACTGCTGGCTGGGTGTGTTTAAGAGAGCCACAATCTCACCTGTGTGCTGGGTCCTGCTGTGACACTCTCTGTGCCACCCAAGGCCTTTATATTATAAGCATGTGTAGTAATCCTCTGTGACCTTCGTACAAGTAGGGGAACCAGGACCTTACCATTTGCCCTAAGCCTAGCTATGTGAATTAATATATCTTTTTTTTTTTTTGCTGATTCCAGATACAAGATTCATCATCATGCCTGTGAGCTGGGTCCAATAATGAATCACCATCCTACCTGTGGCCAAATGCATATATGACAGTTACAACTCTAACTGCAGACTGCATCGGCATGTAAAATTTAGGTCACCAGTGGGCTCTCTCCATGTTTGAATGTGGTGATTCTAATGGTCAGTGAGGTGTGCATAGGAGAGTCACAATCTCATCTTCAAGTGGGCCTTGTATCAGCACTCTCTGTACTCTCTTAGGACTATATGACATATCGGTGGGCTTATAATGTTCTGTGACCTTTGTACAAGTAAGGGACACAAGACCTTATTTGTTGCCCTATGCCTCACTATGTGAGTAAAAAATCACATCTTTTGGCTGGGTTTATGTATGAGAATCATCATCATGCTTTCCAGCAGGGCTCATGTATGTGACACAAGGCCCACCATGAACAGGGCCCAGGAAAAAGAGTAGAGGCACATTACCTAGGTGCTGGGCCCAGTGATGTAATTTTGTTTTGTGGGTAGGGCCAAGACAGTAGAGAAATGTCACATCACTAGGTTCTGAACTTAGTGATAAGTAACAATTATCCCTGAGGGCAGGGCCCAAAAAAAAGTCACACTACCTAGGTGCTTGGCCCAGGTATATGTTAAGATCCTAACTGTATGCCAGGCTCAGACAAGAGAGTTAAATTACTCAGGTGCTGGGCAAAGCTATATATCACAATCACACCTGCAGAAAGGTTAAGTGATAAGATTTACAATCCCACACATGTCCCAGCTCTATGTATCAGAGTGAACTCCTCCTGTGAATTGGGTCTCAGTAAGTGAGTCACAGTCTCAAAGGTGGACTGGATTTGTGCATGACAGCCACAATCACACCCGCAGACTGCATCTCGGTAGAGGAGTCACAGCCTCCAGGTGTGCTGCCTCCTGGTCTGAGGTCATCATCTCAGCTGTGGACCACATCCACCTATGAGAGTCACAATTCCAACTTTTGACTGCTTCTGGTTGTGAGATTCAGAATCTCAACAGTGGGCTGTGTCCATGTAGGAGGCTGACAATCCTTACTCTGCCTGTGTGCATATCAGAGTCACAGTCTCACCTGTGTGCCAGACCCTGTAATGACCCTCTCAGGACCAATGGGGGACTTTGTACAATATGTATAGTGTCATAATCCTCTGCTACCCTTATGCAAGCAGGAGACCCAGAACATTATGTGCTCCCCTAAACCTAGTTAACAGAGTCAACATCTCTCCATTTAGCTGAGTCCAGGTGAAAGAGCCATCACTGTTTTCTAAGCTGGATCCAGAAGTGAGTCATCTTCTCATCTGTGATCAGATTTAAATATCACAGTCACAATCCCAACTGTGAACTGTGTCAGTTTGTGAAATTTAGGACCTCACCAGTGGGCTCTGTTTATATGGGAGGGTGATGGTACTGTCAGCGGTGTCTGCATAACAAAGTCACAATCTCACCTGTGTGCTGGGCCCTATAATGAATCTCTGTACCACCCAGAGGGATTTATACAATATGCATGAGTGTCATAATCTTCTGTGACTTTCATACAGGTAGGAGACCCAGGACCCTATTGGTTTCCTTAAGCCTAGCTATAAGAGTCAACATCTCTTTTATTGGTTGGGTCAAGATATGAGAGTTCTCACTGTGCCTGTGAGCTAACTCCATAAACAGGTCAACATCACACCTGTGGCTGGATCTACACATGACAGTCAAAATTCCAACTGTGGACTATGTCCGTGTACAAGATTCAGGACCTCACCAGTGTTCTCTGTCCATATGAGACAATGACACTCATAACTGTTGGCTGGATGAGCATACAAAAGTCACAATTTCACCTGTGTGCTGGGTGCAGTTATATGTGAAATTCTCACCTGTGGAAAAGAAACCAGCTAGGAGAGTCACATTTTTTTTATTATTATTATTATACTTTA
This sequence comes from Homo sapiens, assembly GCF_000001405.40. Lineage (NCBI taxonomy): Eukaryota > Metazoa > Chordata > Mammalia > Primates > Hominidae > Homo > Homo sapiens. The sequence goes on along the minus strand of NC_000019.10, from coordinate 22,931,100 downwards.
AGTTTTAGGGTACATGTGCACAATGTGCAGGTTTGTTACATATGTATACATGTGCCATGTTGGTGTGCTGCACCCATTAACTCGTCATTTAGCATTAGGTGTATCTTCTAATGCTATCCCTCCCCCATCCTCCCACCCCACAACAGTCCCCGGTGTGTGATGTTCCCCTTCCTGTGTCCATGTGTTCTCATTGTTCAATTCCCACCTATGAGTGAGAACATGCAGTGTTTGGTTTTTTGTCCTTGCGATAGTTTGCTGAGAATGATGTTTCCAGCTTCATCCATGTCCCTACAAAGGACATGAACTCATCATTTTTAATGGCTGCATAGTATTCCATGGTGTGTATGTGCCACATTTTCTTAATCCAGTCTATCATTGTTGGACATTTGGGTTGGTTCCAAGTCTTTGCTATTGTGAATAGTGCCACAATAAACATACGTGTGCATGTGTCTTTATAGCAGCATGATTTATAATCCTTTACTGGCCATCAGAGAAATGCAAATCAAAACCACAATGAGATACCATCTCACACCAGTTAGAATGGCGATCATTAAAAAGTCAGGAAACAACAGGTGCTGGAGAGGATATGGAGAAATAGGAACACTTTTACACTGTTGGTGGGACTGTAAACTAGTTCAACCATTGTGGAAGTCAGTGTGGTGATTCCTCAGGGATCTAGAACTAGAAATACCATTTGAGAGTCACATATTTTAAGTGCTGGGCTAAAGATATGTTACAGTATCCCCTATGGGCAGGGCCCAGGAAGGAGAGTTAAATTACCTGTGTGCTGTGACCAGTGATATGTCACAATGCCTTCTATGAGAATGGCCTAGGCAGGAGTTTTTAATTACCTTTGTGCTGGTCCAAATCCCCCTCAATTGGCATGACCTAGAGAGAATAGAAAAGTCACAATCCCCCTCAACTGGCATGGCCTAGAGAGAATAGAAGAGTCACAGCACCTAAATTATGGCCACAGAGATAAATCACGATACCTCCTGTGGGCAGGGCCTAGGATAGAGGGTCACATCACTTGCAATCTGGGCTCAGTAAAATGATTCAATCTCCCCTATGGCCAGAGCTCAGGCAGAAGAATAGAATCATATCACCTAAATGGTATGTCACAGTCCATTTTCAAGGGGCAGAATGCAGGCAAAAGAGGAAAGTCACATCACCTAGGTAATGAGTTCAGAGGTAAGTCACAATACCTACTGTGGGCAGGGCACAGGCCGTACAGTCACATCACGGAGGTGCTGAGCTCAGTGATATCTCACAATGGCTCTGTGGGCAGGGCCCTGGCTGAAAATAAGAGTCACATGACCTAAGTGCTGAGCCCAGTGATATTCTACAGCACCCTCTGTGGGTAGGGCTCAAGCATGAGAGTCACATCACCTAGGTGTTTGACCCAGGTATCTGTCACAATCCCCTCTGAGGGCTGGGCCCAGGCAGGGGAGTAAAATTACTCAGGTGCTAAGCAAAAGTATATGTCACAACAACACTTGTGGAAGGTCCAGGGCTAAGATGCACAATTCCACACGTGTCCCAGCTTCAGGTAGGAGAGTCAACACCTCCTGTGCATTGCATGCAAGTACATGAGTCACAATCTCAATGATGGACTGAATCCATGCATAAGAGTCCCAATTCCACCTGCAGACCATGTCCTGCTATCAGAATCAAAGCCTCACCGGTGTGATGAACCCTGATCCTAGTGTCATCATCTACCTGTGGACAAAATCCACAAATGAGAATTAGAATTCCACTTTTCAACTGCATCCAGATGTACAATTCAGAAGCTCAACAGTGGTCTGTATTCATGTGGGAGGGTGACACTTTTTACTGTGGGCTGGAAGTGCATATAAGAATCACAATTTCAGTTGTGTTCTGGGTCCTCTTATGACACTCTCTTTAACTCCACAGGGCTTTACATTGTTTGGGTGAGAGTCACAATCCCCTCTGAGACATTAGTGCTGTATAAACTCATGATCTTGCCTCTTTTCCTAAGTCCAGGTATGAGAGTCAACACCTCTCATATTGGCTGGGTCCAGGTATGAAAATCATGACTGTGTCTCTTAGATGGGTTCAGAAATGAGTCACCCTCTTACCTGTGGCTGGATCCACACATGACATTAAAAATTCAAACTGTGGACTCATCTGAGAGTGAGATTCAAGACCTCACCAGTGGGTTCTGTCTGTGTGTGTGGATCACAATTCTTATTCTTGGCTGGGCGTGCATTTGAGAGTCACAATCTCCACTTTGTGCTGAGTTATGTAATGACACTCTCTGTACAATGTGAGGGCATTATACAATATGAGTGAGTTTGATAATTTTTTGTGACCTTCAAACAAGTGAGAAACCCAAAACCTTGCCTCTTGCCCTAAGCCTAAGAGTCAACACATCTTCTATTGGCTGGGTTCATTGTGCAAGTGAGTTGAGTTCAGAAATTTGTCACCATTCAACCTGTGGCTGAATCCATATATGACAGTATAATTTCTTTTTTTTTTTTTTTAATTTATTTTTTTATTGATAATTCTTGGGTGTATCTCACAGAGGGGGATTTGGCAGGGTCATGGGACAATAGTGGAGGGAAGGTCAGTAGATAAACAAGTGAACAAAGGTCTCTGGTTTTCCTAGGCAGAGGACCCTGCGGCCTTCCACAGTGTTTGTGTCCCTGATTACTTGAGATTAGGGATTGGTGATGACTCTTAACGAGCATGCTGCCTTCAAGCATCTGTTTAACAAAGCACATCTTGCACCGCCCTTAATCCATTTAACCCTGAGTGGACACAGCACATGTTTCAGAGAGCACAGGGTTGGGGGTAAGGTCACAGATCAACAGGATCCCAAGGCAGAGGAATTTTTCTTAGTGCAGAACAAAATGAAAAGTCTCCCATGTCTACTTCTTTCTACACAGACACAGCAACCATCCGATTTCTCAATCTTTTCCCCACCTTTCCCGCCTTTCTATTCCACAAAGCCGCCATTGTCATCCTGGCCCGTTCTCAATGAGCTGTTGGGCACACCTCCCAGACGGGGTCGTGGCCGGGCAGAGGGGCTCCTCACTTCCCAGTAGGGGCGGCCGGGCAGAGGCGCCCCTCACCTCCCGGACGGGGCGGCTGGCCGGGCGGGGGCTGACACCCCCCCACCTCCCTCCCGGACGGGGCGGCTGGCCGGGCGGGGGCTGACACCCCTCCACCTCCCTCCCGGACGGGGCGGCTGGCCGGGCGGGGGGCTGACCCCCCCACCTCCCTCCCGGACGGGGCGGCTGGCCGGGCAGGGGGGCTGACCCCCCCCACCTCCCTCCCGGACGGGGCGGCTGGCCGGGCGGGGGCTGACACCCCCACCTCCCTCCTGGACGGGGTGGCTGGCCGGGCTGTGGGGCTCCTCACTTCCCAGTAGGGGCGGCCGGGCAGAGGCGCCCCTCACCTCCCGGACGGGGCGGCTGGCCGGGCGGGGGGGCTGACCCCCCCCCACCTCCCTCCCGGACGGGGCGGCTGGCCGGGCGGGGGGCTGACACCCCCACCTCCCTCCCGGACGGGGCGGCTGGCCGGGCAGAGGGGCTCCTCACTTCCCAGTAGGGGCGGCCGGGCAGAGGCGCCCCTCACCTCCCGGACGGGGCGGCTGGCCGGGCAGGGGGGCTGACCCCCCCCACCTCCCTCCCGGACGGGGCGGCTGGCCGGACGGGGGGCCGACCCCCCCACCTCCCTCCCGGACGGGGCGGCTGGCCGGGCGGGGGCTGACACCCCCACCTCCCTCCCGGACGGGGCGGCTGGCCGGGCAGAGGGGCTCCTCACTTCCCAGTAGGGGCGGCCGGGCAGAGGCGCCCCTCACCTCCCGGATGGGGCGGCTGGCCGGGTGGGGGGCTGACCCCCCAACCTCCCTCCCGGATGGGGCGGCTGGCCGGGCAGAGGGGCTCCTCACTTCCCAGTAGGGGCGGCCGGGCAGAGGCACCCCTCACCTCCCAGACGGGGCGGCTGGCCGGGCAGGGGGGCTGACCCCCCCCGCCTCCCTCCCGGACGGGGCGGCTGGCCGGGCAGAGGGGCTCCTCACTTCCCAGTATGGGCGGCCGGGCAGAGGCGCCCCTCACCTCCCGGACGGGGCAGCTGGCCGGGCGGGGGGGCTGACACCCCTCCACCTCCCTCCCGGACGGGGCGGCTGGCCGGGCGGGGGGCTGACCCCCCACCTCCCTCCCGGACGGGGCGGCTGGCCGGGCAGGGGGGCTGACCCCCCCCACCTCCTTCCCGGACGGGGCGGCTGGCCGGGCGGGGGCTGACACCCCCACCTCCCTCCTGGACGGGGTGGCTGGCCGGGGTGTGGGGCTCCTCACTTCCCAGTAGGGGCGGCCGGGCAGAGGCGCCCCTCACCTCCCGGACGGGGCGGCTGGCCGGGCGGGGGGGCTGACCCCCCCCCACCTCCCTCCCGGACGGGGCGGCTGGCCGGGCGGGGGGCCGACCCCCCCACCTCCCTCCCGGACGGGGCGGCTGGCCGGGCGGGGGGCCGACACCCCCACCTCCCTCCCGGACAGGGCGGCTGGCCGGGCGGGGGGCTGACCCCCCAACCTCCCTCCCGGACGGGGCAGCTGGCCGGGCAGAGGGGCTCCTCACTTCCCAGTAGGGGCGGCTGGGCAGAGGCGCCCCTCACCTCCCAGACGGGGCGGCTGGCCGGGCGGAGGGCTGACCCCCCCACCTCCCTCCCGGACGGGGCGGCTGGCCAGGCGGGGGGCTGACCCCCCCACCTCCCTCCCAGACGGGGCGGCTGGCCGGGTGGGGGGGCTGACCCCCCCATCTCCCTCCCGGACGGGGTGGCTGGCCGGGCTGTGGGGCTCCTCACTTCCCAGTAGGGGCGGCCGGGCAGAGGCGCCCCTCACCTCCCGGAGGGGGCGTCTGGCCGGGGGGGGGCTGACCCCCCCACCTCCCTCCCGGACGGCACGGCTGGCCAGGCAGGGGGCTGACCCCCCCACCTCCCTCCCGGATGGGGCGGCTGGCCGGGCCGGGGGCTGACCCCCCCCCCCACCTCCCTCCCGGACGGGGTGGCTGCCGGGCGGAGACGCTCCTCACTTCCCAGATGGGGTGGCTGCCGGGCGGAGAGGCTCCTCACTTCTCAGACGGGGCAGCTGCCAGGCGGAGGGGCTCCTCACTTCTCAGACGGGGTGGTTGCCAGGCAGAGGGTCTCCTCACTTCTCAGACGGGGCGGCCGGGCAGAGACGCTCCTCACCTCCCAGACGGGGTCTCGGCCGGGCAGAGGCGCTCCTCACATCCCAGATGGGGCGGCGGGGCAGAGGCGCTCCCCACATCTCAGACGATGGGCGGCCGGGCAGAGACGCTCCTCACTTCCTAGATGTGATGGCGGCTGGGAAGAGGCGCTCCTCACTTCCTAGATGGGATGGCGGCCGGGCGGAGACGCTCCTCACTTTCCAGACTGGGCAGCCAGGCAGAGGGGCTCCTCACATCCCAGACGATGGGCGGCCAGGCAGAGACACTCCTCACTTCCCAGACGGGGTGGCGGCCGGACAGAGGCTGCAATCTCGGCACTTTGGGAGGCCAAGGCAGGCGGCTGCTCCTTGCCCTCGGGCCCCGTGGGCCCGTCCGCTCCTCCAGCCGCTGCCTCCCGGGCGGCGCTCGCCGGCGCGGCGGCAAAGACTGAGACAGCTCCGCTGCCCACTGAACTCCATCCTCCCGGCGGTCGGGCGGCAGCTGCTGCGGTCGGTCGCGGCAGCAGCTCCGCTTCATATCTGCAGCTGGGGCCCGCGGGCGTCAGCGCCGCGACTGTCCCGGCTCCGCACTGCCCTGGGCCGCAGCGCAGCCGCGCCAACCACCACCCGCGGCCACCATGGCCGGACAGTATAATTTCAATGGTGGAATAGGTTCATGTGTGAGATTCAGGACCTCACCAATGGGCTCGGTCTATGTGTGAGGGTGGCAATTCAAACTGTTGGCTAGGTGTGTATAGGAGAGTTACAATCTCACCTGTGGACTGGGCCCTGTAATGGCACTCTGTATTGCCCAAAAGCTTTATACCGTATGTGTAAGTGTCATAATCTTCTGTTACCTTCTTACAAGTAAAAGACCCAGACCCCTAAGCATAGCTACCAGAGTCAACATCTCTCTTACTGGCTTCGTCCAGGTATGAGAGTTATCACCATTCCTGTGAGCTGAATCCAGAAATGAGTCACTATCCCACTTCTGGTGAGAAATACATAAGACAGTCACAATTCCAACTGTTGATGTGTTCACATATAAGATTCAGGACCTCAACAGTGGTCTTTATTCATGTGTTATGGTGACAATAGCAACTGTTGGCTGGGTTTGCATACAAGAGGAAAAATTTCATCTGTGTGCTGGGCTGAGTAATATGTCACAATCTTACCTGTGAGAAAGGCTGAGAAATGAGAGTGACATCACCTGAATTCTTCACCTGGAAAATATCTCAATCCCCTCTATAAGTAAGGCCCAGGCAGGAGAGTAACATCATTTGTGTGCAGGGCCAAGTGACATATCATAATATTTTCTCTAGGTAGAGTCCAGGCAGGAGAGTCACAACATTCAGGTGCTGGGCCCAGAGATATGTCACAATCCCCTTTGGGGGCATTTCTCAGGCAGCAGAGAAGAGGCACATTATGTAGGAAATTGGCTCAGAGATGTTTCACAATGTCTCTCTTCACCTTTTGGGTGAAGGGACAGGTGAAGAGTCACATCACCTACATAATGGACCTAGCAATATGTCACAATACCCTCTAATGGAAGGGCAAAGACAAGAAAGTCACATAACCTAGGTGAGAAAATCAGAGATATGTCACAATGTATGCTATGAGTAGGGATCATGGAAAAGAGGATAGCCATAAAACCTAGGGGCTGCACCCAGATATATGTCACAATTACCCCAGTGGGTAGAGCCTAACCATAAGAGGAGAGTCAAATAACATAAATGCTGTGCCAAGCATTATGTCAAAATCCCCACTGTGGACATGTCCCTTCCCACCCAAAAAAAGAGTCACATTATCTATATTTTGGGACCACAGATATGTATCAATGATGCCTGTGGGCAGAGAGCAGGCAGAAGAACCACATCACTTGTGTGCTGGGTCCTGATAAGTCACTCTTACCTGTAGTCATGGCCCAGACAGAAGAGGCAAGTCAAATTAGCTGGGTGCAGAGCCCAGAGATATATCACAATGCCTACTCTAGGTAAAGCCCAGGAAAGAGAGGAGACTCAGATCAAATAGTCTATGGGCCCAGAGATATATCACAATGCCCCCTTGTAAGCAGGGTCCAGGCAAAGGACTCAAATCTCTTTTGCGTTGGGCCCAGCAATATGTCACCATGCCTTCTGAGGGTAGGGCTAAAGTGAAAGAGTAATATCACCTTGGTGTTGGGCCCAGCAATAGGTCAATATCTTTTGTGTGAGCAGAACATAGAAAAAAAAGAAGAGTCACATCAACTGGGTGCTGAGCCCTGGGATATGTCCCAATTCCTCCTGTGAGCAGAAACCATGCAGGAGAAGAAAGTCAGAACACATAAGTGATGGGCACAGAGACAGTTTATAATGTCCGCTGTTGGAAGGGCGCAGGTGGAAAAGTAACATCACCTGGTGTTGGACAGTGCAATATGTCAAAATAGCCAATGTGGTCAGGGCACAGGCAGAAATCACATAACCTGGGTGCAGGGCCTGGCAATACATCACAATGCCTTCTATGGGCAGAGCCAAGGCAGGAGAATAGGTTACATCAGCTAAGTGCTGCACCAAGTGATATGTCATGATCTCTGCTGAAGGCTGGACCCAGGCAGGAGAATCACTCAGATTCTGGGCAGAGGCATATATCAGATTCACACCTATAGGAAGGTCCAGGGATGAGATTAATCCCACACACTTTCCAGTTCCAGGTATGAGAGTCAACACCTGTAGGTTTGGGCTAAGCATGTGAGTCACAATCTCAACAGGGGACTGAATTTGTACACAAGAGACTAAATCTCTCCTGAAAACTGTGTTCCCTTAGTGAAGTCACAACCTCACTGTTGTTGGGAGTCTTAGTCTGAGAGTCACCAACTCGTCTATGGATCAGATCCATGTATGAGAGTTAATTCTCCAACTTTCCACTGCCTCTGGGTGGGAGATTCAGAACCTCAACAGTGGGCTGTATTCATGTGGAAGAATGACAGTCTTTACTATTAGCCACCTGTGCATGGGATAATCACAATGTTACCTGTGTGTTGGGCCTTGTGGGGACACTCTCTCTACCATTCAAGGTATTTATATGGTATGCATGAGAGTCAAAATCTGCTCTGAGACCTTCGTGCTAGCATGCACCCATGATTGTACCTGTGACCCTAAGCTCATTCATGAGAGTCAACATCTCTTCAGTAGATTTGGTCCAGATAGAAGTTTCTCAACTGTCTATGTGCTGGGTTTAGAAATGAGTCACCATCCCAATTGTGGCTGGATGTTCACATATGACAGTCACAATTCCAACTGAACTGCATCCGCATATGAGGTTGAAGACCTCACCAGTGCACTGTGTCCATGTGTGAATGCCTTTTAGTTCATGTGACATAAGTAATCTTTGGGAAATAAAAACAGCTTTACATGCAAGGTGTGTAAGAAAAATAGAATGTGCTTTCAGTATAAGATTATAAAAAGGCATAAGAATGTTAATATTGGGGCCTCGGTTAGAGATCTAAAGGGTTGTTTTAAGTTAGAATAAACCTGAAGGTTTGAGCAAGTTGTGGAAGGTTTTTAAAAATTTAATCTCATAAAAAAATTCTGTGTGTGAACATACTGGCTAAAGTTAAATAGATATTCAGTTTTTCCATAAATTGAACATTGGAATAAAAGCTCAACAGGTTTTTTTTAGAGCACAGATTTGCCGTTTAACAAAAATTTTAAAGGGTTGTAAAAGATTTCTGAGAATCTTACCTTATAGTCAAACTAATTAAGCTTTGATATGTTGTATATAAGATTTTATTAAGAACTTTGGCATCATTACTATACTAACACAAAGGTGAAATATAGGCTTCCACTCTTGAACCAGATTTTCATGTTGTATTTAAAAAATGAAAGATTTTTGTTTGTCTTTTGAATAAAGTACAGGAAGAAAGACAAGAGACAGACTGTTTGGAAAGCTATGTCTTTCCTTTATTAGTAAGTAAAAGTTTTTGGCTTTTAAAAAAATTTTAAAAAGAAAAGTTACTGTTTTGGCTAAATGAATGACATAGGGTGAACTGGGATTTGATTTTATAATGTAAAATATTTTAAACCTTTGTTATTTGAAAAACTTTCCAAAATTAAATTATACATTTCATCTTTTCTGACCTAATTAATCTTTTAGATATTAGGTCACCTAAAGTCCAAAAATAATATATTCGATTTATTTGGTATAAAATTATACAGAATGTATTGTCAAATATGAAATGGTATTTGGCTTTCTTGGGGTTGTATTTGTATAAATATGTCATTAGTGAGTGTTCTGAAATTATGGAAAACTCCTGTAAGTCTGATATAACTTAGTGTATAGTATGTTGTTAATAGTTATAATTGTTATGTAAAATTGTTTATTCCACAAGAGTAACCAATATTTCTAGTTAACTGTGGCTTTAATAATGGCTGTCCTAGGACTTTTTTTGTCACCCACAGACAATTGTTGTCTTGTTTTAATCCTTTTCAAAAGATAATTTATAGTCTGCTCTGGAACATTGATGGGTGCTTTCAAATGCAAATTTCTGATAACTTTGAAGACTGCAAAATTAGAACAGGGGAAAAACTTTCAAGACTCTCATGGAAAGCTGAAATATTAATAAATATCAAGCAGAACAAGAGTTTACTGCATGAACTGAACTAATAAAAGATGGAAGTAATATTTTTTGGCTTTTTGCTTAAAATGTTGTGGATCCTTTGTTTTTCAGAGTCAAGAGCACTTTTGAGTTATTTACAGCTTTTAACAATTGAGTAACATATACTCCTGTAAACATAATTTGGAGTATTTTGTTTCTCTTTCCCTGATTTGTCCAGAATGTGCAAAGATATTGGTGAATATTCTTGATTTATGGCAATATAGTTATTTGCATAAGTACAATAAACATGTTTTCACTTGCAACAGGACACAATGGGAGACACAGGTTATTTTACCAAGGCTTTGACTGGAATCATGGTCTTTGAGAAATCATACTTGATTTGTAGAGCTAGTAGAAGCCCTTTGGGAAAATTGGCCTTCTTCCTTGTCTACACAGTCCCTGCGCAGGGGTCCTGACCTGTGCAAGTAAGGAGTGTCACTTTCTGCCAGGCCCAAGAGCCCCGAGTTATCTGGAGACCTCAAAAAGAAAGGAATTAACCCAATTCCTGTGCTCTCAGAAGATCAGGCATTCTATGTCACAGGATAAGACAAGAGGTCACCACAAGGTACCATTCACAAACACCTTGCTGATAAAAGAGGATACAGGACAAAAGACAGCAAAAACCCACCGAAAGAAAAACTGCAATGAAAGTGACCTCTGTTAGTCCTCACTGCTCATTATACACTAAATGTAATGCATCAGTATGCTAAAAGACACTCCCAACAGCACCATGACACTTTACAAATGTCATGGCAATGTTAGGAAGGTATCCTATATGGTCTAAAAAGGGAAGGCACCCTGAGTTCTGGAAATTGCCCATCCTTTCCCTGGAAAACTCACAAATAATCCATCCCTTGTTTAGTATGTACTCAAGAAATAACCATGAAAAGAGCCAATGAGCAGCCCTGAGGTCTTCTCTGTCTATGGAGTAGCCATTCTTTTGTTTATTTACTTCTCTAATAAACTTGCTTTCACTTTAAAAAAATAAGTCATATCAAGTAGTTGATAGGTCTAAAGATATGTTACAATGCCATTTGTGGGCAAAGTGCAGGCAGGAGACTCACATCACCTTGGTGCTGGGCCCAGGAATATGTCACGATGCCTTCTGAGTACAGTTCGAAAATGAAAGTGTAACTTCACCTTAGTTTGAGGCCCAGTGATATGTCACAATCTCCCCTGTGGGCAAAAACTAGAAAGGAGAATCACATCAGTTAGGTGCTGAGTTCAGCAATATGTCATAATGCCCTCTGTGAGCAGGGACCAGGCAAAAAAAGAGAGTCACATAACCTGGGTTATTGACACAGATTTGTCACAATTCCCCCTGTTGGCAGGGCCTAGGCATGAGAGTTACATCCCTGGGTGTTGGACCCAGCAATATTTCATGACAATTTGTGGACAGGGCACAGGCAAGAGAGTCATGAAACCTGGGTACATACCCCAGAGATATGTCAAAATACCTTTTGTGAGCAATGCCAAGGCAGAAAAATGGAGTTACATCACCTAGGTGCTGGGTACAGCAACACATCACAATTCCATCTGTGGGCTAGACCATGGCAAGAGTCATATCACTCAGATGCCAAATAGAGGAACATGTCAGCATCACTCCTGCAGGAAAGTCTGAGGAAAAGATGAACAATCTTACACATGTCCCAATTCTAGGTATAAGAGTCAACACTTCCTATATGTTGGGTCTAAGTAAATGAGTCACAATCTCAGTGGTGGGCTGGATTTGTGCATGACAGTCTCAATTTGTTCTGGGAATTCCGTTTTCTTAGTGGAGTGACGACCTCATAACTGTGCTGAATTTTGGTCTGAGAGTCACCAACCCCCCTGTGGACTGGGTCTACCAATGAGAGACAATGTTTTAATTTTCAACTGCCTTTGGTTATGAGATTCAACACCTCAACAGTGGGCTGTATCCATGAGGAAAGATGGCAAGTTTTACTGTCAGTTGGGTGTGGATATCACTGTCACAATCTCACCTGTGCGCTGAACCCCGTTAGGACATTTAATACTACCCAAGATCATTGTAGACTAGGAATGAGAGCCACAATTTGCCCCGAGACCTTTATGCTGCTCCCTAAGCCCAGGTAGAAAAGTTAATATTTCTCGGATTAACTGGGCCAGACAGAAGAGTCCTCACTTGTCTATGAGCTGGGTTTAGAAATGAGTCACCATCCCAACTTTGGACAGGTGTTTACATTTGACAGTCAGGAATCAAACTGTGGATTGCATCTGCATGTGAGACACAAGACCTCACCAATGGTCTGTATCCAGGTGTTAGGGTGACAATCCTAACAGGTGTCTGGGTGTGTATACAAGAAACACAATATCCCCTTTGTTTTAGGACATGTGGACACTCTCTGTACCACTGTACCACTCAAGAGCTTTATGCCATATACAAAGCACGTGGTAGTTCTCTATGACCTTCATACAAAGAGGAGACACAGGTATTTTACCAGTTTTCCTAAGCCTCGCTGAGAGAGACAGTATCTCTTCTATTGGCTTGTTTGAGGTATGAGAATTGTCATCAAACCTGTGAGCTGGGCCAGGTTATATGTAATAATTTCTCCTCTGAATAGGGAGTAAGCAGGGAAGTCACATTACCTGGGTTTGGGGCTGAAGATATATCACAATCTTCTCTGAGGGCAGCAACAAGGCAGGACAGTCAAATCACCTGAGTTCTTGGCAAGGGATAGTTACCATCCTCTCATGAATGTTGGAAACAGGCAGCAGAGTCACATCACCTGGGTCCTGGGCTCAGTGCTATGTCACAGTTGTCTCTGTGGGCAAGCCCCAGTCAGAAGAGACACGTCACTAGGTTGCTTAGTTCAGTAATATGCCACAATCTTTCCTGAGGGCAAAGCATAGGCAGAAAATGACAGTCACATTTTTAAAGTCACATATCTTTTAAAAAAGTCATGAGGCCGCCTTGGGCTGAGTCCAGGCAGAAGTTTTCCTACCCATAGCTGTTTGTCACAGAGGTATGTCACAGTAACAATAATATGTGAAACTCAAGCAAGAGAGGATAGTCACATCACCAAGGTGCTCGGTCCAGTGATATGTCACAATCTCATTTTGGTTTTTTGGAGCTTTTTTTGTTTTTTGTTTTTTGAGACAGAGTTTCACTCTCGTTGCCCAGGCTGGAGTGCAATGGCGTGATCTCAGCTCACTGCAACCTCTGCCTCAAGGGTTCAAGTGATTCTCCTGCCTCAGCCTCCCAAGTAGCTGGGATTACAAGTGTGCACCACCACACCTGGCTAATTTTTGTATTTTTAATAGAGACGGGATTTCACCATGTTGGCCAGGCTGGCCTCGAACTCCTGACCTCAGATGATCCCCTCGACTCAGCCTCCCAAAGTGCTGGGATTACAGGCATGAGCCACTGCACCTGGCCACAATCCCATTTTGGAAGAGAGTCACATCACCTTTGTGATGTTCACAGAGGTGTGTCACAATGCCCTTTGCAGGCAGGGGGCAAGGCAGAATAGTTACAATCTGAGTTGTAGAGCAAGAAATATGTCACAATGGCCACTATGCACAGGGCCCAGGCATGGAAGTTACATAACCTGGGTGTAGAGCCCAGTGATATGTCACAATGCCCCCTGTGCACAGTGCCAAGGCAGGAGAAGAGTCATCACCTGAGTGCGAAGACAAGTAATGTGTTATTTGCCTTCTTTGGACAATGCCAATGCAGGAGAATAGAGTCACATTACCTAGTTGTTGGGTCTAGCAATGTCACAATCCCATCTGTGGACTGGGCTCTCACAGAAAAGTAAAATAACTCAAATGCTGGAGAGGCATATTTCATATCACCTTTGAGCTGGGCCCGCCAATATTTCACAATGCCTTTTGAGGGCACAATCACACCTGCATGAAAGGCCAGGGATGAGATTAACAATCCTGCACATTTCTCAATTACAGGTATGAGAGGAAACACCTCCTGTATGTTGAGTCTAAGTACGTGATTCACAGTCTCAACAGTGGACTGGAGCCACGCGTGAAAGCCTCAATCCGTCCCGCAGCCTGTCTCCTTAGCGGAGTCACAACCTCACGAGAGTGCTGAGTCTTGGTCTGAGAGTCACCAACCCACCTGTGGACCGGATTCACATATGAGAGTCAATTTTCCAACTTTCAACTGCTTCTGGGTGTGAGATTCAGGACCTCAGCAATGGGCTGTGTTAGTGTTAATGGATGACAATCTTTACTGTCATCTGGGCATGTGTACAGCAGACACGATCTCACTTGTGTGCTGAGTCACGTTAGGATACTCTCTGTACCAGTTGAGGGCTTTTTATGATATGTGTGAGAGTCACGATCTGCTCTGATACCTTCAGGCTGGTATGGGCCCACGATCTTACCTGTGGCCATAAGCCCACATCAACATCTCTCCAATTGGCTGGGTCCAGATGTGAGAGTGCTCAATGAACCTATAAGCTTAGTTTAGAAATGAGTCACCATCCCAATTCTATCTGGATATTCGCATGTGACTCTCACAATTCTAACCGTGGACTGCATCTTTTCTTGAGATTTAGGATCTCATGAGTGGCCTCTGACCACATGCAAGGGTGACCATCTTAACGGTTGGCAAAGTTTGCATATGAGAGACACAATCTCACCTCTATGCTGGGCCCCTTTATGACACCCTGTACCACCCAAGGGCTTTATGTGATAGGCAAGAGCATGATAATCCCCTGTGATTTTTGTGAAAGGAAATAACCCAGACTCTTGTTTTGCTAAGTCAAGCTACAAAAGACAGTATCTCTCCTACTAGCTGGTTCAAAGTATGAGAGTAATCATCACACCTGTGAACTAGGCCAAACTATACATCACAATACCACCTGTGCATAGAGAGTGAGAAGGGATGTCAAATCCCGAGTGCTGGTCCAGTGATATGTCACAATTTTCACTGTGGCAGGACGCAGGCAGGAAAAAAAAAGTCACAACACCTGGGTGCTTGGCCAAAGATATGTCACAATCTTCTCCTGAAAGCAGGGCACAAGCAGCAGAGTCATGTCACCTGGGTGTTGGGCACAGTGATATGTCCCAATTTACTCTGTGAGCAGGGCACAGGCAATAAGAATCACATTACCTGGGTGCTGGGCCCAGCGATAGGTCACAATGACCCCTGTGGAAAAGGCCACGCAGGAGAGACACATTACCTAGTTGCTAAGCCCAGCGATATGTCACAATCCTTCCTGTTGGCAGGGTGCAGGTAGAAAAGAAGAGTCACAACATCTAGGTGATGCATGCAGAGATATGTCACAAGTCTCCCTGTGGGCAAGGCCCAGGCAGGAGTGTACTATCCCATGGATGTTGAGCCCAGCAATATGTTAAAATACTCAAAGTATATGGGGCCCGGGCAAAAGAACGGTCACATCGCCTAGGTGCTGGTACAGGGATGTGTCACAATCCCCGTTTTTAGCATGTCCCAGGCAGAAGAGGAAGGTCACATCACCAAGGTGATGAATCAAAGATATCCCATAATACTCCTGGTGTCAGGGCCCATGCAGGAGGGTCACATCACCTAACTGTTGGACCCAGTGATATGTCACAATACACAATGTATCCAGGGATCAGGCAGGATAGGAGAGTAACATCACCTAGGTGTGGCTCTCAGCTATAAATTAAAATCTATATTGTGGGCAGAACCCAAGCAGTGTAGAAAAGTCAGATCACCTAGGTGCTGTGTTTAGTAATAGGTCACAACAGCCCCTGAGGAAAGGGTTCAGAAAGAAGCGTCAAATCACCTAGGAGAGGGGTTCAGAGATGTTACAATACCTTTGTGGGTAGAGCTCAGGAAGAAGAGAGTGGCATAATATAGAGGCTGCGTCTAGCCATCTATTCAATCACTCACATAGGCAGGGCCCGGGCATGAGAGGAAGTTCCATCGCCTAGGTGCTAGGAGAAGTAATATGTCACAATCCCCACTAAGGAGAGGGCCCAGGCGAAAGAGGAGAGTGACATTGCCTAGGGCATGGGCCCAGAGTTATATCACAATGAACATGTGGACAGGGCCAACGCAGAAGTATTAAATGACCTGTGTGCTGGGCTCAGTGATAATCACTCTCCCTTCTGTGGACAAAGTCCAGGCAGGAGAGTAGAGTCATGTCACCTAGGTACTGGGCCCAGAGATATGTCACAATTACTTTAATAGGCAAGGCCCACATCAGATAAAAGAGTCATCTCAAATATGTTGTAAGTTGATGAGCCCTGAGATATGTCACAATGTCCCCCCCGAACAGATTCAAGGCAGGAGATTCACATCACCTCGGTGCTGAGCCCAGTGAAATGGCACAGTGTCTCCTGAGTGCAGGGCCAAGGCAAAAGAGCAACACCAACTTGGTGTTGAACCCAACCATATGCCACAATCCACTCTGGGAGCAGTTATCAGGCAGGAGAAATGAGTCACAACACCTGGGTTATGGCCCAATACATATGTCACAATCTTGCCCATGGGCAAAGCCCAGGTGAGACAGGAGAGTCACATCAAATAGTTGATAGGTTTAAAGATATGTCACAATCCCCCCTAATGGGAGTGCCCAGGATGGAGTGTCACATTGCCCAGGTTCTTTTCCCCAGCTGTTTCTTCCTAGGTTGAGTCCTGTTGCTTGATTAGAATTAAGTGCACTGAAATCCTGTGTCAGCTTCTCAGTAGCACCTGAGCTTTTAGAAAGCTATTCCATTCACTAAGTAGTGCCATTTACAAACTTCCATTAGAGATGAACAGAAGAAAACTGTTTAACTGGCAGAGAGATATGTTTAGCCCAGAGATATGTAAACATTGCCCCTGTAGGTTGGGCTCAGGAAGAAGAAGAGAGTCACATAACATAGGAGCTGGGCTCAGCTTTATGTCACAATAACCCCTGTAGGCAGGGCCCAAGCATAATAGGAGAGTCACATCACTTAGGTGCTAAGCCAAGCCATATGTCACAATCTTCACTGTGAACAGGGTCTGGGCATAAGAGGACAGTCACATCTCTGATGGGACCATAGATACGTCAAAATGACTTCTGCAGGCAGGGCCCAGGCAAAAGAATCAGCCAATTAGCTCAGCAAACTTGGATTCAATCAAACAGTTATCTAAATAGCGACTGCAGATTCATCAAGTCAGGCCCAAAATAGTAGACGTGACAGCACATTCCTACACTGAGAAGGTAGGCAGGTTCCTGAAATGCTAATCTGGTCATAAAGCATTAAATTGCTATGCTGTCAGCTTACTTCAAAGACCTCACCTTTGAAAGTGAAGCTTTATGTTTATATAAACAACATTGTATGACAATGTACAATTCTGGGTTTGTATTGTGGCATAGAGTAGGGTAGTAAGTTCGTATCCACATCCTGATTATATACTAAGGTATTGAAAATGTCTTTTTGTGAACATCCTGTGTACACCTAAATATTTACATAGATGTACTTATATAATTCAGTATGTGTGTTTATCTACCTATGAATATCTATATCCAGATATATTTATTTTGTATTTTTATTCATAAAAATTAAAGATGTAGAAGGTGGAAGGGTTGATAGGTATTGATACTGATAGTGATATATAAAGATAATTCCATAGATGTATACAATGTTCTGGCCTATAAACTCTGTCTAGAGAGTAGTACACAAATGGAGGCGTGCTATAACGTCCATCCATCTGCATTTAACTTATACAAAGTAAGCATTAGTCCTTGTTGCTGACTTCTGGGAGATGAAAATTCACTAAGGCCATGAGAGTCATTCACGCTAAATCAAGGATAACCCTTTTTATTCTAGTGAACACAGAACCAAAAATAAACTAGCCTCTGCTGAAAAGCCCTAACCCAAATGTGCAAATGCTGAAAACTTTTCTTTAAAGCTTCCACCAATTCAGGTGATTCTTTTTTTTTTTTTTTGAACATATGACAAAAAAAAGTAAATTCTTGTCTTTTGTTTTGTTGGCTGGAGAAGCAACTTTATTTGGTAGGGAATGAATAGTCGAGGTCTGTAACTTGAAGATACACTGCTGTACTGACAGTGAATTTTAGTTTTCCTTGGACACTTTCTTCTGTAGGTTATATAACATGCAGGGTTATATAAATATGTGTATGCAATGACCATTTATGAGTATGTCTTGGAAAAAAATAAAAGTATGTCAGAAGTCATTACCCTACTCATGCTTCTCAACACGCGTGAATACAATCAGCCAATTAGTTCAGCCCAGGTGATTCATATTAGCTGATTAGGTCAGCCAAAATGATTCTAATCAGTCAATTAATTAGCTCAGCAAAGGTGATGTCAATCTATTAATTAGCTGAGCCTGGGTGAGTCTTATCAGTCAATTATGACACACCAGTTGATTCTAATTAGCCAATTAGCTAAGCCCTGGTCATTTCAGTCAGCCAATTAACTCAGCCTAGGTGAACTTTTTCTGAGACAGGGTCTCACTCTGTCCCCCAGGCTGGAGTGCAGTTGTGCGATCTTGGCTCACTGCAATGTCTGCCTCCCAGGTTCTAGCAATCTCCAGCCTCAGCCTCCTGAGTAGCTGAGACCACAGGCATGTGCCACCATGTGTGACTAATTTTTGTATTTCTTGTAGAGATGGGGTTATCCCATGTTACCTAGGCTGGTCTCCTGGTCTTGAACTTCTTTTTTTTGTCTCTAACTTCTGCACTCAAAAAGATCCATCTGCCTCGGCCTCCTAAAATGGTGGGATTACAGGCATGAATCACTGCACCCAGCCTTAAGCCCAGGTGATTTTTAATCAGTTAGTTTAGCTCAGGTGAACTCAACTGTCCAAGTAGCTGAGTTCAGGTAATTCCAATCAGCCAATTAGCATAGGCCAGTTAGACCCAATCAGCAAATTATCAAAATGGTGACAATGGATACTTCAAGGCAGGCCCAAAATGGTGAAGGAGATTAGCACGTTCATACACTGAGAAGCAAAGCAGGACTCTGAAATGCTAACCTGGACATAAAGATTTACATAGCTTTATGGTTAGCTCACCTTCCAGACCTTGCCTTTAGAGACGAAGCTTTGAAAACGTTTATACAAACATTGTATGGCTGTGTTCCATTCTAAATTGCTATTGTGCCAGAGATTGGGGAGTAAGTCCACATCTGCATTTTTAGTATGTAGTGGGGTACTAAAATGTCTGTTGGTGAACATCCTGTATATACATAAATATTTACATAGATTTACTCATATAATCTAGTATGTGTGTGTTCATTTATCTAACTACCTATGCAAATTTATGTCCAGATGTATTTATCTTTGTCTCAATATTGGTAAAGTACAGATATGTTGCTGGGCGTGGTGGCTCACGCCTATAATCCCAGCACTTTGGGAGGCCAAGGCGGGCAGATCACGAGGTCAGGAGTTTGAGACCAGCCTGGCCAATATGGTAAAACTCTGTCTCTACTAAAAATGCAAAAATTTGCTGCATGTGGTGGCGTGCACCTGTAGTCCCAGCTACTTGGGAGACTGAGGCAGAAAAATTGCTTGAACCCAGGAGGCAGAAGTTGCAGTGAGCCAATATCACACCACTGCACTCCAGTCTGGGCAACAAAGCAAGACTCCACCTCAAAAAAAAAAAAAAAAGAACAGATATGTAGAGAGTAGAAGTGTATACTATATACTGATAGTAATATACAAAGATAATAGTAATATACAATAGTTTAATATTAATCATACTATTTATAATATAATAGTAATATACAAAGATACTTTCATAGATGTATAAGCTTATCTGCCCTATATCTAAATTAGTACACAAATGTAGGTATGCTCTTTGTGCGTCTCTCTGAATTTAGCATATAAGAAGGAAGCCTTGGTCTTTGTTTCTAACTTCTAGGAGATAAAAATACAATAAGGCCATGTAAAACATTAATTGCTAGGTCAAAGTGACCCTTTTTTTCTGATGAACACAGGACTAGAGATAAAGTAGTCTCAGCTTAAAATCCCTCCTTCAAATTTGAAAGTGCTAAAATATTCTCTTTACAGCTTCCATCAATGTAGAGGATTTTTTTTCCCATGGGAAATGAAAATATAATTATCTGTATTGTATTTCTTTTACTGGCTGAAGAAGTGAGTTTTTGAGTAAGGCAAGAAAATCTAGGCGTTATTACTCGAAGATAGACTACAATGCTTAAAGCAAATTTCAGAGTTTCTTGGATGTTTTTCTCTGTAGACTTAGATACAGATATAAGACATGTAGGTAAATAAACATATAAAACACATAGGGTTGTATAAATATATCTATGTAATGTTCATCTGTGAGTATGTCTTGTAAAAAAAAACCCCAAAATAAATGGGACTCAGTGATTAATTTCCTACTAATCTCTCTCATGACAGGTGAATCCAATCAGACAATTAGCTCAAGGCAGGTGATTCCAATCAGCAAATTACCTCAACTCAGGTGAATACAATCAGCCAATTAGCCCAGCCTATGTGATTCTAAAGAACCAAATAGCTCAGTCCAGGTGAATCTAATCAGTCAATTAGCTCAGCCTGGGTGATTCTAAAAAGCCAACTAGCTAAGACAAGGTGATTTCAATAAGTCAATTAGCCTAGCCCATGTAAATTCATTTGGCCAATTAGCTCAAAACATGTGATTCCAATAAGCCAGTTAACTCAGCCCAGGTGAATACAATCAGCCAGTTATCTAAACCAATGTGGTTCCAAATAGCCATTTAGCTAAGCCCAGGTGGTTACAGTCAGCCAGTTACCTCATTAACATACTCACATAATTCTGTTTCTGTGTTTTTTAAAATCTACCCATGTATGTCTATATTCAGATGTATTCATCTTGGTACCTATATTCATATAGAATAAAGACATAGAAGATAGATGTATTGGGAGGTATTCATACAGAAAGTAATATAAAAACTTCAATATATATATAGACTTATCTGCCCTGTAAATTATGTCTAGAATAGTATGCAAATAAAGATAGACTGTGAAATACCTCCTGTTAGATTTAATGTGTATATATATGTGTGTGTGTGTGTGTGTATATATATATATATATATATATAGCAGTGATCCTTATTGCTCCATTCTGGGAGTTAGAAAAGCCCTAAAGTCATGCGAGTCATTCACTGCCAGGTCAAGAATGATCTTTTTATTCCAGTGATAAATTAGCCCCATTTCAAAGGCTATAACTCAAATTTGAGAATGCTTATTTCTTCCTATTAAAGCTTTCATCACGAAAAGGGCTCTTGTTCTTAACTCTGAGCATGTGTTGTAAAAATACGTTTTTGTATTTTTTTCTTTGTGGCTGTAATATGACTTTTATGGTAATAAAAAAATTAGGCCTGTTTTCAGAAGATAGACTGTGATATTGAACACAAATATCTTGGTATATGGTACCTGGCCAAATTTCAACCAGACAATAGTGAACATGTGCAAAATGCCAAAGGTAAATTTTTTTGGTGATGTCAAAGCTTTTTTGTGAGAAAGGTCAGGCTCAATGTTTTCAGGCATCTCTGGCTCTTCATAAATGGATGATTACAACCACACTAAGCTGGTTTGATGAGACACTACATTACAAACAACCGGGTGCCAGGTGACAAGGACATTTTTACATTTATAAGAATAATGTGATGTGTGTGGCTTGGATTGGATCAATCTTCACTGAGTTAATTGACTATTTGGATTCATCTGGCCTGGAGGGAAAGAAAATTCGAAGTATTCCTGACCTATTTTTTTCTTGGGGGCTTTTTTTGTACATATAGATAAAAATATAAGATTAGTGAATAAATAAACATACACACACAGAATGGGTCCCCTGTGTATGTTCATGCAAAGTCCATGTATCCATATATCTGGTTAAAAAGCCTCAAGAAAAAAGCATATCAGAGGTCATTTCCCTTCACAACTCCTGCAAACCAGGTGAATTCAAGAAACCAATTAGCTCAGCCAGGCAAATTCAGTTGGCCAATCCACTCAGTGGAGATAGTGTGAATAGCCCATTAGCTAAATGTGAAAGACGAAAGCATCAAGGCAGGCACAAAATGGCCTACAACACAGTCATAGAGCGAGTAGAAAAGCAGGGCCCTAAAATTTTAAGGTCAACATAAAGTCTTATTTGGCAGGAATGGAAGCTTCCTTCTCAGGCTTTGCCCCTTAACATAAAGTTTTGTTGATACTTATACAGAACATTATATGTCTGTATTTCAGTCTGTGATGGTATGGAGCCATATAGGTGAGAGTAAGTCTAGGTCTTCATCTTCCAGACAGAATGGGATATTAAAAATGCCTCTCAAAAAAGTCTTCTGCATACAAGAACATTTATGTAGACAAACATATAATTCTGTATGTGTGTTTATCTCCTTATGCATAACTATATCCAGATTTATCTATCATTCTATACATATTCATACAGAATAAAGAGAGAGAAGGTGAAAGTATTGATAGGTATTTCTACTGATAGCAATTAAAAAAACTTCCATACACATAAAATCCTATTTGCCTTTTAAACTACATCCGCAAGAGTACACAAATGGAGGTATTCTCTGACATACATTCTGCTGCATTTAATGTATATGAAGAAAGAATTGGCCCTTGTTGCTCACATCTGTAAACAGAAAATGTACTAAGGCCATGAGAGTCATTCACTGCCAAGTCAAGAATGACCCTTTTCATTCTAGTGAACTGAGACGAGAGATACATTAGCCCCAGCTTTGCCCCAAATTTGCAAATGCCGAATAATTTTCTTTAAACTTCCAGAAATTCAGGGGATCTTTTGTATGAATATATGACATAGCATGATAATTTGGGGATTTTTTTGTTTTATTTTGTTGGCTAGAGAAGTAACTTTTTAGGTAGAGAAAAAAAATTAAAGTCTGTGACTAAAAATTAGTCTGCTATTCTGAAAGGAAATTTAAGTTTTCTTTGGATAGTTTTTTTGTAGATTTAGATACAGATATAAAATATGTAAATGAATTAATATATACAAATCACAGGGTTATGCAGATACGTCTATGTAATTTCCATTTGTGATTGTGTCTCATAAAGAAGCCTCAAAACTAAGACATTATTTTACTACTCATTTCCCTCAAGACAGGTTAATTCATTCAGCTGATTAGGTCACTCCAGGTGATTTCAATCATTCATTAGCTCAACCCAGGTAATCCAATTAGCCAATTAGCTCAGCCCAGGTGAATAAAATCAGCCAATTAGCTTAGGTCAGGTGATTCCAATCAGCCAGTTAGCGAAGATAGACTCAATCAGTCAATTATCAAAACATCAACAGTGAATTCCTCAAGGCAGAATTACAATGGTTGACGAGAGTAGCACATTCATATATTGAAAACAAAAGCAGGGCCATAAAATGCTAATCTGAACATAAACTATTACATTAGTGTACTATCATCTTCCCAAATCTCTCATGTAGGGGAAGCTTTGTTTACATTTAAACAAACAACATTGTATGTCTATGTTTCATTCTGGAATACTATTGTGTCAGAGTAGAGAATTAATTCTACATCTTTATAATATATACTAGGGTATTGAAAATGTCTTTTGGCCAACATAATGTGTATACATTAATATTTACACAGATGTAGTCATATAATCCTGTATGTGTGTGTATGTTTATCTACGTATGTCTATATTCAGATGCATCCATCTTTGTATCTGTATTTATAAAAAATAATGATGTATGACCAGGTGCGGTGGTTCACACCTGTAATTTTAGCACTTCAGGAGGTTGAGGGGGGTGGATTGCTTGAGCTCAAGGGTCTTAAAGAGCCAGATGTGGTAGTATGTGCCTGTGGTCCCAGCTACTTGGGAGGCTGAAGTGGGAGGATCACTTGAACCCAGGGTACAGAGGTTGTAGTGAACCTACATGGTTCCACTGCTCTCCAGCCTGGGTGACAGAGTGAGAACCTGTCTCAATAAAAAATAAGAATAGTGTTGTATAAAGTGGAAATATTGATAGATATTGATAATGACAGTGACATAGAAAGATGCTATTATAGATGTATAAACTTAACTTTCCCATAAACTATACAAAAAATAGTGCAAAAATGGAACTATGCTCTTACATACATCTTTCTGCTTTTAACAGACACAAAGGAAGCATCATTCCTTGTTGCTCACTTCTGAAAAACAAAAATGCACTGAGGTTATGAAACATTCATTGCCAGGTCAAGGGTGACCCTTCTCTTTCTGGTAAACATAGGACCAGAAATAAAATAGCCTCAGTTTAAAGGCTCTCACTCAAATGTGAAAGTGCTGAATAATTGTCTTTAAAGCTTTCATAAATTCAAATAATCATTTTAAATATGTCATAGGAATAAAACCTTGTATTTTTGTTTTCTTTGCTGAAGTAGTGACTTTTTGGGTAAGAGAATAAAAGCCAAGGGCTGTAACTTGAGCATTTACTTCAATACTGAAAAAAAAGTTAGTTTTATTGGACACATTTCTCTGTAGATTTTGATATAAATATGAGATAGATAGATAAACATATACAAACACACAGGGTTATGTAAATATGTCTAGGTGATGTCAATCTGTATTTTTTTCTAAAACAGCCCCAAAATAAAAGTAAATCAGAGGTCATTTTTCTACACATTCTCTTTAGAAACAGTGAACCCAATCAGTCAATGAGCTCAGCTCAGGTGAATCCAATCAGCCAATTAGCTCAGTCCAGGTGACTTTAATAAGCTAGTTAGCTCGACTCAGGCAGATCCAATTATGCAATTGTCTAAATAGGGACTGCAGATTCATCAAGTCAGGCCTAATATAGTGAATGCAAATAGCATGTTGATACAGTGAGAAACAAAGCAATAGTCTGAAATGCTAGCCTGGAAATATAGCATTACATAGCTGTACTGTCAGCTTACTGTCTAGATTTATTCCCTGAACCTGAAGCTTTCTTTACACTTATACAAACAACATTGCTTGGCTCTGTTTCATTATGAGATGTTATTGTGCCATAGAGTACCGAAGTTAGTATACATTTGTGTTCTTAGTATATACTAGAGCATTTAAAATGTCTTTTCAGAACATGCTTTGTATACATAAATGTTCACATAAACATACTCATATAATCCTGCATGGGTTTTTGTTTACCTTTCTACCTATGTATATCTATATGCAAATATATTTAGCTTTGTATGTATATTCATACAGAATAAAAATGTGGAAAATGGAAGTATTGATAGGTATTGATTCTAATAGTGGTATAAAAAATACTTTTATACATATGCATAATCTTAACTGTCTTATAAACTATATCCAGAATCACACATATAGAAGGATGTTTTTAAATACAACCTGCTGCATTTAACATATATGAAGAAAGCATTGTTTCTAGTTTCTTTCTTCTAGGAAATAAAAATGCACTAAGGCCAGGGGAGTCATTCATTATCATGTAAAGCTGGACCCTGGCCATATTTCAACCAGGTGATAGTGAACATGTGCTGAAATGTCAATGCTGGCTCTTATTCTCCAGGCTAAGGCTTCTATGTGAGAAAGGCTAGGGTTCCTGGTGTCAGGCACCTCAGACTTGTCCTAGCTGTATGGTTAGAATTCCACTGAGCGGATTTAATTAGATCCTGAATTAAAAACACTCGAGTGCCAGGTAACAAGAACATTTACACATTTATAAGAATAATATGGCCGGGTGCAGTGGCTCACGCCTGTTATCCCAGCAGTTTTGGAGGCCGAGGTGGGTGGATCAAGAGGGCAGGAGTTCAAGACCATCCTGGCCAACACGGTGAAACCCCATCTCTACTAAAAATACAAAAATTAGCCAGGCTTTGTGGCACACGCCTGTAATCCCAGCTCACGCCATTGCACTCCAGCCTGGAGCAAGACTCTGTCAAAAAAAAAAAAAAAAAAAAAAGAACGTGATGCAATATGTGGCTTGGATTGGGTAAATCACCACTGAGCTAATAGGCTGATTTGATTCACCCGGTCTGGAAAGAATGAAAATAAAAATGACCTCTTACCTAGCTTCGTTTTGCTTTGCTTTGTATATGTATTTATCGATATAAGATATGTGAATAGTGAAACATATACACCCAGAATGGTTCACATAGTTGTATCTAGCTAGAGTCCATTTGTGCTTATGCCTGGTAAAAAAAAAAAATCCTCAGAAGAAGAGAAGATCAAAGTTCATTTTCCTTTCCTACCCATCCAGACCAGGTGAATTCTATAAGCCAATTAGCTAAGCTCAGGTGATTTTAATCAGCCAATTAGCTCAGCCCAGGCAAATATAATCAGACAATTAGCTAATTTGGGGAAGCAGAAGCATCAAGAAAGGCCCCAAATGGTGGATATAAATAACAGAGGTATACAGTGAAAAGAAAAAAGCAGGGCCTTCAAATTCCAAGCTTTCCATGAAACCTTACATAACAGTACTGGACGCTTACTTCCTGGGCTGTGTCCCTCAATGCTAATCTTTGTTGATTTTTATACATAACATTGCATAGCTGGGTTCCAGCCTGAGATGGTATAGAGCCATATAGGTGAACGTAAGTCTATGTCTGCAACATCAGTTTTCGCTGGAGGAGAATGTCTCTTGAACTTATTTTCTCTTGAACTTATTTTGTATACATAAATATTTGCATAGACAAACTCATAATTTTATGTTTGTGTTTATCTACCTATAAATATCTATGTGCAGATCTAACTATCATGCTCTTTGTATTCATACAGATTAGAGACATAAGAGGTAAAGATTTTGATAGATATTTGTACTCTTGATAATATAAAAAGAAACTTCCATACATGCCAAATTTTATTTGCTGTTTAAACTATATCCCCAAGAGTACACTAAGAGAAGCATGTTCTGACATACATAGTTTTCATGTATTGCATATGAAGAAAAATTGGTTTTTATAGCTCAAACCTGTGAGCAGAAAATAAACTAAGGCCATCGAGTCATTAAGGAATATCTTCTTTATTCTGGTGAACATGAGACCAGAAATAAAATAAGCTCAGCTTAAAGAACCTGACTTGTAGGAGAACCTTCCCACATACCTCTCCTTAGAAGCCTTTCCACCGCTGTGACTCTGGCCTGAGGGGGGCACAGAGAGGGTGGGGGTGGGAAACAAAGAGCTAATGGGAACTGGCACTGATTACAATGTATCTTCCAGGCTTCCCCCTGGCAGCAGCAGGCCTCCCATAGACTCCAGAGTTGCCAAATCGCTCCATCAGATAGATCCTGCCAGCTTCCCTTTGGCCTACGTGGGGAGACAGATTCCTGGTGCTTCCTGCTCTGCCACCTCCCCTGATTTCTCTCCGAATGTGTTGTCACACACACTTCCTTTCCTCTCATTGGAAGTAATCTAACAGCTCATGGCCCTGCAGTTTTCTCAGGCTCAGTTCCCTCCCAATAAGAAAAAGAAGAGAAAATAATGTAGACAAATTGCTGTCTGTAGGCAGCAAATCTGAATCAAGGTCCTTCCCTTCAAGAAAGAGAAGTAGAATAAGGAAAAAGGCTATTGAACTTTTGTGATTGATCGAGAACCATACATCTAGATTTATCTGTATTCTAGAATTAGAAAAAATCTTCAGTGCACAGAGTTAAATACTGCAATGCTTTCTACAATATTCAAAACCACCAGAGATTAGGAGCACTTCACTCAATGGGGCTTGTGCCCCTAAAAACAACCAACCAACCAAAAAAAAACAGGTTCCTGAGATTGATCTGTCTCGACATTTTTGTTTTCTATCCCGGTACTATCACTACGCACTTGGACTGTAACACAAACCGAAAAAAATCAACACATAAAAAATATGACCGGGATGGACACGGTGGCTCATGCCTGTAATCCCAGCACTTTGGGAGGCCGAGGTGAGTGGATCATTTGAGGTCAGGAGTTCAAGACCAGCTTGGCCAACATGGAGAAACCCCATCTCTACTAAAAATACAAAAATTAGCCAGGCATAGTGGTACGCACCTGTAGTCCCAGCTACTTGGGAGGCTGAAGTGGGAGAATTGCTTAGACCCAGGAGGCAGAGGTTGCAGTGAGCCAAGATCCCACCACTGCACTCCAGCCTGGGCAACACAATGAGACTCCATCTCATGAAATAATAATAACGTTAAAAAAGAAATATATATGAGCAGACCCTGGACACCACAGTGAGAACACATCTCTGCTACAAAGGTAGGTAGGTAGATAGATAGATAGATAGATAGATAGATAGATAGATAGATATGATAGATAGATAAGATAGATATAGATAGTTTAGATAGATAGATAGATATGATAGATAGATATAGATAGTTTAGATAGATAGATAGATAGATAGATAGATAGATAGATAGATAGATGATAGAGCAAGCCAGGCGCAGTGGCTCACGCCTGTAATTCCAGCACTTTGGGAGGCCAAGGTGGGCAGATTGCTCGTGCACAGAAAACATGGTGGAACCCTGTCTCTACAAAAATAAAATGTACAAAGCACAAAATAAGGTTAGCCAGCAGGTGGTGTGTGCTTGTAGTCTCAGCTACTAGGGAGTTGGGGAGGCTGAAATGAGAGGATTGCTTGAACCTGGGAAGTTGAGGCTGCTGTGAGTCAAGATCACGCCATTATACTGCAGCCTGGGTGACAAAGTGAGACCCTGTCTAAAAATAAAAATAAATAATAAAAACAAACAATAACAAGTGACAAAGAAAGAACAAACAATATTAATTTTTTTTTAAAATGGAGTGAACGAAGGCAAAAGGTAAATAAGATCCCAATTAATTTTACCCCCTCTCTCTCTTTCTGGCAGGGTTCTTCTGTTACCCAGGCTGTAGGGCAATGGCACAATCATGGCTCACTGCAGCCTCGACCTCCCAGGCTGAAGCGATCCCTGTAGTTTCAGCCACTTGGGAGGCTGAGACAGGAGCAACCCCTGAGCCCAGGGAGGTCGAGGCTGCAGGGAGCCGTGATCACCCAACTGTACTCTAACCTGCGTGACAGAGTGAGAAGACTTCACTCAGAAAAAAGAAAGAAAAACAAGACGAAAGAAAGAAATCAAAACAGCAACTTTAATGTGCAGGAAGGAGTGTTAAGAGACAGAGAACAAGGAAAAACAACTCAAAGTACTGAGGAAAGAAAATGGAAGTGGAACTAGAAAAAAAATCACAGGAAGATCCCTGGAATCCTGGCTCCTCTGAAGACAGAAATGGGATGGCCACTTGGGCGAGCCCGAGAGTAGGGGCGTGGGTTCAAGGCCACAGCGAGGCCTGATCACACCCCTCCGCTGGACCTAGGAGGCACTGCCGTGCGTAAATATTTAAATGTTTGATATTAAATATTTAGGTTGACCTTTAGTATTTCGAGCTAGTGGCCAAGAGCAATGTTCGCGGCTCGCAGCCCACATCTGGTCGACCCAGTGGCCCGACTGAGAAGCCAGCCGGTGGCCGTGGGCAGTGGCGCACCGGGTCCACCCTACAGCCAAGTGTGGCGCTCCAGACCTGAGACTGTTCCGCCCAGCTGGAGCCTTAGACGTGGGCGGCGCAGTGGGGGCGGCTGGTGGCATAAGCCCGCCCACCTTCCCACCACAGCCCGCGGTCTGCTGGTCCACCCGGAGGGGGGCGGGGAGGAGAAGGGTGCAGGGGTGGAACAGGATGCACCTCGTCCGCCCCTGCTACAGGGAAGGAAGGGCTGGGACCCAGATGGCCACCCCCGGGCCCGCGCCGCCACCCCCTGGGACAGAAGCCGCTGGGCCACGACCCTCCAACCTCTACACCTCGATCATTTCCACCACGCTCCCGGACCCCGTCTCAGGGGATGAGCCCCCAGCGGAGTGATGGGAGAAGGCGGTAAACGGAGAGGTGGGACGCCAGCAGAGGAGGCCTCCCACACCTCGAACACCCCCAGCGTGGCACGTCCCCTTCGGTTAATGAAGGCCCCTGGGCAGGGACGCGAGCCTCCCTAACGGGCGGTGCCCACAGAGTCAAGATTCAGAAAGAGACTGGGAGCAGTGGCTCACGCCTGTAATCCTAGCACTTTGGCAGGCTGAGGCGGGTGGATTACCCGAGGTCAGGAGTTCGAGACTAGCCTGACCAACTTGGCGAAACCCCGTCTCTACTAAAAATACAAAAATTAGCCGGGCGTGGTGGCGGGCGCCTGTATCCCAGCTACTTGGGAGGCTGAGGCAGGAGAATCACTTGAACCCAGGAGGCGGAGGTTGCAGTGAGCCGAGATCGCGCCACTGCACTCCAGCCTGGGCGACAAGAGCGAAACTCCGTTAAAAAAAAAAAGTCAGCAAGAGACCTTGAGCATTCTCTCCTGAAAGCAGTGAGGTGAATGGCGACCGAGTGTTCTGTGCTTCTGCATTTTTAGGTGGCCATGCATGGAGGATAGATTTGAAACGTTTCTGGAAAGGTGCAAGCGAAGGTCATTCGGGTAGCCTGAGCATGGGATGGGGTTTTGGACAGCGACTTAAGAGCCAGAATTCGCCAAGGACCATGTTCTAGGGTAGAGATGATGGAACCCCATGCAGAGGGAGCCATTGGTGTGGGCGAACTCCAGCCTTAGGCCCCGCTGAGCAGACCACATCAGAAGGAACAGAATACCTCGTGCTACATGTCATGTCCTTCCACTGAAGTTGGGAGCGGATCCGTTTTTCAAACACGAGGCGGCTTTCAGCAATGGATCACAAGGGGCCGGGCTTCTCTAAGTCGGCAGGATAAGGAAGTCCCCTGCATTTTAGCCCTGTAAGAAAAATCGTCTTTTCTCCGCCTGTGCTTTTCTCAGCCCCTTCCTCTCTCTGGAGCCCAGCTCCTCTGCTTAGCTTCTGGAAAAGCGCATTCTGTGACGTAGAGTGAGGTGTGGCCTGAATCTAAAATCTCCAGTTATAACCAACGGGGGTTTTTAACTCAATGTGTCGTCCTTGGGTCGCTTGACAGGATACATCGGGCACTTGAGGAAATGTCGGGGGAATCTATTCTCTAGCCTCAAGGGAGGGTTTGAGAGAAGCTCCCGAAAACGTGAAGGCCAAAGGAATTCCCTCCGTCCAAAAAGCCATATTCATTTGAATCCCCACTGCCCAAGAAGCCATATTCATTTCTAGTCTGCAGCCTGTGGGAGAATCGGACTTTCCATAGACTCCCCCCTGAAATTAGCTCTTGCTCCCTTCAATCAAAATAGGAGAATTGCCTGGCACGATGCCTCATACCTGTAATCTCAGCACTTTGGGAGGCGGAGGCAGGCAGATAACAAGGTCAGGAGTTCGAGACCAGCCTGGCCAACATAGTGAAACCCCTTCTCTACTAAAAATACAAAAATTAGTCCGGCATGGTGGCGCGTGCCTGTAGACCCAGCTACTCGGGAGGCTGAAGCAGGAGAATCGCTTAAACCCAGGAGGCAGAGGTTGTGGTGAGCCGAGATTGCACCACTGCACTCCAGCCTGGCCGACAGAGCGAGACTCCATCTCAAAACAAAAAAAACAAAAAAAGAAAATAGGAGAATTGCTTCCCTAGGATACAGCTGCAGATAAACAATGATGCCACCGTCAAACAAACCTCCCGTCTATGTGCTCAGGACACACTCACATGAGAAGGGTGTCAGGCTCTATTCTATTCACACTGTGTGGTTTTCTCACCTGCAGTGTGTGGGCTTCAGGGGCTTGTGGACAGAAGAGGAGGAGAGAGAGTGGTGTCTCGTGGGCTGAGACACGGGTGGGGTGGCCAGAGCCTAGGAAACTCATTCTGGCCAGGAAGTCTCCCCTCCATGCCTTCTCTCTGACCCACTCATTCTCCACATCTTCAGAGTGCAGTGGGGACCTTGTGGGTGGAGGTTCCTGTGACTTTCAACTTTAGCAGAGGAAGGCTGGCTTCCCAACAGTCTCCCTGGAGTTGGTGCCCTTGGCAGTTTAGGCTCACAACGGTGGTGATCTATGGTGGAGGCCTTGGACCATGCAGTAGCAGATGTCTGACCTTGTTGGGGGTGTCAGTTTTGTGGGGTCCCATGCATCCTTCAAGAGAGTCATCCAAACCTAGAAGTATGTATGGTCTCAATGCCCCCAGCAGAGATACTTTTGTTTACACAAAATCTGGGGCAGGAATGTTAGCAGGCTTTGGCCTCATACCTGCAAACCTGAAACAAATTCTCCGATGTCCTTCAAAGAGCCAGTGGCTCCACAAAGGGCTATGGGTAGTTGTGGAAATGGAGAGAAGTTTTTGGAGATACATATTGGAGGAAGAATGGACAGGACTTGGTCACGGGTTGTTTAGGACATGGGGAGATACAGATTGAGTAAACTCTCCCAGTATCCTAGGTGAACAGTGGTACAATTTATTGAGCCAGTAAGTCTGGGTCACAGCTGAGTTGAATGAGGAAGAAGCAAACCCAGTTTTAGGGTTGGGTCATTATTAATATGTAATGTCTATGAGGCATCCAAGTCCAGAAATCAACTTACTGGTTCTCTACAGGATTTGGGATAGAGATCCAATGTTGGATTAAGAATTCAGGCTTTGGGGCACGGTGGCTCACGCCTGTAATCCCAGCACTGTGGGAGGCCGAGGCAGGCAGATCACCTGAGGTTAGGAGTTCAAGACCAGCCTGGCCAACATGGTAAAACCCTACCTCTACTAAAACTACAAAAATTAGCTGGGTGTGGTGGCACACACCTGTAATCCCAGCTACTTGGGAGGCTGAGACAGGAGAATCGCTTGAACCTGGGAGGTGGAGTTTGCAGTGAGCTGAGATCGTGTGACTGCACTCCAGCCTGGGCAACAGAGTGAGACTCTGTCTCAAAACAAACAAACAAACAAAAAAAAGAATTCAGGCTTTGGAAATGGATTAGATCTGCCTGAGCTTATTTTAAAGAGAGACAGAGAGAGAGAGAAGGAAGGGGGGTACTCAAAAAATAACTACACTTATTATATAATGCTGTTGATGCCATAACAGGTGGGTGGATCACCTGAGGTCAGGAGTTCGAGACCAGCTTGGGCAACTTGGCGAAACCCCGTCTCTACTAAGAAACACAAAAATTAGCCGGGTGTGGTGGCACGAGCTTGTAATCTCAGCTACTTGGGAGGCTGAGGCTGGAGAACTGCTTGAACCCAGGAGGCAGAGGTTGCAGTGACCCAAGATGATGCCACTGCACTCCAGCCTGGGTGACAGAACAAGACTCTGTCTTAAATAAATAAATAAAACCTAAACACAATTTCCCCACTGTCTTGGGGTCTTCGTTATGAAGGCTCTGTGCACAGAAACGTGTGTCTGCCTTTTCTCTTATTCATCTGCCTTTGATGAGTTGATTTCTCAGTGAAACTTCAGAGGGCCAAAGGGAAACCTCTCCCTTTGCCCCCACATTATGTTTTATAATAAGCGTAAGGCAGTTTCCCTAGGCCAAGGTCACTAGATATCCAGATAAACTTTTTGCCTCTCAATGGAATTCCGTACACCTCTAGTGTTGTAATCACCCAACCTGGCCCACTGCCTAGACAGAGTGAATTTATCAAGATAGGGGAATTGCAACAAAGAAAGTAATTCATGCAGAGTGGGCTGTGTGGGAGACTGGAATTTTATTATTGCTCAAATCTGTCCCCCTGAGCATTTGGGGATCACAGATTTTAAGAATAATTTGGTGGGTGGGGGAAGGCCAGTGAGTCGAGAATGCTGATTGGTCAGGTCAGAAGTGAAATCATAGAGAGTCTAAGCTGTCTTCTTGTACGGATTTAGTTCCTGGGTGGAGGCCACAAGACCATATGAACCAGTTTATCAATCTGAGTAGTGGCAGCTGATCCATCAAGTGCAGACCCTGGTGTGCAAAAAGCTCAAGCACTGATCTTAGGAGCAGTTTAGAGAGGGTCAGAATCTTGTAGCCTCCAGGTGCATGACTCCTAAACCATAATTTTTAATCTTGTGACTAATTTGTTAGTCCTACGAAGGCAGTCTAGTCCCCAGGCAAGAAGGAGGTTTGTTTTGGGAAAGGGTTGTTATCATCTTTGTTTTAAACTATAATCTATAAACTAAGTTCTTTCCAAAGTTAGTTCAGCCTATTCCCAGGAATGAGCAAGGGCAGCTTGAAGGTTAGAAGCAAAATGGAGTTTGTTAGGTCAGATATTTTTCACTGTCTTGGTTATAATTTTGCAATGGTGGTTTCAGGGAGAGGAATGATTTAGTACTAAAACTTCCCTTTCTGGTCAAAGGGACACCCTTGGTGATGACAAGAGAAACTTTATTTTGTGCTTTTTATCTCTGTTCTTATTTTTCAATATTTTCTATTTCACAACAGATGCTCATTTAAACAACCAGAAGCTGGATTTGAAGAGGGAAGTTTCAAGAAGTATCTCCTTCCCCCTTTCCCATAAAAATAGATTTTCCCTATGTAGAACAGCTATGCAGCAGTTGCCCCACGCTGCCCCACCAAAAAAAAATGTTAAAATAGGCCAGGAGTTTGAGAACCAGCCTGAGCAACATGGGGAGGGTGAATCCACCTCCTTAAAAAAAAAAAAAAAAGATTTGGCAAGGTGGTGACCCACACGTCACGCTGGGCCCCAACTTAGGAGGCTGGGGAGGCTGAGGCAGGAGGTTTGAGGTTGTAGTGAGCTAGTATCATGCCCACTGCACTGCAGCCAGGGGGGCAGAGTAAGATCCTGTCTCAAAAAAATAAATTTTGGTGTGTGTAATCTGAGATAAAAAAACAAACAAAAGAAAACAAAAATGAAGGAAAGAAGAAAGAAAGTAGAGAGAGAAAGAGAGGGAGGGAGGAAGGAAGGAAGGAAGGAAAGAAGGAGGGAGGGAGGGAAGGAAGGAAGGAAGGAAGGAAGGAAGGAAGGAAGGAAGGAAGGAAGGAAGGGAGACCAATAACAAAGCTAAAATTATCCAATGGTGCAGCCATAAGGAATGATTTCGTGTCTTTTACAGCAACATGGATGGAGCTGGAGACCATTACACTCAGTGAACTAACTCCAACGTAGAAAAGCAAATACTTCATGTTCTCACTTATTAGTCGGAGCTAAACAGCGCATACACACTCAGGGACTCCAAAAGGGAGGAGGGTGGGAGGGGGATGAGGGATGAAAAATCACCTATCAGATACAACATTTGCTATGTGGGTACTGGATGCACTGGAACCCACTCCCCAGCAGAATGCAGTATGCTCATTTAACAAACAAGCATATGTACCCCTAAATATTTTTTTTAGTTGAGGGGCAGGGCCTCACAGCCCTGCAGCCTTGTCAGGCTCAGTCTTCTCCCAGTTTCAACAAAAATTAGACAAATAGCTGTCTACAGGCAGCAACGCAAATCAAGGCCCTCCCTTTCAAGAAAGGGAAGTAGAATAAGGAAAAAGGTTTATTGATTTTCTTGTGATTGATCAAGAACAGACTCTAGATTTATCTGTATTCCAGAACTAGAAAAAATCTTCAGTGCACAGAGTAAAATAGGGCAATGCTTCCTACAATATTTAAAACCACCAGAGATTAGGAGCACTTCACTTGATTAGGAGCTACTAGAAAGGAAGGTAAGTTCGTGAGATTGATCTGTGTCAAAATTTTTGTTTTCAATCCCTGTACTATCACTATGCATCTGGACTGGAACACAAACTGCAAAGAATCAACACATCAAAAATATAACCAGGTGGCTCACGCTTGTAATCCCAGGAGTTTGGGAGACCAAGGGGGGAAGATCACTTGAGCCCATGAGTTCGAGACCATACTGGGATAGGTGGCGAGACCCCATCTCTATTAAAATAATAATAATAATTGAAATTTAAAAAGAAATATATATAACCAGAGCCTGGACAACATAGTGAGACCGTGTCTCTGCTAAAGGAATAGATAGGTAGATAGAGCAGAGTGTGGTGGTTCATGGCTATATCCCAGCACTTTGGGAGGCCAAGGTGGGAGGATAGCTTGAGCCCAGGAGTTTGAGATTCTCCTGGGCAGCTTGGTGAGACAACATCTCTATTAAAAAATAATAATAATAATAATTAAAGTTAAAAAATATATTTGACCAGAGCCTGAACAACATAGGGAGACCACATGTCTACTAAAAAGACAGATAGATGATAGATAGATAGATAGATGATAGATAGATAGATAGATACATAGATAGATACATAGATAGATACATAGATAGATAGATGATAGATAGATAGATACATAGATAGATAGATAGATAGATAGATAGATAGCAAGGCATGGTGGTTCATGTTTGTAATCCCAGCACTTCGGGAGGCCAAGGTGGATGGATCACTTGAGTTCAGGACTTTGAGACTAGCCTAGACCAGCCTGGGCAACATGGTGGAACCTCATTTCTACAATAAATAAATAAATAAATAAAACACAAATTAGCCAGGCGTGGTGGCACATGCCTGTAGTTCCTGCTACTTGCAGGGAGGCTAAGCCGGGAAGATGGCTTGAGCCCAAAAGTTTAAGGCCACAGTGGGCCAAGATTGTACCACTGTACTGCAGCCTAGGTGACAGAATGAGGCCCTGTTTCAAAATAATAATAATAATTAAGTAAATAAACAGTAACAATAACAAACAATAACAAAAATTATTCCAAACAATAATAACAATAAAATAAGTGGGAGTGAACAGAAGTAAAAGGTAATGAAGATAACAATTAATTGTACTTAATTTTTAAAAAATGTGTGTGTATGTGTGTGTTTTTAACTGGTCTCTGTCCCTGTTTCTCTTTTTCAGACAGGGTCTCCATCACCCAGGCTGGAGGGCAATCTCTGTAAGTCCCAATTAGGGAGGTCAAAGCTGCAGTGAGCAGTGATCACGAACCCGCACTCCAGTCTGGGTGACAGAGTGAGAAGACCTGACTCCAAAAAAAAAAAAAAAAAAAAAGTAAATCTAAAACAATAGCAACTTCAGTGTGCAAAGAGCGTAAGAAATTTTAAAAAGAGAGAGAAAATAACAACAACAAAAAATAAAACAGCAACTCAAAGTACTGTGGAAATGAAATGGAAACCGTCAAAAAAAACAAGCAAATTAACAAAAAACAAAAAACAGAGGAAGAAGATCCCTGTAGTCCCAGGTACTTGGGAGGCCGAGATGGGAGGATCACCTGGGCGAGCCTGGAAAGTGGAGGCTGCAGTTAGACGGGATCTCACCCTCTGCTGGACACATGCGGTGCTGCTGCGGGCTAGAGCCACCTGGTGGACCTTAAACCTTTCAGGCTGTCGGTTCGAGGCCGACATCTGGTCAACGTGGCCACCGCGGGAAGAGGCCAAGTGTGACGCTTGCGGCCTGAGTCTGAGTCCACTGACCTTCATTCCCACCTCTCCCCAGCGGTCGGCTGGTCTCCCGGGCGGCAGAAAGAGGAGGAAGGGCGCCAGGCCTGCCCCGCCCACCTCCCGCCGCGGACAGGACGGCCACCACCAAGTCCGCGCGGCCACCCCTGGAACAGGGGCCGCCGGGCCACAACCCTCCGACGCCCGCGACTCAGCAAACCCCACCACTCTCCCCAAACACCTGCCGGGGACTAGCCCCCGGCGGAGTGCGGGAAGGAGGCGGTAACCAGAGAGGCAGGACGCCGAGCAGGGACGCCCACTCCACCATGACCACCTCCGGCGCGGCACCTGCCACTCTGCCCGCGGAAAGCTCCCAGTTACTCAGAAGGCTGAGGTGAGAGAATAGCTTGAGCACGGATTGTCGAGGCTGCAATAAGCTGCGATTATGCCACTGCACTCCAGCCTGGGTGATAGAAAGAAACTCTCTCAAAGAAAAAAAAAAAAAAGAAAGAGAGAGAGAACCACAGAGAATAAACTATAAAGTATTTGTTTAATGTTTGCAAAGCGCTAATTGCATAGCAGATTTCTAGAAGTCAGTTTCCAGAATCCAAGGCTTATACCAAGTTATTCTATACATTTCTTCCTACATTGATTATATATTTTGGGCTTCCCAATATTAATGGAAAAAAATAAAGCATAAGCCACAATGAAATAGCACACAATCATGAGAATGACAACCATGCAGAGAAAAATTACAAAGACTTAGACCTGGCGAGGACTTGGAGCAACTAGAACTAGAAATATAAACTCCTGCAATAACTTTGAAAAACGGTTCAGTGGTTTATTATAAAGTTAAACATACACTTATTAGGTTACCAAAATATTCCACTCCTAGGTCATTACTAAAGCAAAGAGAAAACTAATGTTAAAGTGAAAACCTTTTTGTGGATGTTTATTGTCTACTTTATTTGTAATTGCAAAAAGCTAGATGTAAACCAGATACTTTTCTGCAGGTGAATGATTAAACAAACTGTGGGTTATCCATACAATAGAATCCCAGTTGTCAACAGAAAGAAACTATTGATTCACATCACAGTATGAAGGAGTCAGAAATGCATTTCTTTAAGTGAAGAAAGGAGGATCCAAAAGGCTACATATTATATGATTCAATTTTATGGCGTTGTAGAAAAAGAAATTAAAGGCATTGATAATCAGTGCAGTCTTGATGGCTCAAGTCTGTAATCTCAGCACTTTGTGGGGCTGAGGTGAGAGGATTGTTTGAGCCCAGGATTTTGAGACCAGCCTGGAAACATAGCAAGACCTCCCTACAGGAGGAGGAGGAGGAGGAGACAAAGAAAGAAGGAAGGAAGGAAGAGGAGGAGGAGGAAGAGGAGGAGGAGGGGGGAGGGGGAGGAGGAGGAAGACAGCAACTAAACCATAATCACTGGTTGCCAAAGAATAGATGAAGGTAGAAGTTAACTACGAATGGGAAGCATTAGATGATTTTGAGGGTAATAAAGAGTTCTGTGTGGTACTGTGGAGACGAGGACATGACTCTAGACGGTTGTCAAACTTCGTGGAACTGTACATCACAAAGAATAAATTTTCCTTTCAGGAAATTAAAAAAGAAACCGTGATTTTGAGGAAATTCTGATAAAATGCAGGCAGTAAAAAATAGAATTTAGCCTTACTAAAAATGTATTATCTAACCTAACACTATTTCAGAAGATTGGAATGAAAGGTCTTGATGTATATCACTTTGAAAAACAGTGTTTTAGGGGATATACCTAATGCTAAATGACAAGTTAATGGGTGCAGCACACCAGCATGGCACATGTATACATATGTAACTAACCTGCGCATTGTGCACATGTACCCTAAAACTTAAATTATAATAATAATAATAATAATAATAAAATGAAAAACTGTTTTAATTGAATACTGCAAGACTGAAGAACTGAACACAAACACTGTATTCTGGTTAGTACTGTTTGTTTATAAGAATAAAGATTAGCAATTTTTAAAACTACTCTTTCTGTTAGTGTGTGTGTGTATGTGTCTTTGTGTGTGTGTAAACACACACTATACATAAGGTCATTACTGCCTGCTTTCCTCTGAAGTTAAAAAAAAAAGCGGGGGAGAATTCTAGAACAAACCCTGTGGTGCTGGACCAGATTTGGGAATATTTAGACAAATGCATGTCTCATAATATATCAATTGAGACAGAGAGAGAGAGAGAGAGAGAGAAAGGAGAGGTGTTCCTACATGAATCTATATTAATATGTAAATTTTCAAACTCTGTTTGCTGAGAGGTTTCAGAAGCAGTGACATCCCAGTATTACTGAGCACACCTAGCTCTCATATCATGGTTTCTAAGCACTATTCTTTTTTTTTTTTTTAATTTTTTTTTTTTTCAGACAGAGTCT
Organism: Homo sapiens; assembly: GCF_000001405.40. Taxonomy (NCBI): domain Eukaryota; kingdom Metazoa; phylum Chordata; class Mammalia; order Primates; family Hominidae; genus Homo; species Homo sapiens. The sequence continues at coordinate 22,891,742 of NC_000019.10, read as the reverse complement.
CGCTCTGTCACCCGGGCTGGAGTGCAGTGGCACGATCTTGGCTCACTGCAAGCTCTGCCTCCGGGTTCACGCCATTCTGCCTCAGCCTTCTGAGTAGCTGGGACTACAGGCACCCACCACTACGCCCGGCTAATTTTTTGTATTTTTAGTAGAGACGGGGTTTCACCGTGTTAGCCAGGATGGTCTCGATCTCCTGACCTCGTGATCCGCCTGCCTCGGCCTCCCAAAGTGCTGGGATTACAGGCGTGAGCCACCGCGCCCGGCCTCTAAGCACTATTCTTTAATAAAAGGAAGCAAGACTGTTCATAAAATTAGATAATTCTAGCAGTGGAGTGGAACATTCAAGTTAGGGTAGAGTATCTTGTGAAGCCAGAAAGTTAAAAAAGTGCTTTATGAACAACAGAAGAAGACATGTCAGAGGAAGTCAACCTGAAAGACTTTCAAGCAGCCCAAGCTGGAACAACATGAGAAACAAAATAAATAATAATAGGATTGGATTATAAAGCTGAGAATAAAAGAAATATTCATAAGTCCATACAGATCTAGAAAAAATAAATAGAAATAAATAGAGATAGGAAGAAAATCTTTTTTATAGAATTCCAAGTACTAATTAATGTAGATGGATAATGCAAAATAGAAAATCACAACTAGGACACCACAATAATAATTACTGTAGACACCACGTACTGAAGAATGCAAAAATTGTGGGTAAATTTAAAAGAGAAACAGTGTATTTACATAGCCTCAAAATATTTGCCTCTAAATATTTATGAACATCATTTTCTCTTAATTTCTTTATAAGACTTATGACTATTTAACAAATGTCATAAACCAGTATTGTGACATATATAATGCATAGACATAAAATTTATAAATAGCACAAAAAATAGAAGGAGGTACTTCAAACTTTTTAACAGCAGGGCCTTCATATTTTACATTTATTAAAATAGTACAGTATTTAAGTAGATTGTGATATGTTAAAGATGCATATTGTAATACCCGGAGAAACCATTAAAAAAAGTAAAGAGGTGTCACTTAAATGCTATGCTAATAAAGGAATAAAATTATATAGTAAAAAGTATTTGTACGATAATGTTTATAAACCTTTTAGTCATAATAGCTTAAAGCAGGAAAAAAACCCAAATGTCCATCTCTAGGAAATGGATGGAAAACTTGTAACTCATTCACACAAGAGAACAGTCATAGAAAGAAACAAACTACTGAAGCAAACATCCTGGATGAATCCCATAAACCTGCTAAATGAGACAAGTTTAAAATAAAATAGTACATATTGTATGATGTCAGGCAAAATGAACCAATGGTTAAAAAAAAAAATCACCAAGAAAATAGCCTCTTGTGACAACAAAATTGTCTGAAAGAAAGGCCTGAAGGAATTATCTGAGAATGAAAAATAATTCATCATTCCATTTTATGCTCTATCACTAGAATAGAACAATATTCAGTTCATTCTTAAAAGATATAAAGGTTATATGAGTGTATTTATCTGTCAAAATGTTTCAGTTAGGATTTGTGCCTTTCAATGTATGTACACTCGACCTCACCAAAAAAAAAAAAAAAAAAAAAACCTAAAGAAAATAATGGAGGGTGGCCAATGGGTTGACCAGGGCTGACTGAAGTAGAGAAGGGTGGATGACACCAGAATGGCACAAGATTAGTTGTTGAGGCTTCATGACAAGTCTATTGACAAGCCTCAACAATATGTGTTTTGTTTGTTTTGCACATGTTAAAAATTTTCTATAATAATAACAAAATTAATCTATAATGTTAGCTCTGATTATGGCTATTGTTGGAGAAGAAAGGATAAAGCAATTGTTGGGGCATGGATGAGGCTAGTTTTATTTTATTTTGAGACAGGGTCTCACTCTTTCACCCAGGATAAAGTGCAGGGGTGTGATCTTGGCTCACTGCAACCCCCACCCCTCAGGTTCAAATGATCCTCCCACCTCAGCTTCCCGAGGAGCTAGGACCATAAGTGTGCACAACCATGCCTGGTTGTTTTTTGGTATTTTATTTTAGAAGAGACAGGGTGTCACCACGGTGCCCAGGCTGGTCTTAAACTCCTGAGTTCAAGCGATCTGCAGGCCTCGGCCTTCCAAAATACAAAGATTACAGGAGTGACACACTGCACCAGGCCTAGTTTTATTTTTTTATTACACAAGTGTATTTTTTGTAACAATTTATTGAGTTTTGCATGAATAAATGCTTTGTGCATGTATTTCTGTATGCATGTTACATATTAATAAAAAAATTAAATAGTACATATTTGTACAAAAATGCTAACTGAGTATCTCAGAATAATGGCAGGATTTTGTTTTTTGTTTATTTGTTTTCTGGTGGAACACACTCACTCAGGACATAATCATACAGATGTTAATATTCAGAGGGAGTATTAAAGCTCTAACCGGCCGTGTGCGGTGGCTCAAGCCTGTAATCCCAGCACTTTGGGAGGCCGAGGCGGGCGGATCACGAGGTCAGGAGATCGAGACCATCCTGGCTAACACGGTGAAACCCCATCTCTACTAAAAAATATGAAAAATTAGCCAGGCGTGGTGGCGGGCACCTGTAGTCCCAGCTACTCGGGAGGCTGAGGCAGGAGAATGGCGTGAACCCGGGAGGTGGAGCTTGCAGTGAGCCGAGATCGTGCCACTGCCCTCCAGCCTGGGCGACAGAGCGAGACTCCGTCTCAAAAAAAAAAAAGCTCTAACCTTTGGGCGACTCATAGGTATTTTTATTTTTTTCTTAATTTGGGTACATGTAATGTTTGTTTTGGGGACATGCAACTTTTTTAAATTTAAGAAAATGTTTTTCTCACAGTAATAATCACCAAGGCCAGGGCACCTAGCACAGTGCCCTGCACATAGTGTGCAGTATCGATGGAACCAGGTTGAATCACGAACAGAACCAATAGCAAGGTTGGTTCTGAAAAAAGTTGTAATTTGATAATACTGGTAAGACTGAAAGACCGTGACTTAGTGGCAAACAATTTTTTATTTATTTGAGAATTAATTGGCAAGTAGGTAATCTAAAAAGTGTTGGTTTAAAGCAGTGGCTTTGAGCTTGGCTGTACTCTGTCGTCACCTTGAGATATTTAAACAACACTGTTGCCCAGGTTCCACTCCAGGAATTCTGATTTAATTGGGGTGTATCAATTTGAATTGGGAAGATTTTTAAAGCGCCTCCCCCAGGTGATTTTTACACGCAGACTGGGGAGAAAACAATTGGTTCAGAGTGAAAGATGCATTCACTGTGTGTGATTTTCATGTGTGCTGCTGAGAATTGCCTCATGGCTGCTTCTGACTTTAGAATATTAAAAAGCAGCTCTGCTCCTTTAAAACTCAAAAGACAACTTCAAGATGTACTCAGCTATTTTTCTAAATTTCAGCAGAATAAAATATCTTTTTAGCAGATTTATCTATAAGTCACATGATATCAAGGTTAGAGTTTGTTTCAGGCACAGTAGTTTTAGTCAGTGTTGAAAATCATGAATAGTCTCCAAATATCAAAAAGAGATGAAAAGCATTTGCAGACATATTAAATCTGTTTTGTTAAATAAAGTTTAACCTAAAGCTGCCTTTTTATGTGTTTTGAATTGAGCCTGAGGGTTTCTTCATAGATGGTAAACTGAAACCCAACTGAAAGTGTAAATAAAGTGTAACTGAGTTTTGTGTCAGTTATCAAATTTTGGCCAATCAAAAGAGGCCAACTCTCTAATTCATGTCTAAATAAAGCAAATGCCAAGCTCTAATTAATCCAGCTCTTTCTGTAACTCACTTTTCTTTCCTGTACTTCAGGTTTTTTATCTGTGTATAAATATTCTTCCATTATTTTGTGACCAGAAAGGGATTGTAGTAAGGGTTAAAAAGAAAAAGAAACTAGTTTTCCTCTGCCTAGCAGCTCACTTCAAGGACGGTTATAAGATAACGCTATCCAAAAAGCCAAGGCCAAGGAATAGACTCCAGAAACTCCCCCACTCCAGAGCAAGGTTGAAGAAAAACAAAAAGACAAATTCATTTATTGTTACTCCTTTCCTTTGCCTCTTAAGCATGACTATGTTTTATAAATGTCTGTATTTAGCCAGTTCTTGTTTTTCTTTTGATGCAGCTACAAGGCCACCAGCTATGCAAGGCCACAGGTTATGCACTATATGATTAACTGCTTTTGTTTTGCTTTTGTAAGCCCACTTATAAAAACCCCACTCTGTCTTTGTTCAAGTCTCAGCTTTTTAGATGTGAATCCACTGAGCCAGTGCGTACCTTAAAATAAATATCCTCCTTTATTCACCCATACTAGTCTCTCTAGTCCTCTGCGTCCCGCAACAGGATCACAATCCAAACCTCAAGAGAGGGTTCTTGAATCTCACACATAAAATAATTTAGGGTGAGTCAGCCAGGCGCAGTGGCTCACGCCGGTAATCCCAGCACTTTGGGAGGTTGAGGCAGGTGGATCACAAGGTCAAGAGATTGAGACTATCCTGGCCAACATGGAGAAACCCCATCTCTACTAAAAAATACAAAAATTAGCTGGGCATGGTGGTGCATGCCTGTAGTCCCAGTGACTCAGGAGGCTGAGGCAGGAGAATCACTTGAACCCGGGAGGCAGAGGTTGTAGTGAGCCGAGATCGTGCCACTGCACTCCAGCCTGGGTGACAGAGCAAGACTCCATCTAAAAAACAAACAAACAAACAAAAAGAATTTAGGGTGAGTCTATAAAGTAAAAGCAAGTTTATTGAGAAAGTGAAGAAGTAAAAGAATGGCTACCTATAGATAGAAAAATGGCATGGGCTGCTTGATTGAGTATACTTATAGTTATTTATTGATTATATGCTAAACAAGGGGTGAAATATTTATGAATTTTCCATGACTGGAGTGAGCAATTTCCAGAACTGACAGTTCTTCCCCCTTTTAGACTATGTAGTTTAACTTCTGGACATTTCCATGGCATTTGTAAACTATCATGGCACCAGTGGGAGTTTCTTCTAACATGCTAATGCATTACAATCAATGTATAATCAGCAAGGAGGATGACCACAGGTCACTTTCATTACCATCTTGAATTTTATGGATTTTGTCTGGCTTTTTTATTGCATTCTGTTTTATCAATTGGGTCTTTATAACCTGTATTTTGTGATACCAATCCTATTGAACTCCTATCTCATCCTACGACTAAGAATGCCTAACTTTTTCTGAATGCAGCCCAACAGGTCTCAGCGTTATTTTATCCATCCCCTATTCATAGTGAAATTGTTCTAGTTTAAATGCCTCCAACAGTGTGACTGCTTGGGAATTTCTCTGAGCCTACTCTGGCTCACCAGACTGCAAATTAGTGAATAATTTTTTGCTTGATTAAACTCTGTTAAATTTATTTTGTTTGGCTGGGCACGGTAGCTCACGCCTGTAATCACAGCACTTTGGGAGGCCAAGGCGGGTGGATCACCTGAGGTCAACAGTTCGAGACCAGCCTGGCCAACATGGTGAAACCCTGTGTCTACTAAAAATACACAAACACACACAAATAGCCAGGCGTGGTGGTGGGTGCCTGTAATCCCAGCTACTTGGGAGACTGAGGTAGGAGAATTGCTTGAACCCGAGAAGCGAAGGTTGCAGTGAGCCAAGAATGCATCATTGCACTACAGCCTGGAGGACAAGAATGAAACTCCATCTCAAATATATATATATATTCTGTTTAAGGCTTTTTTAACAGATTGAACTAGAAGCAAAATCTGAAGTAGCCTCTAGCAACCCCCAGGAACACCAAGTGACCAAACAATGGCTTATTGTGTTCGTTGCTGTCTTGCAGCAACTAGGGGGCATGGTAAGTTCTTTCTTGGATTCCAAAGTGTCATGGATTTGTGTTTTGAACTCTCTGAGTTTTAGCGAATTTAGAATTCAAATTGGATTAAGAAGACAGGACAGAAACTGGACTGGATCCAGGATCAGGTTGGATCTGATAATTAACTGGCTTGGATTCAGTTAGAGGTCTATGACATCTCGCTGGGTCAGGTAGAAATCGGTAGTAAATGGCAATAATGCAAGGAGTGTAAACTTTGACATCTGTAAATTGGCAGATATTGTTGTGTTTTATCCCCTTGGTTTCTTATTCTTGTGTTTTTTTAGGCAGAAAAGAATCATTGGCTAAGTTTATCAGAATGATATCAGCCAAAGAAAGTTTCAAGATAAGAATGGAACGCTTAATTTTTTAAGAACTGAGTAATTTATCTTCCAGGTATGCCTACATTTACATGCATATGTATTAGGCCCTTGTAGCAGCAAACACAGAAATGGGAAAATTTTACTAAAGATAATTTAAAATTACAATGGGGTATTCCAAATAAACAACACTGCACTTTAGCACATGCATTTGAAAAGGAAGTCTCCCTAGTTAGCCTCATCTAGGCTTGACTGCTGATGTGCAGCAGCTTCTAAAAAGATTTTAATATTTTTAATATATTTTTAATATATTTATTGTTTTTTAAAAGATAATCTTCGTAAAAGGTAAATAAAAGACTAAATGCTTACTAAAAATTAAATCAATCTGCCAACCTTTTTCTTAGTCATTATCCCACCTTGAAGGTAAAAAAAAATATATATATATATATATATCTTAAATAAGTTATTTGTAGAAGTAGACGCTTAGGTAAAGTAGGCTTGCCCTTTTAAAGATTTATCCATACTGAGTCCAGGCATATAGAATATTTCTTAATGGGCTCCACCTCGAACTCAGAAATTATAGCTAAGAAACAGTAGCTAAGTTAAAAGACCACCTTTGAGAGAGACGGAAAGTGGTGACTAGAAGGCAAGACTAACTTGCAGCTCCCACTTTGATAGACAGAATAGCATGTAGATACTCACATTATAAACTTCTGCATCAAGAATCACCACAAAAACATACCAAGAATACCAAAAAAATTGAATTCACAAATTTTTTTTTTTTTGAGATGGAATCTCGCTCTGTGGCCCAGGCTGGAGTGCAGTGGTGCAATCTCAGCTCACTGCAACCTCCGCCTCCCAGGTTCAAGAGATTCTCCTGTCTCAGCCTCCTGAGTAGCTGGGACTACAGGGTCCTCCTCTTGGTTTCTATTATAAAAGACCAAAGTGGCCACCTTCAGGAGGTTCTTTAAGGTGCTAATTGGTCCTATAGCTTGCTTCTGTAGTTTTCTTCTAATATTGGAAGCTGACTGTGTAACAAACTTGTCCTTTAGAATGAGCTGTTTCTCGACCGAATCTGGGGATAAGGAGGTTTGCTCTATTAGTGCCTCTCTCAGCCTTTCCATAAATGCTGCAGGATTCTCATCTGGCTTTTGGTCTACCATAGACAGTTTAGAACAATTAAGAAATTTGGCCTTAGTTCTTTCCAGACCTTCTAAAATGCATATTAAAAAGTGTCTCCTTTTCCATTCACCCGCAGAGCTACTGGAGTTCCAGTCAGGGTTGTCAAGAGGAACTGCTTCACTTCCTATTTGAAATGGTGTTTCTGCTATTTCTTCACATTCCCTATCTCCTTTCTTCCCTTTTGATGTATTATAGGAGATTTGTTGCTCATTTCTGAAAATCTCTGCTGCCTGCAGAACTGCCTGCTTTTCAGCTGTGGTTGGGGTTTGGTTTAGAAGCAGCATAACATCCTTTCATGTGAGGTGATACACTTGAGTTAAATTCTGAAAACCTTCTATAAACGTATTGGAGTTGTCAGAAAATTGGCCTAAGTCTTCCTTTACTTCCCTAGGGTCTCGTAATAAGAAGAGAACTTGAGGTGGCCCCAAATAAGGGGAGTTCTCAGATGGTTCCCCTGGAAGTTGCTTTTCTAATTCTGGAGGATTGTTCTCTATAGTCCTGCCTGATATGCCTGTTAAAATAGCGGGGTTGATTTTACAAGGCTTGCAAAGGTTCAGTAAAAATGCCATGCCCTAGTGCAAAAGAAAATGAATTGCTTTTCTCTTCAAAGTCCTGAGGTTAAAGAAGTTCTAGTGTTTCACAGTGCACTCCAGAGGGGTGCAAGCTGAAGATGGTCTGTTGCTCATCTAGAAAAAGTGAGGATAAAAACATCGTTTTAGTTTTCCTGCTTTCATTGTGACCCAGGTTGGAGGGGAAGACAGTGTGAGTGTCTCCCCAACCATTCTCTTTTCTTGTTTCCTGGGTCCCAGCATCGTGTTAAATGTGCTGCCCATGGTTGTAGGTGTGTCTTTCCAAACCATGGAACCAGATGAACTAAGTGATGGGATTAACCATACTTTAGCAATGCAACCCTAGCTTATCCACCTGTGATCCCCTTTTACTTTCTAAACTTGTGTGATCTTCCTGGCTCCCCAAAAAATGAATCTTCACAGAGACTGTAATAGTCGGCCTTTGGGCAAGGTTTCTTTAACAAAAAAAATTGCTAGATTGCCTGCTATTATGGCTCATGATAAAACATTCACCCTTAGAAAAGTGTTTCTGCTTAACTTATAAACTTAAAATTCTCCTTACTAATTAAGTACTGTTCTAATTGGAGACAGACTAGGTGCCTTAAATGAAGGTAGGGACCTAACGATGATTTTTCCTGCTAATGGGACAGTATCAGAACTAAAATTTGGCTATGGAGAATGTTTTACTCCTAATTGTTGAAGGCAGAGCTCTCCCATTCACAGAAGGGGCTTTTCTAGCAGCACAAAAAATAGGAAACTGCAGTGTTATGGTAAAGGACTGACAATGTGTCTCACGAAGAGAATTTCTATTTTTCACTAGGTGGCACTGTTGGCTTAGAAATACCATGTGCTCACTAGAGGAACGTTAGAGATGCTTATTGAGTTACTGCCTGAGGCGTTTGCCAATCTTTCCTAACAGAAGTGTTTCTCTGAACTGTAAAACTTCCTGCACATTGCACACACAGAGAGAATAGGACACATAGTGACACCAGATAGAAAGAAAGGAAAATTTTATGACAGGATAGCTGAAGATCCTTTACCAACACTCAGACAGGCTGTCAGAGGCTGGGTTCAGTCCAGAAGCCTTTGAATAATGCCACGGTGTGCCCTGGACAGTAATCCTCAGTTGCATCAGACTTCTCCCAGCCTCACATGATGGTTAGGACCTCTGCGAATAAAACTGGTTTGAAGGAAGCCTTGAGATTAAAAGACAGATTTGAGGTTCACTCCATACTCACCAATCTGATGTTTCTATCTTCTGTTCTGATCCTGATCCCAGATGAGAACCCCCAAATGAAATGTCTTTGTTGTCTGGGCATCTACCCATGGTTCTTTGTCTTGCACTGAAAAAGAATTCGGGACACAAACACACACAAGCAGTGGGTTTAGAAGCAGAAAGTTTAATAGAAAGAAGAGAGAGAAGAAAAGCTTCCTCATTCTGAGAATGTGCGTTGCCCAAGAGAGGGTCTTTGATTTGCAGCAGAACATGATTGATTTTTTACAGTGGCTTGAGGAGGCAGTGATTGATTTACATAGGTGATGATTGATTTACAGGGGATTGGTTTGACTAAGTGTGCCAATTACATAGCCCATGAAAAGAAAGACCCTTAAAGTATCCACCCATACCAGAAGGCGTTGGATGCCCTTTGGTTTTGACATGTGGGTGAAGTTTGTCTGCCAGATCTCCCTTGCATAGCTTCCCACCCTTTGGGTTCAAAGAGGAAGAAGCTGTCTTGTTGAGGAGATTATCTTTAAGGTAGACTTCATAAGCCTTAACAACCTGTTTGACTGTTTTGAATAAGTTCTCTCCTGAAAACAATCTCTGGGCATATTGAAAAGTTTTATCCTTTCCCAAGTGAAAAGCTTGGTGAAGCTTTTTAAGGACTTTCCATTGGCTGGAGGCTGGCAAGTGGAGTTTGCCATCCTTTGACTGTAGCTATTCTGAGGGCTGGAAAGTGTACCCTTGAGTAATGACCCATTTTATCTCTGCAGGAGAGTACTGAGGCCTAACCAAATTAGGCCTCCAAATTTCTTTTAGAGCCTTACCAAATTAGAGGGGTATGAAGTGTATTGATGCCCTGAAGCTTCCTTTCTGCGATTTAACTGCCTGATCAGCTAAACTATTTCCTTCGGCTACTTCCTGTTTTCTTTTTATATTCCTTAGAGTGCATTTCTGCTATGTTTTGTGGAAGGAAAACTGAGGATAATAACCTGTTAATTTTTTGATGTTTTTCATTTCACATTGGATTTTTGCACTCCTAATATTGGGGTGTTACAGGGTTTGAGGAGGGCCTAGATTTTTAGGTTACTAATAATGGCTTCTAGCCCTTTTTTATCCTTTGGCTTTAGGAGATATTTTTTCTGATTAGAAAAGAAAGTGGAATCCACCAGTCGAGGTGGCTTACACCTGTAATCCCAGCACTTTGGAAGACTGAGGTGAGCAGATCACTTGAGGTCAGGAGTTTGAAACCAGCCTGGCCAACATGGTGAAACCCTGTCTCTACTTAAAAAAAAAAAAAAAAAAAAAATTACACAAGCATGGCAGTGCCTGCCTATAATCCCAGCTACTTGGGTGGGAGGCTGAGGCAGGAGAATTGCTTGAACCCCAGAGGCGGAGGTTGCAGTGAGCCCAGATCGCACCATTGCACTCCAGCCTGGGCAACAAGAGTGAAAACTCTATCAAAAAAAAAGAAATAAAAAGAAAAAAAGAAAGTGGAATCCTTAAGTTGGATCCAGACTGGCCTCATGTTTACAGCTTGACCTATTCTCCTTTGAATTGCCCACACTTCTGGATTAATATTATCTTCTACCAGATAGAGACAAAGAATTTGTCCTGGGCCTATAAGGATGCTGGTCCCCATGTGAGATAGAATGTCTCTACCTAATAAAGGAGTGTAACTTTCAGGCATGATTTAAAAGCCATGTGTAAATAATAGGTCCTTTTAACTGCAACTAAAGGGTTGAGAAAAATATTGGATTAGAGTTTTTCCTGAGATGTCTCTCATAGTCATGCTATGGGAAAAGGGTAGAAGAATAGAGAGAAGAAGAGAGAGGCTGACTCCAGTTTCCTGAAGGAGGTCTACCTTCCTTCTTTCAATTTTCAGAATCACCTGGGGATCCTGTGCTGTAATGGCAGTTTGAGCCACTGGAGCCAGGAGTTTGAGCCCCAGGACCCATAAGTCCTTCTGGACCATCTGTGAGACTGGTTCTGAAGCTGATGACCTCCACCTCTGGGGGCAGTTTGATTCCAGTGGACCATGCCACAGGCTCGACAGGGTTGAGGTGGATTCCTCTTGGTGCCTGGGCACCCCTTCTCAAAGTGCCCTGGCTTGCCACGTGGGTAGCAATTAGTGAAGGCACCTTCGGGATCCTGGACTTTGCAAGCATGCAAAGCAGCTACTAAAGGTTTGTCCTTCTTTTGTGCTCTCTTTCTTTTTAGGGGGCCTCCTTCTGGTCTCTATTATAAAAGACTAAGTTGGCCACCCTCAGGAGGTTCTCCAAGGTGCTGTCTGCTCCTATATCCTGCTTCTGCAGTTTTCTTCTAATATCAGGAGGTGCCGGTGTAATAAACTTGTTCTTTAGGATTAGCTGTCCCTTAACTGAATCAGGGGATAAGGAGGTGTGTTTTATTAGAGCCTCTCTCAGCCTTTTCATAAAGGCTGCAGGATTCTTATCTAGCTTCTGGTCTATCATGGACAGTTTAGAGTAACTAAGAGGATTGGCCTTAGTTCTCCATAGGCCCTTCAATACGCACATTAAAAAGTGTTTGATTTTCCATTTATCTGTGGCATCATTGGGGTTCCAATCAGGATTCTCAAGAGGTACTGTCTCTCTTTCAATTGAGAATAATGTTTCTCCTATTTTTTCATTCACTATTTTCTTTTTTGACTAAGGTTCTGTCATGACATGGGAACTTGAGTGGATCCTGAATAAGGGGGATCCCTCAGATGGTTCTCCTGGAAGTTGCTTCTCTAATTTTGGAGAATCATTCCTATAGACCTGCTTGATATGACTGCTAATAGCTGGGTTGATTTTGCAGTGCTTGCAAAGGTCTAGTAAAAATGTCAGGCCCTTGTGCAATAAGCCACTTTTTTTTTCCCCAAACTCATGGGGTTACAGGAGTGCCAATGCTTCTGAATGCACTCAAGAGGAGTGCAGACCAAAGATGGCTTGTTACCCACCTAGAAAGAAAAGTGAGAGAAAGGCACCCTTTTAGTCTCCTTCCTTTCCCTTGAAGTGGCCCAAGGTGGAGAGAAAGACAGTGGTTTTGACTGTGGTGGGACGCTCTGCTCCTAAAAAATTCACAAAACCAGCAACCCTGTGAGCTATATTTCCAGTTACTATTGGTATTTTCTGATCTTGCCTAACAGGATTACTTCCTTGAACTGTAAAAATTCCTGCGGCATTACGTACGAAAAGAGGCTAGAAGACATGGTGGTCACAGATAGGAAAGGGAGAAAAATTGTGATAGGGAAAGCTTGGAAATCCTGTTGCCAACATCCAGTCGAGCAGTCAGAGGCTGGGATCGGTCCAGACGCCTTCAGGTAAAACCAGGGTGTGGCCCAGAAAAGAAATCCTCAATTACTTTAGGACCTCTTCCAGCCCCATGTGATGGCTAGGTCCTCCATAAATGAAAAGCAGTTTGAAAAATAGCCAACATTCGCAGCAACCTGAGGGCACTGGGGAATTCATTATGTTCTCCCCAGCAAGTCTGTCATGTGAGACTTGAGAATGGCAGCTCACCCTAAAGGTACAGCTGGCCATAGGACACCTGGTATTTCTGGTTTTATTTGATTTTAAAATGGAGTGTGAGAGCCTCAAAATAAAAGGACAGAGTTGGGGTCTGGTTTTTTTTGTTTTTTTTTTGTTGTGTTTTGTTTTGCTTTTAGATAGAGTCTTGCTCTGTCGCCCAGGCTGGAGTGCAATGGTGTGATCTTGGCTCACTGCAACCTCCGCCTCCTGGGTTCAAGCAATTCTCCTGCCTCAGCCTCCTAGGTAGCTAGGATTACAGGCATGCACCACCACGCTTGGCTATTTAGTATTTTTAGTAGAGACAGGGTTTCACCATGTTGGCCAGGCTAGTCTCAAACTCCTGACCTCAGGAGATCCGCCCACCTCGGCCTCCTAAAGTGCTGAAATTACAGGTGTGAGCCAGTGCACCTGGCCAGCATTTGCTTTTATACTTACCCTTCCTATAATCCTGGACAAGCCCCCACAATGAAGCAGTGTCATTCACCTGGGGTAATACCTGAGGTTCATTGCCTCACAGCAATAAAATTAAGAATGCAAACACATGAGGAGTGAGTTTAAGAGCAGAGGTTTAATAGGCAAAAGAAAAATAAAACCTCTGTCTCCTTCAGAGAGAGAGGGGCTCTCGAGCAGGTCTTCCAGTTCTGTGGTGAAATGCATGGAGTTTTACAGATGAGCTTGAGGAGGTGATGTTTCATATACATAGGGCCCAAAAGATTGGTCAGACAAGGTGTACCATTTACATAGTGCATGAAGAAGCTGGCCACCCCACTTTAATTTTCTACTATACAGATGGGTGTTTTACCTGGCCAGTGCCATGTTTCCTGTTCCTTTATACACGTGATTCACAAAAAAGGGAATATGGTGCCTCCATGTTGAAAATGCTTGGCCTCAGGTAGCCTTTTCCCATTGGCACAGCTGCTGACATTCACCCATGCAAGCTTCTAGCTTGCTTATCTATATTTGCAGCTGGATTTTACAGGCTACTCTTTGTTGAAAAAAAGTCAGTTGGGGGCTGCTTCTTGTTAAAAGGGAAGCTTTGCCAAGGGCTCTCTTATCCTCACAATTTGCCTAAATAATTTCTTTTGTGCTCCTGTATCAATAACAGCAGAGCATAGAATGATGATTGCCTGGGCCTGGGGGTGGAGAAGATGTTGGCCATAAGCAGTGAGTATTCCCTACATTTTTTACCTTAACAAATAAGTTATTCTCCTCTCAGTTTTGATTCACCAAGAAATTGAATCATATTCTGAAAAATAAAAACTGAAGGAATAATATATTTGTTAAAGCAATACAGGTTTTACACTGAAATTTTTTTTTTTTTGAGACGGAGTCTTGCTGTGTCACCCAGGCTGGAGTGCAGTGGAGAGATCTCTGCTCACTGCAACCTCTGCCTCCCAGGTTCACGCCATTCTCTTGCCTCAGCCTCCCGAGTAGCTGGGACTACAGGCGCCCGCCACCACACCTGACTAACTTTTTATATTTTTAGTAGAGACGGGGTTTCACCGTGTTAGCCAGGATGGTCTTGATCTCCTGACCTCGTGATTCACCCACCTCAGCCTCCCAAAGTGCTAGGATTACAGGTGTGAGCCACTGCGCCTGGCCTTTTATGCTGAAATTTTAGAGGCTTAGCAAGATAATATATTTTCTACTTATATCACAATTCCTTGAGGGCTTTTTTTTTTTCCGGTTAAGAGGACTTCTAAATAATCTTTCAGGGATTTTATTTTCTTTAATCTTCTATCTGCATTATACTTTCTTCAGCCAACAAATGAAAAAAGAGATGCAGACAAGACACATTTGCTTCTTACCCAAACATAACTTTTACTCACTATTAGTCAATGCAGGTAGAGCTGAGAATAGCAGTTTCCTGGAAGGACAATAAAAAACACACTGAAAAAAAAGTATAATCTTTCACCAAAAGCTAATGTATTTTAAGTAAAATAAGCATGTGCATCAATAATAAAATGCTTGTGGTAAAATATTTCTTTTGTTGATTTCTGTTGAGCTCAGGTACTATGTGACTGAAAGCTTGCAAATATCTAGCAGAAAAAATATTATTTGAAATAAGAACATTGTGAATCAAGTTATCCTGTCAAGAGAAGTAAAAATATGAGGATCTCATACTAACAGTTTCATCTACAGTCATAAACATCAAATGCTACTTTTTATTTTAAAAGTATTTCATATAAGTATTTCACTTGTATTTACTTTTATTTTATATAAGTATTCCATTTATATCAGCTTCCTTCATTATTTCAATGTCCTCTCCACTTTTTATCAGTGGAAAACAGTCCAGCTGGTTTCAGGAAAGCACGTGGTGCCATTGCTACTTTAACGGTGATGATGGAGAGCACTTGTTTGGGAGTACTTCTGTGCCAAACACTGTTATTTGGCCCAAAGTACTGGTTTTCTATTTGTCTCTAAATTTAGTAATAAAATACAATTCTTGTCTAAGAAAACTTTATCTTATTCAAATATGTTTTATAAAATTTGATTGAGATTTAAGTGTTTGTGACTTACCCAGAATATTGACATTTTTTATAAATCCAAATTAAGTACTTAAATAAACAATCTTTTACTAAAAGGTTTTGTGATGCAGAGTAACATTCATAAAATGTCTTTATAATATGAAAGAAATGTGTTAACCATGTTCCCAGTAATAACTCTGAACACAGCACTCTGTTTCCAGTATTCACCCTTAGTCACGAAGGAGAAATTGGTATCTCTGTAAACAGGCCCAAGGAGGTGCTGAGTGGAGGTGCACGACACTGCACATCAATGCTTTCCACATGAACCAATTAGGGTTTTAATTTTATTGGATTGTCATTTGCATGGCTAGATACTTACTGAATCTAGTCATGCTATTTTTTGACAGCTAATGGCATCTATTATCCATTAGTTTTATACAATTATTTGCCAGCTGAAAAATAAATCTTTTGTTAATTTACTCTAAACTGAGAAACTAGATTTGCAATCTTTAATCTTTCAATGTTAAAGCAAATCAGAGAAGTGCAATGTGTGTATGTAGAATGCATTTTCCTGCCTATTAAAATTCTTCTTGTATTACCATGGAAACCCTAAAAAGCCACCTCAAAAATATTCTTTTTAAAATCTTTGGCCAGGCGCAGTGGCTCACGCCTGTAATCCCAGCAGTTTGGGAGGCCGAGGCGGGCGGATCACCTGAGGTTGAGAGTTCGAGACAAGCCTGACCAACATGGAGAAACTCCATCTCTACTAAAAATACAAAAAATTAGCCAGGCATAGTGGCACATGCTTGTAATCCCAGCTACTCAGGAGGCTGAGGCAGGAGAATCGCTTGAACCCAGGAGGCAGAGGTTGCGGTGAGCCAAGATCGCACCATTGTACTCCAGCCTGGGCAACAAGAGCGAAACTCCATCTCAAAAAAAAAAAAAAAAAAAAAAAAAGAACTTTAGCCAAGATTTCAGATATCAAAATGTTCAAAAACTTAATAATTGAGCAAAGCCAAAGTCTTGTGTTTGCATATTGTTAGTAATCTAGCCATTTAAAAAAGCACAGCAATTATTACCGCTTATTGGAAAGATGTGGTTTTGATTAATTTTACCCCATTTCATATGTTTTTGCTAATTGTTCTTTTATGTTAACCTACAAGAAACTACCTGCATAACTTTTCTGGATTCAAGAAACATTCATATTAGGCTGGGCATGGTGGCTCGCGCCTGTAATCTCAGCAATTTGGGAGGCCAAGGTGGGAGGATCACATAAAGTCAGGAGTTTGTGACCAGCCTGGCAAAAATGTAAAAACTCCATTTCTACTAAAAATACAAAAATTAGCCAGGCATGGTGTTCCACGTCTGTAATACCAGATATTTGGGAGGCTGAGGCATGAGAATAGTTTGAACCCGGGAGGTAGAGGTTGCAGTGACCCAAGATCAAACCACTAAACTCCAGCCTGGGCTATTGTCAGCAAGTTGTTTTTCTCAGTGGCTCTTTTGGTTCCTCTGTAAAATGAGAATAATTATAATACCTGTGGTATTAAGTTACTGGGAGAATTTAACTCATTAATATGGATATAGTGTTATGGTTAGTGCTCAGTACAAACCAGCTATTATTAATATTTAGTGCTGAATTACATTAATACATGCTTAACACAGAAATATCCTTTCATAACACAAGTTTTTCAACCAATAATAAATATATATTTAAATTAATTTTTTAAAAAATTTGACATGGATACACAATGGAATACTATCCAGCCTTAAAGATAGGAAAATCCTGGCCAGGTGTGGTGGCTCATGCCTGTAATTCTAGCACTTCGGGAGGCCGAGGCAGGCGGATCATGAGGTCAGGAGTTTAAGACCAGCCCGGCCAACATGGTGAAACGCCGTCTCTACAAAAAATACAAAAAATTAGCCGGGCATGGTGGTGGGCACCTGTAAATCCCAGCTACTTGGGACGCCAAGGCAGGGGAATTGTTTGAACCCAGGAGGCGGAGGTTGCAGTGAGCCAAGACCATGCCACTGCACTCCAGCCTGGGTGACAAAGTGAAACTTTGACTCAAAAAAAAAAAAAAAAAAAGAGGAAAATCCTATTCTTCAAAAACATATAGATAAATTCAGAAGACATTATGCTAGATGGAAGAAACCTGATACAGAAAGAATAATACTGCATGACCTCATTTATATGTAGAATCTAATAAATTTTAACTCACAAAAGTAGAAAGTGGAACAACGGTTACCAGTTGTTCCAGTGGTGTGGTGGGAAGAAAATAGGGAGTCGTTGGCCAGGCTTGGTGGTGCATGCTTATAATCCCAGCTATCTGGGAGGCTGGGGCAGGATAATCAGTTGAATATGGAAGAGGGAGGTTGCAGTGAGCTGAGATTGCACCAATGCACTCCAGCCTGGGCAACAGAGCAAGAATCCATCTCAAAAAAAAAAAAAAAGAAAAGAAAGGAATAAAAAAGAAAGAAGGAAAGAAGAAAAGAAAAGAAAGAAAGAAAGAGAAAGAAAGGAAGGAAGGAAAGAGGGAGTTGATCAAAGGGCACAAAGTTTCAAATAGACAGGTTAAATAGCTTTTGAGATCTATTGTACAGCAGTGTGACTATAGTAAACTATAATGTATTGTATATTTCAAAATGACTAAATTTCAAATATCTCATCACAAAAATGATAGTTGAGTTGATATGTTATTTAACTTGACTTTTTGATTCCATATTATATACATATATAAAACTTCATATTGTTCCCCATAAATGTATACAACTCTGATTTGCCAACCAAAAATATTAACACTTTTTTAAAACCAAAGAGAGAAAAAAGCTTTAAGAAATTCGGCCAGAGAAGAAAGTGCTTGTTCATCTTAAAATTTTCAGGAAACACATACACACACATATGTGAATATATAAGAATTTGCCAAGGATAGTATTAGAAACATTCGACTACTATATAGCCTCAGACTGACTGAGTAGAATGAACATAAGTTACAGTCCACTGATGTGGTCACCTGGTTTTTAGGCTTAACATTGATCACAATCTAACAGAATTGACAAATAAGAGCTAAAATTTCTGTACACTTGCTATACGTTGGATGCTCTTCTGGGACATTATTTGTATCACTTGCTCTAATTTTAACAAAACCTTAGGATTTAGGCACCATTATTCTCACTGTACAGCTGAAGAATCAAGCACATAGCGGTGAAGAAACTGCATTCAGGTCGTACAGCCCATAAATAGCAGAACTGAGATGCAATCAGGAACCACTTGATGTCGAGTTTGACTCTTAATCATTATACCCAACACACTCTTATCCAATGCTTGTTTTTATTCCTAACTTAACATTTTGGCTTTGAATTTTCTAACTTAGTAGAAATAAAGAGGAATTTACAAACCACTTCTTTTTACACTTAGATAGTATGTAGAACTTGATTTTTGGTTTAAAGTACTCATTACGAAGCCTAAGATAGACACTTTGGTAAATGGATTCTAACAATGATATCTATCCCTCTCATGACTTAAAAAAGCCATTAATTTTACTTTTGAAATAATTTGAATTTTTAAATTAAAAGCTAGGATGAGGCCAGGTGAGGTGGCCCACGCCTGTAATCCCAACACATTGGGAGGCCAAGGTGAGCAGATCACCTAAGGTCGGGAGTTCAAGACCAGCCTGACCAACATGGAGAAACCTCATCTCTACTAAAAATACAAATTAGCCAGGCATGGTGGCACATGCCTGTAATCCCAGCTACTCAGGAGGCTGAGGCAGAAGAATTGCCTGTACCCGGGAGGTGGAGTTTGCAGTGAGCCAAGATCGCGCCATTGCACTCCAGCCTGGGCAATAAAAGCAAAACTCTGTCTCAAAAAATTTTTAAAAAAATAAAAATAAAAGCTAGGATGAGCCTATTATCATATAGAAAATTTGTTGTCTCCATGTACGTCATCATCCATTAAGTGGTCCACAGTTTCTGAAAGTTTCAGAAACACAAATATAAGAATACTTTTTTTGAATATTTTTTGAATAATTAAAGGATATTAGGGTTTTTTCAGTGACTAAAATGAAATAGATTGGAATTACTGATCAGTCACTTAAAATGTGGTTTTAAATCTTATTTAATGAACAAATGTGGCCTTCTCCCCTCTCCCCTCTCCCCTCTCCCCTGTCCCCTGTCCCCTCTCTCCCCTCTCTCCTCTCTCCTCTTCTCCCCTTTCCACGGTCTCCCTCTCATGCCGAGCCAAAGCTGGACTGTGCTGCTGCCATCTCGGCTCACTGCAACCTCCCTGCCTGATTCTCCTGCCTCAGCCTGCCCAGTGCCTGCGATTGCAGGCGCGCGCTGCCACGCCTGACTGGTTTTCGTATTTTTTTGGTGGAGACGGGGTTTCGCTGTGTTGGCCGGGCTGGTCTCCAGCTCCTAACCGCGAGTGATCCGCCAGCCTCGGCCTCCCGAGGTGCCGGGATTGCAGATGGAGTCTCGTTAACTCAGTGCTCAATGGTGCCCAGGCTGGAGTGCAGTGGCGTGATCTCGGCTGGCTACAACCTCCACCTCCCAGCTGCCTGCCTTGGCCCCCCAAAGTGCGGAGATTGCAGCCTCTGCCCGGCCGCCACCCCGTCTGGGAAGTGAGGAGCGTCTCTGCCTGGCCGCCCATCGTCTGGGATGTGAGGAGCCCCTCTGCCTGGCTGCCCAGTCTGGAAAGTGAGGAGCGTCTCTGCCCGGCCGCCATCCCATCTGGAAAGTGAGGAGCGTCTCTGCCCGGCCGCCCATCGTCTGAGATGTGGGGAGCGCCTCTGCCCCGCCGCCCCGTCTGGGATGTGAGGAGCGCCTCGGCCCGGCCGTGACCCCATCTGGGAGGTGAGGATCGTCTCTGCCCGGCCGCCCCGTCTGAGAAGTGAGGAGCCCCTCCGCCCGGCAACTGCCCCATCTGAGAAGTGAGGATCCCCTCTGCCTGGCTGCCACCCCATCTGGGAAGTGAGGAGCGTCTCCGCCCGGCAGCCACCCCGCCTGGGAGGGAGGTGGGGGGGTCAGCCCCTGCCAGGCCAGCTGCCCCCGGGAGGGAGGTGGGGGGTCAGCCCCCCGCCCGGCCAGCCGCCCCATCCGGGAGGGAGGTGGGGAGGTCAGCCCCCCGCCCGGCCAGCCGCCCCGTCCGGGAGGTGAGGGGCGGCGCCTCTGCCCGGCTGCCCCTACTGGGCAGTGAGGAGCCCCTCTGCCCGGCCACCACCCCGTCTGGGAGGTGTACCCAACAGCTCATTGAGAACGGGCCATGATGACAATGGCGGTTTTGTGGAATAGAAAAGGGGGCAAGGTGGGGAAAAGATTGAGAAATCGGATGGTTGCTGTGTCTGTGTAGAAAGTAGTAGACGTGGGAGACTTTTCATTTTGTTCTGTACTAAGAAAAATTCTTCTGCCTTGAGATCCTGTTGATCTATGACCTTACCCCCAACCCTGTGCTCTCTGAAACATGTGCTGTGTCCACTCAGGGTTAAATGGATTAAGGGCGGTGCAAGATGTGCTTTGTTAAACAGATGCTTGAAGGCAGCATGCTTCTTGAGAGTCATCACCACTCCCTAATCTCAAGTACCCAGGGACACAAACACTCTGCCTAGGAAAACCAGAGACCTTTGTTCACTTGTTTGTCTGCTGACCTTCCCTCCACTATTGTCCTATGACCCTGCCAAATCCCTCTCTGCGAGAAACACCCAAGAATGATCAATAAAAAAAAAAAAAAATGAACAAATATGAAGTTTCTTTTAAACTTATTTTAAAAAATTAATTTTATTGATTTTTTGTTTCTTTTTCTTTTTTGAGACTGAGTCTTGCTCTTTCACCCAGGCTGGAGTGCAATGGCACAATCTCGGCTCACTGCAACCTCCGCCTCCTGGGTTCCAGCGATTCTCCTGCCTCAGCCTCCTAAGTAGCTGGGATTACAGGCACCCGCCACTACATCCGGCTAATTTTTGTATTGTTAGTAGAGACAGGGTTTCACCATGTTAGTCAGGCTGGTCTCGAACTCCTGACCTCAGGGGATCCACCTGCCTCGGCCTCCCAAAGTGCTGGAATTACAGGTGTGAGCCATCATGCCCAGCCACTTTTTCTCTTCTATTAGAAAAAAATATTAAAATTTCTGCTACTGCAAGCCTATGAATTTTGTACAAATCTAAGCAGTACTAATTTTAAAAGATCTGGGCTGGGCACGGTGGCTCACACCTGTCATCCCAGCACTTTGGGAGGCCAAGGTGGGCAGATCACCTGAGGTCAGGAGTTTGAGACCAGCCTGGCCAACATGGTGAAACCCTGTCTCTAGTAAAAATACAAAAATTATCTGGGTGTGGTGGCACATGCCTGTAATCCCAGCTGCTTGGGAGGCTGAGGTAGGAGAATCGCTTGAAGCTGCCAGGTAGAGGTTGCAGTGAGCCAAGATTTGTTTCATTGCACTCCAACTTGGGTAACAAGAATGAAACTTTGTCTCAAAAAAAAAATCTGTATCCTTAGGATTATAAAAACCTATTCTCTATCTACTATTAGAAGATAAATAACTACTTTCCAGTAAACCCAATAGGGCAATTGTGACTCACAATCATAAGCTATTACAATTTTAATACTATCATTTAGATAAAACTTTTAGGTATCTTCATGTTCAAGTTGTTTAATTTATAATAATTCAGAAACTACAAATTTTTATAAACTATAAAAAACTAAATATATAAAGTATCAATTTGTTTCTATATTTTGAAATACTGTCATTATTTATTGTTGACATAACACTACATTTCAGATGGTGTGGTTGTAGAAACTAGAAATGTCATGGTCAACTCTGCTTTATTTCCTGTCTTCTAATTTCACACAAACACAGCAGCACAAGGTAGGCCAGAAATGCTACACATTCATTGCAAACACACTAGTACTTTTCTAGGAAAAATATTTGTGTGAGCATATTAACATAAAATTCATGGCTTTTTAAGTACAGACTTATATAGGAGATAATAAAGACCAAACTTTAAACACTGCAATAGATTAAGAAAAGTACTCTGAAAACACCTTCTGACCCATTGTTTCTATTTCTTGTGATGGAATAAGCATTTGCAGCAGTGTGGTCTTAAATAAACCACAGTCTCTGTTTCATTGTTCTTAGGCTATGGACATTAGACTTTTATGCATTTTTTTAGAAAAATGTTTTATTTTCCTAATTAAGGAATTAACCATGATTTTCACAACCTCACATTTTCTAAAAAAATTTTTAATGTGATTAAACCACTTACCATTTTTCCCCCAAAAGAGTAGACTAACAAATTAACTCTATAGTCTAATGTACAGTTGATACATAAAAAATAAAGATGTAGGGTCTTTTATTTTATCTGCATACTTGGGAATAAAACACTTCTTGAGCTATATAGCCCAAGAGCTTTCAGAGAGGCTAGCTTATAGAGTGTGGGGAGACCTGGTATAAAAACATTTACCCTTATGCCCTAAGGGGCAAATAATTCTCTCACCCCTAATTCCAACTACTAATTCAGAACTGGAGAAATGTAACATGCCATTATACCACAAAACATTTTATTATTTTTATCTTAGATTCAAGTGGTACATGTGCAGATTTGTAACCTGTATACATCAGGATGTTGAGGCTTGCACATTTAATAATTCCATTGCCCACATAGTGTACATCATACCCTATAGTTTTTCAAGGTTTTTGCCACTGTAAATAGTGCTGCAATCAACATGTAAGTACAGGTGTCATTTTAGTAAAATATTTTCCTTCGGGTAGATACCCAAAAAAGGGGTTAATGGGTCAAATGGCAATTCTATCTTTAGTTATTTGAAAAATGTAGAAACTTTCACAGGGGCTGAATTTGCATTTTCACCAACAGTTTATAAAGATTTTCTTCTCTCCAAAATTTTCCGTCTCTCTGATTAGAGATCTTGTGCAATTTTCTGCATGTTTATTGGCAGCTTTTATGTCTTCCTTTGAGAAGTATTTACATCACTTGTCTACTTTCTTATTAAATCTTATAGATTCCATGTATTAATCCTTTGTGGTATGCAGTATACAAATAATTTATTCCACACTGTAGGCTCTATGTTTACTTTGTTGATAGCTTTTTACTGTGCAAAAGCTCCTTAGTTTACTTAGGTGCCATTTTAAAATTTTTATTTTTGTTGCATTCACTTTTAAGGTGTTAGTCATAAATTATTTCTAGAGGCCAGTGTCTAGAAATGTACTTTCTAGATGTTCTTCTAGGATTTTTGTAGCTTGAAGACTCACAGTTATTAATCTATCTTGTTATATTTCTTATGATATGAGGTAGGGATTCAATTTTCTTCTGCATATGACTAGCCAGTTTTCCCACTACCATTTATTGCATAGGAAGTTATTTTTCCTTTATTTCTGTACACTTTTTCAATAATAAGTTGGAGTAGTGTAGCTTTATTTCAGGGCTCTCTCATTTTTTTCCATTGCTCTATATGTATATTTTTGTACCAGAACCATGTTATACTGATTACTGTAGCTTATAGTACAGTTTAAAGATAAGTAATGTAAGGTCTCCAGGTTTGTCCTTTTTATCTAAAGTTGCTTTGACTATTTGAATTCTTTTATTCTTCCATATATATTTTAATTTTTTTTTTTAGAAGGAGTCTCACTCTGTCATCCAGTCTGGAGTGTGCAGTGGCATTCTCAGCTTATTGCAACCTCTGTCTCCCGGGTTCAAGTAATCCTCCCATCAGCCTCCCGAGTAGCTAGGATTACAGGCATGCACCACCATACCTGTCTTTTTTTTTTTTTTTTTTTTTTTTGTAACTCTTAGAGATAGGGTTTCACCATGTTGGCCAGGCTGGTCTCAAATTCCTACCTCAAGTGATCCGCCAACCTCAGCCTCCCAAAGTGCTGGGATTACAGGCGTGAGCCACTGCATGCAGCCTTCTTTTCTTAATTCTATTTAAAAAAAGTCATTGATAGTTTGATAGAAAAAGGACTTAATCTGTAGCTTGCTTTATGCAGCATGAACATTTTAAGTGTTGATTCTTCAAATTCATGAGCATGAAATGCTTTTCCATTTATTTGCTTTGTCTCTGTTTTTTTCAGCAGTGTTTTACGTTCTCCTTGTAGAGATATTTTACTTCTTTAATGCATTTCTATGTATATTGTTTTTTCTTTGTGGCTACTGTAAATGGAACTCTTCTTGATTTTTTTTTCTCAGCTTGAATGTTACTGGTGTACAGAAATGCTACTCATTTCTGTATATTAATTTTGTATCCTAAGACTTTGCTTTAGTCTTTTATTAGGCAGAGGGGTCTTCTGGTCTAATCTTAAAGGTTCTAGAAAAAGAATTATATCATCAGTGCAGAAAATTTGGATTCCTTTTCTTTCTTTTTTGAATTGCTCTTGCTAGGACTTCCAGAATCATGTTGAATAGGACGGTTTAGAGTGAATATTCTTGTATTATTTTTATTTTTAGAGAGAATGCGTCCAGCTTTTTCCTGTTCGGTATGATGTTGGCTGAGGATTTGTCATAGATGCCTCTTATTATTTTGAGGTATGTTTCTTGAATGCCTGGTTTTTTGCGAATATGTTCATCAGTCAATATTTAATTTTCTTGAATGCTATTTCTGCATATATTGTGATATATACTTTTTTGCTTAAAATTACCTTCACATGGTGAATTACACTTATTGACTTGCATATTATGAAACATTATTGCATTCATAGAATAAAGCTCATATGACTGTGGCAAAGTAACTTTATTTGCTTATGAACTCAGCTTCCTAGTATTTCATGGAGGATTTTTGTTTCTATGTTCACCAGGAATATAGGCCTGTAGTTGTTTTTGTTGTTCTGTCTTCACTAGATTTTGAGAGCAACATGATACTAATTTTATGTAATAAGTTAGGGTGGAATCCCACCATGATTTTTTTTGGAATACAATCAGTATGATTAGGACCAGCTCATCTTTGCATACGTGGTAAAATTTTCTGCAGATTCATCTGATCCAGGGCTTTTTGTGGTTGGTAGGGTTTCTTTTAATTACTAATTCATTATACAATTTTATGCATTTTTGCTCTCAAGACTTCTGTTTATTCCTGATTCAAACTTGGAAGTTGTATGTATTCAGTTTATCTATTTTCTCTAAATTTTGTACTTTGAATGCACAGAGATGTTCGTACAAGTCTCTGAGAATGTTTGGTATTTATGTAGAATTAGTTGTGATTTCACAACTCTACTAACAGATGCAGAATAAAAGTTTGACAAAATTCAACAGTCCCTCATAATACATCTCTGAAAAAATTAGGTATAGCAGCATTGCACCTCAAGCTGATAAATGCTATATGTAACAAAAAAATGCACAGCTAACAACATACTAAATAAACAAAAAAAGTTTAAGATTTTATTCTAAGAGCTAGAACAAGGCAAGAATGTGCACTTTTTTTAGTCTTACTAAATATAACAGAGAAGGGAATAAAACCAAAGGCATCCAAATTGGAAAAAGTAAGTTAAATTATCCCTGTTTAATAACCTTTTATTTCTATACATAATCTTAAGTATAGAAAAGCCTAAGACTTTACCAAAAGCTATTATAATAAACAAATTCATTAAACTCACAGAATACAAAAGCAATATCTAAAATTCAGTAGCATTTCTATACAGTAATAAATATATCAAAATGAAATTTAAAAACAATCCCATCTACAAATAATCTAGTAACTATACTTTGAAATACATTTAACCAAAAAGTTGAAAGACCTGTACATTATAATCTAAAGAACATTAAAGGAAGAAACGAAACACATTTTACACAAATGTAAGGGTGACAATTTCTTAGGGAAAGAACAGTATTTTCAATAAATGGTTAAGGAAACTTTACACCCACATACAGAGCAATGAGACCCTAATCTCACACCATATATAAAAATCAACTCAAAATAAATTAGGTTCTTAAATGTAAGGCCTGAAACTCTAAAATTAGTACAAAAAATATAGAGTGAAAGCATAATAACATTGATTTGGGCAGTGAATTTTTTTATTTAACATCAAAATCCCAGATAACCAAAGGAAAAATTGATTACTCAGATTACTTTTAATTAAAAAGCTGCTGCACAGAATCTGGTAAAACAGAATGAAACAACTAAAAAACAGACAAAATATTTGCAAATCATACACGACAAGAGCTTAATATAAAAAATATATAAGAAACTCAAGACCGGGCACAGTGGCTCATGCCTATAATCCCAGCACTTTGAGAGGCTGAGGCCGAGGCCGAGGACATGGCGAAACCGTCTCTACTAAATATACAAAAATTAGCTGGGCATGGTGGTGCGTGCCTGTAATCCCAGCTACTTGGGAGGCTGAGGCAGGAGAATCGCTTGAACTAGGGTGTCAGAGGTTGCAGTAAGCCGAGATCGCGCCACTGCACTCCAGCCTGGCAACAGAGCAAGACTCCAACTCAAAAAAAAAAAAAAAAAGGGGGGCCGGGTGCGGTGGCTCACGCCTGTAATCCCAGCAGTTTGGGAGGCCGAGGCGGGTGGATCACGAGGTCAGGAGATCGAGACCATCCTGGCTAACACGGTGAAACCCCGTCTCTACTAAAAATATAAAAAATTAGCCGGGCGTGGTGGCGGGCGCCTGTAGTCCCAGCTACGCGGGAGGCTGAGGCAGGAGAATGGCGTGAACCCGGGAGGAGGAGCTTGCACTGAGCCAAGATCGCGCCACTGCACTCCAGCCTGGGCGAGAGAGCAAGACTCCGTCTCAAAAAAAAAAAAAAAAAAAAGCATTCTCGGCTGGGCACAGTGACTCACACCTGTAATCCCAGCACTTTGGAAGGCCCTGGTGGGAGAACTGCTTGAGCCCAGGAGTTCAAGGCCAGCCTGGGCAGCACAGTGAGACCCCTGTCTCTACAAAAAGTAATAAAAAAAATTAGCCAGGCTGGTGGTGTATGCATGTAGTCCCAGCTATTTAAGAGGCTGAGGTGTGAGGATCACTTGAACCTGGGAGGTCCAGGGTGCAGTGAGCCATGATCGCATCACTGCACTCCAGCCTAGGATACAGAGAGAAACGCTGTCTCAAAAAAAAAAAAAAAAAAAAAAAAAAAAAAAAAAAACCTCAAATAACTATACAACGAAAACAAATAACTACTAAAAATGAGCAAAAACCTTAAATATATTTCAAGACATATACATGTCCAACAAATATATTAAAAAATGCTCAATGTCAATTGTTATCAGAGAAAGGCATGCCAAAAAAAAAAAAAAACTACAAGGTATCAGCTCACTACTGTTAAAATGATTTTTATTAAAAATAAAAGTGACCAAGCACAGTGGCTCATGCCTGTAGTCCCAACACTTTGGGAGGCCGAGGCGGGTGGATCACCTAAGGTCAGGAGTTCAAGACCAGCCTGACCAACATGGAGAAACCCTGTCTCTACTAAAAATACAAAATTAGCCAGGCGTGGTGGCACATGCCTGTAATCCCAGCTACTCGGGAGGCTGAGGCAGGACAATCACTTGAACCTGGGAGGCAGAGCTTGCGGTGAGCCAAGATTGTGCCATTGCACTCCAGCCTGGGCAACAAGTGCGAGACTCCGTCTCAAAAAAATAAAAATAAAAATAAAGTGTTGGCATAGAAGTGAAGAAAAGGGGATGCTTGCACACTGTTGGTTTTCATGTAAATGAGGACAGCCATTATGAAAAACAAAAGAGATCTCACAAAAAAAATAAGATCAAAACTATCATATAATACAAGAATTTCAATACTGGACATATATCCACAACAAATAAAATCAGGATGAAGAAACATTTGCACTTCTATGTTGTTTGTAGCACTCCTCACAATAGCCAAAATAGAGTCAACAGTTTGACATCTAATGAGTAAATAAAAATAATGTGGTAGGCATACACAATTGAATACTATTCATCTTTTAAAAAAGAAAATTCTATTACTTTCAGTGACATGGATTAACCTGGAGAACATTATATTAAATAAGCCAGGCACAGAATGAATACTATCTTATGATATCACTTACAGATTAATTCTTTTTTTTTTTTAAGACAGAGTTTTGCTCGTTTCCCAGGCTGGATTGCAATGGTGTGATCTCAGCTCACTGCAACCTCCACCTGCTGGGTTCAAGCAATTCTCCTGCCTCAGCCTCCCAAGTAGCTGGGATTATAGGCGCCCACCACCATGCCTGGCTAATTTTTTTGTATTTTTAGTAGAGACAGGGTTTCACCACTTTGGCCAGGCTGGTGTCAAACTCCTGTCCTCAAGTGATTCACCTGCCTCGGCTTCCCAGTGTGCTGGGATTACAAGCGTGAGACACAATGCCCAGCCTCACTTACACAAGAATTCTAAAAAACAATCTCATTGCTGTAGAGAATAAAATGGTGAATACCAGATGCCAACGTGTTTAGAAGAAATGGGGAGTTGGAAAGAAAATATATAATTATACTTGAATAGGAGGAATAAGTCCAGAAGATTTATTTTACAGCACAGTGACTATAGTTCATTATAATGTATTTCTAGTTTTGAAAAATGTTAAGACAATGCTATGTGGTCTCACAACAAAAATGTTAACTACATGAGGTAAAGCATTAATTACCTAGAATTAAGCATGTGACAATGTATATGTACTTAAAAATATTGTATTGCAGAATACACATTTTATCTGTCAACTGGAAAAATATATTTTTAGCTTGGCATGGTGACTCATGCCTGTAATCCCAGTGCTTTGAGAGGCCAAAGTGGGCAGATCACTTGAGGTCAGGAGTTCAAGAGCAGCCTGGCTAACAGGGTGAAACTGTCTTTACCAAAAATACAAAAAATTAGCAAGGAGTGGTGGTGTCTGCCTGTAGTCCCAGCTACTCAGAAGACTGAGGCAGGAGAATCACTTAAACCTAGGAGGTGGAGGCTGCACTGCACTCCAGCCTGGGGGACAGATTGAAATCATCTCGAAAAAAAAAATATATATATATATATATAAATATAATATATATATAATATATTATATTACATATATAATATATATTATATTACATATATAATATATATTATATTACATATATAATATATATTATATTACATATATTATATATTATATTACATATATAATATATATATTATATTACATATATATAATATATATATTATATTACATATATATAATATATATATTATATTACATATATATAATATATATATTATATTACATATATATTATATTACATATATATAATATATATATTATATTACATATATATAATATATATATTATATTACATATATATAATATATATATAATTAAATGGGTGCAGTGGCTCACACCTGTAATTCCAGCAATTTGGGAGGCCAAGGTGGGTGAATCGCTTGAGATCAAGAGTTCAAGACCAGCCTGGCCAACATGAAGAAACCCCATCTCTATGAAAAATAGAAAAAGTAGCTGGGCATGGTGCCACCAACCTGTAATCCCAGCTACTCGAGAGGTTGAGGCTTGAGAATTGCTTGAACCTGAAATGTGGAAGTTTTAGTAAGCTGAGACTATGCCACTGCACTTCAGCCTGGGTGACAGAGCAGGACTCTTGTCTAAAAATTATATATATGTTATATACATATGTATATATATATACACACACATATAACAATGTTTCAAATACTGTCTTTGTCATAAACAGCTGAATAGTATCAAAATTAGTTTTTGTCACTTAGTTTGTCAGCCATGACCATAGGAACTCTGATATTTATTTATTTTATTTATTTATTTAGAGACAGAGTGGAGTACAATGGCACGATCTTGGCTCAACGCAACCTCCGCCTCCCGGATTCAAGGGATTCTTCTGCCTCAGCCTCCCAAGTACAGGTGCCCACCACCATACCCAGTTAATTTTTCTATTTTTGGTAAAGATGGGGTTTTGCCATGTTGGCCAGGCTGGTGTCAAACTCCTGACCTCAGGTGATCCACCCACTTCAGCCTTCCAAAGTGCTGGGATTACAGGCATGAGCCACCATGCCCAGCTTAGAAACTCTAGTATTTAACAGCATTTTCTGGACCCAGCAGAGTGTATGGGAAGAGCCAATGTACGTTAGGGCTTTTACTTCGAGCATGGGGTACCTGGAGTTTCTGTTGTTGATGGTAACAGTATGAAAAACACTAAAAGTTGGAGCTGTTGCTTATGGTCCCATGACTAGCCACTCTGTGAACACAGTAAACTCGTTTTTTATGCAAAATAATGGGAAATATTTTAATCCAAAAGCAGCCATGTTCTCCAAAAGTTTTCCAGAGAAAATGACCAGGGAGTTGACTACAGTTAGGTGACAAAGAGTAAAAACTGCAATCTAGGAAAAAAAGTGAGAAATTCCTCCAAATTGTAATAGCAACATGAAAAAAAAATTACATCAAATTTCAAATCCAGAGATCATTTTATTATTTTGCCAACTTTAACATTCACACTTAAAAGTTGAAGATACTGTATAGAAACATAAGTTATGCTATATTATAAAATTAAATTCGAAATTGTTCACTTGCAGTCAACTTGCTCAAAAATAAAATTTCTAAGATATATATTTTAGCACACTATATTTTTCACTCTTTGTGTGAGAATCTAATAAGGTTTTTCTTTTATAAACAAACAAAACCATGCTAACTGATATATTCTTCTTACTGATATATGATATATTCTATGCTGATACATTCTTGTGGAAAGTGTATGTCTTTTATTTTAATTAATCTAAAAGTTATATTGATAAGCAAACTCTCTAGTTAAAACCAATTTTTCAATGCATTAAAAAGTACCAACTTTCTCCTCAGAACCTACAAAGTACCATGTGAAATGACATGGCATGGAGATAACAGAGAGAAAACTGTAGCCATAACAGAGCAAGAAGAAAAAGGGCTGTGATGCATACATAGTTAGAATACACATAAAAAGTGAAAAAAAATCAAGATAATTAGGAAATTAAAGCAGCAGAATTTCTCTTTAAATTCAGCAAGATTCAGCTTTGAAGCCTGAAAAAAAGTGTCATCTCCACATGAAAAAAATCAATGTTATATCTTCAGCATTGATATTTTATTTTGTTTGTATTTTTTTTTTTTTTGAGACAAAAGTCTCGCTCTGTCGCCCAGGCTGGAGTGCAATGGCGTGATCTCGGCTCACTGCAACCTCTGCCTCCCTCATTCAAGCAATTCTCATGTCTCAGCCTTCCAAGTAGCTGGAGTTACAGGCACCTGCCATCATGCCTGGCTAATTTTTGTATTTTTGTAGTGCTGGGGTTTCACCATGTTAGCCAGGCTGGTCTTGAACTCCTGACCTCAGGCAATCTACCCACCTCGGCCTCCCAAAGTGTTGGGATTACAGGCATGAGCCACCATGCCCAGCCAATATTTTTTCTTTTTTTTTTTCTTTGAGACGGAGTCTCGCTCTGTCACCCAGGCTGGAGTGCAGTGGCGCCATATGGGCTTACTGCAAGCTCTGCCTCCTGGATTCACACCATTCTCCTGCCTCAGCATCCTGAGTAGCTGGGACTACAGGCATCCACTACCACACCTGGCTAATTTTTTTGTATTTTTAGTGGAGACGGGGTTTCACCGTGTTAGCCAGGATGGTCTTGATCTCCTGATCCTGTTATCTGCCCGCCTCGAACCTCCAAAGTGCTGGGATTATAGGTGTGAGCCATCGCACCTGGCCCAATGGTATTTTTAATTTCCGAATCAAAGTTACAAACTAATTTTAACACAAATATTTCTGCATTACGGAGCATCTGTTATACAGCAAGCACTCTCATGTTTGATATATTTATGTATAAAAATATCCTCAAAACTTATGAAGCTTCCCCAGTACTTACCTGGACAAATTGACTCAATAAATAAATGTATTTATGTCAATTATTAAAAATTTTTTTAAAATAACTAAATAAAGGTTGGCTTGGCTGGGTGCGGTCTCTCATGCCTATAATCCCAGCACTTTGGGAGGCTGAGGTGGGCAGATCATTTGAGGTCAGGAGCTCGAGACCAGCCTTGCCAACATGATGAAACCCTGTCTCTACTAAAAATAAAAAAATTAGCCAGGCGGGGTGACAGATGCCTGTAATCCCAGCTACTCAGGAGGCTGAGGGAGGAGAATCACTTGAACCCAGGAGGTGGAGGCTGCAACGAGCCAAGATTGCACCATTGCACTCCAGCCTGGGTGATAAGAGTGAAACTCCATCTTAAAAAAAAAAAAAAGTAGGCTTATATAAGTTTCTGCACTTAAAAGAACAAAATGGAATGTTCTAACACTAAATAAAACTTAATACACTAATGGAATTACCTTTGAAAATTATTTTGTGTGCACTACTAAATTTCATAAAAACAATTACTATAATCACTGACCAGCTAATATAATGAATACTTTATAACCTATAAAACAAAACGAAATAAGAATCAAGAAAATTATGGGTCTAGTATGAGTACTAGAAAAGTAAAAACAGAATTTGCATGAAGAGATTCTGAACTGTAAGACATAAGAATTTACAGCAATAAATTTAATACATTTTAAAGGCTTATATTTTCTGGAAGATCTTTTGACAGTAATTGCACCTTTAATGCTTGTATTAGCTCTCTGATGTTAAAATGTGAGCAGTTATTAATGGCTTCGTCACATTCTTTATACTTGTACAAGTTGTCTAAAATATAAATTATTTCCTGTGCACCAAGGTGTGAGCATTAGTCAAAAGTTTTGCCACATTCTTCACACTTGTAGGAGTTTTCTCCAGTATAAAGTATCTTACCTACAATCAAGTGAGACAACCATTTAAAGGCTTTCTCATATTCTTCACATTTCTATGAGTTCTCACCAGCACTTTTTTTTGTTTTTGTTTTTTTTGAGAGAGTCTCGTCCTGTTGCCCAGGCTGGAGTGCAATGGCGTGATCTCAGATCACTGCAACCTCCACCTCCCGGGTTCAAGCGATTCTCCTGCCTCAGCCTCCCAACTAGCTGGGATTACAGGCGCCCACCACTACACCCGGCTAATTTTTTTTGTATTTTAGTAGAGACGTTGTTTCACCATGTTAGGTTGGTCTCGAACTCCTGACCTCAGGTGATCTGCCCGCCTCGGCCTCCCAAAGTGCTGGGATTACAGGCGTAAGCTACTGTGCCTGGCCACCAGCATTTCTTTTATGTTTAAAAAAGTTTGGGATTTCATAAAAAGCATTGTCACATCTTTAAGGTTTGTGATTTCTCTTTAGTATGAATTATCTTATGTCTGTTAAGAATTGAGGACTTGTTAAAGGCTTTGCCACATTCTTCACATTTGTAAGGCTTCTCTCTAGCATGAATTATCTTATGTTTATTAAGGGTTGAATATTGGTTAAAAGCTTTGCCACATTCTTCACATTTGTAGGGTTTCTCTTTAGTATGAATTATCTTATGTTTAGTAAGGGTTGAGGATTGGCTAAAACCTTTACCACATTGTTTACATTTGTAAGGTCTTTCTCCAGTATGAATTATCTTATGTGTAGTAAGGGCTGAGGATTGGTTAAAGGCTTTGCCACATTCTTCACATTTGTAGGGTTTCTCTCCAGTATGAATTCTCTTATGTGTAGTAAGGTGTACAGATACTTTAAAAGCTTTGCCACATTCTTCACATTTGTAGGGTTTCTCTCCAGTGTGAATTCTCTTATGTGTAGTAATGTGTGAGGACTGGCTGAATGCTTTGCCACATTCTTCACATTTGTAGAGTTTCTCTCCAGTATGAATTCTCTTATGTGTAGCAAGGTGTGAGGGCTGGTTAAAGGCTTTGCCACATTCTTCACATTTGTAGGGTTTCTCTCCAGTATGAATTCTCTTATGATTATTAAGGCTTGAGAACACATTAAAGGCTTTGCCACATTCTTTACATTTGTAGGGTTTCTCTCCAGTGTGAATTCTCTTATGATTATTAAGGCTTGAGAACATATTAAAGGTTTTGCCACATTCTTCACATTTGTAGGGTTTCTCTCCAGTATGAATTCTCTTATGATTATTAAGGCTTGAGGACACATTAAAGGCTTTGCCACATTCTTCACATTTGTAGGGTTTCTCTCCAGTATGAATTCTCTTATGATTATTAAGCTTTGAGGGCACACTAAAGGCTTTGCCACATTCTTCACATTTGTAACAATTCACTCTAGTATGATTTCTTTCATGTTTAGTTAGGTGTGAAAGCATGCAAAATGATTTGCCACATTCTTTACATTTGAAAGAATTATTTCCAGTATGTCTTATCTTCTGGCTATTTGAACTTGAAAATTTATGAAAGACTTTTACATATTTATCACATTGAAATATTTTGCTCGGGGTAGTTGTCAAACATTGCTTAAGTTCATCATAACCTCCTTTGTGCATCTTACACTCATCCACACTTTCACAGCCTTTTCTTAATTGTAAATTGTCATGTCCATATTTTCCATAGCTTCTCAGTATTACTTTTTGGAAAGAATCTTTTATGCCCTGCTCTGGCCAAAGGTCTTGGGCAAAATGAGAACACACAACTGAAAAAAATAGAAATAACAAATTACTTCATCTTACTAGACTCAGATGGATATACTTTACAAATCTAAGCTATAAAATTATACAAACTACATAAGATGGCATAGCAAAATACCATAGGCCATAATTACTTCATAGACATAAATGTAACAAAAACATACAGACCAAAATACATTTGTGGAAAATGTATAAATGAGTTAAGTATGTGCAGTGCCACAAAGAGCCTCATAGAATGAAGAGAAAAGTTTATTGCATCTACCCAAAACAGCTCTTTCTGCTCCCCAATATAGCAAAGAGCCTTTACAAGTAAATTGTAAGCTCCTGAATTCTTTTTTAAAAGACAAGTAAAATACTGGCACATACATCTTTATTTCTGTCTTTGAGGGGCTTTTCCAGACACTTGGTTTCTGTTTCCAATGACATAAAGTGCTAAAATAACTGGTCATATACTTTGAAGTGACCCTTTGAGTTTGCTGAGACTAAATGTAAATGTTACAGCAGCAGAGAAACTGCAGTACCACAGGCAGGGAACAGGTGTAGCAAGCGATGAATATAAAGAAACATGAATAAACTCCTTTAACTAGAAAGTAAAAACTAAATTCAGACAAGACACATCATAAGAACCTGTTTGATAGACTCCCAAAATCTCTAACCAAGACAATTGTTTTCAGACTATGCCATAAATTATGTAACAGGTAGATTTTAATAATGTCCTAAATTGAATAATACTCAACGAGTGAAATGGAAACACAGACAACTACAGAAAAACAGAAAAATGAGGGTAACAAAAGTATGAAATATCAAAAAAACAGAAATTGTGGAGGTAAAAAATACAAAAAGAAATTATAACTAAAAAATTCTGGCCAGGCACAGTGGCTCATGTCTATAATCCCAGCACTTCGGGAGGCCGAGGTGGGCAGATCATGAGGTCAGGAGATAAAGACCATACTGGCTAACATGGTGAAACCTCATCTCTACTAAAAATACAAAAAATTAGCTGGGTGTGGTGGCAAGCACCTGTAGTCCCAGCTACTCAGGAGGCTGAGGCAGGAGAATTGCTTGAACCTGGGAGGTGGAAGTTGCAGTGAGCCAAGACCACGCCATTGCACTCCAGCCTGGGAGACAAGAGCAAGACTCTGTCTCAAAAAACAAAAACAAACAAACAAAAAAATTCTAAAAGAAAGATAAAATAAAAACGAAGAAGCTCAACAAACAAACTAGGAAACACACAAAGATACTTATAACAAACACATATATAAGCACACTTTTAAAAGTCACAGACAAAAAGAGAATCTTGGAAACTGCAAGAAAAAAGTGATGTATCACTTACAAGCAGGCTTTCAGATAACCACTGAACTGTCAACAAAAATTTTGGAGGCCAGAAGGGAACTGTGTGATATAGTCAAAGTCCTGGAAAAATACCTATCAAGTGAGAATAATACCATCAGCAAATCTGTCCTGCCAAAAATAAAAAAACCTTCCAAAGTAATCAAATTCTGAAAAAGTATATTGGCACTGCATGTGCCCTATACATAAAAGATACTGAAAGCAGTTTCTTCCATTGAAAATAATATGATTCAAGAAAATGACAGGCCAGGTGTGGTGACTCACACCTGTAGTACCAGCATTTTGGGAGGCCACGGCAGATGGATCACCTTAGGTCAGGAGTTCAAGATCAGCCTGGCCAACATGGCAAAACCCCATCTCCACTAAAAATACAAAAATTAGACATGTGTGGTGGTGTGTGTCTATAATCCCAGCTATTCAGGAGTCTGAGGAAGGAGAATCACTTGAACCCGGGAGGTGGAGGTTGCAGTGAGCCAGGACTGCACCACTGTACTCCAGCCTGGGTGACAGAGAGAGACTCCATCTCAAAAAAAAAAAAAAAAGAAAACACATAATCATATAAAAATACATTATTTTCTAGGAAAGATATGTACATACTTACATAAAAATGAAATTTCCTACCATTGTTATAACGGTGCAGAAAACATTTGTAATTATTCTATAAAATTTAAAGAATTCTAGAGAATATAAAAATAAAAAATTTGAGGAAGAATATTTTTTTTTTTGAGATGGAGTTTCAATCTTGTTGCCCAGGCTGGAGTGCAATGGCACAATCTCAGCTCACTGTGACCTCCACCTTCTGGGTTCAAGCGATTCTCTTGCCTCAGCTGACAGAGTAGCTGGGATTACAGGCATGTGCCACCACGCCTGGAAACTTTCATATTTTTAGTAGAGACAGGGTTTCTCCATGTTGGTCAGGCTGGACTCGAACTCCCGACCTCAAGTGATCTGTCCACCTCAGCCTCCCAAAGTGATGGGATTACAGGTGTAAACCACCAAGCACAGCCAAAGAAACATTTTCGTATTCAGCTGAAGTTCACTTTTTACTAGATTAAAATATATTCTCATATCTTTTAGAGGTTTTGTGTAATCCCCAAGGTACCACAAAGAATATATGTTTAGATGAAAAAAACAAGAAGTAAAAGCATATTAATACAAAAGTGAAACAGACACAAAAGAGGGCAGAAAGAGAGAAAATGAGGGACAAAGATACAAGAATCAAATAAAACAATAAAACATTATTAAGTTTTTGTTTCAGAAAATTATTTAAATATATATACAATTAATTTTCCAATCAAGAGACATATTTTCAATAAAAGGATTTATTTAAAAAATCTTAAAACCCAAAATCCAACTTACTTTCCTGCAAGAGTCAGCTGAGATTTAATGATAAAAAAAGACAGAAAGTGGCAAGACGGACATACACATTCTATGCAGATACTAACCAAATGAGAGAAGAAGAGATCAAAATAATATTACATAAGCTATATCTGAAGTCAAAGTGTCATATTTTATAAAATGTATTCTAAGTCAAAACTATATGGAGACAAAGAAGGAAATTAACAATAATAGAGTCATTTAGTGTAAACATAACAAATGTGTGTGTGTGTGTGTGTGTATCTCACATTTGGCTTTCAAATATATAAAGCAAATATTGACAGAATTAAAGAAACACATAGAGAGCAATATAATTATAGTAGGATATTTTAATACGCCACTTTCTGTAATAAAAATAAAACAAGATAGAATATTAATAAGGAAAGAGAAAATTTGAAGAGAGTATAAAACATTTATTTCTAAAAGAAGTATAGAGAACACTCCTCAACATCAGGATACACACCCTTCTCAATAACTCATATGGCCGGTTGTGATGACTCAAGCCTATAATCCCAGCAGTTTGGGAGGCCAAGGCAGGCAGATCACCTGAGGTTAGGAGCTCGAGACCAGCCTGGCCAACATGGTGAAACCCTGTCTCTACTAAAAATACAAAAATTAGCTGGGCATGGTTCAGGTGCCTGCAATTCCAGCTACTTGGAAGGCTGAGGCAGGTTCACCTGGGAGGAGGAGGTTGCACTGAGCCAAGATCAGGCCATTGCACTCCAGCCTGGGTGACAGAGCAAGGCTCTGTCTCAGATAAATAAATAAATACTCACACGATCTTACAAGATTCTCCTTGAAAAAAGTCTTAACAAATTTCATAAAACAAAATTTTTATGCATTACTTTGTATGACCAAAATGGAATGAGGGTATAAAACAATAATAGAAAAAAACCTGAAAAATTTATAAATATATAAAAATTAAACAGCACACTCTGGAGAATGCATCTATTCAAAAACTGAAATAATTAATATTTTGAAGATGTCCATGCTGCTCAATGTAATCTACAGATTTAATGATATTTAACTAAATTTCTAACTGCATTTTTGAAAAAATGTAAACAGCAATAGCAAAAGTATATGGAATCTCAAGAGAAAATAAAATACTCAACAATCTTCAAAAAAAGAAACAATGTTGAAGGCATTACAGTTCCTGATTTCAAAACACATTACGAGCTACAGAATTAAAACAATTTACTATGAATATAAAAGTTAAAAAGCAGAATAATAAAAGAGAATGCAGCACATATATAAACTGTCATATATATAGTTATATAAAGAGCTATTTGCATATCTATAATTATTACAGTTTTTACTGAAAGCCAATAACTAAAAGCAATGCAAATTTCTGTCACCAAATCATTCAGTAGAAATAATTTGAAATATAAAAATACTGGAATATCACTCAGGATTTATAAGCAGAAAATATTCTTAACAACTATAAAGATAAAGCTTGATGATATTATGCAAAATGAAACGAGCCAGTCATAAAAAGTCAGAGATAGAATGAGATATATGTAGCAGTTACACTGTTAAAAACAGAAAACATAGTGGCATTTGAAAAGCACCAAGAAATGAAAAAAACTGGTAGCTGTTCAATGTGTCAAGATTTAGCTTTGTGAGATAAAAACATTCTAGGGATATGTTGCATAGCATTGTCAATACCATTAATATGACTAAACCGAATATTTAAAAACATTTGACTGTAAAGATTATGTGTTTTTGACAAGTAAAAATGAACAATAATACCTAATAAAGTTCTGATAAGTTTTTAAATTATTGTCAAGTCCAAAATTTTTCCCCACACAAAAATAATATATTCACAAATAGATGCTAAAACTAGTAAAATGTTTATGACAGCTTACCTAGAAAAGATTAAACAACCATTCACAACAAACCTACACAAAAAATATACAGTCATAAAAGATAGAGATAATATTTATACAGGGAAACAAACATA
Source organism: Homo sapiens (assembly GCF_000001405.40). Taxonomy (NCBI): domain Eukaryota; kingdom Metazoa; phylum Chordata; class Mammalia; order Primates; family Hominidae; genus Homo; species Homo sapiens. The sequence goes on along the minus strand of NC_000019.10, from coordinate 22,852,435 downwards.
ACTATATTGGAAACAGATATATGAATGAAAGACTAATATTTGATTTTGCTCTATCCATTCTTAAATTGTACAGACTTTAATATTGTCATATAAAATGATAATATAAACTAAAACATCAAAACACAATTAACTGCTATGAGGTGGCATATTCTAAAATATATAACACAGAAACAAAATTGTAAAACACTAAACATGCAATGTAAAGCTTATTGGACACTATAAAGTAGATCAATATATTTATGAAAGAAATCTTAAAAGAAGACTATAAAAGAAAAAGTAATACAGAGATTACTTGAAGAAACAAAAACTGAGAACTTTACCAATTTTGATTTTATAAAAAAAATTCTAGCTGGGCGCAGTGGCTCACACCTGTAATCCCAGCACTTTGGGAGGCCGAAGGGGGCAGATCACCTGAGGTTGGGAGTTTGAGACCAGTCTGACCAACATGCAGAAACCCCGTCTCTACTAAAAATACAAAAAAATTAGCCAGGCGTGGTGGCACATGCCTGCAATCCCAGCTATTCCGGAGGCTGAGGCAGGAGAATCGCTTGAACCCAGGAGGCGGAAGTAGCGGTGAGCCCAGATCGCGCCATTGCCCTCCAGCCTGGGCAACAAGAGCAAAACTCCGTCTCAAAAAAAAAGTTCTAACAAGTAATACTTTATTCAAAATTATTTTACTTCAAAAACAAGACAAAAATAAAGACTTTCCCAAATGAAAAGTGAGGGAGTTCATCACCACTAACACAGTCCTATAACAAATGCTACATGGTGGCCAGGCACAGTGGCTCATGCCTGTAATCCGATAGCATTAGGAGGCAAAGACAGTCAGATCACTTGAGACCAGGAGTTCAAGATTAGTCTGAGCAATACAGTGAGACTGCACATAAATAAAAAGAAATCCTAAAATGAGTCCATTATGTTGAAAAATAAAATCATGCTGGACAGCATCATGAAAATGTATATAGGCTGGGCGCGGTGCCTCACGCCTGTAATCCCAGCACTTTAGGAGGTCAAGGCAGGCAGATCACCTGACATCAGGAATTCAAGACCAGCCTCACCAACATGCTGAAACCCCGTCTCTACTAAAAATAGAAAAATTAGTTGGGTGTGGTTGCTCGTGCCTGTAATCTCAGCTACTCAAGAGGCTGAGGCAGGAGAATTGCTTGAACCCATGAGGCAGTGGTTGCAGTGAGCCAAGATCGTGCCACCGCGCTCCAGCCTAGGCAACAGAGCAAGACTCCATCTCAAAAAAAATAGTAATAAATAAATAAATAAATAAATAGCTCTCTGTTAAATGTAAATATAGAGACACATATAGAATTCTATTATAATGATGGTGCATAAAACCCTTAAACTTCTTCTGTAAATAGAAAAAACAACACTTAAATCTGCCTACATTTATTAATAGATACACAAGATAATATTTATAATATCAATAACAAACTGGAAAATATAAAGATATAGGTTTTGTATTCAATTGAAGTTATGATATTAAAATGTATTGTTTTAACTTTAAGATGTTTTATGTAATCTCCATTTTTCAACATGATCACATTATATTTCAGGATGACTGCGTTGCATTTGTAGAAAGCATGTGAAACAGAATAAAAAATAAGCAAGGCATGTCACAACAAAATTAAACAAAAATTAAGGCAGTAAAACAGGAAATGAGAAAAAACGTATCTAAAAAAATAATAAACTCTTAATAGTAACTTCATATCTTTAAGCAATTATTTTAAATATAAATTAAACAATTTAATAAAAAGAAATGTAGCTGGGCATGGTGGCTCATGCCTATAATCCCAGCTACTGGGGAAGCTGAGACAGGAGAATCACTTGAACCCAGGAGGCGGAGGTTGCAGTGAGCCAAGATCGTGCCATTGCACTCCAGCCTGGGCAGCAAGTGCAAAACTCCATCTCAGTAAAAAGAAAAAAAAAAAAGACCCAGCGCCTGTGATCCCAGCACTTTGGGAGGCCGACGTGGGCCGATCACCTGATGTCAGGAGTTTGAGACTAGCCTGGCCTACATGGTGAAACCCCGGCTCTACTAAAAATACAAAAATTAGCTGGGCATGGTGGCACGTGCCTGTAATCCCAGCTACTCGGGAGGCTGAGGCAGCAGAATCACTTGAATCCGGGAGGCGGAGGTTACAGTGAGCCAAGAGGGTGCCATTACACTCCAGCCTGGGCAACAAGAGCAAAACTCCATCTCAAAAAAAGCCTCCAGTGCTATCTTTTATATAGTAATGTAAAACACAATCCTAAAATTTACATAAAACTTCAATAAACTTTGAATAGCCAAAGCAATCTTGACAAAAAAAAAACAAACCAGGAGGATGTCATACTTAATATAATAATTCCAAACTGTATTTCAAGACTATACTAATAAAAACAGGATGAATTATGCAGAAAAATGAAAAAACAAATGGAACAGAAACCACTACTCTCACATATTTTAAACACGATAAAACAAGAAAACATGAAAAACAGTTTAACATAGGTTTTTGTTTCTTTTTTTTTACTTTTGAGATGGACTTTCACTCTTCTCACACAAGCTGGAGTGCAATGGCACGACATCAGAATTAAGGAACCTCTGCTTCCTTAATTCAAGCGATTCTCCTGACTCAGCCTACCAAATAGCTGGGATTACAGAAGTGCGCCACCACGAGCAACAAATTTTTGTATTTTTGGTAGAGAAGGGGTTTCACCATGTTGGCCAGGCTGGTCTCGAACTCCTGACCTCAGGTGATCCACCCGCCTCGGCCTCCCAAAGTGCTGGGTTTACTGGTGTGAGACATTTGCCCAGCCTAACAGAGTTTTATAAAATTATGCAGATATTTATGGTTCCCTTGAAAATATGAAAAAGTAGATTGTGCAGTCTCTTATATGCCATGAAGAAGACTTTGGCTGTCACTGTAAACTTCAAGGAAGATCACAAAAGGGAAAGTAGAATCCTTAGAAAATTTAATAGCACAATGCAGAAGATGCCCCTATGTGAGAGTAAAATTTTTTAAACTCTCAGGCTTTCCTGAAACTATTTTCTTTGGAACACAGCTTCCCAAAATCTATTTTAAGGACTGGCTTTCTCCTTGACCTTTGGACGTCTTATCTGTGTTGTCCATTGTGTTCACTCTCCACCTACCTGGGGGCTTGGCTACCATCTTGTGTCTCTTCATATTCCAGGGCTCTTTTCCTTGCTCCAGACAGGTGATTAAATCTGGCTTAGAGACACCAACACCTGTTTTATTAAAAATAAATAACATGAATGTTCCTCATATTCTTCAAATAATGTGCTCAGTAAAGAGAACATAATAGAATATTCTAGTATATTCATCCCAAAACAGTAATTTATAACAGTAATTTCTTAATATTTAGAAAATGGGCTGGCTGCGGTGACTCATGCCTGTAATCCCAGCACTTTGGGAGGCCAAGGAGGGTGGATCACTTGAGGTCAGAAGTTCGAGACCAGCCTGGCCAACATGGTGAAACCCCATCTCTACTAAAAATACAAAAATTAGCTGGGCTTGGTGGCACATGCCTCTACTCCCAGCGACTCAGAAAGCTGAGGCTGGAGAATCTCTTGAACCTGGGAGGTGAGGATTGCAGTGAGCCAAAATCGCACCATTGTACTCCAGCCTGGGCAACAGCAACATTCCATCTCATAAATAAATAAATAAATAAATAAATAAATAAATAAATAAATAAAATAATTTCTCTACCCAGTACCACTGAATCAAAAGCTGGTGGTGACACTTAGATGTTAAGGTGTGGGCAACAATATTTTATGTCACTAAATTTTGAAATGATCGCTAATGGTGAGTAAAAACTACAGGTCTGCTCAGGAATGTGGAAAGTTCAGATCAAGGTGAACTTCAAGATGTTTATCTTGAAGAAATTCTTTTCTACACTGACAAATTCCCAAGCTTTTCTTCAAAACAGTGATGTGAAACTCATTTATGCAAAGCATCAATTACCAAAAAACATTCTACAACACCAAAAAAAGAAACATTTACAGTATCTGAGGATTGTGTATTGAAGTTATTCTCACCCAGGAAGACCAGGTTTCTGTAGTTCTCTAACATCACATCCCTATATAAATTCTGCTGTGCAGTGTCCAGGAATTGCCACTCCTCCAGAGAAAATTTTATTGCCACATCTGTGAATGTCAATGGTCCCTGAAAAAAAAACACACACACACATACACACATATTTACCGGGTGGCCAACGGCAGAATTTTTAATTTGACTGAAGGTGAAATGAGAGAGTAAAGAGAACAGGTTCTGACTTATAGGAATGACTGAAATCCTCCAATAATTTTTTTTTTTTTTTTTTTAAGACAGAGTCTTGCACTTGTTGCCCAGGCTGGAGTACAATGGTGCAATTTCGGCTCACTGCAACCTCTGCCTCCTGGGTTCAAGTGATTCTCTTGCCTCAGTCTCCCAAGTAGCTGGGATTACAAGACACCCACCACCACGCCCAGCTAATTTTTGTATTTTTAGTAGAGATGGGGTTTCATCATATTGGCCAGGCTGGTCTCGAACTCCTGACCTCGGATGATGCATCCGCCTTGGCCTCCCAAAGTGCTGGGATTACAGGTGTGAGACACCACGCCTGGCCGAAAATAATTTTCAACACAGAAATATTCTCTTATGTATTCTCTAATTCTGAAAAAAAGAGTGGAATAAGATCCACAACATCAGTGTATATATGATACTTTTCTGGATAATAAAGTATAAAATTAAAGGCATTAACACAAGCATGTATATTTTTGAGTGCTATATTAACATCATAGAGAATGAGTTCTGTGTATTTTTGAGATGGAAAAGACATGTTGAGTTAGAAGGTACCTAGCAAATTTTAATGTGTACAATAAACTGGAGATCTTGTAATGGAGATTTTTTTTTTTTCCAGAACATCTGGAATAAAGTCTGAGTTTCTGAATTTCTAACAAGCTCACCAATAATGCCAATGATTTTGGCCTAAGAAGAATATTTTATCAAACATCCAGTATATGGAAGAACCTGTGTTTTTTCCAGTTTTTCTGGACTATAAAAGATGAAACTCTTCATTTTCCAAGGACAGATATATGCAAAGAAACTCTAAGAAAGAGCAGCTGCCAAATTAAATTTGATAGTTTACACACATCAGCTGCATAAAGATACTTAATTAAAAAAAAAAAGGCCTTTACAAAAATTAGTCTGGCATGGCGGTGGGCACCTGTAGTCCCAGCAACTTGCAAGGCTGAGGCAGGGGAATTGCTTGAACCTAGGAGGCAGAGGTTGCAGTGAGTCGAGATCACGCCACTACATTCCAAGCTGGGCAACAGAGTGAGGCCCTGTCTCAAAAATAATAATAAAATAAAATAACAAAGAAAAAAATTATAGTAAAAAAAAAAAAAAATCTGTCAGAGAGTGCTTATCCAAGTGAATCATAAACATCAACAGCAGTAGGAAAAATTTGTATGATGTGCTGATACACACATAACACAGCATCACTGCTGAAATATTGTTCCCAAAAAGTAAATTATAGGCTGGTTGGGGGTAGTGGCTCATGCCTGTAATCCCAGCACGGCATCAAGAGCAAAACTCCATCTCAAAAAAAAAAAAAAAAAAAAAAAAAAAAGGAAATTATAGGCTGAATGCAACCATACAGAAACATCAGTTTTATGCAAAATTCAAGATACAGATATTTCCCATTTTCTGTAATTTTTAGTAGTGATTTTAAGGAGTCTTTTTTGAGCACCCTAGAGAGCAGTTATCTCCTGATAATTATCTTTCAAACTTTCTGGGTAATAAATCTCATCATTTTTTCTTGAGACAGAGTCTCATTGTGTCATCCAGGCTGGAGGGCAGTGGCGCAATCTTGCCTCAGTGCAACCTCCACCTCCCGGGTTCAAGCGATTCTCCTGCCTCGGCCTATCAAGTAGCTGGGATTACAGGCATGCGCCACCATGCCTGGCTAATTTTTGTATTTTTAGTAGAGATGAGGTTTCGCCATGTTGGCCAGGCTGCTCTTGAACTCCTGACCTCAGGTGATCCAACCTGCTCAGCCTCCCAAACTGCTGGGATTACAGGTGGGAGCCACCGCACCTGGCCGTCATCTTGTTTAAGTAAGCATTTCCTTAATCCCGTTCTGCATAGTGCTAATGGGGAACACAAATGGAGCCTCAACAGTACCTGTTCTCCATCTTTACTAAGGATACCAGCTTTTCCCCAACAGGAATCTTGAGTATCCCCACCCTCCCATGTTCAACAGCCACAAAGGAAACATTTTTAATACTGCAGATCATAAATTAATGGTGAGAATCCTCCATGGCATATAAAAAGCCATGATGTGGAGAACTTAGAAAAGGCTCTAAAAAGAAATATTGTTCAGAGACCCTTGACTATCAATAAAATTTTCAAAAGTAGTTAAAACAAACTCATTAGGGAGGAAAAACGCAAGAGAAGTAAAGGTTTGCAAGTACTAAATGCATGGAAATCCACGAGGCAGAGTGGACGCAGTTCTTGATCTGAGATGTGTTTAGCTAAAAAAAAAAAAAAAAAAGGCATATTTTTTCCCTATCTCCTCCTTCTCTGGGATTCCTTTTCAGTTGAGATTCTCTGGACAAATTAGACCTGCATCTTGAGAATATGCCTTTAAAGGTGTCAGCACCACCTGTTTACCTGCTACCACCACACCCACAGGCAGAAGTACCAAGACCCGCTGAAAAAGTCCATCCATTTCTGTCCTTTATAACATGAAAAATTCAGGAACAATGAGTTTCCCCATGAAGAAGAAATAAAAGTTTCTCCTTTCCTCTCTTTAGGTGCCCTCCCCTGCTACAGACACCAACAATCTCTGCTACAGTAATAAAAATATGGGCCACACTGCCCTGTCCATACCAAACCCAAACAGAACAGGCCCTATAATCACCCTGTAGTAAACAGGTGAAACTGAACTCTCATGAGTGTATCTTCAACCCCTCATAAGTGATTCTGGCCTCACCTTAGAATCACATGAGGCTCTTAATTAAAACAACATGGATGTGTCCAACAATAAAAAGAACCCGTGGAAAGGGCACGAGCAAAGATATTTCTGTGAATTGGCCATGTAATCTGAGTATCCACATCTAAGTAATCCACATTAATTACAATGGCAGAAACTGTAATAACTTTTGCACCAAACTAATAGAACCCTGGGTTTATAACCACTTAGCTAAGCATTGTCTCTCAAGCTTTAACGAGCTTATAAACCACTCAGTAATTTTAGTCCCTCTTTATGTAATGTGATTCTGCAGGTTTTCAAAGGGTACATGAGTGTTTTTGTTTTGTTTTTGAGACAGAGTCTCGCTCTGTCACCCAGGCTGGAGTGCAGTGGCGTGATATCGGCTCACTGCAACCTCCGCCTCCCGGGTTCATGCCATTCTCCTGCCTCAGCCTCCCAAGTAGCTGGGACTACAGGCGCCTGCCACCATGCCCGGCTAATTTTTTTTCTATTTTTAGTAGAGATGGGGTTTCACCATGTTAGCCAGGATGGTCTCGATCTCCTGACCTCATGATCCACCCGCCTCGGCCTCCCAAATGGGATTACAGGCATGAGCCACCACGCCGGCCATGAATGTGTGTTTTAACTAAGTCCCCTGTCAATGCTGATGATGCTCCCCCTGGGCTCATTATTAGCATTAGAGAAAGCAGGCACAGCACAGAGTCCCTTAAACTCCGTACTCTTTTCACAACACAATTACTTCTGGCACAAATGAAGATAACTAATCTCCATCCTAAAGCATCAAATTCTTTGCTGGTTCTTTAAAGTTTACAGAGGCAATAAAAGGTAGGAGTGCCTGAATAAGCCTACATTTGGAAAACAACATATACACATGTACTAATGCAATGTTTAAGCAGGTACTATGTGCTCAAGAGTATGTTGCAGAGTACTAATACGAATAATACATTATGTGATTTAATCCTCATAACACACTGCGATTTGGTACTAAGTATTTAATAATTCCCAGCATTAGGTTAAGGGCCCAGCACATGTATTTCATCTTCTGTTTCTGTTCTTGGTTTTTTAAAGAAAATGTATACAATAAAAGCTAAATGTAGACAAATTACCTGAATAGAGAAAAGTTTAACGCAGTTTAGAGAAACTTTTATTGTGTTTATATTTTTTTTGTGTGACTAGTGGAGCAACTACTGAATCTGCAGGAATAGAAAACAAGATGCTAAATGGAATCTGCAAGCACTGATTTAATAGAAAATTTAAAAATTAAGACATTAAAATACATACTTTATTTTTCCCTTTATCTCCTTTGGGGTTCAGAAAATTGTAAGTACCAGCTTTAGAAAGGCAGCAGGATTCACCAGCCAAAACTCTCATCTCTTCCAATCAGTTCTGTGAGGCAAGACTCCAGAGTGGGGCCAGATCTAAACAAGACCCCAAATAGAGTGAATCTGAACAGAACTGGGGCAGGGAGTGGACCTTATGTAGAATTCTGTTCTCTGTGCCACTGGCGTATTTCCAGTTCTGCTTTCCTAAACTTGCCTAAGAGAAACTTAAATCTCAGAGTTTGTATAATTTTTTTTAGCCACTGCCCTGTCCATTATATAATGCATACTAATAAGCAATTTAAATAAATGTCTTAAGGTTCTCTAGGGTAATTATTAGAAGATAAATATGTATTCTTAGCAGGTAATAGAAACGCATATAATAATAACAACTCTTCTGTTCATAAATATCCCTTCAGGTGATGACATAAGAAGTCACTACAATATAAAGAAAGGGGCCCAAATAAAGGCAAATTTTTTTGCACACATCTGTTCAATGAATCAACCATATGATGCTTAATTCAACCCTTTATTCAGTTGCTAGTCTAGTCTAAAAGTTCCTGGATGGTTCCTGGATGACTGCTTCATCTATTTTTCTAATCGCCATATAAAATAAAAGCAATTTGTTTATTTGTTTGAGTCTCCAGACATCCTGGTTGTTTTTCACCCAAGTATCTGAAAACTGGAGAAACATTCATCTGGGTACCCACCAAAGTCATTTCTTGTGTAAGGGGAGGAGCAAACACAAGAAGACTCAATTTTTTACACTGAGATAGAAGCAGAATTAACCACTTTTGTTAACCTGGCACAATTCTGCTCTGGACATCCTCAAATGTCTCAAAGACACCCAGCTTATTGTGAGAGTTCCCAGTGACCCTGGGCTGATGGCCCAATGATAAAACAGACAGGAGAGACTCAGGCTAATTCTAAACAAAAAATTAAACTGCCCTGGAGAAGCTCCAGAACCTGGATCACCTGTCCTGATTATCCAGCTCTTAGGTAAGAGGAAGAACAGGAATATTCTACTCCAGTCCCACATTTTAGGGACAGGTGTAGTTGTGGTTATGGCTCTGGATACATTATCACCTTTCTATAACTCTGAAGATGCTTGTTCACACTTACGTATTCTGCCATCAGATTCTATTTATACCTGGTGGCCCTCACATAACTGTAGCAGGTCACTGGACAAGATCTGAGAAGCTGAAAGAATCACATTCTCAAAGAGGAACTTTAAGATGTCTATGTTGACATCTGACAATGCATAAAATGTCTAGTTAGTTTTCTCTACATTCTCAATTCAAAGTCTGGCCTTATCTTGTAAATTCCAGGAAGAGAACAGACCTTATTTGCAGATTCTAGGTGGGATCAACCTGGCTCTTCATTCTTGGGTGTTACAGCAAGCAGAGTACAATCAAAGGAAAGATCACCTTATAGAGGCTGCTTTAGCACATTCTGAAAGATATGTCTACCTAAAAGAAAAAAAGCTAAGGCAACATGAATGTAAGTAGACCGTTTATTTGGGCAAAGCTTGAGGATTGTAACCTGGGAGCAAACCTTCAAGTTGCCTGTCATCTACACTTTGATTAGGAGCAGTTACAAGTTGATCTGAAAAGGCAAAAAGAGAGGGAGAGAGAGATGGCTGATACAAAGTTGTTTACCAGAAATTTTTATTATATTTACAGAAATGACATTGATTATTGATTGGATATACATCATTAAAATTTAGAGTATGGGTTATAGTGTCCAGTGTGGCATTATTAATTTATAGCTACTAGTGGCAACAGTTAACAGTTTTAAGAGATTAAAAAAAACTCTTAGTTCAGGACCAGGCGCAGTGGCTCATGCCTGTAATTTTCCAGCACTTTGGAAGGCCGAGGCGGGTCGATCACCTGAGGTCAAGAGTTCAACACCAGCCTGGCCAACACAGTGAAACCCCTTCTTTACTAAAAATACAAAAATTAGCCAGCTGTTATGGCACATGCCTGTAATCCCAGCTACTTGGGAAGCTGAGGCAGGAGAATCGCTTGAACCTAGGAGGTGGAGGTTCCAGTGAGCAAAGATTGCGTCACTGCACTCTGGCCTTGGGGACAGACCAAGACTGTCTCAAAACAACAACAACAACAACAAAACATAGTTCAAAGGTGGGAGAAAGACAAAATTGTGTTCTCATTTTAATGTCTCTCTGAGTTTGACAACTAAAAGGACTTGCATTCCTCAGATGAAAGGTTTGTTTTTTTCTTTTTTTTTGGTTCCCAGATCTCAAGACCTAGATTCAGAATTTGGATCTGCAGCAGGTGTTACTTGCATATTTGTGGGTATTTTAGCAATAGGAGGAAGGGGAGAGTGGAGATTCTCATGTCTACATGTCTACTCAACACTCACATGTTACTCTGATTGGGTTTCTGGTCCCCCTGGTCTCTGAATCAGTTTCAGGTCTGAAGACACAACAGTCACTAAAAGAGGTGAAATGGTTGATTGCTACCCTGTGAAGTTTGTAGAAATCTGTGAGTTGACTGGAAGCCTGAGAGGAAGTCTCCTCTAGAGTAAAGCTTGGTTGGCATCTTATGAGTTTATATAATGTCTGGTAATTCTAGACAGTGTGTGGAAAATATAATTAAAAGAAAAATTTTCTCCAGCCCCAGAAAAACTCCAAAATGATAGAACAGAAAGAAAACTGTTTTATTACACAATTTAACCTGAATGTGACACGCATCACAGTCAATCTGCTCAAGAGATCGTCAAGCCAGAAAGACAGTCACCACAGTTAGTCCACAAGTGGAAAAATTTACAGCACCATGTCATATGTAGTTCATCCTAAATTCACCTGGCAATTGGCAAGGCCATCGGTGTAAGCTTATTGGTTATATTCAATGACAAAATAAACTTTTCACATCTTCATAACAGGAGGTTAATTCTGCAACATGAAGCCAAGTGCCTGCTGAAGGTAGGCTCCCACTCTCCTACAGAAATGGCTGAATAGGGTGTTATCTTTTTGGCTATTTATATTTTAAAGCAATGGCTCTTTAACTCCTTTAGCACTGGGCTAGAGCACCCTGCTTGCCCTCTCCTGATGGCCATGTCCTCTCTTGACGCCTACTATCTGCCATTGACACACAGCCCACAACACAAAGCTCATAGCTGGCAGCTCACATCTTACATGAACCCCAATTGCCACAGCAGCACTCCAGTGTCACATCAGACAATGAAGCCTGAGCTGCAGGAGGAGAGCCTGCAGGCCTCCTGGGTGAAACTGCACCTTCACGATAATGGGAATGGGAGCAGTGTTTCAGCCTCAGCTTCTATTTAAAATGGTGACATGAAAAAAGTACTGCTGGATTTCCAGCATGAGTCCGGATAGAGATAGGTCTAAGTTCTCCCTGTGACAGCCCACCTCATTCACAGATATCATGGGATACTAATAGGGCTTCTGAAACAGAAACCCAAAGAATTCACGCAAAAAACAGCTCTCCATCTGAGCAAGATTATATCAAGAGAAAATAAAAAGTTAAAAGCATCTTTAAAAACAAAACTCAGATTAGATATAATATTGATCAAGTCCACCAGAAAATATTCCTCTAAAAAAATATTTCTCTTTAAATACCCAAAGTGCACAACTATTCTCAGCGTGAGAAACATGAGCGTTATAAAGAAACGGGACAGGCCAGTTGCGGTGGCTCATACCTGTAATCCCAGCACTTTGGGATGCTGAGGCAGGTGGATCACCTGAGGTTAGGAGTTCGAGACCAGTCTGACCAACATGGTGAAACCCTGCCTATACTAAAAATACAAAATTAGCCAGGCATGGTGGCGCATGCCTGTTATCCCAGCTTCTTGGGAGGCTGAGGCAGGAGAATCACTTGAACCCAGGAGGCGGAGATTGCAGTGAGCCCAGATCATGCCATTGCACTCCAGCCTGGGCAATGAGCGAAACTCCGTCTCAAAAAAAAAGAAAAAAGAAAATATTAAAAACAATTGCAACAAAAGCAAAAATTGACAAATGAGACCTAACTAAACCAAAGAGCTTCTTCACAGCAAAGGAAACTATCAACAGAGTAAACAGACAACCTACAGAATAGAATAATATGTTTGCAAACTATGCTGCTGACAAACAACTAATATCCACAATCCATAAAATACTTAAATAAATTTACAAGGAAAAACAAACAACCTTATTAAAAAGGAAGCAAAGAAGATGAACGGATGCTTTTCAAAAGGAGGCATACGTGTGGCTAACAAGCATATGAAAAAAAATACTCATCATTAATTAGAGAAATGCAAAGAAAATACACAATGAGATACCTTCTCACACAAGCCAAAATGGCTATAATTAAAACATCAAAAAATTACAGATGCAGGGCCAAGCGCAGTGGCTCATGCCTGTAATCCTAGCACTTTGGGAGGCCGAGATGGGTGGATCACTTGAGGCCGGGAGTTCGAGAGCAGCCTGGACAACATGGTGAAACCCCATCTCTACTAAAAATAAAAAATATTAGCCAGGCATGGTGGCAAATGCCTGTAATCCCAGCTGTTCAGGAGGCTGAGACATGAGAATCGCTTGAACCTGGGAAGCAGGAGGTGGAGACTGCAATCAGCTGAGATCATGCCACTGCACTCCAGCCTGGGCAACAGAGTGAGACTCTGTCTCAAAAAAAAAAAAAAAAAACCAAAAAAAAACATGCTGGCAAGGTTGTGGAGATAAAGGAGTACTTATACGCTGCTGGTGGGAGTGTAAATTAGTTCAGCCATTGTGAAAAGCAGTTTGGTGATTCCTCAGAGAACTAAAAACAGAATTAGCATTTGACCCAGCACCCTCATAAATGGGTATATGCCCAAAGAAATATAAGTTATTCTGCCATAAAAACACATGCACATTCATGGTCACTGCAGAACTATTCACAATAGCACAGACATGGAATCAACCTGAATCCTTATCAATGGTAAACTGGATAAAGAAAATATAATACAGAAGGGCGGTGGCTCATGCCTGTAATCACAGCAATTTAAGAGGCCGAGGCAGGCAGACTGCCTGAGTTCAAGAGTTTGTGAACAGCCAAGGCAACATGAAGAAACCCCATTTCTAGAAGGCCGGGCGTGGTGGCTCATGCCCGTAATCCCAGCATTTTGGGAGGCCGAGGAGGGCAGATCACCTAAGGTAAGGAGTTCGAGACCAGCCTGGCCAACATGGAGAAACCCTGTCTCTACTAAAAATACAAAATTAGCCAGGCATAGTGGCGCATGCCTGTAAGCCCAGCTACTCAGGAGGCTGAGGCAAGAGAATCACTTGAACCCAGGAGGCAGAGGTTGCGGTGAGCAGAGATCATGCCATTGCACTCCAGCTTGGGCAACAAGAGTGAAACTCCATCTCAAAAAATAATAATAATAAAATAAGAAGAAAATAAAGTAGAATATTTATATAAAAAGAAAAATATAGTATATAAATATCATGGAATACTGTGTGGCCATAAAAAAGAACAAGATCATGTTTTTTGCAGCAACATGGATGAAACTATGACCCATTATCCTTAGAAAACTAATGCTGAAAGACAAAAGCAAATGCATGTTCTTTTTTTTTCTTTTTGAGACAGAGTCTAGCTTTGTCGACCGGGCTGGAATGCAATGGCTAGATCTCAGCTCACCACAACCTCCGCCTCCCGGGTCCAAGCAATTCTCCTGCCTCAGCCTCCTGAGTAGCTGGGATTACAGGCGTGTGCCACCACGCCCGGCTAATTTTTGTGTTTTTAGTAGAGACGGGGTTTCACCATGTTGGTCAGGCTGGTCTCAAACTCCTGACCTCGTGATCCACTCGCCTCAGCCTCCCAAAGTGCTGGGATTACAAGTGTGAGCCACCGTGCCCGGCTCCATGTTCTCATTTCTAAGTAAGAGCTAAATAATAACAACACATGGACACAAAGGGGAAAACAACAGACACTGAGGCCTACCTGGGGGTGGAGAGTGGGAGAACAAAGAAGATTAAAAAACAAAAATCTGTTTGGTGTTATGCTTAGTACCTCAGTGACAAAATAATTTACATCAAACTTCCATGACACAATTTTACCTATATAGTAAACCTGCACGTGTACCCCTAAAACAAAAATAAGAGTTAAGAGAAAGGAACTCAATGGGTGGAGAAGAGTGCAGTGTAGGCAGGACTGGCTTGTGCTACTTATTTCTGGGTCCATGCAGGCAGGTGAGATTATGAACAGGTGGCCCAGAACCCCAAGTTGGTGGAGAAAAGAGGTTGCTGCTGCAGATTCAGTGTCTGGGGGTAGGGATATGCCAAAAATTTGTAGACAATTTTGTGGGATTTTGGCAAAAAACACTAGGATCAAAAATGCCATGGTTAAATTTTTGAGGGTGGTGCCTAGTCCTGGAAGGGCTGTGCACATGTCAATGTCCAGTGGGCATGACTGTGAGTGGGTGGGAATCCTGTGGTGGCAGCTGTGGAAAAATGGGGTCTGTCATCAGAACTCCTTTTCTCTAAGTTTTCAGTCCTCTCTCACCCTAAGAGGAGATCTGGAATCACAGAACAATGAGCAGTGTGACGGCCTGTGTACAGGAAAGCAGAGCCTCTCCTTCCCACACGCCCAGAGTTTTATTCCAGGCCAGGCCTCCATGATATTTTTTCTGGCACCAAATTGTTTGTTAACACCAAACAATTCTTCAACACCAACTCACTGTCTAACATTTGAATTCTGAAACCACCCAGAGTCAGCACAGACCTTGGTTCAGGGCTCAGTCCCACAATATTGTCCTTATTGCAGATGCCAGTCACAAACTCCATGGGCCCATCTACATTTCTTCCTTTCTTTCTTTCTTTCTTTTCTTTTTTCTTTCTTTCTTTTTTTTTTTTTTTAAGCCAGAGTCTCGCTCTGTAGCCCAGGCTGGAGTGCAGTGGCACAATCTCTGCCTCCAGGGTTCAAGTGATTCTCCTGCCTCAGCTTCCCAAGTAGCTGGGATTACAGCCACACACCACCACGCCCAGCTAATTTTTGTATTTTTAGTAGAGACAGGGTTTCACCATGTTGGCCAGGCTCGTCTTGAATTCCTGACTTCAAGGGATCTGCCCACCTCAGCCTCCCAAAATGCTAGGATTACAGGCATGAGTAATCGTGCCATCCCCATCTGTGTTTCTGAGCTACTGTTTAAAAACTGGGGACTTCCATAATCTCCCTCAAGTTCAATAACTTGATAGAGCTACTCACAGACCTCAGCAAAACACTGCAGTTATGCTGACCAGTTTATAATAAAAGATACAACCCAGGAAATGTCAAATGGAAGAAAGATGAAGCATAAAGATAATCCTGGTAAATAGCTATAATAAATAAAATTCTCTATCCTTTTTGTGCTTACCTATCACAGCCAGACATAGACTCTGCAAATCTTTTTCTCATAGAAAAATTGGCTGAATTTGTCTTCAGTGGTCAAAATAGAATACTTGTTAATCAAACTTCACTTAAGTTTATCTTCTTCCCACAGCTCCTGAACTTTGAGCTATTCTCAGTCTGAGCCAAAATAAACCCAATTTTATGTCCCTTCTAAGAACATGCTGACTTCAGGATAAAATATTCTGTGATCTAGAATCTGATTTTTCACCCTCCATTTGCCATTCCCCTACCACCTTCTTTCTAATCTTATTTGCTCCTTCCTATGGAAGAAAGCCCTTGTCTGCCTATCCTTTGCAATCCTTAAATATCTTATGGTTGGTACTTCCTCCTGCTGCAATACTCCTTTAGAATTTAATTTTTTTTTACATAAATCTGACTTTGTTTTATTTCTAAAAGTCTAGAAACTGCCTCAAAGCAAGAATAACTTTATCTTCAGTGAGATCCTTTCAGTCCCATTCCATCTTAACCTTAACTGCGTCTGCCTGAGGGTCCCCAGCTTTCCAGGGCTGTGTAGCTTCTCTCGGAATAAAAGCTTCTTCCATGGCTAGGGTGAGCAGGCTGGGAAATCTGCAGCGGAGGCTCCCCAGGAAGAACTAACGGTGCCTTTAATAACCTCCTTTTGCAGGCTCAATATTAGCCTTAGCTTGGAGTCCCTGGGCTCAAGCTTCAATTTTTATGTCAGTTATTTACTCAGTTTTTAAAACTAAAACATCTAGCAAAATTACTGAAACACAGTGTTCATATGAAGGAAAAAAATTTTAAGGTGCTTACATTTCATACCTCAACAAGAAAACCCAAAGTATCTATTCCTTTCAGACAATAAATGTATTATTTTATTATTTGCATTAAAAATTATGTAGTAAACAATCATATGGGAACATTCCTAAGAGGTACCAAGTTTCATCTTGTAATATTTAGCATTAAAATCAGAAATCAAGATCACAGGCTATAGAACAAAAATATTCACTGTCAGAAATTTACCATACAGAAAGAAAAACTGTTGTTTTCATGAATCTATGCAACTCACCAATTATCTACCACATTTTCTTGTGGAAATGTATTTATTTTCTACAGCCAAAATAAAAGAGAGATTTCCCTATTATTTGCCTTGATAGCATTACAAAATCTAAGCCTTGGAATTCTGTTTGAAATTACCCATAAAAACACACCTGAGAAGTTTCCTAAACTCATTCTGGGAAAAACAAACAAAAACAAACAAACAAAAAAAACGGTAAATGCGAACTCTTAACAAATGGAATATATTTTGAAACTCACCTCTTTTATGCCCTTTGTAAACATTTTCTTTTTAACCTTTCAAGCTCTACTAATAAAATGCAATTTTCAGTTAAGAAACTGAAGTCAATATAAGCAAACAAATCTTTTCAAGGTGGCAAACCCAGGGATTACAGGCGTGGTGGCTCACGCCTGTAATCCCAACACTTTGGGAGGCTGAAGCGGGTGGATTACCTGAGGTCAGGAGTTCAGGACCAGCCTGGCCAACGTGGTGAAACCCCGTCTCTGCTAAAAAATACAAAAATTAGCTGGGTGTGGTGGCAGGCGCCTGTAATCCCAGCTACTCCGGAGGCTTAGAAAGGATAACTGCTTGAACCCGGAAGGCAGAGGATACAGTAAGCCTGGGTGACAAGAGAGAAACTCCATCTCAAAAAAAAAAAAACAACCAACAAACAAAAAAAATCACACACACAGATGTGTCTCAGTCATGTGTCAAGTCAGGTCATCCAATCACTTAGATTCTCCCACCCCACCCTGCTCAGTTAAATGCTCAATGACCCCCTCTGAGGAGACACTGCACTATGCCCCAGTGAGTGCCTCAAGTGCAGTTTACTTTGCAAATTCTTGCACTTTCTCACTGGGGTCAGGTTTTTTTTCCTGTCTTTGGGGATACTATTTTTTTTTCACAAATCTTAGAGAATCCAGGTGGCAGAAATTATTTCTGTTTTGCTCTCAGTACCAGCATCTGATTGGCTGACCAGCAATGTGTCTCCAAGAAATGGAAGATGGGTTAGGTGAAGACAATCTTAATGTCTAAATGTCAGCTTTTCAAAGGAAGAATATGCCAGGAGATGCCTCTCAGCCCCAGGGCATCAACTTCCTCCCTGGAGAGGCTACACTCCATACCTCAGGTTGTCCTATGGCAGAAAACGACCCAGGAGCGGATATTACCTAGACACTGTAGCAGACATAGACACAGTATCTTCGTTTATTCACAGAGAGTACTAAAATCCAGAAGGAGAAAAACACTAAATGGTGACTGCGGACACAAAACCCCATAAAGTTTCCAAAAAAAAAAAATTACCCCAAAACGTTCTCATAAGATCTCTGTGCCTAGGGAAGATAAAGAGAAAGACACACAAAGATTTATTTACAGTACATTGCAAGGGGATTATTCTTTGCTTTCTTCTAAAGGAAAAGACTTAAAAATAGAAAACGAATCTCTTTAAATGTTCCATCCAATGCGCTGTAAAAAAAAAAAGATTAATTAAAATACATTATCAAGAATGTACACCAGGCTGGGCGCAGTGGCTCATGCCTGCAATCCCAGCACTTTGGGAGGCTAAGGCGGGCAGATCACCTGAAGTCAGGTGTTCGATACCAGCCTGGCCAACATGGTGAAACCCCGTCTCCACTAAAAATACAAAAATTAGCCGGGCGTGGTGGTGTATGCTTCTAATCCCAGCTACCTAGGAGGCTGAGGCAGGAAAATCACTTGAGCCTGGGAGGCGGAGGTTGCGGTGAGCCACAGTACTCCAGCCTGAGCAACAGAAGGAGACTCGGAAAAAAAAAAAAAAAAAAAAAAGTACGCTAAAAAACAAATAGCGGCCGGGCGCGGTGTCTCACGCCTGTAATCCCAGCACTTTAGGAGGTCGAGGCGGGTGGATCACCTGAGGTCAGGAGTTCAAGACCAGCCTGCCCAACATGGTCTCTACAAAACCCCGTCTCTACAAAAAATAGCCAGGCGTGGTGGCACGTGCCTATAATCCAGCTACTCGGGAGGCTGAGGCAGGAGAATCGCTTGAACCCGGGAGGTGGAGGTTGCAGTGAGCCGAGATCATGCCATTGCACTCCAGCCTGGGCAACAGAGTGAGACTCTGTTTCAAAAAAGAAAAAAAAAATTAATAATCTTTATTACGGAGGAAAAGTTAGCGTTTGGAATTGTCAGAAGGAGCTGGAAATTTAGTATTTTACTTTAAGCCACAGTTAGGCTAGAGTAAAGGAGGATTGGGGGGTACATTTGAGACCCTTCTTGAAAAACATGTGAAAAATGCAGGGCATAGCCAGAAGCGGTGGCTCACGCCTGTACTCCCAGCACTTTGGGAGGCCGAGGCGGGCGGATCACGAGGTCAGGAGTTTGAAACCATCCTGGCCAACATGGTGAAACCCCGTCTCTACCAAAAATACAAAAATTAGCCGGCCGTGGTGGCAGGCGCCTGTAATCCCAGCTACTCAAGAAGCTGAGACAGGAGAATCGCTTGAAACAGGAAGGCGGAGACTGCAGTGAGCCGAGATTGCGCCACGGTACTCCAGTCTAGGCGAAAGAGTGAAATTCCGTCTCAAAAAAAGAAAAAAAAGAAAATAGTTAAGTGATATGGAATTAGGCTGAGGTGGAAATCTACTCTCTGGATTCCTACTTAAAAAAAAAATCTAACTCAAATGCATTTATTTATTTTTAAAAAATTACTACATTAGAGGAAACGAAATTCAGTCTTAACCAAATATAAACAGCTAATTAAGCTCTGATTACATAATCAGGAAATTTGTAGGCTCAAGGTGGAAATTAGGAAACTACGTAACTGTGCCTGATTACAGAATTTGGGTTTTTTCATCATGCATCTTATAAAAGTCTTTTCTTCAAGCCCCTCTAATGGACCACAAACTACAACCCATAGGGGTGCTCTATAATTTTTGAACAACTCTTTAAATTCTTTAATATTTTTGCGATGACTCCCATAAATATTTCAGAGAAAAGATGAACTAGGAACCCCACGGACCAAAGCTGCTCCCATTCAGGAACTCCTCACCCGAGTCAGGATTCTCCCCTGACGACCCTCCCCTGGTCCCTGCACAATCTGGGAGAGACTCGGCGCTGCGGGTGCAGAGCTGCCCAGAGAGGGCTCCAGGCCAGGGCACGGTCACTGCCAGGGAAGAGACAAGACGCTCGGGCCCGGCTGTCAGTACAGCCGCCATCTTATCGCTGAAGGTGTCTGAGGCCGGGCCAGGCTAGAACTCCGAGCGCAGATTGTGGGGCTGACAGCAGGGAGGCCTGAGTCCCGCCACAGCCACTTCCCACCGGTTCCAACCAGCCCTTCCCCTCTCTCGGGATGTCGGACCCGGTACTCTCACCATTTCTAGGCTTCCAGGGAGTCCTGGCGTCTTAGCTGTGGATCTCCCAATGCATGTAGGTCAGGAGGCCACAGAGACCAGGAACTCAAAAGGCCGCGCCAAATCCCGGAAGCCGCCCTGTCCGCTCTAGCTGCGGGTCTGATTGGACGGCTCTTAGTCAAGCATCCCTGAATGGATGCCGTTTAAGGCCCCGCCCATTCAGGCCTGGAGTGACAGAAGATGTGATCAGATGCTGGGTTCAATGAAGAAAGAGTGACAGCCTAAGCTGTGGCGTTTTCAGGCAGGGCTTCCTCCCTGAAATGAGCCAGGCCCACCTCAGAGGGGATTTGCCATTAACTTTGTTTGAATATGGCTATTCACAAAGGAAAAGAATATAATAACAGCTATTTTAAAATTTCGGCTTTTATGACCTTCCTGGCTTCAGTTCTTTAAAGAGGCAGCCTAAGATTTTATTTATTTATTATTTTTTTTTTTGAGACAGAGTCTCGCTCTTGTCGCCCAGGATGGAGTGCCGTGGCACGATCTCGGCTCACTGCAACCTCTGCCTTCCGGGTTCAAGCGATTCTTCTGCCTCAGCCTCCTGAGTAGCTGGGATTACAGGCGCCTGCCACCATGCCCGGCTAATTTTTGGACTTTTAGTAGAGACGGGGTTTCACCCTGTTGGCCAGACTGGTCTCAAACTCCTGACAGGTGATCCGCCCGCCTCGGCTTCCCAAAGTGCTGGGATTACAGGCGTGAGCCATCGCGCCCGGCCAAGATTTTTTTTAAAAAGGCAATCTTCTGAAATAAAATGTGAGCCACATGTGAATTTTAATTTTTTTTTTTTGATACGGAGTCTCGCTCTGTTGCCCAGGTTGGAGTGCATTCAAACAGTCTCGCCTCACTGCAACCTCCGCCTCCCAGTCTCAAGTGATTGTCCTGCCTCAGCCTCCTGGGTAGCTTGGATTACAGGCATCCGCCACCACACCCAGCTAATTTTTATATTCTTATTAAAGACAAGGTTTCACCATGTTGGGCACGCTGGTCTCGAACTCCTGACCTCAGGTGATCCGCCCGCCTCGGCCTCCCAAAATACTGGGATTGCAGGAGTGAGTCACTGCACCCGGCCATTGCCAAACTTTAAAAAGAAAAAGGTAGTATTCAAGACCATTTCAGCCCTTCACCAAACTAGCACACTGTCGGTTCTCAGGTTTCTACTGTCCTGAGCAAACAAGGTCAGCCAGATTTAAGCTTTGTAAAACAGATTCTGTATCTCAATGGGAGCAGCTGTAAAAGCATCTGGCAATGGGCATGGATATAGGAGGGGTGAAAAATTGCTATGGCCGGGCACGGTGGCTCACGCCTGTCATCCCAGCACTCTGGGAGGCCGAGGTAGGTGAATCACCTGAGGTCAGGAGTTCAAGACCAGCCTGGCCAACATGGCGAAACCCTGTCTCTAAGAAAAATACAAAAATTAGCCGGACATGGTGGTGCGCACCTATAATCCCAGCTACTCAGGAGGCTGAGGCAGGAGAATTGCTTCAACCCAGGAGGCAGAGGTTGCAGTGAGCCAAGATCGCACCACTGCACTCCAGCCTAGGCGACAGAATGAGACTCCATCTCAAAAAGAAAAAGAAAAAAAGAAAAATTGCTGCAATTTTTACAATCAATATTATTCTGCCTTTTTTGCATATGTGGTTTATACAACTCTTTTACATCAAGAAACTTGTCCAAAGACCCACACCTACTAAGTGGCTGGGCTGAAACTCAGAATAAACTGAATTTGTTGATCAATGCTGCCCCATAGATGGGGCTTCTGCAGACCCATGAAATACTGGAGAATTATACTTTTACACTAGAAGCTGGATTTTTTTTTTTTAGATTTGTGCCTGTGTAGTACTCTTTATTATTGAGAATAGTCCTGTCAAGAAATTGCAGAAGCACACGGCGCCTCACACTTGTAATCCTAGCACTTTGGGAGGCTGAGTTGAAAGAATCACTTGGGTTCAGGAGTTCAAGTACAGCCTGGGCAACATAGTAAGATCCTATGTCTATGAAAACAATTTTTAAAAATTAGCCAGGCATGATGTTGCCTGCCTGTAGTCCCAGGTTACTGAACCAGGAGGATTGTGTGAGCCAAGACAATTAAGGCTACAATGAGAAATAATTGGTTACACCACCACACTCTAGCCAGGATAAAAGAGTGAGACACTGTCTCAAAAAAAATTGCAGGAGCATTTTGAACAGACATAGGATAATTTGAAAGAAAAGCTGAGAGATAAGCTTAAAAAGTCAAAGCCCAAGAATATTATTTATTTTTCATCATAGACATAATTTCAAAACTTGTAAAAGAAAAAAAAAACTTTAGAGAAATTAAATTTAACAGGCTTAAACTGAGCAAAAAATGATTTGCAAATCAGATACCCTGTGGATCCAGAGTAGGCTCAGAGATACTCCAGCATAGCTACATGGTGGAAAAAGCAAAGTGGCATACAGAAAATTCAAGGATGTACAGAAAGAGCCATATTGATTACAGCTTAGAATTTGCCTTATTTGAACGTGATTTGAACAGTTGACATTCTTATATTTGCCAATACAATGTGGCTGGTACAAGAATGGGTACAGTCTATTTATTTATCAAGTTAGGTTTCAGTTTAGTATGAAAAAAAACCTATCAAAAAAATTAAACATGAAAGTGGCAGCATTAGAATATAATTAATTTAACAATTTCTCCCTTTTGGTCATCTTCTCAATTTTGAGAGATATATCAAAACTTTAGATATTGATATCACTCTGTTGTCATCAAAAATGTACTTATTGGCCGGGCGTGGTTGTTCACGCCTGTAATCCCAGCACTTTGGAAGGCCGAGGCAGACAGATCACCTGAGGTCAGGAGTTCAAGACCAGCCTGGCCAACATGGTAAAACTCTGTCTCTACAAAAATACAAAAATTAGCCGGGCATGATAGCAGGTGCCTGTAATCCCAGCTACGCCAGAAGCTGAGGCAGGATAATCACTTGAACCCAGGAGGCAGATGTTGTAGTGCACGGAAATCTCGCCGCTGCACTCCAGTCTGGGCCACAGAGCAAGACGGCATCTCAAAAAAAAAAAAAAGAGTACTTACGTAGTGTCAAATCCTACTGTAAAATAGCAGAACTGTGTTTTTTTTTTTTTTAAGTAGAAACATGGGCTTCCGGTTATTTTATTATGTTTGTTTGTTTGTTTATTACTGAGATGAAGTTTCACTCTGTCACCCAGGCTGGAGTGCAAGGGCGCAATCTCAGCTCACTGCAACCTCCTCCTCCCAGGTTCAAACGATTCTCCTGCCTTAGCCTCCCAAGTAGCTGTGATTACAGGTGCCTGCCACCATGCCTGGCTAATTTTTGTATTTTTAGTAGCGATGGAGTTTCACCATGTTGGCCAGACTGGTCTTGAACTCCTGACCTCAAGTGATCCACCCACCTCAGCCTCCCAAAGTGTTAGTATTACAGGTGTGAGCCACCGTGTCTGGCCTATTATTTATTTTTTAAAGGATTAGAAGGGGCTTCCTTGTGTTGAAATCTGCTGTTTCCAGAAGAAAAATATAAACCTGGCCTGTTTTAGGATCTACCTATTTTCTTCAATTTTCAGTTGGATTATGTCACATTTAGCACAGGTGACTCATTTTGGTTTGGTTTGGTCTGTTTGGAACTAGTGTACAAGCTCAGTTTAGAACGATGGCCTCCAATAACTTTGTTTTGTTTTGTTTTTTTGAGAGGGAGTCTCGCTCTGTCACCAGGCTGGAGTGGAATAGCACAATCTCAGCTCACAGCAACCTCTGCCTCCTGGGTTCAAGCGATTCTCTTGCCACAGCCCCCTGAGTAGCTGGGATTACAGGCACGCGCCACCAAACCCAGCTAATTTTTGTATTTTTAGTAGACATGGGGTTTCACCTTGTTGGCCATGATGGTCTCCATCTCCTGACCTTGTGATCTGCCCGCCCCGGCGTCCCAAAGTTCTGGGATTACAGACGTGAGCCACCACCCCCCGCCAACTTTGTTTTTTAAAACCCTGGCTTTTTGGTGAAGTTCTTACGTAGGTCAGAGTGTGACCAAAACTCTAGGCCTTAGTGGCACTCTCAATTTCCATTATTTCGGGTTTTTGTCCTTATAATGTTATTCACAGGTTATGGTGTCTTCATAGTCACATATGTCTTTGAGTTTCTGTCAGGCCAGTCAACAAGAGACTATTTAACATTCTAGAGATGACTGCATGCAAACATTTATAATTTTTGAGAGAATACGGTGCAGTAGGGATACTACAATTTTATTCATTTATTTTTTTTAGATGGAGTTTCACTCTTGTTGCCCTGGCTGGAGTGCAAAGTCACAATCTCAGCTCACTGCAACATCCGCCTCCCGGGTTCAAGTGATTCTCCTGCCTCAGCCTCCTGAGTAGCTGAGATTACAGGCATGTGCCACCACACCCAGCTAATTTTATTTTTGTATTTTTAGTAGAGATGGGGTTTCTCCATTTTGGTCAGGCTGGTCTCGAACTCACGACCTCAGGTGATCCACCCACCTCAACCTCCCAAAGTGCTAGGATTACAGGTGTGAGCCACCACGCCCGGCCTGGGAGACTACTATTTTGACTAGCAGGAGAATAATGCCAAAAGTTGAAACAGGCCAGGCACGGTGGCCTGTTTCCTAACACTTTGGGAGGCCGAGGCAGGCAGATTACCTGAGGTCAGGAGTTCAAGACCAGCCTGGCCAACATGGTGAAATTCTGTCTCTACTAAAAATACTAAAAATTAACCATGTGCAGTAATGCGTACCTATAATCCCAGCCACTCTGGAGGCTGAGGCAGGAGAATCACTTGAACCCAGGAGGTGGAGGTTGTGGTAAGCCAAGATCATGCCACTGCTCTCCAGCCTGAGCTACAGAGCAAGACTTTGTCTCAAACAAACAAACAAACAAACAAAAAAACAAAAAAAAAAAATAGTTGAAACCATGCTTCTTAGCCAAGGTCCCCATGAACAACCAACTAAAATCCAATAGATTAAATAATTAGCTAGATAATGATCTACTCATTTCAACCAAGCAGCCTGTTCATTAATCCCCTACAACTGCATCTCTGTAATACACAATGTATTCTACCATGTGCAACTACAAGTATTAGCAATTACACAAGTAGTTCTCTGTTTATCCAGTAAGTAATCAAAAGAAATTCTATTATTTAGCACAACTTTAGTTAGAACATTTAATACCTATTGTGTAACCACAGCCTTTACATTAGAATCTGCTATACAGCCCTATTTTGGGGGATAAATTCCTAACCATTGCTTCATTTATGCTAAGCCATGGAAAAAATGATCTAACAAATGATGCCCATTCAGAAGAGTAATGGCCTGCTGGCAATGCTCTTTAACCTATTCTGAAGAAGTTATTTTTGACTTATGAAGTAGGTTAAAAGCAGTGGATCAATATTCTGTTTCTGATATTATGAGGCAACAAATGTTTCTTTAAAACTTCTCACTCACATTAGCCCTTCATCTTTTACCTATCAAGGTGAAAGTTTTTTTATATATAAGTTGGCAGCAAAATTCTCTACATATAAGTATACCCCATAAAGAGATACCTTTTTTATTTCTGTTGTTCGTAGAGCCATTAGAAAACTGTGAATGAACCCTTATTGGTTGGATCCAGGTATGACAGTTATCACCATTCCTGTGAGCTGAGTTCATACACGAGTCCGCATTTGACTGGTGGCTGTATCCACATATGATAGTCACAATTCCAACTGTGAACTGTGTTCATGAGTCAGATTCAGGATTTTACCAGTGGGCTGTGTCCATGTGAGAGAGTGACAGTTATAACTGTTGCCTGGGTGTGCATATGAAAGTCACAATCTCACCTCTGTGCTGAGCCCTGTTATAATACTCTCTGTACACTTGACTGCTTTATGTAATATGAGTAAGTGATGTAATCCTTTTTGATATTCATACAATTAGGAAACCCAGGACATTACTGGTTGCCCTAATGTTGGCTATGAAAGTTACAATCTCTCCTATTAGCTGAGTCCAGGTACAAGAGTCATCTTCATCCCTGTTAGCCGGGCATAGGTATATGTCACAATTCCACCTGGGAGCAGAGACCAGGCTAGAGCATCACATCCCCTGGGCACTGGACCAGAAATATGTCACAGTTCCCCTATGGGCAGGACCCAGGCAAGAGAGTCACATCACCTAAATGCTGGGCCTAGTGAAATGTCACAATGCCCCCAGTGGGCAAGGCTCAAAAACAGAATCAGATTACCTGGATGCTCAGCCCAGTGATATGATCCAAGCTTTCCTGTGGGTAAAGCACAGGCAGAAGAAGAGAGTCACATCATCTAGGTGATGAACCCAAAGATATGTCAAAATGTCCCCTGTGAGCAAGGCTAAGGCAGGAGAGTCACATCACCCAGGTGCTAGACTCAGCAATATGTCGTAATTTGCTCTATAAGCAGGGCCTGGGCAGGAGAGGAGAGTCACATTATCTAGGTGCTGGGTCCACTTACATGTCACAATACCATCCTGTGAACACTGCCCATGCAGTAAAATCACATTATCATAATGTTGGGCACTGCAGTATGTCACCATGCCCCTGTATGCAGAAGCCAAACAGGAGAGGATATTCACTTCACCTGGGTGCTGGGCCCAGTGATATGTCACCATCCCTAATGTGGGCAGGGCCCAGACATGGGAGGAGAGTCATATCACCTAGGTGTTGGGCTCAGTGATATGCCACAATGCTCCCAGTGTGTAGGAACCAGGCAGGAGAAAAGAATCACATCACTAATGTGCTGGGCCCAGCAATATGTCAAAATCTCCTTTGAGGGCAGCACCCAGGAAAGAAAGTTACATCACCTAGATTCTTGACTCAATTCATGTCACAACACCATCTAAGGGCTTGGCCTACACAGACGAGTGGAATTACTCAAATGCTAGGCAAATAGGTCTGTAAAAATCACACATTCATGAAGCTTCTGTGGTTAGATTTATAATTCTGCACATGTCTCAGCTTTAGTTATGAGAGTCAACATCTCCTGTGAGTTATGTGCAAGTACAGGACTCACCATTTCAATGATATATCGGATCTGTGAATGAGAGTCCCAATCCCACCCAAGGACGGTGTCCTGGTATGAAAGTCACAGGCTCACCGGCATGTTGAATTCTTTCTCAAGAGTCACTACCCCACCTGTGGATGGGATCCACATATGAGAGTCACAATTTTAACTTTCGATTGCCTCTTAGTGTCAGATTCAGAACCTCAAGGTGATCAGTGTCCCTGTGGGAGGGTGACAACTTTTACATTTGGGTGGGTGTGCATATAAGAATCACAATGTCACCTCCGTGATTGGTACTGCTATGACATTCCATGTACCACTCAAAGGCTTTGTATAATATTCCTGAGAGTCACAATCTGCTCTGAGACTCTTGTGCTGTTATGACCCATGATTGTACCCTTGCCCTAAGCACAGGTATTAGAGTCAACCTCTCTCTAATTTGCTGCATCCAGGTATTAGAGTCATCATTACACCTGTCAGTTGGGTTCAGAAGTTAATTACCATCCTACCTGTGGCTAGATCCACATATACCAGTCACAATTCCAACTGTGAACAGCATTTACATGTGAGATTTGGGACCTTAACTGTAGGCTAAAAACATGTGTGTGGGTAAAAATTCTAACTATTGGCTGGGTGTGCATTTGAGAGTCAAAATTTCACCTGTGTGCTGGGCTTTGTTATGACACTCTCTGCACCAGCTGAAAGCTTTATACAATTTGCATGAGTATTGTAATTTTCTCTGACCTTTCATGCAAGTAACAGACGAAGACTTTACCTGTTGCCCAAAGCCTAGCAGACAGAATCAATATTTCTCCTGGTTTGTGGGTTGAAGTTTGTGGGTGTCATCATTGTACCAGTGACCACGTCCCAGGCATATGTCACAATCCCACCTGTAGCTAGGAACCAGGAAGAAGAGTCACATCACTTGGATGCTAGGACAGGAATATCTCAATCTGCACTATGAGCAGGATCAAGAAAGAAGAGAGTCACACCAACTGGGTTCTGGGCCTAGCGATATTCCACAGTCTTTCATGTTGCAGGTCCCAAGCAGAAGAGGACAGTCACATTACTTAGAAGATGGGCCCAGTAATATGTAACAATGCCCACTGTGGGCAAGGCCCAGGCAAGAGAGGATTGTTGCATTATCCTGGTTTCAGCAATATGTTGTAATTCCCACGGTTAGCAGGGCTTAGCAAAAGAAGTGAGTCACAAAATTTATGTGCTAGTTTAAGCAATAGTTTAAAATCCCTTCTGTTGGCAGGGGCCAGGCAGCAGAGAAGACTCAAATTACCTAGGTGCTGGGTCCAGCAACATGTCATAAGTTCTTCTGAGGGTGAGATCCAGGCATAAGCAAAGACTCATTTAACTTATGTAATTGGCCCAGAAATATGTCACAGTGTCTTATGTGGGGAGAACTATGGCAGAAGAAGTACATCACATAGGTGCTGGGCTCAGTGATATGACACAATCTTTCTTGTAGGCAAGGCCTAGGCACAAGAGGAGAGTCACATCACCCACGTGCTGGATTCAGAAATATGTCACAATTACTTCTAAGTGACAGGTTCAGGCAGATGAGAAGAGTCATATTACCTTGGTGCTTGGCCTTGGTATATGTCACAATTCCATCTATGGGCTGGGCTCAGGCAGGAAACTAAAATCACTCAGGGTATGGGCAAAGACATATGCCACAATCACACCTGCAGAAAGATTCAGGGATGAGATAAACAATCCCAAACACTTCCAGCTCTAGAGATCATAGTCAAGATCTTCTGAGTGTTTGGTCTAAGTATGCGAGTCAGAATCTCAATAGTAGACTGGATTTGTGCATGACAGCCTCAATTCTTAGACTGTGTCCTGGTAGAAGAGTCACAGCCTCACCGGTGTGTTGAATGTTGGTCCAAGATTCACTATCTCGTCTGTGGACCTGATCCTCATATGAGAGTCACAATTCTAACTTTCAGCTCCTTTGAGTTTGAGATTCAGAACCTCAACAGTGGACTGTGGCTATTTAAGAAGGTGAAAATTCTTACTGTGAACTGGGCGTGCATACCAGAGTCACTATCTCACCTGTGCACTGGGCCCTGTTACCACACTCTTGGTGACACCTGAGGGCTTTATACGGTATGCCTGAGAGCCACAACCCACTCTTGGATCTATGTGCTGGTATAAACTCATAATCTTACCCATTGTCCTAAGCCCAGGAATGAGAGCTAACATCTCTCTTATTGGCTAGATCCAGGTGTGAGAGTTCTCACTATGCCTGTGAGTTGGATACAGAAGTGAGTCACCATTTTACCTGTGGCCAGATCCAAATATAACAGTCACAATTTCAACTGTGGACTGCATCCACATGTGATATTTAGGACCAAACCAGAAGTCTTTTTCCATTTGTGAGAATGACAGCCCTCATTGTTGGCAGGGTATGCCTATGAGAATCACAATTTTTTTCTTTTTTGAGATGGAGTCTCACTCTGTTGTCCAGGCTGGAGTGCAGTGGCGCGATCTCAGCTCACTGCAAGCTTTGCCTCCCAGGTTCACGCAATTCTCCTGCCTCAGCCTCCTGAGTAGCTGGGACTACAGGCACCCACCACCACACCCAGCTAATTTTTTGTATTTTTAGTAGTGACAGCGTTTCACCATGTTAGCCAGGATGGTCTTGATCTCCTGACCTCGTGATCCGCCTGCCTCGGCCTCCCAAACTGATGGAATTACAGGCATGCGCCACTGCCCCCAGCTGAGAATCACAATTTTAACTGTGTGCTGGAAACTGTTATGACACTCTCTGTACCATTGGAAGGGATCATACAACATGCATGAGTTTTACAATCTTCTGTGACCTTCATACAAGTAGAAAGCCCAGGACCTTGCCCATTGCTTGAAGGCTACCTATAAGAGTCAACATATCTCCTATTGGCTAGGTCCAGGTAATGCAACTAATCACTGTGCCTCTGAGCTGGGTCCAGAAATCAGTCACTATTCAACCTGTTCCCAGATTTACATATGACAGTCAGAATTTTAACTGTGAACTGCATCTGCATGTGAGGTTCAGGACATCACCAGTGTGCTTCTTTCATGTTTGGAAGTGACAATCCTAATTGTTGGCTTGGTATGCCTGTGAGAAGTCACAATCTTACCTGTGTGGTAGACCCTATTATTACATTCTCTGTAGCACACAAAGTATTTCTAAAGTATGCATAATTTTTTTTGAGATGGAGTCTCGCTCTTGTCACCCAGACTGGAGTACGATGGCATGATATCAGCTCACTGCAACCTCTGCCACCCGGGTTCAAGTGATTCTCCTGCCTCAGCCTCCTGAGTAGCTGGGATTACAGACGCACACCACCACAACTGGCTAATTTTTTGTATTTTTAGTAGAGATGGGGTTTCACCATATTGGGCAGGCTGGTCTTGAACTCCTGACCTCAGGTGATCCACCCGCCTTGGCCCCCCAGAGGACTGGGATTACAGGCATGAGCCACTGCACCTGGCCAATTATGCATAAATTTTATAAACCTCTGTGACCTTTCTAAACGTAGGTGATCCAGGACTCTACCCACTGTCCAAAATCTAGCTAAGAGAGTCAAAATTACTCTTATTGGCTGGGTTCCCATATAAGCTTGACTATAATGTCTAAGAGCTTGAAAATACATATGTCTAAATTTAAGCTGTGTGAATGGAGCAGGCAAGAGATTCAGATCACCTGAATGCTGGACCAAAAATACGTCAATGTCCACTCTGTGGGCAGGGCTGTGGCAGTAAAGTCACATAACCTGGGTACTGGGCCCAGGAGTATTTCACAGTGCCTTCTGTGGGCAGGGTTCAGGCAGGAAAGTCACATTATCTGCATGCAGGACACAGCAATATGTCACAATCCACCCTGTGTAAAGGGCCCAGGCAGGAGAGAATATATAACCTAGGCGATGGGTCCAGCAGGATGTCACAATTCTCCCTGAGGACAGGGTCTACGCAGGAGAGTAAAATACCTTAGATGCTTGCACCAGGCATGTGTCACAATTCCATTTTGAGGCTTTACCCAGGCAGGATAGTCAAATCACTCAGGTGCTGGACCAAGGTATATGTCACAATCACGCCTGCAAGCAGGTCCAGAAATGAGATTCAAAATTCCATACATTTTCTGGCTCCAGGTATGAAAGTCAAGACCTTCTTTATGTTTGGTCCAAGTACATGAGTCACCGTCTTAATGGTGGACTGTATTCCTGCGTGAAGACACAATTTCAAATGCAAACTGAGTCTCAATATCTGAATCACAGCCTCACAGCTGTGCTGAATCCTGTTCATTGAGTTACCATTCTACCTATGGACAAGATCCATGTATGAGAGTCACAATTCCAACTTTTGACTACCTCCACGTGGGAGATTCACAGCCTCAACAGTGGATGGTTTCCATTTAGGAGGGTGACAATGTTTACTGTTGGCTGAGTGTGCATAGGAGAGTCACAGTTTTACCTGTGTTCTCAAAAGTGGGCTCTGTTCATATGTAAGGGTGACAGTTCTAATGGTTCACAGGGTGTGCATATGAGAAACACCGTATCACGTGTGTGCCGTGCTGGACCATATGATGACACTTTCTGTCCCATCAAACTGCTTTATACCATAAGCAAGAGAGTGGTAATTTGATATTATTTTTATGCAAACAGGAGACCCAGGATCTTACCTGTTTCTCTAAACCTAGCTAGAAGAGACAGTATATCTCTTATTGGATGGTTTGAGGTATTAGAGTCATTATTGCATCTATGATCTGAACAAAGACATATGTCACAATCCCACCTGTGGATAGGAAGGAAGCAGGAGAGTCACATTACCTGGGTCTTGAGTCAGGAATATATTATAATATTCTCTGAGAGAAGGGACCCGGAAGAAGAGTCACATCATCTGGTTTTCTGCCAGGGATATGTGAATATCCTCTAATGAAAGCAGGGCACAGGCAGCAGAGTCAAATCACTTGGGTGCTGAGTCCAGTGATATGTCACAATTCTCCCTGTGAACAAGGCCTAGGCAGGAGAGACACACCACCTGGTTTGGGGGCCCATGAGTATTTCACAATTTTTCCTATGGGCAGCGTGCAGGCAGAAAAGGGTCACATCTTTTAAGTGACACGTGCAGAGATATGTCATGAGGTCCACTGTGAGCATGGCAGAGAAAGGAGATTTCCAACCCCTAGGTGTTGGGCCCAGCCATGTATCAGAATACTAAAAATATGTGGGGGCTGGATAAAATAGGAGAGTCACATCACCTGGGTGCTTGGTCCAGTGATATGTTACAATCCCCCCTTTTGGCATGGCCCAGGCAGAAAAGGAGAGTCACATAACACAGGTAATAAATGAAAAGACATGTCATAGTATGCTGTATGAAAGCTCCAGGCAGAAGAGTCAAATCACCTAGGTGTTTGACCCACACATATGTCACAATACACAATGTATGCAGGGCCTGGGAAAAAGAGGAGAATCACTTCACTTAGGTGCTGACCCTAGTGATACATCACAGTCCCATTTTGCTCAGAGCCCATCCAGTATGGGACAGTCACATCACCTAGATGGTGGGTTCAGCAATATGTTACAACACCCCCTGAAAATAGGTTTTAGGCAGGATAGTTACATATTGTACGTCAGAGGCCAAGAGATATGTTGCAATGCTTTCTGTGGTCAGGACTCACAAAGTAAAAAAGAGTGCCATAATTTAAAAACTGGGATCAGCTGTATGTCAAAATCACCCTAGATGGCAGGGGTCAGTTATGAGAGCAGTCACATCACATAGGTGCTGGGCCAAGTGACATATCACAGTCCTGTCAAAAGGTCCTAGGAAGAAAACTATAGTCATATCACCTAGGTGATGGGCCTAAAGATATGTCATAATAAACCCTGTGAGCAGTGACCAGGAGGAAGAATTACATCACCTATGTGCTGGGCCCAGTGAAAAGTCACTCTCCCTTTTGTGGGCATGGCCCAGGCAGAAGAGGACAGTCATGTAACCTAGGTCATGGAGATATATCACAATCTCTCCTATGCTAAAAGCCCAGGCAAAAGAGTAAAGTTACATCAAATTGTTGATGGACACAGAGATAAGTCACATTGCCTCCTGTGGGCAGGATTCAGGCAAGAACTGGGCATCACCTTGGTGCTGGACTCAGCAATACATCACAATGACTTTTGAGGGCAGGGCCAAAGCAGAAGAAAAACATCACCTTGCTGTTGAGCCTAGTGATATGTCACTATCTCCCCTACAGGCAGGACCTAGAAAGAAGAATCATATCAGCTAGGTGCTGGGCCTAAGAATTAGTCAAAATCCCTCTGATGAGCAGGGACTATGCAGGAGAAGAGTCACATCACCTGAGTAATAGGTGCAGAGATATGTCACAATTCCCTCTGTAGGCAGAGCCCAGGCAAGTGGGTTACATGACCATAGTGTTGGATGCAGCAATATAGCACAATGGCATATCTGGGCAGGGCACAGGCAGAAGAGTCTCATAACCTGGGTGCTGGGTTCAGTGATACATCACAAAGCCCCACTGCAAACAGCACCAAGGGAGAAAAATATAATTGCATCACCTAGGTGCTGGGTCCACTGGTATGTAACAATCACATCTGTGGGCTTGGGTCATACAGGAAAGTAAAATCACTCAGGTACTGGGCAGAAACATATGCCACAATTACACCTGCAAGAAAGTCCATAGATATGACTAACAGTCTCCCAAATGTCCTGGATTTAGATATGAGAATCAACATCTCCTGTATGTCAGATAAAAGTACATGAGTCACAATCTCAATTGTAGACTGGACCCTTGCATGGGAGACTCAATCCCTCCTGCAAACTGTGTCCCCTTGGTGAAGTTGCAGCCTCTAAGGTGTGTCTATCTTGGTCTTAGTCATCAACACACCTGTGGACTGGATCCATGTATGAGAGTCAATTATTCAATTTGTGAGTTCTTCTGGGTGTGAGGTTTAGAACCTCAACTGAGGGCTGTATTCATGTGGAAGGATGACAATTTTTAGTGTCATCTGTGTGTGAATATGTGTGTCACAATTTCACCTGCGTGCTGGGCCTTGTTAGAGCAATCTGTGTACCACCTGATGAATTTATATGATATACCTAAGAGTGGCATTCCACTCTGAGACCTTTATGCTGCTATGGACCAATGACTGTACCTGTGAAATTAAGCCCAGGTATGAGAGTCATCATCTCTCCAAGTAACTGGGTTTACATAGAAGAGTTCTCCCCTGCCTATTAGCTAGGTTTAGAAATGAATAACCATCTCAACTGTGGCTGGATATTTACATATGACCGTCACAGTTCCAACTTTGAACTGCATCTGAGTGTGAGATTCAGAACCTCAGAAGTGTGCTCTGTTTATTCATGAGAGTATCAATCCTAATGGTTGGCACAGTGTGCACATGAAAAACACAATCTCACCTGTGTGCTGGGCCCTGTGATGACACTGTATGCCACCCAAAGGCGTTATATGACATGTGAGACAGTGGTACTCACCTACAACCTTTGTATAAAGAAGAGACCTAAGGATTTATTCATTTCCCTTAAGCCTTTCTGTGAGAGATAGCATTTCTTCTATTGGCTAATTCAACGTATCAATCATAATCATACCTATGAGCTGGGCAAAGATACATGTCACAATCCTACCTGTGGTTATAGAGTAAGCAAGAAAGTTTCATCACTTTGGTTTTGGGCTAGCGATATGTCACAATTCTTCCTAAAGGCAGGGTCCAGAAAGGAGTCACATCACCTCAGTGCTGGGCCCAGCAATATGTCACAGTGCTCCCAGTGGGCAAGGTCCAAGCAGGACAGACACCTCACCTAATTGCTGGGCCCAGTGATATGTCATAATCTTTCTATAGAAAGAGTGCAAGCGGAAGAGGAGAGTCACATCTCATACATAATGAATTCAGAAATATGTCACAAGGGCTGCTGTAGGCATAGCCTAGGCAGGAGCTTCTTATCTCTTTGGTGTTTGGTGCAGTGATATGTCACAATACCCAAAATATGTAGGGCCCAGGCAATAGAAGAGAATTACATAACTTAGGTGCCGGGTCCAGTGATATTTCACAATTCTCAAATTAGGCAGGGCCAAGGCAGAAGAAGATAGTCACATCACCTAAGTAATAAATAAAAAATGCATCGTAATACATCTCTAGGCAGGGCCTTTGTAAGATAGTTGCATCACCTAGCTGTTGGATTCAGCCATATTTTCAAATACGCAATGTATGCAGTGCCCAGGAAAAAGAGGAGAGTCAAATTACCTAGGTACTGGGCAGAGAGACACTTCACAATTCCTCATTGGGCACAGCCCAAGCAGTGGAAAATAGCCGCATCACCTAGGTGCTGGTTACAGCAGTTATGTCACAATATCCCTTGAAACAAGGGTGAGGCAGGAGAGTCACATCACCCATGTGAGGGACCCAAAGATATGTCACACTATCTTGTGTAGGCAGAGGAAAGGCTGGAGGATCATATCACCTGGGTGCTGGACTCAGCAATATGTTACAATGGCCCATGTGGGCAAAACACAGGCAGGACAGTCACATAGCCTATGTGCAAGGAGCAGTGATATGTCAAAATTCTCTCTATGGTCAGAACCAAGACAAGAGTGTAGATTCGCATTGACTAAATGCTGGATGCAGCAAGATGTCACTATCCAATCTGTGGGCTGAGCCCAGGCAGGACAGTAAATCTGCTCAAGTGCTAGGCTGAGGTATACGTCACAATCACAGCTGCAGGAAGGTCCAGAGAAGAGATTAACAATCCTGCACTTCTTGGTTTTAGGTATAAGAGGCGCCACCTCCTGTATGTTGGGTCTAAGTTTATAACCCACAATCTCAACAGTTTACTGAATCTGTTCATAAAAGCCTTAATCCCTCCTGCAGACAGTGTCCCTTTAGTGAAGTCAATGCCTCATAGATATGCTGGATCTTGGTCTGAGAGTCACCAACCCATCTGTGAACTGAATCCATTTATGCATCAATTTTTCAATTTCAACTTACTTTGGGTGTGAGATCCAGAACCTAAACAGTGGCCTGTGTTTATCCAGAAGAATGACAATATTTACTGTCAGCTTGGTGTATATATGAGTGTCACAATCTCACCTGCGTGCTGTGCTCTGTTAGGACACCCTCTGTACCACCAAAGGGCTTTCTACAATATACATTAAAGTCACAATATGCTCTGAGACATTTGTGCTCATATAGACCCATGATCCTTCCTGTGGCCCCAAGCCCAGTAATGAGAGTCAACATCTCTCCAGTTGGATATGTCCAGATAGAAGAGATTTAACCTGCCAGAATTAGAAATACATCACCATCCCAATTGTAGCTGGGTGTTCACATATGACAGTCACAATCTGAACTGTGGGCTGTGTCAACGTGTGAAATTCAGGACCTCTCCAATGGGCTCTGTCCTTGTGTCAGGGTGACAGTCTTAACAGTTGATGGGATTCACATACAAGAAACACAATCTCACTTTTATTGTGCCCTGTGATGACATTTTCTGTACCCCTCAAGGGCTTTATATGATATGTAAAAGAACAGTAATCCTTTATGGCCTTTACACAAAGAGGAGACCCATGATCTTACTCATTTTCCTAAGTCTAGCTATCGGAGGTAGTGTCTCTTCTATTAGCTGGTTTGAGGTATGAGGTAACCAATGCACCTGGTAGCTGGCCAAAATATATGTCACAATTCTACCTGTGGCTAGGGAGCAACCAGGAAAGTCACATCAAGTAGGTTTTTGGCAAGGGTATGTCAAAATCTTCCCTGAGGGCAGAAACCACGCGGGAGTCATATCACCTAGGTACTCAGCCACAGATATAGTACAATCCCCTCCTGAAAGCAGAGCACAGGCAGCAAAGCCATATCACCTGGGTGCTGAACTCAGTGATATGTCACAATGCTCCCTCTGGGCACAGCCTTGGCAGGACAGACACATCACCTGGTGCCTGGGTCCAGTGATATATCACAACATTTTCTGTGGACAGGATGCAGGCAAAAGAGGAAACTCACATATCTTAGGTGTCAGATACAGAAATATTTTACAAGGCCCCTTGTGGGCAAGCCAGAGCATCCCAGCCCAAAGGAATGACACCTAGCAATATGTAACAATACCTAAAATATGTGGGGCCCAGGAAAAACAGAAAAGTAGCATAACCTAGATTCTGGGCCCAGTGATATGTCAGAATTCTCCCTTTCAGCAGGGTTCAGGCAGAAAAGGAGAGTCACATCCCCTAGGTGATAAATGAACAGATATATTATAATACCTCTGTAGGCGAGCCCAAGCAGGAGATTTGCATTATGAAAGTGTTGGGTCCAGGTAGGAGAGAAAAATCATATCACCTAGGTGATAGGCCCAGTGACATATCACAATCTGTTCTTGGGCAGAGACCAAGCAATAGAGGAAAGTCACTTCACCTGGGTTCTAGGGCCAGTGATATGTCACTATGCTGTCTGTGAAAAGTGCTAAGGCAAAAGTATAGGCTCACGTCACCTAGGTATGAGTTCAGTGATATGCCACAATTCCATCTGTAGGGCCCAGGCAGAAAGGTTAAATCACTCAGGTGCTGGGAAGAGGCATATGTCACAATCACATGTGCAAGAAGGTCTAGGGATGAGATTAAGAATCCCACACATGTCCTGGTTCTAGGTATGAGAGTCAATACCTGCTGTATGTTGTGTCTAATTACATGAGTCACCATCTCAAAGGTGGTCTGGATCTGTATTTGAAAGCCTCAATCTCTCCTGTGAATTGTGTTCCCCTAGTGGAGTCAGAGGCTCACAGGTGTCCTGAATCTTGCTTTGAGAGTCAACAAAACATCTGTGGACCAGAACCACATATGTAATTCAATTTTCCAACTTTCAGCTGTCTTTGTGTGTGAGGTTCAAAGTCTCAACAGTGGGCCATGTTCATATGGGAGAATGACAGTCTTTACTGTTGGCAGGGTGTGCACATGAGTGTGATAATCTCACCTGTGTGCTTGGCCCTATTACGTCACTCTTTGTACTATCCTAGGGCTTTATACAGTTTGAATGAGAGTTACAATCGAGTCTGAGACTTTCATGCTGGTATAAACCTATGAGTGCATCTAAGGTAATTAAGCCCAGATATGAGTCAACATCTTTTCAATTTTCTGAATCCAGATACAAGAGCCTTCATCTTCCTATGAGCTTCATTTAAAAATGTTTTGCTGGCCGGGCGTGGTGGCTTACACCTATAATCCCAGCACTTTGGGAGGCCGAGGTGGGCGGATCATAAGATCATAAGATCACAAGACCAGACTGGCCAACATAGTGAAACCCCATCTCTACTAAAAATACAAAAATTAGCCGGGCTTGGTGGCACACGCCTGTAGTCCCAGCTACTCGGGTGGCTGAGGTAGGAGAATCGCTTGAACCTGGGAGCTGGAGGTTGTGGTGAGCCAAGATCAAGCCACTGCACTCCAGCATGAGCAACAGAGCAACACTCCATCTCAAAAAAAAAAACAAAAAAGTTTTGCTACCCCAAATTTGACCAGATGCTCACATATGATAGTCAGTTTTTTTGTTTGTTTGTTTGTTTTTGAGACGGAGTCTCACTCTGTCATCCAGGCGGGAGTGCAGTGGCTCAATCTTGGCTCACTGCAACACCCACCTCCTGGATTCAAGCAATTCTCCTGCCTCAGCCTCCCAAGCAGCTGTGATTACAGACACCCGCCACAATGCCTGACTAATTTTTGTATTTTTAGTAGAAATGGGCCATGTGAGCAGGGAACAAATAGGAGAATAACATAAACTGGGTTTGGGACCCAGGAATATATCAGTGTCCCCTGTAGGCATTGCCAAGAAAAGAAAGACTTACATTACTTGGATGCAAGGCCCAGTGATAAGTTGCAATCCTCCCCCCTCCAACCCTAGGGGCAGCACAAAGGCAGGAGTATGGAGTCACAACTCCTAAGTGCTGGGTTCTGCCATATGTCACACTTGCATCTATGGACTGGGCCCAGGCAGGAGAGTCAAATCACTCAAGTACTAAGCAGAGACATATGTCACAATAACACCTGCAAGACAATTTGGAGATTAGATTAACAATCTTACACATGTCCCATTTCTAAATTTGAGAGTCAACACCTCCACCAGTCTGGCCAACATGGTGAAACTCCGTCTCTACTAAAAATACAAAAATTAGCCAGGCATGGTGGCGGGTGCCTGTAATCCCAGCTACTTGGGAGGCTGAGGCAAGAGAATCGCTTGAACCCAGGAGGTGGAGGTTGCAGTCAGCCAAGATCATGACACCGTACTCCAGCCTGGGTGACAAAGTGAGACTCTGTCACAAAAACAAAACAAAACAAAAACAAACAAACAAACAAAAAAAACACCTTCTATATGTTGAGTCTAAGTACAAGAGTCACAGTCTCAATGGTGCACTTGATTCGTTTACGAGGGCCTCAGTTTCTCCTACAGACTGTGGATGCTTACTGGAGTCACAGACTCACAGGTGTGCTGAATATTGGTCTGAGCATCACCAACCCACCTGTGAACTGAATCTACATATAAGAGTCAATTTCGTACCTTTAAACTGTTTTCATGAGGGAGACTTGGGACCTCAACAGTGGGCTGTGTTCATGTCAAAAGAGGACAATTTTTACTGTTGACTGGGTTTGCATATGAGTGTCACAATCTCACCTGTGCGCTAGGTTCTTTAAGACCCAGTACCACCCGAGAGCTTTCTGCAGTATTAGTGAGAGTTACAAACTGCTCTATGACCTTCATGATGGTATGGACCCATGATTGTACCTGTGGAACTAAGCTCAGTTGTGAGAGTCAACATCTCTATAATGGGCTGGTTCCAGATAAAAGAGTCCTCACCTGCCTAGGAGCTAGGTTGAAAATCACCATGCCAATTGCAGCTGGATGTTCACATATGACAATCACAATTTCAACTGTAGACTGCATTCACGTGTGAAATTCAAGACCTTACCAGTAGGCTCTGTTCATGCGTGAGGGTGACAATCCTGATGGATGACAGGGTGTGCACACAAGAAATGTCATGTTGGCCGGGTGAGGTGGCTCACACCTGTAATCCCAGCACTTTAGGAGGCTGAGGCAGGTGGATCACGAGGTCAGGGATCGAGACCATTCTGGCTAACACGGTGAAACTCCGTCTCTACTAAAAATACAAAAAATTAGCCAAGCGTGGTGGCGGGCACCTGTAGTCTCAGCTATTGGGAAGGCTGAGACAAGAGAACTGCTTGAATCCGGGAGGCGGAGGTTGTAGTGAGCACCAATATTGTGCCACTGCACTCCAGCCTGGGGGACAGAGAGGGACTCCGTCTCAAAAAATAAGAAATGCCATGTCACCTGTGTGCTGGGCCCTGTGATGACACCCTCTGTAACACATGAGGGGCTGATGTGATATATAAGACAGCAGACATCCACTGTGATCTTCATACAGAGAGGAGAAATGGGATCTTATCTATTTCCCAAAGCCTAGCTTCAAAAGATAGTGTCTCTCCTATTGGTTGGTTTGAGGTATGAAAGTTACTATCTCACTGATGAGTTGAACGAAGATATACTTCACAATCCTACCTGTGGATAGAGAGTGACAGGAGAGTCACATCATTTTGATGCTAGGCCAGGGATATATCGCAATCTTCTCTGACGGCAGGAACCAGAGAGAAGAGTCACATCACCTGGGTACTCAGCCAGGTCTATGTTACAATCCTATTCTGAAAGCAGGACACAGGCAGGGCACAGGCAGCAGAGTCACAGCACCTGGGTGCTGGGCCCAGTGATATGTCACAATGGTCCCTGTGAGCAAGGCCTAGGAAAAGGAAACACATCATCCTGTTGCTGGGTCAATGTTATATCACAACCTTCCCTGTGAGCAGGGTGAAGGCAGCAGGGGAGAGTCACATCTCCTAGGTGACAAATGCAGAGATATGTCACGAGGCTCTTGAGAGTGGTAGGGCTAAAGTTCTGTTTACAGTACACAGGTCGGCACCTCCCATCTTCTAGATGTTTGGCCCAGTGATATGTCATGGTACTCAGAATATGTGGGGCCCATTCAAAAGACAGAAGTCACATTACCTAGGCATTAGGCCCAGTGATATGTCACCATCCATATTTTGGCAGGGGTCTGGCAGAAAGAGAAAGGCAAATCGCCTAAATCGTGAATGTAAAAATATATCATAATACCCCTGTTGGGCAGGGCCCTTGCAGTAGAGTCACCTCACCTAGATATTGGGCCCTGTTATATGTCACAATACACAATGCATGCAGCGTTACAGTAGGTAGCTAGTCAGGTATGAACAGGGCAAGTGAGGGCCCCACACACACACCAGGAGAGTCAGTCAATGATCAGGTGATGGTCAGGTGAGGCAGTTGTTAGCTGTCCCTCTAAAGTAATAATTGGTTACAGCACAGCTGGCACTAGTGAAAGGCAGTCTCTTAATAGATAGAAAACAGCTGAAACTGGTGATCAGCAGCTTCCCAATAAGATCTCAGGAGTTGGGTGAATGGGGAGAAGTAATTCAAGACTCCAGAAGTATGCCAACATACAAAACCCCAGCTCCAAAGGTCAAACTGTGCACTTGCCTTTTAAGTCATCCACTTGGTCCTCTTCCAAGTGTACATTTTTTCCTTTTGTTCCTGTTCTAATAAACTTTCACTCCTGCTCTATTACTTGCCTTGGTCTCTCCTTCTGCCTTATGCCCCTCAGTTGAGTTTTTTTCTTCTGAGGAGGCAAGAATTGAGGTTGCTGCAGACCTGTACCCATACGGATTCACTACCAGTAACAGGTAACAGGTAGGAGAGAACAGTAATATTTCCTAGGTGCTTGATCCAAACATGTCACAATAGCCTCTTTGGGGAGGGCCCAGATGAAAGAGTCCCATTATCTAGGTGAAGTGTTTAGAGATAGGTCACAATGCTCCCTGTGGGCAGGACTCAGGAAGAGAAGAGTCACATAACCTAGTAGCTGTGCCCAGCTATATGTCATGATCAGCCCAGTGGGAAGGGCCAAGGCATCAGATGAGAGACAGATCACGTAGGTGCTGGGTCAAGTGATATGTCACAATCTCCTTTGTGGATGGGACCAGGGAAGGAAAAGAGTCTCACATCACCTAGGAGGAGAGCCCAAAAATATGTAACAGTGATTCTTGTGGGCAATAATCAAGGCAGTAGAATGGAATCACCTGTGTGCTGGACCCATGGATAAGTCAGTCTTTCTTTTGTAGGCATGGGCCAGGCACACTTATATCAACTAGGTGCTGGGCCCACAGAAATGTTACATTCTCTCCTATGGGCAAAGAGCAGGCATAACAAGATAATCGCTTCAAATAGTTTTGAACTTTCAGAGATATGTCACGATGATCTCTGTGGTCAGAGACCACACAGAAGACTCACATCATGTTGGTGGTGGGCCCAACAATATGTCCCAATGTTTTCTGAGAAGAAGGTCAAGGTAAAAGAGTAATGTCACTTTGGTATTGGTCCCAGCAATATGTCATTATCTCCCATGTGAGCAGAGACCAGGTAAGAGAAGAGAATCACATCATCTTAGTTATGAGCACAGACATATGTCACAAAGCCCCAAGTAGGTAGTGCCAAGGCAGGCGAATAGTGTCATATCACCTAGGTGATATGCCACAATCCAATCTGTCAGCTAAGACCTCACAAGAGAGTCAAATCACTCAGGTGCTGGGAGAGGCATATGTCACAATAACATCTGCAATAAGATCCAGGGGTGAGACTAATAATTCCACACATGGCCAAGCGCAGTGGCTCACACCCGTAATCCCAGCACTTTGGGAGGCTGAGGCAGGCAGATCACCTGAGGTCAAGAGTTCAAGACCAGCCTGGCCAACATGATGAAACCTTGTCTCCACTAAAAATACAAAAATTAGCTGGACGTTGTGATGCATGCCTGTAATCCCAGTTACTGTGGAGGCTGAGAAAGGAGAATCACTTGAACCCAGGAGGTGAAGATTGAAGTGAGCCAAGATCACGCCACTGTACTCCAGCCTGGTTGACAGAGCAAGACTCCATCTCAAAAAAAAAAGGAAAATAATAATAATTTCACACATGTCCCAGTTCTAGGTATAA
The DNA here is from genome assembly GCF_000001405.40 of Homo sapiens. Lineage (NCBI taxonomy): Eukaryota > Metazoa > Chordata > Mammalia > Primates > Hominidae > Homo > Homo sapiens. Next base: position 22,809,219 of record NC_000019.10, on the reverse strand, counting down.
GAGTCAACACCTCCTGAATGTTGAGTCTAAGTACATAAGTCACAATCTCAGCAGTGGACTGCATCAAAGCCTCTATTCCTCCTGCAAACTTTGTCTTCTTAGTAAAGTCACAGCCTTACAGGTTTGCTGAATCACGGTGTGAGAGTCAACAACCAGCCTGTAAACCAGATCCATGTGTGCAAGTCGATTTTCCATCTTTTGATTGCATGTGGGTGTAGGACTCGGAACCTCAACAGTGGGCTGTGTGATGTCACCAGCTGAAGGGCTATTCATGCACAGAAAAGTTGTTATTTTATCATCATCATTTCTATTGCTTTTACCTTGCTAAGAATACATATGTAGCTTATAATATAATTGTGCTAGAAAACCATAAGGGTTTTGGTTAAATTACCTGTTATTGTAAGTTATGAAATAGACAAAAATTTGGCAAAAACAGATTAAAATTATACAACCTTGGTGTCAAGTTTCTCTTGGGCAAGCTTAGGAGAGACAGACCTGGAAATACCCCTGTAAAAGGCTAATCAGAATCTCAGAAAAATTGCAACCAACCATTAGTCCTTTATCTACCTATGACCTGGAAGCTCCTGCCCTGCTTCGAGTTCTCCCACCTTCTTGGACGATGTACATCTTCCATATATTGATTGATGTTTCCTGTCTCCTAAAATGTATAAAATCAGGGCTGGGCACGGTGGCTCACGCCTGTAATCCCAGCACTTTGGGAGGCCGAGGCAGGCGGATCACGAGGTCAGGAGATCGAGACCCTCCTGGCTAACACGGTGAAACCCTGTCTCTACTAAAAATACAAAAAATTAGCTGGGCGTGGTGGCGGGCGCCTGTAGTCCCAGCTACCCAGGAGGCTGAGGCAGGAGAATTGCTTGAACCCGGGAGGCAAATGTTGCGGTGAGCAGAGATTGCACCACTGCGCTCCAGCCTGGGCAACAAGGGCGAAACTCCGTCTCAAAAAAAAAAAAAAGCATAAAATCAAGCTGTGCCCCAATCACCTTGGGCACGCATTGTCACCACCTCCTGAGGCTGTGTCACAGGTGTGCCCTTAATCTTGGCAAAATAAATTTTCTAAATTGAGACCTATCTCAGATATTTTGGAGTTCACTTTACTAATTTTAGGTAGAATTTAAAATTCTTCTTAAACTAGAAACAAAAAAAAGGACTAATTAAACTGAGAAAAACTTTAAAAAGTGTACTCAAATTCACTGACACAATTATGGATTCATCTAAATGATGAGATTCTATCAGTTTTAAGTAAATAAGAAGAAAATACATAATTACAAAGGAGCCTTTACCTTTGGGAAAACAAAAAGCCACTTTTGACCAATTGTTTCCACAGATACACACCCAGGTCCCCAAATACCCGCTAGGAGGGCCCGTCCTGGTTCCTAGAGGGCGGGGATCCTGCGGTCCGGGTTTGGGGTTTGGGTTCAGGCTCCGTGCGGCGGCGCTGGGTCGCGCCCACCCTGCAGGGGGCCCCAGCCCGAGTGACCGAGCGGGTGCGGGACGGGCGGGCAGCGAGCCACGCAGGGTGCGGGCTGGGCGGACGGGGCCGGGGTGTCGGGGGCTCGGATTCGAAGCCATCCCTGCCGTGGGGCTGGCTGGGGCCGGCTTACCGCTCTGGGAAATTTGCCCCCGCTGTCCCTGCCGGTGGCCGTCGTGGGCGGCCCCCGCCTTGGAGCCCGGGCCACAGAGCCGCGCGGGGCTGGAGAGCGGCGAGTGGGGAGGAACCAGCGGGCGGAGGAGGGGCGGCCCTGCAGGCGACGCGGGGACTGGAAAGGGCGCCCGGGTGGGAAAAGGCGCTGGCGGGTGATCGTCCCCACCCAGCCAGCCCACGTGCTCTGCTGCCGCCCCTCCCCGAAATTCACAGCCAGAGCGGGCGCACTGATGTGTGTGGCGCCTGGAGCCGCAGGGTCCCCACCCAAGTGCGAGGTCCCCGCGGGGAGCCCGGCCCATGGGCGTCCACAGTCCAGGCCCCAGACCACGCGTCCGGTCCAGATTCGCCGAAGTCAGACACTGGAATCTGGAGGGCGGATGTAGGGTGTCAGCTGAGCCCAGCCCCTGCCCGGCGGTGGCCAGCATAAGGCGGTGACACTCTCTGGAGCCCCCACTGCCCCCACCCTGCTGTCAAGCCCGCTGGGCTAAGGGATCCATCTGTCCCTAGAGGTGCGCACCCAACGCCAGGCAGAGGTAGCAGGTGTGGGGCTGCTGGCGGTCAAGGTCCCCCGAGATGAGGAGGGTGTTCTAGGAGGGGCCCCGGGGCCACAGAAGAGGAGCAGAGTGTGCGGCGAGCCCACCTTGCAAAGGCGCTCTGGTCCGTGAGGGGTGGCTCCTTAGGCCTCCAGCTAAGTCGCCGAGCGCTCCCAGTGCTGCCTGCCCGGCACCTGCGCTCCAGACTCCTGGCTGCCAACCAAGGAGGAAGCCTGCCCCCTGGGAACAGGCCACTCTCGGCTTGGGCAAGGGAAGCACAGACACCCCCATCCCCAGCCTGGCAGCCACACAGAGGGAGGCCGTCACCTGATGAGTGCGAGGGCTTCAGGGAGGGCTGGAGGCCCAGCGAGTCTGAGTGATTGACAAGTGAATGAGCTGGGAATGAAGCTTCCCGGGGCCGGGAGGGAGAGAGGGGGTTGGAGGGCGGTGAATGCCGGGAACTCTGGGGCTCCAGGCTTCCAGTGGCCCGACCAGGCTCCCGGTGTCCTCCTCCAACCTCAGTTTCCTCACCTGTCCCAGAGGACGAATATGGCAGGACTGTTGTGATGATTAGGCTGGATAATCCTGGTAAGCATTTATTAGCCTTCCTGGTCTCTGGATATTTTTTTTTTCTTTGTAAAGAAATTTTGCCGCCCAATGTCCACCACTGGGGAGGGAGTTTGGGAGGCAGAAGGCAGGCCTCTCACCCTTGGCTTAAGAGTTCCTTCCGAGTGCCCCATCCCCTTAGGTTCAATTAAAGCACATAGTTGGAAACAAGTCCCCAGGACAGCTACAGAGTCCAGAACCAGAAGATCTTGTTTCCTGAACCAAGAGCCTTGTCGTATCCCCAAATCCTAATTATTCAGGGTGGTCAGCTTCAGACAGGAGTCTAAATTTGATTCTCGCTCTCCAGGGTCGATCCAAGGCTCTTGTAATGCGATGTTGCTTTACCCCATCCCACCCCTGTGCCTACCCCAATGCATTGGGAGTCCTTAACTGTAGTGACCTCAATTTGGAAACAATGTTCCCAAGTCAGGAGGTGTGGCCCTCCCCAGGCAGCTGGCCTGATAAACATCTGTCCTGGGGCAAAAGACCCAGAGCAGGGAGGGACTCTCACTTCCCACTTTCACATGCTATAGTCATTTAATGGGCTGTGGTGACCTCTCTGGGTCACCTAGCCTGCGGAATGGGATGTTGATTTTGTGCCACAGTGAGGGAAACTGAGGCACAGGGCTAGTGAGTGAGAAAATCAGAAAGACTCTATGACTAGGAAACATTATTCAGGCCCACGGTCCCTACAGGACTCAGCATCCTTTGGGCGAGCCAGTGGGTGGTATGCGGCACCCTGGTTGCCATCTGTACCTTGTGGGGGTGAGGGTGAGCGTCCTGGCAGGACAAGGTGCTCTAGGATCCACAAGGTAGAGAGATATTGTTCCCCTTTCCCTGGCCGTGGGCACAGCAAGAGTTCTGTTCTCTAATGTATGTGAGGATCAGTGCCTACATGGAAAAGACACTTCTCATTTCAGACATTCCAAAGATTTTAGGGGCTGCATGGAAAGAAACTGAGACAGACTCTAACCACATCCTCACACTGACAGGAGCCTCCAGGCTGGGCTCAGCTCTTCCTTGGGGAGGTTTGCTCCACCCTCCTCCCTCCAACTAGAACCCACCCCCAATAGCCCTATGCACGTCCATCTTTTACAGCAGCAGCATGTCTTAGCAACTTGTCATTCTCTGCAATAATCTTGCTGTTTGTTGTTTACTTCTTTAGTGTTTGCTCCTGGGAGTTGTGTCTAGTTCACCACTATGTTCCCAGTACCAGGCACAGTGCTCGGCCCATGGCAGGTGCTCAATGAGAGCTGTTTAATCAATGAACAATGGGACTGTCTGTGCCAGGGAAGCAGAGAGGAGGTCAGAGCACACCTTAGCTCACCCACTCCCTATCTGGGTGACCTTGGATAAGTCCCTGAATATTTTTCCATTCAGTCACCTTGTCTGCGACATGGGGAATAATTAAACTTACCTGAAAGAGTTATTTCTGATGATAATTTAATGCGCAAAAATATCTAATATGCTTCTAAACATGGGCTGGCACAGTGAGAGCGCTGTACACGTGAGCTATTTGCATTATCATGCCGCAGGTTGTTGGAATTCTTTTTCACTCATCATTTAGATCTTGAAACTGTTTGCCTCATTACATATAAGGAAAATATATTTTGAATTATGTTTAGTATTTCACACTGAAATTATTTAAAATGTCTATAGTTAGGTAAGGTGTGGTTACTCATGGCACCATCAACCACAGAATTCCAGCCTGGGTGATACATTGAGATCCTGTCTCAAAAAATAGATATAAATAGTTGATATTTATGTATGATTCCTGTATGCTGCATAACTCTTGTAGCACAGTTATTTTTTAAATAGTGTACATTATTTGCCTTTTTCAGGGATATTTTTATATTTTACATTTAGTTTAGCATTTTTATTATTTGTGCAAATAAATATATTCTTTCCTATTTTCAGCTAATAATATTAGTCACATAGTTTTAAAATATTTTATTAAATTATCTGGTAGCCGGGCGTGGTGGTGGGCGCCTGTAGTCCCAGCTACTTGGGAGGCTGAGGCCCGAGAATGGCATGAACCTGGGAGGCGGAGCTTGCAGTGAGCCGAGATCCCACCACTGCACTCCAGCCTGGGCGACAGAGCGAGACTCCATCTCAAAAAAAAATAATAAATAAAATAAATGAAAAAAATTATCTGGAAGGGTTGATAAAATAATCTCATTTTATATTTTGTGAGTGAACATATAAATATCTAGACAATGTAATTAACTGTGATAATACATTTCAAATGCTTTTTTAAATCACTCTATTTTAAATCCATCCTTTTTATACATTCTATAAATGGATGGATGAAGAACACATAGACAGATACTATGTAAATCTATGTGTAGATAAATGTAGATGCAAATTCACATCTGTTTAGACAATGCTGCTTTCAAAATTACTGAGAATGGCCACTTTTTTTTTTTTTTTTTTTTTTGAGATGGAGTCTCGCTCTGTCACCCAGGCTGGAGTGCAGTGCCACAACCCAGGCTGGAGTGCAGTGCCGCAATCTCGGCTCACTGCAAGCTCCGCCTCCCAGGTTCACGCCATTCTCCTGCCTCAGCCTCCCCAGCAGCTGGGACTACAGGCACACGCCGCCATGCCAGGCTAATTTTTTGTATTTTTAGTAGAGACTGGGTTTCGCCGTGTTAGCCAGGATGGTCTCGATCTCCTGACCTCAAGATCCGCCCGCTTTGGCCTCCCAAAGTGCTGGGATTACAGGCGTGAGCCACCTTGCCCAGCCACTTTTTTTTTTTTTTTTTTGGAGACAGTCTTGCTCTTGTCACCCACGCTGGAGTGCAATGGCATGATCTCGGCTCACTGCAACCTCTGCCTCCCGGGTTCAAGTGATTCTCCTGCCTCAGCCTCCCGAGGAGCTGTGATTACAGGCATGCACCACCATGCCCAGCTAATTTTGTATTTTTAGTAGAGACTGGGTTTCACAATGTTGGCCAAGCTGATCTTGAACTCTTGACCTCAGGTGATCCGCCTGCCTCAGCCTCCCAAAGTGCTGGGATTACAGGTGTGAGCCACCATGCCCTGCTCACTTTTTAACCTTTTACATAATTAAATAAAAAAAGATTTTCTATTTTTAATAACATTTACAGTTTAATAACACAATACATAAATATACAACATATTATTTTTTAATAAAACTCTGGATTCCATTTAATATTATATTATTAGAACTTCTGTATCTATTCTGACACTTGAGATTAATTTTAAATTTCTTTTTGCTGCCGGGCGTGGTGACTCATGCCTGTAATCCCAGCACTTTGGGAGGCTGAGGCAGGCGGATAACCTGAGGTCAGGAGTTTGAGACCATCCTGGCTAACACGGTGAAATCCCATCTCTACTAAAAATACAAAAAATTAGCTGGGCGTGGTGGCGGGCACCTGTAATCCTAGCTACTTGGGAGGCTGAGGCAGGAGAATTGCTTGAACCCGGGAGGCGGAAGTTGCAGTGAGCCAAGATCACTCCACTGCACTCCAGCCTGGGAGACGAGAGCAAAACTCCATCTCAAAAAAAAAAATTTCCTTTTGCTGAGTTTGCCCAGTTTTCATGTCAAGTAGTACTACATACCTTAGAGGCTTTCTATATTTATATGTTTTGCATCAGTTTTTAAAACCTGGAAATTATCTCATTTTGAATTTCTTATGGAAATAGAATCTTCTCCACTAAAAATATCCCATTGGTAAACTTCACTTCAAAGTCGTGAAAATTAAATGTTTCTCTTTCTGGTCATATTATCTATACAATATTTAGTTATTTTTTATTTATTTTAATTTGCTTTCGATTTTAGTATTTGCTTTTGAAATTACTTTTTAAATTTGCATAATATTCTCTTGGATTCTATTAATGAATGTCAATGCTCTTTTTTATATTTTGATATAAAAAATAAAACCTCACTGTGGATGTGATGGCTCATGCCTGTAATTCCAGCATTTTGGGAGGCTAAGGTGGGAGGATTATATAAGCCCAGGAGTTTGAGACCAGACTGGGCTACATACTGTGGCTGCCTGCAGTCTAAGCCATCTGAACTCCCTGGTGGAGGGGCAGCAGCTATCCCTGCAGCTGCTAACTACCAAAGGCACTAAGCCCCTGGGGTGTAGGGGAGGGTGGCAGCCATCACTATAGCTCCAGGCCATGCTACTTCCCTGTTGGAGTCAGGGAGGCTAGACAACTTGGTCCCAATTTGCAGACAATGGCCAGACTGCCTCTTTAGGCCAGACCCTGATCCATCCCTTCTCACTGAGTGGGGCCTCCCTGCAGAAGCTCCAACAAATCCAGCTAGGAGCTCAGGAACAGAACCCTGATCTTCCTGGTTCTGACCCCCTAGGGGGAAAAGTTGCCATAGCCTCCAATGACCAGCAAACTTAGTCTTTCCTCTTGCTAGCTCTGCAGAATCCAGGCAGCCCAGACAAATGGGTTTCCCTCCAGCACGGCACACCCCCTCCACCAAGGGACAGCCAAAATTCTTCCTTAAATGGTTCCTGGTTCCCATGCTCTCAACTGTGTGAGACCCCCAATAGGAATCTCCAGATACTTTATACAGGAGTGTTCCTACAGACATTAGGTCACTGTCCCTCGAGATCAGAAATCCCAAAGGAAGGAGGAGGCACCTATCTTTGCTGTTCTCCAGCCTCCTCTGTGGGCATCTCCAGATGCAGGAGTGACCTGGATAAATAGGCCTGAAGTGAACCCCCAACAAGCCACAGCAGCCTTACAGAAGAGGAACCTGACTATTGAAAGAAAAACAAACAGAAGGTAACAGCAACAACATCAACAAAAAAAGTCCTGACAAAAACTTCATCCAAGGGTCAGCAGCCTCAAAGATCAAAACCAGACAAACTCATGAAGATGAGAAAGAATCAACCAAAAAATGCTGAACACACAAAAGGCCAAAGTGCCTCTTCTCCAAATGATCACAACACCTCTCCAGAAAGGGCACAAATCTGAATAGAGAAAAAGATTGATGAATTGACAGAAGTAGGCTTCAGAAGGTGGGTAATAACAAACTTCAAGGAGGTAAAGAAGCATGTTCTAACCCAATGCAAAGAAGCTAAGAACCATGGTAAAAGATTACAGGAGTTGCTAACTACAATAACCAGTTTAGAGAGAAACATAAATAACCTAATGGAGCTGAAAACACAGCATGAGAAATTTGTGAAGCATACACAGGTATCAGTAGCCAAAGCAATCAAGCAGAAGAAAGAATATCAGAGCTTAAAGACTATCTTGCTGAAATAAGGCAGGCAGACAAGATTAGAGAAAAAAGAATAAAAAGTAATGAACAAAACCTTTGAGAACTGTGGGACTATGTAAAAAGACCAAACCGGCTGGGCGCAGTGGCTCATGCCTGTAATACCAGCACTTTGGGAGGCCGAGGCGGGTAGATCACCTAAGGTTGGGAGTTCGAGACCAGCCTGACCAACATGGTGAAACCCTGTCTCTACTAAAAATCCAAAAAAAAAAAATAGCTGGGTATGGTGATACACGCCTGTAGTCCCAGCTACTTGGGAGGCTGAGGCAGGAGAATCACTTGAACCCGGGAGGCAGAGGCTGCAGTGAGCTGAGATTGCGCTATTGCACTCCAGCCTGGGCAACAAGAGTGAAACTCCATCTACAAAAGAAAAAAAAAAACCAAACCTATGACTGATTGGAGTTCCTGAAAGAGACAGGGAGAATGAAACCAAGTTGGAAAACACACTTCAGGAGGTCATCCAGGAGAAATTCCCCAACCTAGCAAGACAGGCCAACATTCAAATTCAGAAAATACAGAGAACCTCAGTAAGATACTTTATGAGAAGATCAACCCCAAGACACATAATCGTCAGATTCTCCAAGGTTGAAATGAAGAAAGAAATGTTAAGGGCAGCCAGAGAGAAAGGTCAGGTCATTTACAAAGGGAAGCCCATCAGACTAAAAGCAGATCTCTCAGCAGAAACGCTACAAGCAGAAGAAAGTGGGGGCCAATATTCAACATTCTGGAATAAAATAATTTTCAACCCAGAATTTTTATCCAGCCAAACTAAGCCTCATACGCAAAGGAGTAATGAAATCCTTTTCAGACAAGCAAATGCTGAGAGAATTCATCACCACAAGGCCTAGACTCGTTTCACATGCAAAGACACACTTATGCTCAAAATAAAAAAGATGAAGAAAAATTTACCAAGCAAATGGAAAGCAGAAAAAAAGCAGTGATTGCAATCCTAGTTTCCTACAAAACAGGCTTTAAACCAACAAAGATCAAAAAAAGCAAAGAAGGGCATTACATAATGGTAAAGGAATCAATTCAACAAGAAGTCCTAACTATCCTAAATATATATGCACTCAATACTGGAGTACCCAGATTCATAAAACAATTTCTTGGAGACCTACAAAAAAACTTAGACTTCCACACAATAATACTGGGAGACATTACCACACCACTATCAATATTAGACCGATCAATGAGAAAGAAAATTAATAAAGATATTCAGGGGACGGGCGTGGTGGCTCACACCTGTAATCCCAGCACTTTGAGAGGCCAAGGCAGGTGGATCACGAGGTCAGGAGTTCAAGACCAGCCTGACCAACATGGTGAAACCCCGTCTCTACTAAAAATACAAAAATTAGCCAGGCATAGTGGCGTGCACCTGTAATCCCAGCTACTCAGAAGGCTCAGGCAGGAGAATTGCTTGAATCCTGGAAGTGGAGGTTGCAGTGAGCCAAGATTGCACCACTGCACTCCAGCCTGGGTGACAGAGCAAGGCTCCATCTCAAAACAAAAAAAAACAACAACAAAAAATATATTCAGTACGGGAACTCAGCTCCGGACCAAGTGAAACTGATAGATATTTACAGAACTCTCCACCCCAAAACAACAGAATATACATTCTTCTCAGTGCCACATGGAACTTACTCTAAAATTGATCATATAATTGGAAGTAAAACACTCTTCAGCAAATGCGAAAGAACTACAATTATATCATACTGTCTCTCAGACCACAGTACAATCAAATTAAAACTCAAGATTAAGAAACTCACTCAAAACCACACAACTACATGGAAATTGGACAACCTGCTTCTGAATGACTTCTGGGTAAATGATGAAATTAAGGCAGAAATCAAGAAGTTCTTTGAAGTCAATGAGAACAAAAAGACAATGTACTAGAATCTCTGGGATGCAGCTACAGCAGTGTTAAGGGGTAAATATATAGCACTAAATGCTTACATTGAAAAGCTAGAAAGATCTCAAATCAACACCCTAACATTACAACTAAAAGAGCTAGAGATGCAAGAGCAAACAAATTTAAAAGCTGACAGAAGACAAGAAATAATTAAGATCAGAGCAAAACTGAAGGAGATAGAGACACGAAAAATTCTTCAAAAAATCAATAAATTCAGGAGCTGGTTTTTTTGTTTGTTTGTTTTGTTTTTGTTTTTGTTTTGGGATGGAGTCTCACTCTTGTTGCCCAGGCTGGAGTGCAATGGCAAGATCTCGGCTCACTGCAACCTCTGCCTCCCAGGTTTAATCAATTCTCCTGCCTCAGCCTCCTGAGTAGCTGGAATTACAGGAGTGCGCCACCATGCTTGGCCTTTTTTTTTTTTTCTGAGATGGATTTTGTTCTTGTTGCCCAGGCTGGAGTGCAGTGGTGTGATCTTGGCTCACTGCAACCTCCACTTCCCAGGTTCAAGCGATTCTCCTCATTCAGCCTCCCGAGTAGCTGGGATTACAGGCATGTGCCACCACTCCTGGCTTATTTTGAGTTTTTAGTAGAGATGAGGTTTCTCCATGTTGGTCAGGCTGGTCTCGAACTCCTGACCTTAGGTGATCTGCATGCCTCAGCTTCCCAAAGTGCTGGGATTACAGGCGTGAGCCACTGCGCCCAGCCCTAATTTTTATATTTTTAGTAGAGATGGGGTATCACCATGTTGGTCAGGCTGGTCTCAAACTCCTGACCTCGTGATCCACCCACCTTGGCCTCCAAAAGTGCTGGGATCACAGGCATGAGCCACCGTGCCTGGCCCAGAATCTGTTTTTTTTTTTTTTAAGAAATTAATAAAATACATACACTAAAGGAGGTGACCACCCCTCATATTGTCTTATGCCCAATTTCTGCCTCCAAAGAAAGAAGAAGTAAAAACTAAAAGGCAGAAATGAAATCCACAGGCAGACAGCCCAGCGCCGTGCCCTGGGCCTGGTTAAAGATCGACCCCTGACCTAACCAGTTATGTTAGCCATAGTTTCCAGACATTGTATGGAAAAGCATTGTGAAAATCCCTGTCCTGTTCTGTTCTGTTCTGACTACCTGTGCATGTAGCCCCCAGTCATGTACCCCCTGCTTGCTCAACTGATCATGACCCTCTCAGGCAGACTCCCTTAGAGCTGTAAGCCCTCAAAAGGAACAGGAATTGCTCACCTGGGGAGCTCAGTTGTTGGAGACGTGAGTCTTGCTGAAACTCCCAGCTGAATAAAGCCCTTCCTTCTTTAACTTGGTGTCTGAGGGCTTTTGTCTGCCGCTTGTCCTGCTACAACATCACTAGCTAGAGTAATAAAAAAGAAAAGAGAGAAGAATCAAATAGACACAATAAAAAATGATAAATGGGATATCACCGGTGACCCCACAAAAGTACAAACTAACAGAGAATATTATAAACACCTCTACGCAAATACACTAAAAAATCTAGAAGAAATGGATCAATTTCTGGACACATACACCCTCCCAAGCCTAAACCAGGAAGAAGTCGAATCCTTGAACAGACCAATCAAGTTCCAAAATTTAGTAGTAAATAGCCTACCAACCAAAACAACAACAAAAAAAGCCCAGGACCAGATGGACTAACAGCCGAATTCTACCAGAGGTAAAAAGAGGAGCTGGTGAAGCAGCATCGTTGTCCAGGGTAAATACCCGGGGTTGATTATCTCATGCTGAGAAGATTAATGACACGGACACACAACCTTGGAGGGGGTTTTAAGAGCAGGAAGTTTAACAGATGAAAGAAAGAAGAGCAGGAGAAAGACAGCTTCCTTATGCAGAGAAAGCGGGCGCCCAAGAAGTTTTTCCAGGTTTGGAACAGGATGCAATTGATTTTTTAGAAAGGCTTGAGGAGGGGGTGATTGACTTACATAGGGCTCGAAGGATTGGTTTGCCCAAGTGTACTATTTACACAGCCTGCAAAAAAACTGGCCCTCCCATCCCAATCTTTTATTATGCAAATGTGGCCTCTACCTGGCCGGCTCCACGACAACTGCATACATGGGGACAAAGAAAAGGAAGGGGGAATTGCCATACTGGGTGGTCCTGGCTTTTAGTACAGCTGCCCACATTCATCTATGCAAACTTCCAGCTTGCTTATTTATGCTTGCAGCTTGACTTTTCAGGCTGCTTTATGTTAGAAAAGAAATGGTTTTTCGCTGCTTTCTATTAAAGAAAAAATTCACTGAGAACTTTTTTACCCTTGCTAACTGCCTAAAATAATTTCTTAATAATTCCTATACTACTGGTACCATTTCTTCTGAAACTATTCCAAATAATTGAAAAGAAGAGACTCCTCCCTACTCATTTTATGAGACCAGCATCATCCTGACACCGAAACCTGGCAGAGACACAACAAAAAAAGAAAACTTCAGGCTAATATCTCTGAAGAACATTAATGTGAATATCCTCAATAAAATACTGGCAAACCGAATCCAGCAGCACATCAAGAAGTTATCCACCACAAACAAGTCACCTTCATCACTGGGATGCAAAGCTCACTTAACATATGCAAATCAATAAATGTAATCTATCACATAAACAGAAACAATGACAAAAACCACATGATTATCTCAATAGGTGCAGTAAAATTCTTCAATAACGGCCGGCTGGTGACTCACGCCTGTAATCCCACCACTTTGGGAGGCTGAGGTGGGCGAATCAGGAGGTCAGGAGGTCAGGAGTTTGAGACCAGCCTGACCAATATGGTGAAGCCTCGTCTTTACTAAAAACACAAAAATTACCCGGGCATGGTGGTGCACGCCTGTAATCCCAGCTACTCAGGAGGCTGAGGCAGGAGAATTGCTTGAACCCGGGAAGTGGAGGTTGTGGTGAGCCGAGATTATGCCACTGCACTCCAGCCTGGGTGACAGAGCGAGACTCTCTCTCAAATAATAATAATAATAATAATAATAATAATAATAATAATAATAAAGTCTTCAATAGAATTCAACATTCCTTGGCCAGGCATGGTGGCTCACGCCTGTAATCCCAGCACTTTGGGAGGCTGAGGCAGGTGGATAACGAGGTCAGGAGTTTGAGACCAGTGTGATCAACATGGTGAAACCCCATCTCTACTAAAAATACAAATATTAGCCAGGCGTGGTGGCGGGTGCCTGTAATCCCAGCTACTGGGGAGGCTGAGGCAGGAGAATCCCTTGAACCCGAAAAGCAGAAGTTGCAGTGAGCCAAGACTGTGCCACTACACTCCAGCCTGGGCAACAGAGTGAGACTCTGTCTCAAAAAAACAAACAAATAAAAAACAAAATTCAATACCCCTTCATGTTAATAACTCTCAATAAACTAGGTATTGAAAAACCATACCTCAAAATAATAAGATGTATTTATGAAAAATCCACAGCCAATATCATATTGAATAGGCAAAACCTGGAAGCATTCTGGAAAATCAGCACAAGACAAAATGCCCTCTCTCACCACTCCTATTCAACATAGTATTTGAAGTTCTGGCCAGGAAAATCAGGCAAGAGAAAGAAATAAAGGGTGTTGAAATAGGAAGAGAGGAAGTCAAATAGTCTCTGTAGATGATATGATGCTGTATCTAGAAAATCCCATTGTCTTAGCCCAAAAACTCCTTAAGCTGATAAGCAACTTCAGCAAAGTCTCTGGATACAAAATCAATGTGCAAAAATTACAAGTATTTTTATACACCAACAATAAACAAGCAGATTTTGAAATCATGCATGAATTTTCATTCACAATTGCTACAAGAGAATAAAATACCTAGGAATACAGCTAACAAGGGATGTGAAGGACCTCCTCAAAAAGAACTACACACCAGGCTGGTCACGGTGGCTCATGCCTGTAATCCCAGCACTTTGGGAAGCCCAGGTGGGCAGATCACCTGAGGTCAGGAGTTCAAGACCAGCCTGACCAACATGGAGAAACCCCGTCTCTACTAAAAATACAAAACTAGCCGGGCGTGGTGGTGCAGGCCTGTAATCCCAGCTACTCGAGAGACTGAGGCAGGAAAATCGCTTGAACCCGGGAGGCGGAGGTTGTGGTGAGCTGAGATCTCGCCACTGCTCTCTAGCCTGGGCAACAAGAGCGAAACTCCATCTCAAGAAGAAGAAAAAAAAAAGAACTACACACCACTGCTCAAAGAAATAAGAGAGGATACAAACAAATGGAAAAACATTTCATCCTCATGGATAGGAAGAATCAATATCATGAAAATGGCCATACTGCCCAAAGTAATTTATACATTCAATGGTATTCCCATCAAACTACCTTTGAGATTCTTCACAGAACTAGAAAAAGCTACTTTAAAATTCATATGGAACCAAAAAAGAGCCTGCGTAGCCAAGAAAATTCTAAGTGAAAATAACAAAGCTGAAGGCATCATGCTACTTGACCTCAAACTATACAAGGCTACAGTAACCAAAACAGCATGGTACTGACACATTGACCAATGAAACAGAATAGAGACCTCAGAAATAAGAACACACATCTACAACCATCTGATATTTGAGAAACCTGACAGAAACAAGCAATGGGGAAAATATTCCCTACTTAATAAATGATGCTGGAAAAACTGGCTAGCCATGTGCAGCAAACTGAAACTGGACCCCTCTCCTATACCTTATACAAAAATTAACTCAAGATGAATTAAAGGCTTAAATGTAAAACCCCAAACCATAAAAACTCTAGAAGAAAATCTAGGCAATACCATTGAAGAGATAAACATGGGTGAAGATTTTATAATGAAATGGCTGAAAGCGATTGCAACAAAAGCAAAAATTTACAAAGAGATCTAGTTAAACAAAAAAGCTTCTGCACAGAAAAAGAAACTATCATCAGAGCGAACAGGCAATCTACAGAATGGGAGAAAATTTTTGCAATCTACCCATTTGACAACGGTCTAATATCCAGAATTTACAGGAAACTTAAACAAATTTACAAGAAAAAAACAACCCTGTCAAAAAGTGGGCAAAAGACATGAATAGACACTTCTCTAAAGAAGACATTCATTCAGCCAACAAACATATGAAAAAAAGCTCAACATTACGATCATAAGAGAAATGCGAATCAAAACTACAGTGAGATACCATCTCATGTCAGTCAGAATGGTGATTATTAAAAAGTGAAGAAACAACAGATGCTGGTGAGGCTGTGGAGAAGTAGGAATGCTTTTACACTGTTGGTGGGAGTGTAAATTAGTTAAACCATTGTGGAAGACAGTGTGGCAATTCCTCAAGGATCTAGAACCAGAAATGTCATTTGACCCAGAAATCCTATTACTGGGTATATACTCAAAGGAATGTAAATCATTCTGTTACAAAGATACATGCACACTTATGTTTATTACAGCACTATTCACAATAGCAAAGACATGGAACCAACCCAAATGCCCATCAATGATAGGCTGGATAAAGAAAATTTAGTACATGTACACCATGGAGTACTATGCAGCCATAAGAAAAGAATGAGATCATGTCCTTTGCAGGAAGATGGATGAAGCTGGAAGCCATCATCCTCAGCAAACTAACACAGGAAAAGAAAACCAAACATTGCATTACTGACTCAGATGTGAGAGCTGAACAATGAGAACACATGGACACAGAAAGAGGAGCAACGCTCACCCGGGCCTGTCAGAGGGGCAAGGGGAGGGACAGCATCAGGACAAATAGCTAATTAATGTGGGGCTTAATACTGAGGTGATTGGTAAATAGGTGCAGCAAACCACCATGGTACATATTTACCTATGTAACAAACTGCAGGTTCTGCACATGTATCTCGGAACTTAAAGCAAAATAAAATGTAAATAAATAAATAAAGTCAGGCTGGGCGTGGTGGCTCACACCTGTAATCCCAGCACTTTGGGAGGCCGAGGTGGGCAGATCATCTGAGGTCGGGAGTTCGAGACCAGCCTGACCAACATGGAAAAACCCCGCCTCTACTAAAAATACAAAATTAGCTGGGCATGGTGGCACATGCCTGTTATCCCAGCTACTGGGGAGGCTGAGGCAGGAGTATCACTTGAACCCAGGAGGTGGAGGTTGCAGTGAGCCAAGATCGCGCCATTGCACTCCAGCCTGGGCAACAAGAGTGAAACTCCATCTCAAAAATAAATAAATAAATAAATAAATAAATAAATAAATAAAAGAAATTAAATAAATAAAGTCAAGAAAACTAAACGTCTCTCTTTCTGGTCATATATCTATATAATATTTAGTTATTTTTATTTCAATTTGTTTTGAATTTTAGTATTTGCTTTTGAAATTATTATTATTTTTTTCTTTTGAGACAGTCTTGTTCTGTCTTCAGGTTAGAGTGCAGTGGTGGGATCTCGGCTCACTGCAACCTCTGCCTCCCGGGTTCAAGTGATTCTCCTGCCTCAGCCTCCCGAGTAGATGGGACTACAGGCGCAAGCCACCACGCCCAGCTACTTTTTGCATTTTCAGTAGAGACAGGGTTTTGCCATGTTGGCCAGGAAGGTCTTGATCTCTTGACCTCGTGATGTGCCCACCTCAGCCTCCCAAAGTGTTGGGATTACAGGCGTGAGCCACTGCGCCCGGCGAAATTACTTTTTTAATATGCATAACATTTTCTTGAATTCTATTAATGGACATCAATGCTATTTTTCATATTTTGATATAAAAAATAAAACCTCAATGTGGATATGTTGACTCCTGCCTGTAATTCCAGCACTTTGGGAGGCTGAGGTGGGAGGATTCTTTTAGCTCAGGAGTTTGAGACCAGCCTGGGTTATATAGTGTGACCTCACCTCTAAAAATAATAATAATAAATTAGCTGAGCATGGTGGCACATGAGTGTGGTCCCAGCTACTCAGAAGGCTGAGGTGAGAAAAACTGCTTGGGCCCAGATGGTTGAGGCTGCAGTCAGCTGCAGTCATGCCACTGCATGCCTGCCTGGGTGAGACAGAATCTGTCTCAAAAGAAAGAAAGAGAATGAAATTCAAGTCAGGCAGATCACTTGAGGTTAGGAGTTTGAGACAAGGCTTGCCAACACGAAAAACCCTGTTTCTGCTAAAAATACAAAAATTAGCTGGGCATGGTGGCATTTGCCTGTAATCTCAGGTTCTCGGTAGGCTGAGGCATGAGAATCGCTTGAACTGTAAAGGGGGATGTTGCAGTGAGCTGAGACTGCACCACTGCACTCCAGCCTGGGCAGCAGAGCAAGACTTTGTCTCAGAAAAAGAAAGAGAAGAAAAGAAAAGAAAAGAAAAGAAAAAGAAAACCACAGATAATAAACTATTTTTTTTAATGTTTGTAAAGCTCTAATTGCATAGCAGATTTCTGGAAGTCAGTTTCCAGAATCCAAGGCTAATGCCTAAGCATTTTATACATTTCTTTCTGCACTGATTATATAATTCGGGTTTCCCAACAGAAATGGAAAAAAATGAAGCATGAATAACAATGAGATCACACACAAATATGATAATGGCAATCGTAAAAAGAAAAATTTCAAAGAGTGTGGATGAAAATTTGGGTTAACTAGAACTAGAAATATGAAATGATATAACTTTGGAAAACACTTTAGTGGCTTATTACAAAGTTGAACATACACTTATTATGTTACCACGACATCCCACTGCTAGGTTATTACTAAAGCAAACTGAAAACTAATGTAGAAATGAAACCTTTTTGTAGATGTCTATTGCTCACTTTATTTGTAATTGCAAAAAGCTAGATGTAAACCAGATGCTTCTCAACAGGTGAATGAATAAACAAACTGGGGCATCCATACAATAGAATCCTAGTTGTCAATAAACAAACAAACAAACAAAAACCATTGATCGACATCACAGTATAGATGAGTCACAAATGCATTTCTTTAAGTGAAGAAAGTAAGATCCGATAGGGTACAAATTATATAATCCAATTATATGGCATTGTAGAAAAATAAAGTTGTAGGGATTGATAATAATCAGGCCACGCTTGATGGCTCAAGCATATAATCTCAGCACTTTGGGAGGCTGAGCTGAGAGGATTGTTTGAGCCCAGGATTTTGAGACCAGCCTGGGCAACATAGAAAGACCTCCCTACAAAAGAAAAATAAAAAGAAAATAATCACTGATTGCCAAAGAATAGATGAGGGTAGAGTTAACTATAAATAGGAAGCATCAGATAATTTTGGGGGCAATGAAGCAGTTCTGTGTGGTACTGTGAAGATGGCTATGTGACTCTAGACAGTTTTCAAAACTTATGGAACTGTACATCACAAAGAATAAATTTTTCCTCTCTGCAAATTATAAAAAACAAGGATTTGGGGAAAATTCAGGTAAAATGCAGGTAGTAAAAAGAAGAGCTTAACCTTACTAGAAATGTATCACCTAACCCTATTGAAAAACGTTGGAATAAAAGGACTTGGTGTAAATCACTTTGAATAACAGTATTTTGATTAAATACTGCAAGACTCAAGAACTGAACACAAACATTGTGTTCTGGTAGGTATTGCTTGTCTATAAGCGTATAGATTAGCATTTATTTATTTATTTATTTATTTATTTATTTTTTAGATGGAGTGTCACTCTGTTACCAGGCTGGAGTGCAGTGGTGCTATCTCAGCTCACTGCAACCTCTGACTCCCTGGTTCAAGCGATTCTCCTGCCTCAGCCCCCAAGTAGCTGGGATTACAGACACATGCCACCACGCCAAGCTAATTTTTGCACTTTTAGTAGAGACAGGGTTTCACCATGTTGGCCAGGATGGTCTCGATCTCCTGACCTCGAGATCCTCCTGCCTCAGCCTCCCAAAGTGCTGGGATTACAGGCGTGAGCCACTGCACCTGGCCTAGATTAGCAATCTTTAAAAGCACTCTATATGTTAGTATATATATGTAACATAATTAGTGCCTGCTTCTAACTGAAGTTGAAAAAAAAAGATAATTCTAGACGAGTTGAGAATATTTGGATAAATGCATGTGTCATAACATATCCATTGAGAGAGAGAGAAAGAGAGAGATGTGTTCATACAGGAGTCAATATTAATATGTACCTTTCCAAACTCTGTTTGCTGAGAGGTTGCAGAAGCAGTGACACCCCAGTATTAATGGGCACACCTAGCTCTATATCACGGTTTCTAAGTACTATTCTTCAATTAAAAAAAAAGCAAGACTACTTGTAATAATAGACAATTCTAGCACTGGAGTGGAAAATCCAAATTAAGGTAGAGTATTGTGAAGTCAGAAAGTTTAAAAGTGGTTTATAAACAACAGAAGCAGGCCGGGTGCGGTGGCTCACGCCTGTAATCCCAGCACTTTGGGAGGCAGAGGCGGGCGGATCACGAGGTCAGGAGATCGAGACCACGGTGAAACCCCGTCTCTACTAAAAATACAAAAAATTAGCTGGGCGCAGTGGCGGGCGCCTGTAGTCCCAGCTACTCGGGAGGCTGAGGCAGGAGAATGGCGTGAACCCGGAAGGCGGAGCTTGCAGTGAGCCGAGATCATTCCACTGCACTCCAGCCTGGGCGACAGAGCGAGACTCCATCTCAAAAAAAAAAAAAAAAAAAAAACAACAGAAGCAGCCATGTCAGAGAAAATCAACCTGAAAGACTTCTCAGGAGTCCAAGGTGAAAAAATGTGAAAAACACAATATACATTAATAGCATTGGATTAAAACCTAGAGAATAAAAAAAATTCATGAATCCCTACAGATAGAAAAATAAATAAATAAAAAAAGAAAGAGAAAAAATGTTTTTTACAAAATTCCAAGTACTAATCAATGTAGACACATAATGCAAAATAGAAAATCACCACTAAGACACCACAGTAATAATTACTGTAGACAAGGTGTACTTTAAAATGCAAAAATTGTGGGTAAGATTTAAAGGATAAATAGTGTATTTACATAGCCCCAAAGTACCTGCCTCCAAATATTTATAAACACTATTTACTGTCAATTTCTCTATAAGACTTATGACTATTTAAGGAAAAGTTATAACACGGTATTGTGAGATATAATGATGTGTAGATGTAAAATATATGAATAAAAAGAGGTAATTGAAACTCTTCAACAGCAAGGTTTTCATATTTTACATTTATTAAAATAGTACAGTATAAACTCTAGGTAGATCGTGATATGTTACAGATGCATATAGTGATCCCTGGAGAAACCACTAAGAAATGTAAAGAGGTGTCACTTAAATGCTAATAAAGGAATTTAGTTATATACCAAAAAGTATTTGTACAAGAATGTTTATAGGCGTTTTTGGTCATATAGCTTACAGCAAGGAACAAACTAAATATCCATCTCTATAAAAATAGATGAACAAATTGTATCTCATTCATACAAGAGAATACCATCCAGCCATAGAAAAAAATGAACTACTAAATCACACACTCTGGATGTATCTCATAAATCTGCCAGATAAGACAAGCTTGAAATAAAATAATACGTATTGTATGATGTCAGGCAAAATGAACCAATGGTTAAAAAAAAAATTTAAAAAATTAAAAAAAGAAAAAGAAAAACAACCAAAAAATGGCCTGTGATGAAGAATAAAATTATCTGGAAAAAAGCATGAGGAAATTATCTGAGAATTTTTAAAAAATCCATTATTGTATGGAGTCACTCATGCTAAATATGACATAATCACACTAAAAATGTAAGGAAATAAGTAGATCCTAAAGCAGTCCAGGCTTTGCTTTCTTCTGTAAACAGCAGATTTTAACACAAGGAGTTTCCCTCTACTGTAATTCCTTTTTTAAAAAAAATAGGGCCAAGCACGGTGGCTCACACCTATAATCCTAGCACTTTGGGAGGCCAAGGCGGGCGGATCACCTGAGGTTGGGAGTTCAAGACTAGCCTGACCATCATAGAGAAACCTGGTCTCTACTGAAAATACAAAATTAGCCGGCCGTGGTGGTGCATGCCTGTAATCTCAGCTACTCAGGAGGCTGAGGCAGGAGAATCGCTTGAACCTGGGAGGCAGAGGTTGCGGTGAGCCAAGATCATGCCATTGCACTCTAGCCTGAGCAACAAGAGCAAAACTCTGTCTCAAAAAAAATAACAACAATAATAATAGTAATAATAATAACCTGAAGTCCTTGTTTTCGCTTTACAAAACCCACAGTTCTGCTATTTCACAGTGGGATTTGAGACTAAATAAGTACACTTTTGATGGTGACAGAGTGCTATCAATGTCTAAAGTTTTGGTTTATCTCTCAAAATTGAGAAGATGACCAAAAGGGAGAAATTGTTAAATCAGTTATAGCCTAAAGCTGCCGTCTTTTCTGTTTAATTTTTGTCAATAGGTTTTCTGTACATAGTAAACTGAAACCTAACTGGATATGTGAATAGACTGTAACCCACTCTTCTACCAACTACTGTGTTTTTGGCAATAAAACAACATCAGCTGTTTAAACCATGTTTGAGTAAGGCAAATCTCAAGCTGTAATCAATCTGGCTGTTTCTGTATCTCACCCCCATTTTCTGTATGTCACTTTGCTTTTTCTGTCCATAAATCTTTTTCCACCATGTGGCTATGCTGCAGTCTCTCTGAGCCTACTCTGGCTCCACAGGCTGCCCAATTTGCAAATCATTCTTTGCCCATTTAAACTCTTTTAAATTTAATTTCTCTAAAGTATTTTTCTTTTAAAAGTTTTCAAATTTTTTCTGTGATGAAAAATAATCTGTTGTTGGGTTTCGATTTTCTAAACTTATCCATCAGCTACAAACACAAAGTATTCTATGTCTTTTTTTTTTATTTTTTGAGATGCAGTTTCGCTCTTGTTGCCCAGGCTGGAGTGCAATGGCGCAATCTCGGCTCACTGCAACCTCTGCCTCCTGGGTTCAAGTGATTCTTCTGCCTCAGCCTCCTGAGGAGCTGGATTACAGGCACCCGCCACCACGCCTGGCTAATTTTTTTGTTTTTAGTAGAGACAGGGTTTCATCATGTTGGCCAGGTTGGTCTTGAATTCCTGACCTCAGGTGATCCACCCACCTCGGCCTCCCAAAGTGCAGGGATTACAGGCTTGAGCCACCATGCCCGGCCAGTATTCTATGTCTTTTTAAAATGCTTTGGCAAATTCTTTTTTTTTTTTTTTTTTTTTTGAGACAACATCTTACTCTATCACCCAGGCTGGAGTGCAGTGGTGTATCCAAACATGGCTCACTGCAGCTTGACCCTCCAGGCTGAAGCGATCCTTCTGCCTCTGCCACCTGAGTAGCTGGGGCTACAGGCATGTACCACCATGTCCGGCTAATTTTTAAATTTTTTTTTGTGAAGACAGGTTCTTACTATGTTACCCAGCCTGCACTTGAACTCCTGAGCTCATGTAATTCTTCCACATTAGCCTCCCAAAATGCTAGGTTTACAGGTGTGAGCCACTGTGCACTTCTGCAAATTCTTGAGAGGATTATTCCCAATGATAAACAGTACTATATTGGCACAAATGTAAAAGGAATGTAGGCTGGGCACAGTGGCTCATGTTAGTAATCTCAGAACCTTGGGAGACCAAGGCAGGCAGATTACTTAAGGTCAGGAGCTTGAAACCAGCCTGGCCAACATGCTGAAACCCCGTCTCTACTACAAATACAAAAATTAGTCAGGTGTGGTGGCAAGCACCTGAAATCCCAGCTACTTGAAAGGCTGTGACAGGAGAATTACTTGAACTTGGGAGGAGGATGTTACAGTGAGCCGAGATTGCACTACTGCATTCCAGCCTGGGTGACAGAGCGAGACCCTGTCTCAAAAGAAGTGAAATAGATTAATAAAAAAAAAATAAAAGGAATCTGGCTTCTACTGTGGAAGTGTCACCCTCCAGGACACTTCAAGGGTCTAGGGCAGCTACTTTAGTAGTGTCATCTATGGAGGTGTGTGGGCTTTGGAGTCAGACAGAGTTGATCCTGAGTCTCAGCCCAGCCACTTAGTAGCTGTGTGTCTTTGGACAAGATTCTTGATGTGAAAGAGTTCTATAAACCACATATGCAAAACAAACAAACAAATAAACAAAGGCAGAATGATACTGATTTCAAAAATGGTAGCAATTTCTAGTTTTTCCTGTATCCATGCCCATTGTAGGTGCTTTTAAAGCTGTTCCCATCAAGATCCAGAATGCTTTTCAAACCCTAGATTTTGCTGGCCTTATTCACTCAGGGCAGTAGAAACCTGTGAACATGACAATGTACTAGTTTGGGGCGTAGGCTCAAAAGGTCTTGAATGCTTCTGTTTTTCTTTCAGAATGCTGCCATCTCCATGAATAAAGCCCATGTTAGCCAGCTGGAGGATAAGATACCATGGGGAGGAGAAGCAAGTTGCCCCTGTTGACAGCCCCAGAAGCAGAAGCTCATCCCCAGAAGCACAGCTGCCTATTCAACAAACAGCTGAAGATACATGTCTGGAGGAGCTCAGCTGAGACAAAAAGAACAGCCTCACTGAGCCCACCCTAAATAGCTGACCATCTCAATTATGAGCAAATAAGTTTTGAATGATTTGTTGTGCTGCAATAGCTAATTAATACATGCACCCAGTGCAGATAGGATGCCAGGATTCATTGACAAGTTGATTACTAGTTCTCTTCTAACAGTGGGTACCCTATAGGTACTGATTTTTCCCCTGATATAAAGTTGGAGGCCTCGTAAGAGAATGCTGAGTAATGCAGAAATATATGTGGACATGTATGCATGTAATTGGTGCCTATACTCACACAGTCCCCCATACCACAGGAGAAAACAGATAACCACAGCCTGACCATTAGGGCCAAGGACAAATAGAAAAGTAAGTTTTCCTTTAATCTATTTTCTTCATATCTAAACATTGGAGGTCAAGACTGTGCACAGATTTGAAGACACAGAGATTTCTTCTCCTGTGGCCTTACCATCCTTAGTTCACCTTCTGATCTCTGGAATAAAGGTAGGCAACAGGTGGCCAGCAGTGGTCTACCTGTGGTTGTTTTTTCCTGCTGTCCTGTGCTTTATTTATGGCTACTATCTGTTCCTCCCTCAGAGCTGAAGAGAGATGTTGGTAGGGAAAGGCTCTTTTTCCATCTTTGGCAGAAAAGGTTTGTTCAGGCCCTTCCCTCTCCTAAGGTCAGAGCTGCACTTCAATGTGGCAGCTACTGGCCATGTGTGGCGACTGAGTGCCTGGAATGTGGCTGGTCTGAACTGTGATGTGCTGGAAAGGTAAAATACAGAGTTAGTTTCAAAGATGAAGTTCCAAAAAATATCTACACTTCATTTATAATTTACATTTTGCTTACGTATTAAGATGATATTTTGGATATATTGGGTTAATTAAATTGCTACAATAAATTCCACCTGTTTTTTTTTTTTTTAATTTTTAAAGTTTGGCTACTAGAAAATTTAAAATACAATTTTATTTCAGAGGATTGCCTTCTTTTTAAAACCTCAGGCAATCTGATGAAAAAACCAGAAGCCAGGAAGGTCATAAACTCTGAAAATTTTAGATAATTGTTATATTCTTTTCATTTGTGAATAACCATATAATATATTATTTATAAAAGAATGTGACCTTATACAAAAGGTTAAATGCAAATACCCTCTGGGGTTGGCCTGGCTCAGTTCAGGAAGGAAGCCCTGCCTGAAAAGGCTGCAGCCTAGACTGTCATCCTTTCCTTTCTTTTTCTTTTCTTTTCTTTTTTTCGTGACAGAATCTCGCTCTGTCATCCAGGCTGGAGTGCACTGGCGCGATCTCGGCTCACTGCAACCTCCGCCTCCTGAGTTTAAGCAATTCTCGTGCCTCAGCCTCCGGAGTAGCTGGGATTACAGGCGCCCGCCACCACACCAGCCTAATTTTTATTTTTAGTAGAGACCGGGTTTTGCCATGTTGGCCAGGCTGGTCTCCAACTCCTGACCTCTGGTGATTCACCCGCCTCGGCCACCCAAAGTGCTGGGATTACACGCGTGAGCCACCGCGCCCGGCCCGTCACTCTTCATTCAGCTCAGCATCAGATCACATCTTCTGTCACTCAGGGCCTGAGGAGGCGGGGATTTAAACATTATCCAATCAGGGACTCTGGGCTGGGAACCGTCCAATCAGGCACTCAGCTGGAGCGGAAAGGGCGGCTTGTGGGATGTGGCGGGGCCGTTGTTTCTGGTTCCAGCTGGAGCTCCGGATCTCGTTTTTACTGCTCTGTGTCCTTAGCCTCTGTGGCCCTGTGACCTGTAGGTATTTGGAGATCCACAGCTAGGACGCCAGGACCCCCTGGAAGCTTAGAAATGGTGAGAGTGCCGGGTCCGATATCCTGAGAAGGGGAAGGGGCTGACTGGAACCGGTGGAAAGTGGCTGTGGCGGGACTCAGGCCTCCCCTCAGTGAGCTCCACAGTCTGCGCCCCGAGCTCTTGCCCAGCTCGGCCTCAGTCTCCTTCAGCCATAAGATGGCGGCTGCGCTGACTGCGGGACCCCGGGCGACCTGCCTCCTTCCTGCACTGTGACTATGCCCTGGCCTGGAGCCCTCTCTGGGCCGCTCTTCACCCGCAGCGCCTCCTCTCTCACAGATTGTGCAGGGACCACGGGAGGGGCGTCAGGGGAGAATCCTGACTCCGGGTGCGGGTTCATGAATGGGAAGAGCTTTGGTCCAGTGAGGTTTCCAGTCCCTCTTTTCTCCTATTAAAAATTGATGGCAGTCATCACTAAAGTAATAAAGGATTTAATCAAAGAGTGATTCAAAAATGGCAGAGCACCCAGCTGTGGTTTGTAGTTTATGGTCTATGGAAGGGATTTGACGGAAAGAGTTTTATAAGGTGCATAATGAAGAAAACCAAATTCAGTAATGGGTTATGTACAGTTACGTAGATTCTTAATTTGTACAATCAAGATGGAAATTTCCCGTTTATATAATCAGAGGTTAATTGTAGTTTATAGTTGGTTAAGCCTGAATTTTGTTTCCCCCAATGTAGTAATTTACAAAAAAAAAAGCACTTGAATTATTAATATTTTTTTCTTTCTTTTTTTGAAACGGAGTTTTGTTCTTGTTGCCCAGGCTGGAGTGCAGTGGCGCGATCTCGGCTCAACGCAACTTCCGCCTCCCAGGTTCAAGCGATTCTCCTGCCTCAGCCTCCCGAGTAGCTGGGATTACAGGCATCCGCCACCACACCCGGCTAATTTTTGTGTTTTTAGTAGAGACGAGGTTTCTCCGTTTTGGTCAGGCTGGTCTCGAACTCCCGACGTCAGGTGATCTGCCCTCCTCCGCCTCCCAGAGTGCTGGGATCACAGACATGAGCCACCGCGTCCGGCCGAATTAGATTTTTTAAAAAGTAGATTATCAGGCCTGGCTCGGTGGCTTACACCTGTAATCCCAGCACTTTGGGAGGCCGAGGCGGGTGAATCACGAAGTCAGGAGTTCTAGACCAGCCTGGCTAACATGGTAAAACTCCGTCTCTAATAAAAATACAAAAATTAGCCGGGAGTGTGGCAGATGCCTGTAATCCCAGTTTCTCGGGAGGCTGAGGCAGATAATCGCTTGAACCCGGGAGGCAGAGGTTGCTGTGAGCTGAGATTGCGCCACTGCACACCAGCCTGGGCAAGAGAGGGAGACTCCCTCTCATATTAAAAAAAAAAAAAAAAAAAAAAAGGCCAGGTGCGGTGGTTCATGCCTGTAATCCCAGCACTTTGGGAAGCCGAGGCAGGCGGATCACCTGAGGTCGGGAGTTCAAGACCAGCCTGACCAACATGGAGAAACCCCATCTCTACTAAAAATACAAAAATTAGCCAGGTGTGGTGGCACATGCCTGTACCTGTAATCCTAGCTACTCGTGGGGCTGAGGCAGGAGAATTGCTTGAACCCGGGAGATAGAGGTTGCGGTGAGCCGAGATCGCGCCATTGCAGTCCATTCTGGGCAACAAGACCGAAACTGTCTTAAAAAAAAAGAAAAAAAAAAGTAGATATCAGGCACTAGAGCCACCTCAGTCTATTTGCCTGCCACTTAATTATTTTTAATTATTTTCACACTCCTCAGATGACTGATTTTCCCCTCCATTTTTTACAGGTATCTCAAGCAGAGTATTATGTCTACTCCCAAACCCCAATTCCTGCAGCCTAACTCTGGCTTGCAATAAAATACTAAACTTCCAGTTCATAATGTCAATTTTCCCTCTCTGATTCACATTACTATTTGTCCTTAGTGTACATTTTGATACTGTATTTTATTTTTTAACAAAGCATTGGATGGTACTTTTCATAATATTTGTTTTCTGTTTGTGAATATTTCCTAAGAGAAGAAAGCAAAAAATAATCCCCTGACACTGTGTTGTAAAAAATCTTTGTGCCGCTTTTTTTTTTTCCTCCTTGCTCCACAGATTTTAGCAGAATGTTTTGGGGTAAAGGTAAAGGTTTTCCTTTGGAAACTTTATGATGTGTTTTCAGCCATTCTTCAGTTTTTTCCCTGGTCCTGGGTTTCAGTACTGTCTGGGAATTAGCTAAAATATTCCCCATGGCTATGTCTGCTAGAGTGTCTAGTGAATATCAGCTCCTGGTCATTTTCTCCAGTAGGACAACCTGAGGTGTGGAGTGTAGCCTTTCAACGAAGAAGGCAGATGCCCTGGGGTTGAGAGGTCTCTCCTGGTATACTCTTCCTTTGAAAAGCTAACCCTTGAGACATTAAGATTGTCTTCACCCAACCCAGCTTCCATTTTTTGAAGACACATTGCTGGTCAGCCAATCAGATGCTGGTATTGCGGGGAAAACACAGAAATAATTTCTGCCCCCTGCATTCTTTAAGGGAGCAGAACAATAGTGAAATATAATGAAAAAATAGTGAAAGAAAAATAGTGAGAATCTGTGAAATCAAAAATAGTGTCCCAAACGACAAAAAAAAAAAAAAAAAAAAAAAGTGACCCCAATGAGATGGTGTAAGAACTTGAAAAGTTCTTACCTGGGGCACTCACTGGGGCATAGTTCAGAGTCTCCTGAGAAGGAGTTATTGGGCACTTAAGTGAGGAGAATGGGGTGGGAGAATCTCTTAAGTGATTGGATGGCCTGACTTGACACATGAATCAGACACATCTGTACCTTGAAAAGATTTGTTCACTTATTTTGACCTCAGTTTTTTAACTGTAAATTGCATTTTGTTAGTAGGGATTGAAAGGTAAGAAAATACTTAACCAAGGGCAAAAAAGAGATGGGTTTCAGAATAAAATTAATATTGAATTGTATATTCCATTTGTTAAAAATTTTCATTTACCTTTTTCCCAGAATGACTTTAGGAATTTTCTCTGGTGTGTTTTTTATGGTTGGGTGATTTTAAACAGAATTTCAAGGCTTGACTTTTCAAATGCTACCAAGGAAGAAAAATAGGGAAAATCTCTCTTCCATTTTGGCTTTAGAAAATGCACATATTTCCACAAGAAAAGGTGGTAATTGGTGAGTTCCTTAGATTCATGAAAACATCAGTTCCTCCTTTTGCAGGGTAAATTTGTAACAGTGACTATCTCTATTCTGTATCCTATTACTTTGCTATCTGAGTTTCATGCTGAAACTTTGTACCTTCTAGAAATGTTTCCATATGACTAATTGTTTGCTACATGATTTTTTTTTTTTTTTTTGAAACAGAGTTTCATTCTTGTTGCCCAGGCTGGAGTGCAATGGCACGATCTTGGCTGACTGTAACCTCTGCCTCCCGGGTTCAAGTGATTCTCCTGCCTCAGCCTCCCGAGTAGCTGGGATTACAGATATGTGCCACCACGCCGCTAATTTTGTATTTTTAGTAGAGACGGGGGTTTCTCCATGTTGGCCATGCTGGTCTCGAACTCCCAACCTCAGGTGATCCGCCCGCCTCAGCCTCCCAAAGTGCTGGGATTACAGGCATGAGCCACCACGCCTGGCCTACTACATGATTTTTAATGGAAATAGTAAAATAATACATTTATTGTCTGAAAAGAATAGATACTTTTGTTTCTCTTATTGAGATATAAAGTGTAAGCACCTTAAAATTTCCTTCCCTTATATGAACACTGTGTTAGAGTAATTGCACTGAATTTTTCGAACACTTACTTTCAAAAACCAAGGGAATAACTCTGACATGAAGATTAAAGCCTGAGCCCAGTGACTCTAAGCTAAGGCTAATACTGAGCCTGCAAAAGGAGGTTATTAAAGGATCAGTTAGTTTTTTCTGGGGAGTCTTCTCTGCAGATATCCCAGCCTGCTCACCCCAGTCATGGAAGGAGACTTTATCCTGAGGGAAGCCACAGAACCCTGGAAAGCTGGGGACCCACAGGCAGATGCAGTTAAGGTTAAGATGAAAGGGGATTGGGAGGGTCTTACTGAAGATGAAATTGTTATTGTTTTGAGATAGTTTCTAGACTTTGTAAAATAAAACGAAGTTAGATTTATGTTGAAAAAAGAATTGAATTCCAAAAGGGTATTGCAACAGGAGGAAATACCAACTATAAGATCTTTAAGGATTGCTAAGTTTAGGCAGACAAGGGCCTTGTTTCATATGGAAGAGCAAACCATATTAGAGAGGAGGTCGGAGGGGATGGCGAATGGAGGGTGAAAGAAAGAGATTTTAGATCAGAGAATGTTTTACACTGAAGTCATCATGTACTTAGGAACTACATAAAAATAAGGTTGTATGTTGACTCAGACTGAGGGTAGCTCAAAGTTCAGAAGCCTGTTTAAATAAGTAATGTTTGATTAAGAAATATTTTAGGTTGACCACTGAAAACAAACTCAGCTGATTTATTTATTTATTTTTATTATTATTATTTTTTGAGACAGAGTCTCACTCTGTTGCTGAGGCTGGAGTGCAGTGGCACGATCTTGACTCAACTGCAACCTCCGCCTCCCGGGTTCAAGCTATTCTCCTGCCTTAGCCTCCTGAGGAGCTGGGACTACAGGCATCTGCCATCATGCCTGGCTAATTTTTGTGTTTTTAGTAGAGACCGTGTTTCACCATATTGGCCAAGCTGGTCTCGAACTCCTGACCTTTTGATCCGCCTGCCTCAGCCTCCCAAAGTGCTAGGATTACACGCATGAGCTACCGCGCCCGGCCCGATTTATTTATTTATTTTTTAATGAGAAAAAGGAGACAATGTGCAGAGTCTGTGTCTGGCTATGTGATAGGTAAGAAAAGAGAGCACCATCGAAGTCATAATGGGAAGGGTGTTTCTTTCCAGAAACTGTTCCTGGAGCACACAAAGGATAGAGAATTTTATTAATCACAGCTATTTACCAGGATTATCTATATGCTTTATCTTTCCCCACCTCTTTTCTTTCTTTTTTTTTTTTGAGATAGAGTTTTGCTCTTGTTGCCCAGGCTTGAGTGCAATGGCACAATCTTGGCTCACCACAACCTCCACTTCCTGGGTTGGAGCGATTCTCCTGCCTCAGCCTCCTGAGTAGCTGGGATTACAGGCAGGCACCACCACGCCCAGCTAATTTTTTTGTATTTTTAGTAGAGACGAGGTTTCTTCATGTTGTTCAGGCCAGTCTTGAACTCACAACCTCAGGTGATCGCCCACCTTGGCCTCCCAAAGTGCTGGGATTACAGGTGTGAGCCACCGTGCTCAGCCTCCCCACATCTTTTCTTTGTCCTATACATTTCTTCCATTTGACTTTTCCTGGATTGTATCTTTTCTAATAAACTGATAAATGTAACTACAGTGTTTTCCTGAGTTCTGTGACTAGCTCTATAAAATTATTGAATTTGAGGAATGTTATGAGAGTCCCCAGTTTTTAAACAGTAGCTCAGAAGCAAAGATGGGCCCATGGGGTTTGTGACTGGCTTTTTCAGTAAGAACAATGTTGTGAGACTGAGCCCTGAATCAGGGTGTGTGCTGACTCTGGGTGGTGTCAGAATTCAGTGAGTTGGTGTTGGAGAATGTCAGACAGTGAGTTGGTGTGGGAGAATTGCTTGGTGTTTAGCAAACTCTACAAATTTGGTTCCAGCTGAGAGATATCACAGAGGCCTGGTCTGGAATGGATCTCTGGGTGTCTAGGAATGGGAGGCTCTGCTTTTCTGTACACAGGCCATCACACTGCCCATTACCCTGTGATTTCAGGTCTCCTCCCAGGGTGAGAGAGGATAAAAAAGAGGAAAAAAGTTCTAATAACAGACCGCCTTTTTCTTTTTTTTTTTAATTTAAGTTCTAGGATACATGTGCACAACATGCAGGTTTGTTACATATGTATACATGTGCCATGTTGGTGTGCTGCACCCGTTAACTCATCATTTACGTTAGGTATTTCTCCTAATGCTATCCCTCCCCCCTCCCCCCACCCCACGACAGGCCCTGGTGTGTGATGTTCCCCACCCTGTGTCCAAGTGTTCTCATTATTCAATTCCCACCTATGAGTGAGAATATGCGAACAGACCGCCTTTTTCCACTGCTGCCATCACAGGATTCCCACCTTCTTACAAGCATATCCACTGGACACTGGCTTATCCACACCCCTCTTAGAACTAGTTACCACCCTCAGGAATTTCACTACAGCATTTTTGATCCTAGTGTTTCCTGCCAAATCTCACTCAAGTGTCTACAAGTCTCCTGGCATATCCCAACCCCAGACACTGAATCTGCAGCAGCAACATGTTTTTTCCACCAACATGAGGTTCTGGACAACCTGTTCATAATATCATCTGCCAGCATGAACCCAAAAATTAATCAGAGTAGAGCCGTACCTGGGCCACTATCTGTAGCACAAACCAGTCCTTCCACCTGCATTGCACTCTCTTTCACCCATAGAGTTTTTTTGTTTTAACTTTTATTTTTGATTCAGGAGTACATGTGTAGGTTTGTTACATAGAGGAAATTGTGTCGGGAGTTGGTGTGCAGATTATTTTGTCACTGAGGTATTAAGCACAGCACCACACAGGTATTATTTTTCTGATCCTCTTTGTCCTCCACCCTTAACTAGAAGGGTGTGTGTTGTTCCCCTCTTTGTGTTCTCATTATTTAGCTCTTACTAATAAATGAGAGCATGCATTTGGTTTTCTCTTTCTGCATTAGTTTTCTAAGGATAATGGTCTCCAGCTCCATCTATGTTGCTGCAAATGACATAATCTTGTTCACTTTTTATGGCAATGCAGTATTCCATGATGTTTATATACCATGTTTTGTTTTTGCTAAATACTTTATTTTATTTTTTGAAAATGGGTCTCTGTCACCCAGGCTGGAGTACAGTGACATGATCTTGGCTTATTGCAGCCTCAAATTCCCGGGCTCAAACAGTTCTTCTACCTCAGCCCCCTAACTAGCTGGGACTACAGGTGTGTGCCACCAAGCCCAGCTAATTTTTCTTCCTGTATTTTTTGTTGACATAGGGTTTTGCCATGTTGTTTAGGGTGGTCTTGAACTCCTGAGCTCAGGCAATTTACCTGCCTCAGCCTCCCAGAGTGCTGGAACTACAGGCATGAGCCACCAAACCTTACCTGTACCATATTTTCTTTATCCAGTTTACCATTGATAGGCATTTCGGTTGATTCCATGTCTTTGCTATTGTGAATAGTGCTTCAGTGAACATGCATGTGCATGTGTCTTTATGACAGAATAATTTTTATTTCTTTGGGTATATACCCAATTATGAGGTTGCCGGGTCAAATGGTAATTCTGCTTTTAGTTCTGTGAGGAATCGCCACACTGCTTTTCACAATGGTTGAACTAATTTACACTCCTAGCAGCAGCGCATACGCTTTTCTCTGCAACTGCCAGCATCTGTTATTTTTTGACTTTGTAGTAATAGCCATTTTGACTGATATGAGATGGTATATCATTGTGGTTTTTCTTTGCTTTTCTGTAGTGATGAGTATTTTTTTCATAGGCTTGTTAGCCATATATATATATATATATATATATATATATATATATATATATATATATATATATATCTTATTTTGGAAAAAGTTTGCTCATGTTTTTTGTTTACTTTTTTTTTTTTTTTTAATTGAGATGAAGCCTCACTCTGTCACCCAAGCTAAAGCGCAGTGGCATAATCTCAGCACACTACAACCTTCGCCTCCTGGGTTCAAGTGATTCTCCTGCCTCAGCCTCCTGAGTGGATGGAATTATAGGCGCCTGCCACCACACCCAGCTAATTTTTTTATTTTTAGTAGAGATGAGGTTTAACCATGTTGGCCAGGCTGGTCTCAAACTCCTGATCTCAAGTGATCTTCCCTCCTTGGCCTCCCAAGATGCTGGGATTACAGGCGTGAGCCTTTAATCTTACTCTTAGCCTTTTGTCTACTAGGTTTTTGTTATGTTTTGTTTTGTTTTTGAGGTGGAGTTTCACTCTTGTTGCCTAGGCTCGAGTGCAGTGGCACAGTCTCGGCACACTGCAACCTCTGCCTCCCGGGTTCAAGAGATTCTCCTACCTCAGCCTCCCGAGAAGCTGAGATTACAGGTGCCTACCACCACGCCCAGCTAATTGTGTTTTTAGTAAAGACTGGGTTTCACCCTCTTGGCCAGGCTGGTCTCGAACTCCTGACCTCAGGTGATCCACCCGCCTCAGCCTCCCAGAGTGCTGGGATTACAGGCATGAGCCACCGCGCCTGGCTGCGTTTTGTTTACTTTTAAGGAGGTTGTTTGTTTCTTGTAAACTTCAGTTTTTTATGGATTCTAGATACTAGACCTTTGTCAAAAGCATAGTTTGCAAATATTTTCTTTTATTCTGTAGGTTGTGTGTTTACTCTGTTGATGATTTCCTTGCTGTGAAGAAGATATTTAATTTAATTAGGTCCCATTTGTCAGTTTTTACTTCTGTTGCAGTTGCTTTTGGTAATTTCATCATAAAATCTTAGTTAGTTCCCATGTGTAAAATGGTATTTTCTAGGTTATCTTCAAGGGTTTCTTATAATTTCAAGTTTTACATTTAAGGCTTTAATTCATCTTGAGTTGATTTTTGTATATGATGTAAGGAAGGGGTCCAGTTTCAATTTTCTACATACTGCTAGGTGGTTTCCCAGTACCATTTATTAAATAGGGATTTCTTCCCACATTCCTCTTATTAGTTTTGTCAAAGATCAGGTGGTTTTAGGTCTGTGGCATTATTTCTGGGCTCTCTATTCTGTTGCATTGTTCTATAAGTCTGTTTCTTGTACCAGTATTATGTGGCTTTGGTTACTGTAGCCCTGTTGCATAGTTTGAAGTCAGGTAATGTAATGCCTCCAGCTTTGTTCTTTTTGCTTAGGATTGCCTTGGCTACTCAGGCTCTTTTATGGTTCCATATGAATTTTAAAATAGTTTTTTATAGTTCTGTTAAAAATGTTTTTGGTAGTTTGATAAGAATAGCATTAAATCTGTTCCGTTTTTGGGTAGTATGGCCATTTTAATGATTTTGATCTTTTCTACCTATGAGCATAAAATGGTTTTCCATTTATTTGTGTTATCTCTGACTTTTGTTTTCTTTTTCTTTTCTTTTTTTTAATTTTGAGTCAGATCCTCGCTCTGTCGCCCAGGCTGGAGTGCAATGGCACAATCTCGGCTCACTGCAACCTCTGTCTTCCGGGTTCAAGCTATTCTCCTGCCTCAGCCTCCTGAATAGCTGAGATTACAGGCGCCCACCACCATGCCCAGCTCATTTTTGTATTTTTAGTAGAGATGGGGTTTCACCATGTTGGCCAGGCTGGTCTCCAACTCCTGACCTCAAATGATCTACCCACCTCGGCCTCCCAAAGTGCTGGGATTACAGATGTGAGCCACTGTGCCTGGCCTGTTAATAGTGTCTTTCATTTCACTAAATCGGAATGCTGCTATTACAGGACAAATAAACACAGATGATGTGGCCACCCAAAAACCATAATAGCTCTTTAGTTAGCTATGTGGCAAGCTTAAATATATTCCAGTATATGAACAAAGTCAGATTATAAATCTTCATCAAAAAGTGCTGGTGGAAATTGTGAGATGTATTTCAATATGGAACCCCCATTCAATGGCTAGGAGATGAGAGAGCAGCAGAGATGGAAGAGAAACCTTCTAAAATTCTGCTGAGAATATGCCCCTTTTCTTCGTAATGCTCATGTTTCTCATGCTGAGAGTAGTTGTGTATTTTGCTTGTTGAGAGAGAAATTCTTTTTAAGATAGTATTTTCTGGCTGACTTGATCAATCTTACGTCTAAACTGAGTTTTTACCTAAGATGGTTTTAACTTCTTTTTTCCTCTCAGCATAATCTTGCTCAGACTGAGAGCTGTTTTTCTGTCCAGTGCTTTGGGTGTCTGCATTGTAAGTATTCCCTGGTGTCTGTAAAAGAGGTGGGCTGTCACAGTGGGAACTTTTGGAGCTATCTCTGTCTGGACTCATGTTGGAAATCCAGCAGTGGTTTTTCCATGTCACCATTGTAAATAAAAACTGAGGCTGAATTACTGTTCCAATTTCCATTAATGTGAAGGTGCAGTTCTCCCCAGGAGGCCTGCAGGCTTTTCTCCTGCAGCTCAGGCTTCCCTCTCTGAGGTGTCACTGGAGTGCTGCTGTGGCAGTTGTGGTTTATGTAAGATGTGAGCTTTCAGCTGTGAGCTCTGCCTCAATGGCAGATGGTAGGGGTCAAGAGAGGACACCAGCTAACAGGAGAGTGCAAGCGGGAGAGGAGTAGCCCCAGTGCTCAGGGAGTAGAGAGCCATTGCTTTAAAATATAAATAGCCAAAAAGATAGCACCCTATTCAACCATTTTTGTAGGAGATTGAGAGCCTACCTTCAGCAGGCACCTGGCTTCAAGTTGCAAAATTACCTCCTTTCATGAAGATATGAAAAGTTTATTTTGTCATTGAACATAACTGATTAGCCTACATGGCTAGCCTTTTCAATTACCAGGTGAATTTAGGAATAACTATGTATGACATGGTGCTATAAATTTTCTACTTGTTAACTAATTAAGGTGACCATCCTTTTGTCTTTGCAGTCTCTTAAGCAGACTGACTGTGATGCATGTCACGTTCAGGTTTAATTGTGTAATACAACAGTTTTATGTCTGTTCTATTATTGTGGAGTTTCTCCGGGGCTGAAGAAAATTTGTCTTTTATGTTTCACAAAAACTCTAGAATTATCAGACATGTTACAAAAATATAAGGTGCCACCCAAGCTTTAAGCTAGAGGAAACTTTCCCTCTCAGGCTATCATTCAACTCACAATTGTGCTGCAAAGTGCATGCTGTCCCCTAAATATGCAGGCAGAATTGTTTCTCTGCCAATTTGGTATCTATAGTCCTCCACAGTAACTTTTAGAGAGGCTAGATCAGAATTCTACAAACTTCACAGGGCAGCAAACAGCCGTTTTACCTTTTTCAGTGACTCTTGTATCTTCACATCTGAAACTGATTCACAGACCATGGGGCCCAGAAACCCAGTCACAGTAACATGTGTGCATTGAGTAGACATGTACACATGGGAATCTCTACTTCCTTTTTCTTCCTCTTGTTAAAATGCCCACAGATGTGCAGGGAACACCTGCTGCTACTCCATCCATTCAGGACCTAAAACTGCAACTTCAAATTCTGAATCCAGGTTTTCAGATTTGAGAAAAAAGAAAAACTTTCTTTCTGAGAGATGCAAGTCCTTTTAGTTGTCAAACTTATAGAGACACTAAAATGAGAGTAGAATTCTCTTTCTCTCTGTCTTTTTTTTTTTTTTTGAGACAGAATTTCGTTCTTGTTGCCCAGGCTGGAGTGCAATGGCACCATCTCGGCTCACCGCAACCCCTGCCTCCCGGGTTCAGGTGATTCTCCTGCCTCAGCCTCCCGAATAGCTGGGATTACAGGCATGCCCCACCATGCCAGGCTAATTTTGTATTTTAGTAGAGATAGGGTTTCTCCATGTTTGTCAGGCTGATCTTGAGTTCCCAACCTCAGGTGATCTGCCCGCCTCCCAAAGTGCTGGGATTATAGGCGCAAGCCACCGTACCCGACCTTCTTTTTGTTTTTTGCACTATGTATTCATCTTTTGAAGCTGTTCACTATTGCCACAAGTAGCTATATATTAATAATGCCACACTGGACACTATAACTTGTACCTAAAAACTAATGGTGTATATCCAATCAATAATCAATGTTATTCCTGTAAATAAATAAAAATTTCTGACAGACAACTTTGTATCAACTCACTCTCTGTCCATCTTTTTTAGCCTTTACAAATCAACTTGTAATCACACTGCTAATCAAGTATATATTTCAGGCAACTTGAATATTTGCTCCCAGGTTACAGTCCTCAAGCTTGGCCCAAATAAACGGTCAACTTATATCTATGTTTCCTCAGATTTTTCCTAGGTAGACATATTATTTAGAATGTGCCAGAGCAGGCTGGGCGCGGTGGCTCACGCCTGTGATCCCAGCACTTTGGGAGGCCGAGGCGGGCGGATCACAAGGTCAGGAGTTCGAGACCAGCCTGGCCAATATGGTGAAACCCTGTCTCTACTAAAAATACAAAAATTAGCCGGGCGTGGTGGCACACGCCTGTAATCCCAGCTACTCAGGAGGCTGAGGCAGGAGAATCGCTTGAACCCGGGAGGCAGAGGTTGCAGTGAGCCGAGATGGTGCCATTGCACTCCAGCCTGGGTGACAGAGCAAGACTCCGTCTCAAAAAAAAAAAAAAAAAAAAAGTTTCACCTGTGGTTGTTGAATAGGGGAAGGTGTGGATACTCAAGATTCCTATTGGGGAAAAGCTGGGGTCCTTACGGAAAAAGTAGAACATGTAATGTTGAGGCTCCATCTGTGTTCTCCATTAGCTCTATGCAGAACAGCTTTAAGAAAATGCTTTTTAGCTGGGCCCGGTGGCTCACGCCTGTAATCCCAGCACTTTGGGAGGCCAAGGCAGGCGGATCACGAGGTCAGGAGATCGAGACCATCCTGGCTAACACGGTGAAACCCTGTCTCTACTAAAAATACAAAAAATTAGCCGGGCGTGGTGGCGGGCACCTGTAGTCCCAGCTACTCGGGAGGCTGAGGTAGGAGAATGGCGTGAATCCGTGAGGCCGAGCTTGCAGTGAGCGGAGATCAGGCTGCTACACTCCAGCCTGGGCGACAGAGCAAGACTCTGCCTCAAAAAAAAAAAAAAAAAAAAAAAAAAAGAAAATGCTTTTTAAAGGCAAGTTGCAGTGGCTCACACCTGTAACCCCAGCACTTTAAGGCGGGTGGATCACCTGAGATTAGGAGTTCGAGACCAGCCTGGCCAGCACGGTGAAACCCCGTCTATACTAAAAATACAAAAAATACCTAGGCGTGGTGTGGGGCACCTGTAATCTCAGCTACTCGGGAGGCTGAGGCAGGAGAATCGCTTGAACCCGGGAGGTGGAGGTTGCAGTGAGCTGAGATCGCACCATTGCACTCCCGCCTGGGCAACAGAGTGAGACTCCATCTCAAAAAAAAAAAAAAAGTTCTGAAAAAAATGGTTAGGAGATACCTGCTCTCTAGTGTGCTAAAGAAAGTCTGCTTAAAATGGCTATTAAAAGTTACAAAAAATGGGAGTTATCTGTGTCTTGACATTTGCATAAACTGATGTTTCTTTATGGTTAAATTCAGATTATAATTTACTTTGGGGGAGCAATATCACAGCAGTAATGCTGTGTCCTTCTGTGTGCCCTTCTGTGTGCATCAGCACATCATAAAAATTTGTCCTACTGCAGTTGATGTTAATGATTGACTTGATTAAAGTGCTGTCTGAGCTGTGCGCGGTGGCTTATGCCTGTAATCCCAGCACTTTGGGAGGCCGAGGTGGGTGGATCACAAGGTCAGGAGTTTGAAGCCAGCCTGGCCAAGATGGTGAAACCCTGTCTCTACTAAAAATACAAACATTAGCTGCGCGTGGTGGCACGCGCCTGTAGTCCCAGCTACCCGGGAGGCTGAGGCAGGAGAATCGCTTGAACCCAGGAGGCGAAGGTTGCAGTGAGTCGAGATCGCGCCACTGCACTCCAGCCTTGGTGACAAGAGAGAAACTCTGTCTAAAAAAAAAAAAAGCTGTCTGACAGGTTTTTTCAGTATAGAGTTAACTATTTTTCTCCTCGTTATTAAGTATCTTTATGTAGCTGATGTGCACCAATGATCACATTTAATCTGGCACCTGCCTTTCTTAGATTTTCTCTGCATATATCTATCTTTGGAAAATGAGGGCTCTCGTCTTTGTTTATAGGGCAGAAAAACTGGGAAAAATACAGGCTCCTCCACTTGCTGAATATTTAACAAAAGATTCTTTTGGGGCCAAAAACAGGCATTACTGGTGAGCTTGTCAAATTCAGAAACTCAGACTTTATTCCAGATCTTATAAAATAAATATGCTTAACAAGATCTCCAGTTAATTGTACACATTAAAATTTGAGAGGTGTCTTCTAACTCAACATGTCTTTTTGGTCTGAAAAATGTACAAGACTTATTCTGTATGATTTAAAAATAGCACTCAAAAATGTACATGTTATCATGCCCTTAATTTTATACTTTATTATCCAGAAAAGTATCTTGTCTGTGCTGGTGTTGTGGATCTTCTGCCATTCTTTTTTTCTCAGAGTTTGAGAATACATTAGAGAATATTTCTTTTTTTCTTTTCTTTATTTTTTTTTTTTTGAGACAGAGTCTAGCTCTGTCGCCCAGGCTGGAGTGCAGCAATCTCAGCTCACTGCAAGCTCTGCCTCCCGGGTTCATGCCATTCTCCTGCCTCAGCCTCCCAAGTAGCTGGGGCTACAGGCACCCACCACCATGCCGGCTAATTTTTTGTATTTTTAGTAGAGACGGGGTTTCACCGTGTTAGCCAGGATGGTCTCAATCTCCTGACTTCGTGATCTTCCTGCCTTGGCCTCCCAAAGTGCTGGGATTACAGGCATGAGCCACTGCGCCCAGCCGAGACGATTTCTGTGTTGAAAATTATTTTACTGAATACGTTCAGTCATCCCTGTAAGTTAGAACCTGTTCTCTTTACTCTCTCATTTCACCTTGAGTCAAATTAAAAATTCTGTCCATGGCCAATTGGGAAATCTATATGTATCTTTGTTGTGTTTTTCAGGGATCGTTGACATTTTGGGATGTGACCATAGAATTCGCTCTGGAGGAGTGGCAATGCCTGGACATGGCTCAGCAGAATTTATATAGGAATGTTATGTTAGAGAACTACAGAAACCTGGTCTTCCTGGGTGAGGATGATTTTAATTAAGCAATTCCTATTATATTCTATAGGTTTCATTTCTCTTTTCTGT
Source organism: Homo sapiens (assembly GCF_000001405.40). Classification (NCBI taxonomy): domain Eukaryota; kingdom Metazoa; phylum Chordata; class Mammalia; order Primates; family Hominidae; genus Homo; species Homo sapiens. The sequence goes on along the minus strand of NC_000019.10, from coordinate 22,769,134 downwards.
AGGATGTGTTTTGGTGATTTATGCTTAGCATAAATAAGTTTCAGATACCCGTTTTCTGAAAACAGGGATTTGAAAGTGTAGAAAAGAATTTTTTTTTTTTTTTTTGAAACAGAGTTTCGCTCTTGTTGCCCAGGCTGGAGTGCAATGGTGCGATCTCGGCTTACCACAACCTCCGCCTCCCAGGTTCAAGCAATTCTTCTGCCTCAGCCTCCTGAGTAGCTGGGATTACAGGCATGCACCACCACACCCGGCTAATTTTGTATTTTTAGCAGAGACGGGGTTTCTCCATGTTGAGGCTGGTCTTGAACTCCTGACCTCAGGTGATCCACCTGCCTCGGCCTCTCAAAGTGCTGGGATTATAGGTGTGAGCCACCATGCCCGGCCAGAAAGGAATTTTTTAAAGATGTTTAATTTTTACCTGAACTTTCCACATTTCTAAGCAGATCTGCATTTTTCACTCTAGATTAGTGAAAATTGAAGAAATTTAGTGGCATAAAATGTAGTTGCCACACCTTGAAATCTCATTGCCACCACCAATATTTGATTCAGTAGTACCAGGTAGTAAAATTAAGGGACTGTACAAATTGAAAATATTTTCTAAATATTTAGAAATTTATGTTATAAATTAGTATTGAGGGATCAATTTACTAGAATATTCTATTACATTCTCTTTAATGAGCACATTATTTGGGGAATATGAGCAATATTTATGTTATTTATTTTTAATAAAACAGGTATCGCTGTCTCTAAGCTAGACTTGATAACTTGTCTGAAGCAAGGGAAAGAGCCTTGGAATATGAAGAGACATGAGATGGTAACTAAACCCCCAGGTATGTGAGAGTGAATACAAGAAACAACACAAATAAGAGGTCCAGAGGTCCAGGAGAAAGCCAGTTCTCAAAATGTGACCTGAGAAGCTGTGCTCCAAAGGAAGTAGTTTCTGGGAAGACTGAGATTTTTTAAAATTTTGCTCTCATGTAGGGCATCTTCTGTCTTATGCTTTAAAATTCTCTAAGGATTCTATTTTCGTTTTGGTAATTTCCCTTCAAGTTTACAGTGAGAGCCAAAGTTGTGTTCATGGCATATAAGGGACTGCACAATCTGACTGCTTTTCCATATTGGGGACACACAAATATCTGTATAGTTTTGAGAAACTATTTTTAAAAAACCTGGCTCTTTTACCTCACACTTGCTCTATCTCTTACCATGTGATATGTCCAGTTTCTCTTCGCTTTCCACTATGATCATAAGCTTCCTGAGAACACACCAGAAACAGATACCGGCATATACTTCTTGTACAGTCTGTTGAACTGTGAGCCAAATAAACTTTTCTGTTATAAATTATTTACTCTCAGATATTTCTCTGTATGTAAAATATTACAGTCCATAATGTTATCTACATTTTCTATTTTCTTAATCTTCTATATGAATTTTCTATTATTATTGAAAATGGGGTCTCAGTGTCTGCAACTGTTATGTTGCTATGTACTTCTTGCTTCACCTATGTCAATATTTATATATTTTGGAGGCCTGTTGTTATACCTACCTGTACATATAAATATAATAGTTATAGATTCCTGGTAAATTGACCCATTTTACTATTATATAATATCAATCTTTTTCTTGTACTAGTACTTGACTTAAAGCATATTGTGCCCAATATAATTACGACTACCTCACCCAATTGTGGCTACTATTTGCATGAAATATAGATTTTTTTAAATTCTGTTACTTACAGACTATTTGACTCAGTGCTAAAATTGGTCTCTTGTAGAGAACATATTGTATGCTTCTTTTCTTAAGCCACTCAGGCATCTTCTTTCTTTTCCTTTTAATTAATTAATTAATGAAATAGGGTCTCACTTCGTCAACCAGGCTGTTTTGCAATGGTGTAATCATGGCAGTGAACTGCAGCCTCAGCCTCTCAAACTCAGATAATCTTCTAGTTTCAACCTCTTAAGTAGCTGGGTTACAGGCCCATGCCATTAAACCCAGCTAGTTTTTTGGTTTTTTTTTTTTTTTTTTTTGGTAGAGACAGGGTTTTGCTTTGTTGCTCAGGCTGTTCTCAAACTCCTGGAATCAAGTTATCAGCCCACCTTGGCCTCCGAAAGTCCTGGAATTACATTTCTTTTTATTAAGTAGTTTGATAAATTTATATTTAAAATGATTTCTTAAAGAAAGTTACGCCAGGCATGGTGTCTCACGCCTGTAATTCCAGCACTTTGGGAGGCCGAGGTGGGCGGATCACCTGAGGTTGGGAGTTTGAGACCAGCCTGACCAACATGGAGAAACCCTATGTCTGCTAAAAATATAAAATTAGCCGGGCGTGGTGGCGCATGCCTGTAATCCCAGCTATTCGGGAGGCTGATGCAGGAGAATTGCTTGAACCCGGGAGGCGGAGGTTGTGGTAAGCCGAGATGGCGCCATTGCACTCCAGCCTGGACAACAACAGTGAAACTCCGACTCAAAAAAAAAAAAAGAAATAAGAAATAAAGTTATGCCGGGCACGGTGGCTCATGCCTGTAATCCCAGCACTTTGGGAGACCGAAGTGGGTGGATCACGAGGTCAGGAGTTTGAGACTAGCCTGGCCAACACAATGAAACCCCGTCTCTACTGAAAATACAAAAATTATCCAGGCATGGTGGCACGTGCCTGTAGTCCTAGCTGCTTGGGAGGCTGAGGCAGGAGAATCACTTGAACCCAGAGGCGTAGGTTGTGGTGAGCTGAGATCGTGCCACCGCACTCCACCCTGGGCAATAGAGCGAGACTCCATCTCAAAAAAAAAAAGAAAAGAAAAGAAATAAAGTTACATACCAGTTTCATTGTTATGTTTTATGTTTTTTTTTTTTTTACATATTTTGTCTCATTTCTTGTTTAACTATTTTTTGTTTAATTTTGTAGTGGCACACTTTGCTTATTTTTTTTATTTTGTTTTGCGTAGTTTCTATAAAATTTTTGTAGTTATGTTGAAAAATGGACATTATGTAAAACATCTTAAGATTAAATCAATGTGTTTTAATATCATAACAACTTAATTGAATACAAAAACTATATTTCTATATTTTCAAGTTTGTTATTAATATTACAAATTATTTTATATTGTGTATTCAGATTTATGCAGATTTATATTTTGTTTTTATATTCTATAGAAGAATTTTAAGGGTATTATGCCTATTATTATAGTAAGACATTTTATATGTGTCTGTATGTTTACATTTAATAGAAAGCTATATATTCATATACGGTTTTTTGATGCTGTCTAGCATCATTTTATTTTTCAACATAAAAGACTCATTTTAGCATTTCTCTTGTTATATATGCACAGTCTCACTCTGTTTTGGGGCTGATCTTGAACTCTTGGTCTCAAGTTTTCTGACTACCTTGGCCTCCTAAAGGTGTAGGATTACAGGCATGAGCCACTGTGCCTGGCCACCATGTAGCTTTTTTTTTTAACTGTGCTAGTGGTGATGAACACCCTTACCTTTCATTTTGGAAAGTCTTTATTTTTTATTGTTTTTTAAAGTAAAATAATTTCTGATCAAGTATTATGGATTAAGAATTTTTTTTATTACATCAAAATTTGGAAAGCTCTTTTTTTTCGTCTTCAAGTAACCTGTGTACTACTTTATTTTTTTTTATTTATTTTATTTTTTCATAAGTTATTGAGGTACAAGTGGTGTTTGGTTACATGAGTAAGTTCTTTAGTGGTGATTTGTGGGATTTTTGTGCACTCATCACCCGAGCTGTATACACTGCACTCTATTTGTGGTCTTTTATCCCTCGTTTTCCTCCCACTCTTCCCCCCAAGTCCCCAAAGTCCACTGTGTCATTCTTATGCCTTTGCATCCTCATAGCTTAACTCCCACATATCAGTGAGAACATACGATGTTTGGTTTTCCATTTCTGATTTACTTCACTTAGAAGGATAGCCTCTAATCTTATCCATGTTGCTGTGAATGCCATTAATTTATTCCATTTTATGGCTGAGTAGTGTTCCATTATATATATATCTCACAGTTTCTTTATCCACTCATTGGTTAATGGGCATTTGGGTTGGTTCCATGATTTTGCTGTTGTGAATTACGCTGCTATAAATGTGTGTGTAAGTATCTTTTTCATATAATGACTTCTTTTCCTCTGAGTAGATACCCAGTAGTGGGATTGCTGGATCAAATGGTAGTACAACTTTTAGTTCTTTAGGAATCTCCACACTGTTTTCCATAGTGGTTGTACTAGTTTACATTCCCACCAGCAGTGTAGAAGTGTTCCCTGATCACCACATCCACACCAACATCTGTTTTTTTATTTATTTATTTTTTATTATGGCCATTCTTGCATGAGTAAGGTGGTATCCTTTGGTGGTTTTGATTTGCATTTCCCTGGCCATTAGCAATATTGAGCATTTTTTCATATGTTTCTTGGCCATTTGTATATCTTCTGTTGAAAATTGTCTATTTGTGTCCTTAGCTCAGTTTTGATGGGATTTTTTTTTTTCTTGCTGATTTGTTTGAGTGCATTGTAGATTCAAGATATTACTTCTTTGTCAGGTGTATAGATTGTGAAGATTTTCTCCTACTCTGTGGGTTGTCTGTTCACTCTGGTGTTCCTTTTGCCATGCAAAAGCTCTTTAGTTTAATTAAGTCCCTGTTTTGACACTATTCCACAAGATAGAGAGAAAACCCTCCCTAATTTATGTTTGTTTTAATTGCATTTGCTTTTGGGTTCTTGATTATGAAATCCTTGTCTAAGCCAATGTCTAAAAGGGTTTTTCCAATGTTCTAGAATTTTTATACTTTCAGGTCTTAGATTTAAGTCCTTAATCCATCTTGTGTTGATTTTTGTATAAAGTAAAATATGAGGATCCAGTTTTATTCTCCTACATGTGGCTAGCCAATTATCCCAGCATCATTTGTTGAAAAGAGTCCCTGGCCAGGCGCGGTGGCTCATGCCTGTAATCCCAGCACTTTGGGAGGCTGAGACGGGTGGATCATGAGGTCAGGAGTTCAAGACCAGCCTGGCCAATGTGATGAAACCCCATCTCTACTAAAAATACAAAAATTAGCCAGGTGCAGTGGCAGGCACCTGTAATCCCAGCTACTTGGGAGGCTGAGGCAGGAGAATTGCTTGAACCCGGGAGGCAGAAGTTGTGGTGAGCCAAGATCACACCACTGCACTCCAGCCTGGGTGACAGAACAAGACTCCATCTCAAAAAAAAAAAAAAAAAAAAAAGGAAAGAAAAAAAAAAGAGTATCCTTTCCCTACTTTATGTTTTTGTTTGCTTTGTCGAAGTTCAGCTGGCTGTAATATTTGGGTTTATTTCTGGGTTCTCTATTCTGTTCCATTGGTTTATGTGCCTATTTTTATACCAGTACCATGCTGTTTTTGTGACTATGGCTTTATAGTATAGTTTGAAGTCAGGTAGTGTGATGCCTTCAGATTTGTTCTTTTTGCTTAGTCTTGCTTTGGCTATGCAGGCTCTTTTTTTGTTCCATATGGATTTTAGAATAATTTTTTCTAATTCTGTGAAGAATGACGGTGGTATTTTGATGGAAATTGCATTTAATTTGTAGATTGCTTTTGGCAGTGTGGTCATTTTCACAATATTGATTCTACCTATCCATGAACGTGGACTGTTTCCATTTGTTTGTGTCATCTGTGATTTCTTTCAGCAGTGTTTTGTAGTTTTCCTTGTAGAGGTCTTTTACCTCCTTGGTTAGGTATATTCCTAATTTTTTTTTTTTCTCACAGCTATTGTAAAAGAGTTTGAGTTTTGATTTGACTCTCTGCTTCGTCGCTGTTGGTGTATAGAAGAGCTACTGATTTGTATGCATTAATTTTGTATCTGAAAACTTTGCTGAATTATTTTATCACTTCTAGGAGCTTTCTTGAAAAGTCTAGGGTTTTCAAAGTAAACAATCATATCATCCGCAAACAGTGACAGCTTTACTTCCTCTTTACCAATTTTGATGCCCTTTATTTTTTTCTCTTTTCTGCTTGCTCTGGATAAGACTTCCAGTACTATGTTGAAGAAGTGGGGTGAAAGTGGGCATCCTTGTCTTGTTCCAGTCCTCAGAGGGAATGCTTTCAACTTCTCCTCATTCAGTATTATGTTGGCTCTGGGTTTGTCATAGATGGCTTTTATTATCTTGATGTATGTCCCTTGTATGCCAGTGTTGCTAAGAGTTTTAATCATAAAGCGTTGCTGGATTTTGTTGAATGCTTTTTCTGCATCTATTGAGATGATCCTGTGACTTTTGTTTTTATTTCTTTTTATGTGGTGTATCACATTTATTGACTTGCATTTGTTAAACCATCCCTGCATCACTGGTATGAAACCCACTTGATCATGGATTCTGTTTTTGATATGTTGTTGGATTCAGTTAGCTAGTATTTTGTTAAGGATTTTAGCATCTATTTTCATCAGGGACGTCAGTCTGTGGTTTTCTTTTTTGATTAATGCCTTTTCTGGTTTTGGTATTAGGGTGATGCTGGCTTCATAGAATGAATTAGGAAGGGCTCCCTCTTTCTCTATCTTATGGAATAGTGTCAATAGAATTGGTATCAATTCTTCTTTGAATGTCTGGTAGAATTCTGCTGCATACTGTCTGGTCCTAGACATTTTTTTCTTGGTAATTTTTAAATTACCATTTCAATCTCGCTGCTCATTATTGGTCTGTTCAGGGTATCTAATTCTTCCTGATTTAAGCTGGGTGGGTTGCATTTTTGCAGAAATTTATTCATTTCTTTTAGGTTTTCTAGTTAGTGCACTTAAAGGTGTTCATAGTAGCCTTGAATGATCTTTTGTATTTCTGTGTTGTCAGTTGTAATATCTCCCATTTCATTTCTTATTGAGGTTATTTGGATTTTCTTTTTTTCTTGGTTAATCTTGCTAATGGTCTATCAATTGTATTTATGCGTTTTAAAGAGCCAGGTTTTTGTTTTATTTATCTTTTGGTTTTTGTTTGTTTGTTTCAATTTCATTTCATTCTGCTCTGACTGTGACTATTTTTTTTTCTTCTTCTGGGTTTGGGTTTGGTTTGTCCTTGTTTCTCTAGTTTCTTGAGGTGTGAACAAGAGTGTCATTTTGTGTTCTTTCAGACTTTTTGATGTAGGTGTTTAGGACTATGAACTTTCCTTTTAGCATCTCCTTTGCTGTATCCTAGAGGTTTTGATAGGTTGTATCACTTTTGTTGTTGAGTTTGAAGAATTTTTAAATTTCCATTTTGATTTCATGTTTGACCCAATGATTATTCAGGAGCAGGTTTTTTAATTTACATGTATTTGCATGGTTTTGAAGTTTCCTTTTGTAGTTGAATTCCACTTTTATTCCACTGTGGTCTGAGAGAGTGTTTGATATAATTTCATTTTCTTAAATTTATTGAGGCTCATTTTGTGGCTTATCATACGGTCTATTTGGAGAAGGTTTCGTGCACTGTTGAGTAGAATGTATATTCTGCAGTTATTGGATGGAATGTTCTGTATATATCTGTTAAGTGCATTTGCTCCAAGGTATAGTTTAAATCCATTTTTTATTTGTTGACTTTCTGTCTTGATGACCTGTCTAGTGCTGTCAGTGGAGTATTGAAGTCCTCATTATTATTGTGTTGGTGTCTATCTCATTTATTAGGTCTACTAGTAATTGTCTTATAAATTTGGGAGCTTCAGTGTTAGGTGCATATATGTTGAGGATTGTGATATGTTCCTGTTGTACAAGACCTTTTACCATTGTATAATGTCCCTCTTTGTTTTTTTAAACTGCTGTTGCTTTAAAGTTTATTTTGTCTTATATAAGAATAGCTCTTATGAACCTCTTGTTTAGCATGATATTGCGGGATTCTCTGGCTTAGGTGAATAGCAAGCCATTTTCATGAATTACCTCACGCCATTAGGGGAAGAGGTATCCTCATTTTTAAAATTTTTTATAGTGGTCTGTGTTCCTATGTCTCTTATTCAGTATTATTTAATTTATTTGAAATTTTAAAAATTAATTTATTAATCTTCATTGTTTTATGGTTGTTTTCCAAAAATTTTATACTTTTTTTGATTGGGCCATGTTGCCCTAGTATTCCATATACATTATAATAATTAATTAAAATTTGTACATCAAAAAAGCTACCTGTTACAGTCTTCATAATGTAGCCTTGTCCTGGAAATCTGAAACCAATTGTCTTGGCTAGAGATTCTGGGAGTATGTCAAACATGTTCTTAGAATGCATCTTGTTTGAAATTTTTTTTTTTTTTTTTTTTTTAGATAAAGAATGTTACTCATGTTTCTTCTCAATAGTAATCTATTTTTTGTGTGTGGTACTACATTCTCTGCTGCTGTAATATTTAACTTTGGTTTCAGCAGATTCAAGCTGCCATTTTATTTTATTCATTTATTTTTTTTTGAGACAGAGTCTCTCTCTGTCGCCCAGGCTGGAGTGCAGTGGCATGATCTCGGCTCACTGCAAGCTCTGCCTCCCGGGTTCATGCCATTTTCCTGCTTCAGCCTCCTGAGTAGCTGGGACTACAGATGCCCGCCACCACACCTGGCGAATTTTTTGTATTTTTAGTGGAGACGCGGTTTCACCGTGTTAGCCAGAATGGTCTCGATCTCCTGACCTCGTGATCTGCCCACCTAGGCCTCTCAAGGTGCTGGGATTACAGGCCTGAGCCACCGTGCCCGGCCTCAAGCTGTCATTTTAAAGTATGCCACCATTTCTTTCAGTACTTTGTGTCATGAGAAACATAAACCAGTCTGGAAAGGCCCCTAGAAGCCAGAAATAAATATGTATGTGCCACTGTTTTATATGTCTTTAGAAATGAAATCAGGAGATGGCAATTTACTTTTTTTGTTTTGAGACAGAGTCTCACTGTGTCACGCTGGCTGGAGTACAATAGCATAATCTCATCTCACTGTAATTTCTACATCCCAAGTTCAAGTGATTGCCTCAGCTTCCCAAGTAGCTGAGACTACAGACGTGTGCCACCATGCCTGGCTAATTTTTGAATTTTTAGTAGAGATGGAGTTTTTCCATTTTGGCCAGGCTGGTCTTGAACCCTTGATCTCAGGTAATCCACTTGCCTCAGCCTCCAAAAGTGCTGGGATTGCAGGTGTGAGCTGCCATTCCCAGCCAGCAATTTACTTCTAACGACACCATGTCATTTTGGGGAGCAGGAAGAGCTGAGTTGGGAAACTGTAACAGACTTCTCTTTCCTTTTATGTGGCTGTTTGCATTGTACTTACTTGGGGCACTCTACACACTTAACTTATTTATAAATTTTCAACAAATATATTTTGGTCAGTATGTTTTTATTACATTTATATGTCTATGAAGAAATTAGGGCCTGTCTTATTTTGCTGTGCCATCTTGCTTAAGCGGTTTGTATAATTTTATAGGTTAGATTTGTAAAGTATATTCATCTGAGTCTAGCAAGTGACATAATTTATTATTTTCATTTCTTCCAGTTATTAGTTCTCATTTTACACAAGACTTTTGGCCAGATCAGAGCATAAAAGATTCTTTCCAAGAAATAATATTGAGAACATATGCAAGATGTGGACATAAGAATTTACGATTAAGAAAAGATTGTGAAAGTGTCAATGAGGGTAAGATGCACGAAGAAGCTTATAATAAACTTAACCAATGTTGGACAACTACCCAGGGAAAAATATTTCAGTGTAACAAATATGTGAAAGTCTTTCATAAATATTCAAATTCAAATAGATATAAGATTAGACACACTAAAAAGAAAACTTTCAAATGTATGAAATGTAGCAAATCATTTTTCATGCTTTCACACTTAATTCAACATAAGAGAATTCATACTAGAGAGAATATCTACAAATGTGAAGAACGTGGCAAAGCCTTTAAATGGTTCTCAACCCTTATTAAACATAAGATAATTCATACTGAAGACAAACCCTACAAATATAAGAAATGTGGCAAAGCTTTTAACATCTCTTCAATGTTCACTAAATGTAAGATAATTCATACTGGAAAGAAACCCTGCAAATGTGAAGAATGTGGCAAAGTTTTTAACAATTCCTCAACCCTTATGAAACATAAGATAATTCATACTGGGAAGAAACCATATAAATGTGAAGAATGTGGCAAAGCTTTTAAGCAATCCTCACACCTTACTAGACATAAAGCAATTCATACTGGAGAGAAACCCTACAAATGCGAAGAATGTGGCAAAGCTTTTAACCATTTCTCAGCCCTTAGAAAACATCAGATAATTCATACTGGAAAGAAACCCTACAAATGTGAAGAATGTGGCAAAGCTTTTAGCCAGTCCTCAACCCTTAGAAAACATGAGATAATTCATACTGAAGAGAAACCCTACAAATATGAAGAATGCGGCAAAGCTTTTAGCAATTTGTCAGCCCTTAGAAAACATGAGATAATTCATACTGGACAGAAACCCTACAAATGTGAAGAATGTGGTAAAGCTTTTAAGTGGTCCTCAAAACTTACTGTACATAAGGTAATTCATACTGCAGAGAAACCCTGCAAATGTGAAGAATGTGGCAAAGCTTTTAAGCGTTTCTCAGCCCTTAGAAAACATAAGATAATTCATACTGGAAAGCAACCCTACAAATGTGAAGAATGCAGCAAAGCTTTTAGCAATTTTTCAGCCCTTAGAAAACATGAGATAATTCATACTGGAGAGAAACCCTACAAATGTGAAGAATGTGGTAAAGCTTTTAAGTGGTCCTCAAAACTTACTGTACATAAGGTAATTCATATGGAAGAGAAACCTTGCAAATGTGAAGAATGTGGCAAAGCTTTTAAGCATTTCTCAGCCCTTAGAAAACATAAGATAATTCATACTGGAAAGAAACCCTACAAATGTGAAGAATGTGGCAAAGCTTTTAACAATTCCTCAACCCTTATGAAACATAAGATAATTCATACTGGGAAGAAACCATACAAATGTGAAGAATGTGGCAAAGCTTTTAAGCAATCTTCACATCTTACTAGACATAAAGCAATTCATACTGGGGAGAAACCCTACAAATGTGAAGAATGTGGCAAAGCTTTTAACCACTTCTCAGCCCTTAGAAAACATCAGATAATTCATACTGGAAAGAAACCCTACAAATGTGAAGAATGTGGCAAAGCTTTTAGCCAGTCCTCAACCCTTAGAAAACATGAGATAATTCATACTGGAGAGAAACCCTACAAATGTGAAGAATGTGGTAAAGCTTTTAAGTGGTCCTCACACCTTACTAGACATAAAGTAATTCATACTGAAGAGAAACCCTACAAATGTGAAGAATGTGGCAAGGCTTTTAACCATTTCTCAGCCCTTAGGAAACATAAGATAATTCATACTGGAAAGAAACCCTACAAATGTGAAGAATGTGGCAAAGCTTTTAGCCAGTCCTCAACTCTTAGAAAACATGAGATAATTCATACTGGAGAGAAACCCTACAAATGTGAAGAATGTGGTAAAGCTTTTAAGTGGTCCTCAAAACTTACTGTACATAAGGTAATTCATACTGCAGAGAAACCCTGCAAATGTGAAGAATGTGGCAAAGCTTTTAAGCATTTCTCAGCCCTTAGAAAACATAAGATAATTCATACTGGAAAGAAACCCTATAAATGTGAAGAATGTGGCAAAGCTTTTAACAATTCCTCAACCCTTAGAAAACATGAGATAATTCATACTGGAGAGAAATCCTACAAATGTGAAGAATGTGGTAAAGCTTTTCAGTGGTCCTCAAAACTTACTTTACATAAGGTAATTCATATGGAGAGAAACCCTGCAAATGTGAAGAATGTGGCAAAGCTTTTAAACATTTCTCAGCCCTTAGAAAACATGAGATAATTCATACTGGAAAGAAACCCTACAAATGTGAAGAATGTGGCAAAGCTTTTAACAATTCCTCAACCCTTAGGAAACATAAGATAATTTATACTGGGAAGAAACCATACAAATGTGAAGAATGTGGCAAAGCTTTTAAGCAGTCCTCACACCTTACTAGACATAAAGCAGTTCATACTGGGGAGAAGCCCTACAAATGTGGAGAATGTGGAAAAGCTTTTAACAATTCCTCAACCCTTAAGAAACATAAGCTAATTCATACTAGGGAGAAATCGTACAAATGTGAAGAATGTGGCAAAGCTTTTAGCAATTTCTCAGCCCTTAGGAAACATAAGATAATTCATACTGGGGAGAAACCATACAAATGTGAAGAATGTGGTAAAGCTTTTAAGTGGTCTCAAAACTTATGGAACATAAGGTAATTCATACTGTAGAGAAACCCTACAAATGTGAAGAATGTGGCAAAGCTTTTAAGCATTTCTCAGCCCTTAGAAAACATGAGATAATTATACTGGAAAGAAACCCTACAAATGTGAAGAATGTGGCAAAGCTTTTAACAATTCCTCAACCCTTATGAAACATAAGATAATTCATACTGGGGAGAAACCGTACAAATGTGAAGAATGTGGCAAAGGTTTTAACAATTTCTCGACCCTTATGAAACATAAGATAATTCATACTGGGGAGAAACCGTACAAATGTGAAGAATGTGGCAAAGCTTTTAAGCAATCCTCACACCTTACTAAACATAAATCAATTCATACTGGAGAGAAACCCTACAAATGTGAAGAACGTGGCAAAGCTTTTAGCCATTTCTCACGCCTTACTAAACATAGGATAATTCATACTGGAAAGAAACCCTACAAATGTGAAGAGTGTGGTAAAGCATTTAGTCCTCAAACCTTACTAAACATAAGATAATTCATTCTGGAGAGAAACCCTACAAATGTGAAGAATGTGGCAAAGCCTTTAACCAGTCCTCACACCTTACTCAACATAAAACAATTCATACTGGAGGGAAAACCTACAAATGTGAAGAATGTGGCAAAGCTTTTAACCATCTTTCAGCCCTTACTAAACATAAGATAATTCATACTGGGGAGAAGCCCTAAAAATGTGAAGAATGTGTCAAAGCTTTCAACCATTTTACAAACCTTAATACACATAAGATAATTTATACTAGAGACAGACCCTCCATATGTGAAGAATGTGGCAAAGCTTTTAACCAGTCCTCAAGCCTTAATAGGCAGAAAACAATTCATGCTGGAGAGAAACCCCACAAATGTAAAGAATGTGGCAAAGCCTTTAACCAGTCCTCACACCTTAAATACACATAAAATAATTGATACTGGAGGAAAACCCTACAAATATAATAAAGGTGACAAAGCTTTTAACCATTGCTCAGCTGTTACTCAAAATGAGAGAATTCCTAAAGAAGATAAACTCCACAAATGTGAATAATATGGCAAAGCTTTTAACTGGTCCTCAAATCTTACTGAATGTAAGATAATTCATACTGAAGATAAACCCTTCAAATGTGAGGAATGTGGCAAAGCTTTTAATCAGTCCTCAAATCTTACTGAACATAAGATAATTCATAGTAGAGACAAACACTGCAAATATGAAGAATGGGCAAAGCTTTTAACCAGTCCTCAAACTTTACTCAACATAAAATAATTTATCTTGGAGAGGAACACTACAAATTTAAAGAATTTGGCAAAACTTTTAACTGCTTCTCAAAACTTACTGAACATAAGATAATTCATACTGGAGAGATACTTTACAAATGTGAAGAATGTGGCAAAGCTTCTAACGGGTTCTCAGATCTTACTGAATATAAGATAAATTAGAGAGAAACCCGCCTCATGTGAAGAGTGTGGCAAAACTTTTAACTGGTCCTCAAACCTTACTGAACATAAGATAATTCATACTGAAGAGAAACCCTACAAATATGAAAACTGTGGCAAAGCTTTTAACTGGTTTTCAGACCTTACTCAACAGAAAATAGTTGATACTGAAGACAAACTCTAGAAATGTGAAGAATGTGGCAATGCTTTTAATCAGTTAAACTTTATTAGACATAAGAAAATTCGTACTGGAGAAAAACCCTACAAATGTGAAGAAAGTGGCAATGCTTTTAGCCAGTCCTCAACTCTTGCTAAACAACATAATTCAATGGGAGAGAAACCCTACAAATGTGAATAATGCCATAAGCATTCTTCAATTTTTTTTTTTTTTTTTTTGAAACAGAGTTTCGCCCTAGTTGCCCAGGCTCTGGAGTGCAGTGGCACAATCTCGGCTCACTGCAACCTCCGCCTCCTGGGTTTTCAAGCGATTCTCCTGCCTCAGCCTCCCGAGTAGCAGGGACTATAGGCATGTGCCACCACGCCCACCTAATTTTGTATTTTTAGTAGAGACGGGGTTTCTCCATGTTGGTCAAGCTGGTCTCGAACTCCCGACCTCTGGTGATCTGCCCGCCTCGGCCTCCCAAAGTGCTGGGATTAAAGGCGTGAGCCACCGTGCCCAGCCTAATTCTTCAATTCTTAATAAACAATTTATACTGAAGAGAAACCCTACAAACGTGAAGAATGTTGCAAAGCTTTTAACGTCCTCAAACCTTACTGAACATAAGATAATTCATAATGGAAACTAGCCCTACAAATATGAAGAATGTGGCAAACACTGTAACCATTTCTCACATCTTACCACACATTAAGATAATTCATACTGAAGAGAAACCCGACAAATGTGAAGAATGTAACAAAGTCTTTAACTGGTCTTCAACTCATACTAAATATAAGAGAATTCATACAGAAGATAAATTTTATAAATATGAAGAATGTGACAAAAGCTTTAAAAACATTTCAACCCTTATTACACATAAGATAATTTATGTTGTAGAGAAATTCTACAAATGTGAAGAATGTGGCAAAGTTTTTTTTTTTTTTTTGAAATGGAGTCTCACTCTGTCGCCCAAATTGGAGTGCAATGGTGCAATCTCAGTTCATTGCAACCTCCGCCTCCTGGGTTCAAGCGATTCTCTGGCCTCAACCTCCCAAGCAGCTGGGATTGCAGGCGCCTGCCACCACGCCCAGCTAATTTTTGTATTTTTAGTAGAGACGGGGTTTCACCATTTTGACCAGGCTGGTTTTGAACTCCTGACCTCAAGTGATCCACCCGCCTTGGCCTCCCAAAGTGCCCCAAAGTGCTGGGATTACAAGCATGAGCCATTGAGCCCGGTCGAATGTGGCAAAGTTTTTAATAAGTTATCAAATCATACTGGAGAGAAGCTCTACAAACCTAAAAGACATGACAGTGCTCTTGAGAACACCTTAAACTTTTCTAAACATAAAAGAAATCATAGTGTCAAGAAGCCCTAGATGTGAGTCATGTCACAAAGCCTTTAAATGGTTGTCACACTTGAGTATAAGCTAATTTATCCTAGAGAAAACTATGAAGAATGTGGCAAAATATTTAACCAATACTCACACCTTATCGCATAGGAAAGCATTTATACTTGAAAAAAAATGTACACCTATGAAGAATGTGGAAAAGCCATTAATATCTGCTCACATCTTAACATCACAGAGTTTATACTTAAAACAAATATTAAAAATGCAATTACTGTGAGAATATCTTTTAGAAAATATAAACCTTAGAATGGTGAAGAGTATTTCTTTTGATGACAAACATTACAAATATAAAGACGGTTGTAGTACTATATTTGTATCACAGATCTTATTGTGCATATTTTGTGCTAGAGAAAAACCCTAAAGTTGCTCAAACTTTGTTCAATATCAGGGAATGTATAATAGAGAAAAAAACCTGCAAATGTAATAAATTTGGAAAAAAGTTTATAAACTACAGCTTAGAAAACAGAGTAAGTTTTTTTTGTAGATGCAGTAAATATGAAAAATATTCAATCCAAAATTAACTCTGTAAATGTCAGAGAATTCACAGTAGAAATGATAAGGCACTGGCACTTCAGACTACACTAAATCAGAGTGTTGAGTAAAAAAAATAATTTCAATCTAAAATTTAGATAAGTTATTTGCATATAACTTAAAAAAGAGGAGGTGATTTTTTGGAGAATTATAATTACATTTGAAGTATACTTTTTGTATACTTCAAATATCAAAAAAATTAACATCACAATATTGAAAAAAATTACAGACTCTGAAAAGCAAATAAGGATGTAATTCAACTCTCAAGTTACTTCATGCTCTTCATTCCTACTTTATTTACATGTGAAAGCATGCGATCAATTGTTGCTGCATCAGAGATATGAAAGATTCTTTTTTATTAGATGGGCATTATTTATGACCTTTTTCATAAAAGAGAAAGGATATTAAAATATAAAATGCATGATAAAAATCTAAATGGAGAGGCTTTTTGTGGTTAACTTAAAATATTGAGTGATGTATGAGGTAGGTGTTCTGAGGAATATATTTTTGTGCATTATAGTGAGAAAAACATTTTAAAATTTTAGTTAAAATTAAAATTAAATTAGTGATGTATTATATTAGTTGTGCTTTTATGTAATGTAGTACATTCATAAATTTTTAGATTATATGTAAACTTAATTTTTTAAACATTTTTTGACATGTTAAGTCTGTTGTACATTCAATGAAGTGTTATTATGCCACTCGCTTTAACCTATCCCACCTTACTCAAGGGTGTAGGTAAGAGATGGCAACAGTTTACTATTTGGTAAGAGTGGAATAACATCTCTAGTAATCTCTTTTTTTCAGTGGCTTTAACCTGCAAATAAATTAAAGAATATTGTTCTCGTAGGTTACATTTTTATACTTTTAATCTTATTTAAACTTCTTTTTTTTTTTGCCTTGACAAATTTAAACTTATTTTTCTTAACTTTTATGGGTACATAGTGTGTAGATATATTTCTGCCATATATAGCATATTTTGATACCAGCATAAAATATGTAATAATCACGTCAGGGTAAATGAGGGATTCTTCACCTTCAACATTTATTCCTTGAATTACAAGCAATCCAAATCTACACTTTTAGTCACTTTGAAATATAAAACTAAATTGTTATCTTTATTATAGCGTCATTTTTGTGGTCATAATAAAAATCATATAGGAATGTAAATAAAATCTATACATATCTGGGTCCTGAGTAAATATTTTTTTTAATTTGTCATCTATTTTTCTTTGAACATGTGGCCACTGTGCCTGCAAACACATACCTACAGACTTTTTTTTTTTTTTTTTTTTTTTTGCAGTTGCAAGATTTAATAGAGTGAAAACAGAGCTCTCATACAAAAGGAGGGGACCCAAAGAGGGTAGCTGGTGCCAGCTCAAATGCCTGGGTTTATATCCTGATCATTGTCCCTCCCCCTGTGCTCTCAGGGGATAGATGATTGGCTATTTCTTTACCTCCCATTTTTGCCTAATTAGCATTTTAGTGAGCTCTCTTTACTACCTGATTGGTTGGGTGTGAGCCAAGTTGCAAGCCCCGTGTTTAAAGGTGGATGCGGTCACCTTCCCAGCTAGGCTTAGGGATTCTTAGTCGGCCTAGGAAATCCAGCTAGTCCTGTCTCTCAGTCCCCCTTCTCAACAGGAAAACCCAAGTCCTGTTGGGGAGGTTGGCTGATGACCGCTCTAACTGCTTTCTGCTGAATTGGGGCATAGTAGGGGTTGTGCAGTTGAGATTTCCTCAGGAGGGGTGGCTTTGATGTCATCAACATCAGAGCATGGGCTTGCAGGCCGGTCCAGGGGTCCACGGTAGATCTTAGTCATGGACTGCATCTGGGGCTCCATTTGAAGAACGATTTGTAGCTTTACAGCTTGGATTCTGGAAGAGACAAACTTAACAAGGAGGTTAAAGATACAGGAATTGAAATGTATGGCCTGCAGTGCAGGAGATTATTTCTTTGGCACACTTCACAGGCCCTGACTATCTGCTTGATGGTTTTAAAAAGGCCTTGTCCAGTAAATAATAATTTGGCCATCTGATAGGTGCTATTAATGCCTAAGGGAAAGGTTTGGTGAAGGGTTTTAAGTAATTTCCATTGGTTAGCTGCAGGCAAAAGTATTTTTCCTTCTTCAGTGGCTAGCCATCCTGAGGGGAGGAAACTGTCGTCGTGAGGTTCCCCATTGTTTCTTCTGCTGAGTACTGGGGCTTGGTTTCCTGGAGGGGGTTACCCCATACTAGGGGTCCTTCTATAAGCATTTCTAATGGAGGGTCCTGCCTTGCATCTCTTTTGGCTTCAATGTCCGCTTGGCGGTTCCCTTCTATTTCCCTTTCCTTTCCTTTTTGATGACCCCAGCAGTGTAAGACTGCCACCTCTTTAGGTTTCTGTATAGCCAATAATAATCTAATAGCTTCCTGATGTTTGATAGGTGTTCCCTCAGAAGTTAGGAATTCCATTTCTCTCCATATTGCTGTGTGGGCTTGGAGGGCTAGGTAAGCATACTTAGATTCTGTATATATATTTACCCTTTTTCCTTTTCTTAATTCTAGTGCCCGAATGAGGGCTATTAGTTCTGCCAACTGAGCGCTAGTTCCTGCAGTGAGGGGATTACTTTCAAGTATTCCATTATCACTGACCACTGCATACCCTGCTTTTCAAAGCCCTTTTGCTACAAAGGAACTTTCATCAGTATACAAGTTGAGGTAGGGATCAGTCAAGGGAATCTCTAGAAGGTCCCTTTGAGTGACATAGGTTTGAGCAATCACCGTTGACAGTTACGTTCTCTCTTTTCTTCATTGTCTGGAAGAAATGTGGCTGGGTTAAGAGTTGCACAAGTGCGCAGTCTCAGCACTAGTCCTTCAATTAATAGAGCCTGATTTTTAAGCAAATGGTTGTCTGACAGCCACAAGTTTCCTTTAGCAGTGAGTATACCATTTACATCATGAGATGTCCACACAGTAAGATCTCTTCCCTGTATTATTTTAACTGCTTCAGATACTAAGACTGCTACTGCCGTCACTACCTGTAAACAATGAGGCCAACCCTTTGCCACTACATCAATTTTCTTACTCAAGTATGCCACAGGTTGCAAGCTGGTCCCTTGAACCTGTGTAAGGATTCCTAGAGCTATTCCTGTTTTTTCTGTGACATATAAAGAGAAGCCTTGCCCTGTTGGCAAACTTAACATTGGGGCTTGGGTTAGGGCCTTCTTTAGGGCCTGGAAAGCCTCTTTTGCTTCAGGTGTCCATCTTACTAAATGGGTATTGGCTTTCTGAGTTTACTTAGTGTATATACTGGCCTGACTGTTTCACCGTACCTGGGAAACCATATTTGGCAGAAGCCTGTTATGCCAAAGAACCCTCTTAGTTGCTTTTAGGGTTTTGGGATGAGGATAAGCCAGTATAGGCTGGATACTTTCCTCACCGAGGGCCCTAGTGCCTTTAAATAATTTTAGCCCTAAGTATTTAACCTGCTGTAAGCAGAGCTGAGCCTTTGGTTTGGAATCCTTGTAGCCACAAGTGGTGAGGAAGTTTAAAAGCGCTTTGGTGGCTTGATGGCACAAGGTTTCTGAATGGGCGTCTAGAAGTAAATTATTCACATACCGAAGGGCAGGAGTGTCCGGGTATGAGAACTGGCTCAAGTCTTGGGCTAATGCCTGGCCAAATAGATGGGGGTTATCCCTGAACCCTTGGGGTATAACAATCCAGGTGAATTGAGATGTTGGGTTCGAAGGATCTTCAAAGAAAAACAAGAATTGAGAGTCAGGATGTACAGGGATGCAGAAATAGGCATCCTTAAGGTCCAGGACTGTAAAACACTCTGCTTCCTCTGGTATTTGGGAAAGCAGAGTAGAGTATAAGGGTTAGATACAGCTGGGTATAGAGGGACAACGGCCTCACTGATAATCCTGAGATCTTGCACTAACATGCACTGTCCGTTAGGTTCCTGTACTCCTAAAATTGGAGGATTGCAGGGGCTATTGCAGGGTTTTACTAGGCCTTGGGCTTTTAGGTCCTTAATCTTTTGGAGTCCTTGTTGGGCCTCGGGTCTAAAGGGGTACTGCCTTTGGTAGGGAAAGGAGGTGGACTCCTTTAGTTTAACTTGAACAGGACGGGCATTCTTTGCTTGCCTATATTGTCCTTCTGTTTTCCAGACTTCAGGATTAATTCCTCAAGCAGGGGACAACAAACAGGTGTTCCTTCTCCTATGTTCAGGTGTATAATGGCCCCTGCTTTTGCTAGAATGTCTCTCCCTAAAAAGCGAGTGGGGCTTTCAGGCATAATTAGAAAAGCATGTGAAAAGAGTAAAGTTCCCCAGTCACAACTTAGTGGCTGGAAGAAGTATCTAGTGACTGGCTGTCCTAGGAACCCTCAGATAGTGACAGATCTGGAGGACAGTTGTCTGGGACAGGAGAGTAAGACTGACACGCCAGTGTCCAGGAGGTGGTTAACCACCTGGCCTTCAATGGTTAAGAATACCCGGGGCTCTGTGAGGGTGGTGGCATGGGCTGGCGCTTGCCCCGGGCACCCTCAGTCCTGCTGCTGGATCATCTGGTTAGTGGCTTCTGACTCAGAGGACCTTCATCCCCTGGGGCAGTGGGCCTTCCAGTGATTCCCTTGACATAAGGGGCATGGATGAGGGGGTGGCTTATTTCTATTTGGACAATCTTTTTTAAAGTGTCTTTGTAGACCACACTGGAAGGAAGCCCTATTAGGCATTTGATTTGCCCAGGCTTTCCGTGTTCCAGAGCCTCCAAAGTCTGTTTGCCTGAGGGCCATGACTAAAGCCTTTTTTTTTTTTAATCTCATTTGTCTCATTCTGCCTGTTCCTCCTGATCTCTATTATAAAAAACCGAGGTTGCCAAGTTCAACAGGGTTTCTAAGTTTTGCTCCAGGCCTAAGGCAGACTTTTGAAGTTTTTTTCTAATGTCTGCAACTGACTGAGTGATAAACTTATCCTTTAAGATTAGTTGGCCTTTAATAGAGTCAGGTGACAGAGAGATATGCTTCCTTAATGCCTCCCTTAGTCTCTCCAGAAAGGCAGTAGGATTTTCTTCCTTTCCCTGTGTTATAGTGGACATCATTGAATAATTAATAGGCTTCTTCCTAGTTTTCCTTAGTCTTTCTAGCATGCAAGTTAGCAAATGTCTGCAGCATCAATCTACATGTTCTGGTTCTGCGTCTCAATGAGGGTCTACACTGGGAATTACCTGCTGGCCTGTGGGGAATCATTCTCTTTCCTCTGTTGTCATACTATCATTGACCTGACTGACATACCAGAGATCACCGAACTCTCAGGCTGCAGTTATGGTGGCACTTCTCTCATTTGGGGTTAGTGTCTGATCTAACAGTAACATTTTATCTCTCCATGTCAGATCAAAGGATTGTCCTAACCCTTGTAAAACATCAATATAGCCATCAGGGTTATCTGATAATTTACCTAGGGCTATTTCAGTTTGCCTCAAGTCTGACAGGGAAAAAGGTACATATACCCTGACTGGGCTGAATTCTCCAGAATACATCTTAGGGGCATTTTTGCCTTGGAGGGAATGTTTCCCATCTGAAAAAAAAAACATAAGGATGCTAGTACCCTTAGTCATTTTCCGATGAGCATTAGTCCTGCAGCATCCTCTATGGTCCTAATGCTTATTCCTTTCCAGAGTGTGTAACCCCATGGACTTCTGCTTATTGGATTAGTTACGTTTACTGATGTAGCAGTTCTGCACCTGTTTTCCCACCTTTCTTGACCACAAAGAAAGGGGTCTGGGCTGCTGGATTCTAGTGGTCCTTTACCAGCATGCCTAATGTTGACTTTGTGCTCATAGGTGAGTTCTAGAGCTAGGCGGGGTTCCTGAATATTTCATAACAACCCAGATGCCCCATCAAGATGCATTCCTACAAACAACAGTTCATATGCAAATTCACTTCAGAGAGGGTGTGGGTAACCTTTTGAGTCAGGACCGAGATAGAGTTTTTTGATTCTGTAAGTACTTTAAGGCTTGGCTGAGTGCAAACAGCTCACACGTTTGAGCAGACTAGTTATTAGGCAATTTTCCTAACTCTGCTTCTACAAGAGTTTACCTCAATTACTGAATACCCATTGTGTGTGTGTGTTTTTTTTTTTTTCCTCAATCACCTGGGAGGAACCATCTATGGTCCTGTCATGAGGGAGTTCCTCCTAGGTCTGGTTGGACCTTTGTATGGTAATTAAGATTTAAATCCCCTGTTAGGAAATCTGCTGGGTTAAGGGAATTTTCAGTGGTCAATGTTAAATCACCTTTTTCTAACAGAATAGTCCCATACTTTAAGATTTGAGTTAGTAAGCTACCTTTTTGCTTTTTTTTTTTTTGACTTAGGATAGCTCTGAACTGGCAAGGTGTGCTCACAATGAGGTTCCCTCTAAAGTTTTTCTACTTATAGCAAAGCAGTGCCACTACTGACTGAATGCATTTGTCCCATCCATGGGTTACTGGGTTAAGAATTTTTGATAGGAAGGCTATGGGTTGTCAGTGGCCTCAGTGCTTTAGGGCTACGCCCTTGTTTACACTGACAGCCAAGTGGTATTGGAGTGTTATAAGGTCACAGAGAAGACTTTCAATGAACAATTATAGGTTTTAAATTTACCCTGGCTTTTAAAGGAATAGGGCACACTGTTTTTTCTTTACTACTTCTATCTTTCTCTTTGTCTCTCTCTCTCTGTCTCCCTCTTTGTCTCTCTCTCTTTCTCCCTCTTTGTCTCTCTCTCTTTCTCTCCCCTCTGTCTCTCTCTCTTTTCTCCTAGCTCTTTACAAACTTGGGGCCCTGGCAAGGGTGGTGGGGAACAGGTCCTGTGTAACTGCCCATGCTGAGAGCTGTATACCTAAATTGGGAGGGACACCAGGGACAAGACTTTGTGGGTTCATAGCCTAGGGGCCTAAGGACACAGTGTAGAGCTTCCTTACATCCCTTTGGAGATACAACTTGCTAGAGTAAATGAAAATCTGAACCATTAGTACCTAGGAGGCAGGGATCAGAGGAAGTAGATTCAGAGATAAGGAGAATTTTGGGGCTACACTTTCAAGAAAGTCATAGTCAGGACCCAGGAGATATGGGTCAGAAGGAAAGGTAGGGGTGCACGCATGGGAGACTGTTGAGTAGAGACTTCTGGCTGCACCATGATCTCAATCGGCTAACGCTGGGAGTTCGGGACGACAGCTTTCTGCCTCTAGTCAGCCCTCGGCTTCCTCAGGAAAATTGAAAGTGGAAGCTGGTTCCAGGCAGACCAACGCTCCCAATCCAGAAGGGTTGGGGATTGTTGGAAAGCCCTTTCCCAGACAGCCTCACACCTGAGTCTTAAGTCCGGCGGCCACACTAATCGTTTTTAACTGGCTGACAGGTGCCCAGTATTTTCCTCCAATTCTAAGGAAGGGCAGGACAGAATAGCAAGGTGAAAGTGGTCCAATTTTACTCACTGCTTTAGAGGTCCCTTCGTGGTTGCCATGAAGGGGTCTTTGCTCCTGGAGCTCCCAAGGTGGTGGCGGGCTGCTTCCAAGATAGCAGCAAGCCTCTTGTTCTCTGACCTGGGGTTCTTGGCTTCACAGATTCCAAGGAATGGAATCTTGAGCCATGCAGTGAGTGTTATAGCTCTGTTAGAAGCCGTGGGTCACGGAAGAGAACCGTGGAACCCAGTGACTAGTGTTCAGCTCAATTAGGACAAACCCAGGCACTTAGCCATGCAGGAACAATGGCAAGCCTTAGCCCTATTGGGATTGGCAGTGGGCACCTCGCTGGATCAGGAGCACAGCAGACACCCTGCTGGATCTGGAGGGGTGGAAGTCAGCGGCAGGTCTGTGACAGCAGCAAACAGCAGTGGTGGATGGTGAGCAAAAGTTCAGCTCGAGCCATAACAAACATGGACCAGAAGAGTGTGCAGTTGCAAGATTTAATAGAGTGAAAACAGAGCTCCCATACAAAGGGAGGGGACCCAAAGGGGGTAGCCCCATGCAGACTTTTAGTTTTTATTTACATAGGGTTAAACATACATATATATTACTCTAAAGCTATACCTTAGAAGAAAATTATGAAGTAAGTGTGTTTGTGTAATTATGAGTTTGTACCTATTTTCAGAAAAAAAATTATTAGAACAGAACAAATTATTGTAATAAGGTGACTAATTTACTAGAAAACCAAAAACCTAAAAAATCTGGAAAGCAAATCTGTACTCTCTGGTTTGTATTGAATTCATTACTGTAAAATCTTACATCTTATGGTTCAGAATCTCCCCATGAAATTTCTTTGTTTTTACTTGCCTGGTACTCAATGCAAGACCCACAATTTTCTTTTTTCATATATATATGTCATATATATATATTTCATATATATATCATATATATCTCATATATATATCTCATATATATCATATATATATCTCATATATATATCATATATATCTCATATATATATCATATATATATCTCATATATATCTCATATATATATCATATATATATCATATATATCTCATATATATATCACATATATATCTCATATATATCATATATTGTTTTGTAGTTTATGAAGTATACATTATGTGAGCTGGTCATGGAGTATAAGAATAATTTTTATGAAATTTAGTAGTGTACATGAAATGATTTTTAGATGTAATTCCACAATTAGTGTATTAAGTTATATTTTATTTAGTTAGAAGATTTCATTTATTTCTTTTACTTGGAGAACCCTATATAAGCTCACTTTTACTTGGTTATTGTTCTTCTCTATTTTTAAAATTGTCATAAGTTTATTTACTGAGCAAGTTTGTTCAGGTAAGTACTAGGAAGGCTTCGATAAGTCAAGAGGATGTTTTTGTATATAAATGCAGCAAACAAACATGGCAGTGCTTGCTGTGTAGCAGATGCTTCATGATAAGCCATAAGTATTCCTCCTGGAGTTAGTTTGTAACTTTAAGTCAGAATGGAAAATATCAATGGAGAAGAAATTACATTGATTCCTCATGTTGAGAGGACATTTTTCCCAGGATGCAAAGTTTACTCTTGCTGAATTTAAAGAGAAATTCTGCTTCTTTATTTTTTAATTATGTTCAGTTTTGTTTGTCATATATTCATTTCAAGTATGTATGCATCACAGTTCTTCTAATTCTTTTTCTGTGTTACAGCTACAATTGTCTCAGTTGTCTTCCTACCATGTTATTTTACATGGTATTTTGTAGGTTCTGATGAGAAAGTTGGTTGGTTTTGTTTTGTTTTGTTTTGTTTTGTTTTGTTTTTTCTGAGATGGAGTCTCATTCTGTCACCCAGGCTGGAGTGCAGTGGTGTGATCTTGGCTCACTCCAACCTTTGCCTCCTGGGTTCAAGTGATTCTTCTGCCTCAGTCTCCCAAGTAGCTGGGACTACAGGCATGCGCCACCATGCCCAGCTAACTTTTGTATTTTTAGTAGAGATGGGGTTTCACTATATTGGCCAGACTGGTCTCGAACTCCTGACCGCATGATCCCCACCTCCTCAGCCTCCCAAAATGCTGGGATTACAGGCATGAGCCATCACCCCTGGCCAAAAGTTGCTATTTTTAATGTGCTAAAAAATGGATTTTAAGTGGAGAATTTGCTTGCCAATATAACTTTCAGATTAGTTAATTAAAATAAGAGACATACACTGTCCACACGTGGAATAATTAAATCAGTTAACATTGTTTTTCTTTGTTTGTAAAAGAAGAATCTTATTGGATTCTTACACAAAGTGTGGCAAGCATAAAATTTGTTACAAAATATATCTTATAAGTTATATTTAAAAGAGAGTTAGTGGTAAGTAAGGATTCTAAATTTAATTTTCTATGATACAGCACGTTACATTTTTATACAGACTCCTATTTTTAAGTGTAAATGTTAAATGTTGAAAAATAATAAAATGTACTCTGTTGATTAGACATTTGAAGTGTTTATTTTTCATACTGATATTACAATTTGGAGAAAATTTTTACTGTTGTATAATTTTTGAAGTTGGTGAAGTTCAGTCTACAGTTTTTATTTTTAGTCACCTCACTGTAGGCAACTCTTTGGTCATTTTCTCTGAAAAAATTTTGGAGATGAGGTTACGATGGCTTTCAGATTAAAACATTTCCTATTATTTTGCATGCAAACTTGTTTACTGTGTTCAAACAGTGGCCAGTCTTGAGAACAAACAACACCTGCCCTTTTAATGTCTTTCATACCATTGCAATTAGCCCCAGAAACTCCTGCTGTCCCAAGCTT
Organism: Homo sapiens; assembly: GCF_000001405.40. Taxonomy (NCBI): domain Eukaryota; kingdom Metazoa; phylum Chordata; class Mammalia; order Primates; family Hominidae; genus Homo; species Homo sapiens. Next base: position 22,743,136 of record NC_000019.10, on the reverse strand, counting down.
AAAATAAAAACCCTAATGTACATTGGCTCCTCCTATGCACAGTACTGCATTCAGAACATGCTGTTAAATGTCAGAGCTCCTATGGTTATGACTGAAAAATTAAATGACAAAAACAGCACAAAAATATATTTTGGATACTATTTAGCCAAGTTAATGACAAAGACAGAGAGTATTTGAAAAAATTGGTATCCTTCTATAATGTTTCAAATATATATTTTTCAACTTGATAGATAAAACATGTTCTGTAAAACATGTTTTGAAGTATATATATACATTGTCAAATGCTTAATTTTAGGTAATTAATGCTTTACTTCACACAGTTAACATTTTTGTGGTAAGAGCACATGACATTATCCTAGCATTTTTCAAAAATACATTACTATTAACTGTAGATACCATGCTGTACAATCAGTCTTTTGAATGTGTTACTTGTATGCTATTATAATTATGTATTCTTTGACAAACATCTTTCTAAAGCCCTCTTTCTTCTAAATACCTTGGCGTCTGATGGTTACAATTTTGCTCTCTACTTAATTTAAGTTTTATATCATTCCTGTGTAGGTGAAATCATAAAATTTTAATGTTTCTGTTCCTGGCTTATTTAAACTAATATAATGTCCTCCAGGTTAATCCATGTGATTGAACATAATAGAGTTTTCTTTCTAAAAGAGAAATAGTATTCCATTGTGTATATATACTACATTGTCAATATTTACTCATTGGATGTTGAACTGTTGATTCTATATTTTGGCTATTGTGAAGAGTGTTGCAAACAACATAGAAGTGCAAATGTTTCTCATTCTTATTTCATTTGTTTTTAAATATATATATCCAATAGTGAAATTGCTGTATTATATGGTAGTTTGATTTTAAATTTATTAAGAAATCTCTATTTCAGTTTTCATAATGGTTTTCCTCATTTACACTCAAACCTGCAGTGTGCAAGCATTCCCTTTTCTTCACATCTTTACCAATGCTTTTTTTTCTTTTTAATAAGAATCATTCTAATATGAGTGACTTTATATCTCATAGATTTTTTGGCTTGCCTTTCTCTGATAATAAGTGACATTGAGCATTTTTAAATATCTGTTGGCCATATGTATGTCTTTTTTTGAAAAATATTTAAGCCTTTTGCTCATTTTTAGTAGTTATTTGTTTTTTACTTTCTTACATAATCTTGATATTCACCCCTTGTCACATGTATGATCTTTAGTTCCCTGGGATTTTGAGGTTAAATAAAAAAAATCACTGCCCAAACCAATGTTATAGGGCTTTCAATCTATATATTTTTTAGTAGTTTCAGAGCTTCAGGCTTTACATTTAAAGATACTGTCATTTTCCTAAGAAATTGTCATCTATATAAAAAATTGGTTAGCCTTAAATACATGGATGTATTTCTGGTTTCTCTTTTATTCTCCATTGGCCAATGTGACTATTTTTGTTCAAGTATCATACTGTTTTCATTACTATAGCTTTGCTGTATATTTCAAAGTCAAGTAGGATGATACTTTTAGCCTTTCTTTTTTGCTTGAATCCTTCTGCTCTTCAGAGTTTTTTGTCATACCATATAAATTTTAGATTTTTTTTTTTTAGATGGAGTTTCACTCTTGTCACCCAGGCTGAAGTGCAGTTGTGCAATCTCGGCTCATTTCAACCCCTGCCCTCGGGTGCAAATGGTTCTCCTGCCTCACCCTCCTGAGTAGCTGGGATTACAGGCACGCACCACTGTGCTTTGCTAATTTTTGCATTTTTAGTAGAGATGGGGTTTTACCATGTTGGCGATGCTGGTCTTGAACTCCTGACCTCGAGTGATCCACCTCAGCCTCTCAAAGTGCTGGGATTACAGGTGTGAGCACATGCCCGGCCTTGAGCACACTTTTATTAGTTTTTCTCTGTTTAGTCCTTTTGTTTGTTTCTATTGTAAGAAGAATTTTAATTTCTACCTGAAATTACTAATTTGAACCCAAAGTATCGAGACAGGTCTCAATTTAGAAAGTTCATTTTGCCAAGGTTAAGAACACACCGGTGACACAGTGTCAGGAGGCTGTGACAATGCGTGCCCAAGGTGGTTGGGGCATGTGTTAGTTTTATACATTTTAGGGAGACAGGAGACATCCATCACTATATGTAAGATGTACATTGTCCAGAAAGGTGGGACAACACGAAGTGGGGTGGGAGCTTCCAGGTCATAGGTAGATAAAGGACAGCTGGTTGCAGTTTTTCTGAGCTTCTGATTAGCCTTTTATTGGGTTTTTTCCAGGTCTGTCTTTCCTAAGCCTCCAAGTTTCTCTTGGAGTCAAGAGAAACTTGACTCCACATTTGTAGAATTTTAATCTATTTTGGCCAATTTTATGTCTACTTTATAACATACAACAACAGGTAATTTAACCAAAACCCTTAGGGTTTTCTAGCACAATTATGAGCCACGCATGTATTCTTAACAAGGTAAAAGCAACAGAAACCATGATGATTACAATAACAACCCTTCTGTGCATGAATAGCCCTTTAGCTGGTGACATCACACAGCCCACTGTGGAGTTTCTGAATCCTACACCCGAAGGCAGTCAAAAGTTGGAAAATTGACTTGCAAACATAGATCTGGTCCACAGGTAGGTTGGTGACTCCCACACTATGGTTCAGCACACCCATGAAATGGCGACTTTACTAAGAATACAAAGTTTACAGGAGGAATAGAGGCTTTCATGCAGTCCACTCTTGAGATTGTGACTCATGTACTTAGACTCAACATTCAGGAGGTGTTGACTCTTATACCTAAAACTGGGACAAGTACGGAATTGTTAATCTCACCCCTGGATCTTCCTGTAGATGTTATTGTGACATACACCTCTCCTAGCACCTGAGTGATTTGACTCTTGTGGGGGGCCTAGCTGACAGATGGGATTGTGGCATATCACTGGACCCAGCACCTAGGTGATGTGACACTATTCTCCTGCCTTGGCACTACCTACTTGGGGCTTTGTGACATGTCTGTGCTCATAACTAAGGTGATGTGATTCTCTTCTCTTGCCTGATATCTGCTCACATGGGAGACAGTGACATATTGCTGGGCCCAATACCAAAGTGACATTGCTTTTTTACCTTGACCCTCTTCTCAGAAAACATTGTGACATATTGTTGGGGCCACAATCAACGTGACGTGAGTCTCCTGCTTGAACCCTAACCATAGAGACCATTGTGACATGGTCTCTGGAAGCTCAAGTATTTGAAGTGGTTACCATATTATACCTGCTCTTTGCCCATAGGAGAGAATGTGACATATCTCTGGGTCCAGCACTTAGTTGATGTAACTCTGCTCTCCTGCCTGGGCTATGCCTACAGAAGAGAGTGACTTATGACTGGGCCCAGCACACAGATGATGTGATTCTACTGCCTTGATCCTTGCCCATAGGAATCATCATTACATACTTTGGGCTTTTCTGCTAGATGATGTGTGTCTCCTTTTCTTCCTGGGACCTGTCCACAGAGGAGGTTGTGACATATCACTTGACCCAGCACCTACATGATGTGCCTCATGCCTTGGCTTTTCCCACTGGGCTGATTGTGACATATAGCTGGGCACAGCTTCTAGGTAATTTAACTCTTCTCTTCTTCCTGAGTCCTACCCATAGGGGTCATTGTGACACATCTCTAAGCACTTCACCTAGGTAATATGACTCTTTTCCTGGATCCTCCCCTAATACGGTATTGTGACATATTCCTGGACCAGCACCTAGGTGATGTTACTCTTTTCTCCTACCTGTTACCTGTTACTGGAAGTGAATTCATGTGGGTATGAGTCATCAGGAACCTCGATTCTTGCCTCCTCAGAAGAAACAACTCAACTGAGGGGCATAAAGCAGGAGACATAAAGCAGGCAAGATTTAGAGTAGCAGTAAAAGTTTATTAGAAAGCTACAGAACAGAAACAAAAGGAAGGAAAGTACACTTAGAAGAGGGCCAAGTGGGTGACTTAAAAGGCAAGTGCACGGTGTTTAACTTGGGGTTTTGTATGTTGTCATACTTCAGGGGTCTTGCATTACTTCCCCCCACTCGCCCAACTCTTGAGATATTGTTGGGAAGCTGCTGATCACTATTTGTAGGTGATTCACTAGTTACCCACTTGAGAACAGAGGAGATATGGGATTGAACTGTGGCCCCCTCTTCATCCTTGGGGTTCTGGAATGGGCAAGTCTTACCATGTACACCCAAATTTTGATCTCTGCTTTATGTGTCTCTTGCACCTGTGGCCTTGGTCCGGCCTATGTCGTCGACTCCATTGACCTCTAGTGACTCTCGGTAAGAGCATTCTAGCAACAAAATAAGTATTTCTCTTCTCAGATTTCCACTTCCCATATTCTTTTAGTAGCTGTGAAGGCCGTTTTTCAGCTAACTGCCAAAAAGGGGCTATAGGAAAGCAATTAGAAAAATGGAGGCTACAGAAGAAAGTGAACGGAAGCGAGAGGAATACTCAAGGGAAGCCTTCATATGCTCAACAAAACAGCCCTTGGATTCAAGAGGGCAATGTTTATCCAAAGCTGTGGACAAATTACTTCAAAAGTCACTGAGAAACTCATTCCTGGAGCATAACAGAAATGAAAAGTATACAATAAGTCATAAGAAGCTGGCAGAGCCAGAGTTGGAATTAGTGTGGATTAGTGGAATTAGATTAGAGGCTTATGTCTGGACCCTACCTACAAGGAAATTGTGACATATCTTTGCATTCATCAGCAAAAAGTAGTGACTCTTCTTCTTTCTACTTGGAAGACTGTAACCTATTACTGGGCCCAAAAAACAGGTGACATGCCTCTCCTGCCTGGGCCTTGCCCACAAAAAGTATTGGGATATAACACTAGGCCCTGCACCCAGGTGATGTTACCCTGCCACCTGTGCCCTACTTTCAGGAGGGGATTGTAACATATTCCTCGCTAAGCATCAAGGTGATGTGACTCTCCTGCCTGGTCTTTGCCCTCCGAAAAGAGTGTGACATATTCCTGGGCCAGTGCCAAGGTGACATAACTCTCCTCATTCCCTACACATGGGAGGGATGTTGATATATATATTTGTGGAGATTACTGATATGATGATGACATTTGTACCCCCCCAAAAAAGTTAATAAAAGATATACTGTCTCTAATAGCTAGGCTTAGGGAAATGGGTAAAATAATGGGTCTTTTCTTTGTATAAATGTCATAGAGAATTACCACTCCCTCACATACGGTATAAAGCCATCAAGTGGTACAAACTGTCATCGCAGGACACAGCACAAATATGAGATTGTTTTTTGTATGCGCAACCTGCCAACCTTTAAAGTTGTCACCCTCACACATGGACAGGGTCCAATTTTGAGGTCCTGAAACTCACAAGTAGACACAGTCCAAAGTTAAAATTGTGACTGTCATATGTGAACATCTGGCCATTGTTGGGTTAGTGACTCTTTAATAAACCCAGCCTATAAGCAGGTAAAAACTTTCCAATCTGGACTCTCCTAATTGAAGAGATGTTGACTCTCATACCTGGGCTTAGGGCCACGGGTACAATCATGGGTCCATATCAGTACAAATATGTCAGAGCAGATTGTGACTCTCATACATAATGTATAAAGCCCTCAGGTGATACAGAGTGTCCTAACAAAACCGAGAACGCAGATGAGAATATGACACTCATATGCACACACACCCAACAGTCAAGATGTCACCTTTCCGCATGAACACAGCCCACAGTTGAGGAACTAAATCTCACAACTGGAGGCAGTCAAAGTGTGGACTTTCACATGTGGATCCAGTCAAAAGGAGGGCTGGCAAATTTTGGACCATGACTCGGCACACCTGTAAGGCTGTGACTAAGGAGACACAGTCCACAAAAGTGATTGAGGCTCACACAGTCCACAAAAATAATTGATTCCAGTCCACCACTGAGATTGTGACTCCTGTATTTAGACTCAACATACAAGAGGTGTTGTACCTAGAACCAAGACACATGCTAAATACTTTTCATTCTTTCTCTCTTTCTTTCTTTCTTTTTCTTTTTCTTTCTTTCTTTTTCTTTTTTTCTTTCCTTCCTTCCTTCCTTCCTTCTTTTTTTTGTTTTTGAGACAGAATCTCACTCTTGCTCAGGCTGGAGTGCAGTGTAATGATCTCTGCTCACTGCAGCCTCTGCCTCCCAGGTTCAAGCGATCCTCCTGCCTCAGCCTCCTGAGTAGCTGGGATTATAGGTATCTGCCACAACGACCAGCTAATTTTTTGTATTTTTAGTGGAGACAGGGTTTTGTCATGTTGGTCAGGCTGGTCTCGAACTCCTGACCTCAGGTGATCTGCCTGCCTCGGCCTCCAAAAGTGCTGGGATTACAGGCATGAGCCACTGTGCCCGGCAACTAAATTCTTAATCTCATCACTAGACCTTCCAGCAGGTGAGAGTGTGACATATGCCCCTGCCCACCACATGAGTGATTTGAGTTTTCTGCCTGGGCTCAAAGGTAAATTGTGAGATATCATTGGACTCAGTATCTAATTGATGTAACTATTTTGCTTTGTCTCTAACCACAGGGGACATTGTGACATATTTCTGGGCCTTGTAGCCAGGTGCTGTGAATCTCCTCTCTTGTCTTGGCGATGCCCCAGAGGGCATTGTGACATATCACTGGGCCCTGCACCCAGGATATTTGGCTCTCCTGCCTGTTCCCTGCCCATATGGGCCATTGAGGTGTATTGCTGAGTCCCATCACCCACATGATGTAACTCTCCTGCTTGGGACCTTCCTACAAGGGGCATTTGACCTATCTCTGTGCCTTTTATTCAGGTGATGTGACTCTCTTATCCAGCCTGGTCTCAGTCTACAGGAAAAATTGTGACTTATCTCTGAGACTAGCACCTAGCTGATGTGGCTTTTCTCTTTTCCCTAGCTTCTGCCCACCGGGGAGATTGTAACATGTCCCTTGTCCCAGCACTATGTTGACGTTACTCTTGCCTTCACACTGCAATCACAAGACATTGTGACATATTTCTGGGCCCAGCGCCAAGGTGATGTAAGTCTCCTGCCTGCATCCTGCCCACAAGGGGTAATTTGACATATCTTTGGACCCATCAACTCTTTGATGGGAACTCTTCTCTCCTATGAGCTTTGTCCTGGACCATCTGCACAAAATAGAGAGTGACTTATCACTGAGCCCAGCACACAGATAATGTGACTTTCCTGCCAATTCCCTGCCCTCAAAAATGATTGTGACATATCCCTGGAGAAGGACCCAGATGATGTGATTCTTCTGCTTGCTCCCTACCCACAAGTAGGGTTGTGACATTTATCTTTGCTTAGTTTACAGGTGTGATGATGACTTTTATACCTCGAACCAGCCAATATGGGTAATATTGTGGGCCTTCCCTTTGTTCAAAGGTAATGGGTTACCACTTTGTTGCATATCATATAAAGACCTTGGGTGGTACAGAGAGTGTCAACACAAAGCCCGGCACACATGTGAAATTGTGTGTTACATACACACACCCTGCCAACCATTTCATTAATCACATTCATACATGACAAAGCCCACTGATGAAGTTTTAAATCTCACACAGGAATGCAGCTTACACTTGGAATTACGACTTTCATACGTGAAGATTTGGCCACACTTGGAATGGTAACTCATTTCTAAATCCACTCATAGGCGGGACTCTCCTATCTGGACCGAGCCAACTAGAGTGATGTTGACTGTCATATCTTGGCTTAGGGCCACAGGTACAATCATTGGTCCATACCAGCATGAATGTCTCGGAGTGAATGGTGACACTAATGCACAATGTATAATGCCATCAGTTGGTACAGAGAATGTTTTCACAGGGCCCAGAAGATAGGTGGGATTGTGACCCTCATATGAAAACCCAGCTGAAAGTAAGGATGGTCAAGTAAAGATGTAAGCCATACATCAACACAGTGCACTGTTGAAGTTCTAAATCTCACACCCAGAGGCAGTCAGAAGATTAAAAAAAAAAAAAGGCTCTTGTGCATAATTGTGGTCCACAGGTGGCTTGGTGACTCTCAGACCAGGATTCAGCACACCAAGGAGGCTGGGACTCCATTAAGTCAACACAATCTGCAATAGGAATTGAGGCTATGATGCATAGATCCGGTTCACTGATGAGATGTGCCTCATGTAGATGGACCCAACATTCAGGATGTGTTGTTTCGGGGGACCTGCCCCCAAAATCATGTAGGTTCTTTTCTATTTTCCTAAGCGTTGGCTGGCTTAAGAAATAAAGGGACAGAGTACAAAAGAGAGAAATTTTAAAGCTGGGCATCTGGGGGAGACATCACACATTGGTAGGATCCCTGATGCCCCACAAGCCACAAAAACCAGCAAGTTTTTATTAGGGATTTTCAAAAGGGGAGGGAGTGTGCGAAATAGGTGTGGGTGACAGACATCAAGTACTTAACAGGGTAATAGAATATCACAAGGCAAGTGGAGGCAGGGTGAGATCAGAGGGCCACAGGACCGAGGCGAAATTAAAATTGCTAATGAAGTTTCGGGCACCATTGTCATTGATAACATCTTATCAGGAGACAGGGTTTTGAGATCAACCAGTCTGACCAAAATTTATTAGGTGGGAATTTCCTCTTCCTAATAAGCCTGGGAGCACTATGGGAGGCTGGAATTTATTTCACCCCTGCAGTCTCAACCATAAGAGACAGGTACGCCCCGGGGGGGCCAGTTCAGAGACCTACCCCTAGGTGTGCATTCTCTCTCAGGGATATCCCATGCTGAGAAAAAGAATTCAGCGATATTTCTCCCATTTGCTTTTGAAAGAAGAGACATATGGCTCTGTTCTGCCCGGCTCACTGGCGGTCAGAGTTTAAGGTTATCTCTCTTATTCCCTGAACTATTGCTGTTATCCTGTTCTTTTTTCAGGGTGCCCACATTTCATATTCCTCAAACACACACGCTGTACAATTTGTATAGTTAACGCAATTATTACAGGGTCCTGAGACGATATACATCCTTCTTGGCTGACAGGATTAAGAGATTAAAGTAAAGACAGGCATAGGAAATCACAAGGGTATTGATTGGGGAAGTGATAAGTGTCCATGAAATATTTGCAATCCACGTTCTACTGTCATGACTTCAGCCGGTCCCTCCGTTTGGGGTCCCTGACTTCCCGCAACAGTGTTGACTCTCATACCTAAAACTGGGACATGTGCAGGATTGTTAATCTCGTCCCTGGACCTACCTGCAGGTGTGACTGACATGTCATGTGCCCAGCACCCAGCATGATTTGAGTCTCAGCCCAGAGATGAAATTGTGATATATCACTGGACCCAGAACATAGGTGATGTTATTCTATTCTGCCTTGGCCCTGCCTACATGGAGCATTGTCACATGTTTCTAGGCCCCGCACTTAGCACTCAGGTTATATGTCTCTTCTGCCTGTGCCCAGCCCGTGTGGGTTCATTGTGACATATTTTTGGGGCTGACATTCACGTTATGTAAGCCTCCTGCCTGGGGTCTACCTGTAGGGAGCATTTTCACATATCTATGTGCCAATCACGCAGGTGATATGAACCTTTTCTACTGCCTGGTTTCTGCTCACAGGAAAGATTATGACCTATCAATAGGCCCACATGTAATTCTTGTAACTCTTTTTCTCAGGTTCTGCCTACAGGGGAGATTGTGACATATTGTTGGACTCAGCACCAAGGTGATTTGAGTCTCCTGCCTGGACCCTGCCTTGTAGGAGCATTGTGACATAGCTCTGAGCCAATCACCTAGTTAATGTGACTTTCCTCTTCTCTTCTCTTACCTGAACTGTGCCCACAGAATAGACTGTGGCATATCTCTAGGACCAGCACCTAGGTGATGTGACTCTCAACAGTTGTCTGTATTCATGTGGGAGGATGACAATTTTTACTGTGGGATGGAAGTGTATATGAGAATCACAAACTCAGCTGTGTTCTGGGTCCTCTTATGACACTCTCTGTACCACCAGAGGGCTGTACATTATTTGGGTGAGACTCATAATCCCCTGTGAGACATTAGTGCTGTATAAACGCATGAGTTTACCTGTTGCCCCATGCCCAGGTGTGAGAGTCAACATCTCTCGTATTGGCTGGTTCCAGGTATAAAAGTCATTGCTCTGCCTCTTAGTTGGGTTCAGATATGTGTCACCATCCCTCCTGTGGCTAGATGCACACATGACATTAAAAATTTCAACTGTGGATTGCATCTGTGACTAAAATTCAGGACCTCACCAGTGGGTTCTGTCCATGTGTGTGAATGACAATTCTTACTGTTGGCTGAGTGTGCATTTGAGATTCACAATCTCAACTTTGTGCTGAGTTATGTAGTGACACTTTCTTTACAACCTTGGGGGCATTATACAATATAAGTGAGTGCAGTAATCCTCTGTGACATTTATACAAGTAGAAAACCCAAAACCTTACCTGTTGCCCTAAGCCTAGGTACAAGAGTCAAAATATCTTCTATTGGCTGGGTTTATTGTGCAAGTGAGTTGGGTTCAGAAATTTGTCAACATCCAACCTATGGCTGGATCCACATATGACAGCCACAATTTCAATGGTGGAATAGGTTCATGTGTAAGATTTAGGACCTCACCAGTAGGCTCGGTCTATGTATAAGCATGGCAATTCAAACTGTTGGCTAGGTATGTATAGGAGACTCACAATCACACCTGTGTACTGGGCCCTGTAATGACACTCAGTATTTCCCAAGAGCTTTATACAACATACATGGATGTCATAATCTTCTGTTGCCTTCCTCCAAGTAAAGGACCCAGACCCCAAAGCCTAGCTACCAGAGTCAACATCTCTCTTATTAGCTGGGTTCAGGTATGAGAGTCATCACCATTCCTGTGAACTGAATCCAGAGTAAGTCACCATCTCACTTCTGGCAAGATAAACATATGACAGTCCCAATTCCAACTGTTGGCTGTGTTCACATATAAGACTCAGGACCTCAACAGTGGTCTTTGTTCATGTGTTATAGTGACAATAGTAACTTTTGGCTGGGTTTGCATACAAGAGTAAAAATCTCATCTGTGTGCTGGGCCAAGTTATATGTCACAATTTTACCTTAGGAAAAGGCTGAGAAATAAGAGTAACACCACCTTGATTCTTCACCTGGAATGTCTCAATCCCCTCTATGGGCAAGGCCCAGGCAGGAGAGTCACATCACTTGTGTTCATGGCCCAGTGACATATCATAACATTTCCTCTAGGCAGAGCCCAGACTGGATAGTCATGACATTTGGGTGCCGGGTCCAGAGATAGGTCACAGGGGCCTAAAGAATATTTTCTTTATGCATGTTTTGGGCAGCAGAGAAGAGGCACATTATGTAGAAAATTGGTTTAGAGATATGTCACAATGTCCCTTTCTGGTAGTTTGCAGGCAGGTGAGGAGAGTCACATCATCCAGATAATAGGCCCAGCAATATGTCAAAATGTCCCCTGATGGAAGGGCAAATAAAAGAAAGTTATGGCCAGGCACAGTGGCTCACACCTGAAATCCCAGCACTTTGGGAGGTTGAGGTAGGCAGATCACCTGAGGTTGGGAGTTCAATACCAGCCTGGTCAACATGGTGAAACCCCATCTATATTGAAAATACAAAAATTAGCTGGGCATAGTAGCGTGTGCCTGTAATCCGAGCTACTCAGGAGGCTGAGGCAGGAGAATCGCTTGAAACTGGGAGGCAGAGGTTGCAGTTAGCCAAGATCGTACAATTGCACTTGAGCCTGGACAAGAAGAGCCAAACTCCATCTCAAAAATAAATAAATAAAAATAAAAATAAAAGAAAGTCATATAACCGAGGTGAGTAGACCAGAGATTTCACAATGCATGCTATAAGTAGGGATCATGGAAAAGAGGAGCTTCAAATAACCTAGGGGCTACGCCCAGATATATATCACCCCAGTGGACAAGGCCTAGGTATGAGAGGAGAGTCACACTACACAAATGCTAAGCCAAGTGATATGTCACAATTCCCACTGTGGACGGGTCCAAGAAAAAAGAAAATAGTCACATCATCTACATGTTGGGGCCACAGATATGTATCAATGTTCCCTGTAGGTATGGCCCAAGCAGAAGAGGCAAGTCAAGTCACCTGGGTGCAGAGCCGAGAGATATGTCACAATGTCTTCTATAGGCAAAGCCCAGGTACAAAAGGAGAGTCACATCAAATAGTAGATTGGCCCAGAGATATGTCACAATGCCCCTGTAAGCAGAGTCTAGGCATGAGACTTAAATCACTTTCGTGCTGGGCCCATCAATATGTCATGATGCCTTTTGAGAGGAGGACCAAATCAAGAGAGTAATGCCACTTTGTTTGGCCTAGCGATATGTCACTATCTTTTGTGTGAGCAAAACATAGGAAAAAGAGATGAGTCACATCAGTTGGGTGCTGAGACCAGAGATATGTCTCAATCCCCCCCCTCAACAGAAATCATGCGGGAGAAGAGAGTCAAAACACATGGATGTGGCCGGGTGCGGTCGCTCATGCGTTTAATCCCAGAACTTTGGGAGGCCGAGGCAGGTGGATCACCAGAGGTCAGGAGTTTGAGACCAGCCTGGTCAACATAGTGAAACCCCATCTCTACTAAAAATACAAAACTTAGCCAGGAGTGATGGCAGGCGCCTGTAATCCCAGCTACTTGGGAGGCTGAGGCACAAGAATCACTTGAACCTGTGAGGTGGAGGTTGCAGTGAGCCAAGATCATGCCACTGCACTCCAGCCTCAGTGACAGAGTGAGATTCTGTCTCAAAACACACACAGACACACACACACACACACACACACACACACACACACACACACACACACAATGGGCACAGAAATATGTCCTAATGTCCCCCGTAGGAAGGGCCCAGGCAGAAGAGTAAAATCACCTGGGTGTTGGACTGTGCAATATGTCAAAATAGCCAATGTGGGCAGGCCACAGGCAGAAATCACGTAAACTGGGTGCAGGGCCTGTAGATACATCATAATATCTTCTATGGAGACAGCCAAGACAGGAGAATAGATCACATCAGCTAAGTATGGGGCAAAATGACATGTCATAATCTCTATTGGAAGGTAGACCCAGGGAGGGGCATACATCAGAATCACGCCTACAGGAAGGTCCAGGGATAGGATTAACAGTCCCACACATGCCCCAGTTGTAGGTTTGGTTTAAGTACATGAGTCACAATCTCAAAAATAAACTGAATCTGTACAAAAGAGACTTAACTCCTTCTGAAGACTGTTTCCCCTTAGTGCAGTCACAGCCTCACAGATGTGGGGAATCTTGATCTGAGATTCACCAACCAACCTAGGGACAAGATCAATGTATGAGAGTTAATTCTCCAACTTTCCACTGCCTCCAGGTGGGAGATTCAGAACCTTAACGGTGGGCTGTGTTCACGTGGAAGGATGACAATCTTTACTATTGGCCACCTATGCAAAGGAGTGTCACAACTTCACCTGTTTGCTGGGCTCTGTGAGGACAGTCTCTCTACCATTCAGGGGCTGCATATGTTATGTATGAGAGTCAACATCTGCTCTGAGACCTTCATGCTGTTATGCACCGATGATTGTACCTGTGCCCCTAATTCCACGTATGAGACTCAACATCTCTCCTATTGGCTGAGTCTAGATGGGAGAATCCTGACCTCTCTATGAGCTGGGTTTAGAAATGAGTCACCATCGCAACTGTGGCCAGGTGTTCACATATGACAGTCAGAATTTTAACTGCAGACTTCGTCTGCATGTGAGATTCAGCATTTCACCAGTAGGCTCTGTTTAGATGTGAGGGTGACAATCCTAACAGTTGGCTGGATGTGTGTATGAGAAACACAATCTCACTTGTGTCCTGGGCCCTGTGATGACATCCTCTCTACCACTGGAGGACTTTATATAAGATACAAGAAAGTGGTAATTCTCTATGACTTTAATACAAAGAGGAGACCCAGGATCTTACCCATTTCACTAAGTCTAGCTATGAAAGTATCTCTTATATTGACTGGTTCGAGGAAAGAGGGTCAGCATACTACCTGTAAGCTGGGCCAAGATATGTCATAATCCCACCTATAGGTAGAGAGTGAGCAGGAGAGTCATATCACCTGGGAGCTGGGCAAGGCATATATCATACTCTTCCCTGAGGACAAAGACCAGCTAGAAGAGCCACATCCCTGGATGCTCAGTCAGGGATATTTTACAATGCCTTCCTGAAAGCAGGGAACATGATGCATACTCACATCACCTAGGTGCTGGGCCCAGTGATGTGTCACAATGCTCCCTGTGGGCAGTACCCAGGCAGGAATGCCACATCATCTCACTGGTGGGCCCAGTGATGTGTCACAATGCTCCCTGTGGGCAGTACCCAGGCAGGAATGCCACATCATCTCAATGGTGGGCCCAGCAATATGTCCCAGTGTTTCCTGTGGGCAGAATGCCGGCAGAAGAAGAGAATCACATATCCTAGGTGATGGATTCAGGGATATGTAAAAAGTTTTCTGTTAGCAGGACCAAGGCAGGAGCCTTAAATCCCATTGATGTAGGGCCCAGCCATATGTCTCAATACCCCAAATATGCAAGGCCCAGGCAAATAAGACAGTCACATCACCTAGGTGCTCGGTCAAGGGACATGCCCCAATCCCCTTTTTTGTCGGAACCCAGGCAGAAGGAGAGAGTCACAACACCTAGGTGATGAACAAAAAGATGTCATAATACCCCGCTGGCAGGGCCCAGGTTGAAGAGTTGCATCACCTAGGTTTTGATCCCAGCCATATGTCACAACATAGAATGTATGCAGGGCCCCGGCAGAAGAGGAGAGTCACAACACCTAGGTTCTTAGCTCCATGATACAACACAATTCCTTCTTGGGCAAAGTCCAAGCAGTAGAAGAGAATCACATCATCATCATCTAGTTGCTGGGTCCAGCAATATGTCACAATACCCCCTAAGAAGAGGGCCTAGGCAGAAAAGTCTCCTCACCTAGGCAAGAGGCCCAGAGGTATATCCCAATGCTTTCTGTGTTAGGGCTCAGGAAGAAGAAAGTCACAAAGCCTATGAGATAGACCAAGTTATATTTCACAATCACCCTAGTAAGCCATGGTTGAGGCATGAGTGGAGAGTCACATGATGTAGGTGCTGAGCCAAGTGATATGTCACAATGCCCTCTGAGAGCAGGGACCAGGCAGGAGGAAGAAGTCAAATCACCTGAGTGATGAGTGCAGAGAGATGTAACAATATTCCAGGCAAGAGAGTAACATCACCTTGGTGTTGGATTCAGAAATATGTCACAATGCCCCACATGGAAAGGACACAAGCAGGAGAGTCACAAAAACTGGGTGCAAGGCCTGGCAATATATCATAATTTCCACTGTGGACAGACTCAAGAAACAAAAGGAGACTCACATCATCTAAGTTATGCTCTCAGAGATATATTCCAGTTACCTTTATTGGCAAGGACCAGGCAGAAGTATCACACCACATTTGCACTCAGTAATGTACTAGGTCATATCACCTAGGTGATAAACAACAATACATCACCCTTTCTTTTCTGAACATACCTCAGGCAAGAGAGGAGCATCGCATTTCCAAGGTGCTGGGCCCAGATATATGTCACCATATCCCTTATGGGCAAAGATGTGGTAAGGGGGGATAGTCAAATCAAATAGTTGATGGGCCCAAAGATATGTCACAATGCACTCTATGGGCAGGGTCCAAACACAAGACACACTTCACCTTGGTGCTGGTAACAGCAATATGTCACAAGGCCTTCTGAAGACAGTGCCAAGGCAAAAGAGTAACATCACCATGGTGTTGGGCCCAGCTTTATGTCACAATCTCCCCTGTGAGGAAAACCTCAGAAGGCAAGAGAAGTCACATCAGCTCAGTACTGAACAAAGTGATATGTTCCATTCTCCCCTGAGAGCTAGGATCAGGCAAATGAAGATAGTCACATCACTTGGTGACAGGCCCAGGATATGAAACAATTTTCTGTATAGGCAGGACTTAGGCAGGAGAGTTAAATCAAATGGGCATAGGACCCAATGGTATATTACAATGCCTCCCGTGGGCAGCGTCAAGGCATGAGAGAAGACATCACCCGAGTGCAAGGCCCAGTGGTGTCAAAATGTCCCAGCGCCCAGTTATATGTTACAATCTCATATGTGAGCTGGGTCCAGGCAGTAGAGTCAAATCACTCAGGTGCTGGACTGCGGCATATGTAACAATAACACCTACAGGAAGGTCCAGGGTTGAGATTAACAATCTCACACATGTCCCAGTTATAGGTATGAGTCAATCTCTGTATGGTCATTCTAAGTACACAAGTCACAATCCCATTGGCCAACAGGATCTATGTTTGACAGCCCTATTCCTTCTGGGGATTGTGTTTTTTAAGTACAGTCACAGCCTCACGGGTTTGCTGAATCTTAATCTGAGTGTCATGAACCCACTTGTGGAACAGATTCATGTATGAGAGTCAAGTTTGCAACTTTTAGCCACCTCAGGCTGTGAGATTCAGAACCTCAACAGTGAGCTGTGTTCATGTGGGGCAATGACAATCTTTACTCTTGCCTGGGTGTGCAGATGAGAGTTACAATTGCACTTGCGTGCTGGACCCTGTTAGAACACTCTCTGTACCACTCGAGGGCTTTATACAATATGCATGAGAGTCAAAATTTGCTCTGAAATCTTCATGTTAGAAGAGACCTTTGATCGTACCTATGGCCCTAAGCCCAGGCGTGAGAGTCAACATCTTTCTTATTGACTGTGTCCGGATAGGAGAGTCTTCACCTGCCTATAAGCTGGGTTTAAAAATGAATAACCATTCCAATTGTGCCTTGATGTTCAGATATAAAAGTCACAGTTTAAACTGTGGACTGACTGCATTTGTGTGTGATTCAAAACATCACCTGTAGTCTCTGTCAATGTGAGAGGGTGGAAATTCTAATGGTTGGTGGACTGTGCACACGAGAACACAGTCTCACTCATGTTCTGGGATTTGTGATGACATTGTAGTACCCAAATGCTTTATGTGATATGTGAGTGGTAACTTTCTATAACCTTCATACAAAGAGGAGACACAGGGTCTTACTCATTTTTCTAAGCCTAAATGTGAGAGTCAGTATCTCTTCTATTGCCTGGTTCAACTCACAAGGTATGATAGTCATTATTGCATCTGTGAGCTGAACCAAGATATATGTCACAATGCCACCTCTTGGTAGGGAGCGAACAGGAGAGCCACATCACCTAGGCACTAGGCCATGGATACGTCACAGTCTTTTCTGAAAACAGGGACCAGGCTGGAGAGTCACATCATTAGCATGCTTAGCCAAGAATATTTAAAAATCTTCTCCTGAAAACAATGCAACAGGAACAGAACCACCTCACCTGGCTGCTGGACCCAGCAATATGTCACAATGCTCTCTCTGGGAAAATCCCAGGCAGGAGAGACACATCAGCTGGTTGGTAGGTGCAGAAATATGTCACAATTTTCCTTGTTGGCAAAGTTCAGGCAGAAAGAGTCACAATTCTTAGGTCATGGATGCAGACATATGTCACAAGGCTCGCTGCAGGGTGGGCTTAGGCAGGAGCCTCACATCCCCTAGGTTCTGGGCCTAGCGATGTGTCATGGTATCCAAAATATGTGGGGCAAAGCAAAAAGAGGAGAGTTACATCATCTAGAATCAGGGTCCTGTGATATGTCACAATTTTTTTTTGGCAGTGCCCTGATGTAAGAGAAGAGTCACATCACCTTGGTTCTGGGTCCAGTAATACATCACAATCCCTTCTTGGTCAGAGCCCAAGTGGCAGAAGAAAGTCAAATCACTTAGTCCTGGGTTCGGAAATATGTCACAACACCCTATAAGGAGAGGGCCCAGGCAAGAGAGTCAAATCACTCAGGTACTGGGCAAAGAAATATGTCACGATCACACCTGCAGAAAAGTCCAGGGATAAAATTAACAATCATGCACATGGCCCAGTTCTAGGTATAAGAGTCAATACATTCTGTATGTTGGGTCTCAGTACAAGAGTTACAATCTCAACAGCGGACAGGATCCTTGCATGACAGCCACAATCCCTCCCATGCACTGTATTATTTTCAAAGGGTCACAGCCTCACAGGTATGATGAATCTTGGTCAGGTGGGTTGCTGACTCTCCACATATGAGAATCAGTTTTCCAACTTTCGACTGCCTCCTGGCATGAGATTCAGGACTTTTTTTTTTTTTTTTTTTTGGAGACGGAGCCTCAGTCCGTTGCCCAGGCTGGAGTGCAGTGGCATGATCTTGGCTCACTGCAAGCTCCGCCTCCCAGGTTCATGCCATTCTCCTGCCTCAGCCTCCCGAGTAGCTGGGACTACAGGAGCCCGCCACCACACCCGGCTAATTTTTTGTATTTTTAGTAGAGACGGGGTTTCGCCGTGTTAGCCAGGATGGTTTCAATCTCCTGACCTCATGATCCGCCCACCTCGGCCTCCCAAAGTGCTGGGATTACAGGAGTGAGCCACCGCACCCGGCTGAGATTCAGGACTTTAACACTGGCTGCATTCATGTGGTTGGATGACAGTTTTTACCGTTGGCTGGGTGTGCATATGAGTGTCACAATCTCATTTGTGTGCCCGGCCCTGTAAGGACCCTCTCTGTCTTACTGAGGGCATTATGCAGTATGCATGAGAGTTGCAATCCATTCTGAAACTTTTGTGCTTGTGTGAACCTACAATTTTACCTGTGATTCTAAGCCCAGATATGAGAGTGAACATCTTTAAGAATGGCTGAGTTTAGATACGAGGGTCTTCATCTGCCTATGAGCTGGGTTTAGAAATGAGTCACTATTCCAACTGTAGCCAGGTGTTCACATATGCAGTCCCAATTTCAACTGTGAACTGCATCCACGAGTTAGATTCAGGACCTTACCAGTGGGCTCTGTTTATGTGTGAGGGTGACAAGGCTAATGGTTGGCTGGGTGTACATAAAATAAGAAAAATTTCTATTGTGTGCTGGATACACTCTCTGTATCACCTGCATTTTACACTCTCCGCATCACCCAAGGTCTTTATACAATTTGGAAGGAAGTGGTAATTTTTTATGATCTTTGTACAAAGAGAAGACCCAGAAGACCTGTTTCTCTCAGCCTGGCTAGGACAGAGAGTATCTTTTTTACTGGCTAATTTGATATACGGACCCGCCAATAAGGGTGTTTTTTGCCTTTTTATTTTAGGCTTAGCGCAATGGATAAAGTAATGTGTCTCTTATGTGAGGAAAGATCACAAAAGATTATGACACTCAAGCTTATCCTATAAAGCTTCTGTGTAATATTGAGAGTATAATAACAGGATCCACTACACAAGTGAGATTGTTACTCTCATAGGCATGCCCAGCTGACAGTTAGGATTGTCACCCTCACACATAAGAAGAGCCCACTGGTGAGGTCCTGAATCTCATGGGCAAACTCCAAAATTAGATGTGTGACAGTCATATGTGGGTCCTGGGACAGTTGGTATGCTGACCTATTTTTGGAGCCAGCTTACAGACACTTTGATGACTGTCATACCTATATCTGGCCAACAAGAGAGATGTGACTCTCATACCTGGGCATAGGGCAATGGGTACAATCATTGGTTCATACCAGCATGAAGGTCTCAAAGCAGATTTCAACTGCCACTTATACCATAAAAAGCCCATGGGTAATACAGATAGTATCATAACACAACCAAGAACACAGGTGAAATTGTGACTCTCCTATGCACACTCAGCCAACAGTAAACATTGGCACTGTCACACATGGAAACCGTCCACTGTTGAGGCTGTGGATCTCACACATGGAGGCAGTTGAAAGTTGGAATTATGACTCTCATACTTGGATCTGCTTAACAGGTAGAATGGTGACTCAAAGACTAGGATTCAGAACACCTGTGAGGCTGTGACTCTTAGATTCAGAAATAGTTGCATTTGGAATTGGGGCTCTCTTGCAGGGATTGAGTCCACCATTAAGATTGTGACTTATGTACTTGGACCCAACTCAAATGAGGTCTCTTGGCTCTCATACCTGAAGTCAGAAAATGTGTGGAATTTTGAATCTCATTTCTCGACCTTCTTGCTAGTGTGATTGTGATATATACATTTGCCCAGCACCTGAGTGATTTGACTCTCCTGCCTGGGTAAAGCCCAAAAATAAAATTGTGATGTATACCTGAGCCAAGCATTTAAGTTATTTTCCTTTCCTACATAGGCCTTGTCCTCAGGGGAAATTGTGACATATCTTTGGGCCCATAACCCAGGTTATGTAATTGTCCTCTCCTGCTTGGGCCCTGCCAACACAGATAGTTGTAGCATATAACTGGGCCAATCACCTAAGTGATATGACTTTACTCTTTTGCATGGGCTTTGCCGCAGTGTGGGTTGTGATATATCACTGAGCCCTATGCATAAATGATATGACTCTCCTGCCTTGGCTCCTCCAAAAGGAGGCATTGTGACCTATCAATAGGCCCAACAACTGGATATTGTGACTCTCCTCTCTTACCTGAGCCCTGTACACAGGGTGACATATTGCTGTGCCCTGCATGCAGATAATGTGTCTTTCCTGCATGAACCTTGCCCACAGAAGGCATTGCAACATACTGCTGGGACCAGTACCCAGGTTATGGGACTTCTCTGCCATGGCCCTCCCCACAGAGTGGATAGCGACATGTTTTTAGTCCAGTGTTCAGGTGACATGATTCTCTTTTCTGGTTTATTCACACAGGCTAAGTTTTGACATATAGTTTTTCCAGCTCACAGGCATTACGATTACACTCATATGAGAACCCAGACAATAGGAATGATTTTGACGCTCTTAGTTAGACTTTAGGCAATAGGTAAAGTCCTGGGTTTCCTACTTTAGAAGGGTCACAGAGATGTATAAAATTTATGCATATCTTATAAATACTTCATGTGCTACAGAGAATGTAATAATAGGACTCAGCACACAGGTGAGACTGTGACTCTCACAGGCATACCAAGCCAACAATTGGGATTGTCACTTCCAAACATGAAAGAAGCACACTGGTGAGCTTCTGAACCTCACACGCAGATGCAGTCCACAGTGAAAAGTCTGACTGTCATGTGTACACCTGGAAACAAGTTGAACAGTGACTGATTTCTGGACCCAGCTCAGAGGCACAGTGATTAGCTGCATACCTGGATCTAGCCAAGAGGAGATATGTTGACGCTCATAGGTAGCCTTCAAGCAATGGGCAAGGTCCTGGACTTTCTACTTGTATGAAGGTCACAGAAGATTACAAAACTCATGCATATTGTATGATCCCTTCTGATGATACAGAGAGTGTCATAACAGATTCCAGCATAAAGTTAAAACTGTGATTCTCATAGGCATACCCAGCAAACAGTGAGGATTGTCACTCCCACACATGGACAGAGACCACGGTGAGGTCCTGAGTATCACATGTGGATGCCGTCCACAGTTGAAATTGTAACTGTCATCCGGGCACAGTGGCCCAGCACTTTGGGAGGCTGAGGCGGGTGGATCACAAGGTCAGGAGTTCGAGACCAGCCTGGCCAACACAGTGAAACCCCATCTCTACTAAAAATACAAAAATTGGCTGGGCATGGTGGCACGCACCTGTAGTCCCAGCTACTCGGGAGGCTGAGGCAGGAGAATCACTTGAACCCAGCAGGGGGAGGTTGTGGTGAGCTGAGATCATGCCACTGTGCTCCAGCCTGGGCAACAGGGCGAGACTCCATCTCAAAAAAAAAAAAGAAAAAAAAAAGAAATTTTGATTGTCATACATGGATCTGGCCACAGGTGGGATGATGACTTCTTTCTGCACCCAACTCACAGGCACAGTGAGAACTCTCACATCTGACCCTAGCCAATAAGAGAGATGTTAGCTCTCATTCCTGGGCTTAGGACAATGGGTAAGATCATGAGTTCATACCAGCATGTAGATCTAATTGTGGATTGTGACTTTGAGGCATACCATAGACAGCCCTCGAGTGGCACCAAGAGTGTGGTAACAGGGCCCAGTGCACAGGTGAGATAGTGACCCTCATATGCACGTCCAGTTCACAGTAAGAATTTTCACCCTCTTAAATAGCTACAGCCCACTGTTGAGGTCATGAATCTCACACTCAAGAGGTAGCTAAAAGTTGGAATTGTGAGTCTCATACATAGATCAGGTCCACAGATGAGATAATGACTCCAGACCAAGATTTATCACACCTCTGAGGCTGTGACTCTACTACCAGGACACAATCTGAAGGTTGATTTGAGACTCTCAGGCACAAATCCAGTCCAATATCTAGATTCTGACTTGCATACTCGGACTGAACACACAGGAGGTGTTGACTGTCCTCCCTGGAGCTGGACATGTTTGGGATTGTGTATCTCATCCCTGGACTTTTCTGCAGGTGTGATTGTGATGTATGCTTTTGCCCATACCCTGAGTGATTTTAGTTTTCTTTGTGGGCTCAGCCCACAAATGAAATTGTGACATATATCAAGGCCAAGGACCAAGGTAACATGACTCTCCTCATCTGCCTGAACCCATTACTTAGAAGTGATTGTTACATATTTCTGAATTCAACACCTAGGTAATGTGACTCTCCCCTTGTGCCAAGGCTTTGATCACAGAGAAGATTGTGACATACCACTGGGCCCAGCACCTAGGTGATGTGCTTGTTCTGACTTATTTCTCCCCACATGGGACATTATGACATATTTCTTAGTCAAACACCTAGGTGAAGATACTCTTCTCTCCTGTCTGGGTCTCAGCTTCAGAAGAACATGTAACATATTGCTGCACCAAGCATCTAGGTGATTTGAGTCTTCTCTGCTGCCTGATCTTTGCCAACAGTGGGGATTGTGAACTATTTGAACTATTGCTTAACCCAGCACCTAATTTTTTTTTTTTTTTTTGAGACAGAGTTTCACTCTTGTTGCCCAGGCTAGCATGCAATGGCGCAATCTCGGCTCACTCCAACCTCCGCCTCCCAGGTTCAAGGGATTCTCCTGCCTCAGCCTCCTGAGTAGCTGAAATTACAGCCATGTGCCACCACGCCTGGCTATGTTTGGATTTTTTTTTTTAGTAGAGACAGGGTTTCTCCATGTTGGTCAGGCTGGTCTCGAGCTCCCGACCTCAGGTGACCTGCCTGCCTTGGCCTCCCAAAGTGCTGGGATTACAGGCATGAGCCACCACACCCAGCCCAGCACCTAAATTTTGTGACTCACTTCTTTTGCTAAGTCCTGTGAACAGTGGGAATTGCAACATATTATGGGAACCAGCAACTAGGTGATGTGACTCTCCTCTCTTCCCTGGGCCCTGCTCATATTGGGCATTGTTACATATTGCTGGGCTCATCACCTAAGTAATGTTATTGTTCTCGTCTGCTTGGGACCTGCCCACATGAAGGGCTGTGGCATATCACTAGGCCCAGAACCCAGCAATGACTCTTCTTCCCTCATCCTGCTCATAATGAGGATTGACATATTCCTGTCCTAGCATCCAGGTGATGTGACTCTTCTGCCTGGTCCCTGTCTACGGGCGGGATTGTGACATACATCTGGGCTCAGCTCACTGGTGCAATGATGACAATCATACCTGAACCCAGCAAATAGGAGAGATATTGATTCTCTTTGCTAGGCTTCAAGCAGTGAGTAAGGTTTGGGTGTGTTTCTTGTACGACGGTCAGAGAAAATTACAATACTCATGCATATTGTATAAGGCTTTCAGTTGGTGCAAAGAGTGTCATAACAGGGCTCAGCACATAGGTGAGACTGTGATTCTCACATGCACACCCAGCCGACAGTTAGGATTTTAACTTACACATGTTAAGATCTCAAATCTCACATGTAAATGCAGTTTGCAGTTAAAATTGTGACTTATACGTGGATCCAGCCACGGGTGGGATGGTGACTCACTTCTGAATCCAGCTGACAGGCACAGTGATGACTGTCATTCCTGGATACAGCAAATTAGTGAGAGGTTGACTCTCATACCTGGGCTTAGGGCAACAGGTAAAATCATGGGTCATACTAGCACAAAACTCTCAGAGCAGACTGTGACTCTCATGCATATCATATAAAGCCTTTGGGTGATACAGAAAATGTCATAACGGTGCCAATCACACAGGGAAGATTGTGATCCTTAAATGCACACTCACCCAAAAATAAGAGTTGCCACTCTCCCACATGGACACAGCTCACCTTTGAGGTTCTGAATCTGACATCCAGAGACAGTTGACAGTTAAAATCATGACTTTCATACATGGATCCCATCCACAGGTGGGGTGGTGATGCTTGGACCAGAATTCAGCACACCCATGGGCCTGTTACTCTCACACCAGAACACAGCCCCTAGGTGGGGCTGGGACTCTCATGCATGGATCCAATTTACTATTGAGATGATGAGTCCTGTACTTGTGCGTAACTCACAGGAGGTGTTGACTCTCATACCTAAAGCTGGGACACGTGCAGAATTGTAAATCTAACCACTGGACCTTCTTGCAGGTGTGATTTTTATGTATACATTTGCCGAGCCCTGGTCCAGCACCCACGGGATGTGATGATCCAGCCTTATCCCTGCTCCCAGCTAACAGGGATGAGGATGACTCTTGTACCTGGACTCAGCTAATAGGAGAGATGGTAATTTTCATAGCTAAGATTAGGGCAACCAGTAAGTTCCTTAGTTTCTAAATTGTATAAAGATCACAAAGGATCACATCACTCACTCATACTATATAAAGCACTTGAGTGGTACAGAGAGTATCATAACAGGACTCAGCATACAGTAGAGATTGTGACTCTCATATGCACACCCAGGCCACAGTTATAACTGTCACTCTCTCACATGGACAGAGCCTGTTGGTAAAATTCTAAGCCTGAATTGCAAACACAGTCCACAGTTGGAATTGTGATTATCATATGTGAATATGGCCACAGTTCCAATGGTGACTCATTTATGGACTCAGATCACAGGAATGGTGGTAACTCTCATACCTGGATCCAGCCAATAAGAGATGTTCAATCTCATACCTGATTCTAGGGCAATGAGTAAGATCACAGATCCATACAAGCATGAAGGTCTCAGAGCAGATTGTGGCTCTCAGGTGTATATTTTAAAGCCCTCAAGTTGTACAGTGTGTCATAATAGGGCCCAGCACACTGATGAGATTGTGACTCTTGTATGTACACCCAGGTGATGTAAGAATTGTCACCCTCCCACTTGAATACAGCACACTGTTGAAGTCCTAAATCTCATAGCTGGAGGCAGTCAAAATTTGGAATTGTGTCTCAGACAAGAATCCAGTCCACAAGTGAGATAATGACTCTCTGACCTGGATTTAGCACCCCTGTGAGGCTGTGAGTTCCCTACTGGGATATAGTCTGCTGGTGAGATTGAGGTCTCATGCACATGCCCAGTCCACCATTGAGTTTGTGACTCATGTACGAGGACCCAACACACAGATGTTGAATCTCATACCTAGAGCTGGGACATATACAGGGTTGTCAATCTCATCCCTGTACCTTCCCACAAATGTGATTATGACATATGCCTTTGCCCAGCTCCTTAGTAATTTGACTTTCCTGCCTTGGCCCAGGCCAAAACTGGAATTGTGACATATACCTGGGCCAAACACCTAAATGCTGTGACTTTCTTCTTTTGCCTGGGATCTGCAAACAGAAAAGATTGTGACATATTGCTAAGCCCAGCATTTAGATTTCTTCCTCCAGGACATTCCTCCCTGGAATATGGGACATTGTGACATTCCTCCCTGTTCCTACAGGGACATTGTGACATATCCCTGGGAACATTAACTAGATTAAGGGACTCCCCTCTCATCCCTGGGTCATTCCCTCGGGGGTATTATGACATATCACTGAATCCAGAACCTAGGTGATTTTTTTCACCTCTACTACCTGGACCCCATCCACAGGATGAATGGTAACATATTGCTGAGCCCAGCAAGCAGATGATGTCACTTTCCTCTCCTGCCTGGAATCTGCTCAGCGGGGGAGAGTTGCATATCGCTGGGCCCAGCACCTAGGTAATGTGACTCTCTCCTGTTTGGGCCCTCCCAACAGTGGGAAATGTGAGATGTCACTGGGCTCATCACCTAGGTGATGTAATGCTTCTTCCCTTTATTGACCCACCCACAGTGGGTATTGTGACATGTTACCATGTTCAACAGCTAAATGATGTGACTCTTTTCTCCTGAGTGAGCCCTACTCATAAGCCTTGAACCCAGATGATTTAACTCTCCTATCTGGGCTTCGCCTATGGAGAACACTGTGACATACCTCTGCACCCATCATCTAGGTGATGTGACTCTCCTCTCCTGCCTGGTTCTGGCTCACAGAAGGGAATGTAACATGTCTCTGGATCCAGCACCTAGGTAATCTGTCTCTATTTTTTTCTAGGCCCTGTTTTTTTGTGTGTGTGACATGTATTTGGATGTATCACCTAGATGATGTAACTCTCTTTTCATGCCTGGGCAATGCCCAAGGGGAGATTGTGACATGTTGCTGAGCCCAGGACCCAGGTGATGTTAGTCTCCTGCCTGGCCTTGCCCGCCTACAAAAGGCATTGTGACACATCTTTCTGCTCATCACCCAAGTAATGGGATTCTTTTTACCTGCCAGAGCCCTGTTTTCAGGGAAAATTGATATATTACTGTATCCAGCATGTACGTGAGGTGACTCTTCTGCCTCTGTGTTGCCCATAGGAAGAATTGTGACATATCACTGAACCCAGAACCTATGTGATGTGACTTTTTCCTGTGCCTTACATACAAAAAAATAGAAAATATCACTGGGCCCCAGACCTAGGTGAGGTGACTCTCCTCTACTACCTGGGCTTTGCCCAAAAGGGGCATCGTGACATATCTCTGGCCCCATCACCTGGGTGAAGTGGCTATCCTCTTCTGAATATGTGCCACCCACAGCTGTGATTGTTACAAAATGCTGGGCCCAGCACTCAAGTGGTTTGACTCTGCTGCATGGGCCCTGCCCACAGAGGGCATTGTGATATATGTGTGGGCCCATCAACTAAAATTGTGACTTTCTACATTAGTCTGTTCTCATACTGCGAATAAAGTCATCCTCAAGACTGGGTAATTTATAGAAGAAATAGGTTTAATGGACTCACAGTTCCACATGGCTGAGGAGGCCCACAGTCATGGTAAAAGATAAAGGAAGAGCAAAAAGGCATCTTACATGGTGGCAGGCATAAAGGCCTGTGCATGGGAACTCCCTTTTATAAAACCATTAGATCCCACGAGACTTATTCACTACCCCAAGAACAGTATAAAACCACCTCCATAATTCAATTATATTTACCTGTCCTTGCTCTTAACATGAAGGGATTGCTAAAATTTAAGGTGAGATTTGGGTGGGGACACAGCCAAACCATATCAGTGTTTTCTCCTGCCTGGCCCCTGTCCATAGGGGAGATTTTGACATATCACTGAACCCAACACCTTGGTGATGTGACGCTCCTGGTCCCTGCCATAAAAGAGAATGGTGACATGTCACTGGGCTCAGTACTTAGGTGATGTGACTCTCCTCTCCTGTCTGTACTCTGTCCTAAAAGAGAATTGTAAGATATCGCTAAGACTAGCCCTTAGGTCATGCGATTTTCAGCTCCCACCAGGGCCCTGTCTACAAGGGGCAAGGTGACATAATGTGGGGACTATCTCCCAGGTGATGTGACTCTTCTGCATTGGCCTGCCCTAAAGGGGAAATTGTGACATATCTCTGGGCCTACCACCTAGCTGATGTGACCTTCCTCACCTGCTTGTGCTCTGCCCACAGGAAGATTTCCACATATCTCTGGGCCCAGCACCTAGGTAATGGGACTCTTCTGCCTAAGCACTGCTTACACAAGCCATTGTGATGTATTCCTAGGCCCAAGACACAATGATGAGACTTTTCACTTCTGCTTGGACCCTACACAAAGGGGGCACTGTGATATATCATGGGGCTCATCACCTAGATGATGTAATTCTTCTTTTGCTTGGGCCTTGCCCACAAAATAAATAGTGACATATTGCTGGGCATAGCACCTAGGTGATGTGATACATCTGCTCTGGCCTGTACCACAAAGGGCACTGTGACATATTCCTGAATTTAGTGCTCAGGAGATGTGACTCTGGGGCCAGAGCTGAGTCCACAGGTGGATTGTGACATATTCCTTGCCCAGAACCTAGGTGACATGACTCTTTCTTCCATCATGGCCCCTGACTGCAGTGAGGATTTTGACATATACTGGGCCCTACACACAAATGATGTGACTCTGCTGCCTGAGTTCTGTCAAAGGAGGGATTGTGACCTATCCAGTAGGCCAGAACCTACATGACTTTCCTTTCCTTCCTGAGCCATGTAAACAGAGTTAATTGTGAAATATTGCTTTACACAGAACCCAGGTGATGTGGTTCTCTAGGCTAAGCCCTGCCCACAGAGGCATTTTGACATATTGCTGAGCTCAGCACTCAAGTAATGTGACTTTCTTGCCAGGGCCCTGAACACATGGGGTTATTGAAATATTCCTAGACCAACATTCAAGCAATGTGACTCTCCTGTCTGGTCTTCCCACAGGTGGGATTGTGACATACCTAGGCCTAGCTCACAGGTGTGATGATGACTGTCATATG
Organism: Homo sapiens; assembly: GCF_000001405.40. Taxonomy (NCBI): domain Eukaryota; kingdom Metazoa; phylum Chordata; class Mammalia; order Primates; family Hominidae; genus Homo; species Homo sapiens. The sequence continues at coordinate 22,714,506 of NC_000019.10, read as the reverse complement.
TGGACCCAACCAACAGAAAAGATTTTGACTCTCATGGCTAGAATTAGGGGAATAGGTAAGGTCTTCTGTTTCCTATTTGTGGTAATGTCACAGAAGATGATGACACTCATGCATATCCTATAACATCCTTGAGTGACACAGAGTGTCCTAACAGGACTCAGCACACAGGTGAGATTGTGCATCCCATAGGCACGCCCAGTGGACAATTAGAATTGTCACTCTCACACATGGACAGAATCCACTGGTGAGGTCCTGAATCTCACATGTGGACATGGTCCACAGTTAGAGTTGTGACTGTCCTATGTAAATTTAGCAATGTGTGAGATGATGACTCATTTCTGGATCAAGCTCACAGGTGCAATGATGACTCTCATACTTGGATTTAGCCAATAGAAGAGGTGTTGATTCTTGTAGCTGGGCTTAGGGCAATGGGTAAGGTCCTGAGTCTTCTACTTGCAGAAAGTTCTCAGAAGATTACCACACTCATGTATATAATATAAAGCCCTTACATTTCACCAAGGGTTTCATATTAGGTCCCAGTACAAAGTTGAGATTGTGACTCTTCTATGCACACCCAGCTGACAGGATTATCACCCTCACACATGGACGGAGCCCACTGCTGAGGTTCTGAGTCTCACTTGTGGATATAGCTCACAGTTTGTATTGTGACTTTTATATGTGGATGTTGCCACAGGTGGGTGTCTTATTTCTGGTCTCAGCTCACAGACACAGTGATGACTCTCATACCTGGACCCAGGAAAGAGGAGAAATGTTGACTCTTGTATTAGGATGTTTGTGTGTGTGTGTCTGTGTGTGTGTGTTTTAGTTCTTTGAGCTTTGGAAATTGATTCTACAGTATCTTATACGATGCAAATGTATCAGGCTTTTTTTGTAAAGCTATATATATATATTCCTCCTGTTTATTAAAATATTGTCATTGGTGTTATGTAGATATAGTTGTAGATCTCAGAACAGAAAATAATATTGTAAATATTACAGCTTAATAAACGTTTATGGTATATAAATAAAAAATATAAATTATACATATTTGGAAGGTAGTTATTTACAATTGCTTAGAGCTCACCTGGTCAGCCAAGGCCTGCCTTCAATTGCACCTGCTTGGTTACAGTATCTCCTGGGGTGGAATGACCCTCACTGAGAATGGTCAAAATAAGAAAAAAAATTTTGGCAGATAAATCTTATGTGTAAAGAGACAGAGATGTGGAAAAAAATGTTCAGAAAAGCATAAATAAATCAATTTTACCCCAGTCATTTTTTATTATTTATTTATTTATTTGAGACAGAATTTCACTCTTGTTGCCCAGGCTGGAGTGCAACGGCGCAATCTCGGCTCACTGCAACCTCTGCCTCCTGGGTTCAAGCAATTCTCCTGTCTCAGTCTCCCAAGTAGCTGGGATTACAGGCATGCACCACCACACCCAGCTAATGCTGTATTTTTAGTAGAGACCATGTTGGTCAGGCTGGTCTCGAACTCCTGACCTCAGGTGATCCACCTGCCTCAGCCTCCCAAAGTGCTGGGATTACAGGCATGAGCCACCGAGCCCGATCTACCCCAGTTATTTTTAAGAAAACAAATGCTTCAGGCTAGGCGTGGTAGCTCATGCCTGTAATCTCAGCACTTTCGGAGGCCGAGGCAGCAGATCACCAGGTCAGGAATTTGAGACCAGACTAAATATACAAAAAATTAGCCAAGCATGGTGGCGGGCGCCTGTAATCCCAGCTACTCGGGAGGCTGAGGCAGGAGAATTGCTTGAACCAGGGAGGCAGAGGTTGCAGTGAGCCGAGATCACGCCACTGCACTCCAGCCTGGGTGACAGAGCGAGACTCTGTCTCAAAAAAAAAAAAAAGAAAAAAAAAAGAAAATGCTTCAAAGTCAAATAAAATTCATTTAATTAAAAATTGCAAATATTATGGTGAATGAAATTAAAGGCCTTTGACTTCACAAAGTTTACACTGTAGGGTTTAGAAAATAAAGACAATTAGATAATATATAATCCATCCTGTAGTGCTGGTAGTATAAGTTGGTACTACATTCTGGAAGAGGGCTTGCCAATGCCTACACAAGCTGAAGATATAAATATATTTTAATTATATTTGTGGTAAAATATCTACATAATTGCAGAAATTTATCTTTAAAAATGCACACAAGCGGGCGCGGTGGGTCATGCTTGTAATGCCAGCACTTTGGGAGGCCGAGGTGGCAGATCACCTGAGATCGGGAGGTCGAGACCAGCCTGACCAATATGGAGAAACCCCTTCTCTACTAAAAATACAAAATTAGCCGGGCGTGGTGGCGCATGCCTGTAATCCCAGCTACTCGGGAGGCTGAGGCAGGAGAATTGCTTGAACCCGGGAGGCGGAGGTTGGAGTGAGCCGAGATCGTGCCACTGCACCCCAGCCTGGGCGACACCTCAAAAAAAAAAAAAAAAAAAGCACAAGATGGTCTATAGACGCACTGAAAAATCTGGAAATTTAACAAAATGTTCATGAACAGTTGAATAAATAAATTGTAGTGTATTTATATGATGTCACATGGTAGATCAATAAATATGCAAACCACAGACAGCAACAGAGATTAATCTCACAATGTTGAACAAAAGAAGCTGGCCAAAAATGAGAACTTATTGTATTAATCTATTTATTTAAAGTTCAAAAACAGACAAATATTATTTATTGTATAAAAAGCCAGGATATAAGTTTCTGTTGGCAGAACAGTGATTGAAAAGGAGAATAGCTGGGTGCGGTGGCTCACGCCTGTAATCCCACCACTTTGGGAGGCTGAGGCGGGCAGATCATGAGGTCAGGAGTTCGAGACCAGCCTGACCAACATGGTGAAACCCCGTCTCTACTAAAAATACAAAAACTAGCCAGGTGTTGTGGTGTGCACCTGTAATCCCAGCTACTCAGGAGGCTAAGGCAGAATGGCTTGAGCCTAGGAGGCAGAGGTCGCAGTGAGCCAAGATCACACCACTGCACTCCAGCCTGGGGCAACAGAGCGAGAATTCTTCTCAAAAAAAAAAAGAAAAGAAAAGAAAAAAAAAGGAGAATAAAGGAGGGGGAGTGTCCAGGTTGTTCATACTCTTCCACTGCTGGGTGCTGGGTTCATGGTATATATCTTTTGTAAACATTTATCAAGCTGTTCTTTTATAATACATGTACTTTTTAGGTGTGTAAAATTAAAAACAACATTTTTTCTTTTTTTTTTTTTTGAGACGGAGTCTCGCTCTGTCACCAGGCTGGAGTGCAGTGGCGCAATCTTGGCTCACTGCAACCTCCACCTCCCAGGTTCAAGTGATTTTCCTGCCTCAGCCTCCTGAGTAGCTGGGACTACAGGCGCCCGCCACCAACCCGGCTAATTTTTTTAAATTTTTATTTTTTTATTTTTATTTTTTTTAGTAGAGACAGGGTTTCACCATGTTGGCCAGGATGGTCTCGATCTCTTGACCTCGTGATCCACCTCCCTTGGCCTCCCAAAGTGCTGGGATTACAGGTGTGAGCCACTGTGCCCGGCCAATTTTTCTATTTATCTTTTTTATTTCTTCCTTAATCAGTTTTTGTCACATAGTTTTCTGGAAAAAAAAAGGTAGTTTTATCTAAATTTTCAAATTTAATAACATAAAATTGTTTAAAATATTATCTTATGTTTAAGTCTTGAATGTATCTATAAATACTCTTTTGTCTTTTGTAATGTTTTTATTGTTCTTAATATAACTTTACCTACTTTATTATTACATTCAAAGAACAACACGGATTTCACTGCCATGTTATTATCTCTAAGTAACAGAGGAATCAGAGAGGTTAAGATACTTGCCCAACGTTACACAGGCTGTCTGAGCCTGCTCTTCTAACCGTTGAAGACACTGGTCTAACCCAGGAAACATACATACAATACTGCTTCCAAAGGTACATAAAATCACTGTTGCTATGCAAAGCAACATGGAAAAATAGGAAAATATACATATAAATTAAAAAAGGCACACATGAAAACTAATGCTAGCATATATATACAAAAAAAAGAAACAGGCAACACTAAAATGTATATTGTTCATAAAATTGCATAAAGTGAATAACACAAAATTCAGATAGTGGTCACTTTGGGGTAGCAGGCTTATAGAAGACTTAAGAGACTTTATGAGAGTGTGTGAGGATTTTATGAAGCCAGACTGAAAGTTTCCTGAGAGAAGAGATCAACACTTTCTTTTTTTGTTGTTGTTTTTTTGAGTCTCGCTCTGTTGCCCAGGCTGGAGTGCAGTGGTGAGATCTTGGCTCACCACCACAACCTCCGCCTCCCAAGTTCAAGTGATTCTCCTTACTCAGCCTCCTGAGTAGCCAGGACTACAGGCGCGTGCCACCATGCCCGGCTAATTTCTGTATTTTTAGTAGAGACGGGGTTTCACTATGTTGGCCAGGCTGGTCTCGAACTTCTGACCTCGTGATCCGCCCGCCTCGGCCTCCCAAAGTGCTGGGATTACAGGCGTGAGCCACAGCACCCGGCCAATACTTTCTTTTATTAATTTTATCTCCCAAGGCTAGCAAAAAATATAGCACAACGTGTAGCTCAACGCACATTTATCGGTTAAACGAATGAATACATGCCCTTTGTAAACTGTTAAGCCCTATGCAAATCAAGAATTTATTATTATTACTTACTACAGTTTAGTTAATAGACTCAAATAAAAGGTAATCAACGTTAAGATTCAGAAGGCACCATTGAAAAATTAATGTTACCCCAGCATTCTTAGGCAAAATAAAGTAAATACTGTTTCTAAATTTGTGACCATTATGATTACATTTAAATTTCCATGTGAGGATGGAACATAAAATCTTCCGTCAGGCGAGCATAATATAAGAGAAAAATACATTAAAAAAAAGAAAAGGAAAAGGAAAAAGAATGAAAACTTGGTTGGGTTAGATCTGCAAGTTCTATTCCATACTTATTATTATTATTATTATTATTATTTTTAAATAGTTTCCTACACTCCCGGTGCAGAGGGAGGCTGGGGAGCCTGGGTCCTTCTGTCCTCCCCGCAGTGGCAGTAGCTGATCTCTGCTCAGGCGTGAGAAGCGCTAACCTGCGCTGGGCCTGAGGCTGCCCGGCCCAGCCCCTCCTCATTCCCCTGGACTCTTCACAGTGTCTCCGGGCCCCTGCGCCATCCTAAGCGTCCCTCTGATGGAAGCCGAGGTGGCAGCAGGAAGCTGGTAGGAGGAACTGGCCCCGCAGGCCGAGAGGACTCGTCCAGGAAATGCTCTGGTTGGCCTCGGCTTTCTGCGCACGGAGCTGGGCCTCGACGCAGGGTTGCAACTAAGGCGTTCCTGGGCTAGGCGACCCCGGGCGTGGGCGCTCCGGCTGCTACTGCGGTTCCTGCTGTGCTCAGCTGGGCCGCGGCTGGAACCAGCGCCGGTCAGAGGCGCAGGAGCAGCCCTCCAGGCGGGAGGAGGCGATAGCCATGCATGGTTCCTGAAAATCTGGCCCTGCTGACAAATCTCAGACGCCAGGAACAGAAGAACCAGGAGAAACTGCCTAGAGCTTGAGCCAAATGGACGGACTGTTGGAGCGGCTGAGGGTGAAGCTGCCCGAACTCCTCAAAGTGGAGCAGCAAAGCAACCACCAGAGATGGACAAGAAAAATCAAAGTCAAAGAAAATTAGTAGAAATCAAAGGCAGATGCTAAAGCAGTGAGAAACCGTTCACGCCACGATGGAAACGGAGTTGATGAAGGAGTCTGATGAAGTTGTCTGTCTGAGCATATTTTGGACTTTGTATATTAAATGTAACATAAAACAAAAACCCTTCATTTTGTTTTAGAAAATCTAAGATTGGCATACACAAACAAACTTTACAAATTACTGTAGGGTTCAGCAAACTATATATATAATGTGAAACTAAATTCTCTATTTTCGATGTCTAAATCTTTTTGTAGAAAAGATCGGTTTCTTTAAAAATGTCTCCACAAATTCAGGCTTATTTTATAAAATGGCAAAATAGTAAACAAATGGGTGATTTGGCATACTATATGAATACTGGCACTCAAAATACAGAATACTTTAATCAAAATTATTTAGAAAGTAGATTTAAATAATTTGATTTTTCACTACAGTGATACACATTCACAAACATTTAAAAAATCAAATCTGGCTGGGCGCGGTGGCTCACGCCTGTGATCCCAGCACTTTGGGAGGCCGAGGCAGGCAGATCACTTGAGGTCAGGAGTTAGAGACCAGCCTGGCCAACATGGTGAAACCCTGTCTCTACTAAAAATACAAAAATTAGCTGGCCATGGTGGCAGGCACCTATAATCCCAGCTACTCAGGAGTCTGAGGAATGAGAATTGCTTGAACTCAGGAGGTGGAGGTTGCAGTGAGCTGAGACTGCACCACTGCACTCCAGCCTGGGTGACAGAGCGAGACGCTGTCTCAAAAAAAAATGTGTTTCAATATTGTTTAAAGGGACGTAGGTCCACTCTAATCTGCTCAATCTGTTAATCAGTGTCAGGAACCAGATTCCAATTTAGTTTCAGGGTGCCTGAATGACTTTTCTTTGCATAGTCTTTGAATTAAATTTCCATTAATAAGGACAGATTTCAGTACCTTTAACCAGCTGCTTTTAGTACCTCCAAAGGTAGTATACAAAGAATTCTCATGTTACTGTCTAAGAAAACAGATTCTACTGTTACCTAAGAAATCAGCTGGAAGGCATTTTTATAACCTGGCACCACATAAAAAAATGCAATGTAGTACTAATAAATGCAGACTACATCACATAAAAAATGGTAATCAAGAATATCACTTTCAATATTTAAGTATTTGAAATTTTGGTAAAAAGTGTGGTAAATTATAGCTTTTGGTATGCTTTGTGTAGCTTAACATCAGCATAAAGTAGGGAAAAAATCTTTAAAAATGAAAACCAACACCAAATAACTAATATCCACTAGTGCATACATATTGATCTTTGTTTCGAAAAAGTCTGAAGCAGAACATTTGGTGAACTTCATGCAGTTATTTTCACCACATTGGAATACTGATAAAATCATTTATATTTAATTTGAGTAAAACATGTTCACATCTTAAAAACACTGCTTTGTGGCCGGGTGTGGTGGCTCACGCCTGTAATCCCAGCACTTTGGGAGGCTGAGGCCGGCAGATCACGAGGTCAGGAGTTCAAGACCAGCCTGGCCAACATAGTGAAACCCGTCTCTAATAAAAATGCAAAAATTAGTCAGGCGTGGTGGCATGCGCCTGTAGTCCACGCTACTCGGGAGGCTGAGTCAGGAGAATCGCTTGAACCCAGGAGGCGGAGGTTGCAGTGAGCCAAGATCATGACACTGCACTCCAGCCTGTGCGACAGAGTGAGACTCCATATTAAAAAAAAAAAAATACTGCTTTGTACTATGAATAAATGTAAAGTCTATTTATTTTATTTACTTATTGACGGAATCTTGCTCCGTTGCCCAGGCTGGAGTGCAGTGGTGGCAATCTTGGCTCACTGAAATCTCCGCCTCCCAGGTTCAAGCGATTCCCCTGCCTCAGTCTCCCAAGCAGCTGGAACTACAGGCGCGCACCACCACACCTGGCTAATTTTAGTATTTTTAGTAGAGACAGGGTTTCACCATATTGGTCAGGCTGGTGTCAAACTCCTGACCTCCTGATCCACCCGCCTCGGTCTCCCAAAGTGCTGGGATTACAGGTGTGAGCCACCGTGCCCGGCCGTAAAGTCTTTATACTCAAGAGAATCCTGATTCTCAACTCAACATATATGGGCAACCCATTCTTCTGGTTTCCTTAAATGGAAGGCTCATTAAGGCTCAAATATGGAGTGAAAGGGACTCAATAACAGCATGTGAAGCAAAAAAGATGAGGTAGGATGGTCAGCTCTAAGCCTCAGGGATTGCCTGGGGGACCCCAATATAATGATGTAACCATGAAGCTTACTGGGTACAAGTAAACATTAAGAGCTGAAAACACCATAGCTTGAAATTGGTGAGATAGAATCTCTGAAATCATAAACAGTTGCACCAAAAAGATTGAGCCAGAATGACAAGTATTTAAGGATTACTAAGGGGGAATGTTTACATGCACGTAAGTTTTTGTTCCAAATCTTATTACAGTAGCAATATGCTTTTCTGTAATGTCAGCTTCCCCAGGCTACAGATGCTATAGACAAGCTACAAGTGCCTAATATGTTGTTTGCAGTCAGTTTCTAAATTTAGAAAACTTGCAATAATTTTTGAATTTCATTGAACTCTGTTTCATGTATAAATCTCACTGAAAGGCATTATTCAGTAGCTATTTCCCTGAGTATTTGGGGGGATTTTCTATTGCTTGATTCCAAACCAACCTTATTTGAATCCTAGTCATTTCTAAAGCCCCAGATGTAATAACAGAAGGACAGCTGAAATGATGCCAAGTTACTCCAAACAGTTCACGTCTAATATATTTGGTTCTCCAAATGAACCAGAAACCACACAAGCTAAACAACAGTGGATTTGAAATTCAACCTAAATTCAACAGTAACAGTCAAAACCCTATGCAAATATCAGCACAGTCACAATGTAGAAAACCTTAGTCTTTTATTCCAGAGAAAATAAAAAATTCTTACTGTGGCATTTTCTGGAAAGGATAAATACATTAAACATGACAAAATATACCAACTCACATAATCTTTGAAATATGAATATTTATTCTTAAATATTTACTATAATATTTACACAAGACTTTCAGTTAAAAATACTTATAGCTACCATGTGTTAAAACAGCCCTGAGGGAGATAATATTTTTTATTAATAATGAAGATTGAAGCTTCAGAAATGTAAAATAATTTTTCCTGGGCACTCAGCTAATTACCCAAATCAAACTCAAATACATTTGATTTTAAAATTTTGATTTTCCTACTGTTGACAATGTTGATATAATAGCTAAATCTTAAGTCTCGGAGTCAGTCGTTGGGAATAAATCAGTACAAGTACTATTGAGGCAGGATGGGTATTCAAGAAAGTGACTACTACAGTATACCACGTTGGCATACTGATAATGTCCTCGGGATGCAGCAACCACGGTGAATGCATGGCAACTGCATATTGTCAACCCAGTAAGCCCCAGCATTTGCATCGTATTTCAACTCATTCAAGCAAAGCTCTCTCATGTAGGGAAATACCCTTGTAGAGAGCATGCACATTTTGATTTTACCTGTCCTTAAAGTGACCTTTTACTCATTATTACTATTATAAATAGTAAAAAACACACCGTGGTTGAGATTTAAGATGCTAATAACACGTGACATATAAACAAGCATGTACAGCCACTGTGTATGTGCACCAAGAGGACCACCCAGAACATGCTTACCAGTTAACACCTCTTTCCACCTCCTTATGAATAATTATGTAAGATTCCCATAAATGGAGTGTTCCTAGTTCTAGTCTTTTCGTCTCATTCCTGTAAGCTGCCCGCCCTGAATCCCTTCTCGCTCAGCGTGTACTGGGTATTCTGCATCTAACTTTTAAAATAGTCTTTCTCCTTTGCAATAAATTATGCTGCATCTTCTTTGTGGTTTGTCTTGTTTAAATTTTTTGAAACTAAGACAAGAGCTGAGGACTCACCACAGCTATCAACACTATTGTGCTTTGTTTTGTATTCTTTGTTATCAATATTTTCTTCTCTGATATGTCAGTATTCACATTTTCAACAGTCAAAACTGCTAAATTGAAACTTTAATCACAAAATGATTTATCATAAAAGCATGCATATTTCTCAAGTTCCAACTTTATTACACTTTTTATTCAAAAATTTTTAATAATTTGACACATAGTCAAATACATTTATCAATTTTAATATTTTAATAATTTGAATTCAATTTCAAAATGATTTATATTCAAGTTTATTGTTGTATTCATTTTTGGCCAAATTTGGCTTTCCAAACGAAGGTAAAACTAAAGCATGTTTTCAAGTTTCATGAAACTTAAGCTTACTGGCATGAAATGCTCTGTAGTAAAATAAATAAAACCTCATCTTTTATCAAGAATATTTAAATAGTTTTATGTCTGAGCAGTTAAACGTCAAGGACAGAACTCTGGATGATATTGACTGCATATTTAAATTGATAAATTAGAAAATGATCATCAGAGCCTGATAAGTGATGGATACAGCAACATACTACTTGAAAAAAGCATTAAGGGCATGTTTGGCAAAAAGAAGGTTGCATAGGACCTGCACTGTACCCCTCATGTAAAGTGTGCTCTCTAACTTTAGTCTTTATTGTAAACTTTACAACCACCACATACTCACATACAAAGAATAAAAAAAAATTTCTTTTTTTCTTGAAAGTCAGTGATTTACATTTTACTCTATTAAATCTGTTCCACATTCCTGTAATAAGGCTGTTGAAATGAACCCTCTTTCCCCAGAAGGTCACCTGTGTGAATGTGAATAAACTGACACTGGCGAGGACCAGCTCAGCACACTCACTTGAACTTTCGCTCTGCTTTTCAGGGAATGAAAATGCCCTTGAAGAGTAAAAATAAAGTGACTGCTGATTAAGCAGAGTTTCACATGAAAAAAGGTTGGTCAACTGTTTGAAAATTACATTGCATGAATTACAACTTTTAAAATGTAAAATGTCCTCTCCCTCTCCCTCTCCACGGTCTCCCTCTGATGCCACCAAAGTTGTGAAAGCCGAGGCTGGACTGTGCTGCCGCCATCTCCGCTCACTGCAACCTCCCTGCCTGATTTCTCCTGCCTCAGCCTGCAGACTGCCTGGGATTGCAGGCGCGCGCCGCCACGCCTGACTGGTTTTTGCATTTTTTGGTGGAGACTGGGTTTTGCCGTGTTGGCCGGGCTGGTCTCCAGCTCCTGACCGCGAGTGATCCGCCTGCCTCGGCCTCCTGAGGTGCCGGGATTGCAGACGGAGTCTTGCTCACTCAGTGCTCAATGGTGCCCAGGCTGGAGTGCAGTGGCGTGATCTCAGCTGGCTACAACCTCCACCTCCCAGCCGCCTGCCTTGGCCTCCCAAAGTGCTGAGATTGTAGCCTCTGCCCGGCCGCCACCCCGTCTGGGAAGTGAGGAGCGTCTCTGCCCGGCTGCCCAGTCTGGGAAGTGAGGAGCGCCTCTTCCTGGCCGCCATCCCATCTGGGAAGTGAGGAGCCTCTCTGCCCGGCCGCCCATCATCTGAGATGTGGGGAGCGCCTCTGACCCGTCGCCTCGTCTGGGATGTGAGGAGCGCCTCTGCCCGGCCGCGACCCCGTCTGGGAACTGAGGAATGTCTCTGCCTGACCGCCACCCAGTCTGGGAGGTGAGGAGCGTCTCTGCCCGGCCGCCCCGTCTGAGAAGTGAGGAGCCCCTCCGCCTGGCAGCCGCCCGATCTGGGAAGTAAGGAGCCCCTCCGCCCAGCAGCCGCCCTGTCTGGAAAGTGAGGAGCCCCTCCGCCCAGCAGCCGCCCTGTCTGGAAAGTGAGGAGCCCCTCCGCCCGGCAGCTGCCCTGTCCGGGAGGTGGGGGGCAGCCCCCGTCCGGCCAGCCGCCCCATCCAGGAGGTGGGGGCAGCCCCCGCCCGGCCAGCCGCCCCGTCCGGGAGGGAGGTGGGGGGCAGCCCCCGCCCAGCCAGCCACCCCGTCCCGGAGGGAGGTGGGGGGTGCCTCCACCCGGCCAGCTGCCCCGTCTGGGAGGTGGGGGGCGCCTCTGCCCAGCCACCTCATCTGGGAAGTGAGGAGCCCCTCTGCCCGGCCGCCACCCCGTCTGGGAGGTGTACCCGACAGCTCATTGGGAATGGGCCATGATGACGATGGTGGTTTTGTCAAATAGAAAAGGGGGAAATGTGGGGAAAAGAAAGAGAGATCAGATTGTTACTGTGTCTGTGTAGAAAGAAGTAGACATGGGAGATTCCATTTTGTTCTGTACTAAGAAAAATTCTTCTGCCTTGGGATGCTGTTAATCTATAACCTTAAAAAAATGTAAAATGCAAAACATAAATACTGCACAACTAAATAGGATAGAAGTGACAGAGTTGGCCACAAAGGACAGAAAAGCTGTGTTATAGCAATATAAAAAAAGTACTGTCAGAGGAAGGTAACTTAAAGTATTTGAAAGATGTTTTCTAAGAATCTAAAATTATTTTTAGTTTGTATAAAAAATGTTTAAGCACTTTTAATTTTCAAAAAAATTTAAGTGCATTCTATGTCAGGATTTTCTGAAGAATTTAAATAGAATAGAGTAAAATTATACTTATCAAAAGGTAAACTTTTCTAGTAATAGAGCAGTTTGATTTTCACACCAAAAGAGTAAAATTTTACAAAATTTTATGCCAAACAATTTAATCAGAAACGTCTTTCTCACAACTGGGAGAGATGACACAAAGATACAGCTTTCATGTTGGGTGAGAGAGGAAATGATTACCAGGGGCTAGACAATTGTTGTTTCACTAATCAATGTTTATTTTTATCGCTATTTTGTCTCAAATTATGTTAATAATGAAGTAATAACCTTGATCCAAGAATTTTTTTCTTTTTTCTTTTTTTTTTTTTTGAGATGGAGTCTCACTCTGTCACCCAGGCTGGAGTGCAGTGGTGCAATCTCAGCTCACTGCAACCTCCGCCTCCCGGGTTCAAGCGATTCTCCTGCCTCAGCCTCCCTAGTAACTGGGACTTACAGGCGCGTGCTACCACGCTTGGCTAATTTTTTGTATTTTTAGTAGAGACATGGTTGCACCATGTTAGCCAGGATGGTCTCTACCTCCTGACCTCGTGATCTGCCTGCCTCGGCCTCCCAAAGTGCTGGGATTACAGGCGTGAGCCACGGTGCCTGGCCCCCAAGAGCTTTTTAAAAAATTTATTTTTAAAATTAGCCAAAATATTATCCAAAAGAAGGCAGAAAAATGAAGGCATTTAACAGTCAAAATTTGTATTTTAAATTAAAATACTTTTAGAAAGAAAAAAAAAAAGATATGAAAACAAATGAAGGAGAAGGAAGTAGGTTACTCACAATAGCTAAGATAGAGAATCAACCTAAGTGTTAACCTAAGTGTCAACAGGTGAATGGATGAAGAAAATTTCGTGTATTTACACAATGGAATGCTATTCAGCCCTTAAAAATAAAGAAATCTTGTTATCTGCAACGATACTGATGAACCTGTAGGACATTAGCCTAAGTAAAAAGAGCCAACACAGCTCTCCATCTCCCTCTCCCTCATCTCCGTCTCCCCACGGTCTCCCTCTTCCTCCCTCTCCACGGTCTTCCTCTGATGCCGAGTGGAAGCTGGACTGTACTGCCGCCATCTCGGCTCACTGCAACCTCCCTGCCTGATTCTCCTGCCTCAGCCTGCAGACTGCCTGGGATTGCAGGCGCACGCCGCCACGCCTGACTGGTTTTCGTATTTTTTTGGTGGAGACGGGGGTTCACTGTGTTGGCCGGGCTGGTCTCCAGCACCTAACCGCGAGTAATCTGCCAGCTTCGGCCTCCCGAGGTGCGGGGATTGCAGACGGAGTCTCGCTCACTCAGTGCTCAGTGTTGCCCAGGCTGGAGTGCAGTGGCATGATCTCGGCTCGCTACAACCTCCACCTTCCAGCCGCCCGCCTTGGACTCCCAAAGTGCTGAGATTGCAGCCTCTGCCCGGCCGCCACGCCGTCTGGGAAGTGAGGAGCGTCTCTACCTGGCCGCCCATCGTCTGGGATGTGAGGAGCCCCTCTGCCTGGCTGCCCAGTCTGGGAAGTGAGGAGCGCCTCTTCCCAGCCACCATCCCATCTAGGAAGTTAGGAGCGTCCCTGCCCGGCCGCTCATCGTCTGAGATGTGGGGAGCGCCTCTGCCCCGCCGCCCCATCTGGGATGTATGGAGTGCCTCGGCCCAGCCGCGACCCCGTCTGGGAGGCGAGGAGCATCTCTGCCCGGCCGCCCCATCTGAGAAGTGAGGAGCCCCTCCGCCCAGCAGCCACCCCGTCTGGGAAGTGAGGAGCGTCTCCGCCCGGCAGCCGCCCCGTCCGGGAGGTGGGGGGCAGCCCCCGCCTGGCCAGCTGCCCCGTCCGGGAGGGAGGTGGGGGCCAGTCCCCACCCGGCCAGCCGCCCCATCCAGGAGGGAGGTGGGGGGCGCCTCCGCCCGGCCAGCTGCCCCATCCGGGAGGTGGGGGCGCCTCTGCCTGGCCACCCCTGCTGGGAAGTGAGGAGCCCCTCTGCCTGGCTGCCACCCCGTCTGGGAGGTGTACCCAACAGCTCATTGAGAACGGGCCATGATGACGATGGCGGTTTTGTCGAATAGAAAAGGGGGAAAGGTGGGGAAAAGATAGAGAAATCAGATTGTTGCTGTGTCTGTGTAGAAAGAAGTAGACATAGGAGACTCCATTTTGTTCTGTACTAAGAGAAGTTATTCTGCCTTGGGATGCTGTTAATCTATAACCTTACCCCCAACCCCGTGCTCTCTGAAACATGTGCTGTGTCCACTCAGGGTTAAATGGATTAAGGGCGGTGCACAATGTGCTTTGTTAAACAGATGCTTGAAGGCAGCATGCTCGTTAAGAGTCATCACCACTCCCTAATCTCAAGTACCCAGGGACACAAACACTGCGGAAGGTGGCAGGGCCCTCTGCCTAGGAAAACCAGAGACCCTTGTTCACTTGTTTATCTGCTGATCTTCCCTCCACTATTGTCCTATGACCCTGCCAAATCCCCCTCTGTGAGAAACACCCAAGAATGATCAATAAATACTAAAAAAAAGAGCCAGCACAAAGAAAAAAGAAAACAAAAACATACCACATGATCTCATTTTTTTTTCTTTCTCAAAAAAGTTTCACTTTTTATTTAGCTGCAAAGCTAAATAAAATGAGTGAGAAGACTCTGCTTGTGCCTTCAACACTTTCACAACGATTTTCTGCTCCTCAATAAGGAAAGCACGCTTGATCCTGCCACGAACACATTTAGCACACATGGAACCACCATAGGCCCTGCTGACATGTTTGTTTGTTTTGGACAATTTCATAAGAACTTTAAGTCTTACAGCACGAACCCCTCGAAGTCTGCCTGGGCACATGCCACAAGCAGATTTTGATGCTTTTCCAACCTTCTTGGTATAAAGGTATTCTATTACCAGGGGTTCGGAACAGCCTACTTTTGTTAGAGGCTGTACTGTAGGAATGCCTACATTGGTATGTCAAACGCTGGACCATTCTGAGTGCCTGCAGACAATGTCTCGGAAGAGCCACATGATCTCATGTCTAGGTAGAGTAGAAAAAAATTCTAACTCGGCCGGGTGTGGTGACTCACCTGTAATCCCAGCACTTTGGGAGGCTGAGGCAGGTGGATCACCTGAGATCAGGAGTTTGAGAACAGCCTGGGCAACATGGTGAAACCCCGTCTCTACTAAAAATACAAAAATTAGCTGGGCGGGGTGGTGGGCACCTGTAAACCCAGCTACTTGGGAGACTGAGGCAGGAGAATCACTTGAACCTGGGAGGTAGAGGTTGCAGTGAGCCAAGATTGCACTACTGCACTCCAGCCTGGACAAGAGTGAGACTCCGTCTCAAAAAAAAAAAAAAAAAAAAAAAAAAAGGCACAGTGGCTCAAGCCTGTAATCCCAGCACTTTGGGAGGCTAAGTGGGTGGATCACCTGAGGCTGGGAGTTCAAGACCAGCCTGACCAACATGGAGAAACCCAGTCTCTACTAAAAATACAAAATTAGCCGGGTGTGGTGGCACGTGACTGTAATTTCAGCTACTCGGGAGGCTGAGGCAGGGGAATCGCTTGAACCCAGGAGGCAGAAGTTGCCGTGGGCTGAGATCGCCCCATTGTACGCCAGCCTGGGTGACAAGAACGAAAGTTTTTCTCAACAAAAAAAAAAAAAAAAAAAAAAAAAAAAAAAAAGGCTGGGGGTGGAGATATTGGTCAAATGTAAGAGGTCTTTCCTGTATCTCTTACCTTAATAAATTATTCTTTTCAGTTTTGATTCACCAGGGAATTGTGTCATATCCTGAAGCATCAAAACTGAAGGACTGAAAGCAATGCAAGTTGTATATTAAAATTTCAGAGGCTTAGCAAAATAATGTATTTTATGGTCACACAACCATTTTTTTCTCATTAAGAGGACTTCTATGTGATCTTTCAGGGATCATATCTTCTTTCATCTTTCTGCATCTTTCTCTTTTTTCAGCCAATGGATGAAAAAACTGATGAAGAGAAGACACATTTGGTTCTTACTTACACTTCACTTCCACTCACTATTTGTCAGTGTGGATAGAGCTGAGAACAGCAGTTTCCTGGCAGGACAGCCACTTGTCAGCAATAAACAACACACTGAAAGAAAAGTACAAATCTTTCATCAAAAGCTAATGGATTTTTAAGCAAAATAAGCATATGCATCAATAACAAAATGCTTGTGGTAAAATAAAGATGAATTTTGTTGATTTCTATTGAGTTCCGGTAATATTTGGACCAAAAGCTAGCAAATATACAGCAAAAAAAGGAATATTATTTGAAATAAGAATATTGTGAATCAAGTTATCCTGTCAGTAGAAGTAAAAATATTACGGCCTCATACTAATAATTTCATCTGTAGCTGTACAACATCAAATGCTTTTTATTAAAAACTGTATTTAATATAAATATTCCATTTATATCACCCTCGCTCACTATTTCAATGCCGTCTCCACTTTATATCAGTGGAAACAGGCCGGCCTGCTCAAGGAGAGCACATGGTGCCATTGCTATGTTAATCATGAAGAGCACTTGTTTGGATGGTGCTCTCATGCCAAACACTGTTATTTAGCTCAAAGTACTGGTTTTCTATTTTTCTCTAAATTTACGAATAAAATAAAATTCTTAGCTAAAAAGACTTATCTCATTGAAATATGTTTTATGAAATTTGGTTGACATTTAAGTGCTGCTGATTTACCTGGAATATTGAAATTTTTATGAATCCAAATTGAGTATTATATGCAATCTTTTACTAAAAGCCTTTGTGAGGCAGAGTAGTATTCATTTCTTTTTTTTTGGCGGGGGGGACGGAGTCTCACTCTGTCGCCAGGCTGGAGTGAAGCAGCGCGATCTCGGCTAACTGCAACTTCTGCCTCCCGGGTTCAACCGATTCTCTTGCCTCAGTCTCCCAAGTAGCTGGGAATACGGGCACGTGTCACCATACCCAGCTAATTTTTGTATTTTTAGTAGAGACGGGGTTTCACCTTGTTGTCTAGTATGGTCTCCATCTCTTGACCTTGTGAGCCACCCACCTAGGACTCCCAAAGTGCTAGGATTACAGGTGTGAGCCACCACACCAAACTGATTCATAAAATTTTTATAATATGAAATAAATTTGTTGATTATGTTCCCGGTAATAAACTGAATACAGCATTCTCAGCTCCTAGTATTCACCCTGAGTCACTCGGGAAATTGTATCTCTGTAAAGGGGCAGAAGAAGGTGCTGAGTGGAGGGGCACCACATTGCCCATAAATGCTTTCCACACGCACCTGTTAGGATCTTGACTTAATTGGGCTGTCGTTTGCGTGGCTAGATACTTAGTGAATCTGGTCATACTATTTTTTGGCAGCTAATGACAAATTGTTACCTATTTTATTCAATTATTTGCTTAGCTGAAAAATACAACTTTTATCAATTTACTCTGACAGACTAGATTTGAAATCTTCAATCTTTTAATGTTAATGCAAACTAGAGAAGAGCACTGTGTATATATGTAGAATGCATTTTTCTGCCTATCAAAATTCTTTTTGTATTGCCTGTGAAACCCTAAGAAGCCACTAAAGAATACGGCCTTTAAATCCTTTAGCCAGAATTTTAGATTTTAAATGGTCAAGAACTTAATGATTGAACAAAACCAAAATTGTCTTTGCTACTTGTTAATAATCTAGCCACTTCAGAAAGCACGGCAATTATGCCAAGCCATTGAAAAGATGTGATTTTGATAAATTCTATCCCATTTCAAATGTTTTTTTCTAATTGTTACTTTTATCGTGTTAAACTATCTGCATAGTTTATGCATTCAAGACATTAATATTAAAGTGTTTAAAGTTTAATACATGACAACGTAGAATCCTCTAAAATGAGCAGAAGTTCATTATTAATAAATTCATTGTTTTCGAGGCTTTTCAATTGTGAAAACAAATAATGAGATATGCTTTTTCATGATAAGCTCAATTCTAGGAAGTTACCCACTGGTCTCCGTGTTATTTTTGTAATGGGTAGTGTAACACTGGGCCACCAGAATGGTGCAGATATGCTGATTTAATGAGAATAAAAATGAGTTCAGCCTCCTTGGCTGACTATTGCTATCCCAGAGGCTGATCATTCACTACAACTTAGTAAATGCTGCTCCATCATGCCAGTGAGCCCTTTCAACCAGGTTGCCCTTTTCCTCCCATTGATTTGCTCATGTTGTGGTCTCCTCTGTTTATCTTAGGCTATCCCAGATGAGAGGTGATTATTTTTGCATGAAGAAGACCCCCTTTTTATCTCTGTCCTGGGATCCTCCCTATTGGAAGCAACATGTGGAAGGCAGGAATGATGACAATATACAAACGTGTTTCCTGCCATGTGGCCACCAAGAGCAGCTTACAACCTGTTCCACCTAGAAGTCACTTACTTCCAGGCCAGCAAGGGTGTTTTTCTACAATGTGTCTTTTTATTTTTTGGGGAGGATAGAGTCTCGCTCTGTCGCCCAGGCTGGAGTACAGTGGTGTGATCTTGGCTCACTACAACCTCTGCCTCCCAGGTTCAAGTGATTCTCCCATCTCAGCCTCCTGAGGAGCTGGGATTACAGGCGCATGCCACAACGCCCGGCTAACTGGTTAATTTTTGTATTTTTAGTAGAGATGGGTTTCACCACGTTGATCAGGCGGTCTCGAACTCCTGACCTCAAGTGATCCACCCGTCTCGGCCTCCCAAAGTGCTGGGATTACAGGCGTGAGCCACCACGCCCGGCCCGTGTCTTTCTCTTAAAAGCACCTCTGATTAAGTTTAGCCCTATCAGGATAATCTCCCTTTTGATGAACACAAAGTCAATACATCAGCAACCTAATTTCATGAGTGATTTTCCACGACAGTAAGTCATATTTTCTTTACACGCCAAAGGAGAGGATTACACAGCAGGTGTGCAACAGATTGGGAATCCTGGCGATCATCTTAGAATTTTGTCTACCCACCTGAATAGACTGTTAAAATAGTCTTATAGTTTCTTTTTTTATCTAAGTAAACAAAAGATATCATTTGCAAATAATAATTAACTACCTTCCCATTTTATTACAAATATTAACATACTTTTTCTGGCTTATTTTTTTCAAGTATCATTTTATACATTTACACACATATACAACAATGAAAATTATTCAATTATTCAATGTGTTAATTTTTATTAAAAATGATTGTTAGGCTGGGTGCAGTGGCTCACGCCTGTAATGCCAGCACTTTGGGCACTTTGGGAGGCCAAGGCGGGTGGATCACCTGAGGTCAGGAGTTCGGGACCAGCCTGGCCAAAACGGCGAAACCTCGTCTCTACTAAAAAATACTAAAATTAGCCAGGGAAGGTGGCAGGCACCTGTAGTCCCAGCTACTTGGGATGATGAGGCAGGAGAATCGCTTGAACCCAGGAGGCGGAGGTTGCAGTGAGTTGAGATTGCGGTCGGCGTCCCCCAACTTCTTAGAGGGACAAGTGGCGTTTAGTTGGTGGAGCGATTTGTCTGGTTAATTCCGATAATAAATGTCAAATATAACAAAAAATGCACAGGTATTAACATACTGAATAGGGAAATGCTGTAAGATTTTACTCTAAGAGCTAAAACAAGTCAAGGATGTGCACTTTCTTCAGTCTTACTAAACATAGTACTAAATGTCCAAGACATAGAAAATAAAGAATAAAATCAAAGGCATCCAGATTGGAAAAAAAGGAGTTAAATTATCATTGTATGATAATCTTTTATCTCAGGCTGGGTGCTGTGGCTCACACCTGTAATTCCAGCACTTTGGGAGGCCGAGGCAGGTGCATCACCTAAGGTCAGGAGTTCGAGACCAACCTGGACAACATGGTGAAACCCATCTCTACTGAAAATGCAAAAATTAGCTGGGTGTGGTGGCGCATGCGTGTAATCCCAGCTACACAGGAGGCTGAGGCAGGAGAATTGCTTGAATGCGGCACGCAGAGGTTGCAGTGAGCCGAGATCGCACCATTGCACTCTAGCCTACGTGACAAGAGTGAAACTCCATCTCAAAAAATAATAAATAATAAAAAATAATCTTTTATCCCTATACATAATCCTAAGAAAAGCCTAAGACTTTACCAAAAACTATTAAAACTAATAAATTTATTAAACATGTGGAATACAAAACCAATATCCAAATGTCAGTAGCATTTCTATGAACTATCTCAAAATAAATTTAAAAAACAATTCCATCTACAGTAACTGTAGTAACTATACTTTAAAATAAATTTAATCAAAATTTTGAAGCACTTTACATTATACTCTAAAAACATTCAAGAAATTAATACATGAATTAAAAAGTTAATCATTAATGAATTGCCATTATTAATATTGTTAAATATTTGTATTACACAAAATAACCTAAAGATATAATGCAACCTCAATGAAAATATCAGTGACATACTTAATAAAAATTCTTAAAAAATACATCTACAATGTATATTGTACCACAAAAGACCCTCAATAGCCAAAGCAATCTAACAGAAAAAAGTGAATCTATCACCCTACCTGACTTTGAAATATACTACAAAAGTACAGTAACAAAAACAGTATGGTGCTTGAATAAAAACAGACACTAGGCCAATGGAGCAAAAAAAAAGATTCCAGAAATATAGCCATGTACTTACAGCTAACTGATTTTAAATAAAGGTGACAATTTCGTAGGAAAAAGACAGAAAATTATGTTGAGAATACTTTATGGCCAAATGCAGAGCAATAAAAGGAGACCCTAACTCACACCACATATAAAAATCCACTCAAAATAAATTAGATATTTAAATGTAAGGCCTGAAACTCTGAAACTACCATTACTACTACAAAAACAAACAAACAAAAAACAACAACAAGAACAAAAAAAAAACCAGAGAGAAGGCCCCATTAACATTTAAACTCAAAATCCCAGGGAACAAAAGGAAAAAAATAAATGAGTCAGAATACTTCAAATTAAAATGCTGCTGCATAGAATACAATCAACAGAATAACTAAAAAATGGGACAAGGCATTATTAATATCAAAAATATATAAGAAAATTAAATGACTATACAACATAAAACAAATAACTATTGAAAATGAGCTGGCCAGGCACAGTGGCTCACGCCTGTAATCCCAGCACTTCGGGAGGCTCAGGCGGGCAGATCACAAGGTCAGGAGTTCGAGAACAGCCTGGCCAACATGGTGAAACCTCATCTCTACTAAAAAACAAAAAATTAGCCAGGCGTGGTGGCAGGCACCTGTAGTCCCAGCTACTTGGGAGGCTGAGGGATCACGCCACTACACTCCAGCCTGGGTAACAGAGCGAGACTCCATCTAAAAAAAAAAAAAAAAAAAAAAAAAAAAAAAAAAAAAGCAAAAAGCATATTTTTCAAGAAAATACATACATATGGCAAATAGATACATTTAAAAATGCTGAATGTCTTTTTTTTTTTTTTTTTTTTGGAGATGGAGTCTCATTCTGTCACCCAGGCTGGAGTGTAGTGGCACGATCTCGTCTCACTGCAACCTCCACCTCATGGGTTCAAGCGATTCTCCTGCCTCAGCCTACTGAGTAGCTGGGATTACAGACATGCGTCACCATACCCAGCTAATTGTTGTATTTTTAGTAGAGACAGGGTTTCACCATGTTGCCAGGCTGGTCTCGAATTCCTGACCTCAGGTGATCCGCCTGCTTTGGCCTCACAAAGTGCTGAGATTACAGGTGTAAGCCACTGCGCCCAGCCGAATGTCAATTCTTATTAGGGAAAGCAAGCCAGAAAAGACTATGAGATATCAACTCACTCATTAGAATGACGCTTACTAAAAATGAAAAAAAAAAAAGGGCCGGATGCAATGGCTCATGCCTGTAATCCCAGCATTTTGGGAGGCCAAGGCAGGTGGATCACCTGAGGTCAGGAGTTTGAGACCAACCTGGCCAACATGGCAAAACCCCATCTCTACTAAAAATACAAAATTAGCTGGGCATGATGGCAGGGACCTGTAATCCCAGCTACTTGGGAGGCTGAGGCAGGAGAATTGCTTGAACCCGGGAAGCGGAGGTTGTAAGTGAGCCAAGATCGCACCACTGCACTCCAGGCTGGGTGACACAGTGAAACTGTCTCAAAAATAAATAAATAAATAAATAAGTAAATAAATAAATAAAAGAAAAAAGTGTTAGTTGGTAAAGATGTCAATAAAAGAAAATGCTTACACACTGTTGGTTTGAATGTAAATGAGGACAGCCATTATGAATAACAAAATAGAGATTACTCAAAAAAACTTAAAATCAAACTACTATATAATACAGCAATTGCACTGTTGGGTATGTATTCAAAACAAAATCAGAATGAAGAAATATTCACACTTCTATGTTGCTTTCAGCACTCTTCCCAACAGCCAAATTATGCAATCAACAGTTCAACATCTAATAAGTAAATAAAGACAATATGGCATATATACACAATGGAATACTATTTATATTTAAAAGAAAATTCTATTTTCAATCACATGGATTAACCTGAAGGACATTATATTAGTTGAAATAAGCCAGTTACAAAATGATTAGTATCTCATTTCACTTACACATGGATTCAAAAAAACTTAATCTCATTGATGTGGAGAACAAAACGGTGACCACTAGATGCCAAGGTATTTTTAAAAATGGGGGAATTCGAAAGATATCTGCCAAATAATACATATAGTTGGATAGGAGGAATAAGTTCAAGATTGTTCGGCATTGCGACTATAGTTTATAATATTGCATTTGTTATGTTTGAAAAAATGCTAAGACAATGTTATGTAATCTCACCATCAAAATGTTAACTATTTGAGATAAAGCATTAATTACATAAAGCTAATAAGCATCTGACCACCTGTATATACTTCAAAATGCTGTTTTACAGAATAAATACACATTTTCTCTTTCAAGTTAGAGAATACATTTCTAAAACCTTATAGAAAGATAACAGTATTTCAAATAATGTCTGTGTCTTTGTCATAAACTTGGCTGAATAGTATAAAAAATAGTTTTTGTACTGTTTTATCATGTGTCAGTCATAACCACAGGAATTTTGATACTTGACAGCATGGTTTTTGTTTTGTTTTTTTTGTTTGTTTTGAGACAGAGTTTTGCTCTTGTAGCCCAGGCTGGAATACAATGGCACCATCTCTGCTCACTGCAATCTCCGCCTCACAGGTGCAAGCGATTCTCCTGCCCCAGCTTCCCGTGTAGCTGGGATTACAGGAGTGTGCTGTTACACCCAGCTAATTTTTGTATTTTCATTAGAGATGCGTTTTTGCCATGTTTGGCCAGGCTGGTCTTGAACTCCTGACCTCAGGTGATCCACCCTCCTCGGCCTCCCAAAGTGCTCGGAATACAAGCGTGAGCCACCGCGCCCAGGCTTGACAGCATGTTTTAAACCCAGCACAGTGCATGGGAGGAGCCAATGTACTTTAGTGCTTTATTTTAAGCTTGGGGCAGCTACTAGGGAGGCTGAGGCGGAAGAATCGCTTGAATCTGGAAGATGTAGGTTGCAGTGAGCCCAGATTGTGCCACCGCACCCTAGCCTGGGTGACAGAGTGAGACTGTCTTAAAAAAAAAAAAAGAAAAAATTAAATTTAATATGGTTTACTTACCATAAACTCTCTTAAAATTTTAATTTCTATGATATATTTTCTAGCAAATTTTATATTTGTCACACTTTGGGTAAGAATCTAGTATGATTTTCTTTTTACAAACAATACTTTTTCTTTTTACAAAGAAAGAAGCACCATGCTAACCGATTTAATCCTCTCTCCTGTGGACAGTGTATGCCTTTTATCTTAATTAACTGATCTGAAAGTTATATTGATAAGCAAACTCTCCAGTTGAAACCAATTTTTCAGTGCATTAAAAAATATCACAGTTCTCATCAAAACCCACAAAACACCGTATGAAATGACATGGCATGAAGAAAACAGTGGGAAAACTGTAGCCATAACACAGAAGAAGAAGAAGGGCTATGATGCATACATGGGTGGAATACACATAAAAAGACAAACAAAACTTAAGATAATTAGAAAATAAATGAAGCAGAACTTCTTTTTAAATTCAGCAAAATTCAGCTTTGCAGCCTGAAAAAAAAGTACTCGCCACATGAAGAATCAATTGTTTACCTTTGATATTTTCTACCTCTGAACATGAAGTTGCAAGTTTCACAGGAGTATTTATGCCTTATTATGGAGCATCTGTTATACAGCAAGCACCGTCATGTTTGTTTGCTACATTTAGGTATAAAAACATTTTCATGACTTATGAAGCTTCCCTAGTACTTACCTGAACAAATTGGCCCAATCAATGAATAAATTTATTTATATCCATTATAAAAAGTGAAAAAAACAGTAACTTAAGAAAAGGAGGCTTATATAGGGTTCTCCAATTAAAAGAACAAAATGGAATGTTCCAACTAAATAAAATATAATTTAACAAACTAATTTTAGAATTACAGGTAAAAATTATTTTGTGTGCATGACTAAATTTCTTTTTTTTTTGAGATGGATTCTTCCTCTGTCGCCCAGGCTGGAGTGCAGAGGTGCAATCTCAGCTCACTACAACCTCTGTCTCCCGGGTTAAAGCTATTCTCCTGCCTCAGCCTCCCAGTAGCTGGGATTACAGGTGCACGCCACCATGCCCGGCTAATTTTTGTATTTTTAGTAGAGAGGAGGGTTCACCACGTTGGCCAAGTTGATCTTGAACTCCTGACCTCAAGTGATCCACCCACCTTGGCCTCCCAAAGCGTTGGGATTATAGGCGTGAGCCACCGCGCCCGGTCCATGACTCAATTTCATTAAAATCATTCATATAATCACAGAGCAGCTCACATAATGAAAACTTCATAAACCATAAAACAAAAAACTTATATAAGAAACAAGAAAGTTATGGGCCTAGCATGAGTACCAGGCAAGTAAAAACAGAATTTGCATGGCAAGATTCTGAATCATAAGCCATAAGATTGTACAGTAATAAATTCAGAACAAAGCAGAGAGCAGAAATTTGCATTCACATTTTTGAAGATTTTTGTTTTCTAGAAAATTGGACACCTGGCCGGGCATGGTGGCTCATGCCTGTAATTCTAGTACTTTCGGAGGCTGAGGTGGGTGGATCACCTGAGGTCAGGAGTTCAAGACTAGCCTGACCAATATGATGAAACCCTGTCTGTACTAAAAATACAAAAATTGTCCAGGTGTGGTGGCCTGGGCCTGTAGTCCTAGCTACTCAGGAGACTGAGACAGGAAAATTGCTTGACCCTGCGAAGCAGAGGTTGCAGCGAGCCGATATCACACCGCTGCACTCCAGCCTAGGCAACAGGGCAAAACTCTGTCAAAAAAAAGAATCAAAAAGAAAATTAGACACCTTATTAATTTTCTTACACCTAAGGTTTATATTTAGACTAACAGATGTGTACATTTAACTCTATGTAAATCAAAACTAAAAGTCTGTATGTGTTTGCAAGCAGAGAGGCCACATATTCAAAGAAAAATATATAAGAAATTTTTTAAAGTATTTATTCAGGACTCAAAAATGTGTAAATTTTGTTTATAATTGTATATAATTTTTATTATTATAAAAATAAACCTGTAGTCAATAACAATTTAATTATACATTTGAAATGATCTAAAACTGTAGAACTGAATTGTTTGTAATACAAAAAATAAATTCTAGAGGTGATGGATACGTCATTTATCCTAATGTGATTATTAGTATAAATTATATATTGTATGCCTATCAGAATATGCCATATATAACATAAATATTATGTGCCCACAAAAATTAACAAAAGTAAATTTAAATGGGAAAAAAATAAAAATTTTACCTACAGAAACAATATTCCTTAACTTATTTGCAGTTTAAAGCCACTGGCAAAAAAGATTACTAGAGATGTTAGTCCATTATTTTACCAAATAGTGTATTGTTACGATCTTTTACCTACACCCTTGAGTAAGGTGGACTAGGTTAAATTAAGTGGAATAATGTGACTTGATTGAATGCACAATATTTAACGTTAAAAATGTTCAATTAAATTTTCACACATAATATAAAATTTTTAACATGTATTGCATTTTGTTTCATAAAAGTACAATTAGTAAAATAATATATTATTTTAATTTTAACTAAAACTAAAAATATTCGTCTCTCAATATAATGCAGAATATTACTCTGAACACCTACCTCATGCATCACTCAATACTGTAAGTGAACCACAAAGAACCTCTTTACTTAAGATTTTCATCATGCATCTTACATTTTAATGTCCTTACTCTTTCATTGAAGAGGTCATAAATGCTCACCTAAAAAAAAAATCTCTCATATCTTTGATGCAGCAACAATTGGTCATACGCTTTCACAGATGAATACAATAGGAAAAGAGAAACAGCATGGGCTGGGCCCAGTGGCTAACACCTATAATCCCAGCACTTTGGGAGGCCAAGCTGGGCGGATCACCTGAGGTCACGAGTTTGAGACCAGCCTGGCCAACATGGCAAAACCCCAGCTCTACTAAAAATATAAAACTTAGCTGGGCGTGGTGGTGTGTGCCTGTAATCCCAGCTACTCAGGAGGCTGAGGCAGGAGAATCATTGAATGCTGAAGACGGAGGTTGCAGTGAGCCGAGAAAGCGCCACTGCACTCCAGCCTGGGTGACAGAGTGGGGCTCTGTCTTAAAAGAAAAAAAAAAAAGAAAGAAATTAATTTATTTAGCATGAAGTAATTTGAGTTAATTACAACATTATTTACATGAAGTAATTTGAGAGTTAATTACATTACTTTTTAAAAAATCTGTAAGCTTTCCAAAAAAAGTATACTTGTAATGTAATTATAACTCTCCAAAAAATCTTCTACTCTTTTAAAGTTATATACAAATAATTTTTCTCCCAACTTTAGTTTTGGATTATTTTCTAAACTCAGAACTCTGATTTAGTGTAAAATCTGAAGTGTCAGTGCCTTATATATTTCTAATGTAAATTCTCTGGTATTTACATAGACAATTTTGGATTAAATTTTTTTTTCTTATTTACTGCATCTGCAAAAATATATTTTACTATGAACTCTCTGGAGTTTTCTAACCTGTAGTTTTTGAATAAATGTTTTTTTCCTAAATTTATTACATTTACAGGGTTTTTCTTCAATACAAATTCACTGATGTTGAACAAAGTTTGAGTAATTGCTTCAGGGTTTGCTCTAATACAAAATGAATACAACAAGATCTGTGTTACAAGTAAAGTTACTATAACTCTCTTTATATTTGTAATGTTTGTCTTCAAAATAAATCCTCTTCAGCACTTTAAAGGCTTACATTTTCTCAAGAGTCTTTTGACAGTAATTGCACTTTTAATGCTATTAAGTATAAATTCTCTGATGTTAAGATGTGAGCAGATATTAATCACTTTTTTACTTTCTTTATATTTGCACATTTGTTCTCAAGTATAAAGGCTTTCCTGTGCAATAAGGTGTGAGCATTGTTTAAGTCTTGCCACACTGTTCACACTCGTGATGTTTTCTCCAGTATGAATTACCCTACTTACAAACAAGTGTGATAACCATTTAAAGGCTTTGTCACATTATTCATATTTCTATGTTTTCTCACCAGCACAATTTCTTTTATGTTTGGAAATGTTTGAGATGTTGTCACAAGCATTGTCACAACTTTCAGGTTTGTAGAATTTCTCTCCAGTATGAATCATCTTATGTCTGTTAAGAATAGAGGAGTTGTTAAAGGCTTTGCCACATTCTTCACACTTGTAGGGTTTCTCTCCAGTATGAATTATCTTATGTGTAGTAAGGTGTGAGGACTGGTTAAAGGCTTTGCCACATTCTCCACATTTGTAGGGTTTCTCTCCAGTATGAATTACCTTATGTTTAGAAAGAGTTGAGGACTGGTTAAAAGCTTTGCCACATTCTTCACATTTGTAGGGTTTCTCTCCAGTATGAATTATCTTATGTGTAGTAAGGTGTGAAGATAGGTTAAAAGCTTTGCCACATTCTTCACATTTGTAGGGTTTCTCTCCAGTATGAATTATCTTATGTGTAGTAAGGTGTGAAGATAGGTTAAAAGCTTTGCCACATTCTTCACATTTGTAGGGCTTCTCTCCAGAATGAATTCTCTTATGTGTAGTAAGGTGTGAGAACCGGCTAAAGGCTTTGCTACATACTTCACATTTGTAGAATTTCTCTCCAGAATGAATCCTCTTATGTGTAGTAAGGGTTGAGGATTGTTTAAAAGCTTTGCCACATTCTTCACATTTGTAGGGTTTCTCTCCAGAATGAATTCTCTTATGTGTAGTAAGGTGGGATAACCGGCTAAAGGCCTTGCCCCATTCTTCACATTTGCAGAATTTCTCTCCAGTATGAATTATCTTACGTGTAGTAAGGGTTGAGGATTGGTTAAAAGATTTGCCACATTCTTCATATTTGTAGGGTTTCTCTCCAGCATGAATTATCTTATGTGTAGTAAGGGTTGAGGACTGGCTAAAAGCTTTGCCACTTTCTTCACATTTGTAGGGTTTCTCTCCAGTATGAATTCTCTTATGTGTAGTAAGGTTTGCAGATTGGTTAAAAGCTTTGCCACAGTCCTCACATATGTAGGGTTTCTTTCCAGTATGAATTATCTTATGTGTAGTAAGGTGTGAGAGCCGGTTAAAGGCTTTTCCACACTGTTCGCATTTGTAGGGTTTCTTTCCAGTATGAATTCTCTTATGTGTAGAAAGGTTTGAGGCCTCATTATAGGCTTTCCCACATTCTTTACATTTGTAGGGTTTCTCTCTAGTATGAATTCTTTTATGTTGAGCTAAGTGTGAAAGCATGCAAAATGACTTTTCACATTCTTTACATTTGAAAGGTTTCTTTCCAGTATGTCTTATCTTATATCTGTTTGAATTTGAAAATTTATGAAAGACTTTCACATATTTATCACATTGTAATATTTTGCTCTGGGTAGTTCTCAAACACTGGTTAAGTCCATTGTAACATTCTTCGTGCACCTTACACTCATCCATGCTTTTACAGTATTTTCCTAACTGTAAATTTTCATGTCCACATTTTTTATATCTTTTCAGTATCACTTTTTGGAAACAATTTTTTATGCCCTGCTTTGGCCAAAAGTCTTGGGCAAAATAAGAACATACAACTGCAAGAAATAAAAATAATCAATTACTCCACTTACTAGATACAGATGAATATACTTTACAAATCTAACCTATAAAATTATACAAACTACATCACAAGTAGCAAAATATTACAGGCTCTAACTTTTTCACAGACATATAATGTAACAAAAACATACAGACCAAATTACATTTGTGAAAAATTAAAGTAAGTTAAGTGTGCAGTGCCCCAGGTGAGCCCAATGCAAACAGCCACATAGAGGAAAAGTCAGTTCCATTTACCCAACACAGATGTTCCTGCTTCCCAATAAAACATAGTGACTTTAGAAATAAATTGCCAATTCCTGGTTTCCTTTTTAAAAGACAAGTAAAATACTGGCTTATACATCTTTATTTCTGAATGGTAGGGGCTTTTACAGACACTGGTTCCTGTCCCTCATTACATAAAGTTCTGAAAGAAATAGAGGTATTCTTTCAAATGACAGTTTGAGTCTGCTGAAATGAAAGATAAGTTTTACAGCAGCAGAAAGACTGTGATATCATAGACAGGTAACAATTATAGCAAGTGATTATTGGTTATTAAGAAGAACTATGAACAGGCTGAGCATGGTGGCTCACACCTGTAATCCTAGCACTTTGGGAAGCCGAGGTGGGTGGATCACCTGAGGTCAGGAGTTCGAGACCAGCCTGGCCAACATGGTGAAACACTGTCTCTACTAAAAATACAAAATTAGCTGAGCATGGGGTCAAATGCCTGTAATCCCAGCTATGTGGGAGGCTGAGACAAGAGGACCACTTGAACCCGGGAGGTGGAGACTGCAGTGAGCTGAGACCATGCCACTGCCCTCCAGGCTGGGTGACAGGAGCAAAACTGTGTCTCAGAAAAAAAAAAAAAAAAAGAAGAAGAAAGAAACATGAATAATAAACTGCTTTAACTAAAAACTAAATACAAAATTTTAGACAAGGCACATCCTAAGAACATGTTTGAGAGACTCTCAGAATCTCTAGCCAAGATAATTATTTTCAGACTATGTCAGAAAAAACTACATTTTAAAGACTGTGACAGGTAGCTTTTTAATGTCCAAATCTCAATCAAAGATTACAATGTATACAAAACAAGGCAATATAGTCTCATCAAAAATATTGTATAAATTTCAGAAAGAAACCATAAAAAAGATGTACACATTAATTTTAAACACTGATAATAAATTGAATAATATTCAATGAGTGAAACAGGAACACGGCCCAGTGTAGAAAATCACAAAAATGGGCTGGGCGTGGTGGCTCACGCCTGTAATCCCAGCATTTTGGGAGGCCGAGGTGGGTGGATCACGAGGTCAGGAGATCGAGACCATCCTGGCCAACACGGTGAAAACCCGTCTCTACTAAAAAAAAAAAATACAAAAAAATTAGCCAGGCGTGGTGGCAGGCGCCTGTAGTCCCAGCTACTCGGGAGGCTGAGGCAGGAGAACTGCATGAACCTGGGAGGCGGGGCTTGCAGTGAGCCAAGATCGCGCCACTGCACTCCAGCCTAGGCGACACAGCGAGACTCTGTCTCAAACGAAAAAAAAAAAAAAAAGAATCAGAAAAATGAGAATAAAAACGAAAGTATCTACAATTTTTTTTTTAAATTTGTAGGTAAAAAAAACAGAAAAATAAATAACTGGAAAATCCTAAAAGTAGGAAAAAAATGATGTAAAAATGAGGAAGTTCAACAAACAAATTAGGAAACACACAAAGATATTTATAACAAATACATTTATAAGCACATTTTCAAAAATCACAGACAAGAAGAAAGTCTTGGAAGCTGCAAGATAAAAGCAATGTGTCATTTACAAACATAGTCTTATAACCAGTAAATTATCAACAAGAATTTTGCAGGCCAGAAAGAAACTGTGTGACACAGTCAAAGTCCTGAAAAAAAAAAAAAATCTACCAAGTGAGAATAATACCATCAACAAATCTGCCCTACCAAATAAAAAGAAAAAACCTTCCAAAAAAAAAAAACAAATTATGAAAAAGTATATTATTAGCACTGCATATGCCCTACATATAAAAGACGCTGAAAGCAGTTCTTTAAACTGAAAGTAAAAGAATTTGAGAAAATACCACATAATCAAATACAAATACATTATTTTCTGGGAAAGATATGCACATACACAAAAATAGAATCTTGTGGCATTATCATAATGGTGCAGAAAATATTTTAATCTATTCTCTAAAATTTGAAAAATAAAAGCACAGAAATTAAACATCTGTTAATGAATATACAATGTAAAAACATAATTGGCAACATCAATGACAAATTTCAGGGCAGATGTAATGAGGAAGAATTTTTTATTCAACTGAAGTTTATTTTATACCAAATTAAAAATATACTGTTGTTTCTTATAGAGGTTATCTGTAACCCCCAAGGCACCACACACACAAAAAAAATCTGTATAGATACACAACAGTGAATTAGAAATAAGTAAAAGCATATCAATACAAAAATCAAAAAGACACAAGAGAAAATGAGAAACAAAGATGCAAGAATCAAATAAAATAATTAAAACAGTAAGTCTCTTTCAGAAAATTATTTAAATATATATAAAATTAACTTTCAAATCAAGAGACATACTTTCAATAAATAGATTTAAAATTTTAAAAACCAAGATCCAACTTTTTTTTCTACAAAAGTCAGTTGAGATCTAATGATAAAAAAACACTGAAAGGGGGACGATGCAAGAATACATTTCATGCAAGTGTTAATCAAATGAGAGCAGAAGAAATCAAAATAATATTATGCAACCTACATCTTAGTCAAAAACTGTCATATTTTATAAAATGTATTTGAAGTCAAAACTCCAAGGAGACAAAAAAGGACATAAAACTTACAGATTTAGGCTGGGCACGGTGGCTCACACCTGTAATCCCAGCACTTTGGGAGGCCGAGGCAGGTGGATCACTTGAGGTCAGGAGTTCGAGACTGGCCTGGCCAACATAGTGAAACCCCATCTCTACTAAAAATACAAAAATTAGCTGGGCATGGTGGTGGGCACCTATAATACTAGCTACTTGGGAGGCTAAGGCAGGAGAATCACTTGAACCCAGGAGGCAGAGGTTGCAGTGAGCCGAGATCACACCACTGCACTCCATCCAGCCTGGGACACAGAATGAGACTCTGTCTCAAAAAAAAAAAAAAAAAAATAGATTTATTCACTGGGAACCTATAACAAATTTGTATATATGTACGTGTGTGTGTGTGTGTGTGTGTGTGTGTGTGTGTGTGTGTGTATCTCACATTAGGGCTTCAAATATAAAGCAAATATTGACAGAATAACAGAGACACAGAGAGAGCAACATAATTATAGTAGGATATTTCAATACTGCACTTTCTGTAATAAAAATAAAATAAGAATATTAGTAAGGGAATAGAGGACTTGCAGGCAACAATTATTCCTAACACAGGTATAAAAAACACTCCTCAACATCAGGACACACATGGTTCTCAATAGCTAACACAACACTTTCCTTGATAGACCACTTCTTATGCCAAAAAAAAGTCATCTTACCAAATTTTTTAAAACTGAAATTTTATAAATTACTTTCTATCACCAAAATGAAATGAGTATACAACAATTAAGAAAATAAAAAACCTGAAAAATTCACACATATATGGAAATTAAACAATACACTCTTGAGCGTGCTCTTGTGAAAGGCTGAAAAAGGCAACATTGTAAAGATGTCCATCCTGCTCAATGCAATCTACAGATTTAATGCAATGTTTTTCAAATTTCTCACTGCATTTTTGATGAAAGAAAAACAGCAATCCCTCAAGTACATAGAATCTCTACAAAGTGCCCAAAAATATTAAAAACAAAATAAAACAATGTTGGAGGCATTACAGTTCCTGATTTCAAAACACATTACAAACCTACAGAATTAAAACAATTTGGTATGAGTATAAAGGTGAAAAAGTAGACTAATAAAATAGAATGCAGCACATACATAAACTCTCACATATATGGTCACATGAAGAGTCATTTGCATACCCACAATTATTTTAGCATTGTTACTAAAAGCCAATAGGTAAAAGCAATGCAAATTTCTGTCACCAAATCGTTCAACAGATATAATTTAAAATATAAAAATACCAAAGAATTACTCAATTTGCAAAAAAGCAGGACATATTCTAACAACTAACAGAAATTGTATGAGAGATCTATAAAGCAGTTATACTCTTAGAAACAGAAAACAGAATGGTGTTTCAAAAGTGCCAGGAAATGGGAAAAACTGGTAGTTGTCTAATGTGTATTGTAAAATTTCTAGAAGTCTTTTCTAAAAACAATGTAAATATACTTAACATGTCTGAAACGTACAGTGTTTTTGAGTCAGGGTCTTACTCTGTGACCCAAGCTGGGGTCCACGGCACAATTATGGCTCATTGCAGCCTCAAACTTCCATGTTCAAGTAATCCTCCCTCCTCAATCTCCCAAGTAGATAGGACCACACCACCATGTCTGGCTATTTTTAAAAATGTTTTATAGAGATGAGTTCTCCACATATCTCCCAGGATGTTCTCAAGCTTTTGGGCTCAAGTAGTCTTCCTGCCTTGGCCTCCCAAAATCTGGGGATTACAAATGTGAACCACCACGACTAGCCATGAAATGTACACTTAAATAGATTTAAGATGGTAAATTTTAGGTTATGTGTTTGTACAATTATTTTTTAAAAGAATAACTGAAGAAGATACAGAATTATAAATCTCTCCAAAAATTACCTTCAAGTCACAAAAGTGCTTCTCTCACACAAAGGAAATATATGTTTATTATAACAAGGTGAAAATAAGACTATTTCCATGACTACCCATTTAGACAAGATAAAGACACCATTAAAAATCAGCTAAGAAAAAATATATACAAGATTAGCCATAACCAAAATTGGGGTCATATTTATAGATTAAAAACACACACACATATAATCAGATTTTAACAGACAATATGGCTGATTAATCTCTTAAACTCCACACTGACTTAGGTATACAAACAGAATTGCAAATTGTCTAAAACTATAAAACCAAAAAACACAATAAACTTATATTAAGAAACTAACACTGAAAAAAAAAACACTGAAATGGAACTACAAAATAATAATAAAAGAAATGTTTACTCATAAAATCTGGTATGCAACACTGATGTAGCATTAATAAAGAATTCGTGTAGATAGCTGTAATATTTTACTGTAACTGTGTACTCATTGAAGGTGGCTATTTTGAATCACTGGCATCCATTGTAATGCAGTATAATTTCAGATAAAATGTAGTATAATCATAAACAAGATTCTAATGACAAACTGATAAATAAGCATTTTAATAAATAAGATCATTTTTAAGTTGTAAATATATGCTATTCTTACACAAAAAAACTGCTGTAATCCAAATTTAGAAGCAAAGAATAGCCTTACATTGCTAAATAAAGAAAAAAATTATCTATTTTGCAGAATATGGTCAGAGCCTCTGATACATAAAACAAATATTTGGGAACAAATTATGTCATATTTTAGATATAGGGTGACGAAAGTGAGTAAAAATCCTGTAATCTTTTTTTGCCTGCCTATATTTCCTTTTTGCCATGTTGGTATGCTGCACCCATTAACTTGTCATTTACATTAGGTATATCTCCTAATGCTATACCTCCCCCTTCCTCACACCCCATAACAGTCCCCAGTGTGTGATGTTCCCCACTCTGTGTCCAAGTGTTCTCATTGTTCAATTCCCACCTATGAGTGAGAACATGCGGTGCTTGGTTTTCTGTCCTTGTGACTGTTTGCTCAGAATGATGGTTTCCAGCTTCATCCATGTCCCTACAATGGACATGACCTCATCCTTTTTTATGGCTGCACAGTATTCCATGGTGTGTATGTGCCACATTTTCTTAATTCAGTCTATCATTGATGGACATTTGGATTGGTTCCAACTCTTTGCTATTGTGAACAGTGCTGCAATAAACATACTTGTGCATGTGTATTTATAGCAGCATGATTTATAATCCTTTGGGTATATACCTAGTCAAATGGTAGTTCTAGTTCTAGATCCTTGAGGAATCACCACACTGTCATCCGCAATGGTTGAACTAGTTTACAGTCCCACCAACAGTGTAAAAGTGTTCCTATTTCTCCACATCTTCTCCAGCACTTGTTGTTTCCTGACCTTATCACTATTGTTATTATCATTATACTTTAAGTTCTATGGTACATGTGCACAAAATGAAGGTTTGTTACATATGTATACATGTGCCATGTTGGAGTGCTGCACCAGTTAACTCATCATTTACATTAGGTATATCTCCTAATGCTATCCCTCCCGGCTCCCGTCACCCCACGACAGGCTCCAGTGTGTGATGTTCACCACCCTGTGTCCAAGTGTTCTCATTCTTCAATTCCCACCTATGAGTGAGAACATATGGTGTTTGGTTTTCTGTCCTTCTGATAGTTTGCTCAGAATGATGGTTTCCAGCTTCATCCATGTCCCTACAAAGGACATGAACGTGTCCTTTTTTATGGCTGCATAGTATTCCATGATGCATATGTGCCACATTTTCTTAATCCAGTCTATCACTGATGGACATCTGGATTGGCTCCAAGTCTTTGCTGTTGTGAATAGTGCCGCAATAAACATATGTGTGCATGTGTCTTTATAGCAGCATGATTTACAATCCTTTGGGCATATACCCAGTAATGGAATGACTTGGTCAAATGATAGTTCTAGTTCTAGATCCTTTGAGGAATTGCCACACTGTCTTCCACAATGGTTGAACTAGTTTACACTCCCACCAACACCGAAAAGTGTTCCTAATTCTCCACATCCTCTCCAGCACCTGTTGTTTCCTGATATTATTATTATTATATTTTAAATTCTATGGTACATGTGCACAACGTGCAGGTTTGTTACATATGTATACATGTGCCATGTTGGCATGCTGCACCCATTAACTCGTCATTTACATTAGGTATATCTCCTAATGCTATGCCTCAACACGCCCCCCTCCCCACGACAGGCCCCAGTGTGTGATGTTCCCCATCCTGTGTCCAAGTGTTCACATTGTTCAATTCCCACCTACGAGTGAGAACATGCGGCATTTGATTTTCTGTCCTTGTGATAGTTTGCTCAGAATGATGTTTCCAGCTTCATCCATGTCCCTACAAAGGACATGAACTCATCCTTTTTTATGGCTGCAGAGTATTCCATGGTGTATATGTGCCACATTTTCTTAATCCAGTCTATCATTGATGGACATATGGGTTGGTTCCAAGTCTTTGCTATTGTGAATAGTGCCACAATAAACATATGTGTGCATGTGTCTTTATACCAGCATGATTTATAATCCTTTGGGTATATACTCAGTAATGGGATGGCTGGGTCAAATGGTAATTGAGGAATCGCAACACTGTCTTCTGCAATGGTTGAACTAGTTTACACTCCCACCAACAGTGTAAAAGTGTTCCTATTTCTCCACATCCCCTCCAGCACCTGTTTTTTCCTGACTTTTTAATGATTGCCATTCTAACTGGTGTGAGATGGTATCTCATTGTGGTTTTGATTTGCGTTTCTCTGATGGCCAGTGATGATGAGCATTTTTTCATGTGTCTGTTGGCTGCATAAATGTCTTCTTCTGAAAAGTGTCTGTTCATATCCTTCACCCACTTTTTGATGGGGTTGTTTGATTTTTTCTTGTAAATTTAAATTCTTTGTAGATTCTGGATATTAGCCCTTTGTCAGATGAGTAGATTGTAAAAATTTTCTCCCATTCTGTAAGTTGCCTGTTCACTCTGATGGTGTTTTCTTTTGCTGTGCAGAAGCTCTTTAGTTTAATTAGATCCCATTTGTCAATTTTGGCTTTTGTTGCCATTGCTTTTGGTGTTTTAGTCATGAAGTCCTTGCCCATGCCCATGTCCTGAATGGCATTACCTAGGTTTTCCTCTAGGGTTTTTATGGTTTTAGGTCTAATATTTAAGTCTTTAATCCATCTTAAATTAATTTTTGTATAAGGTGTAAGGAAGGGATCCAGTTTCAGCTTTCTACATATGGCTAGCCAGTTTTCCCAGCACCATTTATTAAATAGGGAATCCTTTCCCTATTTCTTGTTTTCATCTGGTTTGTCAAAGATCAGATGCTTGTAGATGTGTGGTATTATTTCTGAAGGCTCTGTTCTGTTCCATTGGTCTATATCTCTGTTTTGGTACTAGTACCATGTTGTTTTGGTTACTGTAGCCTTGTAGTATAGTTTGAAGTCAGGTAGCGTGATGCCCCCAGCTTTGTTCTTTTGGCTTAGGATTGTCTTGGCAATGTGGGCTCTATTTTGGTTCCATATGAACTTTAAAGTAGTTTTTTCCAATTCTGTGCAGAAAGTCATTTGTAGCTTGATGAGTATGGCATTGAATCTATAAATTACTTTGGGCAGTATGGCCATTTTCACGATACTGATTATTCCTATCCATGAGCCTGGAATGTTCTTCCATTTGTTTGTGTCCTCTTTTATTTCGTTGAGCAGTGGTTTGTAGTTTTCCTTGAAGAGGTCCTTCACATCCCTTGTAAGTTGGATTCCTAGGTATTTTATTCCCTTTGAAGCAATTGTGAATGAGATTTCACTCATGATTTGGCTGTTCGTCTGTTAATGGTGTATAGGAATGCTTGTGATTTCTGCACATTAGTATCCTGAGACTTTGCTGAAGTTGCTTATCAGCTTAAGGAGATTTTGGGCTGAGACCAATATACAATCATGTCATCTGCAAACAGGGACAATTTGACTTCCTTGTTTCCTATTTGAATACACATTATTTCTTTCTCTTGCCTGATTGCCCAGGCCAGAACTTCCAACACTATGTTGAATAAGAGTGGTGAGAGAGGGCATTCCTGTCTTGTGCCAGTTTTCAAAGGGAATGCTTCCAGTTTTTGCCCATTCAGTATGACATTGGCTGTGGGTTTGTCATAAATAGCTCTTATTTTGAGATACGTCCCATCAATACCTAGTCGATTGAGAGTTTTTAGCATGAAGGGCTGTTGAATTTTGTCAAAAGTCTTTTCTGCATGTATTAGATAATCATGTGGTTTTTGTCTTTGGTTCTGTTTATATGATGGATTACATTTATTGATTTACGTATGATGAACCAGCCTTGCATCCCAGGGATGAAACTAACTTGATCGTGGTGGATAAGCTTTTTGATGTGCTGCAGGATTCGTTTAGCCAGTATTTTATTGAGGATTTTTGCATCGATGTTCATCAGGGATAATGGTCTAAATTCTCTTTTCTTGTTGTCTGTCAGGCTTTGGTATCAGGATGCTGCTGACCTCATAAAATGAGTTAGGGAGGATTCCCTCTTTTTCTATTGATTGGAACAGTTTCAGAAGGAATGGTACCAGCTCCTCTTTGTACCTCTGGTAGAATTCGGCTGTGAATCCATCTGGTCCTGGACTTTTTTTTATTGGTAGGCTATTAATTATTGCCTCAATTTCAGAGCCAGTTATTGGTCTATTCAGGGATTCAACTTCTTCCTGGTTTAGTCTTGGGAGGGTGCATGTGTCCAGGAATTTATCCATTTCTTCTAGATTTTCTAGTTTATTTGTGTAGAGGTGTTCATAGTATTCTCTGATGGTAGTTTGTATTTCTGTGGGATCTGTGGTGATATCGCCTTTATCATCTTTTATTGCATCTACTCTCTTTTCTTATTAGTCTTGCTAGCGGTCTATCAATTTTGTTGATCTTTTCAAAAAACCAGCTCCTGGATTCATTGATTTTTTTAAAGGGTTTTTTTATGTCTCTATCTCCTTTAATTCTGCTCTGATCTTAGTTCTTTCTTGACTTCTGCTAATTTTTGAATGTGTTTGCTCTTCTCTAGTTTTTTTTTTTTTTTTTTTTTTTTTTTTTTTGAGACGGAGTCTCGCTCTGTCGCCAAGGTTGGAGTGCAGTGGCACGATCTCAGCTCACTGCAAGCTCCACCTCCCGGGTTCACACCATTGTCCTGCCTCAGCCTCCCAAGTAGCTGGAACTACAGGCGCCTGCCACCACGTGTGGCCCATTTTTTTTTTTTTTTGTATTTTTAGTAGAGATGGGGTTTCATCGTGTTAGCCAGGATGGTCTCGATCTCCTGATCTCATGATCTGCCCGCTTTGGCCTCCCACAGTGCTGGGATTACAGGCATGAGCCACTGCACCCGGCTGCTTCTCTAATTCTTTTAATTGTGACAATAGGGTGTCAATTTTAGATCTTTCCTGCTTTCTCTTGTGGGCATTTAGTTCTATAAATTTCCCTCTACACACTGCTTTAAATGTGACCCAGAGATTCTGGTCTGTTGTGTCTTCGTTCTCATTTGTTTCAAAGAACATCTTTATTCTGCCTTCATTTTGTTATGTACCCAGTAGTCATTCAGGAGCAGGTTGTTCAGTTTCCATGTAGTTGAGCAGTTTTAAGTGAGTTTCTTAATCCTGAGTTCTAGTTTGATTGCACTGTGGTCTGAGAGACAGTTTGTTATAATTTCTATTCTTTTACATTTGCTGAGGAGTGCTTTACTTCCAACTATGTGGTCAGTTTTGGAATAAGTGCGATGTAGCGTTGAGAAGAATGTATATTCCGTTGATTTGGGGCGGAGAGTTCTGTAGATGTCTATTAGGTATGCTTGGTGGAGAGCTGAGTTCAATTCCTGCATATCCTTGTTAACTTTCTGTCTCGTTGATCTAATGTCAACAGGGGGGTGTTAAAGACTCCCATTATTGTGTGGGAGTCTAAGTCTCTTTGTAGGTCTCTAAGGACTTGCTTTATGAATATGGGTGCCCCTGTATTGGGTGCATATATATTTATGATAGTTAGCTCTTCTAATTGCATTGATCCCTTTACCATTATGTAATGGCCTTCTTTGTCTCTATTGCTCTTTGTTGGTTTAAAGTCTGTTTCATCAGAGACTAGGATTGCAACCCGCTTTTTTTGTTTGTTTTCCATTTGCTTGGTAGATCTTCCTCCATCCCTTTATTTTGAGCCTATGTGTGTCTCTGCAGGTGAGATGGGTCTCCTGAATACAGCACACTGATGGGTCTTGACTCTTTATCCAATTTGCCAGTCTGTTTCTTTTAATTGGGGCATTTATCCCATTTACATTTAAGGTAAATATTGTAATTTGATCCTGTCATTATGATGTTAGCTGGTTATTTTGCTGGTTAGTTGATGCAGTTTCTGCCTAGCATTGATGGTCTTTACAATTTGGCATGTTTTTGCAGTGGCTGATACCGGTTGTTCCTTTCCATGTTTAGTGCTTCCTTCAGGAGCTCTTGTAAGGCAGGCCTGGTGGCGACAAAATCTCTCAGCATTTGTTTGTCTGTAAAGGATTTTATTTCTCCTTCACTTATGAAGCTTAGCTTGGCTGGATATGAAATTCTGGGCTGAAAATTCTTTTGAGAATGTTGAGTCGGGCACGGTGGCTCACACCTGTAATCCCAGCACTATGGAAGGCTGAGGTGGGTGGATCATGAGGTCAAGAGATCGAGACCATCCTAGCTAACACAGTGAAACCCCATCTCTACTAAAAATACAAAAAATTAGCTGGGCATGGTGGTGGCGCCTGTAGTCCCAGCTACTCAGGAGGCTGAGGCAGAAGAATGGCATGAACCCGGGAGGCGGATCTTGCAGTGAGCCGACATCATGCCACTGCACTCCAGCCTGGGCAACAGAGCAAGATTCCGTCTCAAAAAAAAAAAAAAAAAAAAAAAGAATGTTGAATATTGGCCCCCAGTCTCTTCTGGCTTGTAGAGTTTCTGCCAAGAGATCCACTGTTAGTCTGATGGGCTTCCCTTTGTGGGTAAGCTGACCTTTCTCTCTGGCTGCCCTTAACATTTTTTCCTTTATTTCAACTTTGGCGAACCTGACAATTGTCTTGGAGTTGCTCTTCTTGAGGAGTATCTTTCTGGTGTTCTCTGTATTTCCTGAATTTGAATGTTGGCCTGCCTTGCTAGGTTGGGGAAGTTCTCCTGGATAATATCCTGAAGAGTGTTTTCCAACTTGGTTCCATTCTCTCCGTCACTTTCAGGTACACCAATCAGACGTAGATTTGGTCTTTTCACATAGTCCTTATTTCTTGGAGGCTTTGTTCATTTCTTTTTACTCTTTTTTCTCTAAACTTCTCACTTCATTTCATTCATTTGATCTTTGATCACTGATACTCTTTCTTCCACTTGATCAAATCAGCTACTGAAGCTTGTGCATGTGTCACGTAGTTCTCTTGCCATGGTTTTCAGCTCCATCAGGTCATTAAGGTCTTCTCTATGCTGTTTATTCTAGTTAGCCATTCGTCTAATCTTTTTTCAAGGTTTTTAGCTTCTTTGTGATGGGTTGGAACATCCTCCTTTAGTTCGAAGAAGTTTATTACTACCCATCGTCTGAAGTCTTCTCTCAACTCGTGAAAGTCATTCTCCATCCAACTTTGTTCCGTTGCTGGCAAGGAGCTGCTTTCCTTTGGAGGAGAAGAGGCACTCTGGTTTTTAGAATTTTCAGCTTTTCTGCTCTGGTTTCTCCCCATCTTTGTGGGTTTTATCTACCTTTGGTCTTTGATGATGGTGACGTACAGATGGGGCTTTGGTGTGGATGTCCTTTCTGTTTGTTAGCTTTCCTTCTAACAGTCAGGACCCTCAGCTGCAGGTCTGTTGGAGTTTGCCTGGGTATCACCAGTGGAGGCTGCAGAACAGCAAATATTGCTGCCTGATCCTTCCTCTGGAAGCTTCGTCTCAGAGGGGCACCCGGCCATATGAGGTGTCAGTCAGTCCCTACTGGGAGGTGTTGCCTAGTTAGGCTACTTGGGGGTCAGGGACCCACTTGAGGAGGCAGTCTGTCCATTCTCAGATCTCAAACTCTGTGCTGGGAGAACCACTACTCTCTTCAAAGCTGTCAGACAGGGACGTTTAAGTCTGCAGAAGTTTCTGCTGCCTTTTTTTCGGCTATGCCTTGGCCCCAGAGGTGGGAGTCTACAGAGGCAGGCAGGCCTCCTTGAGCTGTGGTAGGCTCCACCCCGTTTGAGCTTCCCAGCCACTTTACCTACTGAAGCCTCAGCAACGACAGATGCCCCTTGCCCAGCCTCACTACAGCCTTGCAGTTTGATCTCAGACTTCTGTGCTAGCAGTGAGCGAGGCTTCGTGGGCACGGGACACTCCGAGCCAGGCGTGGGATATAATCTCCTGGTGTGCTGTTTGCTAAGACCATTGGAAAAGCACAGTATTAGGGTAGGAGTGTCCCGATTTTCCACGTACCATCTGTCATGGCTTCCCTTAGCTAGGAAAGGGAATTCCCCAACCCCTTGCATTTCCCGGGTGAGGTGGTGCCCCGCCCTGCTTCGGCTCACTCTCCGTGGGCTGCACCCACTGTCCGACAAGCCCCAGTGAGATGAACCCAGTACCTCAGTTGGAAATGCAGAAAATCACCCATCTTCTGTGTCACTCAAGCTGGGAGCTGTAGACTGGAGCTGTTCCTATTTGGCCATCTTGGAACCTCCCTTAAATCCAGAGTCATCTATTTTAACTGCACACTTGGGAATAAAAGACATCTTGGGCTATAGGCCAAGAGCTTTCAGAGAAGATAGCTTACAAAATGTGGGGAGACTGGGTATAGAAACATTTACCCCTATGCCTTAAGGAGTAAATAATTCTTTCACTGCTAATTCCAACTATTAACTTGGAACTACAGAAATATAACATTTCATTATACCACAAAACATCTTGTTATTTCTATTTTAGATTCAGGGAATACACCTGCAGATTGGTAGCATAGGTATACTGCATGGTGTTGAAGTTTGGACACTTTTAACTATCCCATTGCCCAAGCAGTGTACACTACACATGGTAAGTAGTTTTTCAGCGTTTGTCTCCCTTTCTTCTTCCATCTTTTTGGAATTCCCAGTGTTTATTGTTTTCATCTTTGTTTCCATGAGCATCCAATGTTTACCTCCCACATATAAGTGAGAACATGTGGTATTTGTTTTACTGATCTCTGTTAATTTGCTTACATTAATGGCCTTCTGCTGCATTCATGTTGCCACAAAGGACATTATTTCACTCTTTTCTGTGACTGCATAGTATTGCAGTCTGTAAGTACCTCATTTTTCTTATCCAATCTAAGATTTATAGGCACCCGTTTCTCCTGAAGTCAGGATGAAGTTGAAACAGAAAGCTGTTTCTCCACAACTTCAACATGTAATTTTTTGACTTATGATAACAGCCATTCTAACTGGTGTGAAATGGTATCATATTGTCATTTTGATTTACATCTCTGATGATTACAGATGTTAAGCATTTTTTGAATGTTTATTGGCAACTCTTACGTCTTCCTTTGAGAAGTGTCGATATTTTCTGCTTTGTCAAATTAAATTTCTTAAGATTCGATATATTAATCAGTTGTATGCACTTTGCAAATATTTTATTTCACATTGTAAGGTATGTTTCCTTTGTTGATAGTTTCTTTGGCTGTGCGGAAGCTCTTTAGTTTAATTAGATGCAAATTTTTGATTTTTATTGTTGTTGCACTTTTAAGATGTTATTCATAAATTCATTCCAGAGGCCAGTGTCTACAGCAGTCCTTTCTAAATGTTCTTCTAGGATTTGTGTAGCTTGAAGACTCACAGATAAGTTCTTAATCTATCTTGACTTGCATTTTCTATATGGAAAGAGGTAGGAGTCCACTTTTTTCTGCACATAACCAGTTTTCCCTGTACCATTTATTATTATTATTACTTTTGAAACAAAGTCTCACTCTGTCACCCAGGGTGGAGTGCAGTGGCGCCATCTTGGCTCACTGCAATCTCCACCTCCCAGGTTCAAGTGATTCTTCTGCCTCAGCCTCCCGAGTAGCTGGGACTACAGGTGCCTGCTACCTCGCCTGGATAATTTTTGTATTTTTAGTAGACAGGGTTTCACC
Source organism: Homo sapiens (assembly GCF_000001405.40). Taxonomy (NCBI): domain Eukaryota; kingdom Metazoa; phylum Chordata; class Mammalia; order Primates; family Hominidae; genus Homo; species Homo sapiens. Next base: position 22,670,281 of record NC_000019.10, on the reverse strand, counting down.
CTGTTGGCCAGGCTGGCCTCGAACTCCGGAACTCGTGATCCACCAGCCTCAGCTTCCCAAAGTTCTGGGATTACAGGTGTGAGCCACTGCATCCAGCCCCCACTTATTAAATAGGCAGTTATTTTCCCTTTGTTAATTTCTGTGGGCTTTGTGAAAATTAACTTGGTTGTAAAAGTGCAGATTTCAGGGCTTTCTCTTCTCCATTGATCTAAATGTATATTTTCATACCAGAACCATGTAATACTGGTTACTGTAGCTTGTAGTACAATTTTAAATCAGGTAATAGGAGGCCTCTGGTTTTTTTTTTTTTTTTTTTTCTGACGTTGCCTTGACTATTTGGGCTCTTTTATTCTTTCATACAAATTAGTTTTCTTTGCTGGGCGCGGTGGCTCATGCCTGTAATCCCAGCACTTTGGGAGGCTGAGGCTGGCGGATCACGAGGAGTTTTGAGACCAGCCTGGCCAACATGGTGAAACTCTGTCTCTACAAAAATACAAAAATTAGCCAGGCATGATGGCGGGTGCCTACAATCCCCGCTATTTGGGAGGCTGAGGCAGAACTGCTTGAACCTGGAAGATGTAGGTTGCAGTGAGCCCAGATTGTGACACTGTACTCCAGCCTGGGTGACAGTGAGGCTCTGTCTTAAAAAATAATAATTTAATATGGTTCACTTACCATAAACTCTCTAAAATTCTAATTTCTATATTTTCTAGGAAATTTTGTATTTGTCACACTTTGGGTAAGAATCTAGTAAGACTCTTTTTCTAACAATATTTTTTCTTTTTACAAAGAAAGCAGCACAACACTAACTGATTTAATCCTCTCGCCTGTGGACATGTATGCCTTTTATCTTAATTAACTGATCTGAAAGTTATATTGATAAGCAAACTCTCCAGTTAAAACCATTTTTTCAGTCCATTAAAAAATACCAAAGTTCTCATCAAAACCCACAAAATACCATGTGAGATGACATGGCATGAAAAAAACAGTGGGATAACTGCAGCCATTAACACAGAAAAAGAAGGGCTATGATGTATACGTGGGTGGAATACACATAAAAAGACAAAGCTTAAGATAATTAGAAAATAAATGAAGCAGAATTTCTTTTTAAATTCAGCAAAATTCAGCTTTGCAGCCTGAAAAAAAATAAAATGTCCCCTCCACATGAAGAATCAATGTTATTTGTTTACCTTTGATATTTTCCACCTGACTTGAAGTTTGCAACTTTCACAGGAGTATTTATGCCTTATTATGGAGCATCTGTTATACAGCAAGCACTGTCATGTTTGTTTGCTACATTTATGTATAAAAACATTCTCGACTTATGAAGCTTCCCTAGTACTTACCTGAACAAATCGCCTAATGAATAAATTTACTTATATCCATCACAAAAAGTGAAAAAAAATAACATACGAAAAGTAGGCTTATATAGGGTTCTCCAATTAAATGAAATGTTCCAACTAAATAAAATTTAATGCACTAATTTTAGAATTACAGCTAAAAATTATTTTGTGTACATGACTAAGTTTATTTTATTTTGAGGTGGAGTCTTGCTCTGTCGCCCACGCTGGAGTGCAGTGGCACAATCTTGGCTCACTGTGACCTCTGTCTCCCGGGTTAAAGCTATTCTCCTGCCTCAGCCTCCCAGTAGCTGGGATTACAGGAGCATGCCACCATGCCTGGCTAATTTTTGTTATTTTTGGTAGAGATGAGGTTTCACCATGTTGGCCAGGTTGATCTTGAACTCCTGACCTCAAGTGATCCACCCACCTCGGCCTCCCAAAGTGTTGGGATTATAGGTGTGAGCCACTGCACCCAGCCCATAACTAAATTTCATTAAAATCATTCTTATAATCACAGAGCAGCTCACAAAATGAATACCTCATAAACTATAAAACAACAAATATATATCAGAAACAAGAAATTTATGGGCCTAGCATGAGTACCAGACAAGTGAAAACAAGAGAATTTGAATGGCAAGATTCTGAACCATAAGCCGTAAAATTATACAGTAAAATTCAATACAAACCAGAGTATAGATTTGCATTCATTTTTGAGGATTTTTGTTTTCTAAAAAAGTAGACACCTGACCAGGTGTAGTGGTTCACGCCTGTAATCCTAGTACTTTGGAAGATTGAGGCAGGTGGATCACCTGAGGTCAGGAGTTCAAGACTAGCCTGACCAAAATGATGAAACCCCATCTGTACTAAAAATACAAAAATTATCTGGGCATGGTGGCCTGCGCCTGTAGTCCTACCTACTAGGGAGGCTGAAACAGGAGAACTGCTTGAACCCAGGAGGCAGAGTTACAGTGAGCGGAGGTCACGCCACTGCACTCCAGCCTAGGCAACAGAGTGAGATTCTGTCTCCAAAAAAAAAAAAAAAAGAAAAAAGAAAAGAAAATTAGACACCTTATTAAAATGATGTCTTGTTCCAATATTATTCTGAAAATAGTTACAAACTCATACTCAAACACACTTAATCCATAATCTTCTTACACCTAAGGTTTATATTTAGACTAATAGATGTGTACATTTAACTCTATGTAAATCAAAACTAAAAGCCTGTATCTGTTTGCAAGTAGAGAGGCCACATATTCAAAGAAAAATATACAAGAAATTATTTTTATTTATTCAGGACTCAGAAATGTGTAAATTTTATACTTGTATATAATTTTTATTATAAAAATAACCCTGTAGTCAATAACAATCGTATATTTTAAAAAAACTAAAACTGTACAATTGAACTGTTCATAATACAAAAAATAAATTCTAAAGGTGATGGATACCTCATTTACCCTAATGTGATTATTACATATTGTATGCCTCTTATCAGAATATGCCATATATAACATAAATATTATATGCCTGAAAAAACTAACAAAAGTAAATTTAAATGGGAAAAAATAAATAAAAATTTTACCTACAGAAACAACATTCCTTATTTGCAGTTTAAAGCCACTGGAAAAAAGATTAGTACTACAGATGTTAGTGCATTCTTTTACCAAATAGTGTATTGTTACCACCATTTATTTTATTTACTTATTTATTTTTTGAGAGGGAGTCTCACTTTGTCACCCAGGACGGAGTGCCATGGCATGATCTCGGCTCACCGCAACCTCTGCTTCCCGGGTTCAAGTGATTCTCCTGCCTCAGCCTCCCGAGTAGCTGGGATTACAGGCATGCGCCACCATGCCTGGCTAATTTTGTATTTTTAGTAGAGATGGCGTTTCTCCATGTTGGTCAGGCTGGTCTTGAACTCCCGACCTCAGGTGATCTACCCACCTTTGCCTCCCAAAGTGCTGGGATTACAGGCGTGAGCCACCGTGCCCGGCCTTGTTACCACCTTTTACCTACACCCTTGAGTAAGGTGGACTAGGTTAAAGTAAGTGGAATAATGTGACTTGATTGAATGCACAATATTTAAACTGTTAAAAATGTTGAATTAAGAAATTAAGTTCACACATAATCTAAAATTTTTAACATGTACTGCATTTTCATAAAAGTAAAATTAGTAAAATAATATACTAATTTATTTTTAATTTTAACTAAAACTAAAAATTTGTCTCTCAATATAATGCAGAATATTACTCAGAACACCTACCTCATGCATCACTCAGTACTGTAAGTGAATCACAAAGAACCTCTTTACTTAGATTTTCATCATGCATTTTAATGTCCTTACTCTTTCATAGAAGAGGTCATAAATGCTCACCTAATAAAAAATAATCCTCATATCTTTTGGTCACATGCTTTCACATATGAATACAATAGGAATAAAGAAACAACATCAGGCAGGCGCAGTGGCTAACACCTGTAATTGCAGCATTGCGGGAGGCCAAGCTGGGCGGATCACCTAAAGTCTCGAGTTCGAGACCAGCCTGGCCAACATGGCAAAACCCTGGCTCTATTAAAAATACAAAATTTAGCCACGCATGGTGGTTTGCGCCTGTAATCCCAGCCACTTGGGAGGCTGAGGCAGGAGAATCACTTGAACCCTGGAGACGGAGGTTGCAGTGAGCTGAGATCGTGCCACTGTACTCCAGCCTGGGGGGGCGATAGAGCAAGACTCCATCTAAAAAAAAAAAAAAAAAGAAGAAGAAAAAGAAAAACTAATTTCCTTAGCATGAAGTAATTTGAGAGTTAATTACAACATTAACACGAAGTAATTTGAGTTAATTACAACATTATTTGTATGAAGTAATTTGAGAGTTATTTACTTTTAAAAAAAATCTGTAATCTTTCTAAAAAAAAGTATACTTGTAACTCTCCAAAAAATCTTCTACTCTTTTAAAGTTATAAACAAATAATTTTTCTGCCAAGTTTAGTTTTGGATTACTTTCTAAACTCAGAACTCTGATTCAGTGTAAAGTCTGAAGTGTCATTGCCTTATATATTTCTAACATAAATTCTCTGATATTTACATAAACTTACCATTGAATTAAATATTTTTTTCTATTTACTGTATATGCAAAAATATTTTAATATGAACTCTCTGGAATTTTCTAACCTGTAGTTTTTGAATAAATGTTTTTTTCTAAATTTATTACATTTACAGGGTTTTTCTTCGATATAAATTCTCTGATGTTGAACAAAGTTTGAGCAATTGCCTCAGGGTTTGCTCTAATACAGAATGAATACAACAAGATCTGTGTTACAAGTAAAGTTACCACAACTTCGTTTATATTTGTAATGTTTGTCTTCAAAATAAATCCTCTTCAGCACTTTAAATGCTTATTTTTTGAACTCTTTTGACAGTAATTGCACTTTTAATGCTATTAATATAAACTCTGATGTTGAATAAGATGTGCACAGATATTAATCACTTTTTTACTTTCTTTATATTTGTACATTTGTTCTCAAGTATAAAGGCTTTCCTGTGCAATAAGGTTTGAGCATTGTGTAAGTTTTGCCACACTGTTCATTCACACTTGTAGAAGTTTTCTCCAGAATGAATTACCTTACCTACAATCCAGTGTGATAACCATTTAAAGGCTTTGTCACATTCATATTTCTATTATTTCTCACCAGCACAATTTCTTTTATATTTGGAAATCTTTGCAATGTTGTCACAAGCATTGTTACAACTTTCAGGTTTGTAGAGTTTCTCTCCAGTATGAATCATCTTATGTCTGTTAAGAATAGAGGAGTTGTTAAAGGCTTTGCCACATTCTTCACACTTGTAGGGTTTCTCTCCAGTATGAATCATCTTATGTGTAGTAAGGTGTGAGGACTGGTTAAAAGCTTTGCCACATTCTTCATATTTGTAGGGCTTCTCTCCAGTATGAATTACCTTATGTTTAGAAAGAGTTGAGGACTGGTTAAAAGCTTTGCCACATTCTTCACATTTGTAGGGTTTCTCTCCAGTATGAATTATCTTATGTGTAGTAAGTTGTGACGATAGGTTAAAAGCTTTGCCACATTCTTCACATTTGTAGGGCTTCTCTCCAGTATGAATTCTCTTATGTGTAGTAAGGTGTGAGAACCGGCTAAAGGCTTTGCTACATACTTCACATTTGTAGAATTTCTCTCCAGCATGAATTCTCTTATGTGTAGTAAGGGTTGAGGATTGTTTAAAAGCTTTGCCACATTCTTCACACTTGTAGGGTTTCTCTCCAGAATGAATTCTCTTATGTGTAGTAAGGTGGGATAACTGGCTAAAGGCCTTACCACATTCTTCACATTTGTAGAATTTCTCTCCAGTATGAATTATCTTATGTGTAGTAAGGGTTGAGGACTGGCTAAAAGCTTTGCCACATTCTTCACATTTGTAAGGTTTCTCTCCAGCATGAATTATCTTATGTGCAGTAAGGGTTGAGGACTGGCTAAAAGCTCTGCCACATTCTTCACATTTGTAGGGTTTCTCTCCAGTATGAATTCTCTTATGTGTAGTAAGGTTTGCAGATTGGTTAAAAGCTTTGCCACACTCCTCACATTTGTAGGGTTTCTTTCCAGTATGAATTATCTTATGTGTAGTAAGGTGTGAGAGCCGGTTAAAGGCTTTTCCACACTCTTCGCATTTGTAGGGTTTCTTTCCAGTATGAATTCTTTTATGTGTAGAAAGGTTTGAGGTCTCATTATAGGCTTTCCCACATTCTTTACATTTGTAGGGTTTCTCTCCACTATGAATTCTTTTATGTTGAGCTAAGTGTGAAAGCATGCAAAATGACTTTTCACATTCTTTACATTTGAAAGATTTCTTTCCAGTATGTCTTATCGTATGTCTGTTTGAATTTGAAAATTTATGAAAGACTTTCACATATTTGTCACATTGAAATATTTTGTTCTGGGTAGTCGTCAAACACTGGTTAAGTCCATTGTAACATTCTTTGTGCACCTTACACTCATCCATGCTTTTACAGTATTTTCTTAACTGTAAATTTTCACATCCACATTTTTTATATCTTCTCAGTATCACTTTTTGGAAATAATTTTTTTTGCCCTGCTTTGGCCAAAGGTCTCGGGCAAAATAAGAACATACAACTGAAAGAAATAAAAATAATAAATTACTTCACTTACTGACTCAGACGAATGTACTTTACAAATCTAACCTATAAAATTATACAAACTACATCACAAGATGTTACAGCAAAATATTACACGCTCTAACATTTTCACAGACATATAAAAGCATACAGAACAAATTACATTTCTGAAAAATTAAAGTAAGTTAAGTGTGTGCAGTGCCCCAGGTGAGCCCAATGCAAAGAGTCACATAGAAGAAAGAAAAGTCTGTTACATTTACCCAGTGCAGATCTTCCTGCTTCCCTATATAACATAGTGACTTTAGAAATAAATTGCCAACTCCTGGTTTCATTTTTAAAAGACAAGTAAAATAATGGCTTATACATCTTTATTTCTCAATGGCAGGGGCTTTTACACTGGTTCCTGTGTCTCATTGCATAAAAGTTCTGAAAGAAATAGTGGTATTCTTTCAAATGACAGTTTGAGGCTGCTGAGATGAAAGGTAAGGTACCAAAACAGATATATAGACCAATGGAACAGAATAGAGACCTCAGAAATAACACCACACATCTACAACTATCTGATCTTTGACAAACCTGACAAAACACAAGAAATGGGGAAAGGATTCCCTATTTAATAAATGGTACTGGGAAAACTGGCTAGCCATATGTAGAAAGCTGAAACTGGATCCCTTCCTTACACCTTATACAAAAATTAATTCAAGATGGATTAAAGACTTAAATATTAGACCTAAAACCATAAAAACCCTAGAGGAAAACCTAGGCAATACCATTCAGGACATAGGTATGGGCAAGGACTTCATGACTAAAACACCAAAAGCAATGGCAACAAAAGCCAAAATTGACAAATGGGATCTAATTAAACTAAAGAGCTTCTGCACGGCAAAAGAAACTACCACCAGAATGAACAGGCAACCTACAGAATGGGAGAAAATCTATGCAATCTACCCATCTGACAAAGGGCAAACATCCAGAATCTACAAAGAACTTAAACAAATTTACAAGAAAAAAACTAACAACCCCATCAAAAAGTGAGCAAAGGATGTGAACAGACACTTCTCAAAAGAAGACATTTATGCAGCCAACAGACACATGGAAAAATGCTCATCATCACTGGCCATCCGAGAAATGCAAATCAAAACCACAATGAGATACCATCTCATGCCAGTTAGAATGGTGATCATTAAAAAGTCAGGAGACAACAGGTGCTGGAGAGGATGTGGAGAAATAGAAACGCTTTTACACTGTTGGTGGGACTGTAAACTAGTTCAACCATTGTGGAAGACAGTGTTATGATTCCTCAAGGATCTAGAACTAGAAATACCATTTGAGCCAGCCATCCCATTACTGGGTATATACCCAAAGGATTATAAATCATGCTACTATAAGGACACATGCACACGTATATTTATTGCGGCACTATTCACAATAGCAAAGACTTGGAACCAACCCAAATGTCCATCAATGATAGAATGGATTAAGAAAATGTGGCATGTATACACTACAGAATACTATGCATTCATGAAAAAGGATGAGTTCATGTCCTTTGCAGGGACATGGATGAAGCTGGAAACCATCATTCTGAGCACACTATCACAAGGACAGAAAACCAAACACCACATGTTCTCACTCATAGGTGGGAATTGAGCAATGAGAATACCTGGACACAGGGCGGGGAACATCACACAACAGGGCCTGTCGGGGTATGAGGGGCTGGGGGAAGGATAGCATTAACCCATGGCACATGTATACCTATGTAATATAACTGCACGCTGGGCACATGTACCCTAGGACTTAAAGTATAATGAAATAAATAAATAAGAAAGGTAAGTTTTACAGCAGCAGAAAGACTGTGGTACTACAGACAGGAAACAATTATAGCAAGTGATTATTGGTTATTAAGAAGGAGTTTGGTGGTTCAAACCTGTAATCCTAGCACTTTGGCGGCCAAGGTGGGAGGATCAGCTGAGGTCAGGAGTTTGAGACCAAGCCTGGGCAACATAGTGAAACCCTGTCTCTACTAAAAATACAAAAGTAGCTGAGCATGGGGTCACATGCCTGTAATCCCAGCTAAGTGGGAAGCTGAGACCAGATAATCACTTGAACCAGAGAAGTGGAGGCTGCAGTGGGCTGAGACCATGCCATTGCACTGCAGCCTGGGTGACAGGAGCAAAACTCTGTTTCAAAAAAAAAAGAAGAGAAACACAAATAAACTCCTCTGACTAAAAACTAAACACAAAATTTTAGACAAGGCAGATCCTAAGAACATGTTTGAGAGACTCCCAGAATCTCTAGCCAAGATAATTGTTTTCAGACTATGTCAGAAAAAAACACATTTTAAAGACTGTGACAGGTAGCTTTTTTTGATGTCCAAATCTCATTCCAAGATTACAATGTATACAAAACAGGGCAATATAATTTCATCAAAAATACCGTATAAACTTCAGAAAGAAACCATAAAAAAGATGTACACATTTTAAACACTCATAAGTTGAATAATATCCAATGAGTGAAACAGGAACACAGTCCACTGTAGAAAGTCACAAAAATGAGAATAAATACAAGAATATCAAAATATTAAAAAAAACAATTTGGTGGTAAAAAGTAGAAAAATAAACAACTGGAAAATCCTAAAAGAAAAATGATGTAAAAATGAAGTTCAACAAACAAATTAGGATACACACACAGATATTTAAACAGATACATATTAAGCACATTTTCAAAAATCAAAGACAAGAAGAAAGTCTTAGGAGCTACAAGGTAAAAGTAATGTGTCATTTACAAACATAGTCTTATGATATTACCAGTGAATTATCAACAAAAATTCTGCAGATCAGAAAGATACCGTGTGACACAAAGTCCTGAGGGGAAAAAAAAAAAAAAAGCTATCAAGTTGAGGATAATACCATCAACAAATCTGTCCTGCCACATAAAAAGAAAAAACCTTCCAAAACAACCAAATTCTGAAAAAGTATATTAGCACTGCATATGCCCTACATATAAAAGATGATGAAAGCAGTTCCTTAAACTGAAAGTAAAAGTATTAAAAAAAAAAACACATAATCATATAAAAATACATTATTTTCCAGGAAAGATATGCACATACATAAAAACAGAATCTTGTGGCATTATCATAATGGTGCAGAAAACATTTTAAATGATCTCTAAATTTTGAAAAATAAAAGCACAGAAATTATAAACAACTGTTAATGAATATACAATGTAAAAACATAATTAGCAACATCAAAGACAAATTTCAGGGCAGATGTAATGAGGAAGATTTTTTTATTCAACTGAGATTTATTTTATACCAAATTAAAACTATACTGTTGTTTCTTATAGAAGTTTTATGCAACCCCCAAGGTGCCACCAAAAAAAAAAATCTGTACAAATATACAAAAGTGAATTAGAAATAAGTAAAAGCATATCAATACAAAAATCAAAAAGACACAAAGAGAGAAAATGAGAAACAAAGATGCAAGAATCAAATAAAATAATTAAAAATGTAACAGTCCGTCTTTATCAATTATTTAAATGTATATATAAAATTAACTTTCAAATCGAGACATACTTTCAACAGATTAAAAATTTTAAAAACCAAGATCCAACTTTTTTTTCTACAAGAGTCAGTAGAGATCTAATGATAAAAAACACTAAAAGGGGCAAGATGGAAGAATACATTTCATGCAAATATTAATCAAATGAGAGCAGAAGAAATCAAGATAGTATTATGCAAGCTACATCTTAAGTCAAAAACTATCATATTTTACAAAATGTACTTGAAGTTAAAACTCCAAGGAGACAAAAAAGGACATTAAAACTTACAGATTTAGGCTGGGCATGGTGGCTCACGCCTGTAATCCCAGCACTTTGGGAGGTTGAGGCAGGTGGATCACTTGAGGTCAAGAGTTCGAGACTGGCCTGGCCAACATGGTGAAACCCTGACTCTACTAAAAATACAAAAATTAGCCGGGCATGGTGGTGGGCACCTGTAATCCTAGCTACTCGGGAGGCTGAGGCAGGAGAATCGCTTGAACCTAGGAGGCAGAGGTTGCAGTGAGCCGAGATCACACCACTGCACTCCAGCCTGGGACACAGAGTGAGACTCTGTCTCAAAAAAAAAAAAAAAACAACAAAAAAAAACCACTTCAGATTTACTCACTGGGAACCTATGACAAATCTGTATACACGTCTCTCTCTCTCTCTGTGTGTGTGTGTGTGTGTGTGTGTGTGTGTATCTCACATTAGGGCTCCAAACATATAAAGCAAACATTGACAGAATAACAGAGACACATAGAGAGCAACATAATTATAGTAGGATATTTTGACACTGCATTTTCCGTAATAAAAATTAAATGAGAATATTAGTAAGGGAATAGAGGACTTCCAGGCAGTGTAAGACAATTATTTCTAACAGAGGTATAGAAAACACCCCTCAACACCAGGACACACATGGTTCTCAATAGCTAATACAACATTTTCCTTGATAGACCTCCTCTTATTACAAAAAGAAGAAAATTAAGTCTTACCAGTTTTTTTAAAACTGAAATTTTATAAATTACTTTCTATCACCAAAATGAAATGAGTATACAACGAGAAAAAAAATCTGAAAAATTAACAAATATATAGAAATTAAACAACACACTCTTGAGCATGCTCTTGTGAAAGGCTGAAAAAGGTAATACTGTAAAGATGTCCATCCTGCTCAATGCAATCTACAGATTTAATGCAATGTTTTTCAAATTTCTCACTGCATTTTTGAAGAAACAGAAACAGCAATCCCTCGAGTATACAGAATCTCTACATACAATAAAGTACCCAAAAATATTAAAAACAAAACAAAACAATGTTGGAGGCATTACAGTTCCTGATTTCAAAACACAAAGCTACAGAATTAAAACAATTTGGTATGACTATAAAGGTGAAAAAGTAGACTAATAAAATAGAATGCAGCACATATATAAACTCTCACATATATGGTCACATGAAGAGTCATTTGCATACCCACATTTATTTTAGCATTGTTACTAAAAGCCAGTAGGTAAAAGCAAGGCAAATTTCGGTCACCAAATCGTTCAGCAGATATAATTTGAAATACAAAAATGCCAATATATTACTCAGTTTGAAAAAAAGCAGGAAATATTCTAACAACTATAAAGGTAAATCTTGATGACTTTATGCAAAATAAAATGAGCCAGCCACAAACAGATTTTATGAGATATATAAAGCAGTTATACTCTTAGAAACAGAAAACAGAACGGTATTTGAAAAGTGCCAGGAAATGGGAAAAATTGGTAGTTGTTTAATGTGTATTGTAAAATTTCTAGAAATCTTTTATAAAATAATGTAAATATACTTAACATGCCTGAAATGTACAGTGTTTTTGAGTCAGGGTCTCACTCTGTCACCCAAGCTGGGGTGCATGGCACAATTACAGCTCACTGCAGCCTCAAACTTCCAGGTTCAAGTAATCCTCCCTCCTCAATCTCCCAAGGAGACAGGACCACTTCACCATGTCTGGCTAAGTTTTAAAATGCTTTACAGAGATGAGGTTTCCATATGTCTTCCAGGATGTTCTCAAGCTTTTGGGCTCAGTCTTCCTGCCTTGGCCTCCCAAAATCCGGGGATTACAGACGTGAACCACCACCATGACTGGCCATGAAATGTACATTTAAATAGATTTAAGGTGGTAAATTTTAGGTTATATGTTTATACAATTGTTTTTTAGAAGAATAACTGAAGAAGATCCAGAATTATAAATCTTTCCAAAAATTACCGTCAAGTCACAAAAGTGTTTCCCTCACACATAGGAAATATGTTTATTATTAAACACAAGGTGAAAATAAGACTATTTCCATGACTACTCATTTAGACAAGATAAAGCCACCATTAAAAATCAGCCAAGAAAAAATATATACAAGATTAGCCATAACCAAAATTGGGGTCATATTTATAGATAAAAACACACACACATATAATCAGATTGTAATAGAGATAAGGCTGATCTATCTCTTAAACCACACACCGACTTACATGTAAAAACAGAATTGCAAATTGTCTAAAATTGTAAAACCAAAAAACACAATAAACTTATGTTAAGAAACCTACACTGAAAAAATGCGTTAATATGAAACTAAAAAATAATAATAAATGTTTACTCATAAAATCTGGTATGTAACTTGATGTAGCATTAACAAAGAATTTGTGTAGATAACTGTAATATTTTACTGTAACTGTGTACTCATTGAAGGTGGCTATTTTGAATCATTGGCATGCACTGTAATGCAGTAAAAGTTTCAGATAAAATGCAGTATAATCATAAACAGAAGACTCTAATGACAAACTGATAAATAAGCATTTTAAGATCATTTCTAAGTTTTAAATATATGCTATTCTTACACAAAATAAAACTGCTGTAATCCAAATTTAGAAGCAAAAAATAGCCTTACATTGCTAAATAAAGAAAAAATATATCTATTTTGCAGAATATGGTCAGGGCCTCTGATATATGAAACAAATATTTGGGAACAAATCATGTCATATTTTAGGTACTAGCTGACAAAAGTGAGTGAAAATCCTGTAATCTTTTTTTGCCTGTCTATATTTCCTTTTTGTCTGTCTACTAATTACCTAATTCACTTCAGACATAACATGTAAATTTTAGTATATTGTCCTAAATGTCTAAATCTAAAACTACTGACAAAATTGAAATAGAAAGTAGAAAGTAAAAATGGACAGGAAGAGTGACATCACTAAGATGGAAAAATAAATGGTGCCTTATTTGCTTATTTTCTGACAGCAAGAAAATTCATCAGCCTGACAAAAATGCCTTTATGAGAGAAACAGGAATCATGACTCAAACCTGTAATGAGAAATGCTTTAGGACAGAACTTCAAGATCAACCTGGGTTATGTAGCAAGAACCCATCTCCAAAATAAGTGCCCTTAAAGAGCTTTGAGATCTACGGAGGGAGCTGTGAAACTCTGCTAATGCCCAAGATTGAGGAATATTCTCTTCAGAAGGCAGGCTTTCATTCAGGTGGCAAACTATAGGACCCCTGTTCTTGGCTACAGACCAGAAAATGGCCCACCAAACTTGGTCCCACTGAGAATTCTGAACTTACACTGCAATCATCCCAAACTCCTCCCAGCCACAGTCTGGGAGAGGTCTTGCCCTTTCAGAAGCCTAGAGACAGACACCCCTTTATAGCCATGCAGCAGGCCTGCAGACCTTGGCCCTTACTGTGGTCCCTGAAGCAGTTCCATGACTCAGTTTTATCACCCTGAGCCACAGTTCATGGCAAGTTCTGCCTATGTAGAAACCCACACAGTGACCATGGGAAATCCTCTCTGGTTTTCAGTGAAAGCCAAACTCATCTACATCCTAATATAAAGCCTACCATATGCAGACCCAAGTGCAGAAATCTGCCCTAGCGTCTGCCCTACAGAGCAAAGTCCTGAAGGATACTCACTCTGTCCAAAAATAAAATGGGAATTACAACTACCTAAGCCCCTTGTAACAAGCCAACTAAAGGTGGACCCTAATGCAGACCCAGCAGCCTTTGTAAACAAGCTACCTACCCCTCTCCACTACAAACCCATAGGACATCCCATCACCCTGGGGGCTCAACAAAAGATCTTCACTTTCTGAAACCAATTTATAAAAACTTGAAGAGGGCCAGGCGCGGTGGCTCATGCCTGTAATCCCAGAACTTTGGGAGGCCAAGGCGGGTGGATCACCAGGTCAGGAGTTCAAGACCAGCCTGGCCAACATGGTGAAACCCCATCTCTACTAAAAATATAAAAATTAGCCAGGCATGGTGGCACGCACCTGTAGTCCCAGCTACTCGGGAGGCAGAGGCAGGAGAATCACTTGAACCTGGGAGGTGGAGGTTGCAGTGAGCCGAGGCCGCGCCACTGCACTCCAGTCTCAGCGACAGAGTGAGACGCTGTCTCAAAAAAAAAAAAAAAAAAAAAAAAAACAACAAGAAAAACTTGAAGAGGTGTTTGCTCCTTCAAACTCACAGACACCAATGCAAAAGTTTATTATGCCCATTCTCAACGCTTCTATTTTAACACAGCACTGGAAGTATGTGGAATAAGTAAAAAAAAAAAAAAAAAAATTAAGTCACTGAAATTGAAGACAAATAAGTAAAAAGTTGCTTTTTGTAGATCATTTGATCTTGTATATAGAAAACCATAAACAGTACATTTAAAACCTAATTAAAGTAATAATTACACTCAATAATTTAGCAAAATAGAAAATTAACATACAAGTGTAAGTTATGGTTCCATACACTTTAAACAAACTATCTGACAAAAAAGAGACAGAAAGCAATCTTATTTACAATAGCACTAAAATAATAAATTTCTGAGAACAAATTTAACCAAGGAGCTTAAATATCTTTCAAATAAAAGATACATCAATAAAAAAAAATTGGAGAAGACAAAAATAAATTTAAAAACATTTCATGTCTATTGATTGAAAGAATTTTTTTTTTTTTGAGATGGAGTTTCACTCTTGTTGCCCACATTGGAGTGTAGTGGTGCAATCTCAGCTCACTGCAACCTCTGCCTACCAGGTTCAAGCGATTCTTCCGCCTCAGCCTCCCAAGTAGCTGGAATTACAGGCGCCTGTCACCACGCCTGACTAATTTTTTGTATTTTTAGTAGAGACAGGGTTTCATCATGTTGGCCAGGCTGGTCTCAAACTCCTGACCTCAGGTGATCCGCCTGCCTCGGCCTCCCAAAGTGCAGGGATTACAGGCGTGAGCCACCATGCCCGGCTGAAAGAATATTATTAAAGTGCCGTGTTATCTACAGTGCTCTCTAGATTCAATAAATTCTCTATCAAAATTCCAGTATTTTTTTTTTACAGCAATAGAAAATACAATTCTCAGTCAGGCACGGTGGGTCACGCCTGTAATTCTAGCACTCTGGGAGGCCGAGGTGGGCGGATCACGAGGTCTAGGAGTTCGAGACCAGCCTGGCCAATATGGTGACACCCCATCTCTACTAAAAATACAAAAATTAGTCAGGCATGGTGGCTCGCGCCTGTATTCCCAGCTACTCAGGAGGCTGAGGCAGAAGAATCGCTTGAACCCAGGAGGCAGAGGTTGCAGTTAGCCGAGATGATGACACTGCACTCCAGCCTGGGTGACAGAGCGAGACTCTATCTCAAAAAAAAAAAAAAGAAAGAGAAAAAGAAAATACAATTCTCACATAGACTTACAATAAACTTTGAATAGCCAAAGCAATCTTGAAAAAAAAAGGACAAAGCAGAAGAACATCATACTTTATAATTTCAAACTATACTTCAAGACTATAATAAGACAGAATGCAATGTGCAGAAAAATTAGCAATAAAGAAACCAATGGAACAGAAACCACTGCTCTCACACATTTAGGACATAATGTAAAAACAGAACTTGAAAAACAGTTTAACATAGAGTTTCTCAAAATTATGCAGATTATCTACGTGTTTTCAAAAACAGTGAAAAAGTCAGATTTCACAGTCTCTTATGTGCCATGAAGAGGGCTGTCTTGGCTGTCACTGTAAACTTGAAGAAGATCACCAAAGGGAAAGTAAAATCTTCAGAGATTTTAAAAATATAAGACAGAAGATGCTTCTATGTGAAAGCAAAATTTAAAAAATTCAGGCTTCCCAGAAACTATTTCCTTTGGAACACAGATTTCAAATCATTTTAAGGACTGGCTTTTTTTTTTTTCTACTTTGGAGCTCTCATCTGTGTCATCTGTTGTATTCACTTTCACTCTCACCTACCTGGGGGTTCAGCTACCATCTCATGTCTCTTCACAT
This sequence comes from Homo sapiens, assembly GCF_000001405.40. Lineage (NCBI taxonomy): Eukaryota > Metazoa > Chordata > Mammalia > Primates > Hominidae > Homo > Homo sapiens. The sequence continues at coordinate 22,653,979 of NC_000019.10, read as the reverse complement.
TCCAAGGTTCTTTTCCTTGCTCCAGACAGGTGATCAGGTCTGGCTTAGAGGCAGCAATACCTGTTTTATTACAAATAACATGAATCTTGCTCATATTCTCCAATTACCAATTTAGTAGTGTGTTCAGAAAAAAGGATGTAATAGAATATTCTAGTAAATTGATTCCAAAATACTAATACACAACAAAAAATTTTAAATATTTAGGAAATATTTTAATTTTGTAAGTTCTTAATTTCACTACCTGATACTACTAAATCAAAAACTGGTAGTGGCAATTAGATTTTAAGATGTGGGCAACAGTACGTTATGCCACTAAATTTCTAAAATTAACACTAATCTAGAGTGAAGAACACAGATCAGCTCAGGAGTGTGGAAAGTTCAGGTCAAAATGAAACATCTTGAAATTCTTTTCTACATAGACAAATCTTGAAGTTAAAAACAAAAAACAGAGATCTGAAAGCATAAATTACCAAAAACCATTCTACAAAAAAGAGAAATAAAATTTATAGGGTATATTAGGGAATTGTATATTGAAGTTATCCTCACCCACGAAGACCAGGTTTCTGTAGTTCTCTAACATCACATTCCTATATAAATTCTGCTGTGCGGTGTCCAGGCATTGCCACTCCTCCAGAGAGAATTCTATGGCCACATCCCTAAATGTCAACACTCCCTGAAAAACATACAAACACACATACATATTTACCAAGTGGCCATGAACAGAATTTTTAATTTGACTCAAGGTAAAACAAGAGTAAAGAGAACTGGTTCTTACTTATAGGAGTGACTGATATATTTAATAAATAACTTTCAGCACAGAAGTATATTCTCTAATGCATTCTCTAACTCTGAGAAAAGAGAGTGGCATAAGATCCACAACATCGAGGTAAGTATGATACTTCTTCGGATGATGAAGTATAAAATTGAGGGCATTAACACTAACATGTACATTTTTGAGTGCTACATTTACATCATACAGAATAAGTTGTGTAAATTTTTCAGATGGAAAAGACATATTCAGTTAGAAAATACTGCTCACATGTTAATGTGTACAATAAACTGGAGATCTTGTTAATGCAGATTATTTTTTCAGAAAATCTGGGCTGGGAGCGATGGCTCACGCCTGTAATCCCAGCACTTTGGGAGGCTAAGGCGGGTGGATCACGAGGTCAGGAGACCGAGACTATCCTGGCTAACACGGTGAAACCCTGTCTCTACTAAAAATACAAAAAATTAGCCGGGCGTGGAGGCGAGAGCCCGTAGTCCCAGCTACTCGGGAGGCTGAGGCAGGAGAATGGCATGAACCCCAGAGGCGGAGCTTGCAGTGAGCTGAAATCGCGCCACTGCACTCCAGCCTGGGTGACAGAGCGAGACTCCGTCTCAAAAAAAAAAAAAAGAAAAGAAAATTTGGAATAAAATCTGAGTTTCTGAATCTCTAACAAGCTCACCAGTAATGCCCATGTTTTTGGTCCAAGAAAACTATTTTGTCAAACATCCAGTAAGTGGAAAAGCCTGTGTGTTTTTCAGTTTTTCTGGCCTGTAAACAAAGATGAGAGCTTTCATTTTCCAAAGACAGATAAATGCAAAGAAAACCTAAGGTGGCGGGCGCCTGTAGTCCCAGCTACTCGGGAGTCTGAGGCAGGAGAATGGCGTGAACCCGGGAAGCGGAGCTTGCAGTGAGCCGAGATTGCGCCACTGCAGTCCGCAGTCCGGCCTGGGCGACAGAGCGAGACTCCGTCTCAAAAAAAAAAAAAAAAAGCCTAAGAAAGGTCAGCTGCCAGATTAAATGTGATTGTTTATGCACATCTGCTGAATAAAGATACTCAGTAATGAAGAGAAAAATAATTAACTCTATAGAAAAAAATCTGTCACAGAGTTCATTAATCAAGTGAGTTATTAACATCAAGTGCATGAAGACAAATGTGCTGATGCACACAGAAGGACACGGCATCACTGCTATGATATTGCCCAGCCAAAAGTAAATTATAGTCTGAATTTAATCATAAAGAAACACTGGTTTTATGTAAAGTTCCAGATACCAATATCTGCCATGTTCTGTAAATTTTAATAGTGATTTTAAGTAGTCTTTCTTTCACACCCTAAAGAGCAAGTATCTCCTAATTATTATTATTTTTAAACTTTCTGCGTAATAAATGCCATCCCATTTAAATAAGCATTTTCTTAATCTTATTTGTTTACAGCTAATGGAGAACAGAGATGGAACCTCAAAATTACATGCTCTCCATCTTTATTAAGGACCCCAGCTTTTCCCCAATAGGAATCTTGAGTATCTACACCTTCCCATGTTCCATAGCCACGAAGGAAACATTCTTAATATTGCAGTTCATAAATTCATGGTGAGAATTCTTGATGACATGTAAGAAGCCATGATGTTGAGAATGTAGAGAAGACTCTGGTATGTAGGAAAGAAATATTTTTCAGAGACCTTTGACTATTATAAGAACTAAAAAGTAGTTAAACTCATTAGGAAGAAAAAGCACAAGTAGAAAAGTAAAGCTTTGCAAGTACTGAACACATGGCATTCCAGGAGGCAGAGTGGACACAGTTCTTCATCTGAGACATGTTTAGCTTAAAAAGAAAAAAAAGCCATTTTTTAGGGGCAGGGCAAAGATGGCCAACTAGAAGCAGCGGTGATCAGAGACTCCCACCGAAAAGAACCATAATGGCCTGTGAATCCTGCACTGGCACCTGAGGTATCCAGGTTCTCTCATCAGAACTGACTAGGCAGCTGGCATGACCCACAGAGAGGAAGAAAGAGCAGTGTGGTGCAGCAACCCACCTGAGAGCCACACGGGGCAGGGGAGCCCCCACCCCCCAGCCAAGGGAGGCGGTGAATGAATGTGCTACTTAGCCGACAAAACCATGCCTTTTCCATGGAATTGTGCAACCCATAGACTGAAAGATTTCACTCGTGAACCCATGCCACTGGGGCCTAGGATCCCAACCCCAGAGCTGTGCAGATTCTCAACAGCCTCTCAGCTAAAATCTGCTTAAGCCTGCTGAGTTCCCAGGGGAGGGGTGACCAGCACTACAGCTATGGCTGCCTGCTGTTTAAGCCATTTGAGCTCCCTGGGGGAGGGGCAGCAACCAGCACTGGGACTGACAGCTGCCTAACACACTAGGCTCCCTGGGCAGGGGAAGGGCGGCAGTCATCTCTATAGCTCCTGGCCATGCTTTTCCCCTGCTGGAGCCAGGGATGCTGGACGGCTTGGTCCCAAGAGGTGTCCCCCACAGCCTAACACACTGGCTGTGCCAGACTGCAGCTACAGCTCCTCTTCAGGCCTGACCCTGACACATCCCTCCTCACTGTGTGGGGCCACTCTGCAGGAACTCCAACAACTCCAGCCAGGGGCTCAGGGACAGAACTCTGATCTCCCTGGGCCTGAGTCCCTAGGGGGAGAGGTGACTGCAGTTTCTGTGGACCAGTGGACTTAGCTTTTCCCCCCGCCAGTTCTGAGGAATCCAAGCAGCCCAGAGGAGTGAGTTTAACCCCAGTGAAGCATACCCCCTCCACCAAGGGACAATAAAAGTGCTTCATTAAATGGGTTCTGTTCCTCATGCCACCCAACTGGGTGAGATACTCCAACTGGGGTTGTCAGACACCCTATACAGCTGTGTTCCTACTGGCATCAGATTGGTGTTCCTTAAGGTCAGAGATCCCAGAGGAAGGAGCAGGCACCCATCTTTGCTGTTCTCCAATCTCCTTAATATCTCCAGGTTCAGAAGTGAACCAGATAAATAGGGCCTGAAGTGAACCCCCAGCAAACCACAGCAACCATACAGAAGAGGGATCTGACCATTGAAAGAAAAACAAACAGAAATGAACAACAGCAACAAAAAAGTCCCCACAAGAACCCCATCAAAGATCGAAACTAGACAAACTCATGAAGATGAGAATCAATGACAAAAACACTGAGAACCCAAAAGGCAAGGGTGCCTCTTCTTCTCCAAATGATTGCAATGCCTCTCCAGCAAGGGTGCAGAACTGGATGGAGAATGAGATAGACAAATTGACAGATGTAGGCTTCAGAAGATGGGCAATAACAAACTCCACTGAGCTAAAGGAGCATGTTCTAACCAAATGCAAAAAACCTAAGAACCTTGATAAAAAGTTAGCGAGAGGAGCCACTAACTAGAATAACCAGTTTAGAGAGGAACATAAATGACCTGACGGAGCTAAGAAACACAGCATGAGAACTTCATGAAGCATACACAAGTATCAACAGCCAAATTGACAAAGTAGAAGAAAAAATATCAGAGTTTGCAGACCACCTTGCTGAAATAAGGCATGCAGACAAGATTAGAGAAAAAAAGACTGAACAAGAATGAACAAGAATGAACAAAGCCTCCGAGAAATATGGGACTACATAAAAAGGCCAAACCTACAATTGACTGGAATACCTGAAGGAAAGGGGGAGAATGGAAACAAGCTGGAAAACACACTTCAGGATATCATCCAGGAGAACTTCCCCAGTTTAGCAAGACAAGCTAACATTCAAATTCAGGAAATACCAAGAACACCACTAAGATATTCCACAAGAAGATCAACCCCAAGAAACATAATCATCAGATTCTCCAAGGTTGAAATGACAAAAAAATGTTAAGGGTAGTCAGACAGAAAGGCCAGGTCACCTACAAAATAAGTCCATCAGACTAACAGTGGACCTCTCAGCAGAAATCCTACAAACCAGATGACAATGGAGGCCAATATTCAACATTCTTAAAGAAAAGAATTTTGAACCCAGAATTTTATATCGAGCCAAACTAAGCTGCATGAGTAGAAAAAGAAATAAAATCCTTTCCAGACAAGCAAATGCTGAGGGATTTTGTCTCCACCAGGCCTGGCTTGCAAGAGCTCCTGAAGAAAGCACTAAATATGGAAAAGAAAAACTGGTACCAGCCACTGCAAAAACACACCATGAAGACCAATGACACTATGAAGAAACAGCATCAACTAGTGTGCAAAATAACCAGATGCCATCATGATGACAGGATCAACTTCACACAGAACAATACTAACCTTAAATGTAAATGGGCTAAATGCCCAAATTAAAAGACACAGACTGGCAAATTGGATAAAGAGTCAAGACCCATCAGTGTGCTGTATTCAGGAGACCCATCTCATGTGTAAAGACACACATAGGGATGAAGCAAAATTTACCAAGCAAATGGAAAGCAGAAATAAGCAGGGGATGGAATCCTAGTCTCTGACAAAACAGACTTTAAACCAACAAAGATTTAAAAAAGACAAAGAAGGGCATTATTTAATGGTAAAGGAGTCAATTCAACAAGAAGAGCTAACTCTCCTAAATACATAAGCACCCAATGCAGGAGAACTCAGACTCATGAAGCAAGTTCTTAGAGACCTACAAAGAGACTTAGACGCCCACACAATCAGTGGGAGACTTTAACACCTCACTGTCAATATTAGACGGATCAACAAGACAAAAAATTAACTAGGATATTCAGGACTTGAACTCAGCTCTGGATCAAGTGGACCTAATAGGCATCTACAGAACTCACCACCCCAAATCAACAGAATATACATTCTTCTCAGTGCCACATGGCACTTTTCTAAAATCAACCACATAATTGGAAGTAAAACTCTCCTCAGCCAATGCAACAGGACTGAAATGGTAACAAACAGTCTCTCAGACCACAACACAGTCAAATTAGAACTCGGGATTAGGAAACTTACTCAAAAGCACACATTTACATAAAAAATGAACAATCTGCTCCTGAATGACTCCTGGGTAAATAATAAGGCAGAAATCAAAAGTTCTTTGAAACCAGTGAGAACAAAATCACAACATACTAGAATCTCTGGGACAGAGTTAAAAGGGGAATTTATAGCACCAAATGCCCACATAAGAAAGCTAGAAAAATCTCAAATCGACACCCTAACATCACAATTAAAAGAGCTAAGTCGGGGAACGGTGACTCACGCCTGTAATCCCAGCATTTTGGGAGGCCGAGGCAGGCAAATCACCTGAAATCAGGAGAGCAAGACCAGCCTCTGGCCAATATGTCAAAACCCCATCTCTACTAAAAAATAGCAAAATTAGCCAGGTGTGGTGGTGGGCACCTATAATCCCAGCTACTCAGGAGGTTGAGGCAGAGAGAATTGCTTGAACCCAGGAGGCGGAGGTTGCAGTAAGCCAAGATCACGCCACTGGACTCCAGCTTGGGTGACAGAGTGAGTCTCCATCTCAAAAAAAAAAAAAAAAAAAACTAAAAGAGCTAGAAAGCAAGAGCAAACAAATCCAATTCCAAAAGCTAGCAGAGGACAAGAAATAGCTAAGATGAGAGCAGAACTGAAGGAGATAGACATGAAAAACCCTCAAAAAAAAATCAATGAATCCAGGAGCTGTTTTTTGAAAAAATTAACAAAATAGGGCCAGGCGTGGTGGCTCACCCCTGTAATCCCAGCACTTTGGGAGGCCGAGATTGGGGGGGATCACCTGAGGTTAGGAGTTCGAGACCAGCCTGGCCAACATGGTGAAACCCCATCTCTAATAAAAATTAAAAAAAAAAATTAACTGGGTGTAGTGGCGGGCACCTGTAATCCAGGCTACTTGGGATGCTGGGGCAGGACAATCACTTGAACCCAGGAGGCGGAGGTTGCAGTGAGCCAGGACTGCACAATTACACTCCAGCCTGGGCAACAAGAATGAAACTCTGCCTAAAAAAAAAAAAAACAACAACAAACAAACAAACAAAAAAAAACTGGCAAACTGAATCCAGCAGCACATCAAAAAACATCCACCAGGCCGGGCGCAGTGGCTCACACCCGAAATCCCACCACTTTGGGAGGCCGAGGCAGGCAGATCACCTGAGGTCAGGAGTTTGAGCCCAGCCTGACCAACATGGAGAAACTTCGTCTCTACTAAAAGTACAAAAAATTAGCCGGGCGTGGTGGTGCATACCTGTAATCTCAGCTACTCAAGAGGCTGAGGCAGGAGAATCACTTGAACCCAGGAGGCGGAGGTTGCGGTGAGCCGAGATTACACCATTGCACTGGGCAACAAGAGAGAAACTCGGTCTCAAAAAAGCAAAAACAAAAACAAAAACTTATTCACCATGATCAAGTCGGCTTCATCCCTGGGATTCAGGGCTGGTTCAACATATGCAAATCAATAAACATAATTCATGACATAAACAGAACTAAAGACAAAAATCACATGATTATCTCAATAGATGCAGAAATGGCCTTTGATAAAATTCAACTTTCTTTCATGTTAAGAACTCTCAATAAATTAGGTGTTAATGGAACATATCTCAAAATAATAGGAGCTGTTTATGACAAACCCACAGCCAATATCATATTGAATGGGAAAAAGCTGGAAGCATTCTCTTTGAAAACCAGTACAAGACAAGGATGTCCTTTCTCACCATTCCTATTGAATATAGTATTAGAAGTTATGGCCAGGGCAATCAGGAAAGAGAAAGAAATAAAGAGTATTCAAATAGAGTAAGAGGAAGTCAAATTCTCTCTGTTTTCACATGACGTTATTCTATATTTAGAAAATTCCATCATCTCAGCCCAAAAACTCCTTAAGCTGATAAGTAACTTCAGCAAAGTCTCAGGATACAAAATGAATGTGCAAAAATCACAGGCATTCCTATAAGCCAACAACAGACAATCAGAGAGCCAAATCATAAATAAACTTCACAACTGCTACAAAAAGAATAAAATATCTAAAAATACAGCTAACAAGGAATGTGAAGGACCTCTTCAAGGAGAACTACAAACCACTCCTCAAGGAGGTAAGAGAGCACACAATCAAATGGAAAAACATCCCATCCTTATGGATAGAAGGAATCAACATCATGAAAATGGCCATACTGCCCAAAGTAATTTATGGGCTCAATGTTATTCCCATCAAACTACCATTCACATTCTTCACAGAATTAGAAAAAAAGACTTTAAATTTCATATGGAACCAAAAAAGAGCCCATATAGCCAAGACAATCCTAAGCAAAAAGAACAAAGATAGAGGCATCACACTACCTGACTTCAAGCTATACTACAAGACTACAGTAAGCAAAACAACATGGTACTGGTCCAAAAACAGACATATAGACCAATGGAACAGAAAAGAAACCTCAGAAATAACACCACACGTCTACAACCATCTGATATTCAACAAACCTGACAAAAACAAGCAATGGGGAAAGGATTTTCTATTCAATAAATGGTCCTGAGAAAACTGGCTAGCCATATGCAGAAAACTGAAACTGGACCTCTTCCTTACACCTTATACAAAAATTTACTCAAGATGGATTAAAGACTTAAATGTAAAACTCAAAACCATAAAAACCCTAGAAGAAAATCTAGGCAATACCATTCAGGACATAGGCATCGGCAAAGACTTCATGACAAAAATGCCAAAAGTAACTGCAACTAAACCCAAAATTGACAAATAAGAGCTAATTAAACTAAAGAGCTTCTGCACAGAAAAGGAAACTATCAGCAGAGTGAACAGGCAACCTACAGAATAGGAGAAAAATTTTACAATCTACCCATCTGACAAAGATCTAATATTCAGAATTTACAAGAAACTTTTAAAAATTTACAAGAAAAAAAACAATTCCATCAAAAAGTGAGCAAAGGCTGGGTGTAGTGGCTCATGCCTGTACTCCCAGCACTTTGGGAGGCCAAGGTGGGTGGATCGTTTGAGGTATGGAGTTCGAGACCAGCCTGGCCAATATGGTGAAACCCCATCTCTACTAAAAATACAAAAATTAGCTGGGCGTGGTGGTGGGTATCTGTAGTCCCAGGTTCTCGGGAGGCTGGGGCAGGAGAATCACTTGAACCCAGGAGGTGTAGGCTTCAGTGAGCAGAGATCGTGCCACTGTACTCCAGCCTGGGAGACAGAGCAAGACTCCATCTCAAAAAAAAAAAGTGGGCAAAAGATGAACAAACACTTCTCAGAAGGCATTTATGCAGCCAACACACATGAAAAGAAGCTCAACATCACTGATCATTAGAGAAATACAAATCAAAACCACAATGAGATACCATCTCACACCAGTCAGAATGGTGATTATTAAAAAGTCAGAAACAATAGATGCTGGTGAGGCTGTGAAGAAATAGGAATGCTTTTACACTGTTGGTGAGAATGTGTATTAGTTCAACCATCGTCGAAGACAGTGTGGTGATTCCTCAAGGATCTAGAACCAGAAATACCATTTGACCCAGCAATCCCATTACTGGTTATATACTCAAAGGAATACAAATCATTCTATTATAAAGACACATGCACACGTATGTTTACTGCAGCACTATTTACAACAGCAAAGACATGGAAACAACCCAAATGCCCATCAATGACAGAATGGATAGATAAAATGTGGTACATACACACCATGGAATACTATGCAGCCATACAAAGAAATGAGATCATGTCCTTTGTAGGAACATGGATTAAGCTGGAAGTCATCATCCTCAGCAAACTAACACAGGGATAGAAAACCAAAAACCGCATGTTCTCACTCATAAGTGGTAGTTGAACAATGAGAACACAAGGACACAGGGAGGGGAATAACACACACCAGGGCCTGTTGTGGAGTGGGGGGCAAGGGGAGGGCACCTAGAAGATGGGTCAATACGTGCAGCAAACCACTGTGGCACACATATACCTATGTAATAAACCTGCACATTCTGCACATGTATCCTGGAACTTAAAGTAAAATAAAAATAAAATAAGTATTCAATATTTCATCATTAAGAATGCCATTTTTTCTCTTTCTCCTTCTTTTCTAGGATTCCTTCTCAGATAAGATTCTCTGGACAAATTACACCGCATCTTGAGACTATGCCTTGAAAAGTGTCAGCACCACATGTTTACCTGCTACCACCACACCCACAGGCAGAAGACCCAAAACAGAAAAAACTCCACCCATTTCTGTACTTTATAACAGAAGAGATTCAGCAACAATGAGCTGCTCTACAGATATAAAAATACAAGTTTCTCCTTTCCTGTCTTCAGGTGCCCTCCCCTGCCAGCAATTTCTGCTACAGTAACAAAAGTATGAGCCACACTGCCCTGTCCCTATGAAACCCAAAGAAAAGAGGCTCTAGGACTACCCTTTAGTGCACAGGTGAAACTTAACTCTCATAAATGTATCTTGAACCCCCTATACTTGATTCTGGCCACAACTTAGAGTCACATGAGGCAGTTAATTAAAATAACATGAATGCTTCCACCCAGAACATTAAACAGAACCTGTGGGAAGGGCACCAGTAAAGGGAGTTCTGCAAACTGGCCATGTGATTGTAATTAGCAGCCTGGGCTTACAACCACTGAACTAAGCATTGCCTCTCAAGTTTTATTGAGCTTATAAATCACTTGGTAATGTTGGTCTCAATCTATGTAATGTGATTCTGCAGGTATGGAAAGGTCCATGAATGGGTGTTTTAAATAAGTCCCCTGTCAATGCTGATGATGCTCCCCCTAGGCTCATTATTAGCATTAGTTAGAGAAAGCAGGCACAGCACAGAGTCCCTTATACTTGGCACTCTTGTCACAACACAATTACTTCTGGAACAAATTGAAGACAACTAATCTCCATCTTAAAGTATCATAATCTTTGTTGGCTTTTTAAAGTTTACAGAGAAAACAGAAAGCAGCAATATCCGACTGAGTCTGCACTTATTTATTTTTTTTATTTTTATTTTTTTGAGGATAGAGTCTCACTCTGTTGCCCAGGCTGGAGTGCAGTGACAAGATGTGCGCTTACTGCAACCTCTGCCTCCCAGGTTCAAGCGATTCTCCTGCCTCAGCCTCCCAAGTAGCTGGAACTACAGGCATGCGCCACCATGCCTGGCTAATTTTGTTGTTGTTGTTGTATTTTTAGTAGAGACAGATTTCACTATGTTGGTCAGGCTGGTCTCAAACTCCTGACCTCAAATGATCAGCCCGCCTCGGCCTCCCAAAGCACTGGGATTACAGGAGTGAGCCACCACGGCCAGACCTTGCTTTTGCATTGTAAGTACTTCAGCCTGCAAATAAGTACCTTGGATAATCAAGTTTCTGTCAAAGGAACTTAACTCTGTATCTTTTAGTCTTTATCATTCTGTATTGCTAAATTTAATTCTACCTTTGTGTCCAACTTTCAAGTGCTCTTAAAATGAGCTTTACTCTGAATAAATCTGTGTGTACTTTTAATGACTGAAAATTAAAAAAATAAACCTCTGCCAAAGCAAACACAAAGCAATGAATCTCAGGTTACAAATAAAGACAATCCTGAGTCAAAAAGAATGACAAGGCCGTGCGCGGTCGCTTACGCCTGTACTCCCAGCACTTTAGGAGGCCAAGGCAGGTGGATCACGAGGTCAGGAGATGGAGACCATCCTGGCTAACATGGTGAAACCCCGTCTCTACTAAAAGTATAAAAAATTAGCCGGGCGTGGTGGTGGGTGCCTATAGTCCCAGCTACGCAGGAGGCTGAGGCAGCAGAATGGCGTGAACCCGGGAGGCAGAGCTTGCAGTGAGCCAAGATCATGCCATTGCACTCCAGCCTGGGCAACAGTGCGAGACTCCATCTCAAAAAAAAAAAAAAAAAAAAAAAGACAAAAGGTTTATTTAGCTGTTAATATAATTTATGTATATTTCAAAAAAGCAGAGAAAAATACCTACATATAATCTAAATGCTTTAATAAAACAGAGATGAACAAAATATCCTCCCTTATTTTCACGTATGTAAATAAAGCCTCTTATTTTTAATTTACATTTTCTCCTAAAACAACCAGGTCACTGGACACGTTCTTGAACTCTGGGACATCTGGATTGTGAATGTGAAAGAATGTTTATGGTAAAAAAGCAGAAGAGAGAAAGATGTTATAATAAACTGATGGGGGCGTGGCCGGGCGCGCTGGCTCACGCCTGTAATCCTAGCACTTTGGCAGGCTGAGGCGGGCGGATGACGAGGTCAGGAGATCGAGACCATCCTGGCTAACATGGTGAAACCCCGTCTGTACTAAAAACACAAAAAATTAGCCGGGCATGGTGGCAGGCGCCTGTAGTCCTAGCTACTCGGGAGGCTGAGGCAGGAGAATGGCGTGAACCCGGGAGGCGGAGCTTGCAGTGAGCCGAGATCGCCCCACTGCACTCCAGCCTGGGCAACAGAGCAAGACTCCGTCTCAAAAAATAAAAAATAAATAAGTAAATAAATTGATGGGGGCACATAAATAAATCAAGTTGTTAGAGACCTATGAAGAGAATGAGATACTGACACAATAATAGTGGGAGACTACAACACCCGTGGGCACTAATAGTCACATTATTGAGGCAGAAAATTAACAAAGATATTAAGACCTAAACTCAACACTTGACTAAACAGTCCTAATAGATTTCTACAGAACTCTCCATCTAAAAACAACATAGTATACAGTCTTCTCATCATCACGTGGCACATACTCTAAAATTGACCACACAGTCAGAAGCAAAACAATCCTCAGCAAATTTAAAAATTCCAAAATTATATGAACCACACACAGAGGCCACAGCTTGATAAAAATGTAATTCAATACAAAGAAAATCACTTGAATCATACAAGTACATGCAAATTAAACAACCTGCACTTGAATTACTTTTGGGTAAATAATGAAATTAAGGCAGGAACCAAGAAGTTCTCTGAAAAAAATGAGAACAAAGATACAACATACCTGAATTTTTGCAACACAGCTAAGGCAGTGTTAGGAGAAAAAAATTATAGCATTAAATGCTTACATTGAAAAGTTAGAAAGACTTCAGTTTAACAACCTGACATCATAAATAAAACACTGAGAGAAGCAAGAGCAAATCAACCCCTAAGCTAGCAGAAGAAATAACCAAAATCATTTCTGAATGGAAGATTTTGACATGAAAAACTATACAAAAGATCAACAAGTACAGGAGTAAAATTTTTAAAAACATAAAAATAAAACCAACCACCATTAAGATTAATGAAGAAAAAGGAAAAGATCCAAATAAACACAATTAAATATGACAAAAGAGACATTACCACTGACCCCACAAAAATATATTGAAGTCTACTATGAACACCTCTATGCACACAAACTTGAAAATCTAGAAGAAATGGAAAAATTCTTGAATAAATATATCCTCTCAAGACTGAACAAAAAATAAATCAAAGCCCTTAATAGATAAATAACAAGCTTGAAAACTGAATTAGTAATAAATAGCCTACCAACCAAAATAGGCTAGGACCAGATAGATTCACAGCTGAATTCTAGTAGATGGACAAAGGACAGCTGGTACCACTTCTACTGAAACTATTCCAAAAAACTAAAAACAGCACCATTCTGATACCAAAACCTGACAGAGATAAAACAAAAGAAGAAAACTTTAGACCAATATTCTTGATGAACATTGATGCAAAAATTCTCAACAAAATATTGGCAAACCAAATTGAGCAGGACATCAAAAACCTAACCAACTATAATCAAGTAGAGTTTATTTTGGGGATGCAAGGCTAATTCAACATATATGAGGTGGGGCGTGGTGGCTCACGCCTGTAATCCCAGCACTTTGGGAAGCCAAAGCAGGCAGATCACCCAAGGTCAGGAGTTCGAGACCAGCCTGGCCAACATGGTGAAACCCTGTCTCTACTAAAAATACAAAAATTAGCCGAGCGTGGTAGCAAGCACCTGTAATTCAGCTGCTTGGGAGGCTAAGGCAGGAGAATTGCTTGAACCCGGGAGGCAGACGTTGCAGTGAGCTGAGATCGCGCCACTGCACTCCAGCCTAGGCAAGAGAGTGAGACTCCATCTCAAAGAAAAAAAAAAATCACACATGAATTAATAAATGTGATTCATCACATAATAAGAACTGAAGACAGAAAGCACAAAAGTATGTCAATAGATGCAGAAAAGGCTTTCAATAAAATTTAACATTTTTATGTTAAAAAGTCTCAACAAACTAGGGATGGAAGGTGCATACTTCAAAATAATGAGTTATCTATCACAAACCCACAGCCAACATACTGAATATACATAACCTGGAATCATTTTTCTTTGAAAACAGGCACAAGACAAGCATGCCTCCTCTCAACACTCCTATTCAACATAAAATTGGAAGTCCTGGCTAGAGCAATTAGGCAAGATAAAAAAAAAAAGGCATACAAACAGGAAGAAAGGAAGTCAAACTTATTTCTTTTTACAGATGACATAATGCTGTATCTGAAAAACCCTATAATCATCACAGAAAAGCTTTTCTTTTCTTTTCTTTTTTTTTTTTTTTTGAGACCAAGTTTCGCTCTTATTGCCCAGGCTGGGGTGCGGTGGCGCGATCTTGGCTCACTGCAACCTCTGCCTCCCAGGTTCAAGCAATTCTCCTGCCTCAGCCTTCCTGAGTAGCTGGGATTAAAGGTATGCGCCACCACGCCCGGCTAATTTTGTTTTTTTAGTAGAGACGGGGTTTCTCCATGTTGGTCAGGCTGGTCTTGAACTTCCGACCTCAGATGATCTGCCCGCCTTGGCCTCCCAAAGTGCTGGGATTACAGGTGTGAGCCACCGCGCCAGGCCTAGGAAAGCTTTTCAAACTGACAAAAAACTTCAGTAAAATTTCAGAATACAAAATAAATGTACAAAAATTAGTAGCATCCCTGTAAATCAAAAACATGCATGCCAAAAGCCAAATCAAAAACAGAACCCCTTCACAATCACTACAAAGAGAATAAAATATCTAGAAATACAGCTAACCAGGGAGGTGAAAGATCTTTATGACAACACTGTGAAAACACTGCTTGAAGTCAGAGATGACACAAACAAATGGAAAACCATTTTGTGCTCATGGATAAAGAAGATCAATATTGGCCAGGCGCAGTGGCTCACGCCTGTAGTCCCAGCACTTTGGGAGGCTGAGGCAGGTGGATCACGAGGTCAGGAGTTGAAGACCAGCCTGGCCAACACGGTGAAACCCCATCTCTACTAAAAATACAAAAATTAGCCAGGCGTGGTGGCAGGCATCTGTAATCTCAGCTACTCGGGAGGCTGAGGGAGAGAATTGCTTGAACCCGGGAGGCAGAGGTTGCAGTGAGCCGAAATCGCACCACTGCACTCCAGCTTGGGCGACAGAGCAAGACTCCATCTCAAACAAACAAACAAACAAAAAAAGATCAATATTATTAAAATAGTCATCCTGCCAAAGAAATTACAGATTTAATGCTATTTTTATCAAACTACCAAAAATATTTCTTAACAGAGCTAAAAAACAAAACAAAAAAATTTTTAAATTTATATGGAACCAAAAAAGGGCCCAAATAGCCAAGGCAATCATAAGCAAAAAGAACAAAGCTGAAGTCATTACATTACCTGAATTCAAACTATACTACAGGGCTACAGTAAACAAAGCAACATGGTACTGGTACAAAAACAAACTCATAGACCAATACAACAGAATAGAGAGCCCATAATACAACACACCTACAACCATCTGGTTGTTAGCTTTGGCAAAGCTAACAACAGGAATCTGGAAAGAAATCCCTATTTAATAAATGGTACTGGAATAACTAGCTAGGACTATGTAGAAGATTGAAACTGGACCCTTTCATTACACCACATACAAAAATCAACTCAAGATAAATTACAGATTTAAATGTAAAATTTCAAATTATTTTAAAAAATGCATGAGATAACTTAGGAATTACCATTCTAGAAATAGAAGCCGGCAAAAATTTTAAAATAAAGATACCAAAAGCAATTGCAACAAAAGCAGTAATTGACAAATTGAAGCTAATTAAGCTAAAAAGCTTCTTCACAGCAAAGGAAACCATCAATACAGTAAACAAAAAACACACAGAATAAAAGAAAATATTTGCAAACTATGCTTTTGACAAAGGTCCAATACCCATAATTTATAAGAAACTTAAACAAGTTACAGGAAAAAAAAGACCTAAAAAGTAGACAAAAAACATGAAAAGGGTGTTTTCTTCGAAGAAGACATACATGTGGTTAACGAGCATAAAAAAAATGCTCATCACTAATCATTAGGGAAATTCAAAGAAAAACCACAATGAAATATCATCTCATCCAGTGAGAATGGCTAGTATTAGAAAGTCAAAACATAACAGATGCTGGCAAGGTTACAGAGAAACAGGAATGCTTATACACTACCCATGGGAGTGTAAATTATTCAACCACTATAAAAAGTAGTGTGACGATTCCTCACAGAACTAAAAACAGAATTACCTTTTGACCCAGCAACCTCATAATTGGGCATATAACCAGTAAAATATAAATTATTCTATTATAAAGACATACGTATGTTCATTGCAGTCCCTGTCATTCATGAAAGCAAAGACATGGAATCAACCTAAATGCTTATCAATTGTATACTGGATAAAGAAAATATGGTATGGCTGGGCATGGTGGCTCACACCTGTAATCTCAGCATTTTGGGAGGCTGAGGCAGGTAAATTGCCTGAGCTCAAAAGTTTGAGGCCACCCAGGGCAACATGTCAAGACCCTGTCTCTACAAAAAATACCAAAAAAATTAGCCAGGCCTGGTGGTGTGTGCCTGTAGTCCCAGCTACTTGGGGGGCTAAAGTAGAAGAGGATTGCTTGAGCCTGGGAGGTTAAGGCTGCAGTAAGCTGAGATCATGCCACTGCACTCCAGTCTGGACAACAGAGTGAGACCCTGTCTTCAAAAATAAAATAAAATAAAATAAAAGGTTTAGGCCGGGTGCAATGGCTCACGCCTGTAATCCCAGCACTTTGGGAGACCAAGACAGGCAGATCACAAGGTCAGGAATTCGAGACCAGCCTGACCAACATGGTGAAACCCCATCTCTACTAAAAAAATAAAAATAAATAAATAAAAACACAAAAAATTACCCGGGCGTGGTGGCAAGAGCCTGTAATCCCAGCTACTTGGGAGGCTGAGGCAAGAAAATTGCTTGAACCCAGGAGGCAGAGATTGCAGTGAGTCAAACTGCACCACTTCACTTCAGCCTGGGCAACAGAGCTAGACTCCGTCTCAAAAAAAAAAAAAAAAAGGTTTACTAAAAATAAAACATGGGGTCAGGGTGTGGTGGCTCACACCTGTAATCCCAGCACTTTGGGAGGCCGAGGCAGGCAGATCACTTGAGGTCAGGAGTTCAAGACCAGCCTGGCCAACATGGTGAAACCCCGTCTCTACTAAAAATACAAAAATTAGCTGGGCGTGGTGGCGCATGCCTGTAATCCCAGCTACTTGGGAGGCTGAGGCAGGAGAATTGCTTGAACCGGGAGGCAGAGGTTGCAGTGAGCCAAGATCGTGCCATTGCCCTCCAGCCTGGGCAATAGGAGCAAAACTCCATCTCAAAAAAAAAATAATAAAATAAAAATAAATAAATAAAATATGGTAGATAAATATCACGGAATACTGTGTGGCCGTTAAAACACACATACACACACGCACACACACAAACACACACACACACACACACACACACACACAGAAGATCATGTCCTTTGAAGCAACATAGAGCAACATAGATGAAGCTGGAGACCACTATTCTTAGAAAACTAACGTAGCAGCAGAAAACCAAATGCATGTTGTTTCTAAGTAATAGCTGAGGCTGGGCGCGGTGGCTCATGCCTGTAATCCCAACACTTTGGGCCGAGGCGGGCAGATCACCTGAGGTTGGGAGTTCAAGACCAGCCTGACCAACATGGAGAAACCCCATCTCTACTAAAAATACAAAATTAGCTGGAAGTGGTGGCGCATGCCTGTAATCCCAGCTACTTGGGAGGGTGAGGCAGGAGAATCACTAGAACCTGGGAGGCGGAGGTTGCCGTGAGCCGAGATCGCGCCATTGCACTCCAGCCTGGGCAACAAGAGCGAAACTCCATCTCAAAAAAAAAAAAATATTTAAGTAAGAGCTGAATAATAAGAACACGTAAACACAAAGAGGGAACAACAGACAGTGAGGCCTAGTTGAGGTTGGAGAATGGGAGGACAAAGAGGATCAGAAAAAGTACCTGTTTGGTGCTATGCTTAGTACCTCAGTGACAAAATAATCTGCACACCAAACCCCCATGACACAATTTTAGCTGTATAACAAACCTGCATGTGTACCCCTGAACCAAAAATAAAAGTTAAAAGAGATTCATCTTTTCCCCAGGGTATCCACTTGAGAGGCTACACTCCATATCTCAGGTTGTCCTACGAAAGAAAATGACTTTAGGAGCTGATATTCACTAGATACTCTAGCAGACATCGCCATAGCGGTTATCTTGGTTTATTCAGAGACAGTACTGAAAGCCAGGACCAAGAATAAACGACAGGGTTGCTAAGCACAAATCACCCCATAACGTTTGCAAAATAAAAACATCTTGACACTAAAACATTCTCATAAGATCTTTATGCCTAGGGAAGACAAAAGAAAAAGAGGCACAGAGATTTTTTACAATTCACTATCGGGATATTCCTTGCTTTCTTCTCATGGGAAATATTTACAAACAGAAAACATATCTTTTTAAATATGCCATCTAATGCTTTGTCAAAAAATGATTAATTAAAATACAGTATGAAAAATGTACACTAAAGGACAAATAATAATGTAAATTAGGGAAAAGAAGTTGGCATTTGAGATTTTCAGAAGGAACTGAAAATTCAGTATTTTACTGCAAGCCAGAGTTAAGCTGGAGAAATGGGGTGTGGGGGGTTGACTTGAGAACCTGCTTGGGACCTATGTGAAAAATGCCAGGGAAAATCAGCCCCATGTGGCGGCAAATAGACTGAGGTGGCTCTAATCTTTGGATTCCTAATTTTAAAAAATCAAACTCAAATGCATTTTTTTTTTTTTAGAAATTACTACATTGGGGGAAACAAAATTCAGGCTTAACTAACGATAAACTGCCAAGTAAGCTCTGATTACACAACCAGGAAATTTGTAGGCTCAAGGTGAAAATTAAGAAACTACGTAAATATACCTAACCGATTATTG
Organism: Homo sapiens; assembly: GCF_000001405.40. Taxonomy (NCBI): domain Eukaryota; kingdom Metazoa; phylum Chordata; class Mammalia; order Primates; family Hominidae; genus Homo; species Homo sapiens. Next base: position 22,635,022 of record NC_000019.10, on the reverse strand, counting down.
AATTTGGGTATTTTCATCTGCATCTTTCCTTCAAGATCCTCCCATGGACCGACCACAAACTACAACCCACAGCTGGGTGCTCTATAACTTTTGAACCACTCCTTGCTTAAATTTTTAAGTATTTTCGCGATAACTCCCATAAATTTTTAATAGAAGAAAAGAGGAACTAGGAACCCCATAAACCAAACCAAAGCTCTTCCCATTCGTGAACCCGCACCCCGAGTCAGGATTCTCCCCTGACCACCCTCCCGTGGTCCCTGCACAATCTGGGAGAGACACGACGCTGCGGGTGCAGAGCTGCCCAGAGAGGGCTCCAGGCCAGGGCACCGTCACTGCGCAGGGAAGAGACAGGACGCCCGGGGGTCCGGCTGCCAGCGCAGCCGCCAATCTGATGGCTGAAGGGGACTGAGGCTGGGCTGGGCAAGGCGAACTTGGGGCGCAGATTGTGGAGCCGACTGCGGGGAGGCCTGAGTCCCGCCACAGCCTCTTGCCACCGGTTCCAACCAGCCCCTTCCCCTCTCTCGGGATGTCGGACCCGGCACTCTCACCGTTTCTAGGCTTCCAGGGGGTCCTAGCGTCTTAGCTGTGGATCTCCCAATACCTGCAGGTCACAGGGCCACAGAGGATGGGCCTCTAGGACCAGAGGACGCAGAACAGCGAACACTAGACCATACTCCGACTGCAGCGAGAGACAAAGACCCCGCCACATCCCGGAAGCCGCCCTTTCCGCTCCAGCTGCGTGCCTGATTGGACAGTTCCCAGGCCAGCGTCGCTGAATGGATAACGTTTAAGACCCCCCCCCCCCCCGCCCTCAGGCCCTGAGTGACAGAAGATGTAACCAAACGCTGGGCCGAATGAGGACAGAGTGACAGCCGAAGGTGCAGCCTTTTCAGGCAGGGCTTCCTGCCTGAGCTGAGCCAAGCACACCGCAGAAGGTGTTTGCCTTTAACGTTGTGTGTAAGGTCTCATATATTTGTAAATAATATACTATATGGCTGCTCACACATGAAAAGAATAGAATAATTATTTTTAAATTTAGGCTTTTTTGTGTGTGAGACAGAGTCTCACTCTGTCGCCCAGGCTGGAGCGCAGTGGCGCGATCTCAGCTCGCTGCGACCTCCGCCCCCGGGTTCAAGCGATTCTCCTGCCCCAGCCTCCCGAGTAGCTGGGATTACAGGCGCCTGCCACCGCGCCCGGCTAATTTTTTTGTATTTTTAGTAGAAGCGGGGTTTCGCCATCTTGCCCAGGCTGGTCTTGAACTCCTGACCTCAGGTGATCCATCCTCCTTAGCTTCCTAAAGTGCTGGGATTACAGGCGTGAGCCACCGACCCCAGCCGGAAGACATTTCATTCTGCTGCAATTTAGCAAAATATTTGAGTACATCTTGAAGTTGTCTTTTGATTTTTTTTTTTTTTTAAGACATGGTCTCACTTTGTTTCCCACGCTGAAATGCAGTGGTGTGATCTCGGCTCACTGCAACCTCAGCCTCCTGGCTTCAAGAGATTCTGGTGTCTCAGCCTCTCCAGTAGCTGAGAATACAGGCGTGCACCACCATGCCCAGCTGATTTTTCAATTTTTAGTAGAGATGGGGTTTTGCCATGTTTGCCAGGCTGGTCTCAAACTCCTAACCTCAGGTGATCCACTCGCCTCGGCCTCCCAAAGTGCTGAGATTATAGGTGTGAGCCACCCTGCCTGGCCTGCATTTTGATTTTTACAATGGCAGAGCTGCTGTTGAAGATTTCAAAGTCAGAAGCAGCCATGGGGCAAAGCTCCAGAAGCACACCTGGAAATCACACACAGTGAATACATCCCTCACCCTGAACCAATTGTTTTCACCCGAGTCTGCATGTAAAAATCACTTCGGAGGTCTTTTAAAATCCCCCAAACACAAGTTGCCACATACCAATTAAATCAGAATTCCTGCAATGGAACCTGGGCAATAGTGTAAATATCTCTAGGTGATGACAGAGCGCAGCCAAGGTCAAATGCCAGTGCTGTAAACCAGTACTTTTAGGTGACTAGTTGCAAATTTTTTCTCAAATGAATGAAAAAATGTTTGCCGCTAAGTCATGGCTTTGTCTTACCAATATTACCAAATTATTGTTCTATGCACAACCAACGTCGCTATTGGTTTTGTTCCTGAACCAACCCAGTTGTATATATACTGAGTGCACACAAGGCCCTGACATTGGCCAATGTAGGTGCCCTGACATTGGTGATCGTTACTGTGAGGGAAAAATTTTCTAGAATAAAGGTTGCATTCCCCTAAAATTAAAAACATGCCATGTACCGAATTGGGGCTAAAATAAAAAGACGTATGGTCTCATTCAGGAGTTAAGGCTTGGCTGGGCACGGTGCCTAACGCCTGTAATCCCAGCACTTTGGGAGGCCAAGGCAGGCGGATCATGAGATCAGGAGATTGAGACCATCCTGCCTAACACGATGAACCCCCGTCTCTACTAAAAATACAAAAAAAGTTAGCCGGGCATGGTGGCACGTGCCTGTAGTCCCAGCTGCTCGGGAAGCTGAGGCAGGAGAATCGCTTGAACCCGGGAGGTGGAGGTTGCAGTGAGCCAAGATCGTGCCACTGCACTCCAGCCTGGGCGACAGAGCAGAGCGAGATTCTGTCTCAAACAAACAAACAAAAAGGGCTTGAATACTCTTTTTGGAATATTAGAAGCTGTATAATTATGCCCTGAGTGTGTGTGTTCCACCATAAAACAAACAAAAAAATGTTGCCATTATTCTGAGATACTAAGTTAGCATTTTGTTCAAATATGTACTATGGGCCAGGCGCGATGGCTCATGCCTGTAATCCCAGCACTTTGGGAGGCCGAGGCAGGCAGATCACCTGAAGTCGGGAGTTCGAGACCACCCTGACTAACATGGAGAAACCCTGTCTCCGCTAAAAATACAAAATTAGTCAGGCGTGGTGGTGCATGCCTGTAATCCCAGGTACTTGGGAGGCTGAGGCAAGGAGAATCGCTTGAACATGGGAGGCGGAGGTTGCGGTGAGCTGAAATCACGCCATTATACTCCAGCCTGGGCAACAAGAGCAAAACTCTGTCTCAAAAAAAAAACAAAAAAAAAAACCCAAAAAACAAACAACAACAAAAAAAGTACTATATAATTTTTTATTGATATATAACATTTATACAGAAATGTATGCACAAAGCATTCATTTATGTAAAGCTGAATGCATTGTTAAAAAGAAATACACTTCTGTAATCAGAAAATGAAACTAGGTTGGGTGCTGTGGCTCGTGTCTGTAATCCTAGCACTTTGGGATGCCAATGTGGGTGGATTGCTTGAGCTCAGGAGTTGGAGATCAGCCTGGGAAACATGGTGAGATTCTCCCTCCAAAAAAAAAACAACAAAAAAGAACCAGGCATGGTGGTGCAAACCTGTGGTCCCAGCCTCTGCAGAGGCTGAGGTGGGACAATTACTTGAGTCCTGGCGTGCGTGGAGGTTGCAGTAAGCCGAGATTGCACCCCTGGACTCTAGCCTGGCTGACAGAGCAAGACCCTATCTCAAAATAAATAAAATAAAATAAAATAAAACTAACCTCATTCATGCCCCAACAATCACTTTCTTTTTTCTTCTTAGACAATAACCATAATCTTAAGAGTTAACATTGTGGATCAATTTTGTGTTTTTATTTAAGTGTTTTATTATATAAAAATTTAAACATATGAAAAACAATGACAACAACAACAACAAAAATTCAATAGACCTGCCATGAAGCCTCGAGAACTATTAATCATGTCTCATTCTTGTTTCACCTATAGCTCTCTACTTCAGTCATTTCTGGTCAACACATTGTCCACCCTCCATTATTTTTTTCACTTTTGTTTGTTGTGAGGTCAAATATACAAACATTGAAAGGCACAAATCCTAAAAATTTTTGACATGTAAATATACTCATATATAGTCTTCGTATTTTTTAAGAATGGATAGAATTTTTTTATTCTATTGATGGAATCTAGAATAGAATGATAGAATATTATTATTATTCTCAAATAATTTCCTCATGCTTTTTTTCCCAGATGATTTTATTGTCAATGAAGGCTATTTGTTGGTGTGTTTTTTTTTTAAAACCATTGGTTCATTTTGCCTGACATCATTCAATATGTATTATTTTATTTCAAGATTGTCTCAGCAGGTTTATGAGATTCATCCAGGGTGTGTGCTTCAGTAGTTTGTTTCTTTCTGTGGCTGAGTAGTCTTCTCTTGCATGAATGAGTTACAATTTGTTTATTCATCTTCCAAGATACGGACATTTGGGTTGTTTTCTGCTTTAAGCTATTATGACTAAAAGGTCTATAAACATCCTTGTACAAATACTTTTTGAAATTTAATTTAATTCATTTATCAACATTTAAGTGACACCTCTTTACATTATTTAGTGGTTTCTTCAGGGATTACCATATACATCTTTAACATATTACAATCTACTTAAAGTTAACACTGTACTATTTTAATAAAGCTAAAATGTGAAGAACTTGCTGTTGGAGAGTTTTAATTACTTTTTTAATTCTTTATATTATTCATAAATTTTACATCTGTACATTATATATCTCACAGTACTGTTATAATTTTTTTAAACAGTCATAAAAAATTAAGATAAAATGGTATTTATAAATATTTGGAGGCAGATCCTTTGAGTCTGCATAAATACATTGTTTCTCCTTTAAATTTTACCCAAAATGGCCGGGCATGGTGGCTCACACCTGTAATCCCAGCACTTTGGGAGGCCAAAGCAGGTGGATCACTTGAGGTCAGGCGTTCAAGACCAGCCTGGCCAACAGGAGGTCAGGCTGAGATAGAAGAATTGCTTGAAAATCACGCCACTGCACTCCAGCCTGGGCGACAGAGTGAGACTCTGTCTCAAAAAAATAATAATAATTTTAAAAAGAAAAAACATAGGAGAAAAGAGACTTCTTTAAAAAATTCCAAGTACTAATCAATGTAGATAGATAATGCAAAATAGAAAATCACCACTAGGACATGACAGTAATAATTATTGTAGACAAGATGCATTGAAGAATGCAAAAATTTGGAGTAAAATTTATTCATTTTTTGAGCAAGTGCATCCGTTTAAACTTCACAGAATAAGAAACATATATATTCCTAACCTTTTGTTTTCTTCTTCTTCTTTTTAGACAGAGTCTCTTTCTGTTGCCCAGGCTGAACTGCAGTGGTGCATCTCAGCTCAGGGCAACCTCTGCCTCTTAGGTTCAAGTGATTCTCACATCTCAGCCTCCTGAATAGCTGGGATTAAAGGCATGTGCCACCACGCTCAGCTAATGTTTGTATTTTTAGTCGAGATGGGGTTTTATCATGTTGCCCATGCTGATCACAAACTTCTGACCTCAAGTGATCCATCTGCCTCGGCCTTCCAAAGTGCTGAGATTACAGGCATGAGCCATCGCACCCAATTCTATAAAATATATATATTCCTAAGTAACAAATGTAGGTTAATAGAGAACTCATAAACACAAAATAACTAATTCTACATCTTCCAGAAAGCTCAACATAATTCTTTCATTTCTGATCTACTATTATTCAAATAGACTTTGCTCAAATTTTATAGGAGATCTTAATACAGTATTATGTTTGTTTAGTATGTGAGATTCATGATAAGCTCACCAAAGAGTTCTTTACTCAGTGTGTGAATTCATAGAGCATATGGTTGCAAAGGGAGAAGCAAATGTTTTTGAAAGGATTACGAGAGACAGTAGTCACAGGAGTCATTCCCACTGTTATTGACTGACACGTATATTGTTACTTTAAGAGAAACTGCTTTGGTTGGGCGTGGTGGCTCACGCCTGTAATCCCAGCATTTTGGGAGGCCGAGGTGGGTAGATCACCTGAGGTCAGGAGTTCAAGACCAGCCTGGTCAACATGGTGAAACCCCATCTATATTGAAAATACAAAAATTAGCCGGGCATAGTAGCGTGTGCCTGTAATCTCAGCTACTCAGGAGGCTGAGGCAGGAGAATCGCTTGAACCTGGGAGGCAGAGGTTGCAGTGAGCCAAGATCACCCCATTGCACACAAGCCTGGCTACAGATCAAGACCCTATCTCGGAAAAAAAAAAACAAAAAACTGCATCTAAGTTTAGACTATGGTTCGTAGAAGATGGTATGAACCAGCAGCAAGTTCATATCCAGAACTGCTCACGGCAGATGATTTTGTCTTCTGGCTGTGCCATAAATTTATCTTTTGCAGGCTACTCTAAAACTTCTATAATGGTGGTAGATTTCAGTGAAGTGGAGCCCCCCCCACAGCCTGCCTACCACTTGCACCCAGCTGGCAGCAGCACCCACCTTGAGCATGGTGAGGAGGGCATGACATTGGTGCCCACCTTGCTGCTGTTCGCCTCCAAATGCTAAGTCCCTGCACACCTCACAGCGGAGCTTCACCTCACCGCCCAGCACCACAGTCTGGTTGACCAGCAGCCATGTATGCAGAATGGCCAGTGAGGAGAGCACTCTGCAGGGGCACATGAGGGCTGGCCGGCTTCTTCACTGCCTGAGCCTGCCTGCAGCCCTCACCCAGCATGTCCATCATGTCCATCTGCAGGATGCTGCCGAACTTATTCTCCACCACGCTCTCCATAACCAGGCTCCACGGCTAATGTCGCAACTGTGGGTGGATGCTCAGGTGAGAGGACTGGATCACAGGTCCTGCCCTGCAGAGCCCCCTACCTTAGACCCCACCACCACTTGCTCACAAGTCCAAGGGTCACACCCTTGCCACCAGGCCAACCTTGATGTCCTGATGTGATGCTTTTTATGAAACCTCTTGTAGTTTTTCATCCAGGAAATGGAGGAAGTAGGATGGCTGGTGTCTGGACAGTTGAAGTGAATGAGTTGGGTGGTTGGATTGGCCAGCAGCTTCTTATCTACTGGGTCTGAGTCCAGTCAGGGGCCTGGCATGTGAAGGCCATAAGAGAAGTGGGAGACGGAGGCCTATCTGGGTCAACCCCATTTCAAAGGCTCCTTCTGTCTACCTGCAAGCCTCAGTTTCTTCTCCTGTGTAGGGAGAGTGCTGGCCTTTTGAGGTCTCTTTCCTGGGCTAAAAAAGGCTCCCAGGAGCATCAACACCATGCCCCCCACATCCTGGTTATTGTCAGAGCTGGGCTGTGTGTCTCCTCCCCTCTGTCTCCTTCCTCCAAGCTGCTGCTGCTGCTGAGAAGTCCAGGGTGCTTCGACCTGGCTTGGGGGACTTCAGGGAATGAGGGAATCTTCCAGGGAAGTTCTCACCCTCTCAAGGAGGCACAACAGGGCAAGCCCAGCAGGGAGGACCCAGTGGGCATCCCAGCTGGTTGAAGGAGCCAGAACAGGCCTTGGGATCAGTTTACCAGAAGGGAGAAATCAGATGTCCACAGTGCCAAGAGCCTAGAAGGCAGTTGGGTGGTGTCCATTTATGAGATTCTGAGACCTTTTGCCACTGTGCAGTGGACCTTAGTAGGACCTGGTGGGCACCTACTAAGAATGAAGTTTTGCAGGCCCGGCCTCCTCTTCTTCCTGGTGTTTAGCACTGCGGCCACCCCTCCCTCACAGCCCAACTAGTTTTTCCTCTTCCTGAAGGCTGCGATGGGAGCTGCCTTCCTCCCCATGAGGATTCATGGGGTGGCTGGGCCAGTGTCTCTCAGAAGGGCCCAAGACCTGGGCCCAAGACAGGGGGGAGGTAGCCCCCCCCATGGTGACCTCACTGCCATCTGCCTGCAGAGATACCCCAATCTCTCAGAGGAGGACCCTGACACACACATGAGAGTATGGACGGAAGCTAGAAAGAGGCGCCTCCCAGAGCTCTGCGCTGCCCTCCAAGAGTGGATAATGGTGACCCTTGGGGGGATGCAGAGAGCCCAGCAGGCTGTGGAGAGACCACAATGACTCAGTGCTGCCCACTACCAGATGGTACTTAGAGAGGGGAGAGAAAGAAATCAACTAGACAGATAGGGTGAGAGTCCTTGGTAGAATTCCCTTCTAACAAAAAGCAGCTTCTCTTATAAGGAAAAGCAATCCCGGAGGTCATTTCTGTTTTAGCAAAGAGAGCTCAAAAGATCAGGCTGGAAACGCAGATAATGGAGGCAAGTTCTAACACAGAAAGGAACTGCTATGTGATCAGCAAGTTTCACTGACCTACGGAGGACCCCAGTGAGCAAATTTCTCTCTCTTTTTGAAAATATTCAGACAAGGAGGCTTGCACAAGGGGAGTGCCTGCAACAGCACTGATAAAAAAGAGCTACTCTGAATCAGGCACGTTTACCTTGGAGGGTTCTGCCACCCACTTCTTTTTACACACACACTTACACACGCATGGTAGGAAGAGATAAGCAACATGGAGTAACTCACGCTAAGGAGCCTGCAGGCACACTAGAAAGGTTGGAGTGGGGCCGGGCGCAGTGGCTCATGCCTGTAATCCCAGCACTTTGGGAGGCCAAAGCAGTGGATCACGAGGTCAAGAGATCGAGACCACCGTGGCCAACATGGTGAAACCCCGTCTCTACTAAAAATACAAAAATTAGCTGGGCGTGGTGGTGCACGCCTATAGTCCCAGCTACTCGGGAGCACTCCTGTAGTCCCAGCTACTCAGGAGCATGCCTGTAGTCCCAGCTACTTGGGAGGCTAAGGCAGGAGAATCTCTTGAACCCGGGAGGCAGAGGTTGCAGTAAGCTGAGATCACACCACTGCACTCCAGCTTGGCGACAGAGCAAGACTCCGTCTCAAAACAAAAAAAATGTTGGAGTGTGGAGTGGGGACTGTCAGAAGTTTTCACCTTATGCAAAGGACGCAATGACACACCTAGTCCTGACTGGTTTTTCACACGTTATGTAAATGAACCACCTCTCCCGACCAGCTTGTTTATAAAATCCCTTGGGCTTTTCACTTTAAAACTGCAACTCTTTTTCCTGGGGGTCCTCTCTGTGCCAGAAAGCTTTCTGCCTTTCACTTATTAAATTCTTCTCTAACCTCACCTTTGGAGTGTCTGCACCCTTGATTTCATTGGCTGTGAGACCAAGAACTTCGTGTAACACCCCAGATAATGAGGCCGATTTAATTGCCTTCTGAATGGTGGCCCACCAGTGACCCTCCCAGCCAAAGCACACATGGGGCAGAAACACCAATCACCTGCCTGGGAAGGCCAGGTGGGCAGGAACAAGCAGGGACTTGGTAAGAAAACCAGAATGTGTGTTCAAGGGCAGGGGCCGAGGGTTCAGCTGAGTTGGAAAATTCAGATTCTCTTTCAGGATGTGCTCCTCTCCTCGGATCTGCTTATCTCCTGCAATCTGAGACACAATGCAGAGCAATTCCCAGGCCAGCCATGATTGGAGCCTCCACCACTATATGGTGAGGTGCAGAGAAAGGCCCTGTGCTAGGCCAAGAGCCTATCCTTGACCAGTTCACCCTCCCTGTCCACTAGGTGCAGGCAGAGGCCAGGGACCCTAACTTCAGACAGAGGTAGGCAGCAGGGTCACCGCCTCCGGCAATCCCATCCCGGGGATTACAGGGTCCCTGGGGAGACCTAGCAGTGGCTGGGTTGAGAGATTCAGGCAGGGGGATCCCAGGCGAAAAAGTAAGGGACTGGGCATGTGTGGGGACTAAGAGAGAAGTGTGTGGCTGTCCCTGGAGAAGTGACAGCAAGGCACAGACAAGCTGAGTACCCAGATGCCACACCCAACTGTCAGGTACACAAGCCCCAGAATCCCCTAAGCAGCCCCAGGAAGGGTTTTATTTAATCAAGAAAAAAGGAGTCCCACCTCCACTCACACAGGCACTGGTCCTTACATACATTAGAGAACAGAACTCTTGCTCTGCCCAAGGCCAGGGAAAGAGGGCAATGTCTCTCTATCCCGTGGGTCACAGACCTTGTCCTGCCAGAACACCCACCCCACCCTCAGCCCCAGAAAGGTACAGACGACAACCAGGGTGCACATGCCAACCACTGGCACAACCCAAAAGGGGCTGAGTCCTGTAGGGACCTTGGTCCTGGGGAGTGTTTCCCAGTCACAGAGTCTTTCTGATTTTTTCACTCACTAGCTTTGTGCCTCAGTTTCCCCCTCTATGGCAAAAAGTTAAATTCCATCCTGCAGGCTAGGGGACCCTGATAGGTCACCACAGCCCATTAAATGACTGCAGCATGTGAAAGTGGGGGTGGGGGGGAGATCTCCCTGCCCTGGGTCTTTTGCCCCAGGACTGATGTTTATCAGGCCAAGGCCAGGCCAGCCTGTTGAGGAGGCCAATATGCCCCGCCTGGGGAAACTTGCTCCCAATTCCAGGTCACTACGGTTAAGGACCCCCAATGCATTAGGGCAGGAAAAGGGGTGGAATGGGGATGAAGCAACGCTTATCATAAGGGCCTTGGGTTAACCCTAGAGAAAAACAATCAAATTCAGACTCCTGTCTGAAGCTGACCACTCAAAGAGATTTCGATTTTGGGGTAAGAAACGGTCCTTGGGTCAGAAAACAAGATCTTCTGATTCTGGACTCTACAGCTGTCTTGGGTAAGGGAATTTTGCCAGCTCTGTGCTTTCATTGAGCCTAAAGGGAGGGGGCACCTGGAAGGGACTCTGAAGCCAAGGGTGAGAGTCCTGACTTCCTGCCTCCCCAACTCACTTTCCAAGAGTAGACATTGGGCAGCAAAGTTTCTTAACAAAGTCAGAAAAAATAATATCCAGACCAGGCAGGCTAATAAATTTTACCAGGATTATCCGGCCTAATCACCGAAACAGCCCTGCCATATTTCTCCTCTGGGACAGGTAAGGAAACTGAGGTTGGAGGAGGACACCGGGAGCCTGGTCAGGCCGCTGGCAGCCTGGAGACCCAGAGGTCCAGGCATTCACCGCCCTCCACACCACCGCCCCTCCCTCCCAGGCCCAGGAGTCTTCATTCCCAGCATATTCACCTGTCAATAACTCAGGCCCCCCGCAATCGTCAGGTGATGGCCTCCCTGTGTGTGGCTGCCAGGCTAGGGATGGGGGTGTCTGTGCTTCCCTCGCCCAAGCTGAGAGTGGCCTGTTCCCAGGGGGCGGGCTTCCTCTTTGGTTGGCAGCCTGGAGTCTGGAGTGCAGGTGCCGGGCAGGCAGCACTGGGAGCGCTCGGCGACTTGGCTGGAGGCCGAAGGTGCCGCCCCTCGGGGACCAGAGCGTCTTTGCAAGGTGGGCTCAGCGCACACTCCCCTCTCGTTCTGTGGCCCCGGGGCCCCTCCTAGAAGATCCTCCTCATCTCGGGTGACATTGACCGCCAGCAGCCCCACGCCAGCTCCCTCTGCCTGGCGTTGGGTGCGCACCTCTAGGGGCAGACGGATCCCTTAGCCCAGCGGGCTTGACAGCAGAGTGGTGGCAGTGGGGGCTCCAGAGAGTGTCACCGCGTTATGCTGGCCACCGCCGGGCAGGGGCTGGGCTTAGCTGGCACCCTCACATCCGCCCTCCAGATTCCAGCCTCTGACTTTGGCGAATCTAGCCAGGACCTGGGGTCTGGGGCCTGGACTGTGGACGCCCCTGGGCTGGGCTCCCCGCGGGGGCCTCGCACTTGGGTGGGGACCCTAGCGCTCCAGGCGCCACACACACCAGTGCGCCCGCTCTGGCTGTGAATTTCGGAGAGGGGCGGCAGCAGATCCCGGGGACTGGCCCGGTGGGGACGATCACCCGCCAGCGCCTCTTCCCACCCAGGCGCCCTTTCCAGTCCCCGCGTCGCCTGCAGGGCCGCCCCTCCACCGCCCGCTGGTCCCTCCCCACCAGCCTCTCTACCGCCCCGTGCGGCTCCGTGGCCAGGGCTCCAAGGCGAGGCCGCCCACGACCGCAACTGGCAGGGAGAGCAGGGGCAAATTTCCCAGAGCGGGAAGCCTGCCCCAGCCCGCCCCACGGCAGAGCTGGCTCCGAATCCGAGCCCCCGACACCCCAGCCCCGCCCGCCCCGCCCGCACCCTGTGTGGCTCGCAGCCCGCCCGCCCCGCAACCGCTCCGTCCTTCCGGCTGGGAGCCCAGGCAGGGCGGGCGCGGTCCAGACCACCGCGCGGAGCCAGAACACAAACCCCAACCCCAGACCGCAGGGGCCCTGCCCTCCAGGCACCGGGACAGGCCGTCCTGGCTTGGCTGGGAACTGGGGTGTGTACCTGTGGGGAACAACTGGTCAAAAGCGGTTTTTTCATTTCCCAAAGGTAAAGGCTCCTTCGTAATTTTTTTTCTTATTTACTTAAAATGGATAGAATCTAATTAGATTTACCCATAATTCTGTCAGTAAATTTGAGCATACTTTTATTAATTTTTCTCAGTTTAACTAGTTCGTTTCTTTTTTTTCTTTTTTCTTTTTTTTTTTTTTTTTTTTTGAGGCGGAGTATCGCCCTGTCGCACAGGTTGGAGTGCAATGGTGCGATCTCAGCCCACTGTAACCTCCGCCTCCCGGGTTCAAGAGATTCTCCCGCCTCAGTCTCCTGAGTAGCTGGGATTACAGGTATGTGCCACCACGCCCGGCTAATTTTTTTTTTATCTTTAGTAGAGACAGGGTTTCACCATGTTGGCCAGGCTGATCTCAAACTCCTGACCTCGTGATCCACCCCCCTCGGCCTCCCAAAGTGCTGGGATTACAGGCGTGAGCCACCACACCTGGCCTTATTTGTTTCTATGTTAAGAATTTAAAATTCTACCTGAAATTAGTAGTGTGAATTCAAAAGTATCTGAGACAGGTCTCAATTTAGAAAGTTTATTTTGCCAAAGTTGAGGACACACCTGTGACACAGCCTCAGGAGGTCCTGACAACACGTGACCAAGGAGGTTGGGGGCACAGCTTGGTCTTATACTAGAACAGGAATTAAAAGAAATTAAAGAATGTGTCAGCAAAAACTCAGTTGTATGTTAGAAAACCCAATTCCCCCTGAGGAAGAGAAAGAGGTGGACTCCTTTAAAAATCAACTGTCTGTTTTTCAGTCTGTGGCTAGTGAGCCTTATCTCTCCCTTTCCCAGGCATTGTGAAGACCCTGTTTCTCTAGCTGTGCAGCTGCAAGGTCACTAGACAGATAAACTCAAGTCGTAAAACATGTTTTTCCTTGAAAAGTAAGAAATGATGTAATGCATGTCTCAATTAAAGAACTGTTTTTGTTTCTCGCTTCTGTAATATGCTTCCCTCTGCACAGATCTCCCCCTGCCCCACAAAATGCTTAAAAGGTAACCTGACTCTTTGTTTGGGGCTCAGTCTTTTTTGGATGTTAATCTGACTGGGCCAGTTCACCTAAATAATAATAATAATAATAATAAATCCTCCTCAACCCCTCGGTCTCTCTGATTCCTAAATTATCCCATTGTATGAGGGCAGGGCTAGGTCTGATTCATCTCCAAAGTGTAGGTGTAGAGCAGAACCTGGGGCAGAGAGGGAACCAGCACACCCTGTTTCAACTAAGTGCCGGGTCAGCAGACATTGGGTAGGCCGTAGGGCTTGTCCACTTGAGCTTTCCAGGCAAAAAAAGTCAGAACTGGGGATTCCTAGTGCTTGGTTTGGCATGGCTCAGTATTAGAGGCTGAAGAACCCTTGGCAGAACTGCCAGCCCCATCCAGCTGTGGCAGCGCTACCCTATAACATAGCAGGAGGCTACATTGGCAAGCTTTACTCACCATAGGTTGTAAGAACAGCTTGATGCCCATAGGGTGCTAATGATGCTGGGTTCATCTATGACTCCAGTGTTCTGGACATTCTGAGCTGCTCATCTGGTTCCACTAGACCCCCAGGCCCTCTCCCAACTAGGCAGCTTGAGGTCTAAGGAAATGCCATATACCTTGGGTATGGGGCATGGAATCTTACCTCTTCAGCCATTCTGGTGCCCCCCAACCCTGCCGTCTTAGCCCTCAAGAGCCCACAACTACAGCAGGAGAGCTGAGGGGTGGAAAGCACAGAAACAGCATGATGTAACCCCAGAGAGTGGCCAGAATCTGAATGGCTTGGGCTGACAGGACTGGCCCTAAATGGAGATGGAAAGAGGGATGACAAGAAGAGGCAGCAGGGGACTGAAGTCCTGGCAGAAGCTAGGGACTCATAGTGGTATCATCCACTGCATTTGAAAATCCATGAGTAGCCATGGTCAAGGGGAACCAGACCCAGGCAAGTAGAAAGCCTGCAAATGGATTCCTGGAGCAGAAGTCCAGGCTAAATCTGAAAGGTGCTTCAAGCTCACAGAGGAGGGGCCTGCAGGGCCAGCTTGAGGATTTTTCCACCCTTTCCTCAGCAACCAAAACTACCCTCCCCAAAGAAGCCCTGGCCCACTAGGTCCATCCGTGGGGCAGAACCCCATGGAGGCTCCTTACCATGTGGGGTTGTCCTAGTGGACAGCGATGGAGCAGAGCTTGGGGGAGATGCTGCAGCTCTGGTGAAAAGCCACCCAGCCTCACCATAGGGCTCCACATGGAACTTGTAGGGATGGGGGGTGAGCCGGCACTCACTGCCACCCCAGCCAACAGCCCTGAGTACCCGGCAAAGGCCAGCAGTGTCAGGAGCAGTAACAGAGTCAGGCCACCTGTGAGGCCCAGTAGTAACAGGTCCGAAATGGCTCTGGACCCCTGCACCGCACCCCAAGGCAGCTGCAACAGAGAAAGAAGGGAGAGGAGGCTGATAGCCATCTCTGACAATGTGCCCACCTGCCCGCCAACCGGTTCTGGCCCAACCTCCTCAGCCCTGCCTTGGGTGCTTTGACCCAGGAGGTGGAGGGGCCAGAGCACGTAGTGACCTAGAAGAGAGCCATAAAGGATGACTGAAGCCACAAGCCTCTTTATTTCTTAAACACAGTAGGTGAGGATCTCAGAACAGCTCTACCTGTCAGCTGGAAGCCCTGGTCACACCGGGGGAAACTGAGTCACAGAGGGGCACAGGAGTGAGTCATCCAGGGACATACTCCTGGCCTGGACAAGTCTCCCCCAAGATATACCAGATGCCAGCCAGCCTGCCTTTCCTCCACAATACCTCTTCCTTCCCACAGCAGAGCCACACTGCCAGCCCAGCCTCCCGAAACCTCAGGGACTACTGCCAGAGGGAGGACAGATGAATACCAGGGTCCAAACACCTATCAACAAACAGGGAACCCAGAGGGAAAAAAATCCCCCCAGGGGGAAATGTGTGTAGGAAAGAGAATTTCTTAGGAAACTCTTCTTTGCTAAGTACATCTGACCTGCAGGGACCTTGCTCTCCAGCAAGCTCACCCATCCAGAACCAGAGGGAAGACCACAGCAAAATGGCCTGAGCAGCTAGAACAAAGTTCAGCATTAAGCTTCCCAGACTTGAATCACCCATGTTAACAAGCTTCATCTCAATTTTCCAGCCCATAGAAGAAACAGTGAAGAGTAAGAGGAAAAGGCTGCCAGAAGGGGAGTCTCACAACAGGAAGAAGTAACAGCTACGCATAGAGGAAGGGAAGCTGTTCAAGAGCGGGCCCAGGAACACAACACAGAACCATTGTGTGAGCTATTCCGGGCAGACTGCCTAGGTCTCCAGGCAGCTCGGGGCCAGAGGCCTAACCCTCTTACACAGAGGCCTTGACCTGAGTTGCCTGGAGAGGGGGGAATTATAGCACAGAGAAAACTGTTTAAAGAGGAAGGGAAGCATGTGACCCACTGGGGGTACATTCCCACCCCAATTATTTAAAAGTAATATTTAACATTTAAAAGGTTTTGAAGCTGAAAAGGCCACACTGCAGCTTTGTGGAAAACTTAGCTCTGTGGAATTATTTGTTCCCTGTGGGTTCTGGGTGTTGATTTTACACTAAAAAAATTATTTTTGGAGTCGATGAACACACAGTATTTGCTCACAAAGAGGCAAAGTAAATTTCTTTTCTTTCTGCCTTTTTTTTTTTTTTTTGAGATGGAGTTTTGCTCTAGTTGCTAAGGCTGGAGTGCAGTGGCATGATCTTGGCTCACTGCAACTTCCACCTCCCAGGTTCAAGCGATTCTCCTGCCTCAGTCTCCTGAGTAGCTGGGACTACAGGCACCCGCCACCACGCCTGGCTAATTTTTGTATTTTTAGTAGAGACGAGTTTCACCATGTTAGCCAAGCTGGTCTTGAACTCCTGACCTCAGGTGATCCACCCGCCTCAGCTTCCCAAAGTGCTGGGATTACAGGCGTGAGCCATCGCACCCGGCAGAGGCAAAGTAAATTTCTAAACTTTTAGTGTCAGGACATGGAGGTGCTGCCCACTGGTCTCAGCCATCTATGCTCCTACCCATCAGTATCTCTCTCTCTTTTCTGCCTGTCCTACTCATCTTGTCTCCAGTTAGTTTCATTCCTGTTGTCTTTGATGATAATGATGAGAAATCTTCTACCGAGCACTTACTATACACCAGGCACTAAGTGTTGAAACACAGCTGCTTCATTCATCCTCAAAGCAATCCGACAAGATAGGTATGGCTAAGGGTGCAAGTGGTTAGAGGTTAAGAGACTTGCACAAGGTCACACAGGTATTAAACAGAGCCATGTGGACCAAAATGCAGGCAACATGAACCCAGACACTCGGACTCCAGGACCCCATTTCCGCTTTCTCTCTCCTCTCTGGTGACTGGCTTCCAGAAAGACTCAAGAATTTAATCTTTGTTGGACGTCTCTGAGCCCAAAGCTGCAAAACTCTTAGCATCTAGGCCCCCCACTTGCCTTGGGAATGACCAGCCCTCACTCTGATCTGCCATCTCAGCTGAGCACTTCCTGTCCCCTGAAGGGAATTTAGTAACCACCTCTCTCTTCCTCTCACCTTCCAAACTGCCCAGAAGGGTGAGGGCTGCCCCAAGTTCGCATCCAGGCCCTGGGACGCGGCCGGGGCCAGCGATGGGCGAGGCGAGAGGCCAAGAGCAGCCGGTCCCCTCAGGATGTGGGGGCCCTGAGGTCGCGCAGGGGTGGACTGGTGTCCCAGACCCACGCTGCAGTGGGGACGCCCTGCCTCCGGCCCGGCCCCGCCTCCGGCCCGGCCCCGCCTCCACCACTGCCCGCAGCGCACACGGATCCGCCGCCCCCTCTCTGGCTAGACGTGGCTGTGGCCGTAGCCTTGGCTGAATGCGCTGGACCGGGAGGGCCGAGGCCTCCTCTCCCCGTCTCCATGGCCACGGGCGTGCGCCTGACCCTGGAGCCGGCTGGGGCGGAACCCTCGGACTACCTTCCCGCCTTCAGCAAACTCTACAGTTGCCGAGGTTGATTTAGCAACACCCAGGGGATCTGGGTCAGCCGGAGCACCTCAGTGACAGCCCAGCCCGGGGGTCCACAGGAGAGGGCCAGGCTGGGGCCAGGGAGCTGAGGCTGAGGAGGAGCGTTTGCACAGGCTAGGGAGACACGGCACAGCAGTATCCGCCTCTGGCATTTGTACCACCGTTAGTCCTGCCACTTTCTCTCATTATGGCTTCGCAAAAGACTTGGGAACCAAGCAAGGCATAGCTGAGGAAGCTTAAGCCCAGTCTGGGCTCACGGAAGAAGCTGGTGGATCCAAATATCTGCTTCCTGCCTCCACCCACCCCTCCCCGCTCCGTGAGCACATTCATCCATCCAACATTTATGATCACTCCCTGCCAGGACAATTCTAGGGGCTGGGGATACAGTGAATAAGACCAAGGCTCCGCCCTCCTGGAGTCCACATCCCAGGGGCATGCCCCCTTCCAGGCTCCTCCCTCAGTGCCCTGGTGGTGGCTGGGGGAGGCTGGTCTACCTTTCTGGTTAGCGATAGCTTAGGTGACTCCCAGGTCAAGTGTAAGCTCCTTGATGATCGCTTCACTCTTCCCTTCAAATTTCTGAGGACATATAAACCACAAAGCACTCTGCCAGGGGCCCAGAGATAAAACCCTCCCCTCGCGACAGTCCTAGACTTTTGGTGGGAGGTGGGGAAGGTGACAACGATGTTCATAAGCTTGGCTACAAGACCGTCGAGGCTAAGAGCTACTTCGGTATTCTGACCAGTACTGATGGGAGAGGATCCCGCAGATGGGAACACCAGGAAACTGGTGGTGGAAACAGTCAGCAATCATGGGGTGGTTGACCTTGTGGATCCCACTACTGCACTAGCAAAGAGCAGGCTGGGCACACAGGGGCAGTCATCATCCCGCTTCCTTTCTCTGTGCTTCACGTTCTTCCTTCCGCAGGCAGGGGAGATGGAACCTCGTCCACAGGACCAAGCCTGTCCCAGCCCTCCAGGCGGACTGGCGGAATAGGCAGCTGGCCCCTTTCAGGCACTCCGGTCCGGGTCAGTGCAGGTCGCGGCAGTTATTTTACCTATGAACTCCCAGGACACGGTCAAACGCTCAGCTCAGGTGCCCTAGGCAGGCAGGCTATTCACTTGGAAGCATTTCCTTTGACACAAAGAGGGCCATGGCACTGGCTCAGAGACTGACAGCCTCTGCCTGCAGGGCCTGCTGGTCAGTTCTGCTTCTCATCAAGTGGTGAGCTTTTCCCAGGAAGCCGTTATAAGGAGGCGCCCATTCTTCATCTTGTCCTCTCTGCTCACTTCCTTTAGCGTGGTTGGGGAACTCCAGAGTCCCACATCACAGTTCAGCATGTGCCTCAGGAGCTTCAGCAAGTCTTTCGTGGAAGGAGAGTCTGCCGGTGACGGGGGAAGCAGGCCATCAGCCCGCCCAGCTTCATCTCAGGCCGCTTCCAACACCGCCAAGCAAACTCCCTTGGCAAGATCCATGCAAGGCCGCGGCTGACCACCGGGAGGCAGCAGCCTACTCTGCAAGGCACTTTCTTTACCCGACCCCCACCCCCTTTTAACAGGTGGCAGGAAACCTGCTGGCCCAGCCATCTGCCGCACCCACCCTTCACTCCCAGTCCCATCTCCCCATAGCACAGATTTCCCTATCATGAGCCCTGACGTGACCTGGGTGTCCTCTTGCCTTCCTCTGCCCAAGGAATTCCTACAGAGATTCTTTCTCTATCCTCCTTTGTACATTTCCAAGGAATTGTTTCCCCAGGGCCCCTCCCCTTGAAGAAATTAGACAGGAAGCTGGAGTAGATGGTTCCCTCTTTCCCACCTCTCACACTCCCAAGCTCTGGTTAACTCTCTGTGGGCCAGTGGCTAGATTCCCCAACACAGATGACAACTGAACAATACACATGCAGCGTAAGAATGTTGTCGCTGCCACCAGCCACTTACAGATACACCATTGCTAAGGTCCACCCAACTGGACTGTTTCCCCCTCCCATAGACTAAGCCCCAAAGGCCAAAAAGTAAAACCCGCTACCCCAAACCTGCCTGTAACTGTTTGACCAGAGGCCAGCTGTCCCAGGATGCGGTTAAGACGTCTACTTTGCACAAGAGAACTGGCAAGAAAAACATCTCCAGGAAGCGGTCAGACACATGGCACAAAGGACCCCCCCCCTTTTCTTTTTCCTTCACCCTGATCCAGTTCTATGTCCTATAAAACCTTGCTCTAGCCTATAAGTGGGGCTGCCTTCTCTGCTTTTGTCAAGAGGTAGCCAGGCAGGACTGACAATAAATCAGCTTGCCTGAACTTGGGTCTATTGGCCTCATTCCTTTCTTGGCTGTCCTTCCAATTATCCCTTACAACCATCTCCCACCCTCTGAAGGCACTGCACCCAATACCCCGCCATTCACAGTCTGGTCAGGGCTGTCCGTGCAGGACTTGTCATGGCTGAGGACCAGCTAGCCTCAAGCCACTCTGAAGTCAGCTTGCTGTTTCCCCTGGAGCCTGGAAATACATCCCTCTTCAGGTAAACAAAAGCAGAAAAAGCCCAGTGAACCCCACTGTAACAAAGAAACTGCCAGCAGTCTTCCTTCTGTTCCTGCCTGTCTCACCACCCAAGGGCTATCGCAGAGCCCACTGTGTTCTAAGATCTATTCCTTTCACTAGCACCCAGCCAACCCAGTGTCCAGACCATTCCTCAATCAAACAACACTGCCTTCTGGAGTTTTAATTTTATTTTACAAAAAGAGAAATAAGGAAAACCGATAGGCAGCTATACTGACTTAACAATTGTTCTGCTTGCTTTTTTTCAAAAAAGTGACATGAAACACAAGTAAAAATAAATATGTCACAGAAAGAGCCAGTTGTTCAGTCTCTGGACCAGGAACTCCGGCCCTGCTGAGAGGAGGGAAGCCCATGATCACCCCAGCAGCTGGATCGCCAAGCCACAGATGCTCCTCAAAGCCAGGCACAGGTCCCAGGCCTCAGGGGCATCCTGAGGAAAGAAGATGGAAAACCAAAGCCAGTTGCCTGGACCCTTGGGCTACCTCATCATCCCCCACTCCTCCTGGCAGCCATCTGGCCTTAGTGATTAATCATTTGTGGCATCTCCGCCTTTGCCCACCTGGACCCTCTTTCCCTGACCTCTCTGAAGAGGGCACAAGGAAAAAACCTGTCTTGGGCAGACTGAGGGGATTCTTCCAGTGAGTCCCCAGCCCACCCTGAGTAACACAACCAGCTAACAGTCATTTTACACCCAGGTGCACATGAGCACAGCACACACATAACTCTCTCTCTCTCTCTCACACACACACACACACACGCACACACACACACACACACACACACACACACACAGCTGGACTGAGCTGTCTTCCAGGAAGGGTCTTGGGTCTGGTCACAGTATGAGGTCCTCTCTCTTCTGAATATCATCTCAATAGTGGTGGCAGAGAGAACCCAAACCTCCCCAAGCCCCTGCATTGCAGACTCTGTAGCCGGCCTGGCTACCCCTCCCCAGCACACCGGATTACTATGTCCAATAGACCTGCAAAAGGGAAAGGAGCACACTCAGGACCCGGAAGAGCAAAGAAGGTGGACACTGTCTGCTCAGGACACTCTTCGTTGTAAGACTCGGGTATAAATAAAAGGCCCAGGGCCAAGCTAGTGGCACAGAACAGACATTAAGGGGGTCACCATGGAATACACAGGGCAGAAGAGAAGAATACACATGGCAGCAGGGAAACGGAGTCCGAAGGTGACCAATGGAGAGCACAGCATTCTCAAACAGTCCTTGAGGTGCTGATTCGAGGGAGCAGTCAGCAGAGGGCCAGAACATCTTGTGGGGATCCTTTTGGGGAGGGATGACTTCTCTTAGGAGTTTTGGTGGGGAAGAGCCACTGAGCTCGGTGCACAGAAGGCCACGGTTCAGAGGGAGACACTGGTCTTCTGAGAAATCAAAAAAGAAAGTGGGAAGCAGGAAGTTATATCCAGAACACTAGTATAAAGGAATGAAAAGCCCCCAGAGACCTTCCCCCATGGGATGAGGACTCAATTTCAGAGCAATACCAGGCTTGAATTGATTGACACAGAGGGCGTTTCTCTGCTGACAGCTTTGGGAGTGATGGTCCCATCCAGGCCGCTTAAGTTTGGCTAAGTGTTTCAACCAGTCTGCACATCTTTACCCCAGCTCTTTGCTGTCTCCTCCTGGATTGGGAAATTTCATATTTAGCTGTGAATCACAAGTATATAGAGACTCCACCCACTAATTCCTAGGGAAGAGGTCTCCAAGCACCAGACAGAATTATCCCTAAATCAAGAGATGATGAGATAGACGCTTAAGAAGCATAACTCAGGGCCGGGTGCGGTGGCTTACGCTTGTAATCCCAGACTTTGGGAGGCCGAGATGTGCAGATCATGAGGTCAAGAGATCAAGACCATCCTGGCCGACATGGTGAAACCCTGTCTCTACTAAAAATACAAAAATTAGCTGGGCGTGCTGGGGCACACCTGTAGTACCAGTTACTCAGGAGGCTGAGGTGGGAGAATTGCTTGAACCCCTGAATCAGAGGTTGCAGTGAGCCTAGATTTTGTCACTATACTCCAGCCTGGTGACAGAGCGAGACTCCCTCTAAAAAAAAAAAAAAAAGAAAGAAAGAAAGAAAGAAAAGAAAAGAAAAAAAGCATAACTCAGAGGGGTGAGGACTTCACAGATATCCAATCTAAAGAAAATGATAAGACCCACCATGGTTCATTGCCTTTCTTAAATAGCTACTTTGTCCCTGTTCAGTTTTTATCTACAAATATATTAAGAAAAGGAAATCAAGCATCACTACAAATGGCAAACCTGAATCATTAAGTAGTACTGCATTCCCCAGGCTGAGAACTTGGCTAAACCAGATGGATGGGGCTTGAGAGGCCCTTGAAAAAATTCCATGGAAGGCAATAGCGAGGGGAAATTCCTCAGTCAGATCCTCTGCATTCCCGCACGTGGCCCCACATTTTTTGTTTTGTTTTTTTTGTGTGTGAGTGTTTTTTTAATAAAAGCAAAAACCAGGGACCTGGTAGCACTCCAATTTCCCATGATCCCACCTCCACCCCTCTACACAATAGAAACTGCACATATAAGAGAAAGCTTTCTCTAGTCAGGTGAGCCTCCCAGAATGATGGCCTCTGCTGAGGAGAAGCAAGACCCAGTCTCTGGAACATGGGTAGCCAGTAGCCATGTGCTGCCTCTCAGAATACCCATTTGCTCTCTGGCAATTTCACAAATCTATGCCTCCAGTGACTGGTTTCAGTTCCCTGCTGAGAAGGTTTTCTGGATTCTTACCCCAGAGTCTGCTATGGCCCTCCAATGATGGAACCAGGCTGGTCAGAGGGCTGCAGGAGCTAGTATAGGGATGACCTGACTAAGCTGCCTTCTGGGCTACGAAGAGGCAAGTCCAGCATCTGCCCAGTAAGGAGGGAGCCAAGGTGAGGTGGTAAAGCTCTAAAGTCAGACTTTCTTCATCATAAAGAACCATCTGGTAAAGCCTTGGGGTATGGGGAGTGGGGGATGCAGAGGGGGTAGGGACGCTAATAGGAATAGGAAGACAGCCAGTGTTTGTACTTAAGGACTAGATGCCTCTTCCCTGGCATTGGCAATAAGGGGAGACCCAGAATGACTAATGTGTTCTTTTAAGAAAAAACCCAAACTTATGACTCCTACAGAGAAAGGGCTTCTCCATGGTCCTTTGAAGATGGAGGCAGCAGACACCAGGCCCATGTGGGTCATCCGAAGACATTTCCTAACAAGAAATCAAAAGTCCCTCAACCCAGCAACCACCTACCCACAGCTTCACTCTTCAGCATAGACAGCCAGCCTCTAAGATCATCCCAGGAGGACACAGCTCCAAATCTGGGCTTCCCGACTTCCCAGTTGTAAACTCTGATCCCAACTTTCAATTTCTGTGGAATGAGTCTCACCTCCCACTAACTATCCAGTCTCAGGATTCCTTGATCTTTCTGAAAAGCAATCTCTCAAAAATATAGTTGTTTAATCCAAACCTTGGTCAAACAGACTCTTTCCCTCATCAATATCCATCCACCCAGGATTGTTTTTCACCAGTAGCTATGGAGTCTGGGATATCTGAAAACATCTCTATCTCCTACTCTCTTTTCCCCTAACCTCCCCGCACCCCACCCACAAACAAACAAGACACATGAAAAGCCCAAGTAAGAAGTAATTGCCCATAAGAAATAAATTAACATGGAGCTCTCTAAAGGGGAAGGAAAGGAACAGGAAAGACACCAGGATAGGCAGCTGGGGGCTCAGGTCCCACCGGTGAAAAATGTCTTTTCCAGCCACAGCTCCAGGGCCTCCCCCTCCCAGCCTCTGCACACAGACAACCTTCCACGCTGCTCACAGAGAGCCATGGGGGTTAAGAGACGCAGATTGGTAATGCCCATTTTCTCTCATGATTTCCCCCAAATTCTCAAACAAATGTGGCTCTTAAAACCAGGGACTTGAGTTAGCTGGGCCTTCTCTTCCCCCAACCAGAAGGAAACTTGTAATTTCCATGGTTCTTCACCTGGGCTCACCCTGATGTTCACACTAATAGGTGCCATGAACGACCAAACTCTGATTTCCATTAGAAGAAAGATAAATTTATTTCAGTTTCCCCCTTTGTTTCTCCCTCCCTCCCCTCCCACCTTTACTCCTGCTCTGTTACATACATACATCAACACACACAGACTCACAAACACACAAGCCTGGTCAGCTTCCTTCCACCCCATAAAAAGACCCAACTTCACCTGGGATCACAGTTTGCTCCCCTGCCCACCCTCCTTCTCTCACTCGCTCTTCCCTCTTCCTCCCTTCCCTCCCCTCCCCAGGCCAAGTTAAATCACTCAGTAAGGCAGGTCTCTTTGGAAAGAATGATCCTAGAGACAGAAATGGGATGTGAGCTTTTGCACTTTGATGGGCGAGCAAGCAAGCAGACAGCATGAGCAAGGCAGGGAGTGGGAGAGGCTGCGCAGTTCTCCAGCCCTGCTTTGGGTCTTCAATTTCCCGCTGTTGGCTGCCCTGTTGGGCTTTTTTTTTTTTTTTTTTTGCCTCTTTTGTTAAACAGCAACACAGCTCTGCCACCATGGCCAACCACCCTCCTTTGTCCCCTTTGTGTTCTCTTCTGCCAAGTTTCCTATTCTGGAGAAGTCCAAATCATTGCCTTCCAGCTTGGTGGGCAACCTCCTGGGGACCCCAATTGAAGAGCAGAGGAGCTCCCCAGCTATTTCCCAGTGACCTCTATCACATCATCGTCCCTATTCTCATCATCACTGGAGCTGAACCCCACTTCAGCAACCTCATGAGAGTGAAATAGAGGCACCTGGAATGGAAGGAGGCCACCAGCTGGGTAGCCTGCCCATGGGGACATGTAGCCTGGGTAGATAGACATGCCCCATGAAAGGTTGCTTGGCACGACAGGGGAAGGAAAAGGTGCAAACATCCTCAGCTCAGTCAGGAGTCGCTGTGAGAATGGAAGTGGAGAGCTGGGTGGTTTCCCTGGCACAGAAGGGCTGAGCATGAAGGAGGGGCTGCTGGCAGTGATGGAAGTAGCTTAGAAGAGGAATGGACAGGGCCTGCTGGCTGGCATCAGAGGGTCAGTAGTCACTGGAAACACCAGGTGGGCACCTGCCAGCAAATTGGGTAGCTGGCAGTAAGAGGGGGCACTGCCCATAAACAGAGTGTTGTCCCCAGCTTAGGAGGTGAAGGGGTGGTGAGGTTATGATGTAAGGAGACAGGTGGCTTGGCAAACCCTCCAGAGACTGGACACCTGTATTCATGCAGCTGCACAGGGGCTGGCAGATGGCCCTTGCTGGACCACCAGCAGGCTGACTCCTGGGAGAAGATGGTATGGTCAACTTCCACTTGTGGCCCCTTCAGTCCAGCACTGGGTGCCTATGACCACAGAACTGCCAGTCACCCAGAGGGAACTATGGAGGCAATGACCACCGAGTCCAGGCTCAGCTCTGAGAGCTGTCCCGGGAACAGCAGTGCAGTCCACAAGGTGGGCCGGGGGCCAGGCAGGGCAGCATTGGTACTTGGGGAACTCTGATGGGATTCCCAGGCAGCAGCCACATCTGCCCACTGCTGAAGCTCACTGATGATCTCCAGGCTGTCAGGAGAGATGGGCCTGGGCAGCCCTGCAGGGTGGGGGTCTTTGGGTGAAGAAACACTTGTCTGACGTTGCTTGTGGACTGACGAGAAGATACCTGGGAACCTGGAGACAAAATATAGGTAACAGAGAACCAGAATGCCCAGGGAGCGGAGGGTAGAGGAGAAAATTCCATTAAAAAATTCCTGACCTGTGGTCCCTGAAATTCTGTTAGTTTGATGTCTAACAACATCTCCCAGTCAACCTTTTCCAGTCACAAAGAAAAAAATTATTTGAAATGTCTATCCATGACAAGGCAGTCCCCCAATGTGTAAAATGATACCAAAGTGAATCCTATGAGATAAGGAATATAAAACGCTAAGACATCATTCTTAAAACTGGTCAGACTTTTTCTTGCAGTAAGAGACAGTGATTTGGGTGGGAGAGAGAGGAAAATAAAGCTAAAAAGCAGTTCCTTCTGATTTAAAAACAAAACAAAATCCAAAGCTATGAAAGACAGCTGAGACAAACAGGAAGTCTGAATTTCAGCCTGAATACTAGGTAATTCTATGGAATTGTTAGCTTTTTCTAAGTGTAATAATGATATTGCGGCTAGAACAGAATATTCTTAATTTTAAAGGAGGCATGTTGAAGTACTTAGAGATAAAATGACATGATGTCTTCGACTTACAAATGACTCAAATAATAGAAAGGGAGGGAGAAAAGAAGAAGGCTTATGAAAACTGATAATCATTAAATCTAGGTGCAGGGTACATGGGTGCTCATGGTGCTTTTTTTCAACTTCTCTCTATGTATGAAAATTTAAAATTTCTATAATACAAAGCTAGGAACGAGAGCATTGCAGCTCTCATGTCTCAGTGCTGGGAGGATACATGAGAACCACTTCCACTGAGGGGAGCTTGGCGAGAGTTCTTAACCCTGTTCATGGCCACACATACACCCTTAGACCTGGCAATCCCACTTTAAGGAACATATCCTAGAGATATAACCACCTCTGTGAAAAAGTGCTGCAGTGGAGGGCGGCTGGCCGCTGGGGGTCACAGAGCAGGACTTGGAGGATCTCCACCACCCCTCCTCCCCGACCCCAGTATTTGGCATGGTCCCTCCTTTCCTCGTCCTGGGGAGGGGAGGCTCCTTCCTACTCCTGGCCGGTCTATACAGGGGTCCCCACAAAGGTGAAACTGTCAAACAAATACGCAGCCCAAATCCAGGTGAAACAAGTAAGTCATTGGCTTTATTCTGGGTCCTGGAAGCTCCAGTGACAGTCTGAAAAAGAGATACAACAGGAGTGTCGGCCCACAGGGCTGGTGCAGGATACAGTCTTTGGCTGCTTTGGCCCTGGGAGCCTAAAGGACAGTGAGGAGAAGGCTTCACAAGAGGCCTAGAGCAGGGGGAGTTACGTCCCCTGGGAACCCCTCGCCCCCAGAAGAAGGAGGAAGATGGCTGGAGAGTCTGCTCGGTTCCGCAGCCCTGCCCCGCAGGAGGGGGCTGGTCATGGGTTACTCCTTGCCCTTCTCAGGGTACTGGGCTCTCAGGGCCACTTGGTAGCCCCCAGGGGCTCAGTCTCAGGGTCCAGCCGTGGTTCCTCCAAGGGCCCCTCACCCTCCAGGTCCAGCTCCTCAAAAGAGGAGCCGCTGGCACCTGACTCTCTGCAGCTGCACTCACTGCAGGTGTCACCATCCTCCCAGCCGCGGCCGCTCTCCCCAGGTGACACGGTAGCAAATGAAGTCTCCCGGCTACCAGGGCTCACCTCCAAGCTTCCAGAACTCGTGTCACTCATCATGTCAGTTCCTATGGCCAGGAAAAGGGAGCCCAGGTTAGCCAGGTCCACTCCGCCTTCTCCTCCAGGAAAAGGCAGCTCAGCACACACAGCACAGTCATGAAGAATGCAGCCACCCAGTCCCAGGGCGCTCACTGCCTCACTGCAGCTGCCTTCTGCCCTGATGGGGCAGTGGGAAAAAGGCAGAGGGAAGGCCAGGCACGGTGATTCACGCCTGTAATCCCAGCACTTTGGGAGAGCTTCCATTTCCATTCCCATCACCCTGTCCCTTTTCCCAGCCTGCTCTGGTGAACAAAGTTGCAAGGATCCTCCAAGTGTTCCAAGCTCCCACTCCCACAGACTCTCCTGTCCTGTTCCCTGACCCCAGCCACACTGACCATGCCCTCTGCCCAGCCCTTGCTGCCCCAGGCTGTCCATGGCCTACCTGGCCCCACCGAGGCAGGAGGCACAGGGCAGCTGGTCAAATACTGCCAGCAGGCTGATGTCCCCAAACATATCCACCAGCCCAGCCCTTTCTGAACTCCAGACCACACATCCCATTGCCCACTCCACACCCCTAACTTGGATGTCTCTCAGGCAGCTCCCCTGAGATAGCCCAATAACCTGGCTTCCCCCCAAAACCAGGGCCTCCCTCAGTTCCCCCACACATCAGTGAAAAGCATCACTACATGCTTGCCCACCTGCCCAGGCCAGAGAGAAGTGGAGCCCGCTGTGACTCCCTCACTGCCTCTCCCCACAACAGCCAATCCACCTGAAGTCTGTGAGTTCTGTTCCAAAAGTGCCTGTAAATCTCCGCCCTTGTCTGCGTCTCCACAGCCACTGGGCCTGCCCAAGCCGCTGCCACTCACACAGGGATTCATGACAGCCTCCTAAGCACCTCTACCTCACCCCAGTTCTGTGGTCCAGCCCCTTCCTGCCTGGGAATGGGACAGCCCACCTTGCACACACGCTGCTCCAACTGTGTTATTTTCCTGGTTGGAACACTGCAGTGACTTCCTGCTGCATTTAGACCAAAGCTCTGCCTAGAATGTTCTTACCTCTTCTCCAAAGGCTCCTCTAGGACTCTGCCTTGAGGTGATCTCCCCTGAGAGGTTGTCCCTGATCATTCTGTTTAAGTCGGTTCCCTGACTTTTCTCACCCTCTCCTTCTCTAGCACATGTCCCATTTTTGTCTGACATTGATTACCTGTCTTCACCACCTCATTGTAAATGCCTGTTTCATGCACCAAAGTTTCATTCACATTGTGCCCATTATAGCACCCGGCGCACAGAAAATAAACAAGTTAAATGAATGAATCAACAGTCACTTCCAAGCCCCAATGGGTCATTTTCCTGGTTTCCAGGTTTACAAAACATTTAGAGGAGGAGGGATGCGTAAAAGGGCAAGTTTTAAAAAAATCTCTGTAGACACACAGACCTCTGTCAGACAACCTGGTGGCTGGCTCTCCTTCCTCCAGGAAGGGTGTGCTGCCACCATGGCCAGTGACCAGGTTAGGAAGTAAAGGAGAAGGGCCTGCCATTGCTGCCCCAGCCCTGGGCTCAGGGAGCAGGTGCATAGCAGAGGCAGGGCCAAGGGCAACACGTGATTACCTGGGGCCTGCCCAGCCACGGGGAGCCTCAGGTCCTTGCTTTGCAGGCTTCTAGCAGTGGGAGAGAAAAGTGGACTGTCCTTCCATCTGAGCCAGGAGTGTGGGATTAGCACTAAGCATGTCTTTGGTCAAAGCCAGAGCCAAACCAACCAGACCAGGTTCATGAACAAGCTCTCCATGCTCTTGGGAGATGCTCTGGCTCCCACAAGGTCTTGGGCATCTGAAAGAGATGCCAACACCTCGGCCCATCTTCCTGGCTCCACAGGTACCTGTTCCATGAGGGCCCCAGAGTGCTGCTCTCCCCAAATCACCTCTTCCTCCCACTCTGGGCAATCCTACTCAGCTCCACCCAAGGGACCTGGCTGTCCCCAACACACAAACTCCAGGCCTGTGCATCACCTTGATGTAGGTGTCCAAGGCAGAATGGATATGGCAGGCAGCCACCCAGATGGACAGCATGGTGGTGTAGGGGAAGGTGGCTGTCACCACGTGGCTGGGTGCCTGGAAGGAGAATGCCTTGAAGTCAAATTTCTGGTAGATGTGGATGAGCTCAGGGGAGGGAGATTCCTCACCTTCACTCAGGAGGCTGCCCAGGACACAACAGCACTTGCCAAGAGGAACCGGGGAAAGGAAAGCATGTGCATGAGAGCTGATCAAAGGAAGGAGGCCCTGAGACCAGGACACAGCTGGCCGTTTTCCTACTGGAACCCACCTGTGCCCCCACCCGTGGCATCCTACTGCAGGACTCTCGGCCATTCCTTTATTTATTCCTTCCACAAACATGCCACACCCTCTGGAGAACCAGGGATTCTAGTGAGGGGTTAGGCTCGTTCTTTGCCCTCCAGGAGGCCAGGAGTAGGAAGGACAGAGAGGACCTGTGAACCGTCACCCTCCACATGTCCACTGACAGCACCGCTGAGGAGGCGCTTCCATCTCCCGATGAGACCTTCTGTCAGCCCCACTCCCCAGGGCAGGACTGCAGGGGGACTGATCCTGCAGCCTGGGCCCAGCACATCCCTATTAGCTCATGTTCCTCCTATCTGCTGAAGAAGAGCAGGCTTCACGGGCAGAGAAATTATGGCAGGAAAGGGAGCAAAATGGAGGAGTGGGAATAAAGAGCTCAGAACCCTGCAAGGTGCTGCCGGAGGAAAGCAGGAACATATGTGTGTGTTTACACATGTGCTTGCAGGGTCAGAACCTGGCAAGTGGCGGTGGAGGGGCTGCAGGAGGCACCTGTCAGGACATGGGATGGGGATCGCTGACCTCAGGGCTGCTGATGAATTTCTGTGAAGAGATCACCCTCCCCATCCCTTAGGGAGGTCAGCGACCATCCCGAGTCTCTAGACTTCTCCAAACCATGACCCACCCAGGAAACTATCCACTTCCTAAGTCCCTTCCTGGCTAAAAGCCGAGACTGCTGGCTCCCTCCAAGTCTCTAGGCTGCTAGTAGCTGTGCTTCCCACTCTGCTCCCTCCCAACCTAACTTTCCTCCTCTGGCTCCCAGAAACCCCAGCCAGGCAGGGCTCTTGTGTGAACCTCCAGCACTTCCTAGGATGGACCCAAGGCCGCAAGGCCCAGCACTCACTTCTCCTCCTGGCATCAAGGACCCACTTTGTCTCACCTGCTACCTGTTTCCCATGTCAGCTTTCCAGGTGCCCAGGTCTGTTCCAGCCTTCCGGCTGGGCCCTCAGGGGATATAATCCTGAATCCAGGAGATTCAGCACAGACCTCGTACCCTCAATCCTGGGTTTCGCTCACTTTAAAGGCTTGTTTCTCCCCTATCAAGGGCCTACTGACCCCTAAGTTTATTAAGTTTTTCTTTTAAAAAGATTTTTTTTTGCCAGTAGTTCATGTTCATAGGGATGAGCTCCAGGTTTAAACAGGCTACTCCCTCCACCTCCACTTACTCCGTCCCCAGCCCCGCTGCTCAGCACTGTGACATCATCATTCCCTGTTCTCACCTCTGCCCTCCCATTATGGCCCTTTCCACGCCCCCTCCGAGATCCCCTGGGGATTCTCAGCACTCAGCCTCCTCTATTCTGGCCAACCCAGCACTTCCTTTTAGTCACAGTTTGCCTTGGACGTGGTCACCTACTCCAGGATCTTGCCTGAGCAGACCCCAATGGTCACCCTCAGCTGTCTGCAGCTCTGGACCCCTTGCTGCCCCCTTGAATCCTACGGCATCTAAACCTGGCTCAGAGCTTTCATGGTTGTCGGAAGCGGTGAAAAGTTCACATGCTTTCCAAGGAACTCTTTTCCCGGAAAGACCCTGGAGCTTAGCTGGCTCATCCTGGAAGCCACCTCTGGCCACTAGGAGCAGGGCCATGAGCTCAGCCTAGAGGGAGCCTGTGGGGCACCTGCACTCTGGAGGGAGGGATGCAACAGGCCACCAGGCACAGGCAGGTGAGGTAGACAGGGGAATGGGACTGCAGTTGCCTGGGCTGGACGGAAGGCACAGAACAGGCTACCAGGCACAGGCAGGTGAGGCAGACAGGGGGATGGGACTGAAGTTGCCTGGGCTGGATGAAAGTCAGTGCCCTTGGGTGCTGGCACCCTGCCTTCCCAGCCACCGAGAGATCAGGCTTCTGAGCCTGTTGGCCATTAGGGCCGGACTGTCCCCCATGGGTGCCATTCCACCTGTGGAATCCCCCAGGTGTCACCAGGCAGCATGCAGGTAACAGGCCTGGAAGGTCCCCAGCAGCCCAGCTCGACATGCTCAGACATTCTGGGGCCCCCATTCAGTGGCACAAACCCCAGGACCCAGTGAGGGAAACAGGATACGCCAGGCCAAGCAGTATGGCTAAATCCATTTACTTTAAGGGTAAAGGGGTGACTGCAAAGGGGTGGGAGGGACATGGGGGGGCGGAGCCTCCCACCCCCCTTCTCCTGGCTTTGCTGAAGGCAACTGGCTTTCAGATGAGGGTGATCTTCACCTGGTGGTTTTTGTCAGCCTGGTGGGAAAACAGAATGCAGGGGATGCTGCCCAAGCCTGGGCGCTCCTGAGGGTTCTGCATCTCACCAAACAGCTGCATGATCTGCTGTGCACTGGGGTTGTCGAGGGGAGAACCCTCCCCGGCCTCTCCTTGTGCAGGCTCCACGCTGCTGGTGAGGGTCACCTGGCAAAGATCTTTGGAGAGAGGGAGGAGGGCTCTGAGCACACTGCCAGCCTCCCTTGCTCTTGCCTGCCCAAACCGCCTGAGGGCACTACTCATCACCCTGCTTGTCGGCAGCCCTGAGCTCTGGGGGGCTGGGGCCCCTGGAGCTGGCTCATGAGCAGGGCTCTGGGCAGCTGCCAGGAATCTGCCATGGCCCTCAGTCCTGTCGCCCACAAGCCGCAACACCAGCTCCTGCAACTCCAGCAGCTTCACCTGGAGGAGAGGGTGTTCAGCTGCCATGCCTGAAGCTGCACCCTCCCCGCAGCCCCCCGCCGGGCAGAGAAGCTCCACGCCCTGCCTTCATCTCCTCCTTGTCCTGGGCTAGCCTGTGGATGTGCTCCTCCTCCTCTCGGTGCTGCTCCTTCAGCGCTGCCCCCTGGCTGAGAGAGGGCAGTGTAGACTCCTGCGAGAGGACAGGGCTCAGACGCTGGGTTCCCTTCACCCACTGGGCAGCTCCCCCTGCCGTGCCCTGGCCTCCGCCTCACCGATGGTGTCTGTCTCTCCAGAGAGCTGGATGCAGCGATGTTCCAGCTCCTCCACCCGCTCTTTCAGGTCCACCTTTTCCTGCATCAGCTGCATAAAGCAGCTCTGGAGCCAAAAGAATGGGGTCACATCTCGGCAGTGAACTGCCTCGCTCACACCCTTCTTGGCCCATGCCAGAAGAGACTCACTCACCTGCAGTTTCTCCATGGCACCCTGCAGGGCCCGGTGGGTCCCCCCACACACAGAATCCATCCCAGTCCCTGGGGCTGGGGCTGCTGCCTCTGGCTGCTTCTGGGCCCAGGCCAGCAGGTGAGCCAGGCACCGGCAGCGCAGCCTTTGCTCCTTCAGCTGCCCACGGAGCCGAGCCTGCTCCCCATCTGCACTGGCTACAGCTGATGTTAAAAATGCCACCTGCAGGCAAGAGGTGTGCATTCTTCTTGGGGGATATACAGGACCAACGGGGCAGGGAGGTGGAGAGGAGCCCTTCGCTTGGGGCCTCAGAGTGTGCACCTGTTGGTCACAGGTCAAATGGTATCTGTCTGACCACTGGCTCCCAGGAAAGGGGTGAGGATCCAGAGAAATAAGAAAGCAGGAAACCAAAAGCATAAGCGGGTCTGGGAGGGACCACAGAGGGAGGGGGCAAAGGTGGGGCAGGGGGAGTAGGCTAACCATGGACTCCTGGCTTTCCAGGTCCTGCAGGATGCTCTTCATGGGCCGAGACGCCTCCTCCTCCTTCTCCTTCTCCTCCTTCTTCTTCTTCTTCTTCTCCTTCTCCTTCTCCTCCTCATCCTCATCCTCCTCCTCCTCCCCCCCCCGCCCCTCCTTCTCCCCCACCCTCCGTCCAGTCTACCTCCTAGGGCACAGAGCTAGAGGGGTCCTCACGCGACCCAACAAGGGAAGTAGGGTGGGCCCACCTCTGCCTCAACCGTCACTGTATAACCCTGGGCCAGTCCCTCTCCAGAGGGGAATGAGCAGCTGTAATTTATTTTTATTTTTTTTTTGAGAACCAAAGTCGCACTATGTTGCCCAAGCTCAGTTCCACTACTGCCCGGCAGGGGAGTTCTGACCTGCTTCATTTCTGACTTGGGCCAGTTCACCCATCCTTAGGCAACCTGGTGGCCCCTCTACTCCCAGGTCACCGTTTTGATGCCGAACTTAACGCAGAAACCCGGTCGGCATAGTGACCAGCTGTTCTAAACTCCTCACTCCTATCTGCTAACAGTCCCCCCTTCCTCCTGGGCTCCCTCCTCTTCCTCTGAGTGATCTCCCGTACCTTCCTCAGGGAGAGCCATGAGGCTCAGCTGGGCCTGTAGCTGCTGGTTCTCTGGCTGGCAGCTTCCAGGTGCTCCTAAGGGGCGGGGAAAGAGAGTTGAAGGCACAGAGGCTGCCAGGTCGTCCCCCTTGGGACCCGCCCTCAGCAACTCCCACACCTGGGTCCCCCGCAACTCTTGGTGGGCCATCTCGGCCATCGCTTTGCCCTAAGCTTCCTGCTGCTGCAGCTGGTCCATGAGCTGGGTCTGCAGCAGTAACTGCCTGTGCAGCGCCTCCATCTCAGAGCTCAGCTGCTGACAAGTGGCCATGTACTGATGCAGGGGACCCAGGGACTGGTCTTGCTGCGGCTGCAGACTCTGAGCCTCTTGGCTCTTCATCTCTACCTGCAGGAAGACCTGCAGGTGGTGGCCTGCTTTCAAATTCTGGGCCTATGAATAGGGTACCTAGGGCACTGCAGGGCTGTGTCTCCTGCCCAGGCCCGTGGCCCCTTGCTCCAGGCCTGAGAGACTGCCTAGAGCCCCATGCCTCCTTCCCTGCATGAAATCTCACACTCTTCTTCCCACCACTTAAACTGTAGGCCACAGAATGGTGGAAAAGCAGGAGCCAGCCATCATCTGCTAAGTGTCCGACATGCCTAATTCTCTCCACGTATTATCTCATTTAATCCTTGGCACCTCTGCGAAGAAGATGCTAACTTCATTGCAGCTGGAGAGCCCAGAACTTGGTGTCTGCCTCCCATGGCACCAGGAAGGGTGAAGTCAGGTTAGAAAAATCATCCCCACCTCCCCACAGCCATTGGAGCAGGGCTCTGGCTCACAGGTGCCCTCAGAAGTGCCATTTCACGTGAGGGCTACACGGCCCCATTTGACAGGTGGGAAAACAAAGGCCCAAAGGGCTAGGGAGGAGGGCTGGCTCCCCAGGTGGGGCCGTGCACCAGCTTTATGAAGCCACTCTGCAGCTCGGCCAGCTGTTCCTTGACCTCACAGGTCTGGGAGAGCACGTGGCTGACAGCGGTGTGGTCTCCATGGTCTACAGGATTTGTCTCTGTGCCTCCACTTGCTTCCGCCAGAGCTCAGCTGCCCGCTCCAGCTCCAGCAGCCTCTCCTCCTGCTCCCGGTTCAGGCAACTCAAGCCCTCATTGTCCTGTACCTGGGCTTGGAGCTGTCCTGCCAGACTCTCCAGCTCCTCCCTCAGGTGCTCAGCCTCCTCTTGTAGCTGCTGCTCCACCTCGGAGGGCCTTGCTGGGGGTGCCAGGGCTGGGAGTTCAGCTGAGGAAAAAAAAGCAGACAATAAGGGCCTCTGGAATCTTAAAAAAAATCTTCCTCTTGGTCCACAGCTCCTCTCAGGCTCCACAAACTTGGCCTCCCTGCTAATGATTCCCCACACCTGGATGGTAGCCAATCTTCTAAGCCACTTACAGATACAGACATGTGTGGGTGGCTGACAATAGGCACTCCTCCCTCTTTGCTGACTGGGAAACTGAGGCTCATGGAGATAACCAGACTTGTCATCTCCTGGCACATACCTCTTTTCCTCTGCCTCAAAGTCCTTCCATCCACCCACCTCCCTAGGACATTCTAACCCACCCCCCATGGCCCTCTGATGTTAGCCCTCCTCCCAGGTCACCCCAGCCTCAGCTTACTCATCTGTTTTCTCAATTCCACCAAGCTTGTCTCCAGCTCCTGTAACCGATTCATAATACACTCCTTCTCCTCCCTCAGTGTGTGCATCTGCACAAAGCACAGGGGGAAAGGGCCCTGGAGAGGGGGGCTGCTGGCTGGACAGGCTACCATCTCCCTCTCTGCCCTCTCCTCCACAAAGCCCAGACTCATGACCACCCCTCCCATTTTACAGATGCCCAGAAAGATCTAAAGTGGGGGCTGAAGTGTCAGGTCTCACCTGCTCCGACATCTGATTCATCCTCTGCTGCCATGTGGCTCTCTCTCCTTTAAGAATCTCAGCAAATGTATCTCTCTCCAGTTGTATTTGTCTACATGCCTCCATTACCTGCAAGAATGGGTGCAGAAGTTAGGAAGGACTGTCACTGGTCCTCTCCTGCTCCTAGCCACCTGGGGTCATCTTCCTTCCACATCCCTCCCTCTGCAAAGCCTCACTGCCCCAGGTGTGCTTCCAGCTGTGCCCGCTCCTCCATGGCCTGTCATAACTGCTGGTTAGCATCAGGGGCTTCACACCGGCTTGAAAACTGGATGGTGAAGAGTGAGAAGTTTAGGTCTGGGGACCCCAGGCTGTTCCACACAGTGCCCCTTAAAAGGGCTAGGGCTAGGCTCAATGTACAACTCGGTCAATAAAGATCTCTACTGTCAAGTTACTTTGCTTTAGAAATAAAAACTTAAATAATTTTAAAAAGATCTCAGGCTGGGTATGGTGGCTCATGCCTGTAATGTTAACACTTTGGGAAGCTGAGGCAGGTGGACCGCTTGAGCTCAGGAGTTCAAGATCAGACTGGCCAAAATGGTGAAACCCTGTCTCTACTAAAAATACAAAAATTAGCCAGGTGTGGTGGCGGGCGCCTGTAATCCCAGCTACTCAGCAGGCTGAGACAGGAGAATTGCTTGAACTTGTGAAGTGGATGTTGCAGTGAGCTGAGATCACACCACTACACTCCAGCCTGGGCGAGAGAGTGAGACTTTGTCTCTAAGAAAAAAAGCCCCAAATTCCATATGCCTGCTCTTAAAGTTATTCCCAAATTACCTCTAACCTTTAAGATATGTCTCACTTTCTCCAAGATAATAAAAGATGTGGGTGAAGGAAAAAAACCCAATCAATCAAACAGGTGAAGAAGCAGACATAAACAGTCAGAAGGGAAATGGCAGCAACATAAAATAAGCCAGAGGCAAAGTATCCCCCAAACCAGAGGAGCCTCAGCGGCATGCACAGCTGGAGAGAGCATCTGGAAAGGTAGGGTGTGAGGGTGGGGCCCTCCTGGAGCTCCTGTCTTCTGGACTCCAGAGGCTTGGGTGAGGAGGCTCTTCCCTCTCTGAGTTGGCACTGTGGGTGTCAGGCTATGCTTGGCAGCGGGAGGAAGGAGAATCCACAGGAGGCCAAAAGGGTAGAACAAGGGCAGGTGGACAAAGACAGAAGAGGCTTAGAGAGAGGCAAGAGATTCAGGGGAGGAGGAAGAGGTGGCTTCAGGGAAGCGAAATGTTGAAGAAGAGCGGAGGAGATCAAGACCAGGGGCTGTGCCTTCCAAATGGCTGCCTGCTGCCTTGCCAGGGGCAGAAACAAATAGATGGAAAAGTCCCCTGAGTGGTGCAGTCACACAGGGTGGAGTCACCTGACAATGCTGCTCTGAATACTCTCATTGGACCGCTCTCCTCAGGCCCAGGATGTGGGGATAAATCTGGTAGAGCACTAGACCTCCACCTCCATTTAAAAAACCAGACTTTTGAGTAAGGGTTCACTTCAACATAGGAGGCTCCAGCTAAAAAACAAGTCTGAAAGACACTGATCTTATCCAGTGTCATCTTACAGAGGAGTTAAAGAGGCCAAGGGGAAGAAGTGATTTTTCTGTGGTCACCCAGCACGCTGGAGGCAAAGATGAGCTCAAAAGTTAGATCTTCTCCCAATCTTAGTGCTTGGGGCTCTCCTCATCGCACCCTTGGGCCCTTTCGGTCACTCCAAAAGAGACAGCCTGATGGCAAGTGGCTGTTCCCATTAGCCTGGCTTTCCCTTGAGACTGGGGATGAGGAAAATGAAACAGCAACTACCATTTCCTGGGTGTCCTGGGTGTTTATGGCAGGCCCTGTACTTGGCATTAACATAAAAATAATAACTAATCTCATTTAAGCTTCACAAGTGTAAGTCAAACAATACCACCCTTATTTTACAGATGTGAAAAGAGAGGCCCAAAGAGCTCAAGCAATTTGCCCTACATCATATCCCTAGCAGAGGGAGAGATAGGATTCAAACCCAGAATTCTTAACCAGGACCCAACAGTTCTTCCACAATCTTAACAAGTACCCTCTACTGCCCTTGGGCCCCCTGTCCCCAGGAGCCTGGCCAGCCAAGACTCACATCTCCAGGTGAGTGGCAACCACCAGAAGTGGTTGTCTCGGGGTTACTGCAATTTTTAATTTTCTTTTTCACTCCTGTAGGAACACCAGGGCTGTTCCTCCACTGATAGTCTCTCAACTGTGGAAAAGAAGAGCAGGAATTCTCATGAGAAGTCCCTACAATCACATCTGCCTTTACAGTTTTTACAGAACTTTCTTTTATGCCATCTGATTTATTGCCACAAACAACTGTACAAGGTGTTGTCTTAATGACTTAATGACTGAGAGGGATTGATACCACGGCTTAAAAAAGGCAATAATTGAACTTGAACTCTGTCTTCTGACTCCAAGATCTGGGGTTTTGCCACAAATCAGCAGCTGCCAGGGCCCAATACCAGAGGCAGAGGTAGAAAAACAGACACTAAGTAGGCAGGAACTGGGTACTGTGTGGTTTAGAGTCACACATCATCACATGTCTGTTAGTGTAGGAAGTGCAGCAGCCCCTCTCAAACTCTTACATCAATGAGTCCTCATGGCAGAAGGCAGCCTTTCTGTTACATCTGGGAATTGAACAGAAAGAGGACAACCCAAGCCTCTTTTCAGAGTGAATTTTGGTATACTCTTAGAAATCTATGGGGCTGTCATCCCTAAGTCCATGAACGTTTTTTCTCTCTCAAGAGAATCAAGGGAAACTGATGCTTCAGAAAGATGCCCCATATTACCCTGTGGCACTCAAAGTCACCTAGGTTGAGATATGAGGAAGATTCAAGTGTCAAGTTCAGTTTCCCAAGATCTGTTTCATGGTAAATAAGCAAATCTCACTCCAGGCAGGGTCTGGGCTGTTGAGGGGAGGGGCTCACTGACAAGACTTTGGTAGAGGGAGCCCAGAGGCAGCTGGGGGCCCAACCCAGTGAGCCTCGGGAGTGGCATGAGCTCTGGCCGTGGTCCTGCCATCAGACGGCACCTGGGGCTGGGTCGTTGGGCTGCCACCAGGCGCTTGTACCTTTTTCTTTGCTGCTGCCAATTTGCTCGTCGGGTTTCTTCCGACATGGCAGGGCGGGAAGGGAGGTGGGGTTGGGGCCACATCAGCTCTATCCCAGTTACCACTGTGGAACAAGTCCTGTCTGCCACCGCGCAGCTGTGAGACTGACCAGAGAAGGTGTAACCAGGGCCAACTAGGGCAGAGGGGGGGCGTGGCCTCCATGCTCCAAGCCCATTGGTCGATGCGAAAGATGACAGAAAAAGGAAGCGCAGCCAGGCAACAGCGCACCCAGGGGGATATGAGGCGTCACAAGGAAAGCTGAGCAGGCAATTGCGGCCCCGCCCACTCTGGGGAGAGGGGCGGGGCCGCTGACTCCGGGAGCGGGCGGGGGCGGGGCCGCAGGCTCCAGTGGGAGGAAAGGGGCGGGGCCGCCGGCTCTAAGGGTGAGAGAGGGGCGGTGCCTCCTGCTCCAGGGGCAGAACGGCGGGCAGACTTTCTCTGGGTGAAGTCGAAGCTTCTTGGGCTACCCTCATGCTCTGAGTCAGAGTTCCTTTACAGGTGGACCTGAGAGGTGACTCACCAACTCCTGCCCTGGACCCTCCTGCGCCACTGAACCCCCTGACCTGGGGGCCTCGGAACCTAGGGCTCAGGAAGTGGGTGAGGAACGGACTCCACAGTTTCTTTCCTGACTCCTCACAGCCCTGCCCCAGACCTTCCCTTCCCAGAAATCACCTCTAAGGACCCCTAGCCAATGTTCCAGACACACCCCCCTCTCGGAACGTCCCATTCCTAGAGGGTACCTACCCTGATTCCGGGAGAGCATCTGCCCCCTTTCCAGCTAGATCCAGTCCCGGGCGCTCCTGCTTCCCAGCTCCTCCTCCTCCCGCACCCCACAGCACCCCTTTCTTCTCAGGGCGGCCGTGGGTCCCATCAGGCTTTCCCCTCGGATCCTCTCCAGGATGAACCAGGACTTACCTGAGGTTACCAAGTGAACTTCTGGGAAAAGTCCAATTCTCAGATGCTAGATGTCTTCCAAAAATGAAGCAAATTTGTAACTTAGTAGCTGAGTCAAGTATTCCTGTTAGATGGTCAACATTAATTTTTTATTTTATTTTAGTATTTTTAAGTGGCAACTCTAGTGTGTAAGAAAATGAATGCGACAGCTGAATTTGTAGAAAGCTTCTCTGACTCTCTTGGGCTCTGTCATAAGCCCTGGAACGAAATAAAAGTCTAGTGAATACAGGGAAGCCCCCTTCTTTTTCTCCATATTTACCCCTCACCTTAACCATAATTTCACATAATTAACCACATTTAAGGTGGT
This sequence comes from Homo sapiens, assembly GCF_000001405.40. Lineage (NCBI taxonomy): Eukaryota > Metazoa > Chordata > Mammalia > Primates > Hominidae > Homo > Homo sapiens. The sequence continues at coordinate 22,595,119 of NC_000019.10, read as the reverse complement.
TGATAATAAAGTGGGAATGTACAGGATTCTTTTTAACCCTGAGTTAGCAATCCAAAAATTAGAATTTGTTGCATTCCTAGAACTAAGTTCAGGGTTCCTGAGCAGGTACTCAAGCAGACACAAAGACAAAACTTCCATTTTATTTCAGAAGAACCTCCATAATCCCGTGAGTCAGTTCCCTTAGTAAATTATGTTGTCTATCTATCTATCTGTCTCCTATTGGTACTGTTTCTTTGGAGAACCCTAATACACACACTCTTTTTTCCTGGCTCTTTGAGTATAAGATGATTGGCCAGGATTAAGAATGTAGCCTCTGCACTGAGATAGCGCCACTGCACTCCAGCCTGGGTGAAAGAGGAGACTCTGTCAAAAAAAAAAAAAAAAGAATGTAGCCTCCTGTAGCCACTAGCTCATTCCTTCTTTAATGAGTCCCCCCACCCTCCCAGAGCACCACACTTTTTGTCAATTGATCATTTGCCTTGATATACTTGAGAAATGTCATTGTCATTCATGAAACACCTCCATATACAATAGTATGTATACTAAAAATAACTCTTCTTCCTCTTCCACTCAAAAAAGAAGAATTCTAATATAATGGTTATATATAAGGAACATTTTGAATCTGAGTTTACTTTTAAATTATATTAAACATTCACAAAGTGCAATACTTTATTTTTTATAACAGATTATTGGTGAGGCACCCTTACCACAAAATAGGACAGTCCATTGTGTCCTATCTAACCCAAAGATTAAAATAAAATAAATGTATCTCAGCAAAAAGAACTATAGACAATGAATGCTGTTTGTCAGGAAGATACAAGTTCATATAAGGAAGTGTTTTTTTTTCCTGATTATTTTACTCTAGGGTAAAATAATTTCCTCAACCAAAATCAGTTTCTACTGGAATACAGTTTGTCATGTTTAAGTCACGGCAGCTGAGCCAGGACTATATTCTTCACTACATCAAGCAAGATGAAGGAGCTCCAGAAATACTTTAAAGCAGGAATTTGAAGTTTGGATAGGATGGCTACCATTTAAGTCATATTCAAGCTGCTCCTTTATGAGACTTGCAAGGCCCTTTGGAATCTGACTTCTACATCCTTCCTTTCCAACCTCATTCCTCATCAGTTCCCCAACCTCATTCCTCATCAGTTCCCCAACCTCATTCCTCATCAGTTCCCCACTTCCCTCCTCTAACAACCTTCATCCATCCACATCATGCACTTCAGCTATTCTGAACTTCCCTCCTGAAACCAGCCACTCACAGAGCAACACTTCAAATCCTGGCCCAACTCGTGTAACCCAAGGCAGGTTTCCAAACTCTCTATGTCCCAGTTTCCTCATCCTCATTCCTAAATTTGAAACAATAACATCCAAGTCATAGGGGCATTTGGAAGTAATAAGATATATCTTTCTGTATTACTTTCTTCCTTCTAAATTTGTGGTTTCCAAATGCAACTTTCCACAGACCAATTACTTTAAATACATTTCATTATATAAGCCTCTTCCTTGTGTTATATTATATGCTCCCGTTCCATGAAGGTTGAATATAATTCAGGGTTTGATAGTGTCTCAAGTTTATTAAAACAGGACTTAATTTTTACATAATACAGTCTTCTCTGAAAACCAGACTTTTCAAATAGCTGTGTGTGGTCAGTGAGCCAGGCCCAGGAGCTAAGAACCACACAGGATGGATTATTTTCCTTAGGGCTGTTATATGTGCCTTGAGCCATGGAGAATCCACAAACACTTGCCCAGCTGAGACTCTATCCACCTTGCATCAAGGCCTTGCACATAGTAGGTACTCAAGAAATATTTTTTCTTAATTAGCCCTGAGGTAATTTTACAAATGCTTCAATTGTCTTATGGTTTTGCTCATTCTGTTTAAAATCTGTGCTTCTCAAACTTTAATTGCATACAGTATACATCACCTAAAAATCTTGCTAAAAAGCAGATTCTATTTCAGTGGTGCAGGGCGTAGCCTGAGATTCTGCATTCCTTACAAGCTCCTAAGTGATGTCTGTACTCTTGGTCCATGATACACACGATGAGTAGCAAAGTTATAAATCTTATTTCAAAACACATTAGTGTTTATATCGTTGTCCTCCTGGAGCACCCTGTACCTTCCCTAACTTAACCATACTATTTATAATCTTGTATTTATTTTTCGATATACCTTTCTAAACTATAATCTCTCTGGTGACAGGCACTAAATATACCTGGTTTCCTGTTGTATTCTCAGTGCCTAACAGATAATTAACACTCAATAAATACTTCTTGAATGTCAATTGACCAAATGAATGAATATATACCAAAGACATACTTTTATACTCACCCTTGATCACATGCAAACACTCCCCTGCTACCTGTTCATAAAAATGTCACCATAGCTTTGGGAATTTTTCAAGGTCAGAGTAAAATTTATCATTATGATCATGGCTAACATTTATTGAGTACATTATGCATTCACTCGTGGTTTTCGCACTACAGCCATATAAGGTAAAATTATAATTCCCATTTTATTTATTTAGTATGGTTTTTGACATTTTTTAAGTTGACAAATAATAATTGTACATATTCATGGGGTACATAGTAATGTTTTATTACATACAATGTATAGAGATCAGATTGGGGAAATTAGGATATCCAGCATCTCCAACAGCCATCATTTCTCTGTGTTGGGAGCATTTAATATCCTCCTTCTAGCTATTTGAAACACATATTATTGTTAACTGTAGACACCCTACTGTGGTATAGAACCCTAGCACTGATTTCCCCTATCTAGCTATAATTTTGTATCCTTTAACACAGGGATCCCCAACCTCCTGGCCATGGACCAGTCCCTGTCTATGGCCTATTAGGAACCGGCCACACAGCAGGAGGTGAGCAGGGGGCGGGCGAGTGAGTGAAGCTTCATCTATGTTCACAGCTGCTCCCCATTGCCCGCATTCCCACCTGAGCTCTACCTCCTGTCAGATCAGCTGCAGCTTTAGATTCTTGTGGGAGTGTGAACCCTATTGTGAACTGCACATAGGAGGGGTCCAGGTTATGTTCTCTTTATGAGAATCTAACTAACGCCTGATGAGTTGAAGTGAAACAGTTTCATCCCAAAACCATCCCCATCCCCATCCAAGGAAAATTTGTCTTCCACAAAACCAGTCCCTGGTGCCAAAAAGGTTGAGGATCGCTGCTTTAACATATCTCTCCCTCTCACTTCCTTCCCCATAATTCCCATTTTAAAGGTGGAAATAGAGGCACAGAAATGCCAAGTATCTTATCCAAGTTGACATAGCTAGTAAATGCCACTGCTAGGAGTCAGGCTCCACAGTCCATTCAGCTAACGTCTACACCATGAAGACGAAAAAACTGAGACACTCTGTGACTTAGTCAAATTCTTTAACCTTAATGCACTTTAAATCTGCAGAACAGAGATTAGATCCCATTCTAAACAGTACCCTGCCAAATTCCATATCTAGTCGTCACTCAGGCATTTTCAGATTCAGTTCTCTTCTTGAGCAACCCCACAGGTTTATGTCACGAAGTAACGTGTAATGTTGCTGGGATACAAATGTGATTGACAAACTCTGTGCAAGGCTGGTCCACCAGAATAGGATGCTGGCTGGTACAGGAAGGGCAACCAATGAGGAACCCAACATCTCCATGAGCATGTAGCTTTATGTTCCTCCCCTCTTGGTGCACATTGAAATTCCAGAAAAATGGTGTGCCACAGTAGTATTCTCAAATTTGGAATTTGTAAAGGTTGTCAGATGTACCCCAGACAAATGTCAAGAACCCACTCTATGTTCCTGTTCCTGGGTGACATTCTCTGCTATGGTCACTCACCTGAATTATAAACTTTTCCACAACTAAGGAAAAGCAGATATTATATGCATTTAAACATATCGTCTCTATTTACAGAGTGATAATACATAGCAATTTTTATGAAGGGAACAAAATAATACAACTACATAAGAGGCGAGTTGCTATGGTAACAATTTCTCGGCTTAAATTTAGAGAGGCAATGCCTTCCAGTACTGAAAGATTCTCTCAGCTTTTAACAGCAAGTATTATGTATTATTTTATATATTGGGCCTGGTTTTTGTCTTATACTAGATAAGTTTCCGTGTTACCTTACTAAATAGGAAATGCTATATCATTTCATAAAATAAGTCATATTGGATATTTAATCATTAAATGGTAATCTCATTGGATGGTGCATCCTCAATGACAAATAAAAATTATGACCAAATTTATCACCCGGAATGTTAATAGATGGTCATACATAGCTTGAAACAACTGTGTGGTTCTATCAATACTTTCAATTGTCTGTAAATGTTATTTATTTCCAGAAAACAATTTCCTGAATTAATAGAGAAAAGTTAACGCATAAAACTCTGTATTTCACACCAAGATAATTTTTTAACCCACAGTATTTTCTTACATATCATTGGCAGATCCCCTTCCTGCTTTCCCATTCAGTGATGGATGTATTATACTAAAAAAAGCTTTCCTAATCAGTGGCAAATACTTTCCAGATTTCCTGCAAACAGGAAAGATAGTAAATTTTGTTATACTTTAACAAGACTTCCTCCAACCACTTTTAGCCACTGACCCAGAGAACTACAATTTCAGAACCATAATAACAGCAGTAATAATAATATCACCCATTAAGCTCTTGCTTAGTATCAGGTCTGGTTCTAAGCACTTCACATGGGACACCAAATATACAAACAGCACAACCAAGGGAATCTAGAGACAGTATGCGTTTAAAGATCTCATATTTGTTTATAAAAAAGAGATAAGACAGGGTGCGGTGGCTCATGCCTGTAATCCCAGCACTTTGGGAGGCCAAGGCGGGGGGATCACGAGGTCAAGAGATCGAGACCATCCTGGCCAACATGGTGAAACCCCATCTCTACTAAAAATACAAAAATTAGCTGGGCATGGTGGCTCTCGCCTGTAGTCCCAGCTACTCGGGAGGCTGAGGCGGGAGAATCGCTTGAACCCGGGAGGCAGAGGTTGCAGTGAGCTGAGAGCATGCCACTGCACTCCAGCCTGGTGACTGAGCAAGACTCTGTCTAAAAAAAAAAAAAGTAAAAATAATAATAATAATAATATGTAGCATTGACTATAAGGGTTTCTCTTTTAATCCTTACAACAACCCTATGAGCTTGCTTGCTAATGGATACTTTGGATACTGTACAAATCAGCTTCCATGTCCTGTAAGTCCTCCCTGATTTGTACAGATTAAGAAACCCAGTCATTTTCGCTCAGGTGTCATAGTTTATGAAATGAAATAAACAATACACTGAATGTAAATGTATTAATAAGATTCAAGAATAAATGGCTGCTACCAAATAAAGACAGAAAATTGGCAAGTGAAACATGTCATAAACATTCAATGCTCCAAATCACAAATGCACAAGATACCAACATTTCCTGTAATAATACATTAAAGCATAATTTCTGCTTTTTGTCTTTGAAGTATTCCTGGTGTTGTGCATTTATACTTTATGTAAACGATGACATTATGAATACTCTGCTTATACCTGAGCAAGCCTAGAACTTAAATATTTCATATACATCAGAGGAACATAGTGCTGCCAGTTGTTACTGAGATCTCATTTTCTTTTTGTAAAAAGGTAGATGAGTAAATCATAGTGATAAAAAAGCGGCCAGGCGCAGTGGCTCACACCTGTAATCCCAGCACTTTGGGAGGCCAAGGCGGGTGGATCACAAGGTCAGGAGTTTGAGACTAGCCTGGCCAACATGGTGAAACCTCATCTCTACTAAAAATACAAAAATTAGCTGAGTGTGATGGCATGTGCCTGTAATCCCAGCTACTTGGGAGGCTGAGGAAGGAGAATTGCTTGAACCTGGGAGGCAGAGGTTGCAGTGAGCCAAGATCGCGCCATTGCACCCCAGCCTGGCAACAAAGCGAGATTCCATCTCAAAAAAAAAAAATAAAAAATTCACCATATACCTTCAGCATAATAAAAATAGTATGAGTCCTGATATGACAAATAATATGTAAGATCATTTTAATTATAATTGCTGATATATTCTGGTATAAGTAAACAGGCGTTTATGTCCAAAATATTACAACCTTAATTATCCATAAGCAGGGTCAAATCGTTTAGAGAGGATACATTTATGTAAAGGTTTGAACATGTTAAACTTTGGTTCAGCTATACTATTCTTAATATTAAGAGTAGTATTGTCAATCTATCACCCAGATTCCATTTCAATTATTTTTAATTTTTATATATCTACCCCCATTCTATGTAAATTTATAGAATGCTTTAATATTTGAGAGCACAAATCTACTGTTACAGTTATTTAATCTTTTGCAATTTTTTCTTAATTATTTTATTTTTTTAATTGACATATAATAATTGTACATATTTATGGGGTATGTAGTGATGTTCGGATACATACAATGAATAGTTAAGAGATTAATTAGCATATGCATCATGTCAAACATTTATCATTTCTTTGTGATGGGAACATTCAATATACTCCTTCTAGCAATTTGAAGCTATATATTATTGTCAACTATAGTCATCTCACAGTGCTATAGAACACTAGAACTTATTTCTCCTGTCTAGCTGTAATTTTGTATTTTTTGACAAATCTCTCCTTATCCATCTCTCACCCACCTCTCCAGCCTCTAGTATCCTCTGTTCTACTTTTTCCTTCCATGAGATCTTCTATTTTTTAGCATCCACATACGGTGAGAACATGCACTATTTAACTTTCTGTTCTTAGCTTATTTTGCTTAACATAATGTCCTCTGGATTCATCCTGGCTGCTTCTTATGGTTTGTATTTGAAATATATATGTGTGCACATGTGTGTATGTGTGCACATATGTGTGTGTAGGTGTGTGCCTGTGTGTGTGTATTACATAGCAAATATTAGGTAAACAACTAAATAATTGTAAATAAGACTAAATCTTATGGAGTATGTAGTGATGTTTGGATATATGCAATGAATAGTTATGTTACAAAATAAGCATAAGACATATCTGTCCCACACTTTTATATCTTTAGCATTTTGAGAAATAGTGTTGATGTCAGGCCCAATACTTTGTTCAATTGTAACTGAACCAGCAAAGATGTCATGATGCCATAATGGATCCACTCTAAATATGATGTTAAATGGAATATATCATTATTTTTTAAAAGTAAGGACTAGTTTGAGACTTATATTTAAGTTTCTGAGTATCTGTGCTTGCATTCTTATATCTAATAAAGTATTTAATTGTCTTACACTTAACATTCTTAAGGCCTAGGGCAAGAATAATAATAAAAACCTATATAGTACATGTTTAAATATTTAAAAGTTATAAATCATGTTAACAAACTGTTAAGTATGCTTTGTTTTCCCACTTTGACACATGTAGCTTCCTAATGAAATTCAAGTTTAGAGCTGGAATTCTTGGGCCCTCAAAGTCCAGTACCAGAATATAAGGGCATGGGGAGAGCTGGTCCCCCAATGTGGTCTCACACCATGACAGGCCTTGTGTGTACACATTTTGGGTACCTCTGTGGATATGTCCAAGCTCAGTCTACCACTGTACCTCTGGTAAACAGCTTTGCATTGGCCCACAGGGCCTCTAGTTGTGCGCTCTCTATACATGGCTCACCATGAAAGACAGAACTGGAGGAGAGAAACATGAACCCTGGAAGCCATATCCAAGCCCTTTGAAGAGAGAATTCTAAGTCTTTATGTCCCACAGCATTATCTAAAAGGTGGTAGGTGGGGGTGAGTAATTTATAAAGGAAAACGGTATAATTGACTCACAGTTCAGCATGGCTGGGGAGGCCTCAGGAAACTTACAATCATAGCAGAAGGTGAAGGGGAAGCAAGGCACCTTCTTCACAGAGTGGCAGGACAGAGTCAGTGAGTGCAAGCAGGGGAAATGCCAGATGCCCATAAAACCATCAGATCTTGTGAGAACTCACTCACTATCACAAGAACAGCATGGGAGAAACCACCCTCATGATCCAATTACCTCCACTTGGTCCCGCCCTTGACATGTGGGATTATGGGAATTACAATTCGAGGTGAGATTTGTTTGGGGACACAGAGTCAAACCGTATCAATGTCAAAGGATTTTCAGCTATGTTTTAAATTTGCCTCAGTATACAACTTTATGTTAACAACTGAGGATCAGGAATGAACACACATAATTGATTTCCCTGGATTTTTCAAGGGAGAAATCTTGGTAAGAAAAGTGAGATGAGAAACGCAATCTTTGAGAGGCAGTAGTCTGTACTAGGAAAGGCTTTTTGTAGTGGGGATCGATGGGTCCATATCTTGTATTCTATGCTTGAGATTTTTGACTTTGAGAATCAGTTTTCCTGTGAGGGCTAATAAAACCCGTCAATCTCCATGGTCGGCAGGAAATCCAATGAGATAACACAGAGACCAATACGTGGCTTCTATTAACATGCCAGATCATCAAGGCAAACCTAAGGCAAGAAAACAAATCAAAAGGCAATAGTCACTTGATACTTAGTCTTGATTTAGCTTAATGAATCATAGGTTCCCTTTCTAGAAGGGAAACTATGACAATCCGATGGCATTATAAAGTTCAATTTTGTGAGAAGCCCTGTGATGGTCAATTGCAAATGTGTCACTGTTTTAAAGACCTAGGTCACCCTTCAGGCAAATCATATATTATAAGCACATTTCAGATTTATCTAGAGCATAAAGCATAGCAATATAACAGCAAACATTTATTAAGAGCTTACTGTGTGCCAGGTATTATGCTAAGTACTTTGTATGGATTTAATCATAACAACCATATTATCTACTTGTTAGCGTGGGGAAAATGAAGTTTATAGAGATTACATACTTGATGAAGATCTGGAAGCTCATAAGAAATGAGCTGGAATTTGAATCCACCCTTGTATACATTATACTACCTAATGACACAAAACTTAGCCTGTTTGATAGCTTTTTTAGGATTATGCTAAGATGACATCAAATTAAATTCTGATCTAGTCTAATTAATTTAATTCAATATATATGTATTGGACACTCTTCAATCTAACCGAACTAATATTTAGTGAGAGGTTAATATAAACTAGGCATTGGTGTATAGATTTGACAAGATGAAAATTTCACCCTCAAGTAGATCCCATAGTTATCAGAAGACAAAAACATAAAAATAACTGTAATATTGAGTGGTATATTCCAATCTAGTTTTAAACATTGTATTGGTGCTAAGGAAGTTAGAAAAACAAACCAGACACAAAATCTGCCCACAAGTGCTTGTAATTTACTTGAAGAACTTAATTCTAACATAGTTTCATCAGGTAATTCAGGTAAATATTCACTCTAGGCCCAGATTTATGGTAACTGATAATTATTGATAATTTCTTTAGATTTGTTGATATTCTACTTGATGAAACATCCAAATTTTACTTTATGTAAATGTGGCCGGCCGGGCGCGGTGGCTCACGCCTGTAATCCCAGCACTTTGGGAGGCCGAGGCGGGTGGATCATGAGGTCAGGAGATCGAGACCATCCTGGCTAACAAGGTGAAACCCCGTCTCTACTAAAAATACAAAAAAAAAAAATTAGCCGGGCGCGGTGGCGGGCGCCTGTAGTCCCAGCTACTCGGGAGGCTGAGGCAGGAGAATGGCGTGAACCCGGGAAGCGGAGCTTGCAGTGAGCCGAGATTGCGCCACTGCAGTCCGCAGTCCGGCCTAGGCGACAGAGCGAGACTCCGTCTCAAAAAAAAAAAAAAAAAAAAAATGTGGCCAAAAGTGTCAGAAAATAACCAATTGTGCTTTTTATAAAACAACAATGAACAACGCTTGACTAAAGCCACCACACAGAGCGACTATCATTATGGGTAGGTTGTCTTTGAATTTTAAGGTATTAATCACAGAAGAGGAAACTCAGTCCTGAGAATTGCCTATTGGGTGGTTAATCATTTCTGTTAGTTACATTTTGACTAATCATCCATCCATCCATCCATCCATCCATCCATCCATCCATCCATCCATCCATCCATTTATCCATCCATCCAGCCAGCCAGCCAGCCAGCTAATATCCCATCCCACTCCACAGGAATATGGTGGGCATCTCAATATTAGCTGTAAGCTGAAGCTGGCTCATATAGGCTTCTGAGGGACGATTGTTAAATTTCTGAAAACTTTACATGCTTTCCATACAACCATTAAAAAACTAAATTTTATAAACAAATAAATTATATTAAAAATAAAGTTAATAGATACACAAAACTCATCATTTCCTAATAATTTTACTATATTTTGGTATTATCTGTGCTCTTAAGGTTATTCACATTTACTGTATCTGTATGATGAAGTTACTATAATAATGGTGTGTTACTTTGCATCTCTTCTCAACTCCACATTCTGTGATGTCATGTTAGTAGCTTGAAATAAACTGTAATGGGACTATTTATACCTCAGGAATTAGCAAACACACTTCAGTGTATGTCATAGAGTAAAAACAGCTGGAGCAAGTGTTTTAAGTAATGGAGATCTTTGAAAGTACCACTTAGTTCTTTCTTTATTTTGTAATGCATACCTTTTACTTTACTAAACATTTTAAATAAACCAAGTACATTTAATAATTTTAAAAAGTAAATTATCTCTGGCGGTTTTATAATTTTTACAAAAACCCAGTCTGATACACAGTCATACTCTGTGTGGCAATCCCTTTAACTCTTAACTGTTTCTTCTGGTAGTTGTTTTAACATTTAGAAACAATATTCTTACATTGCTTTTATTTGAATTACCAATTCTGGACATTATATATTAATTTCCTATTACAATAAATGAAAACATTGCTCTTTCAAATTCCATTCTTTTCTTCATACCATCTTCCTAAAGTCAGTGACCTCAGTATTTTTAGTTAAATCTATCATTACTCATCTTATTATTACTATATGTATTTTGGTAATGGTAGGCGCAACTAGTGTATGCCAAATCATTTTTCCATTTTATAAAGCATTTTTCCCTAAATTTAATAATTGAGTCCTTGTATAATGTTTTTAGTTGCATAATTCTCTCTACCAATGTATGTTAGCCATTATCACTGTTGTTTCTCTTGTTTTCCATATATCCTTAATTATATTGGAATGTTTAATTATATCATCTATTTTAACAATTAGTTCGATATACGTTAACCATTATCACTGTTGTTGATTCTCTTATTGTTTTCCGTATATCCTTAATTGTATCAGAATGTTTTATCATATCATCTATTTTAACAATTCCTGAAGTCCTCTTTCCTGAAATCTTCCACCCTTCTCCAATTTGTGCTGGTTTCTCTCTAGCCTTGCTGCCCTGGTGTCATCCTAGGACATATTTAGGCTTTGTAGTTGGAGCTATTATGTTTGGAAAACATGTCTTCCTCTTTCTTAGTTTAAGCCATTGCTTTACTGTATTACATCTACCAGTAGTTTTCTAAGAAAGTGTACGTAGGAGATAGATTTTATGAGACACCAAAATACTTCATTCTACCACATTTGATTCCAGAAATTGAAATTGAAATTATTTTCTCCTGGAATTTTGAAAGCACTTCTTTGTATTTTAGCAGCCCATGTTGTTATTAGAATATCTGTTGTCTGGTACCTTTGAATTTGACCTACTTTCGTGTGTGTGTGTGTATGTGTGTATGTGTGTGTGTTTTAATTCAATGACCTGGACATTTATTGAGCATTTTCATTTTCCTTTAATTTTATCATGGTACCTTGACTTTATCTTCCAACCATGGTATTATTATTATTTTTTAATTTCAGGAACCATATTTTAAAATTTCTAAAGGGCTTTATAAGTCACTTTGTTGTAAATGACTCATATGCTACATTTACTTATATTTTACTCTGTGTCCACTCTGAGAGTCTTTGTGTTATAATAGGTGATTTCTATACCATTTATTTATTAATATAATATATATGGATAATTAAATTTGACCTTTTATTTTATATTATGCTCTTTACTTTTCATTCATTTTGCTAAACACCTGATGGGATTCTTCAATCTGTACATGATGCCTCCAAAAAATACTGCATGATATTCAAGTTTGTTAATTTCATAATCTAAGAACTCAATCTTCTTTTATTTCTCCGTACTTCTTCCACCAACCCTACAGTCTTGGAATAATACTGAATTTATATTGTATATATTTAATAAATATTGTTTATTTGACATTCCACTGTGTGTTTGCTATATAGAGACTGTCAAGAACCTAATTTATTTAATTTCCTCAAGTACACGGTGTTATTAGACATTATAAAAATATTTACTGAATAAATCAATGGTAGGATTACCTCATCCAGAGAATAGAACCTATTGCTCCAAATTAAATTTTACTTGTGTAATATATGGTGGAAATACATTAGAAAACCCTACCTCTTAGACTGTAACATTATGATCTAGGAGAAAGGTAGTTGTAGGCCCTTCTTGAGTTATATTTTTTTGAAAGGAGATGCTATTCTCACTTACCATCGTATTATTATTTTTCTCTGGGACTACTTCTCTGATTTAGAATAGAGGTCAGTGAGGGAAAATAGTCTTTCCCTTATAGAAATTTATTTTATGATCAAAATCAATAGAGTCTATCTGTTCAATAAAAACAAGATGCCTACAAAAAAAAAAATCCATTACACAATTTTCATTCTTATTACTAGATTTCTTTCAAACAAGAGATGGTTAAATAACCCAGCTTAAAATATATCCTAAGACTTCCCAATTTAGTCCATTTTGCTTTTTTTTCAGGCTCCCTTTAATTAGCCTGATGGAGCAAATTTGAAATCGTAAGTCTCATAGGAGCCTGAGCCAAGTGCCCAGCTCATCAATGTCTCAGTATTTTTGAATTTCTCACAGTGTTCTTTAAATGTAATACAGGTCTGTATATCAAACTTTTTAGAAAGAAGAGATCTAACACAGTTCAGATTTAGATTTTAGTGGATTCAAAATAATGTGCTGTGTAGAGTTTATTAAGGCTTTTTACGTGAAAGTGATTAGCACTTGTAACTAGGTAAATACTTGGCAAAGTTTTACACAATTATCTCCAGGATTGATCTAGAGAATTTTACTTGTCTATCATTTTCTTCTTTCACATTCTTTCCTTCATGTTTAAATGATAAGAGACCAATTAACCCCTGACTCAGTCATCGACAATGTTTCCTTCACTTTTCCTTGTTTTTCTGAGACTGGGTGTAGTCTGACTGAGTAATAAGGCAATACAGGGAAGTTGGCAAGGAGGTAAGGGTAAGGTGAGTGGGTTGCATGTATGCCAGCCCTCAAAAGACTCATCAATAGCCCGTGCCAGGCTGGGCATACCATTTATTATGGATTTAAATGGACATTACATGAAGGGGTGGGTTGCCCTTCCACACCTGTGGGTGTTTCTCGTTAGGTGGAACGAGAGACTTGGAAAAGAAAAAGACACAGAGACAAAGTATAGAGAAAGAAATAAGGGGGCCCAGGGGACCAGCGTTCAGCATACGGAGGATCCCACCAGCCTCTGAGTTCCCTTAGTATTTATTGATCATTATTGGGTGTTTCTCGGAGAGGGGGATGTGGCAGGGTCATAGGATAATAGTGGAGAGAAGGTCAGCAGGTAAACACGTGAACAAAGGTCTCTGCATCATAGACAAGGTAAAGAATTAAGTGCTGTGCTTTAGATATGTATATACATAAACATCTCAATGCCTTAAAGAGCAGTATTCCTGCCCGCATGTCCCACCTCTAGCCCTAAGGCTGTTTTCCCCTATCTCAGTAGATGGAACATACAATCGGGTTTTATACTGAGACATTCCATTGCCCAGGGACAGGCAGGAGACAGATGCCTTCCTCTTGTCTCAACTGCAAAGAGGCATTCCTTCCTCTTATACTAATCCTCCTCATCACAGACCCTTTACGGGTGTCGGGCTGGGGGACGGTCAGGTCTTTCCCTTCCCACGAGGCCATATTTCAGACTATCACATGGGGAGAAACCTTGGACAATACCTGGCTTTCCTAGGCAGAGGTCCCTGCAGCCTTCCACAGTGTTTGTGTCCCTGGGTACTTGAGATTAGGGAGTGGTGATGACCCTTAAGGAGCATGCTGCCTTCAAGCATCTGTTTAACAAAGCACATCCTGCACAGCCCTTAATCCATTTAACCCTGAGTTGACACAGCACATGTCTCAGGGAGCACAGGGTTGGGGGTAGGGTTACAGATTAATAGCATCTCAAGGCTGAAGAATTTTTCTTAGTACAGAACAAAATGGAGTCTCCTATGTCTACTTCTTTCTACACAGACACAGTAGCAATCTGATCTCTCTTTCTTTTCCCTACATTTCCCCCTTTTCTTTTCGACAAAACCACCATCGTCATCATGGCCCGTTCTGGATGGTCGCTGTCTCTTCGGAGCTGTTGGGTACACCTGCAGAGTAACAACAGACAAAACAGCCACACAAGGATTAATATGAAATTTATAATAGTAGTACTTCCAATGGTCTTAACCCAAGTGACAGGGTTAAGATTTGAGAGGCCAGCAGCAACTCCTGCGATTGCCTCAGTTCCCGGCACCAAATTTAAATGGGCTTTTGATGTTTTGAAAATTTGTTCTTTTAATTTGGAAATGTCTAAAGTGAGATTATCTTCTCCTCCCTGTAGATGGCATCTAACCATGTCCCAGTGATGCTCAGACTCATTATAAATTTGGGGTGTAATACAAAAATCTGAGATATTCCAGTCACATCGTAACTGGAAATGATGTTCTAAGCTCATGAGTCTGTCTCCCACCCAAATGACAGTTTGTCTAAGATCATTAATTTGATTTGCCAATTTTTGATCAATACCAGATTGTGAATTCCACAATCTTGTGGAATTCTTTTGCCAATCATTAACAAAGTTTACTGACTGAACAGAAGAGTGCAACGCAACTCCTGCCACAGCAGCCGTAGCTGTGACTGCAATTAATCCCATAATCACTGCAATTAAAGTAAAAATGAATCTTTTGGATCTATTTAAAATGCCTTTTAATACTTCAGTCAAAATATGGATGGATGGCGAGGCCTCCCATGGTCGGTCCATGGACACAGGGATCCACACGCCTTCTCTTGCTCTCACCAGCAGAATACGGTGCTGCCAATTAAAAGTTGAATCAATGTAAGTAATCAATCTACAGTTTTCACAGGTTATAGTTTGAAAGTCTGGTTTAATAACTATATTTCCTACAACTAGCATATAAGGGGGCTTTATGAAACTTTGTAAAGGAACCGTTAGACTGGAATTTAGATCGATAGTATAAAATGGCTTATGATCTCTTGTTTCTAAAGTTTGATTTCCAGATCAAATCCTAATGTGGTATGAGGCTACAGTAAGCCTCCATAATTTTGGATGTTCATGACCAGAAATGTTTAAACTTTCTGTTAAGTCGCTATCAACAGCTGGACTCACTTGTGCACTGGGTCACGACTGAGTTTGCCCTGAGCAATTGTGGTAGAATTGACCTCCAGATGTCCAATCTATAATAGTTCTGAATTCATTGTTTTGTAATATTACTGAACTATTGGCCACACATTCTTCCCAAACTAAAACTTCTGTATTTTTTGATCCTTTGGGAATTTCCTCGGGGCAAGGTTGCCCTTTAGGTCTAAATTTTAATGATCTTTGATAAGGAAAGTCTTGTAAATTATTTACCCGTGGCCTGAGTGACATCCCACTTACCATGTGATAAGTGAATCTACTGATGGGACTGACAGTAGGTACTTCTACCAACCAATTTTGGACTGCAGGCATTAAGCATCCTAGTGCTCTCCCTAGGCAAATAGGAGGATAATGATACCCAGTGGAAATATTTGTCATCATCCCTTCTTCCTCAGGTTTGGCAGGGCAGCGATCATCTGTGGGGCCATGTACCCATACACTATCATTAACATATACTTCAATAGGATTATCCATCCATGTGAGTGGTGTTTCCATCTCCATGGAGGCGCTTTTCTTTTCATCTCCGATGGGTTCATTGTAGAACTTCAAATGTCTAGTGGGCATCCAAACAGGAAGCTGATTTTCTCCTCGTGAAACACAAGCAAAACCTCTCCCCCACGTTATCACCTTCCCTATTTCCCATGTCTTATTTTTATTATCTTTCCACCAAATCAGTTTTCCTTCATGTGGGCTGTTCTTTTTACCAGTAAGATGTTGTTCTGCAGAAGTAGTAGTCTGATTTCTATAAATGTTTAAAAAATTTAAAGTATAGAGTGCTAGATTAAGTTGCCTCTGAGGAGTAGCACACTCCTTACTGTCTCCCCCTTCTTTTTGTTTAACTAATTGAGTTTTGAGTGTTCAATTAGTTCTTTCAACTATGACCTGTCCTTGGGAATTATAGGGAATTCCTGTTGTATGTGAAATTTTCCACTGATGTAAGAATTTTTGGAAAGCTTTACTACAATATCCTGGTCCATTGTCAGTTTTAATTTTTTCTGGAACTCCCATTACAGCAAAACAAGATAATAAATGTTTTTTAGCATGGGAAGTACTTTCTTGATTATCTGGCCCTAAACAATGTAAAATCCTAGTACTTTGATACACTTCTGAGGCTGTGCCTATGCTGACAAGCCCCGTAACAACCTTTTGTTTAGGCCAATTTTTTGGCCACTGATTTAAGGCAATGATAGAGACATCTGGTCCAGTGTCTACTAATCCTTCAAACTGTTTTCCTTGAATAACGGCCTTACACACAGTTCTGTTCTCTGAGACATGACTTGCCCAATATGCAGCCTTTCCTGTCAGATCCGTGCTTCCAAATCCTCCTGTTCTTTTTATCTCACTATTTCCAACCTTAATGTAAGTCAAGAGTAATAATTGAGAAATCCTGTCTCCTGGACTGGCACTGCAAGGAATTGAAGAGCTAATAATCAATTGAATTTCACCTTTATAGTCTGAATCAACCACACCAGTATGAATTTGAACTCCCTTTGGATTTAGACTTGATCTTCCCAAGACAAGTCCTACAGTCCCCTCAGGCAGCGGGCCGTATACCCCTGTGGGGATTTTTTGTGGGGGTTCCCCTGGAAGCAGACAGACTGCTTGTATAGTACATAAATCTACTGCTGCACTGTTGCTTGTGGTGGGGGACAATTGTTGTATTGTGGTAACTGGCTTATTCCCTGAGGTACTTGGGACAGTGGGGGTTGTTGTCCCTGAAAACCCTTGAGGAACAAAGGGCTGAATTGGGAATGCCCCAGTTTGTTGTGGGGCCTGAGGCTAGCCCCTTTGCTTGTTTCCCGACAATGGTTGCTCATTTCTATCAAATTTAGAACGACATTGACTAGCCCAATGTTTTCCTTTTTTACATGTTGGACATAAGTCAGGTGGCTTTTTACCTGTTGTCGTAGTAGCTTGAATAGTTATATTCTGTTTACTTGAGACTGGACAATTCTTTTTAAATGACCAATTTGACCACAATTATAACATTTCCCTCCAAATGTTCTAACTTGTCCTCCTAAAACAACTCCCGCTATTGCTTGAGCCATAAGTATAGCTTTATGCTAGCTCCTCCAGTTCCATCACAGGCTTTTACATACCTGAGATTACATCTGATCCTGCGGGAACCTTTCCTTTTAATGGCTTAATGGCTGATTGACACTCAGGATTGGCGTTTTCGTATGCCATCAACTCCACTATGACCTTACAGGCATTTTCATCAGCAATTGACTTTTGAGCAACATCTTGTAGCCTTGCCACCAAATCAGGGTAGGGCTCTTTTGAACCTTGTCTTACTGTATTAAATGAGGGGCAGGCAGTTCCTGGGTCTTGGATTTTTTCCCAGGCTCTAAGGCAGATAGCTCTAACTTGCTCAATGGCCTCATTTTGCATTAATGCTTGTTGACTAATAGTGCTCCAATTTTGACCTGTTCCTAATAGTTGATCTGCATCTATGTTAACTGGAGGATTGGCAGCCCTATTTCTTCAGACATGTTCTTGTGCCCCATCAATCCACCAAGTCTTAAATTGTAAAAATTGAGAGGGTGAGAGAGACGATTTTGCCAGAATCTCCCAATCATAAGGAATGAGTCTATGTCCATGAGCAATGGAATCTAATAATGTCCTCATATAAGGAGAGTTGGGTCCATACTGTTTTACTCCCTCTTTCATATCTTTTAGCATTTTTATCGAAAAAGACTTGTATCTGGCCTCAACTGTGAGAGGCTCTCCCTCTTGGGCTCCTTCTCCAGGTGGTTCTAACATTATTGGGAATTGCCATGCCTCAATATCTCCTTCCTTTCTTGACTTATCAATAATTTCTGGTAATTCACTACCCTGTCTACTAGGTGGTACCATAGGATTAAGTCTCCTAGTGGGTGGCTGAGGGTATGGCGCCCTGCCCTGTGGTGCTGGGAGCGTTCCTGGATATCCATACTGACTTTCTGGGGGTGGCCGATACTGAAGTTTGGCTGGCGGCCATTATTGATAAGCTACTGGCGGTTGGGTCTTATTTTCTCTAAACTGCGTTTGAGGTTGTAATATTACGGGCATCTGACCTGCTGGAAGAGGACATGGCCCTCGTGGTTTAGACTCTGATGGCCCCACTAATTCTGAACCTTTTCCTTCTAATTTTAACGTTTCAGGATATATCACCTCCTGTAATTGATTATAGTCAACACTTTGCGTTGACTGAGCCATTACCGGCTCTGCTACATATTCGCAATGTAAACTTTCTGTTTCTCTCTGGGATTTTCTCCCTGTCTTTTCTTTACAATCTATTACACAGCTTCCAGGGGCATCAGAAACTGAAACGCTATCTTCTTCTGTTTGAAATGGTTCTAAAGCTGCTTTAATAATGGCCCAATCATTCCATACTATAAGTGGGATGATATTACCCTCCCTACCTGCTTGTTTTAGTTCTTTACCAATTCTTTTCTAATCTTTTAGATCTAAAGTTCCTTGTTCTGGAAACCATGGGCAAAATTGTTCTATTGTTTGAAATAGATTGATTAGATTTTTTTTTGTGGATACTCTAACTCCCCCTCTTTTTAAAAGAATTTTAATAAAGCTGAGATAAGAGGCATATTTACTTTTAGTTTTACTTTGAGTTTGCCCCATTGTCACCCTAGCTTCTGAGCGCACGAGCTTACCGTAAGGCTGATTGTAGATGTACTCGGGATCTCTCGTCGACTTGTCCTCAATAACCACGCTCGAGCCTACCTTCACTCTAGAGAAAAGCCCCCACGTTGGGCACCAGATGAAGGGGTGGGTTGCCCCTCCATGCCTGTGGGTGTTTCTCATTAGGTGGAATGAGAGACTTGGAAAAGAAAAAGACAAAGTATAGAGAAAGAAATAAGGGGGCCCAGGGGACCAGCGTTCAGCATACGGAGGATCCCGCCAGCCTCTGAGTTCCCTTAGTATTTATTGATCATTCTTGGGTGTTTTTTGGAGAGGGGGATGTGGCAGGGTCATAGGATAATAATGGAGAGAAGGTCAGCAGATAAACACATGAACAAAGGTCTCTGCATCATAGACAAGGTAAAGAATTAAGTGCTGTGCTTTAGATATGCATACACATAAACATCTCAATGCCTTACAGAGCAGTATTGTTGCTCGCATGTCCCACCTCCAGCCCTAAGGCTGTTTTCCCCTATCTCAGTAGATGGAACATACAATCGGGTTTTATACCAAGAGATTCCATTGCACAGGGACGGGCAGGAGACAGATGCCTTCCTCTTGTCTCAACTGCAAAGAGGTATTCCTTCCTGTTATACTAATCCTCCTCAGCACAGAACTTTTATGGGTGTCGGGCTGGGGGATGGTCAGGTCTTTCCCTTCCCACGAGGCCATATTTCAGACTATCACATGGGGAGAAACCTTGGACAATACCTGGCTTTCCTAGGCAGAGGTCCCTGTGGCCTTCTGCAGTGTTTGTGTCCCTGGGTACTTGAGATTAGGGAGTGGTGATGACTCTTAAGGAGCATGCTGCCTTCAAGCATCTGTTTAACAAAGCACATCTTGCACAGCCCTTAATCCATTTAACCCTGAGTGGACACAGCATGTTTCAGAGACCATGGGGTTGGGGATAAGGTTATAGATTAACAGCATCTCAAGGCAGAAGAATTTTTCTTAGTTTCATGTGCATCCGTGTGAAGAGACCACCAAACAGGCTTTGTGTGAGCAACATGGCTGTTTATTTCACCTGGGTGCAGGTGGGCTGAGTCCAAAAAGAGAGTCAGCGAAGGGAGATAAGGGTGGGGCCATTTTATAGGATTTGGGGAGGTAAAGGAAAATTACAGTCAAAGGGGGTTTGTTCTCTGGCGGGTAGGAGTGGGGATCACAAGGTGCTCAGTGGGCAGGAGTAGGGGTCGCAAGGTGCTCAGTGGGGGGTGCTTTTTGAGCCAGGATGAGCCAGGAAAAGGACTTTCACAAGGTAATGTCATCAGTTAAGGCAAGGACTGGCCATTTACACTTCTTTTGTGGTGGAATGTCATCAGTTAAGGTGGGGCAGGGCATATTCACTTCTTTTGTGATTCTTTAGTTACTTCAGGCCATCTGGGTGTATACGTGCAAGTCACAGGGGATGCGATGGCTTGGCTTGGGCTCAGAGGGCTGACATTCCTGCCTTCTTATATTAATAAGAAAAATAAAATAGTGTTGAAGTGTTGGGGCGGTGAAAATTTTTGGGGGGTGATATGGAGAGAGAATGGGCGATGTTTCTCAGGGCTGCTTCAAGGGGGATTGGGGCGGCGTGGTAACCTAAAGTGGGAGAGATTAAGCTGAAGGGAGGTCTTGTGGTAAGGGGTGATATTGTGGGGATGTTAGAAGAAACATTTGTCGTATAGAATGATTGGTGATGGCCTGGATACGGTTTTATATGAATTGAAAAACTAAATGGAATAAGAGAAGGAGAAAAACAGGTATAAAAGGACTAAGAATTGGGAGGACCTAGGACATCTAATTAGAGAGTGCCTAAGGAGATTCAGCATAGCCCTGCCAGCAAAGATTATTTATTTACTTCAAGAGTTAAGAGTGGCAGTTTGGGGATAGCACCAGGAGATATCAGCTTTGATGGCTTGGAAAAACAGTGTAAACCAGCGGTGTAAACAAGAGTAGAGCATTTATAAGTAGTTGAGAATGGAGAATAGGAGTATGACCGGACAGAAGATAGTAGGGATGACTAGTTTTTTGGGGCTTGGCCTAAGTGGTGGGGTGACTTCTTAAAGCCCTGTTGCAAAAAGTAGGGTAAGGACGAACAGACCTAATAGAATGAAGGGATGTATTAGGCTCGTAAGTGTTATTACTGTTCTTCAGAAATACGAGTGAGTTTAAGGGAAGTGGGGGAGAGTACTTGCGACTTCCAGGAGGAAGAGGAGGGATTAGGCTGGCTGTCCGATGGACACAGCTTTATTCTGGAACGGTGAACCCAGTGGGGAGGATCCTGCAGGCGGACGGCAGTCAGGGTACTATAGATGACTAAGTAGGGTCCGGTCCATCGAGGTTGTAGAGTTTGAGGGGTCAGATTCTTAACAAGAACTGATCGCCCAGCTAGGTTGTCTTCATATAGCTGGGGATCTGGAGTAGGCAAGAGAAGATTAGCAGCCTGGTGAATTTCCTGTCTAGCCTGCTGGAGTACTGGAAGATAGTCACCTAGAGGGCTGGTGCCTGGGATGAGGTTGGGGCCAAGCAAGAAAGTGCATCCATATGAAAGTTCAAATGGACTGTACCCTGTAGCTTCTCGAGGAAAGGCTCTGATTCTGAGAAGGGCAAGAGGTAAAAGTACTGTCCATTCTGTTTTAAGTTGGAGGCTGAGCTTGGTGAGGTGTGTCTTTAAAAGACCATTAGTCCGTTCTACCTTTCCTGAAGATTGAGGATGGTAAGGGATATGAAGTTTCCACTGAATACCAAGAGCCTGAGAAACTGCTTGGGTGATTTGGCTAGTAAAGGCTGGTCCATTATCAGACTGTATAGAGGTGGGAAGGCCAAACCGAGGAATTATGTCTGACAGAAGGGAAGAAATGACCGCGGTGGCCTTCTCAGACCCTGTGGGGAAGGCCTCTACCCATCCAGTGAAAGTGTCTACCCAGACTAAGAGATATTCTAGTTTTCTGACTCGAGGCATGAGAGTAAAGTCAATTTGCTAGTCCTGGGCAGGGGCAAATCCCCGAGCTTGATGTGTAGGGAAGGGAGGAGGCCTGAACAATCCCTGAGGGGTAGTAGAATAGCAGATGGAACACTGAGAAGTGATCTCCTTGAGGATAGATTTCCATGATGGAAAGGAAATGAGAGGTTCTAAGAGACGGTCTAGCGGCTTGTAACCTACATGGAAGAGGTTATGAAATGACGACAGAATAGAATGGGCCTGTGAGGCTAGAAGAAGATATTTTCCTTGGCCTAAGAACCATTTGCCTTGTGTGGGAAGAGATTGATAGGTGGAAGTTTCAGTGGGGGAGTAGGTGGGAGTGACTGAAGTGAAGGAGAAAAACTGGCCGTGAGGGACAGAAGTTGGAAAGCTAGCTGCTTGTCTAGCCACTTTATCAGCATAAGCATTGCCTAGAGCAATGGGATCTGATGCCTTTTGATGCCCCTTGCAGTGAATGTCCCCAGCTTCTTTTAGAAGTAAAGCGGCTTTGAGCAGAGTTTTTATTAAAGAGGCATTAATGATGGAGGACCCTTGTGTAGTGAGGAAACCTTTTTCAGCCCATATGACTGCATGGTGCTGCAGAATATGAAAGGCATATTTAGAATCAATATAGATATGGACACGTAGTCCTTTTGCAAGAGTGAGGGCTTGAGTTAAGGCAACTAGTTCAGCTTGCTGAGAGGTAGTGGAGGGAGGCAGAGCAGTGGCCTCAATGATAGATGTGGAAGATACTATAGCATAGCCTGCCTTTGCTGGTGTGTGGTGATTAGGCCTGGTGGAACCGCCATCAATAAATCAAGCATGATCAGGGTGAGGAACAGGAAAGAAGGAAATTTGGGGAAATGGGGTGAATGTCAGGTGGATCAGAGAGATACAGTCATGGGGGTCAGGTGTGGTATCAGGAGTAATGTGGGAGGCCGGATTGAAGTCCAGGCCAGGAACAATGGTAATTGTGGGAGACTCAACAAAGAGTGAGTGTAGCTGAAGGAGCCAGGAAGCAGAAAGTATATGCATCAGGTATGAGGAAGAAAATAGATTTTGGAAGTTATAAGAACTGTAGAGAGTGAGTTGAGCATAGTTTGTGATTTTGAGGGCCTCTAAACGTATTAAAGCAGCGGCAGCCACTGCACGCAGACATGAGGGCTAGGCTAAAACAGTAAGGTCAAGTTGTTTGGACAGAAAGGCTACAGGGTGTGGTCCTGGCTATGTAAGAATTCTGACCACACTAACCATGCCTAGGAAGGAAAGGAGTTGTTGTTTTGTAGAAGGTGCTGGGGTTTGAGAGGTCAGACATGATTGGCAGGGAGAGCACGTGTGTTTTTATGAGAATTATGCCAAGATAGGTAACAGATGAGGAAGAAATTTGGGCTTGATTGAAGTAATGGGGGCTGTCTGTGAAGCTTTGCAGCAGTACAGCCTTGGTAATTTGCTGAGCCTAATGGGTGTCAGGGTCAGTCTAAGTGAAAGCAAAGAGAGGCTGGGACGAGGGGTGCAGGGGAATAGTGAAAAAAGCATCTTTAAGATCAAGCACGGAATAGTGAGTTGTGAAGGAAGGTATTGAGGACAAAAGAGTGTACGGGTTGGGCACCACAGGGTGGATAGGCAAAACAATTTGGTGGATAAGGTGCAGATCCTGAACTAACTTGTAAGGCTTGTCTGGTTTTAGGACAGGTAAAATGGGGGAATTGTAAGGAGAGTTTATAGGGTTTAAAAGGCCATGCTGTAGCAGGCGAGTGATAACAGGCTTTAATCTTTTTAAAGTGTGCTGCAGGATGGGATATTGGCGTTGAGTGGGGTAAGGGTGATTAGGTTTTAATGGGATGGTAAGGGGTGCATGATCGGTCACCAAGGAGGGAGTAGAGGTATGTTATACTTGTGGGTTAAGGTGGGGGGATACAAGAGGAGGACGCAAAGGAGGCTTTGGATTGGGAAGAAGGGTGGCAATGAGATATAGCTGTAGTCCAGGAATAGGCAGGGAAGCAGATAATTTAGTTAAAGTGTCTCAGCCTAATAAGGGAACTGGGCAGGTGGGGATAAATAAAAGGAGTACTTAAAAGAGTATTGTCTAAGTTGGCACCAGAGTTGGGGAGTTTTAAGAGGTTTAGAAGCCTGGCCGTCAATACCCACAACAGTTATGGAGGCAAGGGAAACATGCCCTTGAAAAGAAGGTAATGTGGAGTGGGTAGCCTGTGTATTGATTAAGAAGGGGACTGGCTTACCTTCCACTGTGAGAGTTACCCAAAGCTCAGCATCCGTGATGGTCTAGGGGGCTTCCGAGGCGTTCGGGCAGTGTCAGTCTTCAGCCGCTAAGCCGAGAAGATCTGGGAAGGAGTCAGTCAGAGAGCCTTGGGCCAGAGTTCCAGGGGCTCTGGGAGTGGCTGCCAGGTGAGTCGAACAGTCCGATTTTCAGTGGGGTCCCACACAGATGGGACGCAGCTTAGGAGGAATCCCGGGCAGCGGGCATTCCTTGGCCCAGTGGCCAGATTTCCGGCACGTGTAGCAAGCTCCTGTGGGAGGAGGTTCTGGAGGAACGCCTGGCCACTGCGGTTCAGGTGTTTGGAACTTCTTGTGTGCTGGAGATGTGGCTGGGGTTTGTCTCACAGTGGAGGCAAGGAATTGAAACTTTTTTCTACTATCGTACACCTTGAAGGTGAAGTTAATTAAATCCTGTTACGGGGTTTGAGGGTCAGAATTTAATTTTTGGAGTTTTATTTAATGTCAGGAGCAGATTGGGTAATAAAATGTATTTTGAGAATAAGACGGCCTTTTGACCTTTTAGGGTCTAGGGCTGTAAAGTGTCTCAGGGTTGCTGCCAAACAAGTCATGAACCGGGCTGGATTTTTATATTTGATGAAAAAGAGCCTAAACGCTATCTGATTTGGGATAAAGAAAAAGGAGCATTCACCTTGACTATGCCTTTCGCTCCAGCCACCTTTTTAAGAGTAAATTGCTGGGCAGGTGGGGGAGGGCTAGTCACGGAATGAAGCTGTAAGCCGGACCAGCTGTGAGGAGGGGAGGTGATGAAAAGATTATAGGGTGGAGGAGCGGAGGCTGAGGAAGAATTGGGACCTAGCTTGGCCTGGCGAGGAGCAGCCTGGGGAGGAAGGGAGAGGTCAGATGGGTCTGTAGAAAAGGAAGATTAGAAAGACTCAGCGACGCTTGGGGTTGGTACTGAGGGGACAGGTGGGAGGGAAAGAAGGAAGATTTGGGACGAGTTGCACTGGGCACAGGGACTAGGAAGGGACTGAGTGTGTAAAAGAATGCCTGGACGTCAGGCACCTCAGACCATTTGCCTATTTTATGACAATAATTATTTAGATCTTGCAGGATGGAAAAATTCAAAGTGCCATTTTCTGGCTATTTGGAACTACTGTCGAGTTTGTATTGGGGTCAAGCGGCATTGCAGAAGAAAATAAGGCATTTAGGTTTTAGGTCAGGTGTGAGTTGAAAAGGTTTTAAGTTTTTGAGAACACAGGCTAAGGGAGAAGGAGGAATGGAAGGTGGAAGCTTACCCATACTGAAGGAGGCAAGCCCAGAGAAAAGAGTAGAGACACGGAGAAGGGGCGGGGGGTTCTTGCCCTCCAGAAAAGCAAAGAAGGGGTTGGGGCATGGAAATAAGGGATTGGGGCACAGAGATAAGAGGTCAGGGTGCAGAAATAAGGGATTGGGGCACAGAGATAAGAGGTTGGGTTGCGGAAATAAGCAATTGGGGGCTTCTTGCCCCCTAGGAAAGTGGGACTTGCCACTAAGGGTGAAGGAGAAGGGGTTGAGGGGTACTTGCCCCTGCCCCAGGAAAGCGGGACTTGCCGCTAAGGGTGAAGGACCAAGGCAGGCATCCCTGTGTGGTCTGACACCCTTGAAATGTGACTGTATAATCAGAGAGGTGTCCCTGCAATGATTAAACACCAAGGGAAGGCTGCCTTCCCAGTCCGTGACCGGCGCCAGAGTTTTGGGTTCACAGATAAAACATGCCTCTTCTGTCTCTACCAGAAAATGAAAGGAATTGAAATTAAGAGAAGGGAGAGATTGAAGTGTGGCACCAAGATTGAAAGGAGAAAGAGTTTGAGGGATAGTGAGGGAGGTTGGAGAAGAGAGTAAAAAGAGGCCGCTTACCAGATTTGAAATTGGTGAGATGTTTCTTGGGCTGGTCGGTCTGAGGACCTGAGGTCGTAGGTGGATGTTTCTCATGGAGCAAACAGCAGGAGGACAGGGGATTGATCTCCCAAGGGAGGTCCCCCAATCCGAGTCACGGCACCAAATTTCATGTGCGTCCGTGTGAAGAGACCACCAAACAGGCTTTGTGTGAGCAACATGGTTGTTTATTTCACCTGGGTGCAGGCGGGCTGAGTCCGAAAAGAGAGTCAGCGAAGGGAGATAAGGGTGGGGCCATTTTATAGGATTTGGGGAGGTAAAGGAAAATTACAGTCAAAGGGGGTTTGTTCTCTGGCGGGTAGGAGTAGGGGTTGCAAGGTGCTCAGTGGGCAGGAGGGGGGGTCGCAAGGTGCTCAGTGGGGGTGCTTTTTGAGCCAGGATGAGCCAGGAAAAGGACTTTCACAAGTTAATGTCATCAGTTAAGGCAAGGACCGGCCATTTACACTTCTTTTGTGGTGGAATGTCATCAGTTAAGGTGGGGCAGGGCATATTTACTTCTTTCGTGATTCTTTAGTTACTTCAGGCCATCTGGGTGTATACGTGCAAGTCACAGGGTATGCGATGGCTTGCCTTGGGCTCAGAGGCCTGACACTTAGTACAGAACAAAATGGAGTCTCCTATGTCTACTTCTTTCTACACAGACACAGTAACAATCTGATCTCTCTTTCTTTTCCCCACACTGGGAACTTTGGATACCGTATTTGCTGCAGATAATTAGACCAACAAAATGTCAAGACCCCTGGAGCAATATGCCTCAACAGAGTATCAATATACTTTAATAATTATCTTCATAAAGTAAAGGTCTGCTTCAAAAGATAACCTTAAAACTCCATATCTTTGATTCTGTTAGTTCCTAAGATAAAAAAGAAAATGCTGGTCAGTGTGTATGAGTACATAGTAGAAGAGGCTGATGTGTTTGTGTGGGAAGGGATGGGACATTTCTCAGGATTCTGGTTTTAAAGGTTTATTAAATATATGAAGAACCAGAGGAAGATCACAATGCTGACTGTGAGAATACAATTGTTCTGTGTGAACTTACTTTTTTAAGTCTGAGAGGCTGTTAGCAACTTGGGGCTCTGCCCTGGAAAGCACCAGGTTTACTGTTATGAGATCCTGTTGATCTCCGGCTGCCAGAGTCTGTGTGACAGCAGACTGAAATTGATCTCCATTCTTTCAGACAACGATGAGCTTTATTGGCTCGAGCCAGGACTTCTCAAGAACATGGGATGGACATGCTCTCTTGCTCCTTCTCATAATTCAGGAAATATACTTGTCCCTGGGGTGGAACATTGGCTTACTTGTGGGGCAAGAATATGAAACGCTCACCTTCCAAACCAACAGAACCTTTGTGTGACTACGAGTGTCCAGCTACAGCACTCATCTTTCCATGCTACAAATCACTAAGCTTGGCACCCTCATGTCAGACTAAGAAGACAAAGAGTTTATAATGTCAGGACAGTTTACAAATTGTTTCTTTAACAAAGAAGAGTCTCAGAGGGTATTTCATAAAATATGGTATTATCTCCTTTTCTTTCATGCTATTTTTACATAAAGTCGAGCCAGCAAAGCTCTTTTAAAATTAGTCTTTTTTGGGCCGAGCACAGTGGCTCACGCCTGTAATCTAGCACTTTGGGAGGTGGAGGCAGGTGGATCATGAGATCAGGAGATCGAGACCATCCTGGCTAACACGGTGAAACCCCGTCTCTACTAAAATACAAAAAATTAGCCAGGCGAGGTGGCGGGCATCTGTAGTCCCAGCTATGCGGGAGGCTGAGGCAGGAGAATGGCTTGAACCCCGTGGGGCGGATCCTGCAGTGAGCCAAGATCGCGCCACTGCACTCTAGCCTGGGTGACAGCGAGACTCCATCTCAAAAAAAAAAACACAAAAAACATAAAATAAAATTAGTCTTTATTTAATAAACATATCATTAATCCTTTTCAATGAGAGAGAAGTAAACTTCAAATGATCAGAAGTGGGAAATGAATTAGCACAATTCTAGAATAATACATTATTCCTGAATCTAATAATTTCACAAGCATCATTATTGCATTTTCCACAGCCCATTAGTAAGACAGTAGTGTCCATTCAGATTTGGTTTTTAATCACTCCTTGGGAGAAATGTTATTACAGTTGGGATCTTTTTTGAAAAATTTGTCTATGGGGCTAGAATATAAACTTATAAACAGTCACAGAACCAATCTGTCTGAAGGCATTTTTTTCTATAAAAGATGACAGTCCTAGGAACTTGTTGGCAAGATGGGTGAATAGGAACAGCTCCAGTCTGCAGCTCCCAGTGAGATCAGTGCAGAAGGCAGGTGATTTCTGCATTTCCAACTGAGGTACCCAGTTCATCTCATTGGGACTGATTGGACAGTGGGTTCAGCCCATGGAGAGTGAGCTGAAGCAGGGTGGGGCATTACCTCACCCAGGAAGCACAAGGGGTCAGGGGATTTCCTGTTCCGAGCCAAGGGAAGCCATGAGAGACTGTACTGGGAGGAACAGTGAACTCCTGCCCAGATACTGCAATTTTCCCATGGTCTTTACAACCAGCAGACCAGGAGATTCCCTCCGGTGCCTGGCTTGGTGGGTCCCACCCTTATGGAGCCCAGCAAGCTAAGATCCACTGGCTTGAAATTCTTGCTGCCAGCACAGCAGTCTGAGGTCCACCTGGGATGCTCAAGCTTGGTGGGGGAGGGGCGTATGCCATTGCTGAGGTTTGAGTAGGCAGTTTTACCTTCACAGTATAAACAAAGCTGCAGGGAAGTTTGAACTGGATGGAGCCCCCCACAGCCCAGCAAGGCTGCTGAGGCCAGTCTGCCTCTCTAGGCAGGGCATCTCTGATTAAAAAGGCACCAGCCAGGGACTTATAGATAAAACCCCCATCTCCCTGGGGGTGACTGTGGTCACAACTTCAGCAGACTTAAACATCCCTGCCTCACAGCTCTTAAGAGAGCAGTGGATCTCCCAGCACAGCATTCAAGCTCTGATAAGGGACAGGCTGCTTCCTCAAGTGGGTCCCAGACACTCATGTGTCCTGACTGGGAGACGCCTCCCAGTAGGGGCCAACAGACACCTCATACAGGAGAACTCTTGCTGGCATCTGGCAGGTGCCGCTCTGGGACAAAGCTTCCAGAGGAAGGAACAGGCAGCAATCTTACTGTTCTGCAGACTCCACTGGTGATACTCAGGCAAACAGGGTCTGGAATGGACCTCCAGCAAATTCCAGCAGACCTGCAGAAGAGGGGCCTGACTGTTAGAAGGAAAACTAACGAACAGAAAGGAATAGTAGCAACATCAACAAAAAAGACGTCCACTCAGAGACCCCCATCTGAAGATTACCAACATCAAATACCAAAGGTAGATAAATCCATGAAGATGGGGAGAAACCAGTGTAAAAAGGCTGAAAACTCCAAAAACCAGAATGCCTCTTCTCCTCCAAAGGATCACAACTCCTTGCCAGCATGGGAACAAAACTGGACAGAGAATGAGTTTGACAAATTGACAGAAGTAGGCTTCAGAAGGTGGGTAATAACAAACTCCTGTGAGCTAAATGAGCATGTTCTAATGCAATGCAAGGAAGTTAAGAACCTTGAAAAAAGGTTAGATGAATTGCTAACTAGAATAACCTGTTTAGAGAAGAACATAAATGACCTGATGGAGCTGAAAAACACAGCATGAGAACGTCATGAAGCACACACAAGTATCAATAGCCAAATGAATCAAGAAGAAGAAAGGATATCAGAGATTGAAGATCAACTCAATGAAATAAAGCGAGAAGACAAGATTAGAGAAAAAAAGAGTGAAAAGTCATGAAGAAAGCCTCCAAGAAATACAGGACTATGTGAAAAGGCCAAATCTACGTGTGATTGGTGTACCTGAAAGTTACAGGGAGAATGGAACTAAGTTGGAAAACACTCTTCAGGATATTATCCAGCAGAACTTCCCCAACCTAACAAGGCTGGCCAACATTCAAATTCAGGAAATACAGAGAGCACCACAGAGATATTCCTTGAGAAGAGCAATGCCAAGACACATAATCATCAGATTCATCAAGGTTGAAATGAAGGAAAAAATGTTAAGGGCAGCCAGAGAGAAAGGTCAGGTTATTCACAAAGAGAAGCCCATCAGACTAACAGTGGATCTCTCAGCAGGAACCCTGCAAGCCAGAAGAGAGTGGGGGCCAATATTCAACATTCTTAAAGAAAAGAATTTTCAACCCAGAATTTTATATCCAGCCAAACTAAGCTTCATAAGCGAAGGAGAAATAAAATTCTTTACAGACAAGCAAATGCTGAGAGATTTTGTCACCACCAGGCCTGCCTTACAGGAGGCCCTGAAGGAAGCACTAAACGTGGAAAGGAACAACTGGTACCAGCCACTGAAAAAACATACCAAACTGTAAAGACCATTGACGCTATGAAGAAACTGCATCAACCAATGGGCAAAATAACCAGCTAGCATCATAATGACAGGATCAGATTCACACATAATAATATTAACCATAAAGGTAAATGGGCTAAATGCCCCAATTAAAAGACACAGACTGGCAAATTGGATAAAGAGTCAAGACCCATTGGTGTGCTGTATTCAGGAGACACATCTCACACGAAAAGACATACATAGGCTCAAAATAAAGGCATGAAGGAATATTTACCAAGCAAACAGAAAGCAAAAAAAAGCAGGGGTTGCAATCCTAGTCTCTGATAAAACAGACTTTAACCCAACAAAGATGAAAAGAGACAAAGAAGGCCATTGTGTAATGGTAAAGGGATCAATGGAACAAGAAAAGCTAACTATCCTAAATATATATGTACCCAATACAGGAGCACCCAAATTCATAAAGCAAGTTCTTAGAGACCTACAAAGAGACTTAGACTCCCACACAATAATAGTGGGAGACTTTAACACCCCACTCTCAACACTAGATATATCAACGAGACAGAAAATTAACAAGGATATCCAGGACTTGTACTCAGCTCTGGACCAAGCACACCTAATAGACATCTACAGAACTCTCCATCCCAAATCAACAGAATATGCATTCTTCTCAGCACCACATCACACTTATTCTAAAATTGACCACATAATGGGAAGTAAAACAATCCTCAGCAAATGTGAAAGAAAAGAAATCATAACAAACAGTCTCTCAGACCACAGTGCAATCGAATTAGAACTCAGATTAAGAAACTCACTCAAAACCACACAACTACATGGAAACTGAACAACCTGATCCTGAATGACTACTGGGTAAATAATGAAATGAAGGCATAAAGAAAGATTTTCTTTGTTCTTTCTTTGAGAACAAAGACACAATGTAGCAGAATCTCTGGGGTGCAGCTAAAGCAGTGTTTAGAGGGAAATTTATAGCACTAACTGTCCACAAGAGAAAGCAGGAAAGATCTAAAATCAACACCCAAACAACACAATTAAAAGCATTAGAGAAGTAAGAGCAAACAAATTCAAAAACTAGCAGAAGACAAGAAATAACTACCATCAGAGATGAACTGAAGGAGACAGAGACACAAAAATCCCTTTAAAAAAATCAATGAATCCAGGACCCATTTTTTTAAACAGATTGACAAAATAGACCACTAGCAAACTAATAAACAAGAAAAAGAGAAGAATCAAGTAGACACAATAAAAAAATGATAAAGCGGATATCACCACTGATCCCACAGAAATACAAACTACCATCAGAGAATACTATGAACACCTCTATGCAAATAAACTAGAAAATCTAGAAGAAATGGATAAATTCCTGGACATATACACCCTCCCAAGATTAACCAGGAAGAATTCAAATCCCTGAATAGACCAATAATAAGTTCTGAAATTGAGGCAGTAATTAATAGCCTACCAACCAAAAAAGGTCCAGGACCAGATGGATTCACAGCCGAATTCTACCAGAGGTACAAAGAAGAGCTGGTACCATTCCTTCTGAAACTGTTCCAATCAATAGAAAAAGAGGGAATCCTCCCTAACTCATTTTATGAGGCCAGCATTTTCCTGATACCAAAACCAGGCAGAGACACAACAAAAAAAGAAAATTTTAGACCAATATCCCTGATGAACATCAATGCAAAAATCCTCAGCAAAATACTGGCAAACTGAATCCAGCAGCACATCAAAAAGCTTATCCACCACGATCAAGTTGGCTTCATCCCTGGGATGCAAGGCTGGTTCAACATACGCAAATCAATAAATGTAATCCATCACATAAACAGAACCAATGACAAAAACCACATGATTATCTCAATAGATGCAGAAAAGGCCTTCGACAAAATTCAACAGCCCTTCATGCTAAAAACTCTCAATAAACTAGGTATTGATGGAACATACCTCAAAATAACAAGAGCTATTGATGACAAACCCACAGCCAATATCACACTGAACTAGCAAAAATTGGAAGCATTCCCTTTGAAAACTGGCAGAAGACAAGGTGCCCTCTCTCACCACTCCTATTCAACATAGTATTGGAAGTTCTGGCCAGGGCAATCAGGCAAGAAAAAGAAATAAAGAGTATTCAATTAGTAAAAGAGGAAGTCAAATGGTCTCTGTTGGCAGGTGGCATGATTGTATATTTAGGAAACCCCATCATCTCAGCCTCAAATCTCCTTAAGCTGATAAGCAACTTCAGCAAAGTTTCAGGTTACAAAATCAAAGTGCAAAAATCACTAGCATTCCTATACACTAATAACAGACAAACAGAGAGCCAAATCATGAGTGAACTCCCATTCACTATTGCTACAAAGAGAATAAAATACCTAGGAATACAACTTAAAAGGGATATGAAGGACCTCTTCAAGGAGAACTATAAACCACTGCTCAAGGAAATAAGAGAGGACACAAACAAATGGAAAAACATTCCATGCTCATGGATAGGAAGAATCAGTATTGTGAAAATGGCCATACTGCCCAAAGTAATTCATAGATTCAATGCTATCCCCATCAAGTTACCATTGACTTTCTTCACAGAATTGGAAAAAACTACTTTAAATTTCATATGGAACCAAAAAAGAGCCCATGTAGCCAAGACAACCCTAAGCAAAAAGAAAAAAGCTGGAGGCATCATGTTACTTGACTTCAAACTATACTACAAGGCTGTAGTAATAAAAACAGCATGGTACTGGTACCAAAACAGATATATAGACCAATGGAACAGAATAGAGGCCTCAGAAACAACACCACCCATCTACAACCATCTGATCTTTGACAAACCTGACAAAAACAAGCAATGGGGAAAAGATTCCCTATTTAATAAATGGTGTCGGAAAAACTGGCTAGCCATATGCAGAAAGCTGAAACTGGATCCCTTCCTTACACCTTATAGAAAAATTAACTCAAGATGGATTAAGAACTTAAACATAAGACCTAAAACCATAAAAACCCTAGAAGAAAACATAGGCAATACCATTCAGGACATAGGCATGGGCAAAGACTTCCTGACTAAAACACCAAGACCAATGGCAACCAAAGCCAAAATAGACAAATGGAATCTAATTAATCTAAAGAGCTTCTGAACAGCAAAAGAAACTATCATCAGAGTGAACAGGCAACCTACAGAATGGGAGAAAATTTTTGCAATCTATCCATCTGACAAAGGGCTAATATCCAGAATCTACAGAGAACTTACACAAATTTACAAGAAAAAACAAACCACCCCATCAAAAAGTGGGCAAAGGATGTGAACAGACACTTCTCAAAAGAAGACATTTATGCAGCCAACAAACATATGAAAAAATGCTTATCATCACTGGTCATTAGAGAAATGCAAATCAAAACCACAATGAGATACCATCTCATGTCAGTTATAATGGCGATCATTAACAAGTCAGGAAACAACAGATGCTGGAGAGGATATGGAGAAATAGAAGCACTTTTACACTGTTAGTGTAAGAGTGTAAATTCGTTCAACCATTGTGGAAGACAGTGTAGTGATTCCTTAAGGATCTAGAACTAGAAATACCATTTGACCCAGCAATCCCATTACTGGCTATATACCCAAAAGCTTATAAATCATTCAACTATAAAGACACATGCACACATATGTTTATTACAGCACTGTTCACAATAGCAAAGACTTGGAACCAACCCAAATACCCATCAATGATAGACTGGATAAAGAAAGTGTGGCACATATACACCATGGAACACTATACAGCCATAAAAAAGGATGAGTTCATGACCTTGGCAGGGACATGGATGAAGCTGGGAACCATCATTCTCAGCAAACTGTCACAAGAAGAGAAAACCAAACACCACATATTCTCACTCATAAGTGGGAGTTGAACAATGAGAACACATGGACACAGGGAGGGGAACATCACACACCGGGGCCTGCAGAGTGGTGGGAGGCTAGGGAAGGGATAGCATTAGGAGAAATACCTAATGTAGATGACAGGTTGTTGGGTGCAGCAAACCACCATGGCACATGTGTACCTATGTAACAAACCTCACCGTTCTGCACAGGTACCCCAGACTTAAAGTATAATAATAATTAAAAAAAAGATTATAGTCCTATTCAGTAAAGCAATTTACTTAAAATGTACACAGGATAAAGCACTATGGGAGGGGTAAAGGGAAGGAGGGGAAAAACCACCAACATAAGCTGAGGTCTGACTTTATACTTGACAGGCCCTCAGACTCACTGGGGAGGGCCATGCATGAATAGTTCACAATTAAATGGTAAAGCAAGGCAGCGTTGGAGGATTTCCTGCCAGAGAAATGGTGGAGGCAGAAAGAGTTTTGGGAATGGATGACAGCCAGCCAGATCAGTTTCTTGGTGTAGTAGGAGTTAAAAATACATCTTCCTGAGGCCTTTGGGTGTGGTTGAAAACTAAGGGTGAATGGACTCAAGCAGGTGGAAAGTGCTGTGAGCTTTATGGACTTGAACTTGGCATAGCAACACCTCTAAGGACTTTCAGATCCTAAATGCCATGGTGGGGGTTTTCCTCAAGCTGTGCTTAACCCTTCTGAGTCTCTTAGGAGACTGACACAATCCCTTCATATACCTAAGTGGGCATCTTTTTCTCTGTAACTAAAGCCAAATTCATATCAATGATGAACTGAACAGTACAATGACTGTTTCTCTGCTGAATACTACCAATAGGGTGAAATGAATCACTCTGAGTCTAACTCATGAAAGCAAGCATTCTGGGAGAAATGATTCCCATTTCCTTTCATCCTACCCATAACGGCAAGTGTGCAAATCCCTACATAGCAACCAAATGTGTGCTCTTTAAAAATAAATTAACCTGAATTACTCTGAAAGTCAAATTGAAACCTCACTGACTTCACCTCTTATTAAAAGAAGTTGCCCTAGACCAAATCTGGAAGAAATGCTTAATTTTCCTTGACTCTAGAGTCAGTAACAGAAGATCTATTATTAGATGCATTTCAGAGATTGTTAGAAGTTAAAAAAAAATCTATAGAGCACACAGTATCCAAACAAATTCAGGATTCAGTGGTTCTAACACCTGTGGGTATTAGAAGATTGCTACTGAGCATAGCCTTCAACAAGGTAAGACACAAAAACTTTTTTTTCAAGTTATTGAAAGTTTGTTCCTCTTGGCATGCCTAGCTATATCTTAGAGCTCAGTGATGAAAACCACTGAACTAAAATACATTGTCAGCTGAAGTCATGTATGGGGCTCCCTGACACCATGTGAAGCTATGCATCTTTCTTGTGTGACTTAGCCATTTCCTATAGAGGTTGATGGCCATTGCAAGACACTATGGAATCACGTCACACAGCCCATGCTGAATGATCTAAAGAGGTACCATTAACCTCCTCTTGGCTCTTCCTAGTCACTAGCTCTCATGGAAGAGCCTGGTGTTTCATTAGATAGCTAGGCCATCTTGCCTGATGTTTTTGATTACAACCTTTATTTATTATTCATATCCTATCATTTTAATAATATTTGAGATGATTTTGAGACTCTTTAAGTCCTTATAAAGATGGTTCTTGCTTAAAAGAGTAGGCAGTAGCCCTTTTCCTTTCAAACTTGATGTTTCCTACCTTGACCTTGACTCAGAAAAAAGGCCAGAGATTGTTGTAATGTAAGGGAACATGCTGCAACATCATTCTGAAATAACAAAACCAGGTGACAATGCTTATAGTCATTAGCAACTGAAACCAATAGAAAGACCTTTGTAATAAGCCACCTACACTAACATAAAACTTTTAACAGAGAAAGTGTTAACATATGCTTTGTTATTGCTTGGAATTTGGAAGTTTTTAAAAAATTTTTTTTCCAGGCATGATTTCTACTTTTAAGGAAATAGCCCTTTCCAATTTGCATTCACGTAGTACTTACTACAGTATATAGTAAAAAATGTAGAACTTTCCCGTATTTAAATTAAAATTCCTTCATTTCTCTAAGTGAAGAAAACCAAAGGGAATTCACATTTTAATTGAAATGAAAATATATATTACAGTTTAAAAAAAAGTTATCCTCAAATAAATTTCATTGACGAGTTCTAGACATTTTATTTTGCTCACAAAATTTTGTGTCACCATAAGAGATTTGAAAGACACGAAAGCAAAGAAAAGAGAAAGAGAAAATATATGTCAGAAATTGCTGAAAGAAAAATCCACATTTCACATGTGGTTATGCGAAAAAACACCTATTCTCCCCTGTGGGCCATTGAAACAAATTGTTGAGAACAGGACCTTGTCTTGGTAAAAGGAAAATATATATTCCACACTTTAGGTAGAAGTTGAAAATGATAAACAATGTGTCCGGGGAAGAAGTGGGAGAAATTTTGTTGCTTCCATATGAATATGTCCATGCCATACAGATTGCGGGCCTTGGGGGTGGTGCAGAAGGAAAGAAATTCATCTGTTATCAGGGGCACAGCAGCACCCAGGGTCAGAGCAAAAGTCTCCCTCTAAAGATGTTTATTGACATACATGATGATGAATATGTTGACTTTATGAACTCTTCTTTTTGGGGAGCATGGCAAGTGCAGTTTCCTCTGTGTACTCATGCCTCAGTTTCTGGAAATTTTACATCCAGAGATTAATGATCCATCACATAATCTATCAGGCCAATGGATTTATTTTTCAAAAGACTTGCTGGATGATCCTGATTTAAGTTATTCACCTAAAATTCTGATTCACAGCCTCAATTTGATCATTAAGCTATTACCACTGCATCCCCAAATGGGTTTGCTGGTCATCTCCACAGTGAAGCCCAGTAAGATTCTTTCCTTTTTATTGCTTTCTTGTCTAGCAATACCTGACTGTTCTAACCAGGCCTGTGAGAGGCCTACCTCTAGCAATAATGCTCAGTCAGCACACTCAAAAGGATGTGTCTCTTCCATGGAAACCTGTGACACTTCAAATGCTTACCAACTTATATTAGATTACCATATTACTATATTAGAAGATTAGACTTATAAGTGATTTTTAGTATATTCAGATGATTAGTAACATATTAATATCTTCGTGGTATATTAGATTATTCATTCAGCAATTTTTGAATACCTACTATTTGTCAGACACTCTTTTAGTCCTATGAACAAAACCATTAACAAAACAGACACAAATCTTTGTGATGTAGAAGGTTACATTCTATTAGGGGAAAACAAAATAAACCATAACTGTAATAAATAAGTAAATTAAATGCTATGGAAACAAAAGTAGAACAGGACAGGTAAATCAGTCATGCTGGAGGGGTGGTTATAGGAGGTAGATGACAGTTTTAAATAAGGTAATCACCATTGAGAAATTGAGTTTTGAACAAAGGCTGAAGAGGATGAGGGAGATACCCTGAGGGACAAAAAAATCCAAGTAGAGGGAACAGCCCCTGCAAAGATCTTAAGGCAAAGAACTACTTGGCATATTCAACAAACAGCAAGGAGGCTCTACAGCTGGAGCAGAGGGAGCTAGGTGAGGCTGATGGAAGATGAGGTCAGGAACTAGAAAAGAACAAAATCTATTTCTTACAGTTCTGGAGGCTGGAAGTCCAAGATCAAGAAGTCAGCCAATTCAGTTGCAGGTGAGGGCTCTCTTCCTGGCGTGCAGGTGGATGCCTTCTTGCTGTGTTCTCATGTGGTCATTCCTTGGTCTGTTGGAGTGGAGAGCAAAGGAGAAAGCTCTGGTCTCATTCTCTCTACTTATAAGGACTCTAAGACTGTCTGATCAGGGCTCCACCCTATAACCTCATTTATCTTTCATTACTTCAGTAACAGTTGTATCTCCAAATAAAGTCACAACGGGGATCAGGGATTCAATCTATGAATTTGGTGGTGGTGAGGGGGTGCGGGGAGAAGAAGCACAATTTAGTCTATGGCAGGGTCTGTATTGTGATTTGTCTTGAAACTGGGATCTATTTATTGAATTATTGATATAAATTTTCTTTATCTGTAGGATAATGCTCTGACTAGTAATTATTTAGGAGTGATAGATCTATTTCTGAAATAGCTGTGTGCTGTATTATTCTCATTTTAAGATGAAATAAACAATAAGTTTAATTATGAAGGCAGATGTTTAAAATTAGCCGTGGGGGACTGACTGCTACTGTGTAGGGTGTCATCAGCAAATCTTATTAACAATTTAGAAGGTGCTTAAAATAATAAGTTAAATCTATTCTACTACGAGCTCTAGGATAGAAAGAATTGTTTTCAAGTCTACTAATTTCCTTTATTGAACACACATTATATGATACTACTATTCCAAACTAGCTTATAATAACAATTTAACTAAAACTACCATATCCTTTGCTTTATAATATAGTCAAAATAAAGTCAGGTCACTAAGCCAGGAATGTTAGGAGGAAAAAGAGTATTGTTGATCCCTATTTAGGGATCTAAACTAAAACCATCTTTACCTCACCTAATTTATGTCTACATGACTTTCTAAACAACAGATTAGTTTTAGTCAATTTAGGGAAGTAGGTTGCCAATACAATAAGAGGGAAAATAAGAGTAAACAGTTTTTTTGATCCAATACATGTGGTAATGACTGTACTCTTTATTAATCTACTTGAGTCAGACACATAAATTGTGACTTTAATGGCACATTTGGAATATGAGCTGCCAAAATCAGATGCTTTTGATAGCATTCTAGAAAAGGAAGAAACTACAGAAGCTTCGGACTCAACCCCTTTTTGGTGATTAAAGTCATTACTCTAGAGGGACAATAGGAATGTAGGAGGTCATGCCTAGCAGAGTCTGGACTAGAATTTGAGACTAAGCCTTTTGTTTTCTAAGTAAATTTTAAGTTTATTTTAAAATTTAAAGTATTTTTTTTCATTGTTTTAAATTTTACTTTGAGTTCTGGGATACATGTACAGAACATGCAGGTTTGTTACCTAGGTATTCATGTGCCATGGTGGTTTGCTGCACCTATCAACCCGTCATTTAGGTTTTAAGTCCTGTATGCATTAGGAATTTGTACTAATGCTCTCCCTCCCCTTGTCTCCCATCCCCTGACAGGCACCAATGTGTGATGTTCCCCTCCCTGTTTCCACGTGTTATCATTGTTCAAAAACATATGGAACAGTTCACAAATTTGCTTGTCATCCTTGTGCAGAGGCCATGCTGATCTTCACTGTATTGTTCCAATTTTAGTATATGTGCTGCCAAAGCGAGCACCAGACTAGGTCTTTTTAAGTTGTATCAAACTTCTCACATGTACCACCCCACTGTAGATTTGGATTATATCCAAAATATACTGCCATGTTCTCTACCTAATAAAACATTGCTAAGCAAGGATTACCTGAGGTATTTCTTGACAAAAAGGATCTAAAAATCCATAGAAGGATTCTTCAAAGAATATCAGAAGTAGCCTTCCTTGTCCTAAGAACTATGTAGGCACAATGCTAAAAATTGCTATATTGAAATTTTAAGAAACTTACAGTAACAAGAGTTATCATTTTTTAGTGTAAAGAATTTTCGGCAGGGTGCGGTGGCTCATGTCTGAAATCCCAGCACTTTGGGAGGCCGAGATGGGTGGATCCCGAGGTCAGGAGATCAAGACCATCCTGGCCAACATGGTGAAAACCTGTCTCTACTAAAAATACCAAAAATTAGCCAGCATGGTGGCATGCACCTGTAATCCCAGCTACTCGGGAGGCTGAGGCAAGAGAATCGCTTTAA
Source organism: Homo sapiens (assembly GCF_000001405.40). Taxonomy (NCBI): domain Eukaryota; kingdom Metazoa; phylum Chordata; class Mammalia; order Primates; family Hominidae; genus Homo; species Homo sapiens. Next base: position 22,554,756 of record NC_000019.10, on the reverse strand, counting down.
CCTGGGAGGCAGAGGTTGCAGTGAGCCAGGATTGTGCTACTGCACTCCAGCCTAGGCGACAGAGCGAGACTCCATCTCAAAAAATAATAATAATAATAATAATAATAATTTTCCTGGAAGAGTATCTTATGTTTTCTTTACTAGTTCCATTCCTCTATTTTAACTATTTTGCTTTACATTTCTTTCTCGAATTTGTGAAATGTTACTTCCTTCTCTCACTAGCCCTAAAGAGTTTACTCTTACTAACCAGGTACCATGATAAGCGCAGGTGAGAAAACCATGTGTGCCTATGCGCATGTCTTCAGCAAGAAATTGGTGAATTGTCATTTTCTTTTGAAACTTATAGAAATACAAGAAATACCTGTGTACCATATTTTTAAAACCATACTGCAATCATTTCCTACTTCTAAGTAGCATGTGATATGAAACAGCTGAAATGTTTCAAAACACATGTACATGAAATGCTTTTTTGTATTGAGCTTGATAAATAGCCTGAGACCTTGGGAAAGTCAGAATGTTTTCCAATGTGTCTGATATGTCGAGTGCTGTCATATTCATGTGGTTGCATGGTCAAATTTGAGTGTGAGAAATGGCTTGGTTTTCTCATGCAGAATGGTAGAGTCAAAACATTGTGTAATTGATTAAGACATGGTATATACTAAATGTATACATACATACATATACATCCATATGCACATACAACTATACATATACATATAAATATAAATCTACACACACATAAAAATATATATAACCTACTATGTATAAACAAGGATACTAAATCCTATGAGAGCTACAAAGACAAATAAGACAGTGTCCTGGAGAAGACGGCATGTAAATGTTTAAATAACATTGGTTAGAAAATGTTCAGGCCTATGACAACAGGCCAGGAGACTTTAGATGATTTTAAGGAAGTTCTAGAAAGGGTAAGGAGACATGAAGATCAATGTTATCAAACAACAAACAAACCCTCCAAACAAAACACAACAAAATAAAATCCACTGCGTCTCCTTCACAACTTGTTTCCTGGGACTGTTGGTCAAGCCAGGTAAGGACAATCTCTAGGAGCCATGAACTCCAGGGCTGCCTGGAATCAAATTCTTGCTCTACCCTTACTAACTATGAGACCAGGGAAAACTACTTACCTTCACTGTGCCGGTTTCTTCATTTGTAGAATGGAGTTGATGATCGTGCATACTTAATGGTATTGTCTTGAGGATGAAGTGGGTAAATATATGTAAAATGCTCCAAAGCATGGAAGCGACGCACAGCTTAGAAGGTTGGACTAGGCCTAAACACAGGGATGGGATCACTTGGTGTCAGGAGAGGGAAAGGAAGTACTTTCTCTTGCTATTCCCAAGGTCAGTACATTTTCCGGCTTTAAAGTCTATAAAAAATAAAGTGAGAAATACTACATTGGTTCAACCTCAAGCTTACAACTTCAAAGTTAAAAAGTCCTACAAAGTTTGAGTCCAATGAATCTCATAATAGTTATGTCACAGAGGCTCCCTGTGTGCTTTATTGGAGTTAATAATAACAACTTAATTATTTTCCAAATCAAATTATGAGGAACAGATGAGTTAACATTGTTTTGTAGACTTTTTCACTTCCTGACATTTGGGTCAGGAAAAAGAAAACACCTGCCTTTATGTTGCATTTCTCCTGCCCCCATCCCCAGCCCTTGTCTGAGGACAGCAATGCTCCTTCTCAGCTTAGTTGTGATCTCTGAGTGTACGAACTGCTTCCTGGGCTGGTGGGCACTTTCAGAAGCAGCTTTTAGGTTATTACAGCAAAACACAATGAGATTTTTTTTTAACTGATGTACTTTATAAGTAGTTGTCATAAGCATTATAAAAATTCTATTCTTTTAAGATGTAGACATCTCAGAGCGCTTTCTTTTCAAGATTTTTTCTACAGAGTACTTTGAAAAAACATAAGAAAAACAACCACAAAACCCTTTCAGTGATTTCCAGGTAAGTACTTCCATTAATGTTTGTGCTTAGGTCTTTGAGGCTGTGTCACTAAACTGGAAATCATTTTCTCCTTCGAAGATGCTAGAGTTGTTTTTTGTTTATTTTTCAGTTTTATTCCTCTCTCTCCTTAACATGTCAGACTGAAACAATAGATGTTTTATGCCTTTATGATATTGAAAAGGCATCAATAGTTTCTTTCCCTAGTGGACCTATCTTGTTTCATTGATTAATATTTCCCCCAGGGAGTCCAATAGGGGTAGGAAAGGACTGTAGAGGGACTGGCCAGGCCTAAGCAACAGTGCAGGTAAGCTTGCCTGAAAGATCAAGTTGAGTCTCACACTATTCTAGAATGGGGCACTCAGTAATTTAGAACTGCAGGAATTAGGGGAAGAGCCTTTGCATTGTTAAAAGACTGAGTCACCTGAAAAGACAGAAATTGACTTTTGTAGTAAACAAGTTACATTTCTATGCACCCAGGTCGTCGGCAAACTGTTAACACCTTTCGTTTTTTGGTTTTTTTTTTGTCTGAATTCTCTTTGATTGCTCGGGAGGCTGAAAGTAAAGGGAAATTACTGCTTCCAGGAAAGGGAAATTATTTTTCTCAACCAGTCACTGATGTGGATTGGTGGAAAAATGCCCACCTACCTCACCTTTTGAGTGATAACTGTGAGGTGAGTGTTCTGTACCAATTCCTGGTGCTCCAATTGCCTATGGTGGAAACTGGCATGATCATGCCCTCGGCTTCCTTCCCTTCCTTGCCTCTTTTCTCTGTACCCTACCAGCGTTTTCCTGTAGCACCTCCCAAGTAAACTATTGGCACATAAATCTTGTCTCAGAGTTGCCTTCTGGCAGAACCCAGACTAAGGCAACTCAATCCACCAAAATACTTGGAGAAGAAGAAAGCATTTTATGTCAGAAGTTAGAAAATGGCAATGTTCCCAAGTTTTCTTCTTTCTCTCCAAGAAGACCACCGATGGGTACAGATGGAAAAAAATCAATAGCATCAAAGTTTAATTTTTCCCTAGGTGCTATTGAAGAAAAATTGACAAACAAAAATTGTATATGTTTATGGTATACAGTGTGATGGTTTGATACACATATGCATCATGAAATAATCATCACAATCAAGCTAATTCATATATCTATTACCTCATATATTTGTCCCCCCCTTTTTTATTATACTTTAAGTTCTGGGGTACACGTGCAGAACGTGCAGTTTTGTTACATAGGTATACACGTGCCATGGTGGTTTGCTGTACCCATCAACCCCATCAACCTGTCACCTCCATTAGGTATTCCTCCTAATGGTATCCCACCCCCAGCTCCCCACCCCCTGACAGGCCCTGGTGTGTGATGTTCCCCTCCCTGTGTCCGTGTGTTTTCACTGTTAAACTCCCATTTACGAGTAAGAACATGCGGTGTTTGGTTTTCTGTTCTTGTGATAGTTTGCTAAGAATGATGGTTTCCAGCTTCATCCATGTCTCTGCAAAGGACATTAACTTATCCTTTTTAATGGCTGCATAGTATTCCATGGTGTATATGTGCCACATTTTCTTTATCCAGTCTATTATTGCTGGACATTTGGGTTGGTTCCAAGTCTTTGCTATTGTGAATAGTGCCACAATAAACATATGTGTGCATGTGTCTTTACAGTTGAATGATTTATAATCTTTTGGGTATATACCCAGTAATGGGATTGCTGGGTCAAATGGTATTTCTAGTTCTAGATCCTTGAGGAATCACCACACTGTCTTCCACAATGGTTGAACTAATTTACACTCCCACCAACAGTGTAAAAGTGTTCCTATTTCTCCACATCCTCTCCAGCATCTGTTGTTTTCTGACTTTTTAATGACCGCCATTCTAACTTTGCCTTCCTTTTTGTGTTGATAATACTTAAGATCTACTATCTTAGCAAATTTCAAGTATGCATTACTATTAAACGTGCTGTACATTAGGTCTCTAGAACTTATTTATCTTATAACTGAAAATTTATGCCCTTAGGCTAACATCTTCTCATTTCCCACACCCCTAGTCCCTAATAACCATCATTCTAATATCTGTTTTTACCACACGTAAGTGAGTTCATGCAGTACATGTCTTTCTGCATCTGGCTATTTCACTTAGCATAATGTCCTTCAGGTTCATCCATGTTGTCTCAGCTGGCAGGATCTCCTTCTTTTTAAGGTGGAATAATATTCCATTGTATACATACATACCATCCTATTCATCTGTCACCAGACACTTAGGTTGATTCCATATCTTGGTTATTGTGTATAATGCTACAATGAGCATGGGAGTGCAGACATTTCTTCAACGTACTGATTTAATTTCCTTTGGGTATATACCCAATAGTGGAATTGCTGGATCCTACGGTATTTCTATTTTTAGTTTTCTGAGAAAACTACTGTTTTCTTCACGCTGTTTTCTGTAATGGCTACACCAATTTACATTGCCACTGATGGTGTGGAAGGGCTCCCCTTTCTCCATTTCCTTCCCAACACTTATCTTTTGACTTTTTGGTAATAGCCAACCTAACATGTGTGAGGTAATATCTCATTGTGGTTTTGACTTTCATTTCTCTGATGATTAGTGATATTGATCATCGTTTCATATACCTGTTTGCCATTTGTATGTCTTCTTTGGGAATATGTCTACTCAGGTCCTTTGCTCATTTTTGAATTGGGTTGTTCTATTGCCATAGAGCTGTATTCCTAAGATAGTTTAGATATTAACTACTTATCAGATAGAGGATGCGCACATATTTCTTGCATTCCATATGTCTTTTCATTTTGTTGATTGTTTTCTTTGCTGTGTAGAAACTTTTTAGTTTGATGCAGTTCCATTTGTTTATTTTTGCTTTTGTTGCCTGTGATTTTGGTATGATAACCAACAAGTCATTGCCAAGACCAATGTCATGGAGTTTTTCCCATGTTTTCTTCAAGGAGTTTAATGGTTTCAGGTCTTACACTTGTCTTTAATCCATTTTGAATTGGTTTTTGTGTATGGCGTAACATAAAGGTCCAATATCATTTCTTTGAATATGGATATCCAGTTGTCCCACCTTTTATTGAAAAGACTATCCTTTCCTTATTGGGTATTTTTGGTGCCTTTGCCAAAAATTTGTTACTATAGGTGGGATTATTTCCAGGCTCTCTATTTTGTTCTATTGGTCTATATGTCTACATTTATGCTAGTGCCACACTGTTTTGATTACTATAGCTTTGAATTATAATTTGAAATCAGGAAGTGTGATGCCTCCAGCTTTGTTCTTCCTTTTCAATATTGTTTTAGCTATTCAGGGTCTTTGTGGTTCCATATGAATTTTAGGATTTTTTTACATTTCTGTGAAAAATGCAATTAGAACTTTGATAGGGATTGCATTGACTCTGTAGATCACTTTGGTTAGTATTTAACAATATTAATTCTTCCAATCCATGAACTCAGTATATCCTTTCTTTTTTTGTACCTCAGAATTTCTTTTACTCTTTAACATAAACCATTTATTGGTTTTGTTTTTGTTTGCTTGTTTAGATTCAGGGGGCACATGTGCAGGTTTGTTACATGAATATATTGTATAATGTTGAGGTTTGGGCTTGGTATCCCATCACTCAAATAGTGAACATAGTACCCAGCAGGTAGTTTTTCAACCCTTGATCCCACTCGCTTAAGCCTTTTGGAGTCTCCATTGTCTATTGTTTTCATGTTTATGTCCATGTGTACTCAATGTTTAGCTCCCACTTATAAGTGAGAATGTGGGATATTTGGTTTTCTGTTTCTGTGTTAACTCATGTAGGATAATGGCTCCCAACTGCATCCATGTTGCTGTAAAGGTCATGATTTTGTCATAAACACAGTGTATCTTTCCATTTGTCTTCTTAAATCTTTTAAAATTAATATTTTATAGTTTTCACTGTACAGTTCTTTTACTTACTTGGTTAAATATATTCATAAGTATTTTATTCTTTTTGATGCGATTGTAAATGGGATTCATTCTGAGCTGTAACCCTTCTAATTCTCTCCCTTTAGTACAAAAGGGGTGATTTCTCTTTAGAGTCATTCAGCTTTTTCCTTCTGTGCCTAGCTGGCTGAGATATGCCTCAGGCTGCCTGCCCTGCCATCACCTAGGAAACTCGTTTTGCTGCCTCTGTCCCTGCTAGTGTGTCTATTGCCTTGAATGACAGCTGGGCACCAGCAGTACCTTCAGGGATTTGTGTGGTTGGGAGCACAGGTCGCTGCATTCTTCTGCCCCAGGCAGACTGTTGTGCACTGTTGTGTGTGCGTGAGGTGTGCGGCTCCCGTTTTCTGCAGCCAGGCCCACCACTGCTCAGGAAATTGTCACTGATGCTGTGAAAACCAGAGATGTATTCCTCTGCTCCTGAGTCAGAGTTAAGGGTCTCACAGCCCTCACCTACTCTCCCAGCTCTGAGAAACCTGGTATCTGGCAGGCAGAGTATCACCTGTGTGTTTTTAGGCTGAGGTTGGCTGTAGTATCTTCACAGGTTTGGATACATTTCACTCCCTCTACCTCTCCCCGAGGTTCCTGCTCTTTGGCCTCAAGCATAGCATGAAAACATTGTTTGAAAGGCACTGATGGCTTCCTGTGATGGTGGTTGGTCATATGGCTTCACTAGTTATTGATACTGTTGCAGCACAAAGAATATTGTGACATTTCACTGTTATATACGTGATGTCATTAAATTGGACAACTTTGTCTTCTTTCAAGAGATAAAGAAAAAAGGTTTCCTTCTTTTGGAACTACAGGTGGGTGGGGATGAGGAGGGGCATGCTCTTCTCTCCTCATTATACTTATGTCTCAACCACTCCTTGTTGATTCTCTCACCTCACATCCCCTGGGAAACTTTATAGGCTGCTCCACATCAATCCAGGACTTCCCCTTTTGGAGTCCTAGGCAATGAAGCAATCTCCTAGTGCTGCCTAATACTCAGGATTTGGAGTGTTAGCAGGAGATGAGCAGATAGCCAAGGGCGTGACAGAAGCCACAGGGTTGCTGTTGGGTCCTCTAGTGGAGTGGGGGGCAGGTGGAGTAAGTCTGCAGACTGACGCCCCAAAGGGGCTGGGGAGATAAGAGTATGGGTGTACTAGGGCACCAAGCAACGCAGGGCCCCAAGTGGGAAGATACCATGGGAATGAAAGAAAAGTCATTGTAAAGTGTTGAGACTATAAGGCACTAGTCTAGCAAATAGCAGCTGTATTTCCTGCCCAGGTCCTAAACAAGTTGAAAAATAGAAGAGAAATGAGAGAGGCCAAAAATATCACTTTCATTTCTGATAGAATGAGAAGACCACCTTCCCTGCCATATAAAAAGTCTGGCTACCCTGAGGACTCCATGCTGGAAAGCCCATATGGAAAAATCACATAAGGATAGAGAGAGAGGCTGCAGGTGCCACTTCGGCCATGTCAATGAGTGAGACTGCAGGTGATTCCAGTCCCAGATACTATTTGACTGCGTGCAGAATCACTGAGCCAAGGCCTTTCCATATTTTTAACCTGTAGAAATGATTCATGTTAAATAATTATTTTAAGCCATCGAATTTTGTTATTTTTAGTTACACAGAAATGGGTACCCAAATCCTACATTCTCATTTTGAAAACAAATTGGTTATCATCATTTATTGGATAAAACATTTTGCAGTTAGTATTAGCAAGCCCTATGTTTGTGTGTGTGCCTGTGTGTAGGTGAGTGTTTATTTTTCACTTTAGTGCATGTTTATGAATTATTATCATATGTTTTGTAGGCTAGCTAACAAATAACATCCACGAAAGGCTTGAAATTCTGCATTTCTAACAAGCTCCCAGGAGATGCTGATGCTCCCCAGCCAGGGACCACACTTTGAGCAGTTAGGCACTAAACTATATTGTTTCAAATACCAGCTGGTGGGTCGCATGTCTCCTGGTAGACTGTAGGTTGCGGTTGGGATAATGAACTCTCGCTGCCTCACTAGACTGCAATACAGAATTTAAAATTGGATCAGAACCTCCTGTAACAAAATGCCAGCCCAAATGCACTAGCGGGTTTTTCAGGCCCTTCTTCCTTTGGTTCTGTCTGCTCTGTTGCTGCCAACCCTTGTGCCAGGCCACATGATAGAGAATGTTTTTCCAATGTAACATGGCCTTGAATTGTGGCCAATATGCTCTTCTGTTTTTGTAGGTTGGATAGATTTAAAATGAATACAAGGGTTTATGTGTATTGAAGTTTATTTTAAGGCCTCTTGATAATTAATAGAAATTTCCACCAGATAAAAGGTTTTAGGAAACTATAATTAAGTTTGCTATAATCCTTATTATTGAGGAAGCAGTATGTCACCAATATTTAAGTAGCCAATAAGCACAATGTTAGGTTTATGCATCTTTATCAATTGAAACAACATATCTTGAAGTGTCCCATCCATGCCTTTCAGAATCCCCTGCTAACCTGTCAATCTTCTGAGCATCCCCGAACTCACCATCGGTGTCCACATGACTACCTTTCCTACTTAGCTCATTGTTGTCCCTAAACTTTTCTCCTTCCCCTCTTTGCAAAAAACCTTCCCATATTTTATCTCAGTGTGCAAAGGTGGGTGAGTTGTGTTCAATCGGCCTCTTGGTTGCACCAAAGTATTTTCTCTGTCATTAAGAGGCTGTATTCCTGTCCCATAGACCCCTAGTAATCCCCTTATGCCCGTACCTCTGACCAACTTGCCTCTCAGGGAACCAGTTTTCCAGGGGTAAAGTTCCCCTTCTTTCCATCCACGGCTTTTCAGCCCAACCACAGAGCCTCATGGAGTTTGGGGTGAAAGACCAGGACACCGACATGGCCCATTTTGACCACCAGGTGGCAGACAAGGATAACATTAAGCCTGGGCTGACTCGAACTTGAGGGAGGGAAGAGGCTTTCCTTTTAGTGGACACTGACTGGTGCATAATGTTTCCCCGACAGTCTGAAAGCATTTTTTGAGCACAGGCTGCATGCATGTCTCTGTTCCCAAAGTGGGTTTCCAGGATTACTGTTTAGACTTAATAGTTATTTTTTAACAGCTTTATGGTAAAATAACTTACAATTAAACTTACCCCCTACCCCCCCTTTTTTTTTTGAGACGAAGTCTTATTCTGTCACCCAGGCTGGAATGCAGTGGCACGATCACAGCTCACTTCAGCCTCCACCTCCTGGACTCAAGTCATCCCTCACTTCAGCCTCCCAACTAGCTGGGACCACAGGCGCACACCACCATGGCTGGCTAACTTTAAAAAATTTTTCTTTTGTAGGGACGAAGACTCACTATGTTGCCCAGCTGGTCTCCAACTTTTGGAATCAATCGATCCTCCCATCTTGACCTCCCAAACTGGTGGGATTACAGGCAGGCGTGAGCCACCATGCTCAGCCTAAACTCACCCATTTTAAGTGTACAGTTTGATCACTTTGAGTAAATGTATAAGACATGCAAACACCATCACGAGAAGTTTTAGAATGTTTCTATCACTCCAAAAATTCCCGCACACCCTTTTGCAGTGAGTCATTGTCCTGACCCACACTTCTAGGCAACCACCAAATTGCTTTTCGTTGCTATAGTTTCCCTTTTCTAGAATATAAATGAAATAATATAAATTATAAATTAATATAATAATAGTAATTATATAAATAAAATAATTTGTGATTGGCTCTGTCAATCGTGTTATTGAGATTCAACCAGTAGTTCAGTTCTTTTTTTCTTTTTTTTTTTTTTTTTTTTTGAGGTGTAGTCTTACTCTGTCACTCAGGCTGGAGTGCAATGGCGTGATCTCAGCTCACTGCAACCTCCACCTCCACCTCCCGGGTTCAAGCAGTTCTCCTGCCTTAGCCTCCAGAGTAGCTGGGATTCCAGGCACCCACCAGCGCACTGGCTAATTTTTGTATTTTTAGTAGAGATGGAGTTTCGCCATGTTGGCCAGGCTGGTTTCGAACTCCTGACCTCAGGTGATCCGCACCCCCCGGCCTCCCAAATTGCTGGGATTACAGGCATGAGCCACCGCGCTCAGCCCAGTAGTTCTTTTCTTTTATCACTGAGTGGTATTCCAGACCATCTTTCCTTTTCTTTAGAGACAGGGTCTTGCTATGTTGCTGAGGCTGGTCTTGAACTCCTGGGCTTAAACAATCCTCCTGCCTCAGCCTCCCAGAATTCTGGGATTATAGATGTAAGCCACTGTGCCTGGCCAATATACTCCCATTTTTTCCATCCATCAGTTGATGCACATTTGAGTGATTTCCATTCTTTGGGTATTTTTATAAAGCTGCCTTGAACATTTTCAGACAGTCTTTCGTTTCTTTGGCGCAGATACCTAGATACCTGAATGGATATTCACCACATGGCACCATTGCTGGGTGATGTGGCGAGTGTGTGTTTAACTTTTAAAGAAAATACCTCGTATTTAAAGATCTACACTAGGCCAGGTAGGGTGGCTCACGCCTGTAGTCCCAGCACTTTGAGAGGCCGAGGTAGGCAGACAGCTTGAGACGAGGAGTTTGAGACCAGCCTGGCCAACATGGCAAAACCCTGTCTCTACTAAAAATACAAAAATTAGCTGGGCGTGGTAGCACATGCCTGTAATCTCAGCTTCTTGGGAGGCTGAGGCACAAGAATCGCTTCAACCTGGGAGGCGGAGGTTGGAGTGAGCCAAGATGGCGCCACTGCACTCCAGCCTGGGCTACAGAGCAGACTCTGTCTCAAAACAAACAAATAAATAAAGATCTACACTAGCCAATAAATAAGTAGAATTTTTTAAAAAAAAGTCTAACTATTTTCCAAAATGACTGTATGATTTTTGCATCCCCATCAGCCACCTATGAAGGTTCCAGATGCTTCCTATCCTCACCAACATTTGCTCTTGTGGGCCTTAAATCTGACTTTTTCAGTTTTCGTTTTTTTCTAGAATTGGGATCTGGCTCTGTCACCAAGGCTAGAGTGCAGTGGCACGATCAGAGCCCGCTGTAACCTTAAACTTCTGGGCTCAAAGGAATCCTTCCACGTCAGCCTCCTGAGTAGCTAGGACTGCAGGCACTTTAAAAAATTTTGTAGAGATGGGATCTCATTATGTTGCCCAGGCTAGTCTTGAACTCCTGGGCTCAAGTGATCCTCTTGCCTGAGCCTCCCAAATTGCTAGGATTACAGGTGTGAGCCATCATGACTGACTGATTTATTTTTAATGGGTATTTAGTGGCATCTCATTGCATTTGGTTCCTTGGGCTTTTAGCTTCTGCTTTAGACTCGTTCTCTCTCTCTGTGAGTCTCTGTCGCTCTACATATACTATATATGTAACATTTCCTCACACACACAGAGGAACGTGCTCCTGAGACGACTCTTTCTTCATTTTGCATTTTTTTTGTTTGTTATTTGTTTGGGTTTTTGAAACAGGCTGGTTTTTATTACCCAGGCTGGAGTGCAGTGGCAGGATCATGGCTCACTGCAGCCTTGACTTCCTGGGCTCAGGTAATCCTCCCACCTCAGACTCCTGAGTAGCTGGAACTACAGGCATGCACCACCAGCCCAGCTGAAAAAAAAAAAAAAAAAAATCTGTAGAGACAGGTTCTTACTATGTTACCCAGGCTGGTCTTGAGCTCTGGGCTCAAGTGATCCTTCTGCCTCAGCCTCCCAAAGTGCTGGGATTACAGGCGTGAGCCACAATGCCTGGCCTTCGTTTAACATTTTTATGATTTCCTTAATCATCATCAATGACAAGACCTCTGAACGATAGCACAGTAAGGGGTAGAGTACATGGCGACGTTCACCCCAGCAGTCATACACAGCAGCCCAGGGATTTGGAAGGAGTTGCCCTGTTAACATAAAGAAGATTTGTCACTGGATTCTGAGCTAGGAGGAGCTGGGTACCTCTTAGCACCCACAGCCCGGCTATTAATTAGGGCATGAGAACTAAGGGCAGAGATAGCATCTACCAAGGCAGGAGGCTGGGAGGATGGCTGGGGCCACAGCCATGTTGGATGGGAGACACTGAATCAACAACAGGCTGTGCTGTTGGGTGGAGGTCAAGAGCAACTTCTTGGGGAGACTGGAAGGAGAGAAAGTAGAGACGTCAAAGGTGGATGACTTTAGCTTTGCTAGAAATAAGAACAGAAGGGCCAGTCATGGCCGGGCGCGGTGGCTCACGCCTGTAATCCCAGCACTTTGGGAGGCCGAGGCGGGCGGATCACGAGGTCAGGAGATCGAGACCATCCCGGCTAAAACGGTGAAACCCCGTCTCTACTAAAAATACAAAAAATTAGCCGGGCGTAGTGGCGGGCGCCTGTAGTCCCAGCTACTCGGGAGGCTGAGGCAGGAGAATGGCGTGAACCCGGGAGGCGGAGCTTGCAGTGAGCCGAGATCCCGCCACTGCACTCCAGCCTGGGCGACAGAGCGAGACTCCGTCTCAAAAAAAAAAAAAAAAAAAAAAAAAGAAGGGCCAGTCATGGTGGTTCACACCTATAATCCTAGCACTTTGGGAGGTGGAGGCAGGAGGATTGCTTGAGCCCAGGAGTTCGGACCATCCTGGGCAAAATGGGGAGACCCCGTCTCTACAAAAAAAAAAAATACAAAAAATAAAAAATTAGCCAGTCATGATGGCACACACCTGTAGTCCCAGCTACTTGGGAGGCTGAGGTGGGAGGATCACTTGGACCCAGGAGGTCAAGGCGGCAGTGAGCCAAGATCATGCCACTGCACTGAAGCCCGGGTGACAGAGCAAGACCTGGTCAAAAACTAAAAAAAAAAAAAAAAACCCTAAAAAAAAAAAAAAAGGAAAGAAAGAAAGAAAAAAGAACAGAAGAATGGAGCAATAGCTGGAGGGCAAAGTGGGTCAAGGCCGGCTTTGTATGGTGGTATTTACACAGGATCTGTTTGCAGCTGATGGGAGGGATGCCACAAAAGAGACAGCCCTGAGGAAGTGGGAGGGGACCAGAGCCTTGTGTTCATAAGGTAGGTCCCAGAGCTGGGACTACAGCAAGGCAAGCAAGTGTAAAATTGAGGAGGCACTCATTCTCAGGTGCCGACTCTCTACTGGTATGACCCTGGGGATGAGTGCCTCTTTAACCTTTATGCCCTGGGTGCCTTGCTGGCCTGTTTCATCCTAGTCCTGGCCCTGGCAGGCCCATCTACAATGCTAGGAGGGAGGGCAGACCTTGCTGCAGGGTGTTGGGAAACTTGGCCTTGGGAGCAGATGGAGATCTCTCCTGACAGCATCCATACCTGAAGGCGGAAGGCAGGATTGCCGGCGGAGAAGAGATCCAGGTGCCTTGATGTGAGTGTTGACGGTGGAAAGCAGGCCAGAGCCAGGTACTAAAATCTTTAGCAAATGATCAATGGGGTGTGGCTTGAGGGTGGCGGGGCTGTGATGGAAACAAGAAGAGGAGGGTGGAGGAGGGAAGGAGGAAGGATGAAGTTCTGGAGGCAGCTCTGAAAAGCAGAGCGCCCCACCCCAGGCTGCCGGGGAAGATTGAGGAAGCTGCAATAGTTTTTAATTGAAAAGAGACAGAGTCTTGCTATGTTGCCTAGACTGGCTTCAAGCTCCCAGGCTTAAACAGTCCTCCTGCCTCAGCCTCCTGAGTAGTTGGGACTATAGACTTGTGCCACCATGCCCAGCTTGCACTGGTTATTTTTGGCAGAAGGGAAGTTTCATCATAAAGCCTTTCTCTTCAGCTCCGGGTGCCAGCTGGAGCCCCAGAAGAGGATCAGGCATCGTGTTTAGTCACAACCCCCACTCCTTCATTGGGCCAGCAAATATCTATCCATCTTCCCACCGTCTACTCGCAGCCAACCATGTTCCTGACACTGAAGCCAGAGGTGAGTCCTGCCCTCCACTGGGGTGGGAGCCTCCTTAGCCAGCAGGGAGATGGACGCCCCGACTTGATGAGGGAGATGCCGCCATCAAGAACAGAGTTCCATGGCTCTGGTTCCAAGCCTCATTTCCTTCCCTTCCTTCCGCCCCTCCCCTCTGCTCCCTCTCCCCTCTCCTCCTCCTCTCCTCTTCCCCCTCCCCTCCCTCCTTCCCTCCCTTCCTTCCCTCTTTTTCTTCTATCTTTTTTCTTTCTTTCTTTCTCTCTCTTTTTCTTTAAGACAGGGTCTTGCTCTATAGCCCAGGCTAGAGTGCAGTGGAACAATCAGAGCTCACTGCAGCGTCGACATCCTGGGCTCATGTGATCTTCTCACCTCAGCCTTCCAAGTAGTTGGGACCACAGGTGTGCACCATTGCACCTGGCTAATTTTTTTATTTTTTTATTTTAATTTTTTTTGAGCCAGAGTCTCGCTCTGTTGCCCAGGCTGGAGTGCAGTGGCGTGATCTCGGCTCACTGCAACCTCCGCCTCCCGGGTTCAAGCGATTCTCCTGCCTCAGCCTCCCGAGTATCTGGGACTACAGGCGTGCGCCATCACACCCGGCTAATTATTTGTACTTTTAGTAGAGACTGGCTTTCCCCATGTTAGCCAGGCTGTCTTGAACACCTAACCTCAAGTGATCTGCCGGCCTCGACCTCCCAAAGTGCTGGATTACAGGCGTAAGCCATCGCACCGGGCCACTTTGCGTGTATTTCTAATTAACTCCTCACTCCATTCCCAGCCCTTGCCAAACAATGATCTCTTCCAGAGTGACACGTAAATGTGATTAAACAAGTATATAAATTTTTGAATCTGGTTTCTTTCACTAAGTGTTATACATTTCAGATTCATCCAGATTGTTGTGGGTATTGGTAGTTCTTTTTATTTCTGAGTATAATTTCATTGCACAGATCCACCACAATTTGTTTATCTATTTACCAGTTGAAAGGCATTTGAGTTGTTTCCAGTTTTTGATATTATGAATAAACTCATTATGTATATATTTGCTTATAGGTTTGTATACGGACATAATATGTTCATTTCTCCGGGATAAATACCTAGCAGTAAAATTGCTGTGTCTTATGCTAAAGTGTGTTTAATTTTTAAGAAACTTAGCTGGGTGTGGTGGCATGTGCCTGTAGTCTCAGCTACTCCAGAGGCTGAGGCATGAGGAAGCTTGAGCCCGGGAGGTAAAGGCTGGATTCAACTGTGATCGCACCGCTGTACTCCAGCCTGTGTGACAGAGCAAGACCCTATCCCAATACTACTACTACTAATAATAAACAATTGTATAAGAAACTGCTAAAATGTTTTTCAAAATGGCTGTTCCATTTTGTATTCCACCAGCAATGTATGAGTGTTCCAGGTGCACTATATCCTGGTCAGAACTTGGTGCTGTCATCATTTTTTTTTTTTTTTTTTTTTGAGATGGAGTCTCACTTTGTTGCCCAGGCTGGAGTGCAGTGGTGTAATCTCCACTCACTGCAACCTCCGCCTCCCAGGTTCAAGAGATTCTTCTGCCTCAGCCTCCTGAGTAGCTGGGATTACAGATGTCTTCCACCCCACCTGGCTAATTTTTATATTTTTAGTAGAGACAGGGTTTCACCATGTTGGCTAGGCTGGTCTCGAACTCCTGACCTCAGGTGATCCACCTGCCTTGGACTCCCAAAGTGCTGGGATTACAGGTGTGAGCCACTGCGCCTGGCCGGTGCTGTCATTTAAAAAAATTTTTTTTTAAATTTAGGCTCTTTTAATAGAATATAATGGTATATCATTGTGGCTTTAATTTCTCCAATGACACCTGATGTTCAACATCTTATTATGAGCTTTTTTGCCATCCTTATATCTTCTTTGTTGAACTCTATACTCAAATCTGTTGCCTATGTATTTTTATGAAATTATTTGTTTCCTTATTATTGAGCTCAAGAGGTCTTTACATAACCTGGATACAAGCCCTTTATTAGATTTGTGTTTTGCAAATGTTTTCTCCAAGTTTCTGGTTTGTGTTTTTATTCTAACAGTATCTTTTGGACAAAAACTTTTAAATTATGATAATGTCTAATTTATCATAATTTTATGGATCATATTTTTGGTGTCATGTCCAAGAAATTTTTGTCTAAGTTAAGGTCACAAAGATTTTTATTGTAGGTTCTCCTCTATGTGTTTTATAGTTTTATATTTATGAATACGATCTATTTTAGTTTTGGTATATGATACAAGGTATGAATTAAAACTCTTTTTTTTATATACAGATGTCCAATTGTTCCAGCACCATTTGTTAAAAACCTATACTTTCTCTATTGAATTGCATTTTGCATTTTTGTGAAAAATTGCCTGTGTATAGTTACTGTATTTCTAGTATCTATTCTATTTCATTAATCTACATGTCTGTCTTTTCACCAGAATTACACTGTGTTATAATAAATCCTGAAGTCAGATAGTAGGAGTCTTCTAAATTTGTTCTCTTTCAGAAGTATTTTGGCTTTTTTATTCTTATGAATTTTCGTGTGAATTTAGAAACAGCTTGTGGATTTTAAAAGGAAATGTCTGCTTGGATTTGAATGGAATTGTGTTGCATCCAGATCACTTTGAGGAAATTTGTATCTTAATTCTATTGAATTTTCCAACAATAGACATGATGTAGCTCTCTGTTCAGCTCTTCTTTGATTTTTTAAATAGACATTTACAGTTTTTGGCACAGAATCTGTATATGTTTTGTTAGATTTATAGCTAAGCATTTTATGTTTTTGATGCTGTTTTAAAATTTTAATTTCCAACTGTTCATTGCTGCCATACAGAAATAAAACAGAAATACAGAAATACAGGGTACAAAATAAACTTGACCTTGTTTCTTTCACTCTAGATAGTATTGCTTATTAGTTCTACTAAGTTTTTGTTAAGTTCTTTGAGATTTTTCTCCACAAGCAATCATGCTAACTAAAAATAAAAACAATTTTGTTTTTATTTCATTTATTCCAATCTGGATGCCTTTATTGTATTTTTTTTTTCCTTTTATTGCACTGACAAGGACCTCAAGCAAAATCTTGAATATAAGTTGTGAGAGAGGACATCCTTGCTTTGTTCTCGCATTCAGAGAGAAAGCATCCAGTCTTTCCTTACTAACTGAGAAGTTAGCTAGAAGTATTTCAGAGATGCTCACTATCAAGTTGAGGAAGTTCTCCACTATCCCTCTATGCTGAGAGATTTTATCATGAGTGGATATTAAATTTTGTCAAATATTTTTTCTACATCCTGTGGGATGATTATATGGTTTTCTGCTTTCACCTGTTAATACGATAAATTACATCTATTGATTTTAAAATGTTCAACCAGATTTACATTTCCTGATATATTTAATCATAGCATGTTATCTTCTTTTTATACCTGAATTCAACTTGCTCATATTTTCTTGAGGATTTTCACATCAATTTCAATACTATGTCTCCTATTTTATGAGGAATATTATTGGGAGTTTCCTTTCCTTGCTTTCTTTCTTGTAGTATCTTTGTCTGGTTTGGGTGTCAGTAGAGTGCTGGCCTTACTGAATGATTTTCATGCAGTGTTCCCTCCTCTTGTATTTTCTGGAATAGTTTGTGTAGAATTGGTTTTCATGCTTTTTAGCTTAATTTACAATACCATATCCTTGGAAAGACTTTCCTGGCATTCCAATCTAAATTAGATTCCCTCTGCTATGATCTCTTTTAGTGTCTTTTTTTTCTTTGTAGGTTTTATTGTGATTTATAATTATAACTATATAAATGTGTTTTAGGCTTATTCCTGTAATGTTTTCATCTTGTTCCAAGAGTCCAGTCCCATTTCTTTGTTCATCATGATATACTCATTGCTTAGCACAGTATCTGATACATAATAAATATTGCCTGAATAAATAAATGAATATCTGGGGTTTAACAAATGTCATTATTTATTATTCATCATTACAGTTGTAAGCATTATACCTATAATTGCTTACTATGTATGTAACTTTACGATAGAGACAAGGAAAGCACTTAACACACAATAATAATGGATATTAAAACAACATAATATTGTAATATAACTAGATCATCACTTACATAGTCGTAGAGTTAGATTTTCCATAAATTACTTTAATCCTGATAAAAATGCTTTTGTGCTTTGTCATGTATTTTGAAAGAAAAACACAAAATTTTGTAAAATGTTAGCTCTCACATTTAGCCTTAGCATGAAAAAAAGAATAATTTAGTAGAAATGAGATTTTAGTTATTTAGCTTTCAAAAATTAAATATGACAAATTTAAACAAAGAACTTATGTTATGTAATACTGTCAATATTTTCTAACTTTATTTCTTTTTTCAAATAAAATCTACTAAATATACTTTGGTAACACAAATAGCAAATTGGTTATAACAGGAAACTACAGAGCATAAGGTCCAAATTTGGGGGCACTGGAGCAGCCTTATCTGCAGAGGCACACAAAGGAGAAAGATGACAGAAGTGTTTACAATTCTAGTGGCTTCCATTTCAAATACATTTTCAACTTGTTTCCAGGTAAACAGCTGCTGGAAGTTCTCTTTTGCAGCAGCATTAGTGGTTTTGGAGGGTAGAAGAGAAGTGACGCCTATGGTTAGCTAATTGAACACGATCTAGAAATGTGACATTAAGTTTAGCCCACAGCTAAACAATTTTACAATTTTAAGTTCAGCCTAAAGGTTTCTTTGTACATGGTGAAATGTAAGTTAATTAGACATGTAAACAGGCTGTCACCTACTCTTGTACCAATCACTGAGTTTCAGCCAATCCAAGGCAGCCAACTTTGAAAACCCATGTTTAAGTAAGGCAAACGCCAAGCTGGAACCAATCCTACTGTTTCTGTACTTCACTTCTGTTTTCTGCATATTTTCCTTTTTTCTGTCCATAAATCTTTGACCATCTAGTCCTGGACTCTCTCTGAATCTATTCTGTTTCAGGGACTGCACCATTAGTGAATTGTTCTTTGCTTAATTAAACTCTGTAAAATTGAATATGTCTAGATTTTATCTTTTAGCAGAAGAGCTCATGACTATGTTGAAAATAAAACAAAAAACCCCAAATCTAAATGAAAGCCAAAGTAACTTTCCCTTGCCAGCTGAGTTTCATTCATTCATTTTTTTTCAACAAACATAGAAGGCATAATATGTAGCAAGTGTTATGACAGGGGATAGAGATGAAATGCAGATCCCAATACATGTAGCACTTGTCTTCAAGGAGCTTTCAGTATAATGAAAAAATATGAACAACATACAAGAGATGGCAGAAAGTGACATTAAGTCCTTTGATATGGGATGTGCAGGGATTACGGTCATACAAACAGGAGGAATATTCACCTAGGTAGGGAGGAGTTATTTGGGGAAGGTTTCCTATTTAAGCTGATGTTTGAAAGATGTGTAGGAACTAAGTATACAAAAGGAGGTGAGGAGGGGAATGAGTGTTATGAGCAGACACATCAACACTGTTAACAACAACCAGTATTTTGGGGGCATATCCTAAATGAAAGGTACTATGCTAAGAATTTCACATGAGTAGTTGTAATCTCATTTGATCTTTACAGTGACCCTATGACTTGAGTGTTATTGTTCCAAATTTAGGAATGAGGATGAGGAAACTGGGACACACAGAATTTGGAAACCTGCCTCAGGTTACACAGGTAGAGCCAGGATTTGAAAAGTGTTGCTCTGTGAGTGGCTGGTTTCAGGAGGGAAGTTCAGAATAGCTGAAGTGCATGATGTGGATGAATGGAGGTTGTTAGAGGAGGGAAAAGGGGAAATGATGAGATATGATGTTGGAAAGGAAGGATGTAGAAGTCAGATTCCAAAGGGCCTTGCAAGCCTCATAAGGGAGAAACTTAAATATCACTTAAATGGTAGCCATCCTATCCGCACTTTAAATTCCTGCTTCAAAAGTATTTCTGGAGCTCCTTCATCCTACTTGATGTAGTGAAGAATATAGTCCTGGCTCAGCTGCTATGACTTAAACATGACAGACTGTATTCCAGTACAAACTGATTTTTGTTGAGGAGTTTTTACACCCTAGAGTAAAATAATCAGAAACAAACTTCCTTATATGAACTTATATCTTCCTGACAAACAGCATTCATTGACTATAGTTCTTTTTGCTGAAGTATATTTCTTTTATTTTAATCTTTGCATTAGATAGGACACAATGGACTGTCCTATTTTGTGGTAAGGGTAACTTGCAAATAATCTGTTATAAAAAATAAAGTGTTGCACTTTGTGAATGTTTTAATATAATTTAAAAAGTAAACTCAGATTTAAAATTTTCCTTATATATAACCATTATATTAGAATTCTCTTTTGAGTGGAAGAGGAAGAAGCGTTATTTTTAATACACATACTATTGGCTACGGAGGTGTTTCATGCATGACAATGACATTTGTCAAGTATATCAAGACAAATGATCAATGGACAAAAAGTGTGGCGCTCTGGGAGGGTGGGGGGGATCCATTTAAATAAGGAATGAGCTAGTGGTTACAGGAGGCTACATTCTTTTTTTGTTGTTTTTTTGATGAAGTCTCGCTCTTTCACCCATGCTGGAGTGCAGTGGTGCGATCTCAACTCGCTGCAGCCTACCAGGAGGCTACATTCTTAACCCTAGCAAATCACCTTATACTCAAAGAGCCAGGAAAAAGAGTATATGTACTAGGGGTTCTCCAAAGAAACAGTACTAATAGAGGAGAGAGAGAGAGAGATAATAAATAGATAGATGATATATAGATAGATAGGTGATAGATAGATGATCAATATATGATAGATGACAGATAGATGATAGATAATAGATGATTGATACACGATAGATGATAGATTATCAATATATGATAGATGATAAATAGATGAATGATAGATGATCGACAGATGAATAATAGATGATAGATGAATATGATAGATGATAGATGAATTATCGATATATGATAGATGATAGGTGATAGATGAATGATAGATGATAGATGAATGATAGATGACAGATAGATGAATGATCAATACATGATAGATGATAGATGAATGATCGATATATGATACATAGATGATAAATAGATGGATTATAGACAGATGAATGATAGATGATAGATGAATTATCGTTATATGATAGATAACAGATGACAGATAGATGATAGATAGATGAAAGATAGATGGATGAGATGAGATGATTTATGATGGGAATTAATGCATGGGATTATGGAGGTTCTTCTGAAATAAAATGGAAGTTTTGTCTTTGTGTCTGCTTGAGTACCTGCTCAGGAACCCTGACCGTAGTTCTAAGAATGCAACAAATTCTAATTTTTGGATTGCTAATTCAGGATTAAAGAGAATCCTGTACATTCCCACTTTATTATCAACCACCTTGAATGTGGAAAAAGGGACCTGTGAAATTATAGTTGAAGTGAGGGGTAAATATGGAGAAAAAGAAGGGAGCTTACCTGTATTCACTAGACTTTTATTTAGTTCCAGGGCTTATGAAGGGGCCCAAGAGAGTCAAAGCAGCTTTCTACAAATTCAGCTGTCACATTAATTTTCTCACACACTAGAGTTGCCACTTAAAAATATTAAAATAAAAAAACCAGTGTTGACCATCTAACAGGATTAGTTGACTCAGCTACTAAGTTACTAATTTGCTTCATTTTTGGAAGACATCCAGCATCTGAGAATTGGACTTTTCCTAGAAGTTCACTTGGTACCTTCGGATAAGTCCTGGTTCATCTGCAGAGGATCCGAGGGGAAAGCCTGATGGGACCCACGGCCGCTCTGAGAGGAAAGGGGTGCTGTTGGGTGCGGGAGGAGGAGCTGGGAAGCAGGAGAGCCCGGGACTGGATCCAGCTGGAAAGGGGGGCAAATGTGCTCCCGGAATCAGGGTAGGGACCCTCTAGGAATGGGGCGTTCCGAGAGGTAGGCGTCTGGAACATTGATTAGGGGTCCTTGGAGGTGATTTCTGGGAAGGGAAGGTCTGGGGCAGGGCTGTGAGGAGTCAGGAAAGAAACTGTGGAGTCCGTTCCTCACCCACCTCCTGAGCCCTAGGTTCCGAGGCTCCCAGGTCAGGGGGTTCAGTGGCGCAGGAGGGTCCAGGGCAGGAGTCGGTGAGTTGCCTCTCAGGTCCGCCTGTAAAGGAACTCTGACCCAGAGCGTGAGGGGGACCCAGGAAGCCGCTGCGCCCACCCAGGGAAAGCCCGCCCCACCCCATTGTCCCTGGATCCGGCGGCCCCGCCGCTTCCGTCCCTCTGGAGCGGGCGGCCCCGCCCCTCTTCCCAGAGTGGGCGGGGCAGCAATTGCCTGCTCAGCTTTCCTTGTGACGCCTCACACCCACCTGGACGCGCTGCTGCCTGGCCTCGCCTCCTTTCTCTGTCATCTTTCTCATCGACCAATGGACTTGGAGGATGGCGGCCACGCCCCCTATTCTGCGCTGTAGTAGGCCCTGGTTACGCCTCCTCTGGTCAGTCGCACAGTTGCGCGGTGGCCGACAGGAATTGTTCCCCAGTGGTAAGCCGCAATCTAGCTGACGTGGCCCCAACCCCACATTCCTTCCTGCCCTGCAATGTCTGAAGAAACCCTACAGAGCAAATTGGCGGCTGCAAAGAAAAAGGTACTATCGCCAGGTGATGGCCTCCCCCACCCAGCCCCAGAATCCCTCTGATGGCAGGACTGCGGCCAGAGCTCATGCCACTCCCGAGGCTTACTGGGCTGGGCCCCCAAGTGCCACTGGGCTCCCCCCATCAAAGTCTTGTCAGTCAGCCCCTCCCCTTAACAGCCCAGACCCTGCCTGGAGTGAGATTTGCTTATTTACCATGAAAGAGATCTTGGGAAACTGAACTTGACAGCTTGAATCTTCCTCATGTCTCAATCTGGGGGACTTTGAGTGTCACAGGGTAATATGGGGCATCTTTCTGAAGCATCAGTTTCCCTTGATTCTCTTCAGAGAGAAAAAACATTAATGGATTTAGGGATGACCGTCTCATAGATTTCTAAGAGTATACCAGACCTCTCTGAAATGAGGCTTGGGCTGTCCTCTTTCTGTTCAATTCCTAGATGTAACAGAAAGGCTGCCTTCTGCCGTGAGGACGCATGGGAAAAGAGTAACAGTAAAGAATCTGGTTTTTTGTGTGTGTGTTTTTTTGTTTGTTTGTTTGTTTTTGTTTTTTTAACCTTGCTCTGGAAGGGATGGGGTGTTTGGAGCCCATTCCTTTGGCCTTGGCTATTTGGACAGCGTTATTTTATAACTGTCCTTGAAATGAGCTTGCTAGGTGGAGGAAAACTTGTTCTTTTCTTTGTTTTTTTTAAACCCCTGCCTTGCCACATTCTGGGCCTTAGCTTTTACTTTTCTTGGAGTGAATACATGTAGTACTTATTATTATTTTTAAATTTTTGCCTCAGTTTCCCCCGTTTGATGATTTTTATGAAAGAAGTTTAATAGAAAGCATTACTATTACTTAGTTTTGCCTGAAGAGACAAGTTTTGTTTTTTTTTAACACAAAGGTTGATATTTACGCAGAGCTATTAGCTGAGTGTTGATTTTTCTAGCTACTATTGCCTCTATAGTTGATTGAATACTTCTAACAATGAGAGGTAACAGACAAGGGAGTATTAGGAAACTTTTTAGTGTGGCTAAAACCACTCCTATTAAAGTTTTGAACCCTCCAAAAAATGAAAACTAGCCTCCAAAGAGAGAATCTGGAGACTACTCTTTCCAAGTTTGAACTGGAACGTGGGCTAATTTTTTTATTTTTGTAGTTATTTTTATAATTGCTTTTTTATTATTTTTGATTTTCAGGCAACAATTAGTTAGATTGAATTTTTTACATACTCCTCCTTCGTGGGCTAGGGGGCAGACTAAAGTTAATCTGTTCTGATGGCGTTTTTTATTTTTGTGGTTTGCTGGGTTAGTAAACTTAATGCATTTGCTGTCTTATTAGTGATGATTTTAAGTACTGCCTGCAACCTTATGATGTGGTTAAGCATGTAAATAGGACTGCGGTATGCCTATGACTTATTTTGTGTCCAGGTAGCTGGCCTATAGTATTGAATTTTTTTTTTAGGGTGCCAATTTGTGCCTTTTTAATTTTTAATTTTTATATTTCTTCTTATATCTGTATTTTTTCAACTTTATTATAGATAAGATACCCTAAAGTTTCTCTCTGTTGCAGTGGGAGTAGGAAGAAAGACAGTCTAATTGTTCCAAGCACACAGGCCCCTGTTCATTTAGCTAGCAACTGTTGATATGCCCATGGCCCACAGATCTAATAAAGACCAGGGGATGCTTGCCAAGTATTTGGAGCTTCCAAATACTTGCAAATACTTCCAAATACTTGCTAAGTATTTGGATATTAAGTGTGGTTTAGAGAAGAGAAGCGGGAGAATGGGTCTGGATGGGGTGTTTTGTAGTTATCTCTGCCCTGCTACAAAGTTTTGTTTAATGTTTTATTATAATATTGCTGTTTTAAGCAGGTTAGTTCTCCTACTGGGTCTGTAAAAACTTTTCCCCAATGAGCAATACAGTATCTTTTAATAATAGAAGTTTTTAAGAGCCAGACGCTTGAACTTGTGGGCATCAGTCTGGGGAAAGAGTCAGTTAAAGTTATCTTGAGGCATTAACTCTTGCTTCCCAAGGCCATTGGTTTCCCATGTTAGTCCCTTTACAAACATAACATGAGGAAATGCCTAGGCTGCTGGCAATGTTTTCAGCCAGCTGAGCAAATAGGTTTTTGGTTAAAGGAGGAGGCTCTGGTAACTTCTGGTTTATATGTTCAAAGAATGACGTAAAGACTCGGAATTGCTGCTGGGCTGACTGCTTGGTTTGAGTCCTCTTTATAATGTATAAAGCTATTTTAGCTTTTTGACTGTAGCTTCGTAATGTCATGGAGTAACCTGTAGTCCATATAGGTATATCTGGCTTTAAGATAGTAAGATTTATAGGACTGTAAGTGTTTGTCTTACAATTTGGTTTTGCTGGTATTTTGATGAGCAAGATTCGCTTTGGCCTCGGTGATGATCCGTCAGTGAACTGCGTTGTGCAGTTCCAGCAAACTATTGCTAGGGCCTTGGAGGGACAAACAGGGGGTGTATATATAATTTTGTACTGGCAGTTTGTATAGTACCCTGTAGGACCAGAGACTGTGAAATAGGTTGGGTTCATGGATGTGAACTGACAAATATTAAAGTATATGGATATAGCCCCCCCGCCACTTATAAGACTTCCTTCCTTTGACTTGGTATGAATTTTAAACCAAGTCCCAGGTAAAGACTTAGGGTTATAGCATATATAAGGCTGGCCATTTCCAGGGTTATTAATTGAATAGGTGGTCTGATTGTAAGTACAAGTTTCTAAGCGAGTCTCTGTACATTTATAATACATATAGTGTAACAGGGTTTTAGTTGTACTGTTCCCTGACCAAGTAGTATGTGTACAGTGGGGACACCCTTCTATAGGTGTTTTTTTTAGTATGGTTAAGGGGGGGGTAACAACAGCAAAACAATGTACAGCATACTTATATTTAGTAAGGACAAAGGAGGTCTTTACTTGGGGGAGGAGGTTGAGCACAGTGACAGAACAAATAGGAAAATAGTATTACAGAAAAACTATTAGTTTTAAGATTTTTAATTACATTTACTTGCTTGACGAGTCCTCAAGCTTTGGCCGTGCGTAGACTAGTCAGCTTCCAATGTGTGATTAGAACAGGGCTTGTTTCCTCAAGCTTCAGCCGTGTGTAGACTGGTCAGCCTCCGGAGTGACCAGGGCAGGGTTGTTGTCCTCAGCAGCAGCTTGGTCTCGTCTCAAGATTAGCCGGGTTGAATGTTCTGGGTCCTGCTGGTTGGTTTACTTGTCCTGAGCTGCCGGTTTTAGCTGCCTGTGATGGATTCAAGGCATGATTCCTGTAACTTTAACAGCAGTGGCAGTGGACAAGATTACTGTATGGGGCCCATCCCACATGGGTCTTAGAGAAGTTGGGTTTTACTTTTTAACTGAAACAGAGTTACTAGGTTTAAAGGGGTGTGCTGGGTCTGTTAGACTTATAGGCATTTTTTCCCATACCCAGTCATGGACTTCTTGCATGGCTATTTTTAAAGCCTGCATTTTTTTTTTGAAGGTTAATTCCCCTAGTTCTTGGAGATTACCTTTAATTTGATTTGTGATTTGGGGGTGGCCGACCGAACAAAATTTTATAGGGCAAATACCCAGTTTGTTCGGTGGGGGTGTACCTGACTCAGAGGAGGTTCATAGGTAAAACCTGATTTTATTATAGATTAATTTCCTGGCAATAATTTTTTAGTAGCTGCTTGAGTGTCTGGTTCATGCGTTCCACTTTTCCTGAACTTTGTGGCCGATAGGCTGTGTGTAACTTCTATTTTATTTTTAACAGTTTTGTTAAATTTTGCACTATTTTAGCTATAAATGCTGGCCATTGTCTGACTTTAAAGTTAGAGGGAGTTCAAACTTGGGGATAAAGTCTTTTAGCAGTACTTCAGTCACTTCTTGTGCTTTTTTTGTCCTGGTGGGGAAAGCCTCAACCCACCCTGAAAAGGTGTAAATAAGCACTAGCATGTACCGATAGCCTCTGGCATGGGGCAATTTTATGAAGTTTATAAGCAAGTTTTCATAAAGCATGGCTCTTTCTCCTGTTTAGTTTCCCAGAGGAGGGGTTCCCCCCACTTTGTAACTTCATATAGTGACTTAGCCATTAGTGAGAAATTGGAATCCAGATATGGCAGAATCCTGCTGCCTTTAACTTGTAATGTGACTGTGGGCTTCTGGAAGCCTAATGAGAAGGTGCTCAGTCTGTCTCTAGTCTTTATATTTTTTAGCCCCTGCCAGCCCGGATTAGATCAGTATTTTTTTTTTTTTTTTTTAGGGTGTGACAGCTTTTAGCTGGTGACTTTTTTATACCACAGCCTTTACTACTCTCTTTATTACCTTCTGGACATTTATTTTTTTTAGTGTCCTTTTTTTTGCATCTCACGCATTGATCTTTTTTTTAACCTTGTCTGGCTCTCGAATCCTTGCTTAACTTGACCTCTTTCATGTCTATGCCCGCGTCCACGTCCTCTCACATTGTTAATTTCTCTTTTTATAAGAGCTGTTGCCAACAGATTGGCCTTTTTCTTAAGCCTTTAATTTACATTTTTCTTTTTCTTTTTGAGTTCTCCTGCTCCTGCGGCTGGCTGGTGGGGCCGGACAACGGCACGGGCGCTGCCCCTATGCACTGCCTTCTATTTTTTCTATTTTTTTCCAATTTTTTTTTTCTTTTTCCTTTCCTTTTTTACACTTTTATTTTTTTCTTTTCTTTGCTCTTCTCCTGGCGCTGGTTCCCGCCCCCTCTTTTTCTAGATAGAGCTGGGCTGGGGAGAGGGACTTAACCCTTGGCGTGCCTAGCTTGTTACTTTTGCTCTTTCCCATTTTGTTCCTTGGTTACAGTTAACATATACCTTGGTGGCCACTTTTATAAGTTGGGTGGCATTCATGTCTGCAGCTTCTGCTTGATGTTACCCTGGGCTTGCCTGACAAATGCTGTGTTCACCACGTGCTGATTTTTGGCAGCCTTAGGGTCAAATGGGGTGTAAAGCCAGAATGTTTTACAGAGTCTTTTATAAAACTAACTTGGGCTCTCGTTAGCTCTCTGAAGCACTTTTGAAATTTTCCTTATATTAATTGTTCTCTTTTTACCAGCTCTTTACCCCTGTAAAAGCGACCTCTTTGTACCTCTGCAGGCGCTGAAGCTGGGTCCTGATTGGGGTCTGCTTCTGGGAACCAGCCTTGAGCATGTGCTTGAGCATTCACTGCTTCTGCTAGTGCATGGGCTTCTAGCTAGCGGAGAGCTGCTTATGTCATTCTCTGGCACTCTTTAATGTTAAACAACGTTAGGAAAAGCTGCCTGCAATTTGGCCAGGTTAGATTATGTGTCAGAAAGATGGAATGCATCAGATTTATAAGAGCTTGGGGCTTCTCCGTGTAGGAGGGTGTGTGGTGTTTTCAGTTTAGTAGATGAGTGGTTGAAAAGGGCTGATAGAAGAAAGTCCGTTGCCCCCCCGCCACTGGGATGTGGCCCTGGTCATTATAATAGATGGGTCTTCGTATCTCCCTGAGAGGCATTTGTATAGCTCGAGCACAACCAGATTTGGGACGGCCTGCTTGACTATTTTGACTTCCTTCCTTAGCCTCTTGAGGCTCCAGTCTTTCCCTTTGGGGTGAGACTTGGAGCATGCTGGCTCCTGAATCTGGTTTCTGGAGAGCTGGAGCTGTTGGCCTCGGTAAAGGGGGGTAGGCTGGGACATATGGAAGGAGAATTTTTGTTCCCTCTGGTGGCTCCTATAAACTAGCTTCTTTTGCTTTTTCTGGGACTTTTCCTTTAACTCTGTGTCTGCCGGCGAAGCTGTTTTTATTTTTATTTTTGGCTTTTTGTAATAAGCCATTAAACAGGGCTGGATTTATGTCGGTTTTGTTTATATTATATTTAACCATGAGTCAATTTAAAAGAATTTGGTCTGGGTGCCCTGGCTGTCCTCTGACCCCTGTCACCACCTTAAATATATGGCTAATTGTTTTTTAGTTTACAGTTCCTTTGGTTGGCTATTTAATACTAAAAGAGGGTTATTTTAATTTACAGAGAGTTTTTAACTTTTGGGGGGTTAACTTAACTTTATAATTTTCTGTAAAACTTTTAAGTTTTTAAATATATATTTTAAGGGACTAGGTTTTGATGAGTTTTTTCCCATTTTCTCCCAGTTATGATGCTGCACATTTACTTTTGTACAGTTATTTTTCTTCTCATTTTGGCCGACTATATGCTGTCTCCTATTACAGGAGTTTTCAGACGCTGCTTGGCTTTGGAGAGTTTTTTATTTTTGTTATAACTTGGAGTTGTAGGGCAGCTCCTATTAGTCATATGTAGATTGTTATTAGTCTCAGTTTGCCCCACAATTTTCTTGGAGCATACAGTTTACGTTAAGAGATTTGTGATTTCTTATTTTGCGACTGATGAGCCTAATTAGGTCCCTCCATTTACACACTTTTATATACTTTTAGTTCTCATGTTTGTACCTGGGGTGGCAAGCCACTTTTGCTACCTCTAGTTTTGCAGTTGGGGTGGCGAGCCACTTTTGCCACCTCTAGTTTTGTAGTTGGGGTGGTAAGCCACTCTCGTCAGTTTTCTAGCTGACTTAGTGAGCTACTTTCGTGTCCTGTGTCAGCTGGGGTGTGAGTTTTATCTGAATTGAGCCACTCCTGTTGCCCCCAGCCCCTCTGGGTCGGACTATTTGGCACACCCCGGGAGGCGATTA
The DNA here is from genome assembly GCF_000001405.40 of Homo sapiens. Classification (NCBI taxonomy): domain Eukaryota; kingdom Metazoa; phylum Chordata; class Mammalia; order Primates; family Hominidae; genus Homo; species Homo sapiens. Next base: position 22,525,652 of record NC_000019.10, on the reverse strand, counting down.
GCTTTCTTTCTGTCCCTATGGGCGGGTCCTGCCTTGGGCCCCCAAAACCTTACTGTGGTTCCTGAAGTGCTCTGTTTCTGAAATTGTCCTGTAGTTCTTTTCAGGTTTTGTCGTGCTGCTGCGTAGGGGGAACCAGGTCAGGGGAAAGCTGATTTCCCCTCCGGGCTGAAGATTTTCTGGTGGCACCTGGGGTCACAGGTTTCCCCTGGCCCAGGGCTCCAGACCCCAGAGGCAAAGGAGACAGTCAGCCTGCAGTCTCCGGTCCCTTCATGGCTGCCAAAAATGTGGTAAACTGAGGAACGGAGAGACCAATATGGAGTACAGGAGGATTGTTGTTTATTTTAGGTACGCACCGGCTCAGTGGATTTATATTTAAAAAGCTGAACATTGAACAAAGTCAGAGTGGGGTTTTTGTAAGCAGCCTTACAGAAGCAAAACAAAAGCAGTTAATTATACAGTCATAGGTCATGTAATCTATAGCATAAGTTGTGACCTTGTATAGTTGGTGACCTTGTAGCTGCATTGAAAGAAAAACAAGACCTGGATAAATATAGACATTTGTAAAACATAATAATGCTTAAGAAGCCTGGGAAAAGAGTAACAGTAAAATATATATATATTTTTTTTAACCTTGCTCTGGAAGGGATGGGGTGTCTGGAGCCCATTCCTCTGGCCTTGGCTATTTGGACAGTATTATAACTGTCCTTGAAGTGAGCTTGCTAGGTAGAGGAAAACTTGTTCTTTTTTTTTTTTAACCCTTGCCTTGCCACATTCTGGGCCTTAGCTTTTACTTTTCTTGAAGTAAATAAACGTAGTACTTATTATTATTTTTAAATTTTTGCCTCAGTAAAAACTGTAAAGTCAGATGCGACTGCAGGGACTTCTCATGAGAATTCCTGCTCTTCTTTTCCACAGATAAGAAACTATCAGTGGAGGAACAGCCTTGGTGTTCCTAGAGGAGCGAAAGAGAAAATTTAAAATGGCAGTAACCCTGAGACAACCACTTCTGGTGGTTGCCACTCACCTGGGGATGTGAGTCTTGGCTGGCCAGGCTCCTGGGGACAGGGGGCCCAAGGGCAGTAGAGGGTAGTTGTTTAGATTGTGGAAGAACTGTTGGGTCCTGGTTAAGAATTCTGTGTTTTAATCCTACCTCTCCAGCTGCTAAGGATATGATGTAGGGCAAATTACTTGATCTCTTTGGGCCTCTCTTTTCACATCTGTAAAATAGGGGTGGTATTGTTTGACTTACACTTGTGAAGCTTAAATGAGATTTGTTATTGTTGTTTTTAGGTTAATGCCAAGTACAGGGCCTGCCATAAACACCCAAGGCACCCAGGAAATGACAGTTGCTGTTTCATTTTCCTCATCCCCAGTCTCAAGGGGAAGCCAGGCCAATGAGAACAGCCACTTGCCATCAGGCTGTCTTTTTTGGAGTCACCGAAAGGGCCCCAGGATGTGGTGAGGAGAGCCCCAGGCACTAAGATTAGGAGAAGATCTAACTTTTAATCTCATCTTTGCCGCCAGCGTGCTGGGTGACCACAGAAAAGTCACTTCTTCCCCTGGGCCTCAGTTACCTCCTCTGTAAGATGACATTGGATAAGATCAGTGTGTTCAAACTTGTTTTTTTTGCGGGAGTCCCCTTTGTTCAAGTGAACCCTTACTCAAAAGTCTGGTTTTTAAAATGGAAGTGGAGGTCTGGTGCTCTGCCAGATTCATCCCCACATCCTGGGCCTGAGGAGAGGGATCCAATGAGAGTATTCAGAGTGGCATCGGTCAGGTGACTCCACCCTGTGTGACTGCATCGCTCAGGGGACTTCTCCATCTATTTGTTTCTGCCCCTGGCAAGGCAGCAGGCAGCCATTTTGAAGGCCAGACCATGGTCTTGATCTCCTTTGCTCTTCTTCAGCATTTCGTTTCCCTAAAGCTACCTCTTCCTCCTCCTCTGACTCTCTTGCCTCTCTCTAAGCCACTTCTGTCTTTCTCCCCCTGCCCTTGTTCTACCCTTTTCACCTCCTGTAGATTCAGGACATTCTGAATGTCCTGGTGTCTGACCTTAACCGTTCCAATGGGGTAGTGCTCCCCACACTGGACAAGTGGAAGGTGAGGCAGTGCCAAGATCCCTCTCTGACTTGCTCTCTCCAGCTGTGCATGCCCCAAGGCTCCTCTGGTTTGGGGGATACTTTGCCTCTGGCTTATTTTATGTTGCTGCCATTTCCCTTCTGCCTGTTTATGTCTGCTTCTTCACCTATTTGATTGATTGGGTTTTTCTTTTCCTTCACCCACATCTTTTATTATCTTGGAGAAAGTGAGACATATCTTAAAGGTTAGAGGTAATTTGGGAATAACTTTAAGGGCAGGCATATGGAATTTGGGGCTTTTTTTCTTAGAGACAAAGTCTCACTCTCTCGCCCAGACTGGAGTGTAGTGGTGTGATCTCAGCTCACTGCAACCTCCACAAATTCAAGCAATTCTCCTGTCTCAGCCTCCTGAGTAGCTGGGATTACAGGCGCCTGCCACCACACCTGGCTAATTTTTGTATTTTTAGTACGGACGGGGTTTCACCATGTTGGCCAGAATGGTCTTGATCTCTCGACCTCATGATCTGCCCAACTTGGCCTCCCAAAGTCTGGGATTACAGGTGTGAGCCACTGCACTTGGCCCTGAGTTATGCTTCTTAAGCGTCTATCTCATCATCTCTTGATTTAGGGATAATTCTATCTGGTGCTTGTGTAACAGGACAAGCCACAGACAAAACCCTTCAGACACCGAGTTAAAGAGGGATGCGGTTTATTTGGCTGGGAGCATCGGCAAGGCTCCTGTCTCAAGAGCTGAGCTCCCTGAATGAGAATTCCTGTCCCTTTTAAGGGCTCACAACTCTAAGGGGGTGCGTGTGAGATGGTCGTGATTGATTGAGCAAGGAGGGGGTACATGACTGGGGGCTGCATGCACCACTAGTAACCGATTAGGTCAGGGGTCGATCTTTAACTACCAGGCCCAGGGTGTGGCGCTGGGCTGTCTGCTTGTGGATTTCATTTCTGCCTTTTAGTTTTTACTTCTTCTTTCTTTGGAGGCAGAAATTGGGCATAAGACAATATGAGGGGTGTTCTCCTCCTTTATTCAGAGTTCTCTTCTCTAGGAATTAGTGTGTGGAGACTCTGTATACTTGTGATTCACTGCTAAATATGAAATTTCCCAATCCAGCAGCAAACAGCAAAGAGCTGGGTTAAAGTTGTGCAGACTGGTTGAAACACTTAGCCAGACTTAAGCGGCCTGGGTGGGACCATCACTCCCAAAGCTGTCAGCAGAGAAAGGCCCTCTGTGTCAGTCAATTCAAGCCTGGTATTGCTTTGCAATTGAGTCCTCATCCCATGGGGGAAGGTCTCTGGGGGCTTTTCATTCCTTTATACTAGTGTTCTGGATATAACTTCCTGCTTCCCACTTTCTTTTTTGATTTCTCAGAAGACCAGTGTCTCCCTGTAAACCGTGGCCTTCTGTGCACCGAGCTCAGTGGCTCTTCCCCACCAAAACTCCTAAGAGAAGTCATCTCTCCCCAAAAGGATCCCCACAAGATGTTCTGGCCCTCTGCTGACTGCTCCCTGGAATCTGCATCTCAAGCACTGAGAATGCTGTGCTCTCCATTGGTCACCTTCAGACTCCATTTCCCTGCTGCCAAGTCTTCTCTTCTGCCCTGTGTATTCCATGGTGAACCCCTTAATGTCTGTTCTGTGCCACTAGCTTGGCCCTGGGCCTTTTATTTATACCCGAGTCTTACAACGAAGAGTGTCCTGAGCAGACAGTGTCCACCTTCTTTGCTCTTCCGGGTCCTGAGTGTGCTCCTTTCCCTTTTGCAGGTCTATTGGACATAGTAATCCTGTGTGCTGGGGAGGGGTAGCCAGGCCGGCTACAGAGTCTGCAATGCAGGGGCTTGGGGAGGTTTGGGTTCTCTCTGCCACCACTATTGAGATGATATTCAGAAGAGAGAGGACCTCATACTGTGACCAGACCCAAGACCCTTCCTGGAAGACAGCTCAGTCCAGCTGTGTGTGTGTGTGTGTGTGTGTGTGTGTGTGTGTGTGTGTGAGAGAGAGAGAGAGTTATGTGTGTGCTGTGCTCATGTGCACCTGGGTGTAAAATGACTGTTAGCTGGTTGTGTTACTCAGGGTGGGCTGGGGACTCACTGGAAGAATCCCCCCAGCCTGCCCAAGACAGGTTTTTTCCTTGTGCCCTCTTCAGAGAGGTCAGGGAAAGAGGGTCCAGGTGGGCAAAGGCGGAGATGCCGCAAATGATTAACCACTAAGGCCAGACGGCTGCCAGGAGGAGTGGGGGTTGATGAGGTGGCCCCAGGGTCTGGGCAACTGGCTTTGGTTTTCCATCTTCTTTCCTCAGGATGCCCCTGAGGCCTGGGACCTGTGCCTGGCTTTGAGGAGCATCTGTGGCTTGGCGATCCAGCTGCTGGGGTGATGGTGGGCTTCCCTTCTCTCAGCAGGGCTGGAGTTCTTGCCCCAGAGACTGGACAAGTGGCTGTTTCTGTGACATATTTATTTTTACTGGCGTTTCATGTTGCTTAAAAAAAAAAAGCAAACAGAAAAATTGTAAGTCAGTATAATTGCCTATCAGTTTTCCTTATTTCACTTTTTGTAAGATAAAATTAAAACTCCAGAAGACAGTGTTATTTGATCAAGGAATGGTCTGGACACCGGGTTGGCTGGGTGGTAGTGAAAAGAATAGATCTTAGAACACAGTGGGCTCTGCGATAGTCCTTGGGTGGTGAGACAGGCAGGAACAGAAGGAAGATTGCTGGCAGTTTCTTTGTTACAGTGGGGTTCACTGGGCTTTTTCTGCTTTTGTTTACCTGAAGAGGGATGTATTTCCAGGCTCCAGGGGAAACAGCAAGCTGACTTCAGAGTGGCTTGAGGCTATGTGGGCCTCAGCCATGACAAGTCCTGCACAGACAGCCCTGACCAGACTGCGAACGGCTGGGGATTGGGTGCAGTGCCTTCAGAGGGTGGGAGATGGTTGTAAGGGATAATTGGAAGGACAGCCAAGAAAGGAATGAGGCCAATAGACCCAAGTTCAGGCAAACTGATTTATTGTCAGTCCTGCCGGGCTATCTCTTGACAAAAGCAGAGGAGGCAGCCCCACTTATAGGCTGGAGCAACGTCTTACAGGGCGTAGAACTGGGTCAGGGTGAAGGAAAAGGAAAAGCGGGGAGGGGGGAGTCCTTTGTGCCGTGTATCTGACCGCTTCCTGGAGATGTTTTTCTTGCCAGTTCTGTTGTGCAAGGTAGACATCTTAACCGCATCCTGGGACAGCTGGCCTCTGGTCAAACAGTTATAGGCAGGTTTGGGGTAGGGGGTTTTATTTTTGGCCTTTGGGGCTTAGTCTATGGAAGGGGGAAACAGTCCAGTTGGGTGGACCTTAGCAATGGTGTATCTGTAAGTGGCTGGTGGCAGCGACAACATTCTTACGCTGCATGTGTATTGTTCAGTTGTCATCTGTGTTGGGGAATCTAGCCACTGGCCCACAGAGAGTTAACCAGAGCTTGGGAGTGTGAGAGGTGGGAAAGAGGGAACCATCTACTCCAGCTTCCTGTCTAATTTCTTCAAGGGGAGGGGCCCTGGGGAAACAATTCTGTGGAAATGTATAAAGGAAGATAGAGAAAGAATCTCTGTAGGGATTCCTTGGGCAGAGGAAGGCAAGAGGAGATGCAGGCCACGTCTGGGCTCATGATAGGGAAATCTGTGCTATGGGGAGATGGGACTGGGAGTGAAGGGTGGGTGCGGCAGATGGCTGGGCCAGCAGGTTTCCTGCCACCTGTTAAAAGGGGGTGGGGGTCGGGTAAAGAGAGTGCCTTGCAGAGTAGGCTGCTGCCTCCCGGTGGTCAGCCGCGGCCTTGCATGGATCTTGCCAAGGGAGTTTGCTTGGCGCTGTTGGAAGCGGCCTGAGATGAAGCTGGGCAGGCTGATGGCCTGCTTCCCCCGTTACCGGCAGACTCTCCTTTCACGAAGGAGGTGCTGAAGCTCCTGAGGCACGTGCTGAACTGTGATGTGGGGCTCTGGAGTTCCCCAACCACGCTAAAGGAAGTGAGCAGAGAGGACAAGATGAAGAATGGGCGCCTCCTTACAATGGCTTCCTGGGAAAAGTTGACCACCTCCTGAGAAGCAGGAGAACTGACCAGCAGACCCTGCAGGCAGAGGCTGTTAGTCTCTGAGCCAGTGCCATGGTCCCCTTTGTGTCAAAGGAAATGCTCCCAAGTGAAAAGCCTGCCCGCCTGGGGCACCTGAGCTGAGCGTTTGACGGTGTGCTGGGCGTTCATAGGTAAAATAACTGCCGCGATCTGCACTGACCCGGATCGCAGTGCCTGTGAGGGGCCAGCTACCTATTCCGCCGGTCTGCCTGGAGGGCTGGGACAGGCTTGGCCCTGTGGACCAGGTTCCATCTCCCCTGCCTGCGGAAGGAAGAACGTGAAGCAGAGAGAAAGGAAGCGGGATGATGACTGCCCCTGTGTGCCCAGCCTGCTCTTTGCTAATGCAGTAGTGGGATCCACAAGGTGAACCACCCCATGATTACTGACTGTTTCCACCACCAGTTTCCTGCCATCATCAAGGAGCTTACACTTGACCTGGGAGTCACCTAAGCTATCGCTAACCAGAAAGGCAGACCAGCCTCCCCCAGCCACCACCAGGGCACTGAGGGAGGAGCCTGGAAGAAGGGCATGTCCCTGGGATGTGGACTCCAGGAGGGCGGAGCCTTGGTCTTGTTCACTGTATCCCCAGCCCCTAGAATTGCCCTGGCAGGGAGTGATCATAAATGTTGGATGGATGAATGTGCTCACGGAGCGGGGAGGGGTGGGTGGAGGCAGGAAGCAGATATTTGGATCCACCAGCTTCTTCCGCGAGCCCAGACTGGGCTTAAGCTTCCTCAGCCATGCCTTGCTTGGTTCCCAAGTCTGTTGCGAAGCTACAGTGAGAGAAAGTGGCAGGACTAACGGTGCTACAAATGTCTGAGGCGGATACTGCTGTGCCGTGTCTCCCTAGCCTGTGCAAACGCTCCTCCTCAGCCTCAGCTCCCTGGCCCCAGCCTGGCCTTCTCCTGCGGACCCCGGTGCCAGGCTGTCACTGAGGTGCTCTTGCCGACCCAGATCCCTTGGGTGCTGCTAAATCAACCTCAGCAATTGCAGAGTTTGCTGGAGGCGGGAAAGTAGGCCGCGGTTTCCACCCCAGCCAGCTCTGGGTCCCCGCACACGCCCGTTGCTGTGGAGACGGGGCGGGGAGGCATCAGCCCTCCGGGTCCCGCGCGCTCAGGCCATGGGTAGAGCCACGCCCACGGCCACGGCCACGCCCAGGGCCCAGTTCTGCCAGAGAGGGGGCGGATCGGCGTGCGTGGCGGACGGTGTCGGAGACCCGGCCGGTCCGGAGCCGGGGCCGGGCTGGAGTCGGGGCGTCCCCGCTGGAGCGTGGGTCTGGGACCCCCATCCTACCCGGCAAGACCTCAGGACTATCCCCAGTGACCCCAGCGGCCCGGCCGCTCTTGGAGTCTCGTCTTGCCCACTACTGGCCCCGGCAGGGTCCGAGGGCCTGGATGCGACCTTGGGGCAGCACCCACCCTTCCGGGCCCACTGCCAAGGCCGCAGGCTCAGGGCACGCCCGGGGCAGTGGAGCTGGGGAGGGAGGCCCGAGTCGCGTTTTAACTCTGCCCTGTCCCCCAGGGCCGCGCCTCTCACGCGGGCTGCAAACTTCAGCGTCGCTGAAGTTACAGATGTGCGGGACTCGGCAAGGAGGTGGGAGACAAGAAAAGCTGTAAGTTAACAGGCGAGGACAGGGTGAGCAGGGGCTGGAATCCGACCGCGCGAGGCGGTGGCCCCTGCACCTCCAGCACTGAAGTTTAGCCTGCGGCGGGGACCCTAAAGGACCCGGCCTCCGGGCCCCGCGCACGGGGTCGGCAGCAGGAAGCCCGCGGGGACAGCCTTCCCTGACGCTCGCCCGCGCCGACCTCTGAGCGGAGGGGACACCCAGGCTTGAGAGAGGGCGCAGCCCGGTCGGCGGCAGTTCCTGGGCGCCAGGTGTGCCTGAAGCCCTCCAGGAAGAGGGGCGTGACCCAGACTCTAGGGAAGATCCCTGACACTGTGAATCTAGGTTTGGCTTCTGATTTCCCCCAAGGGGGTTGAGAGTGGGGCGAGGGTGCTTCAGAGGCCCCGGGGGGCTTTCCCTGAAGAAGGGAGTCAGGGCGTGGTGCTCGGCTCAGAGGTTATTTCCTGTTCCGGAGTGACTGTTCCTTTTCAGCTCCCGGCATTGAAGCACTCGTACCGGCCACACTGGAGGCCATGAGTTAACTAACGTAAGCCTGGAGTTTCAGGCAAGCTCCCAGCCCGTCTTCCTTTTCTCTTTTCTTTTTCTTTTTATTTTTTTGAGATGGAGTCTCACTTTGTCCCCCAGGCTGGAGTGCAGCGGCGAGATCTCGGCTCACTGCAGCCTCCGCCTTCTGGGGGTTCAAGCGATTCTCCTGCCTCAGCCTCCCGAGTAGCTGGGATTACAGGCGCGCGCCAGCACACCCGGCTAATTTTTGTATTTTTAGTAAAGACCGGGTTTCACCATGTTGGCCAAGCTGGTTTTGAACTCCCAACCTCTGGTGATCTGCCCGCCTTGGCCTCCCAAAGTGCTGGGATTACAGTCCTGAGCCACCATGCCCGGCCCCTTTTCTCTTGAATACAGGGGAAATTTACATTACCCCTCCCCGTGCTGACCAAAGCCCTGGGGCCTGCAGGTGCATTTTTCCCCTTTCTGAACAGTTTGGGAGGTGAGAAGAAGAGAAAGGTGGATACTAAGTTCCCTTCAGGGGACAGGAAGTGCTCAGCTGAGATGGCAGATCAGAGTGAGGGCTTGTCATTCCCATGGCAAGTGGGGGGCCTAGATGCTAAGAGTTTTGCAGCTTTGGGCTCAGAGATGTCCAACAAAGATTAAATTCTTGAGTCTTTCTGGAAGCCAGTCACCAGAGAGGAGAGAGGAAGTGGAAATGGGGGCCTGGAGTCTGAGTGTTTGGGTTCATGTTGCCTGCATTTTGGTCCACGTGGCTCTGTTTAATACCTGTGTGACCTTGTGCAAGTCTCTTAACCTCTAACCTCTTGCGCCCTTAGCCATACCTGTCTTGTCGGATTGCTTTGAGGATGAATGAAGCAGCTGTGTTTCGACACTTAGTGCCTGGCGTATAGTAAGTGCTCGGTGGAAGATTTCTTATCATTATCATCAAAGACAACAGGAATGAAACTAACTGGAGACAAGATGAGTAGGACAGGCAGAAAAGAGAGAGAGATACTGATGGGTAGGAGCACAGATGGCTGAGACCAGTGGGCAGCACCTCTGTGTCCTGACACCAAAAGTTTAGAAATTTACTTTACCTTTGCCGGGCCCGGTGACTCACGCCTGTAATCCCAGCACTTTGGGAGGCTGAGGCGGGCAGATCACCTGAGGTCAGGAGTTCGAGACTAGCTTGGCCAACATGGTGAAACCCATCTCTACGAAAAATACAAAAATTAGCCGGGTGTGGTGGCAAGTGCCTGTAGTCCCAGCTGCTCAGGAGGCTGAGGTATGAGAATTGCTTGAACCAGGGAGGTGGAGGTTGCAGTGAGCCAAGATCGCACCACTGCACTCCAGCCTGGGCAACTAGAGCAAAACTCCATCTCAAAAAAAAAAAGAAAAAAAAAGAAAGAAATTTACTTTGCCTCTTTGTGAGCAAATACTGTGTGTTCATTGACTCCAAAAATAATTTTTTTAAATGTAAAATCAACACCCAGAACCTACAGGGAACAAATATTTCCACAGAGCTAAGTTTTCCACAAAGCTGCAGTGTGGCCTTTTCAGCTTCAAAACCTTTTAAATGTTAAGTATTAGTTTTAAATAATTGGGGTGGGAATGTTCCCCCAGTGGGTCACATGCTTCCCTTCCTCTTTAAACAGTATTCTCTGGGCTACAATTCCCCCCTCTCCAGGCAACTCAGGTCAAGGCCTCTGTGTAAGAGGGTTAGGCCTCTGGTCCCGAGCTGCCTGGAAACCTAGGCAGCCTGCCTGGAATAGCTCACACAGTGGTTCTGTGTTGTGTTCCTGGGCCCGCTCTTGAACAGCTTCCCTTCCTCTATGCGTAACTGTTACTGCTTCCTGTTCTGAGACTCCCCTTCTGGCAACCTTTTCCTCTCACTCCTCACTGTTTCTTCGGGGTAGAAAATTAGGATGAGGCTTGTTAACATGGGTGGTTCAAGTCTGGGAAGCTTAATGGTGGACTTTGTTCTAGCTGCTCAGGCCATTTTGCTGTGGTCTTCCCTCTGGTTCTGGATGGGTGAGCTTGCTGGAGAGCAAGGTCCCTGCAGGCCAGATGTACTTAGCAAAGGAGAGTTTCCTATGAAATTCTCTTCCCGTCTCACATTTCCCCCCAGGGAATTTTGTTCCTTATGGTTTCCCTGTTTGTTGATAGGTGTGTGGACCCTGGTATTCGTCTGCCCTCCCTCTGGCAGTAGCCCCTGAGGCTTCAGGAGGCTGGACTGGCAGTGTGGCTCTGCTGTGGGAAAGAAGTGGTATTGTGGAGGAAAGGCAGGCTGGCTGGCATCTGGCACATCTTGGGGGAGACTTGTCCAGGCAAGGAGTATGGTATTGTGGAAGAAAGGCAGGCTGGCTGGCATCTGCCATATCTTGGGGTAGAGTTGTCCAGGCCAGGAGTATGTCCCTGGATGACTCACTTCTGTGCCCCTCTGTGACTCAGTTTCCCCAGGTGTGACCAGGGCTGCCAGCTGACAGGTAAAGCTGTTCTGAGATCCTCACCTACTGTGATTAAGAAATAAAGAGGCTTGTGGCTTCAGTCATCCTTTATAGCTCTCTTCTAGGTCACTATGTGCTGACACCTCTGGCCCCTCCACCTCCTGGGTCAAAGCACCCAAGGCAGGGCTGAGGAGCTGGGGGCAGAACTGGTTGGTGGTCAGGTGGGCACATTGTTGGAGATGGCTACCAGCCTCCTCTCCCTTCTTTCTCTGTTGCAGCTGCCTTGGGGTGCGGTGCAGGGGTCCAGAGCCATGTCGGACCTGTTACTGTTACTACTGGACCTGACTCTGTTACTGCTGCTGATGCTGCTGGGCTTTGCCGGGTACTCAGGGCAGTTGGCTGGGGTGGCAGTGAGTGCCGGCTCACCCCCCATCCCTACAAGTTCCATGTGGAGCCCTATGGTGAGACTGGGTGGCTTCTCACCAGAGCTGCAGCATCTCCCCCAAACTCTGCTCCATCGCTGTCCACTAGGACAACCCTGCATGGTAAGGAGCCTCCATGGGGTTCTGCCCCATGGATGGACCTAGTGGGCCAGGGCTTCTTTGGGGAGGGTAGTTTTGGTTGCTGAGGAAAGGGTAGGAAAATCCTCCAGCTGGCCCTGCAGACCCCTCCCCTGTGAGCTTGAAGCGCCTTCCAGATTTAGCCTGGACTTCTGCCCCGGGAATCCATTTGCGGGCTTTCTACTTGTCTGAGTCTAGTTCTCCTTGCCCACGGCTACTCAAGGATTTTCAAATACAGTGGATGATACCACTATGAGTCCCTAGCTTCTGCCAGACTTTGGTCCGCTGCTTCCTCTTGTTGTCATCCCTCTTTCCATCTCCATTTGGGGCCAGTGCTATCAGCCCAAGCCATTCAGATTCTGGCCACTCTTTGGGCTTATGTCATGCTGTTTCTGTGCTTTCCACCCCTCAGCTCTCCTGCGGTAGTTGTAGGCCCTTGAGGGCTAAAAGGGCAGGGTTAGGGGTCAGCAGAATGGCTGAAGAGGTAAGATTCCAAGCTCCATACCCAGGGGATATGGCATTTCCTTAGACCTCAAACCGCCTAGTTGGGAGAGGGCCTGGGGATCTAGTGGAACCAGATGAGCAGCTCAGAATGTCCAGAGTACTGCAGTCATAGATGAACCCAGCATCACTAGCACCCCATGGGCGTCTGGCTGTTCTTACAACCTATGGTGAGTCAGGGCTTGCCAATGTAGCCTCTTGCTATGCTGTGGGGTGGCACTGCCGCAACTGGATGGGCTGGCAGTTCTGCCAAGGGTTCTTCAGCCTCTAATACTGAGCCTTGCCAAACTAAGCACGAATCCCCAGCTCTGACAGTTTTTTTTGCCTGGAAAGCTCAAGTGGACAAGCCCTACGGCCTACCCAATGTCTGCTGACCAGGCTCACTGGGCAGTCAGTTAAAACAGGGTGTGCTGGTTCCCTCTCTGTGCCAGGTTCTGCTCTACACCTATACTCCAGAGATGAATCAGACCTAGCCCTGCCCTCAGGAAGCTCTGTGAGGCTGGGAAGTCAACCCCACACAAGTGGTTCTCCAACAAGACACGGTGCTTGATGTCCACAGAACTTTGAGCTGTGGGTTCAGGGATGCTGCCATGAGTCTGCTGGGGAGCCTCGGGGAAGGGGTAGCTGGGCCTTCTCATGTAAGTAGAATTTTGCTCTGTTGGGAAGGGCCACTTACTTGGCCAAGAAAACTGCAAGAGCAAGAGCCTGGAGAGATGGGGTGACTGGAGAGGTGTGGGTAGTGGACATGTGGGTAGAGAAAGGTGGAAGGGTTCGCCCAGCCAGGTGATGGATAGGCACAGTAGGTTGGAAGGAAGGGAATGGCACAATTGCCACCTTTGTTTTAGGAAGTTAGCTGAACGGCAGGGGGTGAGGGAAGGAGATGAGGCAGGAGGCCGTAGAAGAGATTGGGCTGGGCCCAGGCAAGATTTGACGTGGGTTGGTTGAGGGATGAGTAGATGTTGTCTGAGGTTTTGCTGTCCCATGGCCAGGAGTTGGCACTAACAAGTTGGGAGCATGAGCACCTGGGTGGATGGGACAGACAGTGGGCTCTGGGGAGCTCCTAGTCCGGATATGTAACCCTCGCCCCTGCAAAGGCTCTGTCGTGTAATCCCCTGCTTCTCTGCTTTCCCCTGGCTCCTGCCCCTCCTTCCACACCTGGCCCAGTGACAGGTAGGAGAGTCCTAGCAGCTGCCTCTCTCTTCATCAGCACATCTGCCTGTTCTGGAATCAACATATTGCCCCTTGGGTTGGTGGTGCTAATTCCAGGATGGGAAAGGGCTAAGGCAGCAGGGTACCCCAGGGTCAGGGCTGGAGGCTGGTCTCGGGAAGAGTGAGATGGAAGAATGCTGGCATGGGTTATTCTGGCCTGGCCACTGCCTCCAGGCAGCCCATCATGCAGCTTTCCCAGAGATGTGGTGGACCCCATGGGGTGAGCCCTGGATGTCCAGGGTTGGCTGGGCATAGTCTGACTTGGGTGCTGGTCTAGGGGAGTGTGCCCTGAGGCTGACAGTCCCGAGTTCTGATTCTGTCCCATCACTGTCCTGCTGTGTGATCTTAGGCATATGACATAATCTTTCTGAGCCTTTATTTCCTTGTCTGCAGAGTCATGATAAAATACCTGCTTCGGCCAGGCATGGTGGCTCACACTTGTAATCCCATCACTTTGGGAGGCCAAGGCGGGCAGATCACCTGAGGTCAGGAGTTTGAGACCAGCCTGGCCAACATGGTGAAACCTCATCTCTACTAAAAATACAAAAATTAGCTGAGTGTGGTGGCATAGCCTGTAATCTCAGCTACTTGGGAGGCTGAGGCGGGAGAATCGCTTGAACCTGGGAGGCAGAGGTTGCAGTGAGCCGAGATTGCACCACTGCACTCCAGCCTGGGTGACAAGAATGAAACTCCATCTCAAAAAAACAAAAAACAAAACAAAACAAACAAACAAACAAAAACCCGGCTTCATAGATAGGCTGAGAAGGTTGAGTGATATAGGCGAGGCATTCACCCCAGCACTTAGCCCTCAACAGATGCTAAACAACAACAAAGACGGGTGGGAAACCACTTGTGCTAACATGTGTCGAGAGGTCAGGCTGAGCAAATCTAGACACTTGGCCTGGCTGTGGACATTTGGCTGGTACAGAGGAGGAGTGAGCAGGTTAAGGTGGCCCTTCTGATCCTGCTCCTGCCAGTCCTGGGTCAGTCCAGAAGAAACCTGTGTCTCCATTCAGAGCTAGGTCACGCTCTGGCACCTGGGATGGCTCAGGGACACCTGGGTCCCTATCCACTCTGGGAGCTGGTCAGTGCATTCTCTGCCTGGCAGAGATTGTAACAGGTTCAGGGAACCATGGACCCCAGGCTTCAGGTGCTCATGGCTATCACAGACTGTCTGGTCCGGAAGGACCCGAGGCCTCCTGGTCCACACGCCATACGATGGAGGGAGAAGCAGTTTCATATAGTAGGAGTAAGGGACTGATCTCATCCTATTTTGTTTTCATTTAACACATATTTGAGCACCTGATCTGTGCCAGGCTCTGTGCTGGGCACTGGGGTACCATGGGGACCAGGACCTCCGAGTGTGTGGGTGTCAGAAGCCTAGATGAAAGGCCCCATCCTGGTCCTGGAGTGGGCTGAGAACCCAAGCTTTTTACCCCCTAGGCTGATTCTGCCAGCAGTGTGCAGCCTGGGGCATGGTCTGGTTCTCAGAGAAAGAGGGTAGAGGCTGACCCGCTGCTCCTTTCCCAGCCTAGAGCAGCAGGAGCTGAATCTGCTTCTCTGTGAGTATGGGGAGGCAGTGAGGCTGTGTCAGGCTGTGTGAGTGGGGTGACGAGTAACCAGGTGAGAGGTGCCACCTGGCTTTAAATGCTGCCTACCACCATGAGGTATGACTGACAGCTCCCTAGCCATGCCTCTTCCTGTCCTCACCTTGGCAGGGGGGAGGCTGGTCCCACCTAGGCTGAGTGTGGACCCAGGAAGTAGCAGAAGAGAGGCTACCAGCAAGGTTGCTGTGGACCTGCTCGTGTTAGATGCTGCTGGAGCTGATGGCCCTGTGTCCCAGAGTCCTGTATGGAAAGAGGCTGCAGGTGTGGGTGAGTGGTTCCTGTGAGGCAGGAGGAAGGATTTCATTCTCCATCCCTGAAGGCCTTGGCATGGTTGGGGATGGGAAGGTGGGAAAGGGGTCTGTTGGGAAGTGGACAGACTCTGGCAGGGGCTCATGGGTGCCGTCACCCACCTCAGACCCCGGCATTCATGGAGTGTGGGCCATTTCCTCTTCAATGTATGCAAGGAAGTGGGGTGAGTTCAGAGATGAGGGTCAGGTGTAGGTGGATGTCAGTCACAGGTCTGCCCCTACACACACCGGTCCATACGACCCTTGCATGGGGAGGGGTCCTGGCTTATAAAACATCTCTGCCCTCAGCCCTGCTTCTGAGGTGGGCACTGGGAGGTTGGAAAGAGGCTTCAAGCTCCCTTTTTGGAGCTGGTTCTTCTGAGAGCCTTCAGTGTTGGAGGGAAGGAAGGAGCTGGGAGGACCCTGAGTGACTCGCTTGATCCTGGCCAGCCCTGGCTTGTGGACAGGCCCTAGTGGCTGGGCTGCTGTCACTGTGCCTGAGGGTCCGTCCCGTCTGTAAGCCTGACCCTCCACCTCCTGCCCCACCCTTTGCCACCACCACCTCTGCTGCTGTATTTGGGGCTGAAGCAACCTGCCTGCGTGCTTGTGCGGGAAGCCTGGGAGAGGTGAGAGGGGCATGGCAGCCAGCCCAATTTACCTGGCCCACGTGGGCCTGAATTTGCTGCTCACACTCACCACCTAGGAGCGGGTGTTTTCTCCAGGCAAGAAGTGGGCAGGGAACTGGTGGCAGTTTGTTCTGCCTCTAGTGAGCTAGACTGTCATTGAAGCCCCCTTTCCCTTAGTCTAACAAGAAGCAAAGCCCAGTCCCACCGGGTCTGCAGGGGCTGAGGCTGGTGAGAGTTCTGATGTAGGCCTGTGTCACACCCCCTCTTCCCGTGCTGTGTGTGGAGATGGGGCTCCCTGCCCTTCCTGGAGGCACTTAGCTCAGATGGAACCTGGGAAGGAACAAGGGAGTAGGATTTCCCAGGACTGACCTCCTCAACAAGGGCAATGGGAATGTGGGTTGGGATGTTTCTTGAGGGCCCAGGCTGCCCCCATCCCAGGGATTTCATGATCATTTTCTGCCAGGCAAAGTCCAGGCATTTGCTGCGCAGCAGGTTAAATGTATGGGGTGAATCTGGAAGCGTGAGTTCCTCTCTGCTCAGTAAACTGGCCTTGAGGTGAGGAGGGATGAGGTGTGAGAGGAAGGGGCTTTGGGTTTGCCCTTCTGGGTTTGAATCAAGGCTCCACTGCTAACCAGTGTGTGGCTTTCGGGGAGTCACTTGGCCTTTCTGAGTCTGTGTCCTCATCTGTCACATGGGGATAAAAGAATCCCTACCTCAGGGTTTTTGTTTTATGGGGAATAAATGATAATGAGATAGCCCAAAACCCAGCCCTTAATAGGTGGGTATCACTTGACATCCAGTCCTGCCTGGGGACCTTGTGCCACTGGGACTTTGTACTTTTAGGGACCCCCCTGCCTCTGGCCTAGTCCCAGCCTCCTGCGGGTTGTCTGGGCCGTGTGAGGAGGCACAGTTCAGGGTACACATTGTGCAGCCCTCTCTCACCAGGGCCCGTGTTTTGGACTCCCGGATGCCTCTGGGTTGCATGGCACAGCTCTGAAGCTGGTCTGCTTGGGTTTGAATCCTCACTTCAGCACTGCCTTGCTGTGTGGCCTTGGCTGAGTGGTTTGGTCATGTGGGCCTCAGGAAGAGGGTTGATAGCAGTACCTACCACCGAAGGCTGTTTGGATTCAATGAGCTTGTGCTTGGAAGGCAGAGGCTGGGGAAAGTGGGGAGTGCCTGGCCAGATCTCAGTTGTTGTTAGGATTCTGTTGAGGGTGCATTTTTGTATTTTTAGTAGAGACAGGGTTTCATCCTGTTGGCCAGGATGGTCTCGAACTCCTGACCTCAAGTGACCCACCCACCTTGGCCTTAAACTCTAGATTTTATTCAGAGATGGCAAGTCTAATCCCAGCAGGGCTAGGATTAATTAGGATTCACTTATTAACACTTATCAAACCTCTGGCAGAAGTGGCTTGCTAAACTTAGAAACTTGGAGAGGAAAAATATGAGTATACAAAGATGGGTGAGTTTTGCCTATAAAGAAAAAATAATTATGATCCTTAAACAAATCAAAAGGCAAAAGTATTATTTTCCTCCTTTTAGACTAAAGCTTTTCTTTTCAAAGATTTTGTTGATCAGTTTTTTCTGCCCACAAAAATCACACAGACTCACTGTAAAAGATTAGAGCATGGCTAAAATTTGTGACTTGGACATGAAAATATTTCTGTGGTGAATATGCCTTTGGGATTTTATCATTCATAAATACTATTTTTTCTCCAAAATACCATACATTCTTTTCAGAAACTCCCTTTTTTTCCCACAGTACACTGTGGCGGGACATGTGAATCCCTTTTTTGTTTTGTTTTTAAAAACAGGGTCTTGCTCTGTCTTCCAGGCTGGGGTGCAATGGCGCAATCATGGCTCACTGCAGCCTTGACTTCTCAGGCTCAACCAATCCACCCATCTCAGCCACCCAAGTAGCTGGAACTACAGGCATGAGCCACCATGCCCACCTAACTTTTTTATTTTTTGTAGAGATGGGGTCTTCCTATGTTGCCCAGGCTGGTCTCTAACTTTTTTAAAATTGATTTTAGAGACAGGGTCTCTCACTCTGTTGCAGAGGCTGGAGTGCAGTGGTTTAACTGAACTCCTCGGTTCAAGCAATCCTCCTGCCTCAGCCTCCTGAGTAGCTAGGACTGCAGGTGCACACAGCCATGCCTGGCTAATTTTTTTTAAGCTTTTGTAGAGACAGGGTTTTTCTGTGTAGCCCAGGGTAATCTCAAACTTCTGGCCTCAAGCAACCTCCCGCTTCAGCCTTTCAAAGTGTTGGGATTATAGGCGTGACCCACAGTGCCCAGCCTAAATAAACATTTTTAATGGGTGCATAATATCTTATTGGATAGATTTATTTAAGTTTACTTAACCATTGTCCTATTAGTGGACATTTTAATAATCTCTGATTTCTCAATATTCTAAATAACCTAACAATGAATATCTTTGTGGATAAAGAATTTTGTTTCTCTTTCTCTAGGATTTTTTCCTTAGGATAGATTCCTAGAAGATTGATTGTTAGATATAAACATTTAAAAACCATGGAACACTTTGATTCTCCTTCCAAAAGGAAAGAAGTAATTACAGTAAAATTTGGAAACAACCCAAATATCTATCAAGAAGGGACTGATGGAGTCTGAGCAGGATTGCTTGAGGCCTGGAGTTTCAGAGCAGGCTGGGCAATATATTAAGATCTTGTCTCAACAAAAAAATTAGCTGGGTGTGGTGGTGCACGCTTGTAGTCCCAGCTCCTTGGGAGGCTGAGGCGGGAGGATTGCTTGAGCCCAGTTTGAGGCTGCAGTGAGCTACGATCGTGCCACTGCATTTCACTCTGGGTGACACAGCAAAACCCTGTCTCTAAAAAAGAAAGAAACAATGGGATAAGTACTACAAATACATGTGTAAAGATGTTCATTGTAGCACTGTGAAGGCAAGAAAAAAAAGAAAAAAGTAAAAAAGTTGAAACCTAAATGTCCATCAATAGGACATCGAACATGTGAATCATGTGAAATACAACTCAGCAGTTAATGGGCATGAGACCAGCTGGTGTGGTAGCTCACGTCTGTAATTCTAGCACTTTGGGATGCTGAGGCGGGTGGATCATTTGAGGTCAGGAGTTCGAGACCAGCCTGGCCAACATGGTGAAACCCTATCTCTACAAAAAAAAAAAAATACAAAAATTAGCCGGGCATGGTGGCATGTGCCTGTAATCCCAGCTACGGGAGGCTGAGGAAGAAGAATCGCTTGAATGTAAAGTTCAAGTTCATGAGACCAATCTTTACTTAACTTGAACCCAGGAGGCAGAGGTTGCAGTGAGCCAAGATCATGCCATTGCACTCCAGCCTGGGCAAGAGAGTGGGACTCTGTCTCAAAAAAAAAAAAGGTGGGGGGCATGAGACTAATCTTTGTGTAGCAATATACAAGGATTCCACAACACACTGCTCAGTAAAAAAGAAAGGAGATGATTGATGCTTACTTGAAACTTGAAGCTAAGGAGGATGTGCCTCCACCCCCCAGCATAGCGAACTCCTTCAGATACAGGCAAGGCTGAGCTCTGCCCCAGCAGCTCTGATGCAGTCTGCTGGAGAAGCTCCTACAGCCAGTTGATTCTTTTGCACTCCCCTGGGAAGAACTGCTTTAGAAAACCTGGTTAAAAATCCTCAAAATGCCCAAAAGCAGACAAATAGGAAAAAGGCATCTAAAAAGTCACAGACACTTGGGAGGCCGAGGTGGGTAGATCACAAGGTCAGGAGATTGAGACCATCCTGGCCAACATGGTGAAACCCCGTTTCTGCTAAAAGACAAAAAATTAGCCGGGCATGGTGGTGCGTGCCTGTAGTCCCAGCTACTTGGGAGGCTGAGGCAGGGGAGTCGCTTGAACCTGGGAAGTGGAGGTTGCAGTGAGCCAAGATCGTGCCGCTGCACTCCAGCCTGGCGACAGAGCAAGACTCCATCTCAAAAAACAAACAAAAAGAAGTTACAGACAACTCAAAAGAGGCTGCCCCATCACATGTGGATTATTGTAAAGCAAGTAATTTAATATGCCTTTAGGCAAATTGGTTTTGAGGAACCAAGACAGCTCCCTGTGCCCAGGAGGTCCAGACCTCAGAACCCTTCCTCTGACCTTCCTAAATATGAATCACTCTCTGCTTTTCCTTTCTGAGACTCTGTTTTGCTGTCTGTAGGATGGGAAAAACAACACTACCCATGTCTTAGGGTGGTTGAGAGGACTGAGTCAGATAGTAAGGGCAAGTGCTTAGCCCAGTACTCAGCACATAGTAGGTGCTCAATAAACAGCTGCCATCTCCTTAACATCATTTTAATCACTGGCATTCTTATTGATGCAAAGATGCCACCAAGGAAACTTGGGTTGGAGTAAAGTCCTTGGGCAGGGATGGGGGTCTGGAGGGTCAAAAGTGCAA
Organism: Homo sapiens; assembly: GCF_000001405.40. Lineage (NCBI taxonomy): Eukaryota > Metazoa > Chordata > Mammalia > Primates > Hominidae > Homo > Homo sapiens. Next base: position 22,505,706 of record NC_000019.10, on the reverse strand, counting down.
ATAGACCCAGGGTTAGAAGCTGGCAGGACACACTAGGGCTGGGTCCCTGTGGGTGGCTGAGAGGCCTGGTCAGCAGATCGTTCTGGCTACAGGAAGCTATGGCCACGAGGATGGATGGTCAAGTCCAGCCCCACCCAGGCATCTGTCCTACCTTTTCACTGCACTTTCTGATGGTGGCTGTGAACTCACTGACTACAATATCCACACACTTGATACTGGGCTCTTAGAGCTTCTGCATCTGCTTTTTCACTGTGGCTTCAAAAGCGAGGTCAGGTGTGAAGAGGCATATCCTGCACCTGGGGAGAAGGTGGGGACAGTAGGAGGAGCAGTCGTGGGTGGGGAGGAGAAGGGGGCTGGCAGCCAAGCAGGGACAGGAATCCAGGGGTGGAGAGGATGTCACAGGCATGGGAAAGGAGAGAGAGGGATGCTGACACAGATAGAACAGAAGACAGTGTGAGTGTGGAACCAGCCCTCTCTACTGCCACTGGGGATTGGCACCTCCCAGGTGCTGCCAAGCATTCCCTGGGCTCCATGTTGTGAGGGACCAAGCCCCTGCTGCATACAAGACCCCTGCCGAGTTCAGATCCTCCCCCACTCCTTGGCCACACTGAGCCTGCCTGCTCTCTCCCAGTGCCATCTTTGTCCAAGCCTTGGATTCTCCTGAGAAGTTGACTGGAACAAGCACAAGGCCAGGACCTCGCCCACCCATCCTGTTCAATTCTAAGTTTCCCACTGCCCTGGAGTTTGCTTCATCCTGACTCCAAAGCTCAGCACCATTCCCTGTCTCTAGGGTTGCAGCATCCAGCTGCCTAGGCCCTGCATTGCACAACTCCATTCATATAAACCATGGTGTAGAGGCCACCTGCTGGGATTGCAGCACAGCAGCCTGACCTCCACTTTCCAGCTCCCTGCTCTAGTCTCACCCCTCCCTTTCTCCTCATGGGGCATTCCTTGCCTCACCTCCACAGGGGTTTGGTGGAACCAAAAGACAGAAAGAGAAAAGAGGAAAGACAGAAGGAGTGGAGGTGGTTGTAGAGAGGGGCCTGGGTAGCAGTGGGGAGAGGAAAGGAAGGGAAGCTCGAGGGTGGAACTGAGGAGCACTGGACTTGGAGTCTAGAGCCCTGGCTTCAAGCAACAGCTCTTCCACCTCCTGGCTACTGTGACCTTGGGCAAGCCACTTGATCTCCTGAGCTTCAATGTTCATGCTGTGAAATGGGCACGGTCCTCCCTCTCCTGCCTCCCTGCATGGTTCCGTGAGGCTTGGATGATATAGCAGATGGAAGGAGGAATCTGTCTCTGCAAGGCCAGAGGTGAATGAGGAGGAAAAGGCCCTGAGTGAGGGTCCTGGGTGAGGGTGGGGTGAGGATGGGTAGAATGAAGGACAGTGACGAGCCAGGGTTCCTGCTAGTCCTGGGTCCTCTGCACCCCTCTGGCCAGCCAGGCCCACCTAGCAATGCCCAAGAAGGCCTTGCACTTCACCTGTCCCAAAGGCCAGGGTTTCCCCAAGACATCTCCCTGGAGCTCCCAAAGATGACACCTCTGAGGGCTGGGAGGGGGCTCAGATCCTATTCATGTGATTTGCCCACTTTTTGATGACATTCCTTTTTTCTCTTGCTGATTTGAGTTCCTTGTAGATTTTGGATATTAGTACTTTAATGGATGAAAGTTTGCAAATATTTTCTCCTATTCTGTGAGTTGTCTTTACTCTGATGATTATCTCTTTTGCTGTGTGGAAGCTTTTTAGTTTAATTAGGTCCCATTTACTTATTTTTGTTCTTGTTGCATTTGCTTTTGGGTTCTTAGGAATACAGAGATGTGCAAAGTGTGCTCCTGCCTCAGGAAGTTCCCAGCCAGATGGGCTATGCTTGCACCAGGCAGACACATGCCATGCCAGGTGGCAAGGCTCATGAGGACAGAGGCGAGCAGAGGGGAAGGACCACCATGTCTGCCAACATTTTTGAGTGCAATGTGCCAGTCATAGTGCTAAGTTCTGCCCCCACACTGTCTCTTAGTTCAGTGGAAACATCTGCGCTTTGTGCTCTGCTGTAGAACATTGACCTTTCAGATTAAAAACAAGTCACCCCTAAGCTGGGTGATGACTTGTGATGGGTGTGTGGGCAGCTCTTGTTGGCCTCCCAAGCCCAGGGGGCATGGGTGCCTCCCTCACTGTGTGTTCATCTTGTATTTGTCAGCCTTAGTGGGAGGAGGTCCTGCTCATCAGAACTTTGTTTTTCTTTCTGACCCATTCCATCTTATGGACCTTGGAAACGTCCTTTTGGTTTTCATGCTGCAGGGCAGGGGAAACTACCCAGCGGTAACCTGGCAGCATGGTACTACCCTACAAACAGACTTGAACTCCTTGTCTGCTCCTGCAAGATGGTACTCAGAGCAGAGCAAGAGGGAGCTCAGAGCAGATGGAGCTCTGAGCAGATGCAGTTTAGAGCAAATGGAATTCTGAGCAAGATGGAACTCTGAACAAGATGGAGTTCAGAGCAAGAGGGAGCTCAGAGCAGATGGAGCTCAGAGTAGCTGGATCAGAGCAAGATGAAGCTCTGGGCAGATGGCACTCTGGCAAGATGGAGCTTTGAGCAAGATGGAGCTGCTGGCAAGATGGAGCTCAGAGCAGGTGGAACTCTCAGGAAGATGGAGTTCTGAACAGATGGAGCTTCAACCAAGTTGGATCTCTGAGCAGATGCAGCTCCGAGCAAGATGGAACTCCCAGCAAGTCAGAGCTCTGAGCAGATGGAGCTCTGTGCAAGATGAGTAGATGGAGTTCCGAGCAAGATGCAGCTCAGAGCAGGAGCTCTGAATTCTTAGCAAGATGGAGCTCCGAGCAGATGGAACTCAAACAGATGGAGATTGGAGCAGATGGAGCTCTGAGCAAAGTCAAGCTTCAAGCAAGATGGAGCAAGGAGTAAAAGGATTTTGGAGCAAGATGGTGCTCAAAGCAGATGGAACTCCAAGCCAGATGGAGTTCAGAGCAAGATAAAGCTCCAAAGAAGGTGGAGCTCAAAACAAGATGGAGCTTGGAGCAGATGGAGCTCAGAGTAGGGTGGAACTCTGAGCATGATGGAGCTCCAATCAAAATGGAGTTGAGAGCAGATGGAGCTCAGAGCAAATGGAGATCCGAGCAAGGTGGAGCTCAGATCAAGATGCAGCTCAGAGCATATAGAGCTATGAGCCAAATGGAGCTCCAAACCAGATGGAGTTTGAAGGAGATGGAGGCTGGAGCAAGAGAAAGCTGAGAGCAAGATGGAGCTCAGGAATGATGGAGCTTGGAGCTCAAGATGGAGCTCGGAGCAGAAAAACTTAAATAATAGCAGTATGGGTCAAATAAGTGGGTTCCAAGCTTGACACCAGAAGACAGATGTCATTCTGCAATAGCAGGAGTAGATTTTCCTGTTGGCCAAACTGGATGGTTGGGTTGTGATATGGTCACAGTGTTTGGACATGTGCAGGTGGCTACCTTAGTTTTTCCTTGCATGTTAATTGTGTAACAGAAGTGCTTTGTTCATTGTAAAGTAGAGGATCTGTTCCATGCTACAATATTTTTAATGCAGTTGCCTGTTGTGGAACATTTTAAGATTATAGAAGAACAAAATACAGTCAATTGAGCAATGTTTTTCTCGCCATCATAACTTAAGCATTGCCCTTATCACTTAAATGAAACCTTACTATTGAAAACTTTGAAATTTATTGGTTTAAGTCATCAAAATCTTTCTGTCACATTATACTGTTTGACAACTAAATATGGTTTCCAGAAACGAGACCCAGCTGAGTAGAGCTATAGTAACAACACTTCTGAACCACATATATTTTTGGCTAGAGAGCTATCAAGAAACATTACCCAACAAATCAGCTGTGCTTTTGGCTTGAAGAATGAAGAGGAAAGGCCCTAGGCAGATGGTGGCAGTGGTGAGCTGGCACACACTTGTCACCAGAGTGTGACATCTGTGACTGGAGTTATCTCCTAAACCAGGAGTGTGGTAAAATATTCCTTCCTAAATTAGCCATATACATATCAAAAACCTCAAAATGTATACTTTGAGATATGTGTCATTTTTCCATGCTAAAACATGATTAAAACAAGATAATTTTGTGAAAACCCCTGGGTAGGGTGGTGGGATTTGCTAGGTTGGGAGACTATTTTATTCCTAAATTAACTGGTGAGCAGCTCCAGGGAAGGGGAAACTCCTCCAGAACCATCCAATGTAGACTTAAGTTTCTCTTTTAAATGACCCTATTTAACCCATCGAAAGGTTTTCTGGACCCTATGATCTCTAGAAAAAAGAAGTAAGTAGCTTGCCATACATAAAGAGGCATGCATGCATGATTATACTAAATTTTTTTTTTGCCTGGCAAAAAAAGGCAACATTTTAAATGAAATAACAAAGAAGTTTATTGTAACAGCTCTTATTACTTTGTCAACTAAAGAGAAACCCAGAAGTAGCAGCATGCGTCTCCAAGTCCAGAAGGTGGACTTTTTGCCTTTGCTGTGAACTAGTGTTACACAAATGAGGCCCCATGCTTTATGTTACCCTGCAACACAGTTACTGTTGAAATAAGGAAGGTGTGTGGAAATGTGAAGCAAGTGTGCTGTGACAAACATGTCGCATGTGTGATATAAGAGACTGGGTGCCGTTGAGTCACAAATTATGGTTGGTGAGAGGCAGTTTAGAGTAGAAGTTGAGGGTAGGCTGTGGAGACCAATTGCTGAGGTTTAAACCCTGGTTTTAGCACTTGCTAGCTGTGTGACCTTGAATGAGCTACTGACTTCTCTAGTCCTCAGTTTTACTGTCTGAAGAATGAGTATAATAATTGTACCTACCCTGTATATAAGATAACTAACTTCAAGTGACATCATGTCAGCAAAGTATCTGGCATAGTACCTGTCATGTCAATGTTCAGTTGAACAGATATCATCAAATTTTCTGGACTCATGAGCAATCAACATTGATTAGTGAGCAATAATAAGCCACAGGCATGCCAGCTCTGTTTGCAGCCAGAGTTTTTGAGTTTTCTCACTCGGCTCTCACCAATGCTGTGCTCTGATTTGAGGTCTTGCAGGCTTCCTGCTGGCTGGTGGGTGGGGGGTGGCCTTGGCTTTTGTTTCTGATTTGATTACTGTGTTCTAAGAATTCATTTGTACATATGCTTAGTCTAGATTTTCACATTCTGACCACTTGAGATAAAAGATTTCCCAGGCCAGTCAACCCATAGGAGACAGAAATCCTGTTACTACTACATGAACTGTCATGGAATGACTGAGAACAGAACAAAAAGGAGTGAAGAAATGATGTGAGCTAGACCTCAAACCTGATATTTAAGTTAATAAGAGTAATGCTTCGGCTGGGCGAGGTGGCTCCGCCTGTAATCCCAGCACTTTGGGAGGTAAGGCAGGCAAATCACAAGATCAGGAGTTCGAGACCAGCCTGGCCAATATGGTGAAACCCTGTCTCTACTAAAAATACAAAAATTAGCCAAGCATGGTAGCACACACTTGTAATCCCAGCTACTCAGGAGGCTTAGGCAGAAGAATTGCTTGAACCCAGGAGGCGGAGGTTGCAGTGAGCTGAGATCGTGCCACTGCACTCCAGCCTGGGCAACAGAGCAAGACTCTGTCTCAAACAAACAAACACAAAACAAACAAAAACAAAACAAAACAAAACAAAAACGAGTAATGCTTCCACAAATGCTAGTATCAAGGTGAAAATCTGACTTGCATTTAATTCTCATTGAGCCTTGTCAGGTAGGTATCATCATGTCATTCTCATGGTGACCCCCCTGGCTACACCTTCCTGCCAGTCCTGTTGGATCTGGGCTGGGACAGGAGCCTCTGCAGTAGCATAGCAGGCCTTTGCTTGGCAGTACTAGTAGCAAGTATGTACGGGAGGTCCTTGTTTTCCAAGGATAATTGATCCCGGGCATAGGCCACGTATAGTACTTTAATTTAGAGTGGGGACTAATGTTTCCTAGTAAAAAACAAATGTTCTGGCTGGAATTTTATTCACAAAAGGGAACAAGACACTCAGTTTTTAGTGTTTTTAGCTAACCAAGTTTGTTAATTGGAAGAGTGCTAATTTGTAAAACAAACCAAGGAGGAATCAGTGTTTGAGATTTTTATACACAGTGTATGTCACTTCTATCAAGTATTGAGAGGTGACAGCGTGCTGGCAGTCCTCACAGCCCTCGCTTGCTCTCAGCGCCTCCTCTGCCTGGGCTCCCACTTTGGCGGCACTTGAGGAGCCCTTCAGCCCACCACTGCACTGTGGGAGCCCCTTTCTGGGCTGGCCAAGGCCGTAGCCCGCTCCCTCAGCTTGCAGGGAGGTGTGGAGGGAGAGGCGCGAGCGGGAACCGGGGCTGCGCGTGGCACTTGCGGGCCAGCTGGAGTTCCGGGTCGGCGTGGGCTTGGCAGGCCCTGCACTCGGAACAACTGACCGGCCATGCCGGCCCCAGGCAATGAGGGGCTTAGCACCTGGGCCAACGGCTGAGGAGGGTGTACTGGGTCTCCCAGCAGTGCCAGCCCATCGGCACTGTGCTCGATTTCTCACCGAGCCTTAGCTGCCTTCCTGTGGGGCAGGGCTCGGGACCTGCAGCCCGCCATGCCTGAGCCTCCCACCCACTCTGTGGGCTCCTGTGCGGCCCAAGCCTCCTGGACGAGCGCCACCCCCTGCTCCACGGCGCCCAGTCCCATCGACCACCCAAGGGCTGAGGAGTGCGGGCGCACAGCGCGGGACTGGCAGGCAGCTCCATCTGCAGCCCCGGTGCGGGATCCACTGGGTGAAGCCAGCTGAGCTCCTGAGTCTGGTGGGACGTGGAGAACCTTTATGTCTAGCTCAGGGATTGTAAACACACCAATCAGCACCATGTGTCTGGCTCAGGGTTTGTGAATGCACCAGTCGACACTCTGTGTCTAGCTACTCTGGTGGGGCCTTGGAGAACCTTTGTGTCAACACTCTGTATCTAGCTAATCTGGTGGGGACGTGGAGAACCTTTGTGTCTAGCTCAGGGATTGTAAACGCACCAATCAGCGCCCTGTCAAAACAGACCACTGGGCTCTACCAATCAGCAGGATGTGGGTGGTGCCAGAGAAGAGAATAAAAGCAGGCTGCCTCAGCCAGCAGTGGCAACCCACTCGGGTCCCCTTCCACACTGTGGAAGCTTTGTTCTTTCACTCTTTGCAATAAATCTTGCTACTGCTTACTCTTTGGGTCCACACTGCTTTTATGGGCTGTAACACTCACTGCGAAGGTCTGCAGCTTCACTCCTGAAGGCAGCGAGACCACGAGCCCACCAGGAGGAACAACAACTCCAGACACGCCGCCTTAAGAGCTGTGACACTCACGGGGAAGGTCTGCAGCTTCACTCCTGAGCCAGCGAGACCACGAGAAGGAAGAAACTCCGAACACATCTGAACATCAGAAGGAACAAACTCTAGACGCGCCATCTTAAGAGCTGTAACACTCACCGCGAGGGTCCGCGGCTTCATTCTTGAAGTCAGTGAGACCAAGACACCCACCCATTCCGGACACAGCATGACTTCTGAGGCCTGATTTGCAGAAGCATTTTAAGATTTCATCAGTTTTGTCAAGAATTTCTCATCCTTTGAAATTCAAAATGTCATTTTAAAAATAATTTTTAAAAATAAATGTTTACAATAAATCATTCCAAAACAATAATCAACTTAGAGAATGGTTGCAGGTACAGTACAAAGAACTTTTTTCTTGACCCATTTGAGGGTCAATTGCCAACCTGATGTCCCATCACCCCTAAAGCTTTGGTGTACAGTTCTTACAACCGGACATTCTCCTGCATAGCCACAATGCAACCACTAAATCAGGGGATTGATGTTGTGTTACTGCCATGCAATCCTCAGGTCCCATATAAGTTTCACCAGTAGTCTCAGTATTGTCCCTTCTAGCAAAAGAACCCAGCTGACAATCATGCGTTGCATTTAGTTGCCATGCGTCTGCTGTCTTCTTCAGTCTGGAAGAGTTCCTTGGTGCTTCTGTGACTTAAACCCATGTCATGTTTGGAGGTGACAGGCCAGTTGTTTTGTAGTGTGTGTCTTGATCTGCATTTGTCCGTTTCCTTTCCATTAGATTCAGATATGCATCGTTGGCAGGAATAACAGAAGCGATGCCATTTTCTACTCATTGTATTCTATGGGGCAGAATTTGATTTATTCTATTTCTAATGATACTCACTTTGATCACTTGCTTAAGGTGGTGACTGCCAAGCTTCTTCACTTTCAAGTTAGTCTTTTTCTTTTTTTTGAGATGGAGTCTCACTCTGTCACCCAGGCTGGAGTGCAGTGATGCAGTCTTGGCTTACTGCAACCTCTGCCTCTCAGGCTCAAGCGATTCTTGTGGCTCAACCTCCCGAGTAGCTAGGATTACAGGTGTGTGCCACCATGCCCAGCTAATTTGCTTGTATTTTTAGTAGAGACGTGGTTTTGCTATGTTGGCCAGGCTGGTCTCAAACTCCTGATCTCAAGTGATCTGCCTGCCTCAGCCTCCCAAAGTCCTGGGATTACAGGCCTGAGTCACCATACCTGGCCGGGACTACAACTTTTAAATATATAAAATGCATAACATAAATACTACACAACAAAATAGAATAAAAATGATGATGGAGTTTGACACAAAGGACAGCCAAACTGTATCACAGCAAAATAAAAAATAAATATCTATGGTTAAAGGCATATAATTTGAAGTATTTGAGAGATGCTCTCTAAGAATCTAAAATTATTTTTAGTTTTAGTTTCTATAAGAATGTTTCATAAGTATTTTTAATTTTTAAATGTATGCTTTGTCAGATTCGGTTTTCTAAAAAATTTAATAGAATAGAGTAAAATGATAAATGTAAAATATCAACTTTTTTGGTAAGAGATCAGTTAAATTTTCAGACCAAAAAAGTCAGAAAACTTTATGCTGATTAATTTTATCAGAATCCTCTTTTTTACAACTGGGAGAGGTGACACAGAGATGCAGCTTTCATGTTGGGTGGGAGTGAAAATGATTACCAGGGGTCAGATAATTGTTGTTTCACTAATCAAGGTTGATTTTCATTACCATTTTGTCTTGAATTATGCTGATGATGAAGTAATGGTTCTCTGATTCCCCTCACAGGATGTGCGAAGGTGCGTGGCTTGCCTGTTTGGTCGCCCCACAGCTCAAACCCCTGAGAGAAGGGGGAGGATGTCGATGGACAGATGCTAGGTCCTAAGTGGGTGTGTGTTACTGTGCTTTTTTAGCCTTGCTGCTCAGTAACCGCTGAGTGTTAACCCCACCAGATTCTTGTCCAGCGTCCTTGATAAATCAGGTCACATGAACTGTTTGAAAGGTGGTGAATGCAGAGACTTTACTGAGCAGTGGAGGTGGCTTCCATCAGAATGTGGAGCTGGAGTGGGAAGGTGGAGGTGGGGAAGATAATCTTCCCCTGAAGTTTGGCCATTCTTTGCTGAACTCCTCTGGACGTTCAGACACCCTTTCCCTCCTCTGCTGTGCCGCCCTGCTGTACTCTGCCACTCTCCACCACTCTGTTCCTCTGTTCCACTTGGCATTCAGCCACTTGTGTGTGTGCCCACTAAGGTCTCAGGTTTATATGGGCACATAATTGGGGGCATGGCATGCCAGATGGGTCTTGGAAAATGCAACATTTGGGTACAAAAACAGGAGGGCCTGTTCTCACTTAGATCTGCGAGCACAGGCCTGAAGATGAAGCCCTAACAAGGGACCCTATTATTCTCTACCAAGCACTTCCTTGTCCCCTCCCGTATCATTTTCCCCTCTGAAGAGGCACATCTAATCGCCGTTAGAATATACATGACCACTGGTATTAGCTACTTCCTGCCAATAGGGGGCATTGTTTTGAGAAAAACAGCAGTCAGATTTGTCCCAGATGTCTACCTAAGGGTTCCTGGCAAAGGGGAGTCATTGTCCGAGACCTCAGTTGCTTGCCTTTTTGGAATTTGATGGCCTCTAGGTGTGAGAAAGAAAAAAAACTTCCATAAGGTTAGATACGCAGGGGTAAAACATGTATTATACTAGTAAAGAATTTAGTGCCAAAGATTTCAGAAATAAAAAGTGAAATATACTAATTATTCTAAAAACACTATTGTGCCCTGTGGTTATAGATCAGAACAAAGGTAAGAACAGCAAGCATAGACAAGACTATAAAGAGGAAATCCATGGAAGGTTAATTATTAACACTTACCTTTTGTGATTTTTAGCTGGAGGTCTCTGATCTCTTCACATTGGTACTTTGGGTACTCTTCTGGGTTGACAGAGGTGGCTCCATCAGATTCCCAGGTCTTTACTTGGGTATAATGAATTCAAGAATCTATTCCAGTGACTTATTGCAAAAGGCCGAGGTGGCCACTTTCAAGAGGTTCTCTAAAATACTGTCTGGTCCCAGGGCCTGTTCCTGCAGCTTCCTCCTGATATCAGGGGCTGCCTGAGCAATAAATTTATCCTTTAGGATTAGTTGTCCCTTGGCTGAATCAGGAGATAGAGAGGTGTGCTTTACCAAGGCCTCTCTTAGCCTTTCCAAGAAGGCAGTGAGATTTTCATCAAATCCCTGGTCCATCATGGATAACGTAGTATAATTGAGATGTTTGGTCCTGGCCCTACATAAGCCCTCCTTATGCACACCTGAAACTGTCTCCCTATCCAGTCTCCCATCTCATCATTGGAATACCATCCAGGGTCATTTACTGGTACTGCTTCTCTTCCAGTTGAATAACATTTGCCCCCTTTCCTCATGCCATAGGTAACACAAAGCTCATCCCCAAATCTCTCTACTGCCTGCAAAGGGGCTTGCTTCTCACTGTCCATCAGGGTCTAATTCAAAAGTAACATAATATCTCTCCAGGAGAGTTCAAATATTTGGATGAAATTCTGGAAAGCCTTTATATGTCTTTCAGGGTCATCTGATAAGTTTCAAAGATTCCCCTTAATATGTTTTAAACCCTGTAGAGAGAAGGGGATCTGGACCTTACTGGGGCCAAATTTACCAGGCATCTGTTGAAGGAGCAAGAGTGAAACCAGGGCTTGTCTAGGGTGAGAATTTCTAGGAGGGGGCAAGTGAGAGGCTGAAGCTGAATTGGGAGGTCAGGGTGGCCTGGATGAGCAGGGCTAGAGGGAACTGGCTTCTCTGCTGGGGGAACATCTGGAGTTTGTTTCTTTAGTTCCCTGAGATTGCTCCTGGCAGCCTCTCCTGAGATGGCATACAGGAAAGCTGGATCAATCCCGCTGATGGCAAAGGTTGGGATTGCCCTGAAAAATATAGAAAGCCTGCACATATCGGGCCTCAGACCACTTGTTCTCATGTTTGCAGAAAAGGTCTAATAGCCACATGGCATCAGAATGAATGGTTCATTCCTAAGGCCAAGCTAGTCTTTGTTGTAAGTCATAATTTGGCCAAACCTGTGTACAGAGGGCTATGAAGCATTTTTCCTCCAGATTCTGAGGGTCAAGGCAGTTGCAATGGTTCAGGATACACTCCAAAGAAGTATAAGCTAGGAGTGGTGAAGAGAGCTACTTGCTTGTTTTGAAAGACAGGGAATACAGGCATTCCTCATTTCCCTTCCTTCTTTCAGTGAAAACTCAAGGTGTGATGGGGAGAGAAAGCAAGCATTTTCCCTTTCTCTTTCATCTTTTTATCACCAAGTCCTGGTGACCTTGGCAGGTGCCACCCATGAGTGCCAATGTAGCATTCATCTATGAAGCAGGGAAGGCCCATAGAAAACGAATGATCTGAGGCCAGGCGCAGTGGCTTACACCTGTAATCCCAGCACTTTGGGAGGCCGAGGCAGGCAGACTATCTAAGGTCAGGAGTTCAAGACCAGCCTGACCAACATGGAGAAACCCCGTCTCTACTAATAAAATACAAAAAAAGCTGGGTGTGTTGGCAAATCCCTGTAATCCCAGCTACTCGGGAGGCCAAAGCAGGAGAATCACTGGAACCCAAGAGGCAGAGGTTGGGGTGAGCCAGTATTGTGCCATTGCACTCCAGCCTGAACAACAAGAGCAAAACTTTGTCTCTCAAACAAACAAACCAAAAAAAAAAAGAAAGAAAGAAAGAAATCAAAAGAATGATCTGTCCTCACCTATGCCTCCATCTCCCCCTGCTGTTGACAACCTTTGAGTTCCCTGGGCCTCATTTATGCCAAGGGGCATGGCCTCCTTCCATGGGGCGGGGGTTTAGTCAGCAGAATTTTGTCCTGCCCATTTACATTGTGCCTGCTGCCTGGCTTTGGGTCCCTCAGATCTGATTTTTCTTTCTAGGGACTCAACCTGAAGCTTGGAATCAAATTTGGGACTAAAAATACTTCAAGGGGCTGAAGCTATCTGTTTAGATTGTCTCAAATGAGCCCTGCCAAATTTACAGTTATCTGCCAGCAGGGGTCACTCCTCTGTTAACTTCCCTGTCAGAAGCAGCGTGCTGGGGAGGGAAATGCTTTCACTTGAAAAGAAAGAAAAGAAAAGAAAAGAAAAAGGAGTTTAAAGGCAAAAGAGGAGGTAGCCCTTGCACAGTGCAAATAGGTCCCTTTGATCATTGTATCTTTCTGTTGGTTCAGACTGTTTGTATTCCTTGGCCAGGGTAAAAAGTTCTGTTGGTGTGGTGAGCAGGAAGCACTGGCCAGCCAGCCCTGTGGGGTCCCAGAAGCAGCTGTGGTTTTCTTCCACCCTTCATGGTTGTTGGGCACAGCTTTTGCATGCAGTGGACACACCAGGCACCTGAGCTGGGAGGGGAGGCGGTACAGAGAGGAGGTGTCCTGTGCCATGTGCCCCTTTGGCTACCAGGGTGGGAGTAAGGATGGCACCTCTAAATGAAAACCACATTGCTCTGATTTGTACCTTTGATAGCTGAGCCAAATGCTCACTTTATTTAATATCACTGCTGCAGCCTGTAGCAAAACCCTTAACATTATAAAGGAAGTGATAAGAGCCACTGTAAACTGTGAGAAAAGAAAAGACACCAAGTGAAGTCTGGGGGTCCTGGCTGACAAAGTTCAGTGTCGGAGTCTTCCAGCAAATGATGTCTTCAGTTGCCCCAGGTCTCTGCTCCAGTCCCGTGTGCCAATGAGACCTCTGTGAAGGGAAACAAAGGCTTTTACCCGAGAAAAGAGAGGGGTGACAGGGTCTTACAAAAGAGGCACATCCAACAATTTCACATTTGTAAATCACTCTGCTGATGATTATCCCAGACAAGCCTTCGGCTGAAACAAGAGAGTTCCCTGATTCCCCTTGAAGGATGTGCAACAGGGGTGTGGCTCACCTGTTCAGTCACCCCACAGCTCAAACCCCTGAGGGAAGCAGGAGCACTCAGACAGGCAGATGCTGGAGCCCAATGGATGTGTGTTACAGTGTGCTCTTTTAGCCTTGCCATCCAGGAACAGCTGAGTGTTCACCCCGCCTTGGATTCTTGTCTGGCATTCTGGATGAATCAGGTCACACATACTGTTTGAAAGGTGATAAATGCAGAGACTTTATTAAGCAGTGGAGGTGACTTACAGCAGGATGGGGAGCTGTAGTGGGAAGGTGGAGGGAGAGGAGATAATCTTCCCCTGGAGTTTGGCCATTCTCGGCTGAACTCCTCTCAACATTCAGATGCCTCTTTCCTTTTTCTCTGCCACTTTCTTCTGCTGTCTGCCACTGTGTTCTTCTACTCCTCTCATTCAGTTGTTTGTGTGTGTGCCCACTAAGGTCTTGGTTTATATGGGCACAGCAATGGAGGCATGGTGGGCCAGAGTGGTCTTGAAAAATGCAACATTTGCATGCAAAAACAAGAGTGCCTGTTCTCACTTAGGTCCGTGGGCACAGGCCTGTGGGCAGAGTCCTCACCAGGGACCCCACCCTTCTCTACCTAACACCTCCATGCCCCCCTCCCATATCAATAATCTTGATCCAAGAAATTTTTTTAAAACATAGTTTGTCAATCAGCCAAAATATGAATCAAAAGAAGGCATGAAAATAAAAGTATTTAACAGTCATAGTTTATAGTTTAAAATTAAAACACTTCTAGAAAATGTGGTATATTTACACATTGGAATGCTATTCAGCCCTTAAAAAAAAAAAGGAAATCTTGTTATTTGATACAACATTGATAAACCTGAAGGATATTATGCTAAGTAAAATAAGCCAGCACAGGAAACACACACACACATGATTTCATTTCTGTGTAAAGTTAAAAACTTTCAAACTCATGGCAACAGAGAGTGGAATGATGATTGTCTGCAGCTGGAGGTGGAGAAGATGTTGGTCTAACGTAATGGGTCTTCCATACATCACTTACCTTAACAAATATGTTATTCTCTCAGTTTTGATTCACCAGTGAATTGAATCGTATCCTCAAGAATCAAAACTGAAGAAACAATATATTTGTTAAAGCAATGCAGGTTTTTTACTGAAATTTCAGAGCCTTAGCAAAATAATATATTTTCTGCTCACATCACCATCCCCTGTGGGTTTTTTTTTCTGGTTAAGAGGACTTCTTCATGATCTTTCAGGGCTTATATCTTCTTTCATTTTCTTTTAGCATCCTCCTTTCTTCAGTGAACGAATTAAAAAAGAGATGCAGTGAAGACACATTTGCTTCTTATCCACACATCACTTCCTCTCACTATTAGTCAATGTAGGTAGAGCTGAGAATAGCAGTTTCCTGGGAGGACAACCACTTCTTAGCGATAAACAACACACTGAAAAAAAGTATAAATCATTCATTAAAAGCTAACATATTTTAAGAAAAATAAGCATATGCCTGAATAAAATGCTTGTGGAAAAATAAAGATTCATTTTGTTGATTTCTATTGAGCTCAGATAACATTTGACTAAAAGCTTGCAAATATACAGCAGAAAAAACAATATTATTTGAAATAAAAATTTTGTGAATAAAGTTATTCTGTCAATAGAAGTAAAAATATTATGACCTCATACTAATAGTCTCATCTATACTTGTACAACATTAAATGCTTTTTATTAAAAATTGTATTTTATGTGAGTATTCAATTTGTATCACCTCCCTTCGCTATTTCAATGCCTTCTTCACTTTATATCAGTGGAAAACAGACCAGCGGGTCTCAGGAAAGCACGTGGTGCCATTGCTACTTTAATAATAATGATTAAGAGCATTTATCTGGGTGATACTCACATTCCAAACACTGTTATTTGACCCAAAGTACTGATTTTCTATTTTTCTCTAAATTTACTGATAAAATAAAATTTTTAGCTAGGAAGACTTGATCTCATTGAAATACGTTTTATGGAATTTTGTTGACATTTAAATGTCTCTGACTTACCTGGAATATTGAAATTTTTAATGCATCCAAAGAATACTATAAATGAATACTCTTTTACTAAAAGCCTTTCTGAGGCAGAGTAAAATTCATGAAATTTCTTTATAATATAGAAGAAATGTGTTAACCATGTTTTCAATATGGTTTAGCATTTACCCAGAGTCATTCAGGGGAAACTGGCATTTCTGTAAACAAGCAGATAAAGGTGCTGAGTGAAGGTGCACCATATTGCACATCAGTGCTTTCCACATGCACCTATTAGGGTCTTAATTTAATTGGGCTGTCATTTGCATGGCTGGATACTTACTGAATCTAGTCATACTATTATTTGGCAGCTAAGAGCATCCATTACCCATTAGTTTTACACAATTATTTGCTTGACTGAAAAATCTTTTGTTATTAACTCTAAATTAATAGACTAGATTTGCAATCTTCAACTTTTCAATAATACAGGAAATCAGAAAAAAACAATGTGTGTGTGTTGAGTGCATTTTTTTTGCCTATTAAAATTCTTTTTGTATTGCCTTGGAAATCCTAGGAAGACACCTAAAAAATAGTCCATTCAAATCCATTAGTCATGATTTTAGATTTTAAAAGGTCAAGGACTTAATAATTGAGCAAAGCCAAAATCTTGTCTTTGCTTCTAGTTAGTAATCTGGCCATTTCATAAAGTAGGGCAGTTATTCCAAGCCACTGAAAAAATGTGGTTTTAATTTTATCTAATTTCAGATGCTTTCTCTAATTGTAACTTTATCATGTTAATCTAAGGGAAACTATCTACATATTTGCTCATGCAGTTAAGAAACATTTATATTATAGCCAGGTGCAGTGGCTCACACCTGTAATCCCAGTACTTTGGGAGGCCAAGGTGGGTGGCTCACTTGAGGTCAGAAGTTTGAAACTAGGCTGGCCAACATAGTAAAACTGCATCTCTACTAAAAATACACAAGTTAGCCAGGTGTGGTGGTGTGTACCTGTAGTCCCAGCCACTCTGGAGGCTGAAGCAGAAGAATCACTTGAACCTAGAAAGTGGAGGTTGCAGTGAGCCGAAATCATGCAACTGCACTCCAGCCTGGGCAACAGAGTGAGACTCTACTTCCAAAAAAAAAGAAATATATATACATATGTATATAGGTGTTTAAAGCTAAGTATTGTATTACAGTATAGGAGAATTCCTCTAAAATTATCAGAAGATAAATTCATTATTAATAAGTTTATTAGGCTTTCAATATTTTTCAACTGTAAAAACAAATATTTAGGTATGCTTTTTCATGATAATGTTAATTCTAGGAGGGTGCCCACTGGTCTCCATGGTAATTTCTGTAATGGTGGTAAAACTGGGCGACCAGAATAGGGCACACATGCTGATTTAATCAGAATAAGAATGAGTTCAGCCTTCTTTGTGGACTGTTGATATCTCAGAGGCTGATCACTCACTGTGGCTTACTAAATATTGCTCCATAATGCCAGTGAGCCCTTTCAGCCAGATTTTCTTTCTCCTGCCATTGATATAGTCATGTTGTCATCTTCTCTGTTTATCTTAAGCTATCTCAGATGAGAAGTAATTATTTCTTGCGTGAATAAGAACCTCTTTTATTCCTCTGCCATGGGATCCTCCTGCCCTCTTTACCAGAAGCAATATGCAAGAGGCAGGAATGATGACAATATACAAATATATTTTCTGTCATGTGGCCACTATAAGTAGCTTACAACATAGCCCAATTAGAATTCACTTCCAGGTCAGCAGGAGTGTTTTTCTATGATGTGTCTCTTTCTCTAAAAAACACCTCTGATTAAGTTCAGCCCAATCAGGATAATGTCTCTTTTGAAAAACACAAAGTCAACACGAGTAATCAAATTTTATGAGACATTTCGTACCACATTCACACATATTTTTACACTCAAAAAGAATTACACAGTGGGTGTGCAACAGACTGGGAATCCTGGGGATTATCTTAGAATTTTGCCTACCCGTCTCAATAGACTTTTAAAACAGTCTTTTAGTTGCTTTTGTTATGTAAGTAAATGAAGATATCATCTGCAAATAATAATTAACTACTTTCCTGCTGGCATAGGAAGCTAATAAACTGACTTTAAGACAACAACTAACAAACTGGGTACCACACTGGGTTATGGGAGTTATAATTTTAATGGACTTAAGGGGGCACCATTAGTTATCAAATCCGAAAATAACCCAATACAAAGGGATCTAATGTAAAAGTCCCTGCATAACTTTAGAAACTGTGAATACCCTAAACCTGGTTACCTTGCTTCACATCGAGTCAGTGCCAGGAGGCCCCCCTTCATTGCTAAGTGGATGTGACAAATGAAGTGTTCTCAGGCCAGAGAAATTTGACAGATAGGCCCCTCAGGGACCTGGACGTTAAATATTTCACTGATGGAAGCAGCTTCATACTACAGGGGGTCCACCGAGCAAGGTATGCAGTGGTGACTTTTGACTCAGTAGTAGAGGTGCAGTCTTTGTCTATGGGAACTTCTGCTCAAAAGGCAAAGCTAATAGCTCTAACAAGAGCTCTCTGGCTAGCAAAAGACCAGAAGGCAAATATTTACACAGATTCCAAATATGCTTTTGCTACTTTGCATGTTCATGGGGCTATTTACAAAGAAAGAGGACTCTTACCTGCTGAAAGTAAAGACATAAAATATAAGGAAAAATTCTACAGCTCTTAGATGCTGTATGAGCCCCAAAACAAGTAGCAGTAATGCACTGCAAGGGGCACCAGAAGGCAGGAACATTAGACACCAAAAACAAACAAACAAAAACCAGAAAGGCAGACAAAAAGGCAAAGTGGGCTGCAATGACATATCCACCTTCTGAAGAGGAAGCTTTAGCTATGCTTCTCCTCCCGGAGATCCCCTTCCCAGAGACCCCAAGCAACGCTCCTAATAAAAGGGATTGGTTTGCCCAGGAATATGGGAATTATATTGAAGGAGGATGGTGGAAGTTCTCCAATAGAAAACTAGCCATACCTGAGATGGTAGCCCCCAGATTTTTGAAATAGTTCCACTAAGGAACTCACATAAGAAAGACGGCACTAGAGACATTATTAGAGCGTCATTTCTGTGTGCCATAGCTCACTGCCATCACTCAAACTGTTTGTGAGCAGTGTTTGACTTGTGCTCAGAACAACCCTCATCAAGGGCCTACCCGGCCACCGAGAACTGAAGAAACAAGAGCCACACCCTGTGAAAACCTGCTTATGGACTTCCCCAAATTGCTGCAAGCGGGGGGTTATTGATACATGTTGGTATTCGTTTGCACCTTTTCAGGATGGGTCAAGGCCTTCCCCGCCCAGATGGAGAAAGCACAAGAGGTGATCAAAGTGTTGTTAAGAGACACTATCCCCAGATTTGAACTGCCTCTAACTCTAGGATCAGACAATGGACCAGCATTTGTGGCTGAAATAGTTCAGGACTTAACTTGACTATCAAAAATAAAGTGGAAGTTACTCATAGCCCACCAGCTGCAGAGCTCAGGAAAAGTGGAGCGCATTAACTGGACACTCAAGCAGCTGTTGAAGAAATTTTGTCAAGAAACTCATCTAAGATAGCATCAGGTCTTGCCCATGGTCCTCCTCTGAGTCAGGTGCAGCCCCACAAAACAAACTGGGTATTAGCCCTATGAGATTTTGTTTGGTCGGCCACCCCCAGTTATAAATCAGGTTAAAGGTGACCTACAGGAACTAAGGGAATTAACTTTAAAAAGGCAGATGCAAGACTTAGGGCTGGCTATGCAAAAGATTCATTGTTAGGTGCAAGAAAAAAAAAATGCCTATAAATGTGGCAGACCCAGCACACTTTTTCAAACCTGAGGACTTTGTTTAGGTTAAGAAGTGGAATCCAACTACTCTGGGACCTATATAGGAAGGGCCCCATACTGTAATTTTGTCCACTCCCACTGCTGTTAAAGTTGCAGGTTATCATGCCTTAAATCCACCACAGTTGGCTAAAACCAGCAGCCCAGGACCAGTGGACCAGCCAACAGGACCCAGACCATCCAACCTGGCTGATCCTGCGACGAGATCGCATTGTCAGTGGAGATGACAACAGCCCTGCTCTGGTCACTTCGGAAGCTGACCAGTCTACACATGGCGGAAGCTTGAGAAAATAGCAAGCCCCGCTCTAGTCACACTGGAAGCTGAGTAGTCTACACTCAGCCAAAGCTTAAGGAGTTGTCATCAGATAAGTAAATGTGGATAGAAATTTTAAGTTTTATTGCTGTCTTAGTGTTGTTGATTGCCGTGTTACTATGCTATCATTATTGCCAGTCTTTCTGTCTAGGGAAAAACCTTACCTGCCCATGTCTAGTATAAAAATATTGTTTGTTTGTTTGCTTGCTTGTTTTACTAATAGTGGTACTTGAGGCTAAGCAAAAAGAAATACAATTGAAAGAAAGATATCCACATTGCATACATTCCACATGGAGAGAAACACAGTAGTTAAAACTTTATTATACCATACATACTATGAATGCACCAGGACTCTCTTAGGATTCTGTACTTACAACCAAACAACCTACTCATCCTGTGACTCAGGAGATGGCCAGCTTTATATATGCTATGAGCCTGAACTTGTGCCTGGAGATTTGAGACCCACGATGGGTCAATAGAAGGAGCCCTTCTAAATAAAACCTGGGTCTCATCTACCTACAAAGGAACCTTATCCTTGTACTTTAATATTGGTCAAGCAAGGTTCAAAGGTGCAGCCTTCCATAAGGCTACCTGCCTAGGGCAACAGTATTATCTTGAGACTAAAAATAAGACTCTATGGAGAAATGCCCAGAATGACTCCTGCTTACCAGATCCAAACTTTTTCTCTTGATTCTCTATTCTAAGCCATTCTTGGCATCCACTAGAGGCTCCAAATGCTTGGAAAGCACCCTCTGGCCTATATTGGATTTGTGGAGTGCAGGCATATCAGCAACTGCTGGCTAAACGGTCAGGGACATGTGTATTAGGAACAATCAAGCCACCTTCTTTCTAATTCCTCTAAAGCAAGGGGAACTCTTAAGATAATCAGTTTATGATGAAAATGGAAGAACTAAAGGAAGCATAATCACAAGAATAGACACAAACATCAAAAGGATGTAGACATAGGGAACTAGGAAGATAATGAGTGACCTCCTGAAAAAATCATCAAATACCATGGGCCTGCTACCTGGGCACAAGATGAGTCATGGGGGTACCGCACCCCAGTTTACATGCTCAACTGTATCATAAGGCTCCAAACTGTGCTCAAAATAATAATCAATGAAACATCAAGAGCTTTACATTTACTGGCTGTACAAGCTACACAAATGAAGAATGCCATATATCAAAACAGGCGGGCACTAGATTACTTCCTAGCCTCAGAAGAAGGAGTATGTGGAAAGTTTAACTCAACAAACTGCTGTCTAGAAATAGATGATAATAGGTGAGCTGTCATGGAAATTACGGCCAGGATGCAGATGTTAGCCCATGTTCCAGTTCAAACCTGGTCAAGATGATCTCCAAATTCTCTGTTTAGAGGACGGTTTTTTACCTTTCATGGGTTCAAGATCTTAATAGGTGGGTTCCTCCTTATCACAGGTGCCTGCCTAATTCTCCCTTGTCTCCTGCCTTTTCTTATCAGAAGTGTTCAGTCAACTATAGAGGCAATCATGGCCACACACCACTACCCAAATAATGGCATTAGCTAAGTATCAGGCTTCGCCCCAAGAAGAATATATACCAACCCAAGAAGAACTAGATAATTGTGGTGCTGTCTATTAAACATTATTATATATAGAGCACCAAAAGGGGGGGATGAAGTAGAAAATTAAAAAGAAATTAAATTTACACTTTTAGGTTAGGTTAGAATAGGCGTGAAGTAACCCCCTGAAGAAAAGGTATAAAAAGAATATTAACTGCTCCTCTAAAGGCCTCTAAGGGTCTGTGAAACATTAACCATACCTCTTTCCCACATATTTTGTAAGTTCTGTAAGTCCCTGTTATTCTTGCTGTGCAGCTGCAAGGTCACAAGATAGATAAGTGAAAGTTGCAACTCATGTTTCTCCTAAGTTGTAAGACATGGCATGAATGATTAACCGCTTTTGTTCTCACTTCCGTAAACCTGCTTCCTGCTTTACGTTTTTCCCACCACAAAACGCTTAAAAGTTGCTCGCTTTCTTTGTTCAGGGATCAGACTTTGAGGACACTTGTCTGCTGAGCTGGTGTACACCTAAAATAAAAGCTCTCCTGCATCCCTATCAGTATCTCTGGTTCCTTAATTTCCTGCAACAGCATGAGCAACCGTGCTCAGCCGCTAGTCTTAAAAGATCTGTATGCTTAGGATTATGGAAAACCTATTCTTTATTTACACTTAGAAGATAAATAAGTGCTCTCCAGGCCGGGCATGATGGCTCACACCTGTAATCCCAGCACTTTGGGAAGCCAAGGCAGGCAGATCACCTGAGGTCGGGAGTTCCAGACCAGTTTGACCAACATGGAGAAACCCCGTCTCTACTAAAAATACAAAATTAGCCAGGTGTGGTGGCACATGCCTGTAATTCCAGCTACTCCAGAGGCTGAGGCAGGAGAATCGCTTGAACTCAGGAGGCAGAGTTTGCGGTGAGCCGAGATCGCACCATTGCACTCCAGCCTGGGCAACAAGAACGAAACTCAGTCTCAAAAAATAAATAAATAAATAAATAAATAAATAAATAAATAAATAAATAAGTGTTTTCCGGTAAACCCAATGGGGCAATTGTGACTCACAATAAGCTATTGAAATAATACTATTATCTAGATGACACTTTTATGTTCAAGTTGTTTAACTTCTATAATTCAGACACTATAAAAATTTTATGCTATAAATTGTAAGAAAAAAAATATAAAGTATCAGTTTTTTTTTGTTTTGGAATACTATCATTATTTCTAGTTGACCTAACATGAAAATGTAGCTGCTGTTGCTGTAGAAACTAGAAATGTCCTGGTTGACTCTGCTTTACTTCTTGCCTTCATATTTTACACAAACAAAGCAACACAAGAAAGGCCAGAATGGACACACCTCGATTGCAAACACACCAGAATCCTTCTAGAGGCTCTGGTGAGCATATATGTGTGAGCATATTAACCTGAAATTCATGGCATCTTTTTTAGAAGTACAGACTTCTATATGGCAAATAATAAAGACAAGTAAAAATTTAGCACTGCAATAGAATAAGAAAAGTATTCTGAAAGAACCTTCTGATCCATTATTCCTTTACTCACCAGTATGGTTGTGATGAAATGGTTTCAGGAGTGTGGTCTTAAATAACCAACACTCTCTGTTTTATGGTTCTTGGGCTATGGCCATAAGATTTTTATGCATTTTTTCACTAGAAAAATGTTTTTATTTTAATTCAGGAATGTAACATAATTTTCACAGCCTCACATTTACAAAAATGGTTTATTCTAAAATAAGACATGTGATTAAACAACTTACCATGATTTTCCCAAAAAGAGTGGAGTAACAAGTTAACCCTATAGCCCTAAAATAAAACATAAAGATATAGTCATTTATTTTAGCTGCACACTTGGGAATAAAACACTTCTTGGGTTAAAGGGCAAGACCTTTCAGATATGTTAGCTTTCAGGATGTGGGCAGACCTGGAGAAACATTCACCCCAATGCCCAAAGGGAGCATAATTTTGTTTCTTTCACCTCTAATATAAATTACCACCCCAGAACTGGAGAAATGTAACATGTCATTATACCACAGGACATTTTATTATTTTTATTTTATATTCAAGGGGTACATGAAAAGATTTGTAACATACGTATACTGCAAGATGTTAAGGTTTGGGCACTTAGTAAAAATTGCCGAAGTAGTGTACATCACACCTGATAAGTAGTTTTTCAATGCTTTCCTTTAAAAAAACAACTTCCAGTGTTTATTATTTCCATCTTTGTTTCTGTATTTGTCCAATGTTTAGCACCCACTTATAAGTGAGAACAGGTGGTATTTGAGGTACTTATACACCATGCAATACTATGCAGCCACAAAAAAAAAAATGTTCCTTGCAGCAACATGGATCTAAGATTCAAAGGTACCTGGTTTAATTCTGTGTCTTTGCTATCGTGAATAGTGCTGCAGTAAACATGTGAGTGCAGGACTTTTGTGTCAAATAATTTATTTTGGATATATACTCAGTAATTGTATTGATGGGTCAAATGGCAATTCTATTTGTAGTTCTTTGAGAAATCTCCGAACTGTGTTCCACAGGGGCTGAATTAATTTGCATTTCCACCGATAGTATATAAAGATTCCCTTTTTTCCACAACTTTTGTCTTTGTCAGTTTTTAACTTTTAATAAGTCATTCTAACTGGTGTGAGATGGTATCACATTGTCATTTTGATTTACATTTCTCTGATGACTAGGAATGTTGAGCATTGTTTGCATGTTTATTGGCAGATTTTATGTCTTCCTTTTAAAAATGTCTATTCATATTATTTGTCTGTTTTTTAATAAATTCTGATAGATAGTATTTGTTAATTCTTTGTTGTTTGCAATTTGCAAATATTTTATTTTATACTGTAGGATGTCTCTTTGTCAATAGCTTCTTTTGCTGTGCAGCTCTTTAGTTTAAGTAGGTGCCAATTTTCTATTTTTATTTTTGTTGCATTCATTTTTATAGTGTTAGCTACAAATTCTTTCTAGTGTCTAGAGTACTAAGTGTTTTTTTAACATTTATATAGCTTGAAGTCTCACAGTTAAGTTTTTAATCTATCTTAAGTTATATTTTTTATATAATGAGAGGTAAGGGTCTAATTTTCTTCTGCATATGACTAACAAGTTTTCCCAGTACTATTTATTAAATAGGGATTTATTTCCTTTTTATTTCTGTTGACTTTGTCAAAAATTAGTTGGTTGCAGGAGTGTAGCTTTATTTCAGATATCTCTTATCTATTTCATTGGTCTATATGTATATTTTTGTACCAGAACTAGGTTATATTGGTTATTGTAACTTGTAGTAAAGTTTGAAGTCAGGTAATGTGACACCTCCAGGTTTATTCCTTTTAATGTTGCTTTAGCTATTTAGGCTTTTTTATTATAAATATAAATTTTATAATAGTTTTATTGAATTTATAAAAAATGGCATTGACAGTTTGATAGAGATAGCATTTAATCTGTACGTTGCTTTAGGACATTTAAATTATATTGAGTTTTCAAAATCCATGAGCATGGAATGCTTTTCCATTTATTTGTGTTTTCTGATATCTTTCAGTAGTGTATTGTAATTCTCCTTGTAGAGATATTTTACCTCCTTGATTTAATGTAGTCCTAGATATTATTTTTTGATTGTGGCTATTGTAAACAGAACTGTGTTCTTGATTTTAATGTTATTGGTATACAGAAATGTTACTCGTTTGGGTATGTCGATTTTCTATCTTAAGAATTTGCTGAAGTCATTTTTTAGGCTTAAGAATCTTTGGGGGAAATCTTTGAAGTTTCCCAGGTAGAGAATTATATCTTCTGTGAAGACAATTTGACTTATTTTCCTATCTGGATACCTTTTATTTCACTATTTTGTTGGATTGCTCTGGCTAGGACTTCCAGAACTATGTTAAATAAAAGCGTTCAGAGTGGATATTTTTGTCTTATTTTTCTTCTTATTGAGAATGCACCCAGCTTTTGCCTGTTCAATATGATGTCAAATAAAGTTTTGTCATAAATGGCTTTTATTTTGAGGTACGTTTCTTCAATTTCTGGTTTGTTAAGAATATTTTTATGAATGAATATTGAATTTTCTTGAATGCTTTTTCTGCATTTACTGTGATAATAAGTTTTTGCTTTTAATCATCTTTACTGGTGAATCACACTTATTGACTTGCACATGATGAAACATTCTTGCAGTCATGAAGTAAAGCTCACATGATTGTGGAAAAATAACTTTTTGATGTGCTTATGAACTCAGCTTGCTAGTATTTAATGGAGAATTTTTGTTTTATGTTCACCAACAATATTGGCCTATAGTTGTCTTTTTTGTTGTATCTTTACTAGATTTTGGTATTAGAATGATGCTGGTTTCATATAATAAGTTAGAAATAATTTCCACCTTGATTGTTGGAATACATTTAGTAGGATTAGTACCAGCTCATCTTTATTATATGTAGTAAAATTTGGCTGTAAATTCGTCTGATCCAGAGCTGTTTATGGTTGGTGGGTTTTATATCACTAATTCAATATTATTACACATTTTTGCTATGCCCAAGATTTTTGTTCCTTCCTGATTCAATTTTGGGAAGTTTTGTATATCAAGAGTATATTTATTTTCTCTAAATTTTCTAGTTTGCATGCATAGAGATGTTCATAGTAGTCTCCGAAGATGTTTTGTATTTAAGTGGGATAAATTGTGATTTCACATCCATAACATTTAGATACATGCAGAATAAAAATTTGACAAAAGTCACATTTCCTCATAATAAATCTCTGAAAAAATTAGGTATAGGACAAATGCACCTCAAGTTAATAAATGCTGCTTATAACAAAAATTGCACAGTTAACATACTAAACATGGAAATGTTATAAGCTTTTCAGTCTTACTAAGCATGGTACTAAATGTCCAAGACAGAAAAATTGGAAAATAAAATCAAAGGCATCCAGATTGGAAAAAAATTATAGCTGTTTGCAGATGACATAATTTTAAGTAGAGAAAAGCCTAACACTTTACTGAGAACCAGTAGAACCAGTAAACCAATTTATTGAACTGGCAGTATACAAAATCAACATACAAAAGTCAGTAGAATTTCAATATACTAACAATTAACTATCTCAAAATAAAATAAAAAACAATCTCATCTATAATAACTATACTTGGAATTAGTTATAAAGTATAGTAACTATACTTTGAATTAAATTTAAACAAAAATTTGAAACACCTTACATTATAAATTGAGGAACGTTAAAATAAACTAATACAAAATGAAAAAATATTATTCATGAATTGGTATTTTTAATAATGTTAAATACCTGCATTACACAAAATGATCTACAGATATAATGCAACCTCTATCAAAATACCAGCAACATACTAAATATAACTTTTAAAACGTATTTAAAATGTATACAGTACCAAAAAAGACCTTCAATAGTCAAAACAGTAAAGAAAAAATAGGCTGAAGGTATCACCCTAGCTGACTTTGAAATATACTACATAGCTATAATAACAAAAACGTATGGTACTTGAATAAAAGTGGACACATAGATTAATGGAGCAAAAGGGAGAGAGCAGAAACATATCCATGTATTTACAGCTAACTGATTATATCAGTTATATATAAATAGGTGATTATATAAATAGGTGACAATTTCTTAGGGACAGTATCCTAAATAAATGGTGTTTAGAAAACTTTATAGCTACATTTAGAGCAATAAAACAAGATCTGCATCTCATACCACATATAAAAATCAACCCTAAATAAATTAGATACTTAAAAGTAAGGCTTGAAACTCTAAAATTACTACAAAAAAATAGAGTGAAAGCCCCATAACAGGCAGTGACTGTTTTTATTTAATCTTCAAATTCCAGAAAACAAACAAAAATTGATGAGTTAGATTACTTGAAATTTTTAAAATGCTGCCCACAATCTGATACAATCACCAAAATTAAACAACTGAAAAATGGGAGATAATATTTGCAAATCACGCAGGTAACAAGGAGTTAATGTCAAAAATATATAAGAAACTCAAATGACTATACAACAAAAACAAATAAACATGAGCAAAAGTCTTAAGTAAATATTTTCAAGAAAAGACATACATGTGGCCAAGAGATGTATAAAAAAATGCTCAATATCAGCCGCACACAGTGGCTCATGCCTGTACTCCCAGCGCTTTGGGAGGCAAAGGTGGGTGGATCACAAGGTCAGCAGTTCGAGACCAGCCTGGCCAACATGGTGAAACCCCTTCTCTACTAAAAATATAAAAATTAGCCAGGCTTGGTGGCAGGCGCCTGTAATCCCAGCTACTCCAAAGGCTGAGACAGGAGAACCACTTGAACCTGGGAGGCAGAGGTTGCAGTGAGCCAAGACTGTGCCATTGTACTCCAGCCTGGGTGACAGAGTGAGACTCCGTCTCAAAAACAAAATTACTCAATATCAATTATTATCAGGGAAAGGAAAGCGAAAAAAAAAAACCCTAGGAAATAACTCACACCTGTTAAAATTACTCTTATTTAAAAAAAAAAGTCTTAGCAAAGGTGGGAAGAAAAGGAAATTCTTCCACATTCTGGGTTGAATGTAAATGACAACCGTTATGGAAAACAAAATACAGATACCTGAAAAAGTTTAAAATCAAACTACAATACAGCAATTGCAATATTGGATATATATCTCAAACAAATAAAATTAGAATAAAGAAACATTTGTACTTCTGTGTAGTTTGCAACACTCTTCGCAGTGGCCAAAATATAGAATCAATTGTTCAGTATCTAATGAGTACATCAAGACAATGTGGTAGGCTGGGTGCAGTGGTTCTCACCTGTAATCCCAGCACTTTGGGAGGCTGAGGCGAGCAGATGATGAGGTCAGGAGTTTGAGACCAGCCTGACCAACTTGGTGAAACCCCATTTCTAATAAAAACACAAAAATTAGACAGGCGTGGGGGCATACGCCTGTAATCCCAGCTTCTCAGGAGGCTGAGGCAGGAGAATCGCTTGAACCTGGGAGGCTGAGGTTGCAGTGAGCCAAAATTGCACCATTGCACTCCAGCCTGGTTGACAGAGTGAGACTCCATCTCAAAACAAAACAAAACAAAACAAAACAAAAATGTGGTGTATATACACAAGAGAATACTATTCATCTTTTTAAAAGCAAATTTTAGGCCGGGCACGGTGGCTTACGCCTGTAATCCCAGCACTTTGGGAGGCTGAGGTGGGCGGATCATGAGGTCAGGAGATCTAGACCATCCTGGCCAACATGGTGAAACCCCGTCTCTACTAAAAATACAATAAAAATTAGCTGGGCTTGGTGGCGGGCGCCTGTAGTCCTAGCTACTTGGGAGGCTGAGGCAGGAGAATGGCATGAACCCAGGAGGTGGAGCTTGCAGTGAGCCTAGATCATGCCACTGCACTCCAGCCTGGGCAACAGAGTGAGACTCCATCTCAAAAAAAAAAAAAAGCGAATTTTATTATTTTCAATTACATGGATTGACCTAGAGTACATATTAATTGAAATAAGAGCCAGAAAGATAATTATTTCATTTTACTTATACATGGCTTCTAAACAACTTAATCTCACTGAAGTAGGGAGTAAAATTATGATCAATAGATATCAAAGTATTTAGAAGAAAGGGGGGTTTGGAAAGATGTCTGTCAAAGAATACATAACTATAGTTGGAGAGGAGAAATAAGTTCAAAAATTTTTTTCTACTGCACAGTGACTATAGTTAATAATAATGTATTTGCATTTTTTAAAAAATTCTGAGACAATATTATGTGCTCTCACCACAAAAGTGTTAACTAACTATATGAGGTAAAGCATTAATTACCCAGAATTAAGCATTTGACAATGTATATACATACTTCAAAATGTCATGTTTTACAGAATAAATTTACATTTATTCATTACAGATGGTACAAAAGACACTAAGAGGGCAGGTGTTGCTTATGGTCTCATGACTGGCCACTCAGAACACAGTAAACAAGTTTGCATACGAAATAATTAAAAAAAGCTTTAATCCAAAATCTGACATGATCTCCAAATGTTTTCCAGAGAAAATGACCAAAAAGTTGTCTACCATTAGGTGATTAAGAATAAAAACTGTAAACTTCACCCACCAAAAAAACTGATATAAGAGTGAGAAATTCCCCAAATTGTAATATCAATATGCAAAAAATATTATTCCAAATTTTAAATCTACAGAGGTCACTTTATTACTTTGAAATGTTTAACATTACACTTAAAAATAGAAGATTCTGCATGGAAATGTACATTGTTCTATATCATAGAAAATTAAATTTACAATTCACTTATTAGCTCTTAAAAATTTAAATTCTAAGATATATATTTTAGCACATTTTATACTTGCCAAACTTTGTAAGAATTTAATGAGATTTTCTGTGTACAGAGAAAAATGATGCTAACTGATTTAATTCTCTTACCTGTGAACAGTGTGTGCCTTTTATCTTAATTAACTCATTTGAAAGCTATATGCATAAGCAAACTCTCCAGTTAAAACCATTTTTTAAAGTGCATTAAAAATACCAACTTTCTTATCAAAACCAACAAATTACCATCCTAAATGACATGGCATGAAAATGATTATGAGAAAATTGTAGCCATAAAACAGAAAAAGACAAAGAAGGGCTGTGATGCACACACAGTTGAAAAACACAGAATTAGACAAAGAAAACTAAAGATAATTCGAATATAAAAGAAGCAAAATTCCTCTTTAAATTCAGCAAGATCCAGCTTTGCAGCCTGAAAAAAAAATGACTCTTCACATGAAGAATTAGTTATTTGTTCACCATTAATATTTTCTATCTCTTACATGAAGTTGAAACTAACTTTCACGGGAATATTTCTGCCTTTCTATGGAGCATCAGTTACACTGCCATGTTTGTTTGCTATATTTATATATATAAACATCCTCATGACTTATGAAACTTCCCTAGTACTTACCTGAACAAACTGGCTGGATCAATAGGTCAATTTTACTTCTGTCAATTATAAAAAGTGAAAGGAACAATAACTTAAAAAAAGTAGGCTTCTATAGGGTTCTCCAGTTAAAAGAACTAAATGGAATGTTCTAACTCAATAAAATATAACTTAATAAACGAATTGTGGAATTACATCTAGAAATTATTTTCTGTGCACTACTAAGTTGTATAAAAATCATTCATACAATCCTCGACCAGCTCACATAATGAAAATCTCATAAGCTATAAAAGGGAAAAATTATGAGAAACAAGAAAATTATGGGTCTAGCATGAGTACCAGACAAATAAAGACAAAAAATTTGCATAAGGAGATTCTGATCCATTAGCTGTAAGATTTTACAGTAATCAATTCAATAAAAAGCAGAGGGTATCAATTTGCTTTTAGCATTTTTGAGGTTTTTAGTCTTCTAGTCACCTTATTAAAATGATTCATTTTCTTCCAATATTGCTTTTTTCTTCTGAAAATAGGTACAAACTCATTCAAACATGCTTACTTACTCCATAATTTTCTTAAACCTAAGAAAATTAGGTTTTATCTTTAGAGTAATGTATGTGTATATTTAACTCTATGTAAATCAAAACTAAAAGTCTGTATGTGTTTGCAGGCAGAGATGTCATATATTCAAAGAAAGATATGTAACAATTTTTAATGTTTATTTTGGACTCAGAAATGTATGGATTTTATTTATAATTGTATATAACTTTTATTATGATCATAAACATGACCTTGTAGTGAATAACAATTTAATTGTACATTTTAAAATATCGAAAAATGTAGAATTCGTTTCTAATACAAAGGATAAATACTGGAGATGATGGATACTTAATTTACCCTGATGTGATTATTACCTATTTTATTCCTGTATCCAAATAGGCTATATATAGCATAAATACCTACACATACTATGTACTCACAAAAATTAAGACAAATAAGCTAAAATAAGAAAAAACGAGTAAATATTTAACCTATGGAAACAATATTCTTTAACTTCTTCGCACTTTAAAGTCACTGGCAAAAGAGATTACTAGAAATGTTAGTCCATTATGTTACCAAATAGTATATTGTTACCATCTTTTACCTACATCCTTGAGTAAGGTTGAATAGATTAAAGTTAGTGGCATAATAACACTTTATTGAATGCACAATGGTTTTAACAAACTTTAAAAATTTAAGTTCACATGGCCGGACGCGGTGGCTTATGCCTGTAATCCCAGCACTTTGGGAGGCTGAGGCAGGTAGATCACCTGAGGTGAGGAGTTCGAGACCGGCCTGACCAACATGGGGAAACCCTGCCTCTACTAAAAATACAAAAAAATTAGCCGAGCATGGTGGCGGGCACCTGTAATCCCAGCTACTCAGGAGGCTGAGGCAGGAGAATTACTTGAACCCGGGAGGCATAGGTTACAGTGAGCTAAGATCGTGCCACTGTACTCCAGCCTGGGCAACAAGAGGGAAACTCTGTCTCAAAAAAAAAATAAGTTCACACTTAATCTAAAAATTTAATAATGTACTATATTCTATTACATAAAAGTACTATTAGTAAAATGATATACTACTAATAAATTTTAATTAACTAAAATTAAAAATGTTATCACCATAATGTAGAATATTACTCTGAACATCTAACTCATGCATTACTTAATACTACGTGTTAACTAAAAAGAGTCTCTCCACTTACAATTTCATCACGTCTTACATTATAATGCCTTTTCTCTTCCATAGAAAAGGTCATAAATAATGCCCACCTAATAAAAAAAAACCTCTTATATTTTTGATGCAGCAATTAGTAACATGCTTTCACAGGTGAATACAGTAGGAAGGAAAATAGAGCATGAAGTAATTTGAGAGTAGAATTGCATCATTATTCTTGTTTAAAATATCTAATTTTAAGGACCAAAGTATACTTGTAATTATAACATTTAAAAAATTCTATTTCTTTTAAAGTGATGTACAAATAATTTATTTACCAACTTAGTTCTAGATTATTTTCTATACTTAGCACTCTGATTTAGTGTAATGTCTACAGCTTCAGTGCCTTAGGTATTTCTACTGTGAATTTTCTGATATTTACATTGATTTCATTTTGGATTAAACATTGTTTCCTATGTACTGCATCTGCAAAAATATATTTTAGTATGAAACCTCTGGTGTTTTCTAAGAAATAGTTATTGAAACAATTTTTCTCCAAATTTATTGCCATTTGCAAGATTTTTTTCCCAACATAAATTTCCTGATGTTGAGCCAAGTTTGAGAAATTGCTTCAGGGTTTTTTTGTAGTACAAAATGTGTGCAATAAAATCTGTGATACAAGTAAGGGTACTACAACCCTCTTTATGTTCGTAATCTTTGTCTTCAGAATGAATACTCTTCCTCACTTTTTTTTATGAGATGGAGTCTTGCTCTGTCACCCAAGCTGGAGTGCAGTGGTATGATCTCGGCTCACTGCAATCTCCACCTCCCAGGTTCAAGGAATTCTCCTGCCTCAGCCTCTTTAGTAGCTAGGATTACAGGTGTGTACCAACATGCCTGGCTAAATTTTTGTATTTTTAGTAGAGATGGGGTTTCTATGGCCATGTTGGTCTCAAACTACTGACCCCATGATCTACCCACCTGAGCACTCCCAAAGTGCTGGGATTACAGGCATGAGCCACTGTGCCCAGCCTTTTCTTCACTTTAAAGGCTGACATTTTTTTACAGTAATTGCATTTATAATGCTTTTATTATTTACCAACTCTCTAACGTTGAGTAAGATGTGAGCAGATATTAATGGTTATTTCACATTATTTGTATTTATACAATTTTTCTCAAGTATAAATGCTTTCCTGTGCAATAACTTGCGACTATTAATTAGAAATTTCACAATATTGTTCACTCTTGTAGGTGTTTTCTCCAGTAAAAATTATCTTACTTAAAAATAAGTGGGACAATCTTTTAAAGGTTTTGTCACATTCTTCACATTTCTAGGATTTGTCACCAGTACAATTTCTTTTATATTTAGAAAAGGTTTGAGGTGTTGTCAAAATCATTGTCACTTTCTGGTTTTGTAGAGTTTCTCCCTGGTATGAATTTTCTTATTCTTAATAAGGCTTGCAGATAGGTTAAAAGCTTTGTCACATTCTTCACATTTGTAAGGTTGCTCCCCAGTATAAATTATCTTATGTTTAGTAAGTGATGAAGATTGGCTAAAAGCTTTGCCATATTCTTCACATTTGTATGGTTTCTCTCCAGTATGAATTCTCTTATGTGTAGTAAGGTGTGAGGAATGGTTAAAAGCTTTGCCACATTCTTCACATTTGTAAGGTGTCTCTCCAGTATGAATTCTCTTATGTGCAGTAAGTGTTGAGGATTCGTTAAAAGCTTTGCCACAGTCTTCACATTTGTATGGTTTTTTTCTCCAGTATGAATTCTCTTATGTTTAGGAAGGGTTGCAGAGTCTGTGAAAGCTTTGCCACACTCTTCACATCTGTATGGTTTTTCTCCAGTATGAATTCTCTTACGTCTACTAAGGATTGCAGAGTCTGTAAAAGCTTTGCCACAGTCTTCATATTTGTATGGTTTTTCTCCAGTATGAATTCTCTTACGTCTAGTAAGGGTTGCAGAGTCTGTAAAAGCTTTGCCACATTGTTCACATTTGTATGGTTTCTCTCCAGTGTGAATTTTCTTGTGTGTAGTAAGCATTGAGGATTCGTTGAAAGCTTTGCCACAGTCTTTATATTTATATGGTTTTTCTCCAGTATGAATTATCTTATGTCTAGTAAGGGTTGTAGAATATGTAAAAGCTTTGCCACAGTCTTCATATTTGTATGGTTTTTCTCCAGTATGAATTCTCTTATGTCTAGTAAGGGTTGCAGAGTCTGTAAAAGCTCTGCAACAGTCTTCACATTTGTAGGGTTTCTCTCCAGTATGAATTTTCTTATGTTTAGCAAGTTTTGAGGATTGGTGAAAAGCTTTGCCACATTCTTCACATTTGTAGGGTTTCTCACCAGTATGAATTATCTTATGTGTAGTAAGATTTGAGGACCGATTAAAAGCTTTGCCACATTCTTTATATTTGTAGGGTTTCTCTCCAGTATGAGTTTTCTTATGTTTAGAAAGTATTGAGGACTGGTTAAAAGCTTTGCCACATTCTTCACATTTGTACGGTTTCTCTCAAGTATGAATTTTCTTATGTTCAGTAAGGTTTTAGGGATGGTTAAAAGCTTTGCCACATTCTTCACATTTGTAGGGTTTCTCTGCAGTATGAATTCTCTTATGTCTAGTAAGGTTTGTAGACTGGTTAAAAGCTTTGCCACATTCTTCACATTTGTAAGGTTTCTCTCCAGTATGAATTCTCTTATGTGTAGTAAAGGTTGAGGATCTGTTATAGACTTTTCCACATTCTTTACATTTGTAAAACTTCACTGTAGCATGAATTCTTTTATGTTGAATTAGGTGTAACAGCATGCAAAATGATTTGCCACATTCTTTACATTTGAAAGGTTTCTTATCAGCATGTCTTATCTTATATGCTTTTAAATGTGAAAATTTATGAAAGACTTTCACATATTTATCACATTGAAATATTTTGCTCTGGGTAGTTGGGAAACATTGGTTAAGTTCATTATAACCTTCTTTGTGCACCTTACACTCATCCACACTTTTATAGCCTTCTTTTAACAGAAATTTCTTAATGTCCACATTTTTCATATCTTCTCAGTGTTACTTTGTGCAAAGACTCTTCTATGTTCTTCTCTGGCAAAAAGTCTTGGGTGAAATGAGAACACATTACTGAAAGAAATAAAAATAACACATTACTTTAATTGCTAGACTCTAATATACTTTCTAAGTCTAATCTATAAAATTACACAAACTACATAAGCAAGATGACATAGCACAATACCACAGACCATAATTTCTTCCTAGACATATAAAGTTAACAAAATCATACTGACCAAAATACTTTTGTGGAAAATTTATAAATGAGTTAAGTGTGGACAGTGTCCCAGGTGAGCACAATATAAAGAACCTCACAGAAGAAAAAGAAAAGTCTGTTATATTTACCCAACACGGTTTTTCTGCTCCCCAATATAACATAATGCCTCTAGAAGCAAATTGCCAAATTCAATTGTTTTGCAGAGAGGAATACCTGAGAGTGGATAATTCATCAAGCAAAGAGGTTTTTTTGGCTCACAGTTTGGCAGACTGTAGAAAAAGTGTGTGTCAGCATCTGCTTCTGGTGAGAATCTCAGAAGCTTACAATTAGGTGAAAGGCAAAGAGTAACAGGACGTATTAGATGGTAAGACAAAGAGCAAGTGTGAGATAATGAAGCCAGGTTCTTTTAATGAACCAATCTTTGAATTAACAGAGTGTAAACACTTTGATTAACAAGCTAGTGCCAAGCCATTCATGAGGAATTTGCCCCCATGACACAAACACCTCCCACCTGTTCCACATTAAACACTGAGGATTACATTGCAGCATAAGATTTGGAGAACATGGAAATCCAAACAATATTGCAGACCAATCAGGCTTAACAGGCATATACAAACCTTTTTAATCAAAAGCAAGAGAATACACAATATTCTTATTTGTGCCTGGTATATTCTGTTAGGACACATACCAAGTCTTATTAAATTTGAGAATACCAGCTGGGTGCAGTGGCTGATGCCTATAATCTCAACATTTTGGAAAACTGAGATGGGAGAAACATGTGGAGCCAGAAATTTGAGACCAGCCTGGGCAACACAGTGAAACCCTGTCCTTACAAATAATCACAAAATTAGTGAGGCAGGGTAATGCATTGCTATAGTGTCAGCTACTTGGGAGATTGAGCTGAAATGATCACTTGAGCCTGGGAGGTTATGGCTGCAGTGAGCCAAAATTATTCCACTGCACTACGGCCTGAGTGACAGAGTAAGATCCTGCCTCAAACAACAAGACATAAATTTAAGAAGACCAAAATCATATGTGTTCTCTGACCAGAACTGAATAACACAAGAAATTAAGAGCAAAAGTAAAACTGGCAAATCCAAATATATATGAAAATAAAACACACTCTTTAGCATATTCTTGGCTTGAGGGTAAAAATATTTAATCCTTCAAAGATGTCGATACAACCTAGAGTGGTGAACAGATTTATTATAATCTCTATAAAAATCTGAATAGCACAATTTTTTACAAACATATTGTTTAAAATTTTTTAATTTAATGATAAACTATAGCCAAACACCCATTAAAAAACAAGGAAGCATTATATTTCCTGATTTCAAAACGTATTAAAAGCTAAATAAGACAAACAATATGGTACTAACACATAGATAAACAGGTGAAAGACAATAGAGAGCCCAGAAATAAACCCTTCCACGTATAATCAAATGATTTTCCACAAAGTTGCCATGAGCACACAATAGAGAGAAGCTAATCTCTTCAAAACATAATGTTGAAAACTAGATATCAACACCGATAAAATAAAGTTAGATCATTTCCTTGAACCAAATATGAAAAGTATTTTAAATAAAATACTTAGACATTAAAAAACTAACAAATCTCTTAGAAAAAAATATAGGGAGAAGACATGACATTGGTCTTGGCACCATTCTCTTAGATACGACATTAAATGGATGAGCAACAAAGAAAAAAAGAAAAATTTAACTACACTATACTCCAAAATTTCTGCATGTCAATGAAAACATTCAATAGAGTAACAATGCCTTTCAGAAAGTGGGTGAAAGTATTTGCAAATCACATATGATAGGAATTAATATTAAAAGTATATAAGCAACTCTTAAAACTGAACAATGAAGTTGAATAACTTGATTTAGAAATAATTGAACTAAATTTTTATCAAAAAAATACACAAATGGGAAAACGCTTTGAAAAAACATGCAGAATTACCATTTGTAAAGAAATGAATAAAAATTACATTGAAAAACAAGATCACCTTATACTTAATAGAATGACAGATATCAATTTTTTAGAAATACCAAATCTGTTGATGATTCAATAAAAATGACAGTCATGTTGATTGTGGGTGGAAAACAAGGATGTAGTCATTATTTCAAAATGTATAAATGTTCCTCAAGTTATTAAAATAAAAGTATCATCAAATACAGCAATCTCATTTATGAATTTATATCCAAAATATGCAACACAGGACCTGAAAGACAAGTTTGAACATCTGTGTTTTTTGTGCCAGTGCTCACAAAAGCTAAAAGGCTGAAGCAACTTAGATATTCCTTGACTTATAAACACATCAAAAACCATGTTATACACACACACACACGAACACACACACACATACACACACAGTAGAATATTACTCAGCCTTAAGTAAATCCTGTCATATTTTAAGATAAACTATGATAATACTATGTTACCTGAAATAAGCCAGTAACAAAATGATGGATACTATATGATTTCACTTATATGAGATATCTTAATTAGTCACACTCATAGAAACAAAACATGGAAGGGTGTTTTGTTTCTATGAGTCTCAAGGGCTGGGGAGAGGGTAAAATGGGCAGTTGTTACTTAATGAGTATTGAGTTTTAGTTTCTCAAAATGAAAAATTTACGGAACTCTTTTATATAATATGAATATACTAAACAATACTGAAATGTACAGCTTCTTTTTTCGAGACAGGGTCTCACTGTCACCCAAGCTTGAGGCGCACTGTAGCCTCAAGCTCCCAGGCTCAAGTAATCCTCCACCATCAATCTCCTAAAGAGCTGAGACTACAGGTGCATACCACCATGCCTGGCTATTTTTATAATTTTTTTGTAGAGAGAGAATCTCCATATGTTTCCCAGGCTGCTCTCAAACTTTTGGGCTCAAGCGATTCTTCTGTCTTCACCTCCCAAAATCCTGGGATGACAAATGTGAGCCACCACCATGCCTAGCCCTGAAATGTACACTTTAATAGATTTAAGATGGTAAATTTTATGTTTTTACAACAATGTTTTTCAAAGAAAAACTGAAAAAATACAGAATTATAATTTTTTTCAAAAATTACCTTCAAATCACAAAAGTGCCTCTCTCACACAAAGGACATATATA
Organism: Homo sapiens; assembly: GCF_000001405.40. Lineage (NCBI taxonomy): Eukaryota > Metazoa > Chordata > Mammalia > Primates > Hominidae > Homo > Homo sapiens. Next base: position 22,467,688 of record NC_000019.10, on the reverse strand, counting down.
TTCATCATTAAACACATGGTGAAAATAAGACTATTTCCTTGACTTTTCACTTGGACAAGAAAAAACAACCATTCAGCTAAGAGAGAATGTATACAAGATAAGCCATAACAAAAATTAGGGTTATATTTATAGATACACACACATGTATATAATCTGATTGTGATAGACATATGGCTGATTTATAATTAAACCCCACATTGACTTAAAGTGTACAAATAGAATTGCAAATTGTCTAATATTATAGTACCTAAGTAAAATCAAAACCCACAATAAACTGATGTTAAGAAACCAACATTATAAAACACCAATATAGACTGGAAAACAATAATAAGAGAAATGTTTATTCATAAATTCTGGTTTGCAATATTGATGTACTATGAAGAAAGGATTTGTCTAGATAACTACAGTATTTGACTAACTGTGTACTCATGGAAGGCAGGTATTTTAAATCATTGACATACACTATATGGCTGTAAAATTTCAGAGAAATTGCAGTATAGTCATAAATAAAAGATTCTCATGAGAAACTTTAAACATTTTTTTAAAACTAGAAATAATTTTTATGTTTTAAATATATGCTATTCTTACACAAAATAAAACTGCTGTGACCCAACTTTAGAAGCAAAGAATAGCCTTACATTGCTAAATGTAAGCAGAATATGGTTAGAGCCTAAAACAAATATATGGGAGAAAATTATGTGATTATTTAGATATAGGCTGAAAAAGTGGGTGCAAATCCTATAATTCCTTTTTGCCTACAGCAAGCTTAAATTTATAAGTAACTGTTTTAGTAAATATGGAGTGTCTACTAATTATCTAATTTACTTCAGGCATAACATGTAAATTCTAGAATATTGTTCTAAATCTCTGAATCTAAAATTACAAATTTGTAATAGAAAATAAAGAATAAAAATGTATAAAGAGAGTGAAATCAGTAAGATGGAAGAAGGAAGGGTACCCTATTTTCTTACTCCCTGCACAGCAAGATAATTTGTCAGCCATCTCTCACAAAAATACCTACATGAGAGAGCCAGGCCCTCATGGCTCAAACCTGTAATGACAGCTACATGGTACATTCAGGTTAGAGAATTGCTTCAGGCCAGGATTTCAAGACCAGCCTGGATTGTGTAGCAAGACCCCATCTCAAATATAAGTGCCTTTAAGAGAGCTTTGAGATCCAGAGAGGGAGTTGTGAAGATCTGATAAAGCCCAAGATTGAAAAGTCTTCTTTTCAGAAGGCAGGCCCTTATTTAGGTGGTAAACTACAGACTAGGAAGTTCTTAACTACAGACTAGGAAGTGGCCTACCTAGCTTGGCACAACAGAAAATTCTGAACTTACGGTGTAACCATCTCAAACTCCTTCCAGCCACAATCTGAGAGAGGTCCTGCCCTTCCAGAGGCCTGGAGGAAGACATTCATTTATAGCCACGCAGGCAGGCCTGCAGACCTTGGCCTTTACCATGGTTCTTGAAGCAGTTCAATGACTCAGTTTCAGCTCCATGAGCCACAGTTAATGGCCAGTTCTGCCTACCTAGGAACCCACACAATGACCTGGAAAAATTCTTTCTGGTACTCAGTGAAAGCTGTACTCATCCACATTTTGACATAAGGCCCACCTTATGCAGACTGGACTGCAGAAACCTGCACTAGTGTCTGCCCTACAGAGCAAAGTACCAAAAGAAATTCAATCTATCCAAAATATAAAATGGGAATTACAACTACCAAATCCCCTTGTAACAAGCCAGCTAAAGGTGGACCCTAGTGCAGATCCAGCAGCCTGGTGACCAAGCTGCAACCCCTCTTTACTACAAACCCAGAGGGCATCCCATCACCCTGGGGGCCCAACAAAAGATGATCTTTACCTCCTGAAAGCAGTTTAAAAAACTTGAAGAGGTCTTTGCTCCTTCAAATTCACATACACCAACGCAAAACTATATTGTGCCCATTGTCAATGCTTTTATTTTAACATAGCATTGAAAGTATGTGGCAGAAGAATTAGTCGAAAAATAAAAAAGAGCCATTCAAATGGAAAACAAGTAAAAAGTTGCTGGTTGTAGATCATATGATCCTATGTATATAAAATCATAAACAGTACATTAAAACCTGTCTAAACTACTAAATACAATCAATAAATTAGGAAAATATAAAATTAACTTACAAGTTAGGGTTCCATACACTTAAGACAAGCTCTCTGATAAAATACAGGAAGAAAACAATCTTATTTACAATAGCATTAAAATGATAAATTTCTGAGAACAAATTTAACAAAGGAGGTAAAAAGTCTTTATAATGATACATCAGTAATAGAAATTAGAAAAGACATAAATAAATTTAAAAATATTTCATGTCTATGCATTTAAAAAATAAATACTGTTAAAGTGCCGTGTTATCCAAAGTGATCTATAGATTCGATAAACTCTCTATCAAAATTTCAGTGGCAATTTTTTAAGTAATGGAAAATACAATTTTAGAATTTCCATGAAACTGCAATAAACTTTGAATAGTCAAAGCAATCTTAAAAATAAAAACAAAGCACAGGGCATCATACTTTTTAACTTCAAACTATATTTGAAGACTATAGTAATATAAACAAGATGAAATGTGCAGAAAAATGAACCAAAAAAAAGGAACAGAAACTACAATTCACATTTTACACATGATACAAAAAGAAAACTTAAAAAATTGTTTAACACAGAGTTTCTTAAAATTATGCAGATTTGTGTGTTCCCAAAAAGAATGTAAAAGTAGTCAGACTGTGCAGTTTTTTATATGCCATGAACAGGGTAGTGGCTCGCACTGAAAACTTGAAAGAAGATCACTAAAAAGAAAGCAGAATCCTTAGAAAATTTAAAAGCATAAAACAGAAGATGTCCAAATTTGAGATAAAACAAAACAAAACAAACAAACAAAAAACCCTTAGGCTTCCCAGAAACTATTTCCTATAAAACACAGCTTTCCAACTCATATTTTAACAACTGGCTTTCTCCTTAATTTTTAGACCTCTCATTTGTGTTAAACATTGTATTCACCTTCACTCTCACCTACCTGGGTGTTCATCCACCATCTCATGTCTCTTCATATTTCAGGGCTCTTTTTTTTGCTCCAGACAGATGATCAGGTCTGGCTTAGAGACAGCAATACCTATTTCATTACAAATGAATAATGTAAATTTTGCTCATATTCTCCAGTTACCAACCTACTTCTGTGTTCAGAAAAGAGGGTGTAATAAAATATTTTCATAAAGTAATCACAAAATACTGATTTCTAACAGGGAATTTTATTAAATATTTTAAATTTGTAGGTTATTAATTTCACTATCCAGTAATACTGAGTCAAAACTTGGTGTTGGCAATTAGATTTTAAGTTATGGACAACAATATTTTATGTCACTAAATTAATGAAATTACTGCTAATCTAGAGTAAAGGACACAGATCAGCTCAGGAATGTGGAAATTTCAGGTCAAGATGAAACATCCTGAAAAAGTTATTTTATACATGGACAAATCCCCAAGATTTTCTTGAAAACACAGATCTGAAACTCATTTATGCAAAGCATAAATTACCAAAACACATTCTACAAAAAAGAGAAATGAAACCATTAGGGTATATTTGGAATTGTGTGTTGAAGTTGTCATCACCTGGGAAGACCAGATTCCTGTAGTTCTCTAACATCACGTTCCTATATAAATTCCACTGTGCAGTGTCCAAGAATTGCCACTCCATCAGAGAGAATTCTATGGCCACATCTGTAAATGTCAACAGTCCCTGAAAAACACAAACACTCACACATAGACACATACACACACACACACACACACACACACACACACACACACACACACACACACACACACCAGGTAGCCAGCAAAATTTATAACTTGACTAAAGGCAAAATGAGAGAGTAAAAAGAACTGGTTCTGACTTACAGGAGTGACTGAAATTATCCAATAAAATATTTATTTACACAGAAATATTTCCTAATATCTCTAATCCTGAGAAAAGAGAATGGCATAAGATCCACAACACCAGTGTATCTATAATACTTTTCTGGATGATAAAGTATAAACACAAATGTGTACACTTTTCAGTGTTCTACTTGCATCATAGAGAATCAGTTATGTATATGTTTCAGATGTAAAAGATATGTTGAGTTAGAAGTTACCTCGAAAATTTGTCATTTTTAGTAGTGATTTTAAATAGTCTGTCTTTAACACTCTAATAGCAAGTATCTCCTAATAAATTTTTTAGAAGTTTTTGTGTAATAAATACCATCTTGTTTAAATCAGCATTTTCTAAACAGTGTTCTGCATAGAGCTAAGGGGGAGCTCAGATGGAATCTCAACATTAGATGTTCTTCATCTTTACTAAGGACCCCAGCTTTTCCCAATAGGAATCTTCAGTATCCGTGACTTCCCATGTTCAACACCACAAGGGGAACATTTTTAATATTGCAGACCATAAATTCCTGGTGAGAATTTTGCATGGCATATAAGAAGCCATGATGTAGAGAATGTAGAGAAAGCTCTGGTATATAGGAAAGAAATATTTTTCAGAGAACTTTGACTACCATAAAAAATTTAAAACATACTTAAAACAAACTTATTAGGGAGAAAAAACACAAGTAGAGAGATTAAGGTTTGCAAGTACTGAAAGCACGGCATTCCAGGAGGCAGAGTGGACACAGCTCTTTATCTGAGGCATGTTTAGCTGAAAAAAAGTCATTTTTTCCTCTTTCTACTCCTTCTCTGGAAATTCACTTCAGATGAGATTCTCCGGACAAATTACACCTGGATCTGGAGAATATGCCTTTAAAGGTGTCAGCACCACATGTTCACCTACTACCACCACGCCCACAAGCAGAAGGACCCAGAGCTGCAAAAAAAGTCCACCCATTTCTGTTTTTTATATTAAAATAAAGACTCAGGAATGATGAGCTGCTCCATGGAAATAAAAGTAAAAGCTTCTTCTTTCCTGTCCTCAGGTGACCTCCCTTTTAACAGACTCCATCAATTTCTGCTACAGTAATGAAAATATGAGCTACACTTTCCTGTCACTACCAAATCCAAACAGAACAGGCCCTGTGACCACCCTTTAGTTCAAAGGTGGAACTTAACTTTCATAAATGTATCTCGAACCTCTCATACTTGATTCTGGCCTCACCTAAGGGTCACATGAGGCACTTAATTTAAACAACATGGATGCTTCTACTCAGAATAATAAATAGAACCTGTAAAATAAAAAAGGCATAAGTAAAGAGATTTTGGCAAATTAACCATGTAATCCTAACTAGAAACATGGGCTGATAACCATTTAGCTAAGCATTGCCCCTCAAGCTTTAATAAGCTTTAAAATCACGTGGTAACTTTGGCCCCACTCTGTGTGATATAATCCTGCAGGCTTGGAAAGTGTCTGTAAGTGGGTATTTTACACAAGTTCCCTGTTAATGCTGATGTTGCTTCCCCTGGGCTCATCATTAGCAGTAATTAGAGAAAGCAGGCACAGCAAAGAGTCCCTTACACTGAACACCCTCGTCACAACACACATACTTCTAGGACAAATGAAGACAACCAATTTCCTTATTCTTTGCTGGTTCTTTAAAGTTTACAGAACAAACAGAAGTCAGCAACGTTTGAATAAATTTACATTTGGAAACCAACATGTGCACATGTACTAATGCAATGTTTATTAAGCAGGTACTATGTGCTCAAGAGTATGTTACAGAGCACTGTGCTGGGTATAACGTACTTTGTGATTTAATCCTCATAACACCCTGGGAGCTGGTACTGTCTTTAATAATTCCCTGGTACTGTCTTTAATAATTCCCAGATTTTAGAGAGGGGGGGGCTAGCATTTTTATGTCTTCTTCTGATTATCTGTCATTGACTTTTTTTAAATGTATAGAATAAAACTTAAATATAGACAGGTGAAAGGGATATAGAAAGAGTTTGTATAGTTTAGCAGAATTTGTATTGTGTTTATATTTACTTTTTTTGTGACTTGTGGAACAACTACTGGATCTGCAGAAATAGAGAACAAGTAGTACTTGGACTGTCTCTGCTAGCACTGTTTAAAAAAATTAAAAAAGGCCAGGCACATTGGCTCACACCTGTAATCCCTGCAGTTTGGGAGGCTGAGGTGGGTGGATCACCTGAGGTCAGGAGTTGGACACCAGCCTGGGCAACATGATGAAACCCCACCTCTACTAAAAATATGAAAAATTAGTCAGGCATGGTGGCGGGTGCCTGTAATCCCAGCTACTTTGGAGGCTGAGGCACAAGAATCGCTTGAACTCTGGAGGTGGAGGTTGCAGTGAGCCAAGATCACGCCACTGCACTCCAGCCTGGGTGACAAGAGTGAAATTCCATCTCAATAATAATAATAATAATAATAAATTAAGAACCTAAAATACATTATTTATCCCATTCATCTGCTTTTGGATTTTTAAAAAATTTTGAGCATCAGCTCTAGAGAGGCAAAAGGATTCAAAACTCTCATCTCTTCTTATCAGTTCTGTGAGGCAAAACTCCAGGGTTGGGCCAGACCTTAGTAAGGCCTTCATAGAGGGTGAATCTAAACAGAACTGGGACAGGGAGAGGTTCCTAAGCAGAATTCTGTTCTCTATGACAGTGGGTATTTTGAGTTCTGTTTTTGTAAACTTACCTAAGAGAAACTTAAATCCCAGAGTTTGTGTAACTTTAATCTTTTTTAGCCACTGCCCTGTTAATTTTATAACACATACTAACAGGCAATTTAAACAAATCTCTTAAAGTTTTCTAGGATAATTTTATTTGAAGATAAATATGTATTCCTAGCAAGGTAAAAAGAACAGAAATAATAAGTCTTCTCTCCATAAATATCCCTTTAGGTGATAACATCAGAAGTCGCAACAATATAAAGAAAGTGACCCAAATAAAGCCCAAGTTTTGTTGCACACATCTATTCATTGTACCCACCATATGATGCTCAAATTAGCCATTTTCTCTAGTTGATGGCCTAGACTAAAATTTCCTGGATGGTAGGGGCCATAACTACTTCAGCTATTTTTCTAATGGTCATATGAAATGGAAACTATTAGTTGATCTGTTTGAGTCTCCAGACATCTTCCTTGTTTTTCACTCAAGTACCAGGAAACTGGAGAAACTCTCATCTGGGTACCAACCAAAGATATCTCATGTATGAGGGGAGGAAAACACAGAGTAAACTATTTTACTTAAACTGAACAAAAGCAGAATTATACACTTTTGTCAGCTCGACACAATTCTGTTTTGGACATTTTCAAATTTCTAGTAGATGTCCTGGTGATTGTGAGAGGTTCCCAGTGCTTCTGAGCTGATGGCCCATTGATAAGTCCGGGAAGAGACACTCAGGCTAAATGAAAAATTGAACTGCCCTGGTGAAGCTCCAGAACTTTAATCACCCATCCTGATTAGCTAGCTTTTGGGTTAAAAACAAACAAACAAACAAAGGACAAGAATACTCTACTCCAGTATCACATTTAACACATAGGTGTAGTTTGGTGGAGGCTCTGGATACTTTGTGGCCTTAATCTCTTACTCTGAAGATGCTTGTTTACGCTTATAGATTCTGCCATCAGATTCTATTTACACCTGGAGCCCCTCACATAACTGCAGCAGGTCACTAGACAAGACCTGAAAAACTCAAAGAGCCACATTCTCAAATGGGAACTTCAAGACATCTATGTTGACATCTCACCATGCAGAAAATGTTTCCTGTTTGTTTTCTGTACATTCTAAATCCAAAGCCTGACCTTGCTTTGTGAATCCCAGGCAGAGGTCAGATCTTACATGCAGATTCTATGTCAGATCAGCCTGGCTTTGCATTCTCGGGTGTGACAGCAAGTGGAGTACAGTCAAAAGAGAAATCCCCTCATAGAGGCTGCTCTAGTACATTCTAAATAATATGCCTACCTAAAAGAAATAAGCTGAGGTAACATGAATATATGTAGACAGTTTATTTGGGCCAAGCTTGAGGATTATAACCTGGGAGCAAAGATTCAAGTTGCCTGAAATCTAAACTTTGTTTAGCAACAGTTACAAGTGGATTTGTAAAGCCAAAAAAAGATGGACAGAGATGGGGCTGGTACAAATTTATCAGAAATTTTTATTTATTTACAGAAATAACATTGATTATTGATTCGATGTACATCATTAAGGTTTACAGTATGAATTATAGTGTCCAGAGTGGCATTATTAGTTTAGGTTATAGCTACTGGTGGCAATAGCAAATGCTTTCAAGAGATAAGTACATTATTCAAAAAGGGGAGAAGGACATAAATGTGCTCTCATTTTAATCTCTCTCTGAGTTTGACAACTAAAAAGACTTGCATTCCTCAGAGAAAAGTTTTTTTTTATTTTCCAAATCTCAAGACCTAGATTCAGAATTTGGAGCTGCAGATTTAGGCTCTGGATGGATAGAGTAGCAGCAGGTGGTACCTGCACATTTGTGGGCATTTTAGCAAGAGGAGAAAGGGGAACGTGGAGACTCTCATTTCCACATGTCTACTCAGTGCACACGTTACTCTGATTGGGTACCTGGGGTCCAGGGTCTGTGAGTCAGTTTCAGGACTGAAGATACAAGAGTCATAGAAAGAGGTAAAATGGTTGATTGTTGCCCTGTCAAGTCTGTAGAAATCTGGTCTAGTCTCTCTAGAAGTGACTATAGAAAACTACAGGTATCTAACAGGCAGAGACATAATTCTGCCTGCATATTTAAGAGAAAGCAGGCACTTTGCAGCAAATTTGTTAGTTGACTGGAAGCCTGAGAGGGAAAGTCCTCTCTATAGTAAATTCTGGTTGGCACCTTATATGTTTTTATTGTGTCTGATAATTCTTGACAGTGTTTGGAAAATATAATTAAAAGAAAAATTTTCTGCATCCCCAGAGAAACACCACAATGACAGAACAGTAAGAATGATGTTTTATTACACAATTAATCGAGAATGTGTCATGCATCACAGTCAATCTGCTTAACAGATTGCAAAGACAGAATTAGTCTGTCACCATAATTAGTGGTCACCATAATTAGTCCACAAGTAGAAGAATATATAGCACCATGTCATACATAGTTCATCCTGAACTCACCTGGTAACTGGAGAGGCCATTCATGTATGCTAATTGGTTATATTTAGTGATAAAATAAACTTTTCCCATCTTCATGATATGAGGTAGTTTTGCAACTTGAAGCCAGATGCCTGCTGAAAGTCGGCTCACTCTGCTACACAAACGGTTGATTAGGGTGCTATCTTTTTGGCTATTTACATTTTAAAGCAATGGCTCTCTACTCCCTGAGCACTGGGTTATAGCAATCCTGCTTGCCCTCTCCTGATGGCTAGTGTCCTCTCTTGAACCCTACCATCTGCCACTGAGGTACAGCCTACATACAGCACAGGGCATACAGCTGGCAGCTCACATCTTACATGAACCCCAGTTGCCACAGCAGCACTCCAGCGTCCCATCAGACAATGAAGCCTGAGTAGCAGGAGGAGAGCCTGCAGGCCTCCTGGGTAGAACTGCACCTTCATGATAATGGAAATGAAAGCAGTGTTTCAGCCTCAGTTTCTATTTATAATGGTGACATGAAAAAAATACTGCTGGATTTCCAGCATGAGTCCAGATAGAAATAGGTCTAAGAATTCTCACTGTGACAGCTCACCTTATTCACAGACACCATGGGATACTAACAGGATCCCTGAAACAGCCATACAAAGCACTGGAGAGAAAAACAGCTCTCAGTCTGAGCAAGATTATATGGAGAAAAAAAAAGTTAAAGGCATCTTAAGAACAACACTTTGATTAGACATAAACTTGATCAAATCAGCCAGAAAATATTCTCCTTAAAGGAATTTCTCTCTAAAACCCCAAAGTGCTGCTGGGTGTGGTGGCTCATGCCTGTAATCCCAGCACTTTGGGAGGCCGAGGCAGGCGGATCACTTGTGGCCGGGAGTTCAAGACCAATCTGGCCAACATGGTGAAACCCCATCTCTACTAAAAGTACAAAAATCAGCTGGACTTGGTGGCGTGTGCCTGTGATCCCAGCCACTCAGGAGGCTGAGGCAGGAGAATCAGTTGAGCCTGGGAGGAGGAGGTTGCAGTGAGCCAAGATCACGCCACTGCACTCCAGCCTGGGTGACAGAGCGAGACTCTGTCTCAAAAAACAAACCAACAAAAAAACCCAAAGTGCACAGGTACTCTCAGCATGAGAAACATGAGCATTATGAAAAAGGAAAAAATATTCTCAGCAGAATTTTATAAGGTTTCTCTTTTATCTCTGCTGCTCTCTTATCTCCTAGCCAATGAATGGGAGATCTACAATGGAATACATCTGACAATTTTCATAAGCCCTTGTAGGTGAAAAATTGAAATCTGACTTTGTTTATATAGTGAAATACATTTGACCTTGCAACCCAGCTAAATTAACAGTTATTATGGTTTCTCAGTGACCACTTCACTGGTGTTTATTTGTCCCGTAATAGCAGCATTCCAATTTAGTGAAATGAAAGACACTAAAATTATGCTTATCTGTAACTACCCATATGGGATCAATTAATAAGCATGTTAGACAAATATTTACTGTAACAATTTGGTAGCAATTTTTTGGATATTAGATATAAATAAGTATAAATTAATGTAATAGTCATAATGTATGTAAAATATTTTAAAAGTATCTGTAGCCATAATTCAGTTAAAAAACTTCATTTCAACAGTATGATTAACAATATTAAAATGATTATTTAAAACAATTATTCAAAGTAAATATTTTGCCCTTATATTCCTACTATTGTATGAATACTATTGTAGAAAATACCGTTTAATTTATATAAATGCAGGTTGTTTACTAACAGTACACATAACTATGCTAATTATTCTGAAGTATAAAATAGAAAGCAAAGTACAACTACAGACTCCACAGTTTATACACTGAACTACACTTGCTTTTGCAGTGTAAGTACTTCAACCTGCAAATATTAGATCATTACCTCAGATAATCAGTTTTCTGTCAAAGGAACTTACTCAGTATCTCTTGGCTTTAATCATTCTGTATTGCTAAATTTAATCCTATCTTGGTGCCAAACTTTTGTGTGCACTTAAAATGACATTTATCTAAACAAATCTGTGTCTACCTTAGAAGGCTAATAACAAAAAATATAAACTTTTGCCAAAGCAAAAACAAGCAATGAATCTAAGGTCCTAGATAAAGACAATCCCGAGTAAAAAAGAATGCCAAAAGGTTTATTTAGCTGTTAATATGACTTCCATATATTTCAAAAAAAACAGAGAAAATTGTCTACATATAATATAAATGCTATAAGAAAAGAGAGAAGAGCAAAATATTCTCCTTTATTTTAAGGTATGTGAATAAATCCTCTTATTTCTAATTCATATTTTTTCCTACAACAGCCATGTCCTGGAACATGTTGAACTGTCAAGACGTCGGAATTTCAGTAGACAATGAATTCAGACATCTGTGGAATAGCCTTGGGCACACTGTGTTTATGGGGAAAAAAGCAGAAGAGAAAAATGTGTTATATAAATTTATGGGTGCAAATAAATAAAGCAAGTTCTTAGTGACTTATGAAGACAGACTCTGACACAATAATAGGAGGAAACTACAACACCCCACAGACACTAATAAATGGATTACTGAGGAAAAAAAAACCACAAAGATATTAGGACCTGAACTCAACACTTGACCAAATTGTCCTAACAGACACCTACAGAACTCTCCATCTAAAGACAACATAATATACATCGTTCTCATTACCACAGAGCACATACTTTAAAACTGACCACACATTTAAAACTAAAGCAATCCTCAGCAAATTCAAAAATCCCCAAATCATATCAGCAACACACTCAGACTGCAGCTTGATAAAAATATAATTCAATACAAATAAAAGCACTTGAAACCAGACACATAAAAAATTAAACAACCTACACTTGAATGACTAAAATGAAATTGAGAAGTTCTTTGAAATACGTGAGAACAAAAATACAACACAGCAGAATCACTGCAACACAACTAAGGCAGTGCTATAAACTAAGTGCTCACATCAAAAAGTTAGAAAAATCTCCATTTAACAACCCGATGTCATAAATAGAAGAATGAGAGAAGCAAGAACAAATCAACCCTTAAGCTAGCAGAAGACAAGATATAACAAAAATCACATCTGAACTGAAGAAGATTTAAACATAAAAAACTACAAGAAAGATGGAGAAATCGAAGAGTAAATTTTTTGAAAAAATTAATAATATAAACCACTAGCTAGATTAATGAAGAATAAATAAGCCACTAGCTAGATTAATGAAGAATAAATAAGCCACTAGCTAGATTAATGAAGAAACAATTAGAAATGATAAAACAGACAATACCCAACAAAAATACAAATAATAATTAAAGTCTACAGTGAACATTTCTACGCACACAAACTAGAAAATCTAGAAGAAATGAATGAATTCCTGGACAAATACATCTTCCCAAGATTGAACAACAACAACAACAAAAACTGAATCCCTTAATAGAACAATAAAAAGCTCCAAAATTTAATTAGTAATAAACAGCCTACCAACCAAAAAAAGCCCAGGACCAGACAGACTTACAGCTGAATTCTACCAGATGTACAAAGAACTGCTATTATTCCTACTAAAACTATTCCAAATAATTGAGAAGGAACTCCTCCCCAACTCGTTATATAAGAACAGCATCATTCTGATACCAAAACCTAGCAGAGACAAAACAAAACAAAGAAAACCTCAGGCCAATATTCTTAATAAACATTGATAAAAAATTCCCAACAAAATACTGACAAACCAAATCCAGAAGCACATCAAAAAGTTAATCGACTATGGGTTGGGTGTGGTGGCTCACGCCTGTAATCCCAGCACTTTGGGAAGCCGAGGTGGGTGGATCACCTGAGGTCAGGAGTTCGAGACCAGCCTGGCCAAAATGGTGAAACCTCGTTTCTACTAAAAATACAAAAATTAGGCGGGCATGGTGACAGGCACCTGTAATCCCAGCTACTTGGAAGGCTGAGGCAGGAGAATCGCTTGAACCCGGGAGGCGGAGGTTGCGGTGAGCTGATATCACGCCACTGCACTCCAGCCTAGGCGAGAAAATGAGACTCCATCTCAAAAAATAAATAAATAAAATAAAAGTCAGTCGACTATGATCAAGTAAGCTTTATCCCTGGATGCAGGGTTGCTTCAAATCAATAAAAGTGATTCATCGCATAAACAGAAATAAAGACAAAACCCACAAGATTATCTCAATAGATGCAGAAAAATCTTTCAATAAAGTTTAACATCCTTTATGTTATCACCCTCAATAGACTAGGCATTGAAGGTACATTCTTCAAAATAATGAGTTATCTATGAAAAACCCACAGCCAATATACCAAATAGATGCAAGTTGAAACCATTTCTTTTTGAAAACTGGCACAAGACAAGAATGCCTTCTCTCAGGGGCCGGTCGTGGTGGCTCACGACGGTAATCCCTACACTTTGGGAGGCCGAGACGGGCGGATCACGAGGTCAGGAGATCGAGACCATCCTGGCTAGCACAGTGAAACCTTATCTCTACTAAAAATACAAAAATTAGCCGGTCGTGGTGGCAGGCGCTTGTAGTCCCAGCTACTCGGGAGGTTGAGGCAGAGAATGGCGTGAACCCGGGAGGCGGAGCTTGCGGTGAGCCGAGATCGCGCCACTGCACTCCAGCCTGGGTGTCAGAGCGAGACTCCTTCTAAAAAAATAAATAAATAAATAAAAATAATAAATAAATAAATAAGAAATATTTTTCAGAGACCCTTGACTATCAATAAAATTTTTAAAAAGTAGTTAAACTCATTAGGGAGGAAAAACACAAGAAGAGAAGTAAAGGTTTGCAAGTACTAAACGCATGGAATTTCAGGAGGCAGAATGGACACAGCTCTTGATCTGAGACGTGTTTAGCTTAAAAAAAGGCATATTTTTTCCGTATCTCCTCCTTCCCTGGGATTCCTTTTCAGTTGAGATTCTCTGGACAAATTAGACCTGCATCTTGAGAATATGCCTTTAAAGGTGTCAGCACCACCTGTTTACCTGCTACCACCACACCCACAGGCAGAAGTACCAAGACCCGCTGAAAAAGTCCACCCATTTCTGTCCTTTATAACATGAAAAATTCAGGAACAATTAGTTGCTCCATGATTATAGAAATATGTGTTTCTCCTTTCCTGTCTTAGGTGCCCTTCCCTGGCACAGATACCAACAATCTCTGCTACAGTAATGAAAATATGGGCCACACTGCCCTGTCCATACCAAAACCAAACAGAACAGGCCCTATGATCACCCTGTAGTAAAGAGGTGAAACTGAACTCTCATGAGTGTATCTTCAACCCCTCATACGTGATTCTGGCCTCACCTTAGAATCACATGAGGCTCTTAATTAAAACAACATGGATGTGTCCAACAATAAAAAGAACCCGTGGAAAGGGCACGAGCAAAGATATTTCTGTGAATTGGCCATGTAATCTGAGTATCCACATCTAAGTAATCCACATTAATTACAATGGCAGAAACTGTAATAACTTTTGCACCAAACTAATAGAACCCTGGGTTTATAACCACTTAGCTAAGCATTGTCTCTCAAGCTTTAATGAGTTTATAAACCACTCGGTAATTTTAATCTCTTTCTGTGTAATGTGATTCTTCAGGTTTTCAAAGAGTACATGAATGTGTGTTTTAAATAAGTCCCCTGTCAATGCGGATGATGCTCCCCCAGGCTCATTATTAGCATTAGTTAGAGAAAGCAGGCACAGCACAGAGTCCCTTATACTTGGCACTGTTGTCACAACACAAATACTTCTGGCACAAATGAAGACAACTAATCTCCATCCTAAAGCATCAAATTCTTCGCTGGCTCTTTAAAGTTTACAGAGGCAACAAAAGGTAGCAGTGCCTGAATAAGCCTGCATTTGGAAAACAACATGTACACATGGACTAATGCAATGTTTACTAAGCAGGTACTAGGTAAGCAAGAGTATGTTGCAGAGCACTGCGCTAGAAATAATGCATTATGTGATTTAATCCTCATAACACACTGGGAGTTGGTACTAAGTGTTTGATAATTCCCAGCATTAGGTTAAGGGCCCAGCATATGTATTTCATCTTCTGTTTCTGTTCTTGGTTTTTTAAAGAAAATGTATACAATAAAAGCTAAATGTAGACAGATGACTGGAATACAGAAAAGTTTAATGCAGTTTAGAGAAACTTTTATTGTGGTTTATATTTGCTTTTTTGTGACTTGTGGAGCAACTACTGAATCTGCAGGAATAGAAAACAAGTTGCTAAATGGAATGTCTCTGCAAGCACTGATTTAATAGAAAATTTAAAAATGAAGACCTTAAAATATATACTTTATTTTTCCCATTTATCTCCTTCGGGGTGCAGAAAATTGTGAGTACCAGCTTTAGAAAGGCAGCAGGATTCACCAGCCAAAACTCTGATCTCTTCCAATCAGTTCTGTGAGGCAAGACTCCAGAGTGGGGCCAGATCTAAATAAGACCCTCAAATAGAGTGAATCTGAACAGAACTGGGCAGGGAGTGGACCTTATGTAGAATTCTGTTCTCTGTGCCACTGGGGTATTTCCAGTTGTGTTTCCCTAAGCTTGCCTAAGAGAAACTTATATCTCAGAGTTTATATAATTTTTTTTTAGCCACTGCCCTGTCGATTATATAATGCATACTAATAAGCAATTTAAATAAATATCGTAAGGCTTTCTAGGGTAATTATTAGAAGATAAATATATATTCTTAGGTAATAGAAATGCATGTAATAATAACAACTCTTCTTTTCATAAATATCCCTTTAGTTGATGACATAAGAAGTCACTACAAGATAAAGAAAGGGGCCCAGATAAAGCCCAAGGTTTTTTGCACACATCTGTTCATTGTATCAACCATACGATGCTTACTTCAACCCTTTATTCAGGTGCTAGTCTAGACTAAAAGTTCCTGGATGGTAGGAACTATGACTGCTTCATCTATTTTTCTAATGGCCATATGAAATAAAAGCAATTAGTTTATTCGTTTGAGTCTCCAGACATCCTGGTTGTTTTTCACCCAAGTACCAGAAAACTGGAGAAACTCTCATCTGGGTACCCACCAAAGTCATCTCTTGTGTGAGGGAAGGAGCAAACACAGGATGACTCAATTTTTACACTGAGACAAGCAGAATTAACCACTTTTGTTAACCTGGCACAATTCTGCTCCGGACGTGCTCAAATGTCTCAAAGACACCCAGCTGATTGTGAGAGTTCCCAGTGACCCTGGGCTGATGGCCCAATGATAAGCCAGGCAGGAGAGACTCAAGCTAATTAGCTAATTCTTTTTTTTTTTTTTTCTTTGAGACGGAGTCTCGCTCTGTCTCCCAGGCTAGAGTGCAGTGACACAATCTCGGCTCACTGCAACCTCCACCTCCCAAGTTCAAGCGATTCTCCTGCCTCAGCCTCCTGAGTAGCTGGGATTACAGACACATGCCAACACGTCTGGCTAATTTTTGTATTTTTAGTAGGGACAGGGTTTCACCATGTTGTCCAGGCTGGTCTCCTGACCTTAGGTGATCTGCCCACCTTGACCTCCCAAAGAGCTGGGATTACAGGTGTGAGCCACTGCGCTCGGCCGACTCAGGCTAATTCTAAATAAAAAATTAAACTGCCCTGGAGAAGCTCGAGAATCTGGATCACCTGTCCTGATTATCTAGCTCTTAGGTAAGAGGAAGAACAGGAATATTCTACTCCAGTCCCACATTTTATAGGTAGGTATAGTTTTGGTTATGGCTCTGGATACATTATCATCTTGATCTCTCACTCTGAAGATACTTGTTCACACTTACATATTCTGCCATCAGATTCTATTTATACCTGATGCCCCTTACATAACTGTAGCATGTCACCGGACAAGATCTGAGAAGCTGAAAGAATCACATTCTCAAAGGGGAACTTTAAGATGTCTATGTTGACATCTGACAATGCAGAAAATGTCTCTTGTTGGTTTTTTCTACATTCTCAATTCAAAGTCTGGCCTTATCTTATAAATTCCAGGAAGACGCCAGACCTTATTTACAGATTCTAGGTGGGATCAACCTGGCTTTTCATTCTTGGGTGTTACAGCAAGCAGAGTACAATCAAAGGAAAGATCCCTTTATAGAGGCTGCTTTAGCACGTTCTAAATGATATGTCTACCTAAAAGAAATAAAGCTAAGGCAACATGAATATAAGTAGACAGTTTATTGAGGCAAAGCTTGAGGATTGTAACCTGGGAGCAAACCTTCAAGTTGCAGGTCATCTACACTTTGATTAGGAGCAGTTATAAGTCGATCCGAAAAGGCAAAAAGAGAAGGACAGAGAGATGGCTGATATAAAATTGTTTATCAGAAATTTTCATTAATTTACAGAAATGACATTGATTATTGATTGGATATACATCGTTAAAATTTAGAGTATGGTTATAGTGTCCAGTGTGGCATTATTAGTTTAATTTATAGCTATTGGTGGCAGTAGCTAACAGTTTTAAGAGATAAATACATAATTCAGGGCCGGGCGCAGCGGCTCACGCCTGTAATTTTCCAGCAGTCTGGGAGGTCGAGGCAGGTGGATCACTTGAGGTCAGGAGTTCAAGACCAGCCTGGCCAACATGGTGAAACCCTGTCTCTACTAAAAATACAAAAATTAGCCAGGGCACGTGCCTGTAATTCCAGCTACTTGGGAAGCTGAGGCAGGAGAATCACTTGAACCCAGGAGGCGGAGGTTGCAGTGAGCAGAGATCGCACCACTGTACCCTGGCCTTGGTCATAGAGCAAGACTCTGTCTCAAAAAAAAAAAAAAAAAAAACACATAATTTAAAGATGGGAAAAAGACAAAACTGTGTTGTCATTTTAATGTCTCTCTGAGTTTGACAACTAAAAGAACTTGCATTCCTCAGATGAAAGGTTTTTTGTTTTTTTTTTTGTTTTCCAAATCTCAAGACCTAGATTTAGAATTTGGAGCTTCAGCAGGTGTTATTTGCATATTTGTGGGTATTTTAGCAATAGGAGGAAGGGGAAAGTGGAGATTCTCATATCTACATGTCTACTCAACACTCACATGTTACTCTGATTGGGTTTCTGGGCCCCCTGGTCTCTGAATTAGTTTCAGGTCTGAAGATACAAGAGTCACTGAAAGAGGTGAAATGGTTGATTGCCATCCTGTGAAGTTTGTAGAAATGTATGAGCTGACTGGAAGCCTGAGAGGAAAAATCCTCTCTAGAGTAAAGCTTGGTTGGCATGTGTTTATATCATGTCTGCTAATTCTAGACAGTGTATGGAAAATATAATTAAAAGAAAAATTTTCTCCAGCCCCAGAAAATCTCCAAAATGAGAGAACAGAAAGAAAACTGTTTTATTACACAATTTAACCTGAATGTGACACGCATCACAGTCAATCTGCTCAACAGATTGCAAAGACAGAAAGACAGTCACCATAGTTAGTCCACAAGTAGAAAAATTTACAGCACCATGTCATACGTAGTTCATCCTAAATTCCGCTGGTAATTGGCAAGGCCATCCGTGTATGCTAATTGGTTATATTCAATGACAAAATAAACTTTTCACATCTTCATAACAGGAGGTAATTTTGCAACTTGAAGCCAGGTGCCTGCTGAAGGTAGGCTCCCACTCTCCTACAGAAATGGTTGAATAGGGTGTTATCTTTTTGGCTATTTATATTTTAAAGCAATGGCTCTTTACTCCTTTAGCACTGGGCTAGAGCACCCTGCTTGCCCTCTCCTGATGGCCATGTCCTCTCTTGACGCCTACCATCTGCCACTGACGCAGAGGCCACAACATAAAGCTTGTCACTGGCAGCTCACATCTTACATGAACCCCAGTTGCCACAGCAGCACTCCAGCGTCCCATCAGACAATGAAGCCTGAGCTGCAGGAGGAGAGCCTGCAGGCCTCCTGGGTGAAATTGCACCTTCACGATAATGGGAATGGGAGCAGTGTTTCAGCCTCAGCTTCTATTTATAATGGTGACATGAAAAAAATACTGCTGGATTTCCAGCATGAGTCCAGATAGAGATAGATCTAAGAATTCTCCCTGTGACAGCCCACCTTATTCACAGACACCATGGGATACTAATAGGACCCCTGAAACAGACACCCAAAGGATTTGAGCAAAAAACAGCTCTCTATCTGAGCAAGATTATATTGAGAGAAAATAAAAAGTTAAAAATTTCTCTTTAAATACCCAAAGTGCACAACTATTCTCAGCATGAGAAACATGAACATTATTTAAAAAGGGGATGAGCCAGGCGTGGTGGCTCACTCCTGTAATCCCAGCACTTTGGGAGGCTGAGGAGGGCGGATCACCTGAGGACAGGAATTCAAGACCTGCCCGGCCAACATGGCAAAACCCCGTCTCTACTAAAAATACAAAAATTGGCCAGGCCTGGTGTTGCGTGCCTGTAATCCCAGCTACTAGGGGGGCTGAGGCAAAAGGATCGCTTGAACCTGGGAAGCAGAGGTTGCAGTGAGCCGAGATCGTGCCACTGCCCTCCAGCCTGGGCAACAGAGCAAGACTCTGTCTCGAAAAAAAAAGCAGGGGGTACAAATTCTCAGCAAAATTTTATAAGGTTTCTCTTTCATCTCTGCTGCTGTCTCATCTCCTAACCATTAGATGGGGGAACTATATTGAAACACATCTGACAATTTCCACTAGCACATTAGATGAAGAATTTGAATCTGGCTTTGTTTACACACTGGAATATATTTGAGCTTGCAGCATAGCTAACTGAAGAGCTATTACAATCTTGGCATGGCCACATCACTTGTCATGTTTGCTTGTCCTGTAATAGCAGCATTCAAATTTAGTGACATAATAGACATTAAAATCATGCTTACCTATAATTATCCCTATTGGATAAACTAATAAGCATGTCAGACTCATATCTACTACAACAATTTTGTAGTGAATTTTCTTTGGATATTAGATATAAATATCTAAGGATAAATAATTTTAATGTACTAGTCATAATGTAGAATTATTAAAAATTACTTGTAACCATAATTCAGTTAAAACATTTTATATTTAAAAAGTATGAATAACAATATTAAAATAACTATTTAAGAAATTCTAGCCGGGCATGGTGGTGCGCGCCTGTAATCCCAGCTACTGGGGAAGCTGAGGCAGGAGAATCGCTTGTACCTGGGAGGCAGAGGTTGCAGTGAGCCGTGATTGTGCCACTGCACTCCAGCTTGGGAGACAGAGCAAGACTCTGCTTCAAAAAAAAAAAAAAATAAAGGAAACTCATTGAAAGTAAATATTGTGGCCAGGCATGGTGGCTCACATCTGAAATCCCAGCACTTTGGGAGGCAGGAGTCTGAGGCCAGCCTGGCCAACATGGTGAAACCCCGTACCTACTAAAAATACAAAAATTACCCAGGCGTGGTGGCGTGCTCCTATAATCCCAGCTACTCAGGAGGCTGAGGCAGGAAAACTGCTTGAACCGAGGAGGCAGAGGTTGTAGTGAGCCAAAATGGCACCACTGCACTCCAGCCTGGGCAACAGAGTGAGACTCCATCTCAAAAAAAAAAAAATTTACTAAATATTGTGTCATATTCATACTATTGTAGAAAATACTGCATAATTTATATGAATGCAAGTTGTCTACAAACACTACAAATAACTATGCTAATTGTTCTGAAGTAATAAATCGAAACCAAATACAACTACAGACTCCACTGTTCAGTTTATACACTGAACGGTTTTTGATTTTGCAGTGTAAGTACTTCAGCCTGCAAATATTAGATAATTACCTTGGATTATCAATTTTCTGTCAAAGAACCTTACTCAGCATCTTTTAATCTCTATCACTCTGTAGTGCTAAATGTAATCCTATCTTTGTGTTCAATTTTTGTGGCTCTTAAAATGAGCTTTAATCTAAACAAATCTATGTCTACTTTAAAAGACTAAAAAAAAATATATATATATGTATATACTTTTGCCAAAGCAAAAACAAAGCAATGGTTCTGTGGTTCTCAATTAAGACGATTCTGAGTAAAAAACAAAACAAAACAAAAAACCACAAGATTGATCTAGCTGTAAATATGATTTACAAATATTGGCCAGGTGCAGTGGCTCACGCCTGTAATCCCAGCACTTTGGGAGGCCAGGGCTGGTGGATCACAAGGTCAGGAGTTCAAGACCAACCTGGCCAAGATGGTGAAACCCCGTCTCTACTAAAAATACAAAACAATTAGCCGGGCGTGGTGGCGGGTGCCTGTAATCCCAGGTACTGGGAGGCTGAAGCAGAGAATTGATTAAACCTGGGAGACAGAGATTGGCTGCAGTGAGCTGAGATTGTGCCACTGCACCCCAGCCTGGGCGACAGAGCAAGACTCCATTTCAAAAAACAAAACAAAACAAACAACAACAAAAAAGATTTACAAATATTTTTTAAAAGCAGAGAAAAATATGTACATATAATCTAAATGCTTTAAGAAAAGAGAGAAACACAATATCCTCCCT
Organism: Homo sapiens; assembly: GCF_000001405.40. Lineage (NCBI taxonomy): Eukaryota > Metazoa > Chordata > Mammalia > Primates > Hominidae > Homo > Homo sapiens. Next base: position 22,446,129 of record NC_000019.10, on the reverse strand, counting down.
TATTTTCAGTTAACAGAATAAAGCTTCTTATTTCTAATTTATATTTTCTCCTACAACAGCCAAGTCTCTGGACATGTTCTTAAACTCTTGGACATCTGAATTTAATTAGACACTGTATTCAGACATCTAAGAAGCAGCCTTGGGCATACCGTGTGTGCACTTGAAAGAATGCTTATATCCGGGCGTGGTGGCTTACGCCTGTAATCCCAGCACTTTGGGAGGCCGAGTCAGGCGGATCAAGAGGTCAGGAAATCGAGACCATCCTGGCTAACGCGGTGATACCTTGTCTCTACTAAAAACATAAAAAATAGCCGAGAACGCACCACTGCACTCCAGCCTGGACGACAGAGTGAGACTCCATCTCAAAAACAAAAAAGCAGAAGAGAGAAAAGTGTTCTAAAAAATGCATGGGTGTATATGTATAAAGCAATTTCTTAGAGACTTATGAAGAGAGTTAGATTCTGAAAAAATAATAGTGGGAGACTACAACACCCCACAGACTCTATTAGACAGATTATTAGGCAGAAAATTAACAAAGATTTTAAAACCTAAACTCAACACTTGATCAAATAGTCCTACTAGACATCTATAGAAGTGTCCATCTAAAACCAACATTGTATTCATTCTTCTCATCACCACGTGTCACATACTCTAAAATTGACCACATGATCAGAAATAAAACAATTCTCAGCAAATTCAGTCTTCCCAAAATCATACCAAAAACACAAACAGACCACAGCTTGATAAGGATATAATTCAATATATAGGAAACCACCTGAAACCATATAATTACATGGAAATTAAACAATCTGAACCTGGATGACTTTTGGGAAAATAATGAAATTAAGGCAAAAATCAAGAAGTTCTTTGAAACAAATGACAACGAAGATACAACCTACCAGAATCTCTGCAACACAGCTAAGGCAGTCTTAAGAAAAAACTTTATAGCACTAAAAACTCAAATAAAAAAGTTAAAAATAAATTTTAAAACCTAACATCATAAATAAAAGAATGAGAGAAGCAAGAGAAGACCAACCCCTAAGCTAGCAGAAGACAAGAAATAACCAAAATCAGATCTGCACTGAACGAGATTTAGACATGAAAAGTTATACAAAGTATCAAGAAATCCAGGAGTTAAATCTTTTGGAAAAAATAATGAGATGAACCATAGCAAGACTGTGAAGAAAGAAGATCCAAATAAACACAATTAGAAATGACAAAAGGGACATTACCATTGAGTCCCACAAAAATACAAATAACTATTGAAGTCTACTATGAACACCACTATGCACACAAACTAGAAAATCTGAAAGAAGTGAATAAATTCCTGGATGAGTAAACTCTCCCAAGACTAAAAAAATACTAAATTGCAGCCCTGAATAGACCAATAACAAGCTCCAAAATTGAATTAGTAGTAAATAGCCTACCAACCAAAAACAGGGGAAAAAAAAAGACCAGACAGATTCACAGCTGAATTTTAGCAGATGTACGAAGAAAAGCTGGTATTATACCTTCTATAACTATTATTAAAAATTGAAAAGAAGGGACTCCCCCTTAACCCTTAACTCATTATGTAAGAACAACATCATTCTGACACCAAAACCTGATAGAAACAAAACAAAAAAGAAAACTTCACGCCAATATCATTGACGAATGTTGCTTCAAAAATCCTCAACAAAATACTGGCAAAGCAAATCCAGCAGCAAATTAAAAAGCTAATGCACTATGATCAATTAGGCTTTAGTCCTGGGATGCAAGGTTGGTTCAGTGCACACAAATTAATAAATCTGATTCATCACATAAACAGAACTAAATACAAGAATCACAAGATTATTTCAATAGATGCAGAAAAATATTTCAATAAAATCTAGCATCCTTCATGTTTAAAACCCTCAAAAAACTAAAAGCCTTAAAAGCACATATTTCAAAATAATGAGTTATTTATGAGAAATCCATAGATACCATACAGAATGGACACAAGCTGCAAGCATTCCTTCTTGAAAAATGGCACAAGACAAGGATGCCTTCTCTCACCACTTGTATTCAACATAGAATTGGAAGTCTTGGCCAGAGCAATCAAGCAAGAGAAAGAAATAAAAGGCATCCAAAAAGAAAAAAAAAATCAAATTATCCTTGTTTTCAGATGGCATGATTCTATATCTAGAAAACCCTATAATCTTTGCAGAAAAGCTTCTTCTTTTTTTTTTTTTTTTTGAGACAGAGTTTTGCTCTGTCACCCAGGCTAGAGTGCAATGGCATGATCTTAGCTCACTTCAACCTCCACCTCCTGGGTTCAAGCGATTCTCCTGCCTCAGCCTCTCGAGTAGCTGGAATTACAGGCATGCGCCACCATGCTCAGCTAATTTTTGTATTTTTAGCAGAGACGGGTTTCACAATGTTGGCCAGGCTGATCTCGAACTCCTCACCTCAGGTGATCCACCTGCCTTGGCCTCCCAAGGTGCTGAGATTACAGGTGTGAGCCACCATGCCTGGCCTGGAAAAGCTTCTTAAACTGACAACTTCAGCAAAGTTTCAGGATAAAAAATAAATGTAAAGAAATCAGTACCATCCCTGTACATAAAAAACATCCAAGCCAAAAGCCAAATCAAAAACATAATCCCATTCACAATTGCCACAAAAAGAATAAAATATCTAGGAATATAGCTAACCACGGAGGTGAAAGATCTCTAAGACGAAAATTACAGGGCACTGCTAAGAAGTCAGAGATGACACAAACAAATGGAAAACTGTTTCATAGCCTGGAAGGCTGAGGTGGCTGGATCACGTGAGGTCAGGAGTTTGAGACCAGGCTGGTCAACATAGTGAAACCCCGTTTCTACAAAAAAATACAAAAATTAGATGATGTGGTGGCACACACCTGTAGTCCCAGGTACTGGGAAGGCTTAGGTGGGAGAATCACTTGAACCCAGGAGAGAGAGGTTGCCGTGAGCCAAGGCGGCACCACTGTACTCCAGCCTGACCACAGAGTGAGACCCAGTCTCAAAAAAAAAAAAAAAAAATAGCCATACTGCCTAAAATTTTTTTACAGATTTAGTGCTATTTCTATTAAACTACCAAGACATTCTTTTCTTTTTTCTTTTTCTTTTTTTTTTTTTGAGACAGAATCTTACTCTGTCACCCAGGCTGAAGTACAATGTCGTGGTCTTGGCTCACTGCAACCTCCACTTCCCAGGTTCAAGTGATTCTCCCGCCTCAGCCTCACAAGTAGCTGGGACTACAGGCGGGTGCCACCACGCCTGGCTAATTTTTTGTATTTTTAGTAGAGACAAGGTTTCACTGTGTTAGCCAGGTTGGTCTCAATCTCCTGACCTTGTGATCCACCCACCTCGGCCTCCCAAAGTGCTGGGATTACAGGCGTGAGCCACCACACCCAGCAACATTCTTAATAGAACTAAAAAACACTATTTTAAAATTCATATGGAACCAAAAAAGAGCCCAAACAGCCAAGGTAATCCTAAGCAAAAAGAATAAAGCTAGAGGCATTACATTACCCAACTTCAAACTATATTACAGGGCTATAGACACCAAAGCAGCATGGTACTAGTACAAAAGCAGACTCATAGACCAATGCAACAGGACAGAGAGCCCAGAAATAATGCCTCACACTTACAACCATCTGATTTTTGACAAGGCTGACAAGAGGAATGCGGGAATAATTCCCTATTTAATAAATGATGCTGAAATAACTAGCAAATACTATGTAGAAGATTGAAACTGCACCCCATCCTTACACCATATACAAAAATAAACTCAAGATGAATTCAAGACTTAAATGTAAAATTTAAAATTATAAGGAAGAAATGCCCTGGAAAACAACCTAGGAAATACCATTCTAGACATAGAAACTGACAAAGATTTTATGATGAAAATATTAAAAACAGGAGGCTGAAGCAGGCAATTCACCTGCGGTCAGAAGTTCGAGATCAGCCTGCCCAATATGGTGAAAAGCCATCTCTACTAAAATACAAAAAAAAAAAAAAGCCAGGCATGATGGCTCACGCCTATAATCCCAGTACTTTCTTTGGAAGGCCGAGGTAGGCAGATTACCTGAGGTCAGGAGATCGAGACCAGCCTGACCAACATGGAGAAACCCCATCTCTACTAAAAATACAAAATTAGCCGGGCGTAGGGGTGCATGGCTGTAATCCCAGCTCCTCAGGAGGCTGAGGCAGGAGAAGCCCTTGAACCCGGGATTTGAAGGTTGTGGTGAGCTGAGATCCCACCATTGCACTCCAGCCTGGGCAACAAGAGCAAAACTCCAACTCAAAAAAAACACAAACACAAAAACAAAAACAAAAAAATTAGCTGGATGCGGTGTCATGCACCTGTAGTCCCAGCTACTGGGGAGGCTGAGGCAAGAGAATTGCTTGAACCCCGGGAGGCAAAGCTGAGATTATGCCACTGCACTCTAGCCTGGGAAACAGAGAGAGACTCCATCTCAAAAAAAAAAAAAAAAAAAAAGGCTGGGCTCAGTGGCTCACACCTATAATCTCAACACTTTGGGAGGCTGAGGTGAATGGATCATCTGAGGTCAGGAGTTCAAGACCAGCCTGACCAACATGGTGAAACTCCTTCTCTACTAAAAATACAAAAATTAGCCGGGCATGGTGGTGCATGCCTGTAATCCCAGCTACTCAGGAGGCTGAGGCAGTAGAATCGCTTGAACCCGGGAGGTGGAGGTTGCAGTGAGCCAAGACTGCACCGTTGCACTCCAGCCTGGGCAACAAGAGCGAGACTCCATCTGGAAAAAAAAAAAAAAATTAGCCGGGCGTGGTGGCAGGCGCCTGTAATCCCAGCTACTCCTGAGGCTAGACAGGAGAATTGCTTGAACCCGAGAGGCGGAGGTTACGGTGAGCCATAGCACTCCAGCCTGGACAACAGAGGGAGACTCCATCTCAAAAAAAAAAAAAAAGTTATTGGGGGGTACATTCGAGACCCTGCTTGAAAAACATGTAAACAGCCGAGCATGGTGGCGGGTGCCTGTAATCCCAGCTACTCGGGAGGCTGAGGCAGGAGAATCGCTTGAACCCGGGGGGCGGAGTTGCCGTTGGCTGAGATCGCGCCACTGCACTCCAGCCTGGGCAACAATAACGAAACTCCGTCTCAAAAAAAAGAAAGAAAGAAAGAAGGAAGGGAGGGAGAAGCAAAGAAAAGAAGAGAAGAGAGAAGAGAAAAGAAGGATTCCTATTTAAAAAAAAATCGAACTCAAATGAGTTCGATTTTTTATAAATTACTACATTAGAGGAAACAAAATTCAAGTTTAACCAACTATAATCTGCCAATTAAGCTTTGATTGCATAACCAGGAAATTTGTAGGCTCAAGGTGGAAATTAGGAAACTACGTAACTATATCTGATTACTGAATTTGGATTTTTTCATCATGCACTTTATAAAAGTCTTTTCTTAAAGCCCCTGCAATGGACCACAAACTACAACCCATAGGGGTGCTCTATAATTTTTGAACAACTCTCTTTGATTAAATTCTTTAATATTTTTGTGGTGGCTCCCATAATTATTTTTTTTTTTGAGCTGGAGTTCAAGACCAGCCTAACCAACATGGAGAAACCCTGTCTCTACTAAAAATACAAATTAGCTGGGCATGGTGGTGCATTCCTGTAATTTCAGCTACTAGAGGGGCTGAGGCAGGAGAATTGCTTGAACTCGGGAGGCAGAGGTTGCGCGTGAGCTGAGATCGCGCCATTGCACTCCAGCCTGGGCAACAAGAGCAAAACTCCATCTCAAAAAAAAAAAAAAACCAACTTTAGATATTAATATCACTCCGTCACCATCAAAAATGTACTTATTGGCCTGGCATGGTGGCTCACGTGTGTAATCCCAGCACTTTGGGAGGCCGAGGCAGGCAGATCACCTAAGGTCAGCGTTCAAGACCAGGCTGGCCCACATGGTGAAACCCTGTCTCTACAAAAATACAAAAATTAGCCGAGCATGATGGTAAGTGCCTATAATCCCAGCTACTTGGGAGGCTGCGGCAGGAGAATCACTTGAACTGGGGAGGCGGAGGTTATAATGAGCCGAGATCGCGCCACTGCACTCCAACCTGGGCAACAAAGCAAGACTGTTTCAAAAAATAAAAATAAAAATTTACTTATTTAGTGTCAAATCCTACTGTAAAAAAGCAGAACTGTGGGGGTTTTTTAAGTGGAAACATGGATTCAGGTTATTTTATTTTATTTGTGTTTTTATTTTTTGAGATGAAGTTTCGCTCAGTCACCCAGGCTGGAGTGCAATGGTGTGATCTCGGCTCACTGCAAACTCCGCCTCCTGGCTTCAGGCAATTCTCCTGCCTGGGCCTCCCAAGTAGCTGTGATTACAAGTGCCTGCCACCACTGCTGGCTAATTTTTGTATTTTTGGTAGAGACAGAGTTTCACCATGTTGGCCAGACTAGTCTCGAACTCCTGACCTCAGGTGATCTGCCTGCCTCAGCCTCCCAAAGTACTGGGATTACAGGCATAAGCCACTGCACCAGGCCTATTATTTATTTTTAAAAGGTTAGAAGGGGCTTCCTTGTGTTGAAATCTGCTGTTTCCAGAAGAAAAATATAAACCTGGCCTGTTTTAGGATCTACCTATTTTCTTAAATTTTCAGTTTGATTATGTCACATTTAGCACAAGTGACTTGTTTTGGTTCAGTTTGGTTTGGTCTGTTTGGAACTAGTGCACAAGCTCAGTTTACAATGATGGACTCCAATAACTTTTTGTTTTGAGACAGAGTCTCGCTCTGTCGCCAGGCTGGAGTGCAGTGGTGTGATCTCAGCTCATTGAAACCTCTGCCTTGTGGGTTCAAGCCATTCTCCTGCTTCAGCCTCCCAAGTAGCTGGGATTACAGGCACGCACCACCACACCCAGCTAATTTTTGTATTTTTGTTAGAGACAGGGTTTCACCCTGTTGGCAGGATGGTCTCGATCTCCTGACCTTGTGATCTGCCCTCCTCGGCCCACAAAGTGCTGGGATTACAGGTGTGAGCCACCGCGCTGAGCCAACTTTGTTTTTAAAACTCTCCCTTTTTGGTAAAGTTCTTACGTAGGTCAGAGTGTGACCAAAACTCAGGGCCTTAGTGCCACTCTCAATTTCCATTATTTAGGGTTTTTGTCCTTATAATGTTATTCACAGGTTATGGTGTCTTCATAGTCACATATGTCTTTGAGTTTCTGTCATTCCCATTAAAAAGACACCATTTGACATTCTAGAGATGACTGTATGCAAACCTTTAGAACTTTTGAGAGAATACGGTGCAGTAGGGAGACTACTATTTTGATTTTCAGGAGGATAATACCAAGAGTTGAAACCAGCCGGGCATAGTGGCTCATGCCTGTAATATTAGCAATTTGAGAGGCCGAGGAGGGCAGATTACCTGAGGTCAGGAGTTCAGGATCACCCTGGCCAACATGGTGAAACCCCGTCTCTACTAAAAATACTAAAAATTAGCCAGGTGCAGTGGTGTGCACCTGTAATCCCAGCCACTCGGGAGGCTGAGGCAGGAGAATCACTTGAACCCAGGAAGTGGAGGTTGCGGTGAGTCGAGATTATGCCACTGCACTCCAGCCTGGACTACAGAGTGCGACTTTGTCTCAGAAAAAAAAAAAAAAAATGTTGAAACCATGCTTCTTAGCCAGGGTCCCCATGAACAACCAACTAAAATTCAATAGATTAAATAATTAGCTAGATAAATGATCTCATTTCAACCAAGCAGCCTGTTCATTAATCCCCTACAATTGCATCTTTGTAATACCCAATGTATTCTACCATGTGCAACTACAAGTATCAGCAACAGCACAGGTAGTTCTCTGTTTATCCAGTAAGTAATCAAAAGAAATTCTATTATTTAGCACAACTTTAGTAACAACATTTAACACCTGTTGCGTAACCATAGTCTTTACATTAGAATCTGCTATAGAGCCCTATTTTTGGGGATAAATTTCTTACCATTGCTTCATTTATGCTAAGCCATGGAAAAAATGATCTAACAAATGATGCCCATTCAGAAGAGTAATGGCCTGCTGGCAATGCTCTTTAACCCATTCTGAAGAAGTTATTTTTAACTTATGAAGTAAGTTTAAAGCAGTGGATCGATATTCTTTTTCTGAAATTATGAGGCAACAAATGTTTCATTAAAACTTCTCACCCACATTAGCTCTTCATCTTTTACCTATCAAGGCAAAAGTTTTGTTATATATAATGTTGTCAGCAAAATTCTCTACCTATGAGTATACCCCATGAGTGCATACAAGAGATTCCTTTTTTATTTCTGTTGTTTGTAGAGCCATTAGAAAACTGTGAACAAACTCTGCTATGATAGCAGAGATGTCTTGATTTTTTCTTTCGAGACGGAGTCTCGCTCTGTAGCCCACGCTGGAGTGCAGTGGTGCAATCTCCGCTCACTGCAAACTCCGCCTCCTGGATCCTGATTCAAGCAATTCTCCTGCCTCAGCCTCCTGAGTAGCTGGGATTATAGGCACGTGTCACAATGCCCAGCTAATTTTTATACTTTTTATTTTATTTTATTTTTTTTGAGATGGAGTCTTGCTCTGTTGCCCAGGCTGGAGTGCAGTGGTGCAATCTTGGCTCACTGCAACCTCCGCCTCCCAGGTTCAAGTAATTCTCCTGCCTCAGCCTCCTGAGTAGCTGGGATTACAGGCGCACACCACTACACCCGGCTAATTGCTAATTTTTGTATTTTTAGTAGAGACAGGGTTTCACCATGTTGGCCAGGCTGGTCTTCAACTCCTGACCTCGTAATCCACCCACCTCGGCCTCCCAAAGTGCTGTTATTACAGGCGTAAGCCACCACGCCCGGCCTTGATTTTTGATCTTATAAAGAAAGCTGTCTAGATCAAGATTGCTATCTTCTTTTGAGGAGAAACTTTCCTGCTTACCTTTGCTTAAGATCTCCTATGAGTTTACAATTGAAAGAGTTTGGATAGGCCCTTCTAAGTTGTGAGACTATGAACCCAATGTTCAAGGTCTTGAAGTCTTGCTTCAGGGTAGATGGCAGTAAGACTCAGTCTCTGGATTCTAGATTATAAAGGGTTCTACTATCCTCAGTCAATAGACTGTTCAAGACTTTCTTCACTTGGTGAAAATATGCTATATTAGACTTCTGGCCAGGAGCAGTGGCTCACGCCTGTAATCCTAGCACTTTGGGAGGCCGAGGTGGGTGGACCACCTGAGGTCAGGAGTTTGAGACCAGCCTGGCCAACATGGTGAAACCCCATCTCTCCTAAAAATACAAAAAATTAGCTGGGCATTGTGGTGGGCGTCTGTAATCCCAGCTACTTGAGAGGTTGAGGCAGGAGAATCGGTCGAACCCAGGAGGCCAAGGTTGCAGGGAGCTGAGATTATGCCATTACACTTCAGCCTGGGCAACAAGAGTGAAACTCTGTCTAAAAAAAAAAAGAAATATTAGACTTTCATGGAAAACCCAAATGCCCATCAATGATAGACTGGATAAAGAAAATGTGGTACACATACACCATGGAATACTACATAGCCATAAAAAAGAATGAGATAATATCCTTTACAGGGACATGGATGAAGCTGGAAGGTCTCATCCTCAGCAAACAAACACAGGAAGAGAAAACCAAACACCTCATGTTCTCATTCATAAGTGAGAGTTTAACAATGAGAACACATGGACACAGGAAGGGGAACAACACACACCAAGGCCTGTTGGGAGGTTGGGGGCAAGGGTGCAAAACTTAGAAGATGGGTCAATAGGTGCAGCAGACCACCATGGCACACATATACCTATGTAACAAACCTGCACATTCTGCACATGTATCCCAGAACTTAAAGTAAATTAAAAAAAAAAAACAAAAAACACTGGACTTCAGTAGCAGAAGATACATGAGCTTTTATTAGGTGCATAGGCCTTCCAATGAGTATATTATATGGGCCAACTTTTTTTTTTTTTTGAGATGCAGTCTCACTCTGTCACTCAGGCTGGAGTGCAGTGGCACAATCTTGGCTCACTGCAACCTCCACCTCCCGGGTTCAAGCGATTGTTCTGCCTCAGCCTCCCAAATAGCTGGGACTACAGGTGCGTACCACCATGCCCGACTAATTTCTGTATTTTTCGTATAGATGGGGTTTCACCATATTGGCCAGGCTGGGCTCGAACTCCTAACCTGATCCACGCACCTTGGCCTCCCAGAGTGCCGGGATTGCAGTCATGAGCAACCACACCCACCAGGACAACATATTTTTTCCTCTCTCAGTGGATCTGATTGTCATCAATCTGCAATTACAAAAGCAATCCAGTCAATGTAGTTAGCTTTGCACAATACTATTGTATCTGTAATTCCTTATGTAACAGTTTTACAATTTGTCTAGTGAAATAAACATCTTTATCATTGGAGGCTTTTTCAGAAATGTTCCATGAGAAAAATGTATTTATTTATATCCTTTTAGCTACTGTTATAACATCAGTTTTCTTGCATAAGAAAGCTTTTATATTACCAGAAAATATGTATTAAAAATGATAATTGAATAAAATTTTTGTAACCATGATTAAATGGCCCATCAGGTAGCAGAAACATACATGAAGTTTTGATTGTCTTCTCAGGATTAAATGTTTGATAAGAAAACATTGGTCTTAACCTATTTTCGTAATTTATTATAGAATAATCACCACACACACTTAATTTATATTCAATTTAGATTATTTTATCTCTTCTGTGATGAGTAATGGAATGCAGAGCTGTTAAGAATGGAAGTTTTAAGAACTCAGGAATGAGTAAGTGGCTGTTGGCTGTCTAGGTTCTTAATGAGTCCACACTTAACATTAAATTTATGTCCTCTTAAATACTAGGTTTGTTTCTCCAATTTAGGAGCATAGCTCTGATAACTGAGGGGTTATCATAGGTAGTTTGACTTAGACCACAGAGTTTACTAAAATGGTATATCTAAAAAATTTTTGTACAGGCTGTTTTAGCATAATATCTTAAAATACTCTGCCACATTATTTTACACAGAGTATTTTCCTAATATTCAAATACTTTTGATTTGCCTAGGTTAGCAGTTTTATAAGAATTGGTCTGTTTATTAGAATTCTCACAAGCCTTACCAGAATAAATAATATGATCCTAAAATGGTCAGAAACCTGTACTCAATTTGTGTGGGCCTTTTCCAACTTTTCATGAACCTCCTTAAAGACATAATACTCTAGGATTTTGCAAGCTTTTGAGGTTTTTAGAAACTACATCAGAATTAAACCATTAACTGTGGAAATAACTTAAAATGGTTATAAAGAAACAAAAATTGATTATATCTGTGGCCTACAATAATTTATCAAAATCACAATTATGACTACTATAATATACTCAGATACATAAAATTTTTGAAATTTCATATGATTTTGATATAAATATTAATCACATATTTATTAAAATATAAGTTGAAGGTCAAACATCATTTTTATTTAATTCTTGGGTTTTTTTTTTTTTTTTTTTTTTAGAGGAACTCTAGCTCTGTCACCCAGGCTGGAGTGCAGTGGGAAAATCTCAGCTCACTGCAACCTCCAGCTACTGAGTTCAAGCGATTCTCCTGCCTCGGCCTCCTGAGTAGCTGGGATTACAGGAGCGGGCCACCATGCCCAGCTAATTTTGGTATTTTTAGTAGAGACAGGGTTTCACCACATTGGCCAGGCTGATCTCAAACTCCTGACCTCAAGTGATCCACCTGCCTGAGCCTCCCAAAGTGCTAGGATTACAGGCATGAGCCACCACACCTGACCCAAAAAGTGTTTTTAATTTGACAATGCTTCCCATGTAATTAAACATACCAAGTAATTCTGTTTATCATTGTTTTAGATGCTGCGTTGGTGCTCTGTAGCACCCAAAAGTTAAGGGTCAAAAAGAAGACAATTTTTAAGCTGAAATTTGATTTCGGGAAGCCTGGCAATTATGTCAAAAGCTCAAAATAGGGCTGGGTGCCGTGGCTCACGCCTGTAATCCCAGCACTTTGGGAGGCTGAGGCGGGTGGATCACGAGGTCAGGAGATCGAGACCATCCTGGCCAACATGGTGAAACCCTGTCTCCACTAATAATACAAAAATTAGCTGGGCATGGTGGCATGTGCCTGTAATCCCAGCTACCTAGGAGGCTGAGGCAGGGGAATCGATTGAATTAGGGAGTCGGAGGTTGCAGTGAGCCCAGATCGCACCATTGCACTCCAGCCTGGGCGACAGAGAGAGACTCTGTCTCAAAACAAAAACAAAAACAAAAACAAAATCTCAAAATAGGCTGGGCCCAGTGGTTCACACCTGTAATCCCAGCACTTTGGGAGGCCATGGCTGGATTACCTGAAGTCAGGAGTTCCAGAGCAGCCTGACCAACAAACATGGTGAAACCCCGTCCCTACTAAAATATAAAAAAAATTAGCCGGGCATGGTGGTGGGCGACTGTAATTCCACCTACTCGGGATGCTGAGGCGGGAGAATCGCTCGAACTCAGTAGCTGGAGATTGCAGTGAGCTGAGATGGCGCCACTGCACTCCAGCCTGGGCGACAGAGCGAGACTTCATCTCAAAAAAAAAAAAAAAAAGTTAAACCAGGTTTGATATTTGTAGGCTATTTATGATTTTCAACACTTACTAAAAGTACTTTGCCTGAAACAACCTCTTAACTTGAAATCAAGTGACTATAGACAGGTTCTCACTCTGTCACCCAGGCTGGAGTGTAGTGGCCCGATCTTGGCTCACTGCAACCTCCCCCTCCTGGGTTCAAGTGATTCTCCAACCTCAGCCTCCCGAGTAGCTGAGGCTAAGCTAATTTTTGTATTTTAAGTAGAGATGGGGTTTCACCATGTTGGTCAGGCTGATCTCAAACTCCTAACCTCAGGTGATCCACCCGCCTCGGCCTCCCAAAGTGCTGGGATTACAGGCGTAAACCACCACCCCCATCCTGTCTTTTGATTTTTAAAATGCCAGAGCTGCTTTTCAAGACCCCAAAGTCAGAAGCTGCCATGGGACAAATCTCTGCAGTACACATGGAAATCACACACAGTGAAAGCATCCCCCACCCTGAACCAATTGTTTTTACTCCAGCCAGCATGTAAAAATCACCCGGGGGGCTTTTTAAAACCCCTAAACATGCTGGTTGCTGTGGCTCACGCTTGTAAACACGGCACTCAGGAGACGGAGGCGGGCAGATCCTGAGGTCAGGAGTTCAAGACCAGCCTGGCCAACATGGTGAAACCTCGTCTCTACTAAAAATACAAAAATTATCCGGGCATGGTAGTGGGCATCTATAATCCCAGCTACTTGGGAGGCTGAGGCGGGAGAATCACTTGAACCTGGGAGGTGGAGGTTGCAGTGGGCCGAGATCTCACCACTGCACTCCAGCCTAGGTGACAGAGAAACTCTATCTCAAAAAAAAAAAAAAAGATGGAAAATCTGTTATTTTATTTAATTACAATAAAAGGTTAAAAAGTGGCCATTCTCTGTGATTTTGAAAGCAGCATTGTCTAAACAGATGTGTATTTGCATTTACATTTACCTTCGCATATATTTATGACATCTGGTCATTTTTTATCCATTCATAGAATGTATTTTAAAAGGATGCATTTAAAATAAGTAGAGTGTCTGATAAAAGAAGCATTTGAAATGTATTATAAAAATTAGTTGATTACATAGTGTCCAGATACTTACATGTTCACTCAGAACATATAAAGTAAGATTATTATATCATCTTACAGATAATTAAAAAATATTTTAAAAATATGTGGCTAAGGTTATCAGCTGAAAATAAGTGAGAATATATTTATTTGCACAGATAATAAAAATGCTTTTCCAACTGGATACAAAATACAAAATGTATCATGGAAAAAGTCAGATAATGTAGATTATTTAAAAGACATACAACTCTGTACTACAAAAGTTATGCAGCATAGAGGAAGTGTTACTAGTGGAGGGTGTCCAGGTTCTTGGCAACTTGAACAGAGAATTAGATTGAGTAAAATATATTATTATAAACAAAATTTGGAGCATAATTCTCTCCACCTGATTTCTCCAAAATTTGAAAACTAGTTGTGAGTATTCCCTTTTTTTTTTTTTTTTTTTTGAGGTGGAGCCTTGCTCTGTCACTAGGCTGGAGTGCAGTGGTGCAATCTTGGCTCACTGCAACCTCTGACTCCCTGGTTCAAGCGATTCTCCTGCGTCAGCCTCCTGAGTAGCTGGGATAACTAACATGCGCCACCACGCCCAGCTAATTTTTGTATTTTTAGTAGAGACAGAGTTTCACCATGTTGGTCAGGATGGTCTCAATCTCCTGACCTTGTGATCCACCCACCTCGGCCTCCTAAAGCGCTAGAATTACAGGCATGAGCCACTGTGCCCTGTTGTGAATATTCTTAACTTATAACAATATAGTTATTTGCATTAAGTGCAATAAAAATCTATTTTCTTACTGGGTGCAGTGGCTCACAACTGTAAATCCCAGCCCGTTGAAAGGCTGAGTTGGGTGAATTGCTTGAGCCCAGGAGTTCAAGACCAGTCCGGGCAACATTATGAGATGCCCCCTGTCTACCAAAAAATATATAAAAATTTGCCAGGCATGATGGCACTCACCTGTAGTCCCAGCTGCTTGGGAGCTGAGGTGGGAGGATCACCTAAGTGCAAGAGCCAGAGGTTGCAGTGAGCTGAGATTGCACCAATGCATTCCAGCCATGGTGACAAAGCAAGACACTGTCTCAAAAAAAAAATCTATTTTTTTTTTTGTAACAGAACACAATTGGAGACACTGGTTGTTTTACCAAGGTATTGCCTGGAATGTCATGCTTTCAGATACAGACCCCTTTAAGGTATCATAGTTGGCTTATAGAAATAATATAAGCTCTTCGAACAAGCTGGCCTTACACCTCTTCTACACAGTTCCTGTGCAGGTTCCTTACCTGTGGTAAGTAAAGAATTCCACTTTCTGACAGGCCAAGGAGCCCAAGTTTTTTGTAACCTGGGGGTGTTTTGCTGAAAGATTTACTTTCATCATAGGTTTGAGGATTCATGAGCAAAAGAAACCACAATATTACACTCAAATGCAGTTAGGAGAAAAGTTTAATGATTAATGTAGTAAAACAGTATAATGGTAAACTTAGCAAAGGCTAAAGTGGGAGAAAAGGAAAATATGTACGTATATACACATATATATTCACCAAGTTCGGGAGGATACCTACATCCAGATCAAGCAGTGCTGGGAAGTTCCAAAAAACAGCCATCTGGAGTTCCAGTTAGAAGAATCCCTGGGTAGTGCATCTACTCTACAGGTGAGACTTCAAGAGAGCAGTAGGAGGCTGCCAGCTTACATTATCGGGCCAGTGGCTGACATTGTCAGCTAGCATTCAAATGTGCAGCCTTCAAGATTTAGTCAATAATGCTTAATCTTTTAGTTTGTGTCTCAGGATGTTCTGAAACACAGAGAATTGGTCAGATTCCCAAGTTTTGAGAAGTTCTATAGCATACGCCCTGTCTTATTTGAAGTTTCTCATGACTGATGGGTGTTTACTCTCCATGTAGATGCTTAGCCCACATGAGCTTATGTATTGGTCAGAAGCCTAGCATTGCTTCTGAAGCCTGAAGAAGACTAATACAATTTTAAATTCTTTAAATGAGGTGAGATATTCACCCCACTAATACAGGTATTTGCAGGCACATGATGGGCTTAAGACATTAAAGTTGAATCGGAGCTTCCATAATAAAATAAAGTTCCAGCAAGGCCAATATAAGAAAAAAAGTGGAGCCTATAAGGGAAATAATTATTCTTGCTGACTTGATTCAAATTCTCTGGCTAAGTATAATAAGACTAAAACTTATTTTACAAGTGAGTTCGTCCTATGATTTGTCTTTAGTGAAAATGGGACTAAAGAGAGAAAAATTCTGTGTCAGAATAAACTCTAGTACACCTGTAGTTAGTTTCTGGTCTTAACTGATTTTTTTTGCAATTTTTATTACTTTTTACAGTTTGGACTAAATTCTACAATGTCCCTGGCTACAAGTCTCAAACATTTTTTTCCTTTTTTTATTTCTTTTTTCATTTTTTTTTTCTGATTTCAAATAACTAAAACCTAAGTTGTGCTTTCTTAAAGCCCTGCAAACTGAAGCCAGACAAACTTAAACTTCGAAAAAAAGAAAACAACTTATTTAAATACATAAACTACCTTTATACCTGCCTATTGATGTAAAGACTTCAGAGTAATATGACCTATATTGATTTTCCAAAATTATTCTTGCTTTTTTTGTTTTTATTGTTTTTCTTTCTTCCTTTCCCTGCTTCTCTTTGAAGGATGTGAGACTTCACAACCTGCTAAAAATGATCTTTCCTAATAATGTGGGACCTACCCTTCTCGGAATAAACTGTTCTAGCCGTAAGAGATCAGGCAAAATCTGAAACCAATGACTTATTTTTTTCTAAAATGCTTTCTCTGAAAGATTTTAAAAAGAAAAGGGAAGAAATATGAAAGGAAAATGAATCTCTGGACCCCCAAATCACCAGGCCAAAAGGAAAAGCCAATCTGGGAACTTGCCTCCCATTCTATTTCCAAATAAGATAACTATGAAGAGAAAAAGGCTACAGACAACCCTCACAATTTGCCCACAAAAAAAATCCCTGTGTACAAAGGACAGACAGAACTCAAAAATTACCCCTCTGCTCACCTGAGACAAATGCATATCTGATTGCTTTCTTTGCGCTATTGTTTCACTAAGCCAGACTAACGCATAAGTGACTATCGCTGTAAATTGCATATTCAGTGAAAGGCTAATCAGAAACTAAAAAAAAAGAAAAAAAACAAACAAAAAAAACAAAAATCAGCCATTTGTCCTTTAGCTACCTATGACCTGGAAGCTGCCACCCAGCTTCACGTTGTCCCACCTTTCTGGACAATGTACATGTTACATATATTGATTGATGTCTCCTGTCTCCCTAAAATGTATAAAACCAAGCTGTGCCCCAACCACCTTGGTCACATGTTGTCAAGACCTCCTGAGGCTGTGTCACAGGTGTGTCCTTAACCATGGCAAAATAAACTTTCTAAATTGAGACCTGTCTCAGATACTTTTGAATTCACACTACTAATTACAGGTAGAATTTAAAATTCTTAACATAGAAACAAACAAAAGAACTAGTTAAACTGAGAAAAATTAATAAAAGTGTGCTCGAATTTACTGACAGAATTATGGGTAAATCTAACTAGATTATATCCGTTTTAAGTAAATAAGAAAAAAAAACATAATTACGAAGGAGCCTTTACCTTTGGGAAATCAAAAAGCCACTTTTGACCAGTTGTTTGACCCCCCCACAGGTACACACCCCGGTCCCCAGCCACCTGCCAGGCCGTCCTGTCTCGGTACCTGGTGGGCGGGGTCCCTGCGGTCTGGGATTGGGGTTTGGGCTCTGGCCCCGCGCGGTGGCCTTGGATCGCTCCCGCCCTGCCGGGGCCCCCAGCTCGAGGGACCGAGCAGGTACCCGACGGGCTGGCAGCCAGCCACGCAGGGTGCTGTAGGGGTGGGTTGGGCCGGGTGTCGGGGGCTCGGATTCAGAGCCATCTTTGCCGTAGGGCCGGCTGGGGCAGGCTTCCCGCTCTGGGAAATTTGCCCCCGCTATCCCTGCCAGTGGCTGTCGTGGGCGGCCCCGCCTTGGAGCCCTGGCCACCGAGCCGCGCGGGACTGGAGAGCTGCGGGTGGGGAGGGACCAGCGGGCGGAGGAGGGGCGGCCCTGCAGGCGACGCGGGGACTGGCAAGGGCGACTAGGTGGGAAAAGGTGATCGTCCCCACCAGGCCAGCCCGCGGGCTCTGCTGCCGCCCCTCCCTGAAATTCACGGCCAGAGAGGGCGCACTGGTGTGTGTGGCGCCTGGAGCCTTAAGGTCCCCATCCAAGTGCGAGGCCCCAGCTGGTAGCCCGGCCCAGGGGCGTCCACTGTCCCGGCCCCAGACCCCAGGTCCTGGCCAGATTGGCCAGAGTCAGAGGCTGGAATCTGGAGGGCGGAGGTGAGGGTGTCAGCTAAGACCAGCCCCTGCCCGGCAGTGGCCAGCATAACGCGGTGACAGTCTCTGGAGGCCCCACTGCCTGTCAAGCCCGCTGGGCTCCTTAGATCCGTCTGCCCCTAGAAGTGCGCACCCAACGCCAGGCAGAGGGAGCGGGTGTGGGGCTGCTGGCGGTCAAGGTCCTCGGAGATGAGGACGGTCTTCTAGGAGGGGCCCGGGGGCCACAGAAGGATAGGGGAGTGTACGCCGAGCCCACCTTGCAAAGGCGCTCTGGTTCCCCAGGGGCGGCACCTTCGGCCTCCAGCCAAGTCGCCGAGCGCTCCCAGTGCTGCCTGCCCGGCACCTGCGCTCCAGACTCCTGGCTGCCAAACAAAGAGGAAGCCCGCCCCCTGGAACAGGCCACTCTCAGATTGGGCGAGGGAAGCACAGACACCCCCACCCCCAGCCTGGCAGCCACACACAGGGAGGTCGTCACCTGATGAGTGTGGGGGGGCTTGAGGGAGGGCTGGTGGCCCCGCGGGCCTGAATTATTGACAAGTGAATGAGCTGGGAATGAAGTCACCTGAGGCCGGGAAGAAGGGGCGGGGGTTGGGGGCGGGGGGCGGGGTGTTGGAGGGCGGTGAATGCCCGGACCTCTGGGGCTCCAGGCTGCCAGTGGCCCGGCCAGGCTCCCGGTGTCCTCCTCCAACCTCAGTTTCCTCACCTGTCCCAGAGGACGAATATGGCAGGGCTGTTTCGGTGATTAGGCCGGATAATCCTGGTAAACTTTATTAGCCTGCCTGGTCTGGATATTATTTTTTCTGACTTTGTTAAGAAACTTTGCTGCCCAACCTCTGCTTTTGGAAAGTGGGCTGCGGAGGCAGGAAGGCAGGACTCTCACCCTTGGCTTCGGAGTCTCTTCCGCGTGCCCCCCCCCCGCCACCCCCTTAGCCTCAATGAAAGCACAAAGCTGGCAAAACTCCCCTACCCAAGACAGCTGCAGAGTCCAGAACCAGAATATCTTGTTTTCTGACCCAAGGGCCTTTTCTTATCCGAAAATCGAAATCTCTTTGAGTGGTCAGCTTCAGACAGGAGTCTGAATTGTTTTTCTCAATTGAGAAAACAATTGGTTGACCCAAGCCCCTTATGATGAAGCGTTGCTCTACCCCCATTCCACCCTTTTCCTGCCCTAATGCATTGGAGGTCCTTAAATGTAGTGACCTGTAATTGGGAGCAAGGTTCCCCAGGCAGGTTATATTGCCTTCCTCAGCAGGCTGGCCTGGCCTTGGCCTGATAAAAATCAGTCCTAGGGCAAAAGACCCAGGGCAGGGAGGCCTCTCACTGCCCCCCACTTTCACATGCTGCAGGCATTTAATGGGCTGTGGTGACCTCTCAGGGTCCCCTAGCCTGCAGGATAGAATTTTGACTTTTTGCCACAGTGGGGGAAACTGAGGGGCAAAGCTAGTGAGTGAAACAATTAGAAAGACTCTGTGACTGGGAAGCACTCCCCAGGCCCAAAGTCCCTACAGGACTCAGCTCCTTTCGGGTTGCACCAGTGGTTGCCATGTGCACCCTGGTTGTCATCTGTACCTTTCTGGGGCTGAGGGTGGGTGTTCTGGCAGGACAAGGTCTGTGACCCACGGGATAGAGAGACATTGCCCTCTTTCCCTGGCCTTGGGCAGAGCAAGAGTTCTGTTCTCTAATGTATGTAAGGACCAGTGCCTGTGTGAGTGGAGGTGGGACTCCTTTTTTCTTGATTAAATAAAACCCTTCCTGGGGTTGCTTAGGGGATTCTGGGGCTTGTGTACCTGACAGTTGGGTGTGGCATCTGGGTACTCAGCTTGTCTGTGCCTTGCTGTCACTTCTCCAGGGACAGCCACACACTTCCCTCTTAGTCCCCACACATGCCCAGTCCCTTACTTTTTCACCTGGGATCCCCCTGCCTGAATCTCTCAACTCAGCCACTGCTAGGTCTCCCCAGGGACCCTGTAATCCCTGGCATGGGATTGCCGGAGGCGGTGACCCTGCTGCCTACCTCTGTCTGAAGTTGGGGTCCCTGGCCTCTGCCTGCACCTGGTGGACAGGGTGGGTGAACTGGTCAGGATAGGTTCTTGGCCTAGTACAGGGCCCTTCCCTGCAACTTGGGAGGCTCCAGTCATGGCTGGCCTGGGGGTTGCTCTATGTTGTGTCTCAGATTCCAGGAGATAAGCAGATACCAGGAGAGGAGCACATTCTGAAAGAGAAACGGAATTTTCCAACTCAGCTGAATCCTCGGCCCCTGCCCTTGAACACACATTCTGGTTTTCTCACCGAGTCCCTGCTTGCTCCTGCCCACCTGGCCGTCCCAGGCAGGTGATTGATGTTTCTGCCCCATGTGTGCTTTAGCTGTGAGGGTCACTGGTGGGACACTATTGAGAAGGCACTGAATCTGTCCTCATTATCTGGGATGTCACATGAAGTTCTTGGTCTCAGAGCCAATGAAATCAAGGGTGCGGACACTCCAAAGGTGAGGTTAGAGCAGAATTTTAATAAGCGAAAGGAAGAAAGCTCTCTGGCACAGAGAGGACTCCCAGGAAAAAGGATTGCCATTTTAAAGTGAAAAGCCCAAGAGATTTTATAAACAAGCTGATCGGGAGAGGTGCTTCATTTACATAAGGTGCGACAAACCAGTCAGGACTAGGTATGTCATTGTGTCCTTTGCATAAGGTGCAAACTTCTGACAGTCCCCACTCCAACGTGTTTTTTTGAGACGGAGTTTTGCTCTTGTTGCCCAGGCTGGAGTGCAATGGCGCAATCTCAGCTCACTGCTGCCTCCACCTCCCTGGTTCAAGCGATTCTCCTGCCTCAGCCTCCTGAGTAGCTGGGACTACAGGCACGTGCCACCACACCCGGCTAATTTTTTTATACTTTTAGTAGAGACAGGGGTTCGCCGTGTTAGCCAGGATGGTCTCGATTTCCTGACCTCATGAGCCACCTGCCTCGGCCTCCCAAAGTGCTGGGATTACAGCCTTGAGCCACCGCACCCGAACAAGCCCTAACTCTTAAATGAGACCATACGTCTTTTTATTTTAGCCCCAGTTCGGTTCATGGCATGTTTTTAATTTTGGGGGAATGCAACCTTTATTCCAGAAAATTCTTCCCCCACAGTAATGATCACCAATGCCAGGGCACCTAGCACAGTGCCTTGCACATAGAGTGCATTCAATGTGTATGGAACTGGGTTGATTCAGGAACAAAACCAATAGTAAAGTTGGTTCTGCAAAGAACAATAATTTGGTAATATTGGTAAGACTGAAAGGCCATGACTTAGGGACAAACATTTTTTCATTCATTTGAGAAATAATTTGCAACTAGGTCACTAAAAGTGTTGGTTTACAGCAGAGGCATTTGAGCTTGGCTGTACTGTCATCACCTAGAGATAATTAAACTAAACTGTTGCCCAGTTTCCACTCCAGGAATCCTGATTTAATTGGGGTGTGGCAACTTATGTTTGGGGGATTTTTAAAGACCCCCCCAGGTGATTTTTACATGCAGACTTGGGTGAAAACAATTGGTTCAGGGTGAGGGATGCATTCACTGTGTGTGATTTCCACGTGTGCTTCTGAGATTTGTCCCACGGCTGCTTCTGACTTTGAAATCTTCAACAGCAGCTCTGCTATTTTAAAAATCAAAATACAGGCCAGGCGGGGTGGCTCATGCCTGTAATCCCAGCACTTTGGGAGGCCGAGGTGGGCGGATCACCTGAGTTCAGGAGTTTGAGACCAGCCTTGCAAACATGGCAAAACCCCATCTCTAATAAAAATAGAAAAATCAGCTGGGCATGGTGGCGCACGCCCGAATTCTCAGCTACTCGAGATGCTGAGACACCAGAATGGCTTCAAGCCAGGAGGTTGAGGTGGCAGTGAGCCGAGATCACGCCACTGCACTCCAGTCTGAGCAACAGAGCCAGACTCTAAAAAAATAAAAAAAAAAAGTAAGAAAGAAATGAAATGTCTTCCTAGCAGGTCTGTCTATAGTCATTTGATTTTAAGGTAAGAGGTTGGTTCAGGCACAGTACTTTTAATCAGTGTTGAAAATCATAAATAGCCCACACGTATCAAAAAGCGTTTTTATTTTTTATTTTTTTTCTGAGATGGAGTCTCACTCTGTCGCCCAGGCTGGAGTGCAGTGGCGCGATCTTGGCTCACTGCAACCTCCAACTCCCTTGTTCAATCGATTCCCCTGCCTCGGCGTCCTGAGTAGCTGGGATTACAGGCACACACCACCACGCACAGATAATTTTTGTATTTTTAGTAGAGACGCGGTTTCACCATGTTGGCCAGGATGGTCTCAATGTTCTGACCTCATGATCCATCCGCCTCAGCCTCCCAAAGTGCTGGGACTACAGGTGTGAGCCACCGCGCCCGGCCAAAGTATTTTTATTTTTATTTCATTGAGACAGTCTCACTCTGTCGTGCAGGCTGGAGTACAGTGGTACAGTCTCAGCTTGCTGTGACCTCTGCCTCCCAGGTTCAAACCATTCTCCCGCCTCAGCCTCCCGAGTAGCTGGGATTACAGGGGCCCGCCACCACACCACGCTAATTTTTGTATTTTTAGTAGAGACGGAGTTTCACCATGTTGGGCAGGCTGATCTCGAACACCTGACCTCGGGATCCGCCCGCTTTCGCCTCCCAAAGTGCTGGAATTACAGGCGTGAGCCACCGTGCCCCGTGTGTTCCTTGTTTTTAAAGTTTGGCTAGTAGGAAATTTAAAATTCACATGTGGCTCACATTTTACTTAGAAGGATTGTGTCCTTTTAAAAACCTCAGGTTAGTTGGGCGCGGTGGCTCACGCCTGTAATCCCAGCACTTTGCGAGGCCAAAGCGGGCGGATCACCTGGGAGTTCAGCCTGGCCAACATGGTGAAACCTGGTCTCTAATAAAAATACAAAAAAATTAGCCGGGCATGGTGGCGCATGACTGTAATTCCAGCTACTCGGGAGGCTGAGGCAGGAAAATCACTGGAACCCGGGAGGCAGAGGTTACAGTGAGCCAAGATCGCGCCATTGCACTCCAGCCTGGGCGACAGAGCAAGACTCCATCTTAACACAAAACAAAAACTATCTCAGGCTGCCTGTTCAAAGGACCAGAGCCAGGAAGGTTATAAAAGCCGAAATTCAGGCTAGGTGCGGTGGCTCACGCCTGTAATCCCAGCACTTTGGGAGACCGAGGCGGGCGGATCATGAGGTCAGGAGATCGTAGACCACCCTGACCAACATGGTGAAAACCCCGTCTCTACTAAAAATACAAAAATTAGCAGGGCGTGGTGGCGCGCGCCTGTAATTTCAGCTACTCGGGAGGCTGAGGCAGAAGAATCGCTTGAACCCGAGAGGCGGAGGTTGCAGTGAGCTGAGGTCGTGCCACTGCACTCCAGCCTGGGCGACACAGCGAGATTCCGTCTCAAAAAAAAAAAAAAAGCAGAAATTTAAAAATAATTGTTATTCTATTCTTTCCATGTGTGAGCAGCCGTATAGTATATTATTTACAAATACATGAGACCTTATATACAAGGTTTAAGGCAAACACCCTCTGGGTGGGCTTAGCTCACCTCAGGGAGGAAGCCCTGCCTGAAAAGGGGGCACCTTCGGCTGTCAGTCTTTCTTCATTCAGCCCAGCATTTGGTCACATCTTCTGTCACTCAGGGCGTGAGGGCGAGGGATCTTAAACGTTAACAAGTCAGAGACGCTGGCCTGGGAACTGTCCAATCAGGCACGCGGTTGGAGCGGAAAGGGCGGCTTCCGGGATGTGGCGGGGTCTTTGTCTCTCGCTGCAGCCGGAGTTCCTGGTCTCGTCTTCGCCCTTCTGTGTCCTCTGCTCGTAGAGGCCCAGCCTCTGTGGCCCTGTGACCTGCAGGTATTGGGAATCCACAGCTAAGATGCCAGGACCCCTTGGAAGCCTAGAAATGGTGAGAGTGCCGAGTCCGACATCCCTAGAGAGGAGAAGGGGCTGGTTGGAACCGGTGGGAAGAGGCTGTGGCGGGACTCAGGCCTCCCCGCTGTCAGCTCCACAATCCGTGCCCCTAGTTCTCCTTGCCTAGCTCGGCCTCAGTCCCCTTCAGCGATAAGATGGCGGCTGCGCTGACAGCCAGGCTCCGGGCGTCCTGTCTCTTCCCTGCCCAGTGACTGTGCCCTGAGCTGGAGCCCTCTCTGGGCAGCTCTGCACGCGCAGTGCCGCGTCTCTCCCAGATTGTGCAGGGACCACGAGAGGGTCGTCGGCAGAATCCTGACTCGGGGTGCTGGGGGTGAGGGTTCATGAATGGAAAGAGCTTTTGTTTGGTTTATGGGGTTCCTAGTTCCTCTTTTCGCCTATTAAAAATGTATGGGAATTATCGCGACAGTACTTAAGAATTTAAACAAGGAGCGGTTCAAAAATTGTAGAGCTCCCAGCTATGGGTTGTAGTTTGTGGGCCATGAAAAGATCTTGAAGGAAAGATGCATGATGAAAATACCCAAATTCAGTAATCGGTTAGGTACATTTACGTAGTTTCTTAATTTTCACTTTAAGCCTAGAAATTTCCTGGTTGTGTAATCAGAACTTACTTGGCAGTTTATCATTTTTTAAGCCTGAATTTTGTTTCCCCCAATGTAGTAATTTCTATTAAAAAAATGCATTTGAGTTAGATTTTTTAAAATTAGGAATCCAGGGATTGGAGCCACCTCAGTCTATTTGCCGCCACGTGGGACTGATTTTCCCTTGCATGTTTCACATGGGTCCCAAGCAGGGTCTCAAGGCAACCCCCCACACCCCATTTCTGCAGCCTAACTCTGGCTTGCAGTAAAATACTGAATTTTCAGTTTCTTCTGAAAATCTCAAATGCCAACTTCCTCTCCCTAATTTACATTATTTATTATTTGTTTTTTAGTGTACCTTTTATATACCGTATTTTAATTAATCATTTTTTGACAAAGCATTAGATGGCATATTGAAAAAGATGTTTTCTCATTTGAAGGACCTAAATTTGTAGCAAATTCTGTGGGAGGTTTAAAAAGTTAAGCTGCTATAGTAAGTTACTGGGCATTCTCAGTATTTGAATATGGAACATATGCACAGGGGAAGGAAATAGCATTGCACTTTATAAACACTGTATTGTAAGTGGAAAATGCAATGTCTTAAATAAAACTATTTAAAATTGAAAAAAAGAAAAAGAAAAAGATATGTTTTCTGTTTGTAAGTATTTCCCATGAGAAGAAAGCAAAGAATAATCCCCTGATAGTGAATTGTAAAAAGTCTCTGTGCCTCTTTTTCTTTTGTCTTCCCTAGGCACAAAGGTCTTATGATAATGTTTTAGTGTCAAGATGTTTTTATTTTGCAAACGTTATGGAGTGATTTGTCCTCAGCAACCCTGTCGTTTTTTCTTGTTCCTGGGTTTTAGTACTGTCTCTGAATAAACCAAGATAACTGCTGTGGCTATGTCTGCTAGAGTATCTAGTGAATATCAGCTCCTAAGTCGTTTTCTTTCATAGGACAACCTGAGGTAGGGAGTGCAGCCTCCCCAGTGGATACCCTGGGGAAAAGATGGAATCTCTTGGTGTACTCTTCCTTTGAAAAGCTAACCCCTTGAGACATTACAATTGTCTTCACCCAACCCAGCTTCCATTTCTTGGAGACAGATTGCTGGTCCACCAATCACATGCTGATATTGAGGGGAAAACAGAAATAATTTCTGCCCCCTAAATGCTCTAAGATTTGTGAAAGAAAAAATAGTATCCCAAAAGACAAAAGAAAGAAAAAAAACCTGACTTCAGTGAGATAGTACAAAAACTTGCAAAGTAAAATACACTTGGGGCACTCACTTGAGCATAGTGCACTGTCTCCTAAGAGAGTGGTCACTGAGCACTTAAGTGAGCAGGTTGGAGTGGGAGAATCTCTCAAGTGGTTGGATGATCTGAATTGACCCATGAGTCAGACACATCTGTTTTCTTTCTTTTTTTCTTTTTGAGACGGAGTCTAGCTCTGTCACCCAGGCTGGAGTGCAGTGGCGCGATCTTGGTTCACTGCAACCTCCGCCTCCCACGTTCAAGTGATTCTCTTGCCTCAGCCTCCCGAGTAGCTGGGACTACAGGCATGCACCACCACACCCAGCTAATTTTTTTTTTTGGTATTTTTAGTGGAGACAGGGTTTCACCATGTTGGCCTGGTTGGTCTCGAACTCCTGACCTGGTGATCTGCCTGCCTCGTTCTCCCAAAGTGCTGGGACTACAGGCTGAGCCACCGTGCCCAGCCTACACATCTAATATCACTTCATTTTATTGCAGGGTAAATTTGTGACAGTGAATATCTCTGTTCTGTATCCTGTTATCTTGACTTCTGAGTTTCATGCTTAATTTTATGAGATAAAACTTGGTACCTCCTAGAAATGGTCCCATATGACTAATTGTTTACTACATGATTTTTAATGGAAATAATAAGACATGTATTGTCTGAAAGGAATTGATACTTTTGCTTTTCTTATTGAGGTATAAAATTAAAGCGCCTTATAATTTCATCCCCTTATATGAACATTGTGTTTAAGTAATGTTGCTGAATTTTTCACACACGTAATTTTGAAAACCAAGTTAGTAACTCTGACAATGGAAATCAAAGCATGAGCCTAGTGACTCCAAGCTAAGGCTAATTAATATTGAGCCTACAAAAGAAGGTTATTAACGGCCCAATTAGTTTTTTTCTGAAGAGCCTCTCTCGCAGATGTCCCAGCCTGCTCACCCCCAGCCATGGAAGAAACCTTTATAGTGAGAGAAGCTACAGAGCCCTGGAAAACTGGGGCCCCACAGAGAGATGCAGTTAAGGTTAAGAAGGAAAAGAACTGGCAGGATTCTTGTGAAGATGAAGTTATTGTTTTGAAGCAGTTTCTAGACTATTTAAAATAAACCAAAGTTAGATTAATGTAAAAATTGAATTCCAAAGGAGTATTGTAACAGAAAGAAATGCCTACTATAAGATCTTTAAAAATTGCAAGTTCAGGCAGACAAGGAAGGAACAAACAAGATTAGAACGAAAGTGGGAGGGAAATGGCAAATGGAGGGTGAAAAAGTTAGATTCTAGATTAATGTTTTACCTCGAACTCAGCATGTCCTTAGGAAGGACATAAAATGCGGTTGTATTTCGACTCAGATTGAGTGTAGCTGAATGTTAAGGAGCCTATGGGGCGGAGATAAACTTAAGTGAAGTTTGATTAAAAAGTATTTTATTTTGACCACTGAAGAAAAATTCAGCTTTTTTTTGAGGCAGAGTCTTGCTCTGTCACCCAGGCTGCGGTGCAGTGGTGCGATCACTCACTGCAACCTCTGCGTCCTGGGTTCAAGCGATTCTCCTGCCTCAGCCTCCCAAGAAGCTGGGATTACAGGCACCTACCAAAATGCCTGGCTAATTTTTTTAGTATTTTTAGTAGAGGCGGGGTTTCACCACGTTGGCCAGGCTGCTCTCGAACTCCTGACCTCAGGTGATCCACCTGCCTCAGCCTCTCAAAGTTCTGGGATTACAGGCGTGAGCCACTGCTCCCAGCCAGCTGATTTTTTAAAATTAGAAGAAGAAGAAAATGTGCACAGTCTTTGTTTGGCTATGTGATAGGTAAGAAAAAAGAGCACCAACTAAGTCATAATGGAAAGCATGTTTCTTTCCATAAACTGTTTCTGGAGAACACAAAGGATAGAGAATTTTATTAATCACAGCTATTTACCAGGATTATCTATGTGCTTCATCTTTCCCCATTTTTTTTCTTTGTCTTATACATTTCTTACATTTGACTCTTTTGGGGGTTATATTTTTTATAAGCTGGTAAATGTAACTACAGTGTTTTGCTGAGTTCTGCGAGTAGCTCTATCAAATTATGAAACTTGAGGGAGGTTACAGGAGTCCATAATTTTTAAACAGTAGCTCAGAAGCATAGATGGGCCTATGGGGTTTGTGACTGGCATCTGCAATTAGGACAATATTGTGAAAATGAGCCCTGAATCAGGGTCTGTGCTGACTCTGGGTGGTGTCAGAATTCAAATTCAAATGTTAGACAATGAGTTGGTGTTGGAGAATGTCTTGATGTTCAGCAAACTCTACAGATTTGGTACAAGAAAAAAGATACCACAGAGGCCTGGCCTGGAATAAAACTCTGGGTGTCTGGGAATGGGAGGCTCTACTCTCCTGTACACAGGCTGTCACACTGCCCATTGTCCTGTGATTCCAGGTCTCCCAGGATGAGAGAGGATCCAAACTTAGAGTAAAGAAACTCTGACAGCAGACCCCCTTTTCCCACAGCTGTAACCACAGGATTCCCTCTCACTCACGAGCATACCCACTAGATATTAATGTGTCCAGACCTCTCCCAGGACTAGGCACCATGCTGAGAAATTTTACAACAGCATTTTTGATTCTAGTGTTTCCTGGCAAAAACCTACAAAAGTGTCTACAAGTCTCCTGGCATATCCCAACCCCCAGACACTGAATCTGCAACAGCAAACTGTTTTCCCCACCAACTGAGGGTTCTGGACCACCTGTTCATAATCTCATCTGCTTGCATAAACACAAAAATCCATCAGAGTATACCTCTACCTGAGCCGCTATCTGTAGCACAAACCAGTTCTTCCACCTGCATTGCACTGTTTCCCACTCATAGATTTTTATTCTTTTTAACTTTTATTTTTGGTTCAGGGGTACACATGCAGGTTTGTTATACAGCTAAAATTGTGTCATGGGGGTTTGGTGTGCAGATTATTTTGTCACTGAGGTACTAAGCATAGCACCAAGCAGGTACTTTTTCTGATCCTCTTTGTCCTCTAACCTCAACTACGCCTCAGTGTCTGTTGTTCCCTCTTTGTTTTTATGTGTTCTTATTATTCAGCTCTTACTTAATTTTTTTTTTTTTTTTTTTTTTTTTTTTGAGATGGAGTTTTGCTCTTATTGCCCAAGCTGGAGTGCGATGGCGCGATCTTGGCTCACCGCAACCTCCGCTTCCTGGGTTCAAGTAATTCTTCTGCCTTAGCCTCCCAAGTAGCTGGAATTACAGGCATGTGCCACCACGCCTGGCTAATTTTGTATTTTTAATAGAGATGGGGTTTCTCCATGTTGGTCAGGCTGGTCTGGAACTCCTGACCTCAGGTGATCTGCCTGCCTTGGCTTCCCAAAGTGTTGGGATTACAGGCGTGAGCCACTGTGCCCAGCCTCAGCTATTACTTAGAAATAACATGCATTTGGTTTTCTGCTGCTGTGTTAGTTTTCTAAGAGTAATGGTCTCCAGCTTAATCCACGTTGCTTCAAAGGACATGATCTGTGTGTGTGTGTGTGTATGTGTGTGTGTGCATGTTTTAACGGCCACACACTATTTTATGATAATTTATGTACCATATTTTATTTATTTGAGATGGAGCTTCTCTCTTGTCTCCCAGGCTGGAGTGCAGTGGCACGATCTTGGCTCACTGCAACCTTCGCCTCCTGGGTTCAAGCGATTCTTCTGCCTCAGCCTCCAAGTAGCTGGGATTACAGGTGTGCACCACCAGGCCTGGCTAATTTTTATATTTTTAGTAGAGACAGGGTCTTGAACTCCTGACCTCAGGTGATCCACCCGCCTCAGCCTCCCAAAGTGCTGGGATTACAGGCGTGAGCCACTGCACCCGGACACCATACTTTTTTGTTGTTGTTGTTGAGACGGAGTCTTGCTCTGTCACGCAGGCTGGAGTGCAGTGGCGCGATCTCGGTTACTGCAAGCTCCGCCTCCCGGGTTCACGCCATTCTCCTGCCTCAGCCTCCCCAGTAGCTGGGACTACAGATGCCCACCACCACG
Source organism: Homo sapiens (assembly GCF_000001405.40). Taxonomy (NCBI): domain Eukaryota; kingdom Metazoa; phylum Chordata; class Mammalia; order Primates; family Hominidae; genus Homo; species Homo sapiens. Next base: position 22,416,329 of record NC_000019.10, on the reverse strand, counting down.
CCCGGCTAATTTTTTGTATTTTTCGTAGAGACGGGGTTTCACCGTGTTAGCCCAGATGGTCTCGATCTCCTGACCTCATGATCTGTCCGCCTTGGCCTCCCAAAGTGCTGGGGTTACAGGTGTGAGCCACCACGCCTGGCCCATACTTTATTTTTCTTAAATTTTTTTGTTTTGTTTTGTTTTTTTGAGACGGAGTCTTGCTCTGTTGCCCAGGCTGGAGTGCAGTGACACGGTTTTGGCTCACTGCAACTTCTGCCTCCCGGGTTCAAGCTGTTCTCCTGCCTCAGCCTCCCGAGTAGCTGGGACTACAGGCACCTGCCACCACGCCCAGCTAAGTGTGTGTGTGTGTGTGTGTGTGTGTGTGTGTGTGTGTCTGTAGTTTTTTTTTTTTTTTTTTTAAGTAGGAACGGGGTTTCACCATGTTGGTCAAGCTGGTCTCGAACTCCTGACCTTGTGATCCACCTGTCTTGGCCTACCAAAGTGCTGGGATTACAGGCGTGAGCCACTGTGCCTGGCCTAAGCCTTTTATTTTATTTTATTTTTGAAGACAGGTTCTCACTATGTTGTCCAGACTGGAGTGCAGTGGCATGATCTCAGCTCACTGCAGCCTCAACCTCCCAGGCTCAAGCAATCTTCTTTTACTTTAGCCCCCCACATAGCTGAGACTGCAGGCACACACCACCAGACCTGGCTAATTTTTTTTTTTTTTTTGTATTTTTTGTAGAGATGGGGTCTTGCCATGTTCCGCTGGGTGGCCTCAAACTTTTGAGCTCAGGCAGTTTACCTGCCTTGGCCTCCCAAAGTGCTGAGATTACAGGTGTGAGCCATCATGGCCAGCCATACCATATTTTCTTTATCCAGTATACAGTTGAGAAGCAGTTAGGTTGATTCCATGTCTTTGCTATTGTGAATAGTACTGCAATGAACATGCGTATGTCTTTATAATAGAATAATTTGTATTTTACTGGGTATATGCCCGATTTTGAGGTTGCTGGGTCAACAGGTAATTCTGTTTTAGTTCTGTGAGGAATCGTCACACTGCTTTTTATAATGAACTAATTTACACTCCCACTGGTATAAGCATTCCTGTAACCTTGCCAGCATCTGTTACCTTTTGACTAATACTAGCCATTCTCACTGGTGTGAGATGATATTTCATTATGGTTTTTCTTTGAATTTCTCTAATGATTAGTGATGAGCATTTTTTATATGCTTGTTAGCCACATGTGTGTCTTCTTTGAAAAAAAAATCTTTTTCATGTTTTTTGTCTACCATTTAGTGAGGCCTTTCTTTTTTCTGTAAACTTGTTTAAGTTTCTTATAAATTATGGATATTGGACCTTTGTCAAAAGCATAGTTTGCAAATATTTTCTTTTATTCTGTGTGTTGTTTGTTTACTGTGTTGATGGTTTCCTTTGCTGTGAAGAAGCTTTTTAGCTTAATTAGGTTCCATTTGTCAATTAGTACTTTTGTTGCAATTGCTTCTGGTATCTTTATTTTAAAATTTTTGCCGGCTTCTGTGTCTAGAATGGTATTTCATGGATCTTTTTAAATATATAATTTGAAGTTTTACATTTAAATATTTAATTTATCTTTAGTTGATTTTTGTATATGGTGTAATGAAGGGGTTCAGTTTCAATCTTCTACATAGTGCTAGCTAGTTATTCCAGTATCATTTGTTAAATAGGGAATTCTTTCCAGATTCCTCTTGTTAGCTTTGCCAAAGACCAGATGGTTGTAGGTGTGTGGTATTATTATGGGCTCTCTATTCTGTTGTATTGGTCTGTGAGTTTGTTTTTGTACCAGTACCATGTTGCTTTGTTTACTGTACCCTGTAGTATAGTTTGAATTCAGGTAATGTAATGACTTCAGCTTTGTTCTTTTCGCTTATGATTGGCTTGGCTATTTGGGCCCTTTCTTGGTACCATATAAGTTTTAAAAGTTTTTTTGTTTTGTTTTGTTTTTTTAGTTCTGTTAAGAAATGTTTTTGGTAGTTTGATAAAAATAGCAAATCTAATTTTTTGACAGTATGACCATTTTAATAATATTGATCTTTTCTTTCTTGCTTGCTTTCTTTTTTTTTTTTTTTTTTTTTTTTGAGATGGAGTCTTGCTCTTCACCCAGGCTAGAGTGCAGTGGCATGATTTTGGTTCACTGTAACTTCTCCTTCTCGGGTTCAAGCAGTTCTCTGCCTCAGCTTCCCGAGTAGCTGAGATTACAGATGCCTGCCACCACGCCCGGCTAATTTTTGTATTTTTAGTAGAGATAGGGTTTCACCATGTTGGCAGGCTGGTCTTGAACTCCTGACCTTGTGATCCAGCCGCTTCAGCCTCCCAAAGTGTTGGGATTATGGGTGTGAGCCACTTTGCCTGGCCAATATTGATCTTTTCTATCCATGAGCATAAAATGGTTTTCCATTTGTTTGTGTCATCTCTGACTTTTTTTTTTTTTTTTTTTTTTTGAGACGGAGTTTTGCTCTTTTTGCCCAGGTTGGAGTGCAATGGCACCATCTCTGCTCACCACAACCTCTGCCTCCCGGGTTCAAGCGATTCTCCTGCCTCAGCCTCCTGAGTAGCTGAGATTACAGGCATGCGCCACCACCCTGGCTAATTTTGTGTTTTTAGTAGAGACGGGGTTTCTCCATGTTGTTCAGGCTGGTCTTGAACTCTCAACCTCAGGTGATCTGCCTGTCTCGGCCTCCCAAAGTGCTGGGATTACAGGTGTGAGCCACCGCACCTGGCCCATCTCTGACTTCCTTAAGCAGTGTTTTCACAGTGTTGTCATAAAGATCTTTGACCTCCCTGGTTAGCTATAGTCCTAGATATTTTATTCTTTTTGTAGTGATTGTGAATTGGATTCCGTTTTTCATTTGGCTTTTGGCGTGCATGTTTTTGATTTACAGGGATGCTACTAATTTTTGTACATTTATTTTGTATTCTGAAATTTTACTGAAGTTGTCAGTTTGAAAAGCTTTTCTGCCGAGATTATAGGGTTTTTCAGGTACGGCATTATGTCATCTGTAAACAGAAATAGGTTTTGACATCCTCTCTTCCTGTTTGTATGCCTTTTATTTTTTTATCTTGCCTAATTGCTCTGGCCAGGACTTCCAGTTTTATGTTGAATAGGAGTGTTGAGAGGAGGGGCATCCTTGTCTTGTCCCAGTTTTCAAAGAAAAATGATTCCAGGTTATGTGTATTCAGTATGTTGTCTGTGGGTTTGTGATGGATAACTCATTATTATTATTTTTTTTTATTTTTATTTTTATTTTTTATTTTTTTGAGACGGAGTCTCGCTCTGTCACCCAGGCTGGAGTGCAGTGGTGCAATCTCGGCTCACTGCAAGCTCCGCCTCGTGGGTTCACTCCATTTTCCTGCCTCAGCCTCCTGAGTAGGTGGGATTACAGGCACCCGCCACCACGCCTGGCTAATTTTTTTGTATTTTTAGTAGAGACGAGGTTTCACCATGTTAGCCAGGATAGTCTCGATCTCCTGACCTCGTGATACTCCCGCCTCGGCCTCCCAAAGTGCTGGGATTACAGGTGTGAGCCACTGCGCCCCACCTCGTGTATGTTGAATTAACCTTGCATCCCAAAAATAAACCCTACTCGATCATAGTCGGTTAGGTTTTTGATGTCCTGCCCAATTTGGTTTGCCAATATTTTGTTGAGAATTTATCTTTTTTTTTTTTTTTAAGATTTTACTCCTGCAATTCTTGATCTTTTGTATAGTTTTTCATGTGAAAATCTCCTTCCGTTCAGAAATGATTTTGGTTATTTCTTGTCTTCTGCTAGCTTAGGGGTTGATTGGCTCTTGCTTCTCTCAGCCTTTTACTTATGATGTCAGGTTGTTAAACTGAAGTCTAACTTTTCAATGTAAGCATTTCATGCCATAAATTTTTCTCCTAACACTGCCTTAGCTGTGTTGCAAAAATTCAGGTATGTTGTATCTTTGTTCTCATTTTTTTCAAAGAACTTCTTGGTTCTTGCCTTAATTTCATTATTTACCCAAAAGTAATTCAAGTGCAGGTTGTTTAATTTCCATGTACTTGTATAATTCAAGTGATTTTCTTTGTATTGAATTACTTTTTTATCAAGCTGTGGCCTCTGTGTGTGGTTCATATAATTTTGGAATTTTTAAATTTGTTGAGGATTGTTTTGCTTCTGACTGTGTGGTCAATTTTAGAGTATGTGCCACGTAATGATGAGAAGACTGTATACTATGTTCTTTTTAGATGGAGAGTTCTGTAGAAATCTATTAAGACTGTTTAGTCAGGTGTTGAGTTTAGGTCTTAATATCTTTGTTAATTTTCTGCCTCAATAATGTGTCTATTAGTGCCCATGGGTGTTGTAGTCTCCCACTATTATTGTGTCAGTATCTCATTCTCTTCATCGGTCTCTAACAACTTGATTTATTTGTGTGCACCCATCAATTTATTATAACACCTTTCTCTCTTCTGCGTTTTTACCATAAACATTCTTTCAAGTTCACAATTCAGATGTCCAAGAGTTCAAGAACATGTCCAGTGACCTGGTTGTTTTAGGAGAAAATGCAAATTAAAAATAAGAGGCTTTATTCACATATGTGAAAATAAGGGAGGATATTTTGTTTATCTCTGTTTTATTAACGCATTTAGATTATATGTAGATATTTTTCTCTGCTTTTTTGAAATATATGTAAATTATATTAACAGCTAAGTAAACCTTTTATCATTCTTTTTGACTCAGAATTGTCTTTATTTGTAACCTGAGATTCATAGCTTTGTTTTTGCTTTGGCAAAGATTTATTTTTTTAATTTTCGGTCATTAAAAGTACGCACAGATTTGTTCAGAGTAAAGCTCATTTTAAGAGCACATGAAAGTTGGACACAAAGGTAGAATTAAATTTAACAATACAGAATGATAAAGACTAAAAGATACAGAGTAAGTTCCTTTGACAGAAACTTGATTATCCAAGGTAATTATTTGCAGGCTGAAGTACTTACAATGCAAAAGCAAGGGCTGGGTGCGGTGGCTCACACCTATAATCCCAGCGCTTTGGGAGTCTGAGATGGGCAGATCATTTGAGGTCAGGAGTTTGAGACCAGCCTGACCAACATGGTGAGATCCTGGCTCTACAAAAAAAATTAGCCAGGCATGGTGGCGCATGCCTGTAGTTCCAGCTACTCGGAAGGCTGAGACAGAAGAACAGCTTGAACCTGGGAGGCAGAGGTTGCAGTAAGTGCAGATCTCGCCACTGCACTCTAGCCTGGGCAACAGAGCGAGACTCAATAAGTAAATAAATAAAAATAAAAATAAAAATAAATGCAGACTCAGTCAGATATTGCTACTTTCTGTTTTCTGTGTAAACTTTAAAAAGCCAACAAAGATTATGATACTTTAAGATGGAGGTTGGTTGTCATTTGTTTCAGAAGTAATTGTGTTGTGACAAGAGTGCCAAGTGTAAGAGACTCTGTGCTGTGCCTGCTCTCTAACTAATGCTAATAATGAGCCTAGGGGGAGCAACATCAGCCTTGACGGGACTTATTTAAAACACCCACTCATGGACCCTTTCCATACCTGCAGAATCACATTACATAGAGTGAGACCAACATTACCAAGTGATTTATAAGCTCATTAAAGCTTGAGAGGCAGTGCTTAGTTAATGTGCAGGTTTATTACATACGTATATGTGTGGCATGGTGGTTTGCTGCATGTACTGACCCTTCTAGGTGCCCTCCCCTTGCCCCCACTTCACAACAGGCCCTGGTTTGTGTTATTCCCCTCCCTGTGTCCATGTGTTCTCATTGTTCAACTACCACTTATGAATGAGAACATGCGGTTTTTGGTTTTCTATCCCTGTGTTAGTTTGCTGAGGATGATGACTTCCAGCTTAATCCATGTTCCTGCAAAGGACGTGATCTCATTTCTTTGTATGGCTGCATAGTATTCCATGGTGTGTATGTACCATATTTTATTTGTCAAGTCTGTCATTGATGGGCATTTGGGTTGGTTCCATGTCTTTGCCATTGTAATTAGTGCTACAGTAAACATACGTGTGCATGTGTCTTTATAGTAGAATGATTTATATTTCTTTGAGTATATACCCAGTAATGGGATTGCTGGGTCAAATGATATTTCTGGTTCTAGATCCTTGAGGAATCACCACACTGTCTTCCACGATGGTTGAACTAATACATTCTCACTAACAGTGTAAAAGTGTTTCTGTTTCTTCACAGCCTCACCAGCATCTATTGTTTCTGACTTTTTAATAATTACCATTCTGACTGGTGTGAGATGGTATCTCATTGTGGTTTTGATTTGTATTTCTCTAATGATCAGTGGTATTGAGCATCTTTTCATATATTTGTTGGCTGCATAAATGCCTTCTTAGAAGTGTTTGTTCATCTTTTGCCCACTTTTTTTTTTTTTTTTTTTTTTTTGTGAGATAGAGTCTCGTTCTGTCTCCCAGGCTGGAGTGCAGTGGCGCAATCTCTGCTCACTGCAACCTCTACCTCCTGGGTTCAAGCCATTCTTCTGCCTCAGCCTCCTGAGTAGCTGGGACTACAGACATCCACTACCATGCCCAGCTAATTATTGTATTTTTAGTAGAGGCGGGGTCTCACCATATTGGCCAGGCTGGTCTAGAACTCCTGGCCTTAAATGATCTACCCATCTCGGCCTCCGAAAGTGGTGGGATGACAGGTGTGAGCCACCACTTCCAGCTTTTGCCCAGTTTTTGATGGAATTGTTTGTTTTTTTCTTGTAAATTTTTTAAAGTTTCTTGTAAATTCTGGATATTAGACCTTTGTGAGATGGGTAGATTGCAAAAATTTTCTCCTATTCTGTAGGTTGCTGGTTCACTCTCATGATAGTTTCTTTTTCTGTGTAGAATCTCTTTAGTTTAATTACATCTTATTCTTCAATTTTGGCTTTTGTTGCAATTGCTTTTGGCGTTTTCGTCATGAAGTCTTTGCCCATGCCTATGTCCTGAGTGGTATTGCCTAGGTTTTCTTCTAGGGTTTTTCTGGTTTTGGGCTTTACATTTATGTCTTTAATCCATCTTGAGTAAATTTTTGTATAAGATGTAAGGAAGAGGTCCAGTTTCAGTTTTCTGCATATGGCTAGCCGGTTTTCTCAGGACCATTTATTGAACAGAAAATCCTTTCCCCATTGCTTGTTTTTGTCACGTTTGTTGAATATCAGATGGTTGTAGATGTGTGGTGTTATTTCTGAGGTCTCTTTTCTGCTCCATTGGTCTGTATGTCTGTTTTTGGACCAGTACCATGTTGTTTTGGTTATTGTAGTCTTGTAGTATAGCTTGAAGTCAGGTAGTGTGATGCCTCTATCTTTGTTCTTTTTGCTTAGGATTGTCTTGGCTATATGGGCTCTTTTTTGGTTCCATATGAAATTTAAAGTCATTGTTTTTTCTAATTCTGTGAAGAATGTTAATGGTAGTTTGATGGGAATAACATTGAGTCCATAAATTACTTTGGGCAGTATGGCCATTTTCATGATGTTGATTCCTTCTATCCATAAGGATGGGATGTTTTTCCATTTGATTGTGTGCTCTCTTACTTCCTTGAGGAGTGGTTTGTAGTTTTCCTTGAAGAGGTCCTTCATATTCCCTGTTAGCTGTATTTTTATATATTTTACTTTTTGTAGCAATTGTGATGTTTATTTACGATTTGGCTCTCTGATGGTCTGTTGTTGGCTTATAGGAATGCATGTGATTTTTGCACATTGATTTTGTATCCTGAGACTTTGCTGAAGTCACTTATCAGCTTACGGAGTTTTTGGGCTGAGATGACAGAATTTTCTAAATATAGAATAATGTCATCTGCAAACAGAGACAATTTGACTTCCTGTTTTTTTATTTGAATACTCTTAATTTCTTTCCCTTACCTGATTGCCCTGGCCATAACTTTCAATACTATGTTCAATAAGAATGGTGAGAAAGGGCATCCTTGTCTTGTACTGGTTTTCAGAGAATGCTTCCAGCATTTTCCCATTCAATATGACATTGACTGTGGGTTTGTCATAAACACACTTACTATTTTGAGATATGTTCCATCAACACCTGGTTTATTGAGAGTTCTTAACATGAAAGAAAGTTGAATTTTATCAAAGGCCTTTTCTGCATCTATTGAGATAATCATGTGGTTTTTGTCTTTAGTTCTGTTTATGTCATGAATTACGTTTATTGATTTGCATATGTTGAACCAGCCCTGCATCCCAGGGATGAAGCCGACTTGATTGTTGTGGATCAGTTTTTTTGTTTTGTTTTGTTTTGAGACAGAGTTTCGCACTTGTTGTCCAGTGCAGTGGCGTGATCTCGGCTCACTGCAACCTCTGCCTCCTGGGTTCAAGTGATTCTCCTGCCTCAGCCTCTCTAGTAGCTGGGATTATAGGCATGCACCACCACGCCTGGCTAATTTTTTGTACTTTTAGTAGAGACGGGGTTTCTCCATGTTGGTCAGGCTGGTCTCGAACTCCTGTTCTCACGTGATCTGCCCGCCTCGGCCTCCCAAAGTGGCGGATTACAGGCGTGAGCTACCGCGCCCGACCTGGTGGATGTTTTTTGATGTGCTGCTGGATTTGGTTTGCCAGTTTTGTTTTGTTTTTGCTTTTATTTTTATTTTTTTGAGACAGAGTCTCACTCTGTCATCCAGGTTGGAGTATAGTGGCATTATCTCGGCTCACTGCAACCTCCGCCTCCCGGGTTCAAGCAATTCTTCTGCCTCAGCCTCCTGAGTAGCTGAGACTGCAGGCGTGAGCCACCACACCCAGCTAAATTTTGGATTTTTAGTAGAGATAGTGTTTCACCATGTTGGCCAGGCTGGTCTTGAACTCCTGACCTTGTGATTCACCCGCCTTGGCCTCCCAAAGTGCTGGGATTACAGGCGTGAGCCACCGTGCCCAGCCGAGAAATGAAAAACCCTCCAAAAAAAAAAAATCAGTGAATTCAGGAGCTGTTTTTTGAAAAAATTAACAAAATAGGACTGGGCACAGTGGCTCACGCCTGTAATCCCAGCACTTTGGGAAGCCAAGGCAGGGGGATCATCTGAGGTCAAGAGTTCGAAACCAACCTGGCCAACAAGATGAAACCCTATCTCTACTAAACGTAGAAAAATTAGCTGGTCATGGTGGCACGCGCCTGTAATCCCAGCTACTCCAGAGGCTGAGACAGCAGAATCGCTTGAACCCAGGAGGCGGAGGTTGCAGTGAGCCAAGATCGCGCCACTGCACTCCAGCCTGGGCGACAGAGTGAGACTCTGTCTAACTGGTTATTCTAGTTAGCAGCTCCTCTCTCTAACTTTTTATCAAGGTTCTTAGGTTTTTTGCATTTGGTTAGAACATGCTCCTTTAGCTCAGTGGAGTTTGTTATCACCCATCTTCTGAAGCCTACTTCTGTCAATTTGTCTATCTTATTCTCCATCCAGTTCTGCACCCTTGCTGGAGAGGCATTGCAATCATTTGGAGAAGAGGCACTCTTGCCTTTTGGGTTTTCAGTGTCTTTTTCTTTTTTCTTTTTTTTTTGAGACGGAGTCTTGCTCTGTTGCCCAGGCTGGAGTGCAGTGGCGCGATCTCAGCTCACTGCAAGCTCTGCCTCCCAGGTTCACGTCATTCTTCTGCCTCGGCCTCCCAAGTAACTGGGACTACAGGTGCGGACTACCATGCCCGGCTAATTTTTTGTATTTTTAGTAGAGACAGGGTTTCACCGTGTTAGCCAGGATGGTCTCGATTTCTTGACCTCATGATCTGCCCGCCTCAGCCTCCCAAAGTGCTGGGATTACAGGCATGAGCCACCACACCTGGCTTCAGCGTTTTTTTCATTAATTCTTTCTCATCTTCATGAGTTTGTCTAGTTTTGATCTTTGAGGCTGCTGACTCTTGGATGAGGTTAGTGTGGGGACTTTTTTATTGCTGTTGTTCATTTCTGTTTGTTTTTTTTCAGTGGTCAGGTCCCTCTTCTGTATGGTTGCTGTGATTTGCTGGGGGTTCACTTCAGGCCCTATTTACGTGGTTCACTCCTGCACCTGGAGATAATACTCAAGGAGGCTGGAGAACAGCAAAGATGGTTGCCTTCTCCTTCCTCTGGGCTGCCTGACCTCAAGGAACAACAATCTGATGCCAGTAGGAACACTCCTGTATAGAGTGTCTGACAACCCCAGTTGGAGTATTTCACCCATTGGGTGACACGAGGAACAGAACCCATTTAATGAAGCACTTTTATTGTCCCTTGGTGGAGGGGGTATGCTTCACTGAAGTTAAAACCACTCCTCTGGGCTGCTTGGATTCCTTAGAACTAACAGGAGGAAAAGCTAAGTCTGCTGTTCCCACAGAGACTGCAATCACTTCTCCCCTTAGGGACTCAGGCCCAGGGAGATCAGAGTTCTGTCCCTGAGCCCCTGGCTGGAGTTGGAGTTCCTGCAGGGTGGCCCCACAAAATGAGGAGGGATGGGTCAGAGTCAGGCCTGAAGAGGTGCTGTAGCTGTAGTCTGGCACAGCCGGTGTGTTGGGCTGTGGGGGACACTTCTTGGAACCAAGCCTGCCAGGAGCTGTAGAGATGGTTGCTGCCCCTCCCCGGGGAGCTCAGATGGCTTAGACAGCAGGCAGCCACACCTGTGGTGCTGGTCACCCCTCCCCTGGGAACTCAGCAGGCTTAAACAGATTTTAGCTGAGAGGTTGTTGAGAATCTGCACAGCTCTGGGGTTGGGACCCTAGGCTCCTGTGGCATGGGTTCACGAGTGAAATCTTTCCGTTTGTGGGTTGCACAGTTCCATGGAAAAAGCATGGTTTTGTCGGCTAAGTAGCACATTCATTCACCATCTCTCTTGGCTGGGGGGTGGGGGCTCCCCTTCCCCGTATGGCTCTCAGGTGGGTTGCTGCACCACACTGCTCTTTCTTCCTCTCCGTGGGTCATGCCAGCTGCCTAGTCAGTTCTGATGAGAGAACCTGGATACCTCAGGTGCAAGTGCAGGATTCACAGGCCATTATGGTTCTTTTTGGTGGGAGCCTCTGATCGCAGCTGCTTCTAGTTGGCCATCTTTGCCCTGCCCCTAATTTTTTTTTTTTTTTTTTTTAGCTAAGCATGTCTCAGATGAAGAGCTGTGTCCACTCTGTGTCCTAGAATGCCATATGTTCAGTACTTGCAAAGCTTTACTTTTCTACATGTGCTTTTTCTTCCTAATGAGTTTAACTGCTTTTTAGTTCTTATAATAGTCAGGGGTGTCTGAAAAATATTTCTTTCCTATATACCAGAGTCTTCTTTACATTCTCAACATCATGGCTTCTTACACGTCATAAAGAATTCTCACCATGAATTTATGAACTGCAATATTAAGAAGGTTTCTTTCCTGGCTGTGGAACATGGAAAGGGTGGATACTGAATATTCCTATTGGGGAAAAGCTGGAGTCCGTAGTAAAGATGGAGAGCATGTAATGTTGAGGTTCTATCTCTGTTCTCCATTAACTCTATGCAGAACAGGATTAAGAAAATGCTTGCTTAAATGGGATGGCATTTATTACCCAGACAGTTTTGAAAAAAAAATTATTAGGAGATACTTGCTCTTTAGGGTGTGAAAGAAAGACTACTTAAAATCACTATTAAAATTTACAGAACATGGCAGATATCAGTATCTGGAACTTTGCATAAAACCAATGTTTCTTTATGATTAAATTCAGGCTATGATTTACTTTTGGCTGGGAGATACCATAGCAGTGATGCCGTGTCCTTCTGTGTGCATCAGCACATCATAAAAATTTATCTTCATGCAGTTGATGTTAATAACTCACTTGGTTAATGAACTCTGACAGATTTTTTTTTCTATAGAGTTCATTATTTTTCTCTTCATTATTGAGTATCTTTATTCAGCAGATGTGCATAAACAATCACATTTAATCTGGCAGCTGACCTTTCTTAGGTTTTCTTTGCATTTATCTGTCTTTGGAAAACGAAAGCTCTCATCTTTGTTTACAGGCCAGAAAAACTGAAAAACACACAGGCTCTTCCACTTACTGGATGTTTGACAAAATAGTTTTCTTGGACCAAAAACATGGGCATTACTGGTGAGCTTGTTAGAGATTCAGAAACTCAGATTTTATTCCAAATTTTCTTTTCTTTTTTTTATTTTGAGACGGAGTCTCGCTCTGTCACCCAGGCTGGAGTGTAGTGGCGCGATTTCAGCTCACTGCAAGCTCCGCCTCTGGGGTTCATGCCATTCTCCTGCCTCAGCCTCCCGAGTAGCTGGGACTACAGGCTCTCGCCTCCACGCCTGGCTAATTTTTTGTATTTTTAGTAGAGCCAGGGTTTCACTGTGTTAGCCAGGATAGTCTCGGTCTCCTGACCTCGTGATCCACCTGCCTTAGCCTCCCAAAGTGCTGGGATTACAGGCGTGAGCCATCGCTCCCAGCCCAGATTTTCTGAAAAAATAATCTGCATTAACAAGATCTCCAGTTTATTTTACACATTAACATGTGAGCAGTATTTTCTAACTGAATATGTCTTTTCCATCTGAAAAATTTACACAACTTATTCTGTATGATGTAAATGTAGCACTCAAAAGTGTACATGTTAGTGTTAATGCCCTCAGTTTTATACTTCATCATCCAAAAAAGTATCATCTATACCTCGATGTTGTGGATCTTATGCCACTCTCTTTTCTCAGAGTTAGAGAATACATTAGAGAATACTTCTGTGCTGAAAGTTATTTATTAAATATATCAGTCACTCCTATAAGTAAGAACCAGTTCTCTTTACTCTTGTTTTACCTTGAGTCAAATTAAAAATTCTGTTTATGGCCACTTGGTAAATATGTATGTGTGTTTGTATGTTTTTCAGGGAGTGTTGACATTTAGGGATGTGGCCTTAGAATTCTCTCTGGAGGAGTGGCAATGCCTGGACACCGCACAGCAGAATTTATATAGGAATGTGATGTTAGAGAACTACAGAAACCTGGTCTTTGTGGGTGAGGATAACTTCAATATACAATTCCCTAATATACCCTATAAATTTTATTTCTCTTTTTTGTAGAATGGTTTTTTTGGTAGTTTATGCTTTCAGATCTCTGTTTTTTTTTTTTGTTTTTTTTTTTTAACTTCAAGATTTGTCTATGTAGAAAAGAATTTCAAGATGTTTCATTTTGATCTGAACTTTCCACACTCCTGAGCTGATCTGTGTTCTTCACTCTAGATTAGTGTTAATTTTAGAAATTTAGTGGCATAACATACTGTTGCCCACATCTTAAAATCTAATTGCCACTACCAGTTTTTGATTTAGTAGTATCAGGTAGTGAAATTAAGAACTTACAAAATTAAAATATTTCCTAAATATTTAAAATTTTTTGTTGTGTATTAGTATTTTGGAATCAATTTACTAGAATATTCTATTACATCCTTTTTACTGAACACACTACTAAATTGGTAATTGGAGAATATGAGCAAGATTCATGTTATTTGTAATAAAACAGGTATTGCTGCCTCTAAGCCAGACCTGATCACCTGTCTGGAGCAAGGAAAAGAACCTTGGAATGTGAAGAGACATGAGATGGTAACTGAACCCCCAGGTAGGTGAGAGTGAAAGTGAATACAACAGACGACACAGATGAGAGCTCCAAAGTAGAAAAAAAAAAAAAGCCATTCCTTAAAATGATTTGAAATCTGTGTTCCAAAGGAAATAGTTTCTAGGAAACTTGAATTTTTTAAATTTTGCTTTCACATAGAAGCATCTTCTGTCTTATATTTTTAAAATCTCTAAAGATTTTACTTTCCCTTTGGTGATCTTCTTCAGGTTTACAGTGACAGCCAAGACAGCCCTCTTCATGGCACATAAGAGACTGTGAAATCTGACTGCTTTTTCATTGTTTTTGAAAACACATAGATAATCTGCATAATTTTGAGAAACTCTATGTTAAACTGTTTTTCAAGTTCTGTTTTTACATCATGTCCTAAATGTGTGAGAGCAGTGGTTTCTGTTCCATTGGTTTTTTATTGCTAATTTTTCTGCACATTGCATTCTGTCTTATTATAGTCTTGAAGTATAGTTTGAAATTATAAAGTATGATGTTCTTCTGCTTTGTCCTTTTTTTTTCAAGATTGCTTTGGCTATTCAAAGTTTATTGTAAGTCTATGTGAGAATTGTATTTTCTTTTTCTCTTTCTTTTTTTTTTTTTTTTTTTTGAGATGGAGTCTTGCTCTGTCACCCAGGCTGGAGTGGAGTGTCATCATCTTGGCTAACTGCAATCTCTGCCTCCTGGGTTCAAGCGATTCTTCTGCCTCAGCCTCCTGAGTAGCTGGGAATACAGGCGCGAGCCACCATGCCTGGCTAATTTTTATATTTTTAGTAGAGACGGGGTGTCACCATATTGGCCAGGCTGGTCTCGAACTCCTAGACCTTGTGATCCGCCTGCCTTGGCCTCCCAAAGTGCTAGGATTACAGGTGTGACCCACCGTGCCTGACCGAGAATTGTATTTTCTATTACTGTAAAAAAAAAATACTGGAATTTTGATAGGGAATTTATTGAATCTAGAGATCACTGTAGATAACACGGCACTTTAATAATATTCTTTCAGCCGGGCATGGTGGCTCACGCCTGTAATCCCTGCACTTTGGGAGGCTGAGGCAGGTGGATCACCTGAGGTCAGGAGTTTGAGACCAGCCTGGCCAACATGATGAAACCCTGTCTCTACTAAAAATACAAAAAATTAGTCAGGCGTGGTGACAGGCGCCTGTAATTCCAGCTACTTGGGAGGCTGAGGCGGAAGAATTGCTTGAACCTGGTAGGCAGAGGTTGCAGTGAGCTGAGATTGCACCACTACACTCCAATGTGGGCAACAAGAGTGAAACTCCATCTCAAAAAAAAAAAAAAATTCTTTCAATCAATAGACATGAAATGTTTTTAAATTTATTTTTGTCTTCTCCAATTATTGATGTATCTTTTATTTGAAAGATATTTAAGCTCCTTGGTTAAATTTGTTCTCAGAAATTTATTATTTTAGTGCTATTGTAAATAAGATTGCTTTCTGTCTCTCTTTTGTCAGATAGTTTGTTTAAAGTGTATGGAACCATAACTTACACTTGTATGTTAATTTTCTATTTTGCTAACTTATTGAGTGTAATTATTACTTTAATTAGGTTTTAAATGTACTGTTTATGGTTTTCTATATACAAGATCAAATGATCTACAAAAAGCAACTTTTTACTTATTTGTCTTCAATTTCAGTGACTTAAATTTTTTTTTTTTTTTTTTTTACTTATTCCACATACTTCCAGTGCTGTGTTAAAATAGAAGCATTGAGAATGGGCATAATAAACTTTTGCATTGGTGTCTGTGAGTTTGAAGGAGTAAACACCTCTTCAAGTTTTTCTTGTTTTTTTTTTGTTTTGTTTTGTTTTGTTTTTTGAGACAGTGTCTCACTCTGTCGCTGAGACTGGAGTGCAGTGGCGCGGCCTCGGCTCACTGCAACCTCCACCTCCCAGGTTCAAGTGATTCTCCTGCCTCTGCCTCCCGAGTAGCTGGGACTACAGGTGCGTGCCACCATGCCTGGCTAATTTTTATATTTTTAGTAGAGATGGGGTTTCACCATGTTGGCCAGGCTGGTCTTGAACTCCTGACCTGGTGATCCACCCGCCTTGGCCTCCCAAAGTTCTGGGATTACAGGCGTGAGCCACCGCGCCTGGCCCTCTTCAAGTTTTTATAAATTGGTTTCAGAAAGTGAAGATCTTTTGTTGAGCCCCCAGGGTGATGGGATGTCCTATGGGTTTGTAGTGGAGAGGGGTAGGTAGCTTGTTTACAAAGGCTGCTGGGTCTGCATTAGGGTCCACCTTTAGTTGGCTTGTTACAAGGGGCTTAGGTAGTTGTAATTCCCATTTTATTTTTGGACAGAGTGAGTATCCTTCAGGACTTTGCTCTGTAGGGCAGACGCTAGGGCAGATTTCTGCACTTGGGTCTGCATATGGTAGGCTTTATATTAGGATGTAGATGAGTTTGGCTTTCACTGAGTACCAGAGAGGATTTCCCAAGGTCACTGTGTGGGTTTCTACATAGGCAGAACTTGCCATGAACTGTGGCTCAGGGTGATAAAACTGAGTCATGAAACTGCTTCAGGGACCACAGTAATGGCCAAGGTCTGCAGGCCTGCTGCGTGGCTATAAAGGGGTGTCTCTCTCCAGACCTCTGAAAGGGCAAGACCTCTCCCAGACTGTGGCTGGGAGGAGTTTGGGATGATTGCAGGGTAAGTTCAGAATTCTCAGTGGGACCAAGTTTGGTGGGCCATTTTCTGGTCTGTAGCCAAGAACAGGGGTCCTGTAGTTTGCCACCTGAATGAAAGCCTGCCTTCTGAAGAGAATATTCCTCAATCTTGGGCATTAGCAGAGTTTCACAACTCCCTCCATAGATCTCAAAGCTCTTTAAGGGCACTTGTTTTGGAGATGGGTTCTTGCTACATGACCCAGGTTGATCTTGAAGTTCTGTCCTAAAGCATTTCTCATTACAGGTTTGAGTCATGATTCCTGTTTCTCTCATAAAGGCATTTTTATCAGGCTGATGAATTTTCTTGCTGTCAGAAAATAAGCAAATAAGGCACCATTTATTTTTCCATCTTAGTGATGTCACTCTTCCTGTACATTTTTACTTTCTACTTTCTATTTCAATTTTGTCAGTAGTTTTAGATTTAGACATTTAGGACAATATACTAAAATTGACATGTTATGTCTGAGGTGAATTAGATAATTAGTAGACAGACAAAAAGGAAATATAGACAGGCAAAAAAAGACAGGATTTTCACTCACTTTTGTCAGCTAGTACCTAAAATATGACATAATTTGTTCCCAAATATTTGTTTTATATATCAGAGGCCCTGACCATATTCTGCAAAATAGATATATTTTTTCTTTATTTAGCAATGTAAGGCTATTTTTTGCTTCTAAATTTGGATTACAGCAGTTTTATTTTGTGTAAGAATAGCATATATTTAAAACTTAGAAATGATCTTATTTATTAAAATGCTTATTTATCAGTTTGTCATTAGAGTCTTCTGTTTATGATTATACTGCATTTTATCTGAAACTTTTACTGCATTACAGTGCA
This sequence comes from Homo sapiens, assembly GCF_000001405.40. Classification (NCBI taxonomy): domain Eukaryota; kingdom Metazoa; phylum Chordata; class Mammalia; order Primates; family Hominidae; genus Homo; species Homo sapiens. The sequence goes on along the minus strand of NC_000019.10, from coordinate 22,399,266 downwards.
TGCCAATGATTCAAAATAGCCACCTTCAATGAGTACACAGTTACAGTAAAATATTCCAGTTATCTACACAAATTCTTTGTTAATGCTACATCAAGTTACATACCAGATTTTATGAGTAAACATTTATTATTATTTTTTAGTTTCATATTAATGCGTTTTTTCAGTGTAGGTTTCTTAACATAAGTTTATTGTGTTTTTTGGTTTTACAATTTTAGACAATTTGCAATTCTGTTTTTACATGTAAGTCGGTGTGGGGTTTAAGAGATAAATCAGCCTTATCTCTATTACAATCTGATTATATGTGTGTGTGTTTTTATCTATAAATATGACCCCAATTTTGGTTATGGCTAATCTTGTATATATTTTTTCTTAGCTGATTTTTAATGGTGGCTTTATCTTGTCTAAATGAGTAGTCATGGAAATAGTCTTATTTTCACCTTGTGTTTAATAATAAACATATTTCCTATGTGTGAGGGAAACACTTTTGTGACTTGAAGGTAATTTTTGGAAAGGTTTATAATTCTGGATCTTCAGTTATTCTTCTAAAAAACAATTGTACAAACATATAACCTAAAATTTACCATCTTAAATCTATTTGAATGTACATTTCATGGCCAGTCGTGGTGGTTCACGTCTGTAATCCCCGGATTTTGGGAGGCCAAGGCAGGAAGACTGAGCCCAAAAGCTTGAGAACATCCTGGAAGACATATGGAAACCTCATCTCTGTAAAGCATTTTAAAACGTAGCCAGACATGGTGAAGTGGTCCTGTCTACTTGGGAGATTGAGGAGGGAGGATTACTTGAACCTGGAAGTTTGAGGCTGCAGTGAGCTGTAATTGTGCCATGCACCCCAGCTTGGGTGACAGAGTGAGACCCTGACTCAAAAACACTGTACATTTCAGGCATGTTAAGTATATTTACATTATTTTATAAAAGATTTCTAGAAAGTTTACAATACACATTAAACAACTACCAATTTTTCCCATTTCCTGGCACTTTTCAAATGCCATTCTGTTTTCTGTTTCTAAGAGTATAACTGCTTTGTATATCTCATAAAATCTGTTTGTGGCTGGCTCATTTTATTTTGCATAAAGTCATCAGGATTTACCTTTATAGTTGTTAGAATATTTCCTGCTTTTTTTCAAACTGAGTAATATTTTGGCATTTTTGTATTTCAAATTATATCTGCTGAACGATTTGGTGACCGAAATTTGCCTTGCTTTTACCTACTGGCTTTTAGTAACAATGCTAAAATAAATGTGGGTATGCAAATGACTCTTCATGTGACCATATATGTGAGAGTTTATATATGTGCTGCATTCTATTTTATTAGTCTACTTTTTCACCTTTATACTCATACCAAATTGTTTTAATTCTGTAGCTTTGTGTTTTGAAATCAGGAACTGTAATGCCTCCAACATTGTTTTGTTTTGTTTTTAATATTTTTGGGTACTTCATTGTATGTAGAGATTCTGTATACTCGAGGGATTGCTGTTTCTGTTTCTTCAAAAATGCAGTGAGAAATTTGAAAAACATTGCATTAAATCTGTAGATTGCATTGAGCAGGATGGACATCTTTACAGTATTACCTTTTTCAGCCTTTCACAAGAGCATGCTCAAGAGTGTGTTGTTTAATTTCTATATATTTGTTAATTTTTCAGATTTTTTTTCTCGTTGTATACTCATTTCATTTTGGTGATAGAAAGTAATTTATAAAATTTCAGTTTTAAAAAAACTGGTAAGACTTAATTTTCTTTTTTTTGTAATAAGAGGAGGTCTATGAAGGAAAATGTTGTATTAGCTATTGAGAACCATGTGTGTCCTGGTGTTGAGGGGTGTTTTCTATACCTCTGTTAGAAATAATTGTCTTACACTGCCTGGAAGTCCTCTATTCCCTTACTAATATTCTCATTTAATTTTTATTACGGCAAGTGCAGTGTCAAAATATCCTACTATAATTATGTTGCTCTCTATGTGTCTCTGTTATTCTGTCAATGTTTGCTTTATATGTTTGGAGCCCTAATGTGAGATACACACACACACACACACACACAAAAACACACACACACACACACAGATGTACATACAGATTTGTCATAGGTTCCCAGTGAGTAAATCTGAAGTGGTTTTTTTTTGTTGTTTTTTTTTGAGACAGAGTCTCACTCTGTGTCCCAGGCTGGAGTGCAGTGGTGTGATCTCGGCTCACTGCAACCTCTGCCTCCTAGGTTCAAGTGATTCTCCTTCCTCAGCCTCCTGAGTAGCTAGGATTACAGGCGCCCACCACCATGCCCGGCTAATTTTTGTATTTTTAGTAGAGTCGGTTTCACCATGTTGGCCAGGCCAGTCTCGAACTCCTGACCTCAAGTGATCCACCTGCCTCAGCCTCCCAAAGTGCTGGGATTACAGGCGTGAGCCACCATGCCCAGCCTAAATCTGTAAGTTTTAATGTCCTTTTTTGTCTCCTTGGAGTTTTAACTTCAAGTACATTTTGTAAAACATGACAGTTTTTGACTTAAGATGTAGCTTGCATAATACTATCTTGATTTCTTCTGCTCTCATTTGATTCATATTTGCATGAAATGTATTCTTCCATCTTGCCCCTTTTAGTGTTTTTTATCATTAGATCTCTACTGACTCTTGTAGAAAAAAAAAGTTGGATCTTGGTTTTTAAAATTTTTAATCTGTTGAAAGTATGTCTCTTGATTTAAAAGTTAATTTTATATATACATTTAAATAACTGTCTGATAAAGACAGACTGTTACATTTTTAATTATTTTATTTGATTCTTGCATCTTTGTTTCTCATTTTCTCTCTTTGTGTCTTTTTGATTTTTGTATTGATATGCTTTTACTTATTTCTAATTCACTTTTGTATATTTGTACAGAATTTTTTTTTGGTGGCACCTTGGGGGTTCCATAAAACTTCTATAAGAAACAACAGTATAGTTTTAATTTGGTATAAAATAAATCTCAGTTGAATAAAAAAATCTTCCTCATTACATCTGCCCTGAAATTTGTCTTTGATGTTGCTAATTATGTTTTTACATTGTATATTCATTAACAGATGTTTATAATTTCTGTGCTTTTATTTTTCAAAATTTAGAGATAATTTAAAATGTTTTCTGCACCATTATGATAATGCCACAAGATTCTGTTTTTATGTATGTGCATATCTTTCCTGGAAAATAATGTATTTTTATATGATTATGTGTTTTTTTTTAATACTTTTACTTTCAGTTTAAGAAACTGCTTTCATCATCTTTTATATGTAGGGCATATGCAGTGCTAATATACTTTTTCAGAATTTGGTTGTTTTGGAAGGTTTTTTCTTTTTATGTGGCAGGACAGATTTGTTGATGGTATTATTCTCAACTTGATAGCTTTTTTTTTTCCCCCCCCTCAGGACTTTGTGTCACACGGTATCTTTCTGATCTGCAAAATTTTTGTTGATAATTCACTGGTTATATCATAAGACTATGTTTGTAAATGACACATTACTTTTACCTTGCTGCTCCTAAGACTTTCTTCCTGTCTGTGATTTTTGAAAATGTGCTTAATATGTATTTGTTTAAATATCTGTGTGTGTATCCTAATTTGTTTGTTGAACTTCATTTTTACATCATTTTTCTTTTAGGATTTTCCAGTTGTTTATTTTTCTATTTTTTACCACCAAATTGTTTTTTTTTAATATTTTGATATTCTTGTTTTTATTCTCATTTTTGTGATTTTCTACAGTGGACTGTGTTCCTGTTTCACTCATTGGATATTATTCAACTTATTAGTGTTTAAAACGTGTACATCTTTTTTATGGTTTCTTTCTGAAGTTTATATGGTATTTTTGATGAAATTATATTGCCCTGTTTTGTATACATTGTAATCTGGAATGAGATTTGGACATCAAAAAAGCTACCTGTCACAGTCTTTAAAATGTTTTTTTTTTCTGACATAGTCTGAAAACAATTATCTTGGCTAGAGATTCTGGGAGTCTCTCAAACATGTTCTTAGGATGTGCCTTGTCTAAAATTTTGTGTTTAGTTTTTAGTCAGCGGAGTTTATTCGTGTTTCTTTTCTTTTTTTTTTTTTTTTTTTCTTTTTGAAACAGAGTTTTGCTCCTGTCACCCAGGCTGCAGTGCAATGGCATGGTCTCAGCCCACTGCAGCCTCCACTTCTCCGGTTCAAGTGATTATCTGGTCTCAGCTTCCCACTTAGCTGGGATTACAGGCATGTGACCCCATGCTCAGCTACTTTTGTATTTTTAGTAGAGACAGGGTTTCACTATGTTGCCAAGGCTTGGTCTCAAACTCCGGACCTCAGTTGATCCTCCCACCTTGGCCTCCCAAAGTGCTAGGATTACAGGTTTGAGCCACCAAACTCCTTAATAACCAATAATCACTTGCTATAATTGTTTCCTGTCTGTAGTACCACAGTCTTTCTGCTGCTGTAAAACTTACCTTTCTTATTTATTTATTTATTTCATTATACTTTAAGTCCTAGGGTACATGTGCCCAGCGTGCAGTTATGTTACATAGGTATACATGTGCCATGGTGGTTAATGCTGTCCTTCCCCCAGCCCCTCACACCCCAACAGGCCCCGTTGTATGATGTTCCCCGCCCTGTGTCCAGGTATTCTCATTGCTCAATTCCCACCTATGAGTGAGAACATGCGGTGTTTGGTTTTCTGTCCTTGTGATAGTGTGCTCAGAATGATGGTTTCCAGCTTCATCCATGTGCCTGCAAAGGACATGAACTCATCCTTTTTCATGAATACATAGTATTCTGTAGTATATACGTGCCACATTTTCTTAATCCATTCTATCATTGATGGACATTTGGGTTGGTTCCAAGTCTTTGCTATTGTGAATAGTGCCGCAATAAATGTACGTGTGCATGTGTCCTTATAGTAGCATGATTTATAATCCTTTGGGTATATACCCCGTAATGGGATGGCTGGCTCAAATGGTATTTCTAGTTCTAGATCCTTGAGGAATCGCAACACTGTCTTCCACAATGGTTGAACTAGTTTACAGTCCCACCAACAGTGTAAAAGCGTTTCTATTTCTCCACATCCTCTCCAGCACCTGTTGTCTCCTGACTTTTTAATGATCACCATTCTAACTGGCATGAGATGGTATCTCATTGTGGTTTTGATTTGCATTTCTCGGATGGCCAGTGATGATGAGCATTTTTCCATGTGTCTGTTGGCTGCATAAATGTCTTCTTTTGAGAAGTGTCTGTTCACATCCTTTGCTCACTTTTTGATGGGGTTGTTAGTTTTTTTCTTGTAAATTTGTTTAAGTTCTTTGTAGATTCTGGATGTTTGCCCTTTGTCAGATGGGTAGATTGCATAGATTTTCTCCCATTCTGTAGGTTGCCTGTTCATTCTGGTGGTAGTTTCTTTAGCTGTACAGAAGCTCTTTAGTTTAATTAGATCCCATTTGTCAATTTTGGCTTTTGTTGCCATTGCTTTTGGTGTTTTAGTCATGAAGTCCTTGCCCATACCTGTGTCCTGAATGGTATTGTCTAGGTTTTCCTCTAGGGTTTTTATGGTTTTAGGTCTAATATTTAAGTCTTTAATCCATTTTGAATTAATTTTTGTATAAGGTGTAAGGAAGGGATCCAGTTTCAGCTTTCTACATATGGCTAGCCAGTTTTCCCAGTACCATTTATTAAATAGGGAATCCTTTCCCCATTTCTTGTGTTTTGTCAGGTTTGTCAAAGATCAGATAGTTGTAGATGTGTGGTGTTATTTCTGAGGTCTCTATTCTGTTCCATTGGTCTATATATCTGTTTTGGTACCTTACCTTTCATCTCAGCAGCCTCAAACTGTCATTTGAAAGAATACCACTATTTCTTTCAGAACTTTTATGCAATGAGACACAGGAACCAGTGTAAAAGACCTTGCCATTGAGAAATAAAGATGTATAAGCCATTATTTTACTTGTCTTTTGAAAATGAAACCAGGAGTTGGCAATTTATTTCTAAAGTCACTATGTTATATAGGGAAGCAGGAAGATCTGCACTGGGTAAATGTAACAGACTTTTCTTTCTTCTGTGTGGCTCTTTGCATTGGGCTCATCTGGGGCACTGCACACACTTAACTTACTTTAATTTTTCAGAAATGTAATTTGTTCTGTATGCTTTTATATGTCTGTGAAAATGTTAGAGCGTGTAATATTTTGCTGTAACATCTTGTGATGTAGTTTGTATAATTTTATAGGTTAGATTTGTAAAGTACATTCATCTGAGTCTAGTAAGTGAAGTAATTTATTATTTTTATTTCTTTCAGTTGTATATTCTTATTTTGCCCAAGACCTTTGGCCAAAGCAGGGCAAAAAAAATTATTTCCAAAAAGTGATACTGAGAACATATAAAAAATGTGGACGTGAAAATTTACAGTTAAGAAAATACTGTAAAAGCATGGATGAGTGTAAGGTGCACAAAGAATGTTACAATGGACTTAACCAGTGTTTGACAACTACCCAGAACAAAATATTTCAATATGACAAATATGTGAAAGTCTTTCATAAATTTTCAAATTCAAACAGACATAAGATAGGACATACTGGAAAGAAATCTTTCAAGTGTAAAGAATGTGAAAAGTCATTTTGCATGCTTTCACACTTAGCTCAACATAAAAGAATTCATAGTGGAGAGAAACCCTACAAATGTAAAGAATGTGGGAAAGCCTATAATGAGGCCTCAAACCTTTCTACACATAAAAGAATTCATACTGGAAAGAAACCCTACAAATGCGAAGAGTGTGGAAAAGCCTTTAACCGGCTCTCACACCTTACTACACATAAGATAATTCATACTGGAAAGAAACCCTACAAATGTGAGGAGTGTGGCAAAGCTTTTAACCAATCTGCAAACCTTACTACACATAAGAGAATTCATACTGGAGAGAAACCCTACAAATGTGAAGAATGTGGCAGAGCTTTTAGCCAGTCCTCAACCCTTACTGCACATAAGATAATTCATGCTGGAGAGAAACCTTACAAATGTGAAGAATGTGGCAAAGCTTTTAGCCAGTCCTCAACCCTTACTACACATAAGATAATTCATACTGGAGAGAAATTCTACAAATGTGAAGAATGTGGTAAGGCCTTTAGCCGGTTATCCCACCTTACTACACATAAGAGAATTCATTCTGGAGAGAAACCCTACAAGTGTGAAGAATGTGGCAAAGCTTTTAAACAATCCTCAACCCTTACTACACATAAGAGAATTCATGCTGGAGAGAAATTCTACAAATGTGAAGTATGTAGCAAAGCCTTTAGCCGGTTCTCACACCTTACTACACATAAGAGAATTCATACTGGAGAGAAGCCCTACAAATGTGAAGAATGTGGCAAAGCTTTTAACCTATCATCACAACTTACTACACATAAGATAATTCATACTGGAGAGAAACCCTACAAATGTGAAGAATGTGGCAAAGCTTTTAACCAGTCCTCAACTCTTTCTAAACATAAGGTAATTCATACTGGAGAGAAGCCCTACAAATGTGAAGAATGTGGCAAAGCTTTTAACCAGTCCTCACACCTTACTACACATAAGATGATTCATACTGGAGAGAAACCCTACAAGTGTGAAGAATGCGGCAAAGCCTTTAACAACTCCTCTATTCTTAACAGACATAAGATGATTCATACTGGAGAGAAACTCTACAAACCTGAAAGTTGTAACAATGCTTGTGACAACATTGCAAAGATTTCCAAATATAAAAGAAATTGTGCTGGTGAGAAATAATAGAAATATGAATGTGACAAAGCCTTTAAATGGTTATCACACTGGATTGTAGGTAAGGTAATTCATTCTGGAGAAAACTTCTACAAGTGTGAACAGTGTGGCAAAACTTACACAATGCTCAAACCTTATTGCACAGGAAAGCCTTTATACTTGATGAGAACAAATGTACAAATATAAAGAAAGTAAAAAAGTGATTAATATCTGCACACATCTTATTCAGCATCAGAGAATTTATACTTAATAGCATTAAAGGTGCAATTACTGTCAAAAGAGTTCAGAAAATATAAGCATTTAAAGTGCTGAAGAGGATTTATTTTGAAGACAAACATTACAAATATAAACGAAGTTGTGGTAACTTTACTTGTAACACAGATCTTGTTGTATTCATTCTGTATTAGAGCAAACCCTGAGGCAATTGCTCAAACTTTGTTCAACATCAGAGAATTTATATCAAAGAAAAACCCTGTAAATGTAATAAATTTAGAAAAAAACATTTATTCAAAAACTACAGGTTAGAAAATTCCAGAGTTCATATTAAAATATTTTTGCATATACAGTAAATAGAAAAAAAATTTAATTCAATGGTAAGTCTATGTAAATATCAGAGAATTTACATTAGAAATATATAAGGCAATGACACTTCAGACTTTACACTGAATCAGAGTTCTGAGTTTAGAAAATAATCCAAAACTAAACTTGGTAGAAAAATTATTTGTTTATAACTTTAAAAGAGTAGAAGATTCTTTGGAGAGTTACAAGTATACTTTTTTTTAGAAAGATTACAGATTTTTTTAAAAGTAAATAACTGTCAAATTACTTCATACAAATAATGTAATTAACTCAAATTACTTCATGTTAATGTTGTAATTAACTCTCAAATTACTTCATGCTAAAGAAATTAGTTTTTCTTTTTCTTTTTTCTTTTTCTTTTTTTTTAGATGGAGTCTTGCTCTGTCGCCCACCCAGGCTGGAGTACAGTGGCACGATCTCAGCTCACTGCAACCTCCATCTCCAGGTTTCAAGTGATTCTCCTGCCTCAGCCTCCCAAGTAGCTGGGATTACAGGCACAAACCACCATGCCTGGCTAAATTTTGTATTTTTAATGGAGCCAGGGTTTTGCCATGTTGGCCAGGCTGGTCTAGAACTCGAGACTTTAGGTGATCCGCCCAGCTTGGCCTCCCACAATGCTGGAATTACAGGTGTTAGCCACTGCTCCTGGCTGATGTTGTTTCTTTATTCCTATTGTATTCATATGTGAAAGCATGTGACCAAAAGATATGAGAGATTATTTTTTATTAGGTGAGCATTTATGACCTCTTCTATGAAAGAGTAAGGACATTAAAATGCATGATGAAAATCTAAGTAAAGAGGTTCTTTGTGATTCACTTACAGTACTGAGTGATGCATGAGGTAGGTGTTCCGAGTAATATTCTGCATTATATTGAGAGACAAATTTTGTTTTAGTTAAAATTAAAAATAAATTAGTATATTATTTTACTAATTGTACTTTTATGAAAAAAAGGCAGTATGTTAAAAATTTTAGATTATGTGTGAACTTAATTTCTTAATTCAACATTTTAAACAGTTTAAATATTGTGCATTCAATCAAGTCACATTATTCCACTTACTTTAACCTAGTCCACCTTACTCAAGGGTGTAGGTAAAAGGTGGTAGCAAGGCCAGGCGCGGTGGCTCACGCCTGTAATCCCAGCACTTTGGGAGGCAAAGGCGGGCGGATCACCTGAGGTCAGGAGTTCAAGACCAGCCTGACCCACATGGAGAAACGCCATCTCTACTAAAAATACAAAATTAGCCAGGCATGGTGGCGCATGCCTGTAATCCCAGCTACTCGGGAGGCTGAGGCAGGAGAATCACTTGAACCCAGGAGGCAGAGGTTGCGGTGAGCCGAGATCATGCCATGGCACTCCATCCTGGGTGACAAAGTGAGACTCCCTCTCAAAAAATAAATAAGTAAATAAAATAAATGGTGGTAACAATACACTATTTGGTAAAAGAATGCACTAACATCTGTAGTACTAATCTTTTTTCCAGTGGCTTTAAACTGCAAATAAGGAATGTTGTTTCTGTAGGTAAAACTTTTATTTATTTTTTCCCATTTAAATTTACTTTTGTTAGTTTTTTCAGGCACATAATATTTATGTTATATATGGCATATTCTGATAAGAGGCATACAATATATAATAATCACATTAGGGTAAATGAGGTATCCATCACCTTTAGTATTTATTTTTTGTATTATGAACAGTTCAATTGTACAGTTTTAGTTTTTTTAAAATATACGATTATTATTGACTACAGGGTTATTTTTATAATAATAAAAATTATATAGACGTATAAAATTTACACATTTCTGAGTCCTGAATAAATACTTAAAAATAATTTCTTGTATATTTTTCTTTGAATATGTGGCCTCTCTGCTTGCAAACAGATACAGGCTTTTAGTTTTGATTTACATAGAGTTAAATGTACACATCTATTAGTCTAAATATAAACCTTAGGTGTAAGAAGATTATGGATTAAGTGTGTTTGAGTATGAGTTTGTAACTATTTTCAGAATAATATTGGAACAAGACATCATTTTAATAAGGTGTCTAATTTTCTTTTCTTTTTCTTTTCTTTTCTTTTTTTTTGAGACAGAATCTCACTCTGTTGCCTAGGCTGGAGTGCAGTGGCGTGACCTCCGCTCACTGTAACTCTGCCTCCTGGGTTCAAGCAGTTCTCCTGTTTCAGCCTCCCTAGTAGGAAGGACTACAGGCGCAGGCCACCATGCCCAGATAATTTTTGTATTTTTAGTACAGATGGGGTTTCATCATTTTGGTCAGGCTAGTCTTGAACTCCTGACCTCAGGTGATCCACCCGCCTCAATCTTCCAAAGTACTAGGATTACAGGCGTGAGCCACTACACCTGGTCAGGTGTCTACTTTTCTAGAAAACAAAAATCCTCAAAAATGAATGCAAATCTATACTCTGGTTTGTATTGAATTTTACTGTATAATTTTACGGCTTATGGTTCAGAATCTTGCCATTCAAATTCTCTTGTTTTCACTTGTCTGGTACTCATGCTAGGCCCATAAATTTCTTGTTTCTGATATATATTTGTTGTTTTATAGTTTATGAGGTATTCATTTTGTGAGCTGCTCTGTGATTATAAGAATGATTTTAATGAAATTTAGTTATGGGCTGGGTGCAGTGGCTCACACCTGTAATCCCAACACTTTGGGAGGCCGAGGTGGGTGGATCACTTGAGGTCAGGAGTTCAAGATCAACCTGGCCAACATGGTGAAACCTCATCTCTACCAAAAATAACAAAAATTAGCCAGGCATGGTGGCATGCTCCTGTAATCCCAGCTACTGGGAGGCTGAGGCAGGAGAATAGCTTTAACCCGGGAGACAGAGGTCACAGTGAGCCAAGATTGTGCCACTGCACTCCAGCCTGGGTGACAGAGCAAGACTCCACTTCAAAATAAAATAAACTTAGTCATGTACACAAAATAATTTTTAGCTGTAATTCTAAAATTAGTGCATTAAATTATATTTTATTTAGTTAGAACATTTCATTTAATTGGAGAACCCTATATAAGCCTACTTTTCTTATGTTATTTTTTTTTCACTTTTTGTGATGGATATAAGTAAATTTATTCGTTAGGCAATTTGTTCAGGTAAGTACTAGGGAAACTTCATAAGTCATGAGAATGTTTTTATACATAAATGTAGCAAACAAACATGACAGTGCTTGCTGTATAACAGATGCTCCATAATAAGGCATAAATACTTCTGTGAAAGTTGCAAACTGCAAGTCAGGTGGAAAATATCAAAGGTAAACAAATAACATTGATTCTTCATGTGGAGAGGACATTTTATTTTTTTTCAGGCTGCAAAGCTGAATTTTACTGAATTTAAAAAGAAATTCTGCTTCATTTATTTTCTAATTATCTTAAGCTTTGTCTTTTTATGTGTATTCCACCCACGTATACATCATAGCCCTTCTTCTTTTTCTGTGTTACTGGCTGCAGTTATCCCACTGTTTTTTTCATGCCATGTCATCTCACATGGTATTTTGTGGGTTTTGATGAGAAGTTTGGTATTTTTTAATGAACTGAAAAAATGGTTTTAACTGGAGAGTTTGCTTATCAATATAACTTTCAGATCAGTTAATTAAGATAAAAGGCATACATGTCCACAGGTGAGAGGATTAAATCAGTTAGTGTTGTGCTGCTTTCTTTGTAAAAAGAAAAAATATTGTTAGAGTCTTACTAGATTCTTATCCAAAGTGTGACAAATATAAAATTTCCTAGAAAATATAGAAATTAGAATTTTAGAGAGTTTATGGTAAGTGAACCATATTAAATTATTATTTTTTAAGACAGAGCCTCACTGTCACCCAGGCTGGAGTACAGTGTCACAATCTGGGCTCACTGCAACCTACATCTTCCAGGTTCAAGCAGTTCTGCCTCAGCCTCCCAAATAGCGGGGATTGTAGGCACCCGCCATCATGCCTGGCTAATTTTTGTATTTTTGTAGAGACAGAGTTTCACCATGTTGGCCAGGCTGGTCTCAAACTCCTCGTGATCCGCCAGCCTCGGCCTCCCAAAGTGCTGGGATTTCAGGCATGAGCCACCGCGCCCAGCAAAGAAAACTAATTTATGTGAAAGAATAAAAGCCCAAATAGTCAAGGCAACGTCAGAAAAAAAAAAAAAAACAAAAACCAGAGGCCTCCTATTACCTGATTTAAAATTGTACTACAAGCTACAGTAACCAGTATTACATGGTTCTGGTATGAAAATATACATTTAGATCAATGGAGAAGAGAAAGCCCTGAAATCTACACTTTTACAACCAAGTTAATTTTCACAAAGCCCACAGAAATTAACAAAGGGAAAATAACTCTCTATTTAATAAGTGGGGGCTGGATGCAGTGACTCACACCTGTAATCCCAGAACTTTGGGAGGCTGAGGCTGGTGGACCACGAGGTCAGGAGTTCTAGGCCAGCCTGGCCAACAGGGTGAAACCCTGTCTACTAAAAATACAAAAATTAGCCAGGCGTGGTAGCAGGCACCTGTAGTCCCAGCTACTCAGGAGGCTGAGGCAGAAGAATCACTTGAACCTGGGAGGGGGAGATTGCAGTGAGCCAAGATGGCGCCACTGCACTCCAGCCTGGGTGACAGAGTGAGACTTTGTTTCAAAAGTAATAATAATAATAAATGGTACAGGGAAAACTGGTTATGTGCAGAAAAAAGTGGACTCCTACCTCTTTCCATATAGAAAATGCAAGTCAAGATAGATTAAGGACTTATCTGTGAGTCTTCAAGCTACACAAATCCTAGAAGAACATTTAGAAAGGACTGTTCTAGACACTGGCCTCTGGAATGAATTTATGAATAACATCTTAAAAGTGCAACAACAATAAAAATCAAAAATTTGCATCTAATTAAACTAAAGAGCTTCTGCACAGCCAAAGAAACTATCAACAAAGGAAACAGACACCTTACAATATGAAATAAAATATTTGCAAAGTGCATACAACTGATTAATATATCGAATCTATAAGAAATTTAATTTGACAAAGCAGAAAATATTGACACTTCTCAAAGGAAGACATAAGAGTTGCCAATAAACATTCAAAAAATGCTTAACATCTGTAATCATCAGAGATGTAAATCAAAATGACAATATGATACCATTTCACACCAGTTAGAATGGCTGTTATAAGTCAAAAAATTACATGTTGAAGTTGTGGAGAAACAGCTGTTTCAACTTCATCCTGACTTCAGGAGAAATGGGTGCCTATAAATCTTAGATTGCATAAGAAAAATGAGGTACTTACAGACTGCAATACTATGCAGTCACAGAAAAGAATGAAATATTGTCCTTTGTGGCAACATGAATGCAGCAGAAGGCCATTAATGTAAGCAAATTAACAGAGATCAGTAAAACAAATACCACATGTTCTCACTTTTATGTGGGAGGTAAACACTGGGTGCACATGGAAACAAAGATGAAAACAGTAAACACTGGGAATTCCAAAAAGATGGAAGAAGAAAGGGAGACAAACACTGAAAAACTACTTACCATGTGTAGTGTACACTGCTTGGGCAATGGGATAGTTAAAAGTGTCCAGACTTCAACACCATGCAGTATACCTATGCTACCAATCTGCAGGTGTATTCCCTGAATCTAAAATAGAAATAACAAGATGTTTTGTGGTGCAATGAAATGTTATATTTCTGTAGTTCCAAGTTAATAGTTGGAATTAGCAGTGAAAGAATTATTTACTCCTTAAGGCATAGGGGTAAATGTTTCTATACCCAGTCGCCCCACATTTTGTAAGCTATCTTCTCTGAAAGCTCTTGGCCTATAGCCCAAGATGTCTTTTATTCCCAAGTGTGCAGTTAAAATAGATGACTCTGGATTTAAGGGAGGTTCCAAGATGGCCAAATAGGAACAGCTCCAGTCTACAGCTCCCAGCTTGAGTGACACAGAAGACGGGTGATTTTCTGCATTTCCAACTGAGGTACTGGGTTCATCTCACTGGGGCTTGTTGGACAGTGGGTGCAGCCCACGGAGAGTGAGCCGAAGCAGGGCGGGGCATCACCTCACCCAGGAAGCGCAAGGGGTTGGGGAATTCCCTTTCCTAGCCAAGGGAAGCCATGACAGATGGTATGTGGAAAATTGGGACACTCCTACCCTAATACTGTGCTTTTCCAATGGTCTTAGCAAATGGCACACCAGGAGATTATATCCCACGTATGGCTTGGAGGGTCCTGTGCCCACGAAGCCTCGCTCACTGCTAGCACAGAAGTCAGATCAAACTGCAAGGCTGTAGTGAGGCTGGGGAAGGGGCATCCGTCGTTGCTGAGGCTTCAGTACGTAAAGTGGCTGGGAAGCTCAAACTGGGTGGAGCCTATTGCAGCTCAAGGAGGCCTGCCTGCCTCTGTAGACTCCCACCTCTGGGGCCAAGGCATAGCCAAAAAAAAGGCAGCAGAAACTTCTGCAGACTTAAACGTCCCTGTCTGACAGCTTTGAAGAGAGTAGTGGTTCTCCCAGCACAGAGTTTGAGATCTGAGAATGGACAGACTGCCTCCTCAAGTGGGTCCTTGACCCCCAAGTAGCCTAACTAGGCAACACCTCCCAGTAGGGACTGACTGACAGCTTATATGGCCGGGTGCCCCTCTGAGACGAAGCTTCCAGAGGAAGGATCAGGCAGCAACGTTTGCTATTCTGCAATATTTGCTGTTCTGCAGCCTCCGCTGGTGATACCCAGGCAAACTCCAACAGACCTGCAGCTGAGGGTCCTGACTATTAGAAGGAAAACTAACAAACAGAAAGGACATCCACACCAAAACCCCATCTGTACGTCACCATCATCAAAGACCAAAGGTAGATAAAACCCACAAAGATGGGGAGAAACCAGAGCAGAAAAGCTGAAAATTCTAAAAACCACAGTGCCTCTTCTCCTCCAAAGGAAAGCAGCTCCTTGCCAGCAACGGAACAAAGTTGGATGGAGAATGACTTTCACGAGTTGAGAGAAGAAGACTTCAGACGATGGGTAGTAATAAACTTTGAGCTAAAGGAGGATGTTTCAACCCATCACAAAGAAGCTAAAAACCTTGAAAAAAGATTAGACAAATGGCTAACTAGAATAAACAGCATAGAGAAGACCTTAAATGACCTGATGGAGCTGAAAACCATGGCAAGAGAACTACGTGACTGACACATGCACAAGCTTCAGTAGCTGATTTGATCAAGTAGAAGAAAGTATCAGTGATCAAAGATCAAATGAATGAAATGAAGTGAGAAATTTAGAGAAAAAAGAGTAAAAAGAAATGAACAAAGCCTCCAAGAAATAAGGACTATGTGAAAAGACCAAATCTACGTCTGATTGGTGTACCTGAAAGTGACGGAGAGAATGGAACCAAGTTGGAAAGCACTCTTCAGGATATTATCCAGGAGAACTTCCCCAACCTAGCAAGGCAGGCCAACATTCAAATTCAGGAAATACAGAGAACACCAGAAAGATACTCCTCAAGAAGAGCAACTCCAAGACAAATAATTGTCGGGTTCGCCAAAGTTGAAATAGAGGAAAAAATGTTAAGGGCAGCCAGAGAGAAAGGTCAGCTTACCCACAAAGGGAAGCCCATCAGACTAACAGTGGATCTCTCGGCAGAAACTCTACAAGCCAGAAGAGACTGGGGGCCAATATTCAACATTCTATTTTTTTTTTTTTTTTTTTTTGAGACGGAATCTTGCTCTGTTGCCCAGGCTGGAGTGCAGTGGTGCGATCTCGGCTCACTGCAAGATCCGCCTCCCGGGTTCATGCCATTCTTCTGCCTCAGCCTCCTGAGTAGGTGGGACTACAGGCGCCCACCACCATGCCCAGCTAATTTTTTGTATTTTTAGTAGAGATGGGGTTTCACTGTGTTAGCCAGGATGGTCTCAATCTCTTGACCTCATGATCCACCCACCTCAGCCTTCCATAGTGCTGGGATTACACGCTTGAGCCACCGCGCCTGACTGAACATTCTCAAAAGAATTTTCAGCCCAGAATTTCATATCCAGCCAAGCTAAGCTTCATAAGTGAAGGAGAAATAAAATCCTTTACAGACAAACAAATGCTGAGAGATTTTGTCGCTACCAGGCCTGCCTTACAAGAGCTCCTGAATGAAGCACTAAACATGGAAAGGAACAACCGGTATCAGCCACTGCAAAAACATGCCGAATTGTAAAGACCATCAATGCTAGGCAGAAACTGCATCAACTAACCAGCAAAATAACCAGCTAACATCATAATGACAGGATCAAATTACAATATTAACCTTAAATGTAAATGGGATAAATGCCCCAATTAAAAGACACAGACTGGCAGATTGGATAAAGAGTCAAGACCCATCAGTGTGCTGTATTCAGGAGACCCATCTCACCTGCAGAGACACACATAGGCTCAAAATAAAGGGATGGAGGAAGATCTACCAAGCAAATGGAAAACAAACAAAAAAAGCAGGGGTTGCAATCCTAGTCTCTGATGAAACAGACTTTAAACCAACAAAGAGCAATAGAGACAAAGAAGGCCATTACATAATGGTAAAGGGATCAATGCAATTAGAAGAGCTAACTATCATAAATATATATGCACCCAATACAGGAGCACCCATATTCATAAAGCAAGTCCTTAGAGACCTACAAAGAGACTTAGACTCCCACACAATAATGGGAGTCTTTAACACCCCCCTGTTGACATTAGACAGATCAATGAGACAGAAAGTTAACAAGGATATCCAGGAATTGAACTCAGCTCTCCACCAAGCATACCTAATAGACATCTACAGAACTCTCCGCCCCAAATCAACGGAATATACATTCTTCTCAACACTACGTCACACTTATTCCAAAACTGACCACATAGTTGGAAGTAAAGCACTCCTCAGCAAATGTAAAAGAATAGAAATTATAACAAACTGTCTCTCAGACCACAGTGCAATCAAACTAGAACTCAGGATTAAGAAACTCACTTAAAACTGCTCAACTACATGGAAACTGAACAACCTGCTCCTGAATGACTGCTGGGTACATAACAAAATTTAGGCAGAAATAAAGATGTTCTTTGAAACAAACGAGAACAAAGACACAGCAGACCAGAATCTCTGGGTCACATTTAAAGCAGTGTGTAGAGGGAAATTTATAGAACTAAATGCCCACAAGAGAAAGCAGGAAAGATCTAAAATTGACACCCTAATGTCACAATTAAAAGAACTAGAGAAGCGGCCGGGCGCAGTGGCTCATGCCTGTAATCCCAGCACTTTGGGAGGCCGAAGCAGGCAGATCATGAGATCAGGAGATCGAGACCATCCTGGCTAAGACGGTGAAACCCCGTCTCTACTAAAAATACAAAAAAAAAAAAAAATTAGCCATACGTGGTGGCAGGCGCCTGTATTCCCAGCTACTTGGGAGGCTGAGGCAGGACAATGGTGTGAACCCAGGAGGTGGAGCTTGTAGTGAGCTGAGATTGTGCCACTGCACTCCAACCTTGGCGACAGAGCGAGACTCCATCTCAAAAAAAAAAAAAAGAGCAAACACATTCAAAAGTTAGCAGAAGTCAAGAAAGAACTAAGATCAGAGCAGAATTAAAGGAGATAGAGACACAAAAAACCCTTTAAAAAAATCAATGAATCCAGGAGCTGGTTTTTTGAAAAGATCAACAAAATTGATAGACCGCTAGCAAGACTAATAAGAAAAGAGAGTAGATGCAATAAAAGATGATAAAGGCGATATCACCACAGATCCCACAGAAATACAAACTACCATCAGAGAATACTATGAACACCTCTACACAAATAAACTAGAAAATCTAGAAGAAATGGATAAATTCCTGGACACATGCACCCTCCCAAGACTAAACCAGGAAGAAGTTGAATCCCTGAGTAGACTAATAACTGGCTCTGAAATTGAGGCAATAATTAATAGCCTACCAATAAAAAAAAGTCCAGGACCAGATGGATTCACAGCTGAATTCTACCAGAGGTACAAAGAGGAGCTGGTACCATTCCTTCTGAAACTGTTCCAATCAATAGAAAAAGAGGGAATCCTCCCTAACTCATTTTATGAGGTCAGCAGCATCCTGATACCAAAGCCTGACAGACACAACAAAAAAGAATTTAGACCATTATCCCTGATGAACATCGATGCAAAAATCCTCAATAAAATACTGGCTAAACGAATCCAGCAGCACATCAAAAAGCTTATCCACCACGATCAAGTTAGTTTCATCCCTGGGATGCAAGGCTGGTTCATCATATGTAAATCAATAAATGTAATCCATCATATAAACAGAACCAAAGACAAAAACCACATGATTATCTCAATACATGCAGAAAAGACTTTTGACAAAATTCAACAGCCCTTCATGCTAAAAACTCTCAATCAACTAGGTATTGATGGGACGTATCTCAAAATAAGAGCTATTTGTGACAAACCCACAGCCAATATCATACTGAATGGGCAAAAACTGGAAGCATTCCCTTTGAAAACTGGCACAAGACAGGAATGCCCTCTCTCACCACTCTTATTCAGCTTAGTGTTGGAATTTCTGGCCTGGGCAATCAGGCAAGAGAAAGAAATAATGTGTATTCAAATAGGAAACAAGGAAGTCAAATTGTCCCTGTTTGCAGATGACATGATTGTATATTGGTCTCAGCCCAAAATCTCCTTAAGCTGATAAGCAACTTCAGCAGAGTCTCAGGATACTAATGTACAGAAATCACAAGCATTCCTATACACCATTAACAGACGAACAGCCAAATCATGAGTGAAATCTCATTCACAATTGCTTCAAAGGGAATAAAATACCTAGGAATCCAACTTACAGGGGATGTGAAGGACCTCTTCAAGGAAAACTACAAACCACTGCTCAATGAAATAAAAGAGGACACAAACAAATGGAAGAACATTCTAGGCTCATGGATAGGAAGAATCAATATCGTGAAAATGGCCATACTGCCCAAAGTAATTTATAGATTCAATGCCATACCCATCAAGCTACCAATGACTTTCTGCACAGAATTGGAAAAAACTACTTTAAAGTTCATATGGAACCAAAATAGAGCCCACATTGCCAAGACAATCCTAAGCCAAAAGAACAAAGCTGGAGGCATCATGCTACCTGACATCAAACTATACTACAAGGCTACAGTAACCAAAACAACAAGGTACTAGTACCAAAACAGAGATATAGACCAATGGAACAGAACAGAGCCTTCAGAAATAATACCACACATCACAAGCGTCTGATCTTTGACAAACCTGATGAAAACAAGAAGTAGGGAAAGCATTCCCTATTTAATAAATGGTGCTGGGAAAACTGGCTAGCCATATGTAGAAAGCTGAAACTGGATCCCTTCCTTACACCTTATACAACAAATAATTCAAGATGGATTAAAGACTTAAATGTTAGACGTAAAACCATAAAAACCCTAGAGAAAAACCTAGGTAATACCATTCAGGACATGGGCATGGGCAAGGACTTCATGACCAAAACACCAAAAGCAATAGCAACAAAAGCCAAAATTGACAAATGGGATCTAATTAAACTAAAGAGCTTCTGCACAGCAAAAGAAAACACCATCAGAGTGAACAGGCAGCTTACAGAATGGGAGAAAATTTTTACAATCTACTCATCTGACAAAGGGCTAATATCCAGAATCTACAAAGAACTTAAATTTACAAGAAAAAAAATCAACCCCATCAAAAAGTGGGTGAAGGACATGAACAGACACTTTTCAGAAGAAGACATTTATGCAGCCAACAGACACATGAAAAAATGCTCATCATCACTGGCCACCAGAGAAATGCAAATCAAAACCACAATGAGATACCATCTCACACCAGTTAGAATGGCAATCATTAAAAAGTCAGGAAAAGACAGGTGCTGGAGAGGATGTGGAGAAATAGGAACACTTTTACACTATTGGTGGGAGTGTAAACTAGTTCAACCATTGCAGAAGACAGTGTTGCGATTCCTCAATTACCATTTGACCCAGCCATCCCATTACTGGGTATATACCCAAAGGATTATAAATCATGCTGGTATAAAGACACATGCACACATATGTTTATTGTGGCACTATTCACAATAGCAAAGACTTGGAACCAACCCATATGTCCATCAATGATAGACTGGATTAAGAAAATGTGGCACATATACACCATGGAATACTCTGCAGCCATAAAAAAGGATGAGTTCATGTCATTTGTAGGGACATGGATGAAGCTGGAAACATCATTCTCAGCAAACTGTTGCAAGGACAGAAAACCAAACACCACATGTTCTCACTCATAGGTGGGAATTGAACAATGTGAACACTTGGACACAGGATGGGGGATGTCACACACCGTGGCCTGTCATGGGGAGGGGGGAGTGTCGAGGCATAGCATTAGGAGATGTACCTAATGTAAATGACGAGTTAATGGGTGCAGCATGCCAACATGGCACATGTATACATATGTAACAAACCTGCA
Organism: Homo sapiens; assembly: GCF_000001405.40. Taxonomy (NCBI): domain Eukaryota; kingdom Metazoa; phylum Chordata; class Mammalia; order Primates; family Hominidae; genus Homo; species Homo sapiens. Next base: position 22,378,485 of record NC_000019.10, on the reverse strand, counting down.
CGTTGTGCACATGTACCATGGAATTTAAAATATAATAATAATAATATCAGGAAACAACAGGTGCTGGAGAGGATGTGGAGAATTAGGAACACTTTTCGGTGTTGGTGGGAGTGTAAACTAGTTCAACCATTGTGGAAGACAGTGTGGCGATTCCTCAAGGATCTAGAACTAGAACTACCATTTGACCAAGTCATCCCATTACTGGGTATATACCCAAAGGATTATAAATCATGCTGGTATAAAGACACATGCACACATATGTGTATTGCGGCACTATTCACAACAGCAAAGACTTGGAGCCAATCCAGATGTCCATCAATGATAGACTGGATTAAGAAAATGTGGCACATATACACCATGGAATACTATGCAGCCATAAAAAAGGACACGTTCATGTCCTTTATAGGGACATGGATGAAGCTGGAAACCATTCTGAGCAAACTATCAGAAGGACAGAAAACCAAACACCACATGTTCTCACTTATAGGTGGGAATTGAAGAATGAGAACACTTGGACACAGGGTGGGGAACATCACACACTGGAGCCTGTCGTGGGGTGATGGGAGCTGGGAGGGATAGCATTAGGAGATATACCTAATGTAAATGATGAGTTAACTGGTGCAGCATGCCAACATGGCACATTTATACATATGTAACAAACCATATTGTGCACATGTACCATAGAACTTAAAGTATAATGATAATAATGATAAGGTCAGGAAACAACAGGTGCTGGAGAGGCTGTGGAGAAATAGGAACACTTTTACACTGGTGGTGGGACTGTAAACTAGTTCAACCATTGCAGATGACAGTGTGGTGATTCCTCAAGGATCTAGAACTAGAACTACCATTTGACCCAGCCATCCCATTACTAGGTATATACCCAAAGGATTATAAATCATGCTGCTATAAAGACACATGCACAAGTATGCTTATTGCAGCACTATTCACAATAGCAAAGAGTTGGAACCAATCCAAATGTCCATCAATTGTAGACTGAATTAAGAAAATGTGGCACATACACACCATGGAATACTGTGCAGCCATAAAAATGGATGAGGTCATGTCCATTGTAGGGACATGGATGAAGCTGGAAACCATCATTCTGAGCAAACAATCACAAGGACAGAAATCCAAGCACCGCATGTTCTCACTCATAGGTGGGAATTGAAGAATGAGAACACTTGGACACAGTGGGGAACATCACACACCGGGGTCTGTTGTGGGGTGTGGGGAAGGGGGAGGTATAGCATTAGGAGATATACCTAATGTAAATGACAAGTTAATGGGTGCAGCACACCAACATGGCACATGTATACATATGTAACAAACATGCACGCGTACCATAGAACTTGAAGTATAATTTTAAAAAAGATGACTCTACACCTGTATTTTTTATGTATTAACTATACACTAGACTATATGATTAATTTGTTACTCTTTTTGAGGAAAAGTGGTAGGTGATTTAATTACTTTTCTTTTTTTAAAGAATGAACTATTTTTGAAAATATGAGGCTGTGAAGATCATGTAAATTACTGAGTTAACAAGAGAAAATATTTTTCTTTAAAAAAGCATAGAAGTCTTATGACCATAGCTGAAGAATGATGAAACAGAGATTGTGTGTTAAAACCACACTGCTGCAACCATTCCATCACAATCATTCTCAGGAAAAAACAATAATCGGTCAGAAGGAATTTTTAGAATTTTTTTGATTCTATATTTGCTTCATTCTTTTTCTTTTTTCTTTTTATGAGTTGGAATTTCGCTCTTGTCACCCAGGTTGGAGTGCAATAACATGATCTCAGCTCACTGCAACCTCCACCTCCTGGGTTCAAGCAATTCTCCTGCATCAGCCTCCCAAGTAGCTAGGATTACAGGTGCTCACCACCATACCCGGCTAATTTTTGTATTTTCAGTAGAGACAGGGTTTCACCATGTTGTTCAGGCTGGTCTCGAATTCCTGACTTCAGGTGATCCACCTGCCTCGGCTTCCCAAATTACTGGGATTACAGGCATGAGCCACTGCACCCAGCCCATTATTTTTCATATAGAAGTCTGTACTTCAACAAAAGAAGCTGTGAATTTCAAGTTAACATGCACACACATATATATTCTCCCTAGAAAGCTACTGCTGTGTTTACAATAAAGGTGTAACATTTCTGATCTTTGGGCTGCTGTGTTTGTGTGAAATAAGAAGGCAGCAAGTAAAGCAGAGTCAACCATGACTTCCTAGTTTCAACAGCCACAGCTCTGAAATTTAATGTTATGTCAACTGGAAATAATGACAGTATTTCAAAACTGAAAAAAATTGATAACTTTATATTTTTAGTTATTTATATTTCATAAAAACTAGTTTCTGAATTGTTATGTGTTAAACAACTTGAAAATGCAGATACCTAAAAGTTTCATCTAGATGATAGTATTAATATTTTAATAGCTTTTGTGAATCAAATTTGCTTCTTTGTGTTTACTGGAAAGCAGTTATTTATCTTCTACTTGTAAATAAAGGAAAGGCTTTCCATAATCCTAATCATACAGATCTCCTAAAATTAGCACTATGTTTAGATTTGAATAAAATTCAGAGGCCTGTAAGTAATGTAAATGTTAATATTTCTTTCTAATAAAAGTGAAATAGCAATAGAAGTTGTTAAAATGAGTTTAAAAAGCTTCAAGTATTTATTAAATAACATTTAATGCTGCATTATAAGTGACTAATCAGTAATTTCAATCTATTTTATTCACTGAGAAGACTTAATATTCTTAAATTATTCAATCAAAAAAAGTTATACAGTTTCTGAAACTTTCAGAAACTGTAGATCACTCAATATACAATAATGTACATGGATACCACAAATTATATAATAATAGGCTCATTCTTGCTTTTAATACAAAAATTCAATATATTTCAAAAGTAAAATTGGTGGCTCCTAGAAATCATGAGAGGAAAACCATTGTTAGTATCTATTTACCAAAGTGTGTTAAGCTTAGCAATTTTTTTGAGATGGAGTCTCGCTTTGTTTCCCAGGCTGGAGTGCAGTGGCGGTATCTCAGCTCACTGCAGTCTCCACCTCCTGGGCTCAAGCAATTCTCCTGCCTCAGCCTCCTGGGTAGCTGGGATTACAGGCGCCCGCCACCACGCCCAGCTAATTTTTTGTATTTTTAGTAGACGGGGTTTTACCACGTTGGCCAGGCTGGTCTCAAACTCCTGACCTCAAGTGATCTGTCTGCGTCTGCCTCCCAAAATGCTGGGATTACAGGTGTGAGCCACTGTGACCGGCCAGTAATGAGTACTTTAAACCAAAAATCGATTTGTAAATACTACCTATGGTAAAAAGAAGTGGTTTTTAAATTCCTATGTATTTCTATTAAATTTAAAATTTAAAGCCAAAATATTAGGTCAAGAATAAAAACAAACATTGGTTGAGGTGGGGTTGAGCATAATGGTTAAAATTGAAACTCAGTGTTTGGTTGTTCCTGACTGCATCCCAGTTCGGCCACTTAACGGTTATATGACCTAAACACAGTTTCTTGCCTCTCTGTGCATGACTCTTCAGCTGTACAGTGAGGATAATAGGGCCTAAATCCTAGGGTTTTGGTAAAATTAAAGCAGTTAATGCAAATAAAGGAGCCATAAAAATGCCCAGCACATAGCTAGTGTACAGGAAGTTTATTAGCTCTTATTTGTTGATTCTGTTAGATCATGACAAATGTTAAGCCTGAAAACAAGATGGCCATACCACTGGCTTGTAACCCATGTTCATTCTAATTCTTCCATCTGGGGCTATAATAGTAGTTGAATGTTTCTAACACTATCCTTGGCAAATTCCCATATATTCACATACAGCATGGATATAAATATTATGAAAAAATGTCTCATTGAGAATTGCTGTCTAGTACACTAGTAACACTAGACATACAACCACTTAAATGCTGAGTGTCAGTTTTATAATTAGAGAATGAAGCAAATTGTTTCATTACTTGTTTAATAAACTTGTGATTTATGTTTATTTGGTTAAATTTATTTATTTATTCGTTTATTTATTTAGAGACAGAGTCTCACCCTGTCACCCAGGCTGGAATGCAGTGGTGTGATCTCGACACACTGCAACCTCCACCTCCCAGGTTTAAGCAATTCTCCTGCCTCAGCCTCCCGAGTAGCTGGGATTACAGGCACCCGCCAACACACCTGGCTACTATTTGTATTTTTAGTAGAGACAGGGTTTCACCATGTTGGCCAGGCTGGTCTCAAACTCCTCACCTCAGGCTATCCACCCACCTCGGCCTCCCAAAGTGCTGCGATTACAGACGTGAGCCACCACACCTGGCCTAAATGTATTTAAAATATATATATTTAAAGAACTTTTTTTGTCTAACAAGTGAAAAAAATTATTTATTTACAAATTTAGAGAGGTTTTACTCCAGTTGTTTAGAGTCTGTCTTTTAAGGTATATTATTTTGAATATTAAAAATCAACATACTTTATTTGAGTGTTGGTTCAGACTATTCATAGTTTTAAAAGTTTACTAACTTACATCACTAACTGAGCAAGCCATTGAAATAAAATATGTATATGTTTTCTGAAATTTTAAAATGAATGAACACTTTTTTCTCTGGTGCAATTTCTTAAAGTTTCTCTCATTTAAAAAAACCCAATATTAATAGTATTTTTGATTGGCAAATCAGAGTTGTATAATTTATGGCGTAAAATGTGATGTTTCAATATATGCATATATATGATATAAGTCGAGTTTAATAACATATCAACTTGCTTACCAATCATTTTTTTGTGGTGATACATTTGAAATTTAGTTATTTTGAAATAAAGTACTTGGCCAGGCGCCGTAGCTCATGCCTGTGTAATCCCAGCACTTTGAGAGGCCGAGGGGGGCAGCCGGATCACCTGAGGTTGGGAGTTCAAGACTCAGCCTGACCAACATGGAGAAACCCCGTCCCTACTAAAAATACAAAATTAGCCAGGCATGGTGGTGCATGCCTGTAATTCCAGCTAGTCGGGAGGCTACAGCAGGAGAATCGATTGAACCCAGGAGGTGGAGGTTACGGTGAGCCGAGATCGTGCCATTGCACTCCAGCCTGGGCAACAAGAGCGAAACTCCGTCAAAAAAAAAAAAAAAAAAAAAAAGAAAGAAAGAAAAGGGAAGGAAGGGAAAGAAAAGAAAGAAAGAAAAAGAAAGAAAGAAACAAGAAAGAAAAAGAACTTTATAGTTTACTGTCATCATCCTGCTGTGCAATAGATCTGGAAATCTACTTATCCTTTCTATTTAAAACCTTGTACCCTTTGATCAACAACTTCCTATTTCCTTCCCACCACACCCAGCTTCCAGTAACCATTATTCCACTTTCTGCTTTTTTGAGGTAGAATTTATTAAATTCTAGATGTAAATGAGATCATGCAGTATTTGTCTTTTTGTGTCAGTCTTATTTCAGCTAGCATAATGTCTTCCAAATTTATCTATATTGTTTTAAAGGGCTGGATTTATCCCTTTTTATGGCTGAATAGTATTCCATTGTGTATTTATACTTTTTTTTTTTTTTTTTGAGACTCACTCTGTCACCCAGGCTGGAGTGCAGTGGCATGATCTCGGCTCACTGCAACCTCTGCCTCCCAGGTTCAAGTGATTCTCCTGCCTCAACATCCCAAGTAGCTGGGGCTACAGGTGCCCGCCACCAGGCCTGGCTAATTTTTCTATTTTTTAGTAGAAACATGGTTTTCCCATTTTGGCCAGGCTGTTCTTGAACTCCTGACCTCAGATGATCCACTCACCTTGGCCTCCGAAAGTGCTGGCATTACAGGCGTGAGCCACTGCACCCAGCCTAACAATCATTTTTAATAAAATGATTGATATGCTTCAATTGTATTCAATTGAATAGTTGAATACATTTTCATTGTTATATATGAGTGTAAATGTATAAAATGGTACATGAAAAAGAAATAAGCCAGAAAAAAGATGTTAATATTTGTAATAAAATGGGAAGGTAGTTAATTATTATTTGCAAATGATATCTTTGTTTACTTAGATAACAAAAGAAACTTCAAAACTACTTTAATAGTCTATGCAGGTGGGTAGGCAAAATTCTAAGATGATCACCAGGATTCCCAGTCTGTTGCACACCAGCTGTGTAATCCTCTCCTTTGGAGTGTAAAAAAAATGTGACTTACTGTGGTGGAAAATCACTCATGAAATTAGGCTGCTAATATGTTCTGTTCATCAAAAGGAAGATTATCCTGATTGGGCTAAACTTAGTCAGAGGTGCTTTTATGAGAAAGAGACACATCGTAGAAAAACCACCCTGCTGGCCTGGAAGTGAGTGACTTCTACGTGGAACATGTAAGCTGCTTATGGTGACCACATGGAAGAAAATATACTTGTATATTATCATCATTCCTGCCTCCCACATGTTGCTTCCAGTAGGAAGGAAGGGAGGATCTCATGACAGAGATAAAAAGGGGATATCCTTCATTCAAGAAATAATCACCTCTCATCTGGGATAGCTTAAGATAAAGAGAGGAGACCACAACATGAGCAAATCAATGGGAGGAAAAGGGCAACCTGGTTGAAAGGGCTCACTGGCATGATGGAGCAGCATTTACTAAGTTGTAGTGAATGATCAGCCTCTGGGATAGCAATAGTCAGCCAAGGAGGCTGTACTCATTTTTATTCTCATTAAATCAGCATATCTGCACCATTCTGGTGGCCCAGTGTTACACTACACATTACAGAAATAACGTGGAGACCAGTGGGTAACTTCCTAGAATTGAGCTTATCATGAAAAAGCATATCTTATTATTTGTTTTCACAATTGAAAAACCTCGAAAACATAATGAATTTATTAATAATGAACTCATTTTAGAGGATTCCATGCTGTGATATAATATTAAACTTTAAACACTTTAATATTAATTGTTTAATACAATTTCCCCTGAGTGACTCAGGGTGAATACTGGGAACTGATAATGCTGTGTTTAAAGTGATTACTAGGAACATGATTAACACATTTCTTTCATATTATAAAAATTTCATGATCGGTCGGGCGCGGTGGCTCACGCCTATAATCCTAGTACTTTGGGAGGCCTAGGTGGGCAGATCTTTAATATTAATATGTCTTGAATGCATAATCAGTATGCACATAGTTTCTCTTAGATTAACATGATAAAAGTAACAATTAGAAAAACCATTTGAGCCAGGCATGGTGGCTCAGGCTTGTAATCCCAGCACTTTGGGAGGCCAAGGCGGGCTGATCACGAGGTCAAGAGATCAAGACCATCCTGGCCAACATGGTGAAACCCAGTCTCTACTAAAAAAAATACAAAAAATTAGCTGGGCGTGATGGCGCATGCCTGTAGTCCCAGCTACTCGGGAGGCTGAGGCAGGAGAACGGTGTGAACCCGGGAGGCGGAGCTTGCAGTGATCCCAGCACTTTGGGAGGCCTAGGCATGCAGATCATGAGGTCAAGAGATGGAGACCATACTGGCCAACAAGGTGAAACCCCGTCTCTACTAAAAATAGAAAAATTAGCTTGGCATGGTGATGCGCACCTGTAGTCCCAGCTACTTGGGAGGCTGAGGCAGGAGAATCGCTTGAACCTGGGAGGCAGAGTTTGCAGTGAACTGAGATTGTGTCACTGCACTCCAGCCTGGCGACAGAGCCAGACACCATCTCAAAAAAAAAAAAAACAAAAAAAAAATGAATCTTATTCTGACTCACAAAGGCTTTTAGTAAAAGATTGCTTATAGTACTCAATTTGGATTCATAAAAATTTCAATATTCCAGATAAATCAGTGGCACTTAAATGTCAACCAAATTTCATAAAACATATTTCAATGAGATAGAGTCTTTTTAGCTAAGAATTTTATTTTATTTGTAAATGTAGAGAAAAACAGAAAACCAGTACTTTGAGCACCACCCAAACAAGTTCTCTTCATCATCGTCATTAACATAGCAATGGCACCACGTGCTCTCCTTGAGCAGGCCGGCCTGTTTCCACTGATATAAAGTGGAGACGGCATTGAAATAGTGAACGAGGGTGATATAAATGGAATATTGATATAAAATACAGTTTTTAATAAAAAGCATTTGATGTTGTACAACTATAGATGAAATTATTAGTATGATGCCATAATATTTTTACTTCTGTTGACAGGATAACTTAATTCACAATATTCTTATTTCAAATAATATTCCTTTTTTTGCTGTATATTTGCTAGCTTTTGGTCAAATATTACCGGAACTCAATAGAAATCAATAAAATTCATCTTTATTTTACCACAAGCATTTTATTATTGATGCATATGCTTATTTTGCTTAAAATCCATTAGCTTTTGATGAAAGATATATACTTTTCTTTCAGTGTGTTGTTTATTGCTGAGAAGTGGCTGTCCTGCCAGGAAACTGCTATTCTCGGCTCTATCCACACTGACTAATAGTGAGTGGAAGTGAAGTGTGAATAAGAACCAAATGTGTCTTCTCTGCATCTATTTTTTCATCCATTGGCTGAAGAAAGAGAAGGACGCAGAAAGAAGATGAAAGAAGATATGATCCCTGAAAGATCATATAGAAGTCCTCTTAATGAGAAAAAAATTGTTATGTGACCATAAAATATATTATTTTACTAAGCCTCTGAAATTTTAGTATACAACTTGCATTGCTTTAATTAATATATTATTCTTCCCGTTTTGATTCTTCAGGATATGACACAATTCCCTGGTGAATCAAAACTGAGAAAAGAATAACTTATTTATTAAAGTAAGAGATATAGGAAAGACCCATTACCTTTGACCAATATCTCCACCCCCAGCCAATCATCATTCTATTCTCTGCTTCTATGAGTTAAATTTTTTTTTTTATTTTTCAAGACGGAGTTTTGCTCTGCTCACCCAGGCTGGAGTGCAATGGGGTGATCTCTGCTCACGGCAACCTCTGCCTCCTGGGTTCAAGCTATTCTGCCTCAGCCTCCCGAGTAGCTGGGAGTCATGCGCCACCACGCCTGGCTAATTTTGTATTTTTAGAAGAGATGGGGTTTCTCCATGTTGGTCAGGCTGGTCTCGAACCCCCAACCTCAGGTGATCTGCCCGCCTTGGCTTCCCAAAGTTCTGGGATTACAGTCGTGAGCCACCATGCCCGGCCTTTTTTTGAGGCGGGAGGAGGGCGGGGCGGGGGGACAGAGTTTCGCTCTGTTGCCCAGGCTGGAGTGCAATTGAGTGATCTCGGCTCACCACAACCTCCGCCTCCCTGGTTCAAGGGATTCTCCTGCCTCAGCCTCCCAAGTAGCTGGAACTACAGGCGCCCACCACCCCGCCCAGCTAATTTTTGTATTTTTAGTAGAGACGGGGTTTCACCATGTTGGCCAGACTGTTCTTGAACTCCTGACCTCAGGCGATCCACCCACCTCAGCCTCCCAAAGTGCTGGGATTACAGGTGAGCCACTGCGCCCGGCCGAATTAGAATTTTTTTCTACTTTACAGAGAAATGAGATCATGTGGCTCTTCCAGTGACGTTGTCTGTAGGCACTCAGAATGGTCCAGCGTTTGACATACCAATGTAGGCTTTCCTACAATACAGCGTCCAACAAAACTAGACTGCCCCGAACCCCTGGTAATAGAATTGTTTACCTTTATACCAAGAAGGTTGGGAAAGCACCAAGATCTGCAAGTGGCATGTGCCCAGGAAGACTTCGAGGGGTTCGTGCTGTAAGACCTAAAGTTCTTATGAAATTGTCAAAAAGAAAGAAACATGTCAGCAGGGCCTATGGTGGTTCCATGTGTGCTAAATGTGTTCGTGGCAGGATCAAGCGTGCTTTCCTTATCGGGGAGCAGAAAATCGTTGTGAAAGTGTTGAAGGCACAAGTACAAAGTCACAAAGCTAAATAAAATTGAAACTTTTTTGAGAAAAAAAAAACGAGATCATGTGGTATGTTTTTGTTTCCCTTTTTTCTTTGTGCCGGCTCTTTTTACTTAGCCTAATGTCCTCCAGATTCATCAACGTTGTTGCAAATAACAAGATTTCTTTATTTTTAAGGGCTGAATAGCAGTCCATTGTGTAAATACACGAAATTTTCTTCATCCATTCACCTGTTGATGGACACTTAGGTTGATTCTCTATCTTAGCTATTGTGAGTAACCTACTTCCTTCTCTTTCATTTGTTTTTATATATTTTTTCTTTTTTATTTCTAAAAGTATTTTAATTTAAAATACAAATTATGACTGTTAATATCTTCATTTTTCTGCCTTATGGATAATATTTTGGCTAATTTTAAAAATAAATTGTTAAAAAAGTTCTTGGGGGCCGGGCGCGGTAGCTCACGCCTGTAATCCAGCACTTTGGGAAGCCGAGGCCGGTGGATCACGAGGTCGGGAGATTGAGACCATGTTGGCTAACATGGTGAAACCCTGTCTCTACTAAAAATACAGAAAATTAGCCGGGCGTGGTAGCATGCACGTGTAGTCCCAGCTACTAGGGAGGCTGAGGCAGGAGAATCGCTTGAACCCGGGAGGTGGAGTTTGCAGTGAACCGAGATCGCGCTACTGCACTCCAGCTTGGGCGACAGAGTGAGACTCCATCTCAAAAAAAAAAAAAAAAAATTCTTGGATCAAGGCCATTACTTCATTATTAACATAATTTGAGACAAAATAGCAATAAAAATCAACATTGATTAGTGAAACAACAATTATCTACCTCCGGTGATCATTTCTTCTCTCACCCAACATGAAAGCTGCATCTTTGTGTCATCTCTCCCAGTGTGAGAAAGAAGTTTCTGATTAAATTGCAATAAATTTTGTAAGATTTTACTCAGGGTGTGAAAATTAAACTGCTCTATTAATAGAAAAGTTTACCTTTTGATAAGTATAATTTTACTCTATTCTATTTAAATTCTTCAGAAAAACCTGACAGAATGCACTTACATTTTTTGAAAATTAAAAATGCTTAATCATTTTTTATATAAGCTAAAACAAAATAATTTTAGAGTCTTAGAGAACATCTTTCAAATACTTTAAGTTACCTTCCTCTAGCTGTGTGCCCAGGATTATTTATTTTGCATTTCTGAAGCTTCAATCTTCATTATTAATAAAAAATACTATCTCACTCAGGGCTGTTTTAACACATGGTAGCTGTATTTTTCACTGAAAGTCTTGTTTAAATATTACAGTAAATATTTAAGAATAAATATTCACATTTCAAATATATTATGTGAGTTGGTATATTTTGTCATGTTTAATGTATTTATCCTTTCCAGAAAATGCCAAAGTAAGAATTTTTTTATTTTCTCTGGAATAAAAGACTAAGGGTTTCTACATTGTGACTGTGCTGATATTTGCATAGGGTTTTGACTGTTACTGTTGAATTTAGGTTGAATTTCAAATACACTGTTGTTTAGCTTGTGTGGTTTCTGGTTCATTTGGGGAACCAAATATATTAGACGTGAACTGTTTGGAGTAACTTGGCATCATTTCTGCTGTCTTTCTGCTATTACATCTGGGGCTTTAGAAATGACTAGGATTCAAGTAAAGTTGGTTTGAAATCAAGCAATAGAAAATTCCCCAAAATACTGAGGGAAATAGCTACTGAATAATGCCTTTCAGTGAGATTTATACATGAAACAGATTTCAATGAAATTCATGAAATTATTGAAAGTTTTCTAAATTAAGACACTGACTGCAAACAACATATTAGGCACTTGTAGTTTGTCTATAGCATCTGTAGCTTGGGGAAGCTGACATTACAGAAAAGCATATTGCTACTGTAATAAGATTTGGAACAAAAACTTACGTGCTTGTAAACACTCCCCCTTAGTAATCCTTAGTTACTTGTCACTCTGGGTCAATCTTTTTGGTGCAACTGTTTATGATTTCAGAGATTCTATCTCACCAATTTCAAGCCATGGTGTTTTCGGCTGTTAATGTTTACTTGTATGCAGTAAGCTTCATAGTTACATCATACTGGAGTCCCCCAGGCAATCCCTGAGCCTCAGAGCTGACCATCCTACCTCATCCTTTTTGCTTCAAATGCTGTTATTGAGTCCCTTTCACTCCATATTTGAGCCTTAATGAGGCTTCCGTTTAAAGACACCAGAGGAAAGGGTTGCCCATATATGTTGAGTTGAGAATCAGGATTCTCTTGAGTATAAAGACTTTATAGCCAGGCGCGATGGCTCACACCTGTAATTCCAGCACTTTGGGAGGCTGAGGCAGGTGGATTAGGAGGTCAGGAGTTTGACACCAACCTGACCAACATGGTGAAACCCGTCTCTACTAAAAATACAAAAATTAGCCGGGTGTGGTGGTGTGTGCCTGTAGTCCCAGCTGCTGGGGAGGCTGAGGCAGAGGTTGCAGTGAGCCGAGATCACTGCCACTGCACTCCAGCCTGGGCTACAGAGCAAGAATGTCTCAAAATAAATTAAAAATAAATAAGTAAATAAAAAGATTTTACATTTATTATTCATAGTACAAAGCAGTATCTTTTTTTAATATGGGGTCTCACTCTGTCACCCAGGCTGGAGTGCAGTGGTGAGATCTTGGCTCACTGCAACCTCCACCTCCTGGGTTCAAGCGATTCTCCTGACTCAGCCTCCTGAGTAGCTGGGACTACAGGCACAAGCCACCGCACATGACTAATTTCTGCATTTTTAGTAGAGATGGGTTTCACCATGTTGGCCAGAATGGTCTTGAACTCTTGACCTCGTAATCTGCCCACCTCAGCCTCCCAAAGTGCTGGGATTACAGATGTGAGCCACCACGCCCAGCTACAAAGCAGTGTTTTTAAGATGTGAACATGCTTTACTCAAATTAAATATAAATGATTTTATCAGTATTCCAGTGTAGTGAAAATAACTGCATGAAGTTCACCAAACGTTCTGCTTCAGACTTTTTTGAAACAGAGATCAATATGTATGCAATGGTGGATGTTAGTTTTTTTGGTGTCGGTTTTCATTTGTTTTCATTTTTAAAGATCTTTTCCTACTTTATGCTGATGTTTAGCTGCACAAAGCTTACTAAAAGTTATACTTTACCACACTTTTTACCAAAATTTCAAATATTTAAATATTGAAAGTGGTATTCTTGATTACCATTTTTTGTGTGATGTAGCCTGCATTTATTAGTACTACATTGCATTTTTTTATGTGGTGCAAGGTTATAAAAATGCCTTCCAGTTGATTTCTCAGGTAACAGTAGAATCTGTTTTCTTAGAAAATAACATGAGAATTCTTTGTATACTACCTTTGGAGGTACTAAAAGCAACTGGTTAAATGTACTGAAATCTGTCCTTATTAATGGAAATTTAATTCAAAGACTATGCAAAGAAAAGTCATTCAGGCACCCTGAAAATAAATTGGAATTTGGCACCTGACACTGATTAACAGGTTGAGAAGATTAGAGTAGACCTAAGTCCCTTTAAACAACATTAAAGACTTTTTTTTTTTTTTTTGAGACAGAGTCTTGCTCTGTCGCCCAGCCTGGAGTCCAGTGGCACAATCTCGGCTCACTGCAACCTCCACCTCCTGAGTTCAAGCAATTCTTGTGCCTCAGACTCTCGAGTAGCTGGGATTACAGGCACATGCTACCATGCCTGGCTAATTTTTTGTATTTTTAGTAGAGTCAGGGTTCCACCATGTTGGCCAGGCTGCTCTTGAACTCCTGACCTCAAGTGATCCACCTGCCTTGGCCTCCCAAAGTGCTGGGATTACAGGCGGGAGCCACCAGGCTCGGCCCAAAATTTTTAAATTAAAAATAGCTTCAGCAATTTAACAGGCCTGAGATTTGAAAGAAAAATTGTTTACTCATCATTAATTGCTATTAGGTTAAACCAGAACATTTTGAACATACTGTACAAAAAATTAAATAAGATTAGTCAACTTTCCCCAGACTTAATCTGATTAAAATGGGACATCTGGGTATTTAAAAACACCAAATTAGGCCAGGCGTGGTGGCTCACGCCTGTAATCCCAGCACTTTGGGAGGCCAAGGCAGGCAGATCACGAGGTCAGGAGATCGAGACCAGCCTGGCTAACACGGTGAAACCCCGTCCCTACTAAAAAAATACAAAAAAATAAGCTGGGCGTGGTGGCAGGCGCCTGTAGTCCCAGCTACTCAGGAGGCTGAGGCAGGAGAATGGCGTGAACCTGGGAGGCAGAGCTTGCAGTGAGCCAAGATCAAGCCACTGCACTCCAGCCTGGGCGACAGAGTGAGACTCCATCTCAAAAACAAAACAAAACAACAAACAAAAAAACACACCAAATTAGCGATGAAAAATATTTATTTTTAACAGATTTTTGATCTTATGTATATATCAACACTAAATCAAACCTAATACTAATAGATTTGCGGGGTTTTTTTGAGATAGAGTCTCACTCTGTTGCCCAAGCTGGAGTGCAGTGGTGCAGTCTTGGCTCACTGCAACCTCCACTTCCCAGGTTCAAGCAATTCTCCTGCCTCAGCCTCCTGAGTAGCTGGGATTACAGGTGCCTGTCACCATGCCTGGCTAATTTTTTGTATTTTCAGTAGAGATGGGGTTTCACCATGTTGGCCAGACTGGTCTCAAACTCCTAACCTCATGATCCATCTGCCTCAGCCTCCCAAAGTGCTGGGATTATAGGTGTGAGCCACTGCATCCAGCCAGATTTGATTTTTTAAATGTTTGTGAATGTCTATCACTGAAGTGAAAAACCAAATTATTTAAATCTACTTTCTAAATAATTTTGATAAAAATATTCTGTATTTTAATTGAGTGCCAGTATTCATATAGTATGCCAAACCACCCATTTCTTTACTATTTTGCCATTTTATAAAATAAGCCTGAGTTTGTGGAGACATTTTTAAAGAAACCAATTTTTTCTACAAAAAGATTTAGACATCAAAAATAGATATATTAGTTTCACATTATATACATGGTTTGCTGATTGCTACAGTAATTTCTAAAGTTTGTGTACATCAATCTTAGATTTTCTAAAACAAAATGAACGGTTTTATGTTACATTTAATATACAAAGTCCAAAATATATCCAGACAGACAAAAAGTGTGGCTGCCTCTTTAAAGAACAAATGTTTTTGCACGCTACACTGTTCTGTGTATGTACAGATGGAAAACCAAACTTCAAAGTTTTCAAATCATAAACAGGAGCATTATTTGTGAGTCTGAGCCTTAAATATGTATAACACATACAGTTTACTCTTCTTAATTTAAAATATACTGTACTTTGAACAATTCAAGTACTGTAAGACTATTGAAAACTTCCTAAATCATACAAGTGTCAACTGAACTTTCAAAATTATAAGAACTTTCAAAAAGTAAACAAAACCATGACAGTTTAGTTTTAAAAAATGACTTTTGGCTGGGCACGGTGGCTCATACCTGTAATCCCAGCACTTTGGAAGGCCAAGGTGGGTGGATCACGAGGTCAGGAGATCAAGACCATCCTGGCTAACACAGTGAAACCCCATCTCTACTAAAAATACAAAAAGATTAGCTGGACGTGGTGGCAGATGCCTGTAATCCCAGCTACTCAGGAGGCTGAGGCACGAGAATGGTGTGAACCCAGGAGGCAGAGCTTGCAGTGAGCCAACATTGCACCACTGTTCTCTAGCCTGGGTGACTGAGAGAGACTCCATCTCAAAAAAAAAAAAAATGACTTTTTATTTGCCCTTGTGATAAGAATCACCTTTATTCATTTTGGAACAAACAGGAAATGATGCAGTTGTAGCTTGCTGGGTGGTGACTGTCCTAGGGATGGTGGGATCCAGTAGACCAGAATTGTCAGCACCTTGCCATGTTCACTTATGTCCTTTCTTGCTGTGACTAAGATTCGTTTCCCAGACTCCTTCATCAACTCCGTTTCCATTGTGACATGAACAGTTTTGCACTGCTTTAGCATCTGCCTTTGGTTTTAAGGGAGGAGACCACCCCTCATATTGTCTTATGCCCAATTTCTGCCTCCAAAGATAGAAGAAGAAATAAAAACTAAAAGGAAGAAATGAAATCCACAGGCAGACAGCCCGGCACTGTGCCCTGGACCTGGTAGTTAAAGATCGGCCCCTGACCTAATCGATTATGTTATCTATAGATTCCAGACATTGTATGGAAAAGCACTGTGAAAATCCCTGTCCTGTTCTGTTGTTCTGATTACCAGTGCATGCAGCCCTCAGTCACATACCCCCTGCTTGCTCAATCAATCACGACCCTCTCACCTGGACCCCCTTAGAGCTGTAAGCCCTTAAAAGGGACAGTAATTGCTCACTCGGGGAGCTCGGTTTTTGGAGATATGAGTCCACCGATGCTCCCAGCTGAATAAAGTAAAGCCCTTTCCTTCCACAACTCAGTGTCTGAGGGGTTCTTTTCTGTGGCTCATCCTGCTACATTTCTTGGTTCTCTGACCAGGAAGTGAGGTGATTGGTGGACTGTCGAGGCAGCCCCTTAGGTGACTGAGGCCTGCCCTGTGGAGCATCCCTGTGGGGGACTCCAATCAGCCTGAGTGACGCAGATCCAAAGAGTGCTCCCAGGTAGGCAATTGCCCCGGTGGGACATCTTACTAGAGAAGCATGTGGCAGGCCCTCACGGAGGATCAACACAGTGGCTGAACACCAGGAAGGAATTGGCACTTGGAGTCTGGACATATGAAATTTGGTAAGACTGGTCTTTGGAACTTGCCCACTCCATTTGAGTGGAAGCATGGCCTGATCACCCATGGTGTGCCTGTACCAGCACTTTGGTTTTTGTTTTTGACTTGACTTGGATTGCTTGATACTTTGGTTTTGGTTTTGACCTGGATTGGATTTCCTGATACTCTGATTTTGGTTTTGATTCTGGTTTGGTGTAAACTGTAAAAGTGTGTGTGTGCCCTTTTTACCTGTTCTTGTTTTGTGGTGTGTGTGTGGTGTGAGCAGGTGTTTTGTCTCAAGGAAGCATGGATCAGGCACAAAGTAAGCCCACCCCACTAGGAATTATGTTGAAAAATTTCAAGAAAGGATTTAAAGGAGACTATGGAATACTATGACACCAGGAAAACTTAAAACTTTGTGTAACTTAGACTGGCCAGCATTAGAGGTGGGTTGGCCATCAGAAGGAAGCCTTGAGAGGTCCCTTGTTTCAGAGGTATGTCACAAGGTAACCTGTCAGCCAGGTCACCGAGACCAGTTCCCATACATAGACACTTCGTCACAGCTGGTTTTAGACTCCCCCCACCCCTCCCACAGTGGTTGAGAGAACAGCAGCATAAGCGGCTGGCAGAGGCAAGGAAAGACCAGCAGAGAGAGAGAGAGAGAGAAAAAAAAGAGACAGAGAGGAAAAGAGGCAAAGAGAGAGAGGAAGAGACAGAGAGACAAAGTTGGAGTCAAGGAGAGAGAGAAAAAAAGAGAGGCAGAGAGAAAGAGACAGAGGTGAAAGGAAAGTCAAAGAGAGAGAAAATCAAAGAGAGAAAGAGAGATATACAAGTAGTTAAGAAAAAAAGTGTACTCTATTCCAGGATAAATTTAAAACCTATAATTGATAATTGAAGGTCTTCTCCATGACCCTACAACTCTCCAATACCACCTTGTTGTGACTGTAAACAAGGGCATAGCCTGAAAGCACTGAGGCCACTGACAAGCTGTAGCCTTCCTATCAAAAATCCTTAACCTAGTAATCTGCAGATGGCCTACATGCATTTAATCTGTAGTGGCAACTGCTTTGCTAACAGAAGAAAGTAGAAAAATAACTTTTAGAGAAAACCTCATTGTGAGCACTCCCCACTGGTTCAGAAGTACCCTAAGGAAAAAAAAAAAAAGCAAGAAGGTAGCTTACTAACTTAAAAATCTTAAAGTATAGGGCTATTCTGTTAAAAAAAAAAAAAAAAGATGACAACATTAACCACTGAAAATCCCCTAATGGGGGATCTAAATCTTAATTACCATACAAAGGTCCGACCAGACCTAGGAGGAACTCCCTTCAGGACAGGTTGATAGATGGTTCCTCCTGGGTAAACAAACAAAAACAGCCATCTATACCAATTCTAAGTTAATTTGGACTAAACAAGGTCTTATTAATAGCAAAGGATAATGGAAATCCCAAACTTACAAGGTTTTCAACAAAAGTAAACTTTGCTAAAAGTTAACAGTGTAACATGTATTATAGTAACTTCTAATCTTGTGGCCTTAGTCTAGTCCACAGACATAAAGGAAGTTCGCTTTGGAAAAGAATGGTTATCTTAGAAAAAACAAAAAGGGAAAAAAAATAGGCAGCAGAATTTTTGTAAAAAGAATGTTATATGGTAAATTCTTGTCCTGAAATAAATGAACTGGTTGCTTAAAGAAAGAAATGTTTGTAATAAGTCAGAAAGTTGAGACATGTCAAAGAATTGTCTGTGAAAGTTGTGAAAAAAATGTTTTAAAAAAAGAATTTATGCAATAAATGTATAATTTAAAAGTAACTAGGCCTCCTGAATGTAAAACTATTGAAAAATACAGTTTATGTGCAAGGTGTATAAGGAAAGTAAAATACACCTCTGGTAAAAGGATTATAAGGAGGCATAAGAATGTGGATTTTTACCTACATGAAAAGGTTAAAAAAATTTGTTTTGAAGGTTTAAGCAGGTTTTAAAATGTTAATTGTAAAGGAAATTCTGTGTGTAAACATATTGGCTAAAGTTAAAAGGGTATCATCCAGTTTTTCTGTGAACGGAACATTAAAATAAAAACACAACAGGTTTTTCTTAAAGCACTAATCTGCTGTTTAACAAAAATTATAAAAGGTTAAAAAGAGTCTATAAAAATCTTACCTTATGGTCAGAAATTAAAAATTGGATAAATATGTCTACAAAGTTTTATTAAAACTAAGTTTAACATTAATAACACACGAATATAAATGTGAAATTTAGCTTATCTGGTATAAAAATCATACAAGAAGCATTGTCAAATATAAAATGGTGTTTGGCTTTCTTTGGTCTAAAAACTAATAAAAATAGGCGCTAAAGGAAATTTCTCAGTAAAAAGGCACCAAGGACTATAAAATCCACTGCTGATGTCCTCACATTTAAAACAAAAGGTCAGTTTCTTAAAAATTATATACTTGGTTTAGCACATGTACCACCCCTAGAATTTTTGGTAAACCAGCTCCAGCCTGAAGATCATGTTCTTATCAAAGGGTGGAAAGAAGAAAAACTTGAGCCAGCCTGGGAAGGGCTCTACCTTGTGCTGCTAACCACTGAGACTGTTGTTCATACAGCAAAAAGGGGATGGACTCATCATACCTGAGTCAAGAAAGTGCCACCCCCTCCAGAGTCGTGGGCCATAGTCCCAGGGGAAACCCCTACCAAACTAAAGCTAAGAAAAATTTAACTCTCTTTCATCTATCCTATTACTCTTTCTTCTTTCCTTGCTCTATTGCTGATCATCTAGTTATTAACATAACCAAGTCAATTTTGCCTCAAACTGTTGCACTTAATGCTTGCCTTGTTATACCCTGTGGGGACTTGCCAAGTCAAAGACAGCTCTCTACTTCAGAAAAGTACCTCTGTCCCTCCTGACTCTCCTCAGACTGGGCATTAGTAAATTAGGACCATTTAATCCACGGAGATTTTGATAAAGACCCCAGTGTCAACCACGATTCTTGCCCCCCAATGTAGAGCTTTTATGCCATAGTTGATCCAACATTCTGTGGACCACTAAAGAGCAAGTGTGGACTGCCCCAACCATTTTTGTAATTTCCTAAAATCATACATTCATTTTACTAGAGGATCATAGAAGTTAAAAACCTAAAACAAACTTTGGCAATTAAGACAGGATACCAAGATGTAAATGCCTGGTTGGAGTGGATCAAATATTCCATCCGCACATTAAACAAAAGCAATTGTTATGCTTGAGCACATGGCAGGCCAGAGGCCCAGATTGTCCCCTTTCCACTAGGGTGGTCCTCCAGTCAAATGGGCCTGGGTTACATTGTAGCTCTTTTCCAAGATTCTACAGCCTAGGGTAAAAAGTCATGCCAAGCTCTCTCTCTGCTATATCCCGAAATACAGCACCTTGCGGGTCAGCCCCTGAGGGCCATCCAGCCTCCATTTTCCAACACTAAGTTCACTTCGTGTCTCTCAGGACAGGGAGGAAACAGTGTTCCTTGGAGACCTGAAGGGATGCAGTGAGCTTAAGAATTTTCAAGAGCTGGGCCGGGCGCAGTGGCTCACGCCTGTAATCCCAGCACTTTGGGAGGCCAAGGTGGGCAGATCACAAGGTCAGGAGTTTGAGACCAGCCTGGCCAACATGTTGAAACCCCATCTCTACTAAAAATACAAAAATTAGCCGGGCATGGTGGCAGGCACCTGTAGTCCCAGCTACTCGGGAGGCTGAGGCAGGAGAATAGCTTGAACCCGGGAGGCAGAGGTTGCAGTGAACCAAGATCGCACCACTGCACTCCAGCCTGGGTGACAGAGTGAGACTCCATTTCAAAAAAAATTTTTTTTCAAGAGTTTATCAATCAGTCAGCCCTTGTTCATCCCTGGTGGATGTGTGGTGGTATTGTGGTGGATCTTTATTGGGCACTCTGCCAAATAACTGGAGTGGCACTTGTGCTTTAGTCCAATTGGCTATCCCTTTCACCCTGGCATTTCATCAACGAGAGGGAGGAAAAATAAAACATCATAAAGTGGGAGAAGCCCCTTATGGGTCTTCTGATGCTCACGTCTATTTAGACACAATTGGAGTCCCACAGGGAACACCAGGTCAATTTAAAGCCCAAAATCAAATAGCTGCAGGATTTGAGTGAATATTTTGGTGAGTGACAGTTAATAAAAATGTAGATTGGATAAACTACATCTATTACAACCAACAGCAGCAAGCTTTTCATGAGTTAAAAAGAAAAACTCATGTTGGCCCTAGCCCTGGGGCTACCTGACCTGACAAAACCTTTTACACTATATGTGTCAGAGAGAGACAAAAATTAGCAGTTAGAATTTTGGCCCAGACTGTGGGGTCCTGGCCGAGGCTCGTGGCCTACCTCTCTAAACAACTAGATGGGGTTTCTTAGGGTTGGCCCCCATGTTTGAGGGCCTTGGCAGCAACAGCCCAGCTAGCACAGGAAGTGGGTAAGCTAACTCGTATGCAAAACCTAAACATAAAGGCCCCCCATGCTGTAGTGACTTTAATAAATACCAAAGGCCATCATTGGCTAACAAATGCTAGGCTAACTAAATACCAAAGCTTGCTCTGTGAAAATTCCCGCATAACCATTGAAGATTGCAACACTCTGAACCCCGCCACTTTGCTCCCAGTATCAGAGAGCGCAGTTGAACATAACTGTGTAGAGGTGTTGGACTCAGTTTATTCTAGCAGGCCCAACCTCCAAGACCATCCTTAAACATCAGTAGACTGGGTACATGGATGGGAGCAGCTTCACCAACCCTTGCAAAGTGATTCAGAAGACTACAAGCCCTGATCCAGTCATACCCAGAAGCTGACTGATCCACACATGGCCAAAGCATGAGGAAACTCATTTTGGGACTCATTTTCCTTAAAATTTGGACTTGTACAGTAAGGACTTCAACTGACCTTCCTCAGACTGAGGACTGTTCCCTACATATACATCAAGTCACTGAGGTAAGACAAAAGGTTACTACAGCCCTATTATTTTATGGTTATTGTAAGTGTACCGGGACTCTAAGAGGAACTTATTTGTATAATGCTATACAGGGTATGTAGCCCAGGAAGTGACCAGCCTGATGTGTGCTATAACCCATCTAAGCCCCCTATGACTACCATTTTTAAAATAAGATTAAAGACTGGCAACTTCTGGGTTCTGAAAAACCTCAATTATTAGACAATACTGTATAGCACGGGTGAGGAAGGACTTCACCCTTCCTGTGGGAAGACAGCTGCCTTGGGCAAAAACTGTACACTACAAAAGCAGCCACCTGGTGGAGTTCAAACCACACTGAAAGAAATCCGTTTAGCAAATTTCCAAAGTTGCAAACTGTATGGAGACACCCGGAGTCCCATCAGGTCTGGACAGCCTCCTCTGAATTATACCGAATATGTGGGCATAGAGCTTATGCCAAGTTACCTGACCAATGGGCAGGTAGTTGTGTTATTGGCACCATTAAACTGTCCTTTTTCCTACTGCCCATAAAAACAGGCAAGCTCCTAGGCTGTCATGTCTATGCTCCCCGAGAAAAGAGAAGGATAGCTATAGGCGACTGGGAAGATGACAAGTGGTCCCCTGAAAGAATCATACAGTACTATGGGCCTGCCACTTGGGCACAAGATGGCTCGTAGGGATACTGAACCCCCATTTATATGCTCAACCGAATCACACAGTTACAAGCTGTCTTGGAAATAATCACTAATAAAACTGGCAGAGCTTTAACTGTTTTAGCCCTGCAAGAAATCCAGATGAGAAATGCTATCTATAAAAGTAGACTAGCCCTAGACTACTTGCTAGCAGCTGAAGGAGGGATCTGTGGAAAGTTTAACATGACCAATTGCTGTCTGCACATAGATGACCAAGGGCAAATAGTTGAAGATATAATTAAAATAACAAAGCTGGCACATGTTCCCATGCAGGTGTGGCATGGGTTTAATCCTAGGTCCATGTTTGGAAAATGGTTTCCAGCACTAGGAGGATTTAAAACTACTATAATAGGAATTATAATAGTAATAGAAACCTGCATGTTGCTTCCCTGTGTGCTGCCTTTGCTCCTTCAAGTAATGAAAAGTTTTGTTACTACTTTAGTGCATCAAAATGCTTCAGCACAAGTGTACTATATGAATCACTATCAATCTGTCTTGCAAGAAGACATGGGTAGTGAGGATGAAAGTGAGAACTCCCACTAATGAGTGAGGTTCTCAAAGTGGGGGAATAAGGGAGGAGACCACCCCTCATATTGTCTTATGCCCAATTTCTGCCTCCAAAGAAAGAAGAAGTAAAAACTAAAAAGCAGAAATGAAACCCAAAGGCAGGCAGCCCAGCACCATGCCCTGTGCCTGGTAGTTAAAGATCGACCCCTGACCTAACCAATTATGTTATCTATAGATTCCAGACATTGTATGGAAAAACATTGTGAAAATCCCTGTCCTGTTCTGTTCTGTTCTAATAACCGGTACATGCAGCCCACAGTCAGGTACCCCCTGCTGGCTCAGTCGATCACGACCCTCTCACGTGGACCCCTTTAGAGTTGTAAGCCCTTAAAAGGAACAGTAATTGCTCGCTCGGGGAGCTCAGTTTTTGGAGACGTGAGTCTGCTGATGCTACCAGCTCAATAAAGCCCTTTCCTTCCACAACTTGGTGTCTGAGGGGTTCTTGTCTGCGGCTCATCCTGCTACAGTTTCTGCTAATTTTTTTGACTTTTATTTTTCTTGTCCATCTCTGATGCTTGCTTTGCTACTCCACTTTGAGGATTTTGGGCAGCTTCACCCTCAGCCATTCCAACAGTCCATCCATTTGCCTCAAGCTCTAGGCAGTTTCTCCTGGTTCTTCTGTTCCTGGCATCTAAGATTTGTCAGCAGGGCCTGGTTTCCAGGAACCATGCATGGCTATGGCCTCCTCCCACCTGGAGGGCTGCTCCTGCACCTCTGACTGGCAATGGTTCCAGCTGCGGCCCAGCTGAGCACAGCAGGAATGGCAGCAGCAACTGGAGCATCCATGCCCAGGGTCACCTAGCCCAGGGACACCTTAGCTACAACCCAGGGTTGATGTCCAGCTCCATGCACCAAAAGCCAAGGCCAACCAGAGCATTTCCTGGACAAGATCTCTCGGTCTGCAGGGCCAGTTCCTCCTACTGGCTTCCTGCTGCCACCTCCCTTTCCATCAAAGGGATGCTCAGGATGGCACAGGAGCCTGGAGACACTGTGAAGAGTCCAAGGGAGTGAGGAGGGGCTGGGCAGGGCAGCCTCAGACCCAGCACAGGGCAGCACTTCTCATGCCTGAGCAGAGATCAGCCACTGCCACAGTGGAAGGACAGAGGGACCCAGGCTCCTCAGCCTCCCTCTGCACCAGGAGTATGGGAAGCTATTTCAAAAAAAAAAAAAAAAAAAGAAGTATGGAATAGAACTTGCAGATCTAACCCAACCAAGTTTTCATTCTTTTTCCTGTTTTTTCTTTATTTTTAAATGTATTTTTCTCTCAAATTATGCTCACCTGATGGAAGATTTTATGTTCCAGCCTCACATGGAAATTTAAATGTAATTATAATGGTCACAAATTTAGAAACTATAAATTTTACTTTATTTTGCCTAAGAATGCTGGGGTAACATTAAATTTTGAATAGTGCTTTCTGAATCTTAACTTTGATTACCTTTTATATGATTCTATTAACTAAACTGTAGTAAGTAATAAAAATAAATTCTTGATTTGCATAGGGCTTGACAGTTTACAAAGGGTATGTATTTATTCATTTAACCAATAAATGTGCATTGAGCATACACGTTGTGCTATGCTTTTTGCTAGCCTTGGGAGATAAAATTAAGAAAAGAAAGTATTGGCCTGGCGTGGTGGCTCATGCCTGTAATCCCAGCACTTTGGGAGGCCGAGGTGGGCAGATCATGAGGTCAGGAGTTCGAGACCAGCTTGGCCAACATAGTGAAACCCTGTCTCTACTAAAAATACAAAAATTAGCTGGGCCCAGATACCTGTATCCTGGGCAGCAGAGTGAGACTCCATCTCAAAAAATAAAAAGAAAGTTTTGGTCTCTACTCTCAGGAAACTTTCAGTCTGGCTTCATATAATCCTCACATACTCTCATAAAGTACATACCTCTAAAGTCTTCTATAAGCCTACTTCCCGAAAGTGACCACTATCTGAATTTTGCTGCTTGTGGTTTGCATATTTATTGATCTACAATATGACATCATATAAATACACTACAATTTATTTATTCAACTGTTCATGAACATTTTGCTAATTTTCCAGATTTTTCAGTGCTTCTATAGGCCGTCTTGCACTTTATTTATTTTTATTTTTATTTTTTTGAGACAGAATTTCACTCTTGTTACCCAGGATGGATTGCAGTGGCATGATCTCGGCTCACTCCAATTTGCAATTATTTTATTTTATTTTTTGAGATGGAGTCTTGCCCTGTTGCCCAGGCTGGAGTGCAATGGCATGGTCTTGGCTCACTGCAACCTCTGCCTTCTGGTTTCAAGTGATTCTTCTGCCTCAGCCTCCCAAATAGCTGTGATTACAGGTGCCTGCCAACACGCCCGGCTAATTTTTTGTATCTTTAGTAGAGACAGGGTTTCTCCATGTTGGCCAGGCTGGTCTCAAACTCCTGACCTCATGATCCACCCACCTTGGCCTCCCAAAGTGCTGAGATTACAGGCATGAGCCACCGCACCCAGTGTCTGCAATTTTTAATTAAATAAATTTTATTTGACTTTGAAGAATCTGTTTATTTATTTTTATTTTTATTTTTTTTGAGATGGAGTCTCACTCTGTCCCCCAGGCTGGAGTGCAATGGTGTGATCTCGGCTCACTGCAACCTCTGCCTCCCGGGTTCAAGCAATTCTCTTGCCTCAGCCTCCCAAGTAGCTGGGATTACAGGCACGTGCCACCATCCTCAGCTAATTTTTTGTGTATTTAGTAGAGACGGGGTTTCACCATGCAGGCCAGTCTGGTCTCGAACTCCCGACCTCGTGATCTGCCAACTCGGCCTCTCAAAGTGCTGGGATTACAGGAGTGAGTCACTGCACCTGGCCTAAAGCATTTACTGTCTTAAAAATAACTGTGGTAAAATTGATTTATTTATCCTTCTCTGAACATTTTTTTCCACATCTCTGTTTCTTTACACGTAAGATTTATCTGCCAAAATTTTTTTCTTATTTTGACCATTCTCAGTGAGGGCCATTTCACCCCAGGAGATACTGTAACCAAGCAGGTGCAATTGAAGGCAGGCCTTGGCTGACCAGGTAAGCTCTAAGCAATTGTAAATAACTACCTTCCAAATATGTATAATTTACATTTTTTATTTAGATACCATAAACATTTATTAAGCTATAATATTTACAATATTATTTTCTGTTTTGAGGTCTACAACTATATCTACATAACACCAATGACAATATTTTAATAAACAGGAGGAATATATATATATAGCTTTACAAAAAAAGCCTGATACATTTACATCTGTATAAGATACTGTAGAATCAATTTCCAAAGCTCAAGGAACTAAAACACACACACACAGACACACACACACAAACATCCTAATACAAGATTCAACATGTCTCCTCTTTGCTGGGTCCAGGTATGAGAGTCATCACTGTGTCTGTGAGCTGAGTCCAGAAATAAGACACCCACCTGTGGCAAGATCCACATATAAAAGTCACAATACAAACTGTGAGCTATATCCACAAGTGAGACTCAGAACCTCAGCAGTGGGCTCTGTCCATGTGTGAGGGTGATAATCCCGTCAGCTGGGTGTGCATAGAAGAGTCACAATCTCAACTTTGTACTGGGACCTAATATGAAACTCTTGGTGAAACGTAAGGGCTTTATATTATATGCATGAGTGTGGTAATCTTCTGAGAACTTTCTGCAAGTAGAAGACTCAGGACCTTACCCATTGCCCTAAGCCCAGCTACAAGAATCAACACCTCTTCTATTGGCTAAATCCAAGTATATGAGAGTCATCATTGCATCTGTGAGCTTGATCCAGAAATAAGTCATCATCTCACACATTGCTGAATTTACATAGGACAGTCACAACTCTAACTGTGGATCATGTCCACATGTGAGATTCAGGACCTCAACAGTGGGTTCTGTCCATGTGTGAGAGTGACAATTGTAATTGTCAGGTGGGTGTGCCTGTGGGATGCACAATCTCACCTGTGTGCTGAGTCCTGTTAGGACACTCTCTGTGTCACTCAAGGATGTTATGGGATATGCATGAGTGTCATCATCTTCTGTGACATTACCACAAGTAGGAAACAGAAGACCTTACCTATTCCCCTAATTCTAGCCATGAGAGTCAAAATCTTTTCTGTTTGTTGGGTCCACATATGAGAGTCATCATCACGCCTGTGAGCTAGGCCTAGGTATGTCACAATCCCACCTGTGGGAAGACCAGACAGGAGAGTCACATTGTTTGAATGTTGGTCTAGGAATATTTCAATAACCCCCTGTGTTCAGGGCCCTGGCAAGAAAGTCACATTACTTGAGTGCTGAGCTCAGCCATATGTCAAAATGCCTCTGTGGGCAGGGCCTAGCCTAGAGAACCACATCACCTGGGTTCTGTGTAAAGCAATATTTCACAATTAATTCTGTTTAGGGCTCAGGAAGGAGAGGAAAGTCATGTAGGTTCTGGCCTACTGGATAGGTCACAATCCCTCCTTTGACAGAACTCAGGCAGCAGAGTCACATCATTTGGGTGTAGGGCCCAGTAATATTGTCAAAACCCTCACAGAAGTCAGGGCCCATGCAGGAAGAAAGAGTCATGTCACCTAGGTTCTGGGCAAGGAATACGTCACAATCCACCTGTGGACTCAGCTCTGGCCCCAGGGTCACATCTCCTGAGCACTAAATTCAGGAACATGTCACAGTGCCCTTTGTGGTACAGGCCAGAGCAGATGTATCACATCACCTAGGTGCTATGCCCAGCAATATGTCACTATTTATTTTGTGGGCAAGGCCCAAGCAAAAGAAGAATTACATCATCTAGGTGATGAGCCCCATGATATATCACAGTGCCAAGCAGGAGTGAAAAGTCACATCATTGTGTCTTGGGCCTAGGAATACATCACAATGGCTTGTGTAAGCAGTGCTTAGGCAGAAGAGTCCCATTACCTAGGTGCTGGACGCAGATATACGTGGAAATCTTCCTGTGGGCAGAGCACAAGCAGGTGAGGAAGGTCACATCAGCTAGGTGGTAGGCCCAGAGATATGTCACAATTTCCCCTTTAGGCCAGGCCAATGCAGAAGAGTCACATCACCTGGGAGATAGTCCCCACACTGTGTCACCTTGCCCCTTGTAGACAGGGCCCTGGTAGGAGCTGAAAATCACATTACCTAAGGGCTAGTCTCAGTGATATCTTACAATTCTCTTTTAGGACAGAGTCCAGACAGGAGAGAAGAGTCACATCACCTAGGTACTGAGCCCAGTGACATGTCACCATTCTCTTTTATGGCAGGGACCAGGAGCGTCACATCACCAAGGTGTTGGGTTCAGTGATATGTCAAAATCTCCCCTATGGACAGGGGCCAGGCAGGAGAAAACACTGATATGGTTTGGCTGTGTCCCCACCCAAATCTCACCTTAAATTTTAACAATCCCTGTATGTTAAGAGCAAGGACAGGTAAATATAATTGAATTACGGAGGTGGTTCTCCTATATTCTTCTTGGGGTAGTGAATAAGTCTCGTGGGATCTAATGGTTTTATAAAAGGGAGTTCCCCTGCCCTTATGCCTGCCACCATGTAAGATGCCTTTTGCTCTTCCTTTATCTTTTACCATGATTCTGAGGCCTCCTTAGCCATGTGGAACTGTGAGTCCATTAAACCTATTTCTTTTATAAATTACCCAGTCTTGAGGATGACTTTATTCACAGTATGAGAACAGACTAATGTAGAAAGTCACAATTTTAGTTGATGGGCCCACACATATATCACAATGCCCTCTGTGGGCAGGGCCCATGCAGCAGAGTCAAACCACTTGAGTGCTGGGCCCAGCATTTTGTAACAATCACAGCTGTGGGCAGCACCTATTCAGCCAAGAGCATAGTCACTTCACCCAGGTGATGGGGCCAGAGATATGTCACAATGCCCCTATAAGGGGTTCACCCAGGTAGTAGAGAAGAGTCACCTCGCCTAGTTCTGGGGCCCAGTGATATTTTTTATTTTTTTGCATGTAAGGCACAGGAAAAAAGTCACATCACCTAGGTTCTGGGTTCAGTGATATGTCACAATTCTTCCTGTGGGCAATGCATAGGCAGAAGAGTCACCTCACCTACATGCCAGATACAGTAATATGTCACAGTTTTCCCTAAGAACAGGGCTCTGGCAGGTAAAAAGACTCCCATTATTTGGGTGATGAGCACAAAGATGTATCACAATGCCTTTTGTAGGCGGGCAAGGCCAGGCAGGAGACTAACATCACCTGGGTCCTGGGCTCAGCAACATGTCACAATCTCCCCTTGGGCATTGCCCAGGCATGAAAAGAGAGTTACATCATCTAGGTGATACATCCAAATATATGTCAAAATTTACCATGAAAGCAGGGCCTAAGAGAAAATAGCGATACATTACCTAGGTGCTGGGTCCAGTGACATGTTACATTCCCTTCTTTGAGCCAGAACCAGACAGGAGAGGAGAGTCACTTCACCTAGATGATCGGTGCAGAGATATGTCACAGTGTTCTCCATAGGCAAAGCCCAGATAAGAGAGTTAAATCATCTGGGTTCAAGGTGAAGCTAAATGTCACAATGCCCCCTATAAGCAGGGCTCAATCAGCAGAAAAGAGTCACATCATTTAGCTGTTGATCATGGTAATATGTCACAATTCCCACTGTGGGTGGATCAATAAAGGGAAGAAGCATTACATCATCTAGGTGATGAGCCCAGTGACATCTCACATTTCCCACTGTTGGGAGGGCCCAAACAGGAGGGGAGAGTCACATTTCCTATGTGCTGGGCCCAGTGATATGTAACTCTCCACCTCTGAGCAGATTCCAGGCAGGAGAGGAAAGTGACATCATCTGGTTGCTGGGCTCAGCAATATGTTACCATTCATCTTGTGGATGGGGTCCAGGCAGTAGAGGAGAAAAAAAAAATCACCTAGGTTCTGGATTCAGTGATATGTCATAATCCCCCCTGAGGGAATGACCCAGGGATGAGAGGGGAGTCCCTTAATCTAGTTAATGTTCCCAGGGATATGTCACAATGTCCCTGTAGGAACAGGGAGGAATGTCACAATGTCCCATATTCTGGGGAAGAATATGTCACCATGTCCCTGGAGGAAGAGTCATATCGCCTAAATGCTGGGCTTAGCAATATGTCACAATCTTTTCTGTTTGCAGATCCCAGGCAAAAGAAGAAAGTCACAGCATTTAGGTGTTTGGCCCAGGTATATGTCACAATTCCAGTTTTGGCCTGGGCCCAGGCAGGAAAGTCAAATTGCTAAGGGGCTGGGCAAACGAATTTGTCATAATCACATTCGTGGGAAGGTCCAGGGATGAGATTGACAAACCTTTATATGTCCCAGCTCTAGGTATGAGATTCAACATCTGTGTGTTGGGTCCTCGTACATGAGTCACAAACTCAACGGTGGACTGGGCATGTGCATGGGACCTCAATCTCACCAGCAGACTATATCCCAGTAGGGAACTCGCAGCCTCACAGGGCTGCTAAATCCAGGTCAGAGAGTCATTATCTCACTTGTGGACTGGATTCTTGTCTGAGACACAATTCCAAATTTTGACTGCCTCCAGCTATGAGATTTAGGACTTCAACAGTGTGCTGTATTCAAGTGGGAAGATGACGATTCTTACTGTCAGCTGGGTGTGCATGCAAGAGTCACAATCTCATCAGTGTGCTGGGTCCTATTATGACACACTGTACAACTTGAGGGCTTTAAAATATACACCTGAGGGCTGGGTGTGGTGGCTCACTCCTGTAATCCCAGCACTTTGGGAGGCTGAGGTGAGCAGATCACGAGGTCAGGAAATCGAGACCACCCTGGCTAACACGGTGAAACACCGTCTCTACTAAAAAAATACAAAAAAATTAGCCAGCCGTGGTGGCGGGCACCTGTAGTCCCAGCTACTCGGGAGGCAGAGGCAGGAGAATGACGTGAACCCGGGAGGTGGAGCTTGCAGTGAGCCAAGGTCACGCCACTGCACTCCAGCCTGGGAGACAGAGAGAGACTCCATCTCAAAAAAAAAAAAAAATATATATATATATATATATATATATGTGTGTGTGTGTGTGTGTGTGTGTGTGTATATACATATATATGTGTGTGTATATATATACATATATATGTGTGTATATATATACATATATATGTGTGTATATATATGTGTGTGTGTGTGCATATATATATATATATATATATATATATATATATATATATATCCCTACACCTGAGAGTCGCAATCTGCTCTGAGACCTTCATGGTTGTATGGATCCTTGATCTTACTCATTGCCCTAGAATCAGGTAGGAGATTGAACATCTCTTATTGGCTGGATCCAGGTATGAGAGTTATCACCATTCCTGTGATCTGAGTCCATAAGTGAGTCACCATTGGAACTGTGGCCATATTCACATATGAATCACAATTCCAACTGTGGACTGTGTTCGCAATTCAGGCTTAGAATTTTACCAGCAGGCTCTGTCCATGTGAGAGAGTGACAGTTATAACTGTGGCCTGGGTGTGCATATGAGAGTCACAATCTCAACTGTGTGCTGAGCCCTGTTATGATACTCTCTGTACTACTCAAGTGCTTTATATAGTATGCGTGGGTGATGTGATCCTTTGTGATCTTTATACAATTAGGAAACTAAGGACTTTATTGTTTGCCCTAATCTTGGCTATGAAAGATACCATCTCTCCTATTAGCTGAGTTCAGGCTTAAGAGTCATCTTCATCCCTGTTGGCTGCAGGGATGAGGCTGGATCATCACATTCCCTGGGTGCTGGACCAGGAATATGTCACAATTTCCTCTACGGGCAGGACCCAGGCAAGAGAGTCACATCGCCTCAGCGCTGTGCCCAGTGAAATGTCACAATGCCCCCTGTGGGCAAGGCCCAGGAAAGACAGTCACGTTATCTGGGTGCTCAGCCCAGTGATATGGTCCAGGTTTTCCTGTGGGCAAAGCACAGGCAGAAGAAGTGAGTCATATCATCTAGGTGATGAACCCAAAGTTATGTCAAAATGCCCCCTGTGAGCAGGGCTCAGGCAGAAGAGTCACATCACCCAGGTGCTAGACTCAGCAATATGTCATAATTCCCCCTATATGCAGGGCCTAGGCAGGAGGGAGTCACATCATCTAGGTGCTGGGTCCAGAGATATGTCACAATGCTCCCTGTGGACATTGCCCATGAAGTAAAGTCACATCACCTTAATGATGGGCACTGCATTATATTATCATGCCCCCTGTATGCAGAACCCAAATGGAAAAGGATATTTACTTCACCTGGGTGCTAGGCCCAGTGCTATGTCACAATTCCTAAAATGGGCAGGGCCCAGACGTGAGAAGAGAGTCATATTACCTAGGTGTTGGGCCCAGTGATATGTTATAATGCTCCCAGTGTGCAGGAACCAGGCGGGAGTAAAGAATCCCATTACTTATGTGCTGGGCCCAGAAATATTTCAAAATCTCCCTTGAGGGCAGTGCCCAGGAAGGAGAGTATGTCACCTAGATGCTTGATTTAATTAATGTCACTGTAGGCTTGGCCTACCCAGGCAGGTGGAATTCCTCAAGGGCTCGGCAAATGTATACATAAAAATCACACCTGCAAGAAGGTCCAGTGGTTAGATTTACAATTCTGCACGTGTCCCAGCTTTAGGTATGAGAGTCAACACCTCCTGTGAGTTACGCACAAGTACAGGACTCATCATCTCAATAGTAAATTGGATCCGTGCATGAGAGTCCCAGCCCCACCTAGGGGCTGTGTTCTGGTGTGAGAGTAACAGGCCCATGGGTGTGCTGAATTCTGGTCCAAGCGTCACCACCCCACCTGTGGATGGGATCCATGTATGAAAGTCATGATTTTAACTGTCAACTGTCTCTGGATGTCAGATTCAGAACCTCAAAGGTGAGCTGTGTCCATGTGGGAGAGTGGCAACTCTTATTTTTGGGTGAGTGTGCATTTAAGGATCACAATCTTCCCTGTGTGATTGGCACCGTTATGACATTTTCTGTATCACCCAAAGGCTTTATATGATATGCATGAGAGTCACAGTCTGCTCTGAGAGTTTTGTGCTGGTATGACCTATTTTACCTGTTGCCCTAAGCCCAGTATGAGAGTCAACCTCTCTCTCTAATTTGCTGCATCCAGGAATGAGAATCATCACTGTGCCTGTCGGCTGGATTCGGAAGTGAGTCACCATCCCACCTGTGGCTGGATCCACATATAAGTCACAATTCTAACTGCAAACTGCATTTACATGTGACATTTGTGATCTTAACATGTGTAAGTTAAAATCCTAACTGTCAGCTGGGTGTGCATTTGAGAGTCATAGTCTCATCTGTGTGCTGAGCCCTGTTAGATACTCTCTGTACCAACTGAAAGCCTTATACAATATGCATGAGTATTGTAATTTTCTCTGACCTTTGTACGGGAAACACACCCAGACCTTACTCATTGCCCTAAGCCTAGCAAAGAGAATCAATATCTCTCCTATTTGCTGGGTTCAAGTATGATTGTCATCATTGCACCAGTGAGTTTAGCCCAGATGTATATCACAATCCCACATGCAGACAGGGACCAGGCAGAAGAGTCACATCACCTGGATGCTAGAAGAGGAATATGTCAGTCCTCACTATGAGCAGGATCAGGGAAGAAGAGTCATATCAGCTGGGTTCTGGGCCTAGTGATATGCCACAGTCCATCATGTGGGCAGGTCCCAAGCAGAAGAGAACAATAACATTGCTTAGGCGATGAGCCCAGCAATATGTAACAATGCCCAATATAAGCAGGGCCCAGGGAAGAGAGGACAGTCAGGTCACCTGTTTGCTGGTTCCTGTAATATGTTACAACTCCCACTGTTAGCAGAACTTTGCAAAAGAAGTGAGTCACAAAATTTAGGTGCTGGGTTAAGCAATAGTTCACAATCCCCACTGTAGGCAAAGATTAGGCAGCAGAGGACTCAAATCACCTAAGTGCTGGGTGCAGCAATATGTCACATGTTCTTCTGAAGCTGAGACCCAGGCAGGAGAGAAGAGTTACTTCACCTAGGTGTTTGACTAAGAAATATGTCATAATGTCCCATGTGGGGAGAATTAAGGCAGAACAAGCACATCATCTAGGTGCTGGGCCCAGTGATATGTCACAATTTTCTGTGTGATCAAAACTTTGGCACAAGAGGAGAGTCACATTACCTAGGTGTTGAATTCAGAAATATGTAAAAATCACTTCTAAGTAATGGGCTCAGGCAGATGAGGAGAGTCATATTACCTTGGTCCTTGGCCTTGGTATATGTCACAATTTCATCTGTGGGCTGGGCCCAAGAAGAAAACTACAATCACTCAGGGTATGGGCAAAAGCATATGTCACAATCACACCTGCAGAAAAGTCCAGGGATGAGATACAGAATCCCAAACATGTCCAGCTCTAGGGAGGACAGTCAACACCTCCTGTGTGTTCAGTCCTAGTGTGCAAGTCAGAATCTGGATACTGGGCTGGATTTGTGCCTGAGAGTCTCAATTCAACCTTCAGATTGTGTCCTGGCAGTAGTCACAGCCTCAGAGGTGTGACAAATCTTGGTCTGTGAGTCATTATCTCATCTGTATTCAGGTATTCACCTGATTCATGTATGAGACTCACAATTCCAACTTTTAGCTACCTCCAAGTGTGAGATTCAGAACCTCAACAACAGGCTGTGGCTATTTAAGAGGGTGAAAATTCTTACTGTCAACTGGACATGCATATGAGGGTCACTATCTCACCTGTGCACTGGGCCCTGTTATCACAGTCTTGGTGCCACCTGAGGGCTTTCTCTGGTGAAAGTCACAATCCACACTTAGATCTACATGCTGTTATGAACTCATGATCTTACCCATTGTCGTAAGCCCAGGAATAAGAGCTAACATCTCTCTTGTTGGCTAGTGTCAGATATGAGAGTTCTCACTGTGCCTGTGAGTTGGCGGCAGAAAGAAGTCACTATCCCACCTGTGGCCAGATCCACGTATGACAGTCAAAATTTCAACTGTGGATGGCATCCACATGTGATGCTCTGGACCTCACTAGTGGTCTCTGTCCGCGTGTGGGAGTGACAATTCTCACTGTTTGCTGGGTATGCCTATGAGAATCACAATTTTAACTTTGTGCTGGAATCTCTTATGACACTCTCTGTACCACCGAAGGGATCATACAATACGCATTAGTTTTGTAATCCTCTGTGACCTTCATACAAGTAGAAAGCCCAGGACCTTGCCCATTGCTTGAAGGCTCCCTATGAGAGTCAACATATCTCCTGTTTGCTAGGTCCAGGTATGCAACTAATCACTGTGCCTCTGAGCTGTGTCCAGAAATCAGTCACTATTCAACCTGTTTCCAGATGTACACATGACAGTCAGACTTTTGACTGTGGACTGCATCTGCGTGTGAGGTTCAGAAGCTCACCAGTGACCTTTCATGTTTGGAATTGACAATCCCAATTGTTGGCTTGGTATGCCTGTGAGAATCACAATCTCACTTGTGTGCTGAGTCCTATTATTACATTCTCTGTAGCAAAGTATATATAGGATATGCATAAATTTTATACATCTCTGTGACCCTTCTAAAAGTAGGAAACCCAGGACTTTACCTACTGCCTAAAGTCTAAGAGCTTCAAAATCATTCTTATTGTCTGGGTTCTTATATGAGTGTAATCATAACGCCTGTGAGCTGGAAAAACCATATGTTAAAGCTTAGCCTGTGTGAATAAACCAGAAAAGAGAATCATGTCACCTGAATGCTGGACCAAAAACATGTCACTATCCACTCTGTGGGGAGGGCCATGGCAGAGAAGTCCCATAACCTGGGTACTGGGCCCAGGAGTATGTCACAATGCCTTCTGTGGGCAAGGTTCATGCAGGAAAGACACATTATCTGCATGCAGGGCACAGCAATATGTCACCCTGTGTACAGGGCTCAGGTAAGAGAGGAGAGTCACAATACCCAGTTGTTGGGCCTATTGATAGGTCACAATGCCTCCTTTTGGAGGGACCAAGGCAGGAGAGTCATATCATTTACGCATAGGGCTCAGTGACATATCACAACCCACTCTGTGGCAAAGCCCATGCAAAAGAGTAAAGTCACATCACTTAGGTGATTGGCCCAATTATATGCTACAACTATCTGTATTGGCAGGGCCCAAGCAGGAGAGGATGATTATATAACCTAGGTTATGGGCCCAGTGATATGTCACAATTTCCCCTGAGGACAAGGCCTATGCAAGAAAGTAAAATAACTTAAATGCTTGGCCCAGGTATACATCACAGTTTTATTTTTGGGCTTTACCCAGGCAGGAGAGTCAAATCACTCAGGTGCTGGGCAAATGTATATATCACAATCACACTAGCAAGAAGGTTGAGAAATGAGATTCAAAATTCCACACATTTTCTGACTTCAGGTATGAGAGTCAAGAGACCTCATTTGAGTTGGGTCCAAGTACATGAATCACAATCTGAATGGTGGACTCACTCCCTGCAAGAGAGCCCCAATTCCAAATGAAAACTATTTCTGAATCTAAGAGTCACAGCCTCACAGGTGTTCTGAATCCTAGTCTTTGAGTCACCATTCTACCTGTTAAGCAGATCCATGTATGAGAGTCACAATTCCAACTTTTGACTGCCCCCATGTGTGAGATCCACAGCCTCAACAGTGGACAGTTTCCATGTGTGACAGTGACAATGTTTACTGTTGGCTGAGTGTGCATAGGAGAGTCACAATTTCACCTGTGTTCTTGGTTGTGTTATGACACTCTCTGTATTATCCACAGGCTTTATATGCTTTAAGAGGCAGTTGCAATTCACTTTGAGACCTTCATGCTGATATGAACCTAAGATTGTACCCATTGCCCTATGCCCAAGTGTGAGAGTCACAGCTCTCTTATTGGCCAGATATAGGTATGACAGTCATCTCAAAGTGTCTGTAAGCTGGCTTCAAAAATAAGTCAGCATACCAACTGTCCCAGGACCCACATATGACTGTCACAAATCTAATTTTGGAGTGTGCCTGTGAGATTCAGGACCTCACCAGTGGGCTTTTCTTATGTGTGAGGGTGACAATCCTAATTTTCAGCTAGGTGTGCCTATGAGAGTAACAATCTCACCTGTGTAGTGGATCCTGTTATTATACTCTCAATGTAACACAAAAGCTTTATAGGATAAGCTTGAGTGTCCATAATCTTATGTGACCTTTCCTCACATAGGAGACCCAGTACTTTATCCACTGCCCTAAGCCTAAAATAAAAAAGGCAAAATCTCCCCTATTGGCAGGTCCATATATCAAATTAGCCAGTAAAAAAAGGCACTCTCTGTCCTAGCTAGGCTGAGAGAACAGGTAAGATTCCAGGTCTCCTCTTTGTACAAAGATCATAAAAAATCGCCACTTCCTCTCACATTGTATAAAGCCCTTGGGTGATATGGAGAGCATAAATTCAGGTGACACAGGGAGTGTATCCAGAACACAACAGAAATTTTTCTTATTGTATGCGCACCCAGCCAACCATTAGCCTTGTCACCGTCACACATAAACAGAGCCCACTGGTGAGGTCCTGAATCAAACTCGTGGATGCCATTCATAGTTGAAATTGTGACTGCATACGTGAACACCTGGCTACAGTTGGAATGGTGACTCATTTCTAAACCCAGCTCATAGGCAGATGAAGACCCTCCTATCTAAACTCAGCCATTATTAAAGATGTTCACTCTCATATCTGGGCTTAGAATCACAGGTAAAATTGTGGGTTCACACAAGCACAAAAGTTTCAGAACAGATTGCAGCTCTCATGCATACTGCATAATGCCCTCAGTAAGACAGAGAGGGTCCTTACAGGGCCGGGCACACAAATGAGATTGTGACACCCATATGCACACCCAGATAATGATAAAGACTGTCATCCAACCACATGAACACAGCCAGTGTTAAAGTCCTGAATCTCATGCCAGGAGGCAGTCGAAAGTTGGAAAACTGATTCTCATTATGTGGAGAGTCAGCAACCCACCTGACCAAGATTCAGCACACCTGTGAGGCTGTGACCCTTTGAAAATAATACAGTGCACGGGAGGGATTGTGGCTGTCATGCAAGGATCCTGTCCACTGTTGAGATTGTAACTCTTGTACTGAGACCCAACATACAGAATGTGTTGACTCTTATACCTAGAACTGGGCCATGTGCATGATTGTTAATTTTATCCCTGGACTTTTCTGCAGGTGTGATCGTGACATATTTCTTTGCCCAGTACCTCAGTGATTTGACTCTCTTGCCTGGGCCCTCTCCTCATAGGGACATATTTCCAAACCCAGGACCTAAGTGATTTGACTTTCTTCTGCTGCTTGGGCTGTGACCAAGAAGGGATTGTGATGTATTACTGGACCCAGATCAAAGGTGATGTGACTCTTCTTTCATCAGGGCACTGCCAAAAAAAAAAAATTGTGACATATCACTGGACCCTGATTCTAGATGATGTAATTCTCCTCTTTTTGCTTTGCCCCACATATTTTGGGTATCATGACACATCACTAGGCCCAGAACCTCGGGTACATGAGGCTCCTGCCTAAGCCTGGCCTGCAGTGAGCCTTGTGACATACGTCTGCATCCATGACCTAAGAATTGTGAATCTTTCTCTGCCTGAACTTTGCCAACAAGGAAAACTGTGACATATTTCTGCACCCAGCAACCAGTTGATGTGTCTCTCCTGCCTGGGATTTTCCCAGAGAGAGCATTGTGACAAAATTGCTGGGCACAGCAGCCAGGTGAGGTGATTCTGTTCCTGTTGCATTGCTTTCAGGAGATTTTTAAATATTTTTGGCTAAGCATGCTAACGATGTGACTCTCCAGCCTGGTCCCTGTTTTCAGAAAAGACTGTGACATATCCATGGCCTAGTGCCTAGGTGATGTGGCTCTCCTGCTCGCTCCCTACTGAGAGGTGGCATTGTGACATATATCTTGGTTCAGCTCACAGGTGCAATAATGACCATCATACCTTGTGAGATGAACCAGCCAACAGAAGAGATACTGACTCTCATATTTTGGCTTAGAAAAATGAGTAAGACCCTGTGTCTCCTCTTTGTATGAAGGTTATAGAAAGTTACCACTCTCAGCCTGGGCACAGTGACTCACACCTGTAATCCCAGCACTTTGGGTGGCTGAGACAGGTGGATCACGAGGTCAGGAGTTCAAGACC
This sequence comes from Homo sapiens, assembly GCF_000001405.40. Classification (NCBI taxonomy): domain Eukaryota; kingdom Metazoa; phylum Chordata; class Mammalia; order Primates; family Hominidae; genus Homo; species Homo sapiens. The sequence goes on along the minus strand of NC_000019.10, from coordinate 22,339,470 downwards.
AGCTGGCCAAGATGGTGAAACCCCATCTCTACTAAAAATACAAAAATTAGCTGGGTGTGGTGGCAGGTGCCTGTAATCCCAGCTACTTGGGAGGCTGAGGCAGGAGAATCGCTTGAACCCAGGGGGCGGAGGTTGCACTGAGCCGAGATCGCACCACTGCACTCAAGCCTGGGCGACAGAGTGAGACTCTGTCTCAAAAAAAAAAAAAAAGAAAGAAAGAAAGTTGCCAGTCTCACATATCACATAAAGCATTCGGGTACTACAATGTCATCACAAATCCCAGAACATGAGTGAGATTGTGTTCTCGTGTGCACAGTCCACCAACCATTAAAATTTCCACCCTCTCACATTCACAGAACCTACTGGTGATGTTTTGAATCTCACACACAAATGCAGTCAGTCCACAGTTTAAATTGCAACTTTCATATCTGAACATCAAGGCACAATTGGAATGGTTACTCATTTTTAATCCCAACTTATAGGCAGGTGAAGACTCTCCTATCCGGACACAGTCAATAAGAAAGATGTTGACTCTCACACCTGGGCTTAGGGCCACAGGCATGATCAAAGATCCTTTCTAACATGGAGGTTTCAGAGCAAATTTTGACTCTCATGCATGTTGAATAAAGCCCTCGAGTGGTACAGAGAGTGTTCTAACAGGGCTCCGTACACAAGTGAGATTGCAACTCTCATCTGCACACCCAGGTGAGAATAAAGATTGTCATTGTCCCACATGAACACAGCTCACTGTTGAGGTTCTGAATCTCACAGCCTGAGGTCGCTAAAAGTTGCAAATTTGACTCTCATACATGAATCTGTTCCCCAAGTGGGTTCATGACACTCAGATTAAGATTCAGCAAACCCGTGAGGCTGTGACTCTACTTACAAAACACAATCCCCAGAAGGAATAGGGCTGTCAAACATAGATCCTGTTGGCCAATGGGATTGTGACTTGTGTACTTAGAATGACCAGACAGAAATTGACTCATACCTAGAACCAGGACATGTGTGAGATTGTTAATCTCAACTCTGGACCTTCCTGTAGGTGTTATTGTTACATATGCCGCAGTCCAGCACCTGAGTGATTTGACTCTACTGCCTGGACCCCGCTCACATATGACATTGTAACATATAACTGGGTGCTGGGACATTTTGACACCACTGGGCCTTGCACTCGGGTGATGTCTTCTCTCATGCCTTGACGCTGCCCACGGGAGGCATTGTAACATACCACTGGGTCCTATGCCCATTTGATTTAACTCTCCTGCCTAAGCCCTGCCTATACAGAAAATTGTTTCATATCCTGGGCCTGTCACCAAGTGATGTGAGTATCTTCATTTGCCTGATCCTAGCTCTCAGGGGAGAATGGAACATATCACTTTGTTCAGTACTGAGCTGATGTGACTTCTCTTGCCTTCTGAGGTTTTCCTCACAGGGGAGATTGTGACATAAAGCTGGGCTCAACACCATGGTGATGTTACTCTTTTGCCTTGGCACTGTCTTCAGAAGGCCTTGTGACATATTGCTGTTACCAGCACCAAGGTGAAGTGTGTCTTGTGTTTGGACCCTGCCCATAGAGTGCATTGTGACATATCTTTGGGCCCATCAACTATTTGATTTGACTATCCCCCCTTACCACATCTTTGCCCATAAGGGATATGGTGACATACATCTGGGCCCAGCACCTTGGAAATGCAATGCCCCTCTCTTGCCTGAGCTATGTTCAGAAAAGAAACGGCGATGTATTGTTGTTTATCACCTAGGTGATATGACCTAGTACGTTACTGAGCGCAAAGGTGGTGTGATACTTCTGCCTGGTCCTTGCCAATAGAGGTAAGTGGAATATATCTCTGGGGCCCATAACCTATATGATGTGAGTCTCCTTTTGTTTCTTGAGTCTGTCCACAGTGGAAATTATGATATATTGCCAGGTCTTGCACCCAGTTCTTGTGACTCTCTTGCTTGTATCTTTCTCACGTGGGACATTGTGATATATTTCTGAATCCAACACCAAGGTGATGTTACTCTCTTGCCTGGAATATTGTTACATCTCTCTGCACTTATCACCTAGGTGATTTGACTTCTTCCTCCTGCCTGGTCACTGCTCACAGAGGGCATTGTGACATATCACTTGGCTCAGCACCTACATCATGTGACTCTCCACTCATGCCTCAACCATGCTTACTAGGGTGACTGTAAAATATAACTTGGTCTATCCCATAGGCTTTGTGACTTTCTTCTTCCTGAGCCCTAACACAGAAAGCATTGGGATATACCTCTGGGCCTCTTGCCTAGGTGAGGAGACTTTTCTGCCTAGGCCCTCTTCTTAGGGGGTATTGTGACATATTGCTGGACCCAGCAACTAGATGACGATGATGTGACTCTCTTCTACTGCTTGGACTTTGCCCAAGAAGGAATTGTGATGTATCACGGGGCCAAGAACCTAGGTGTTGTGACTCTCCTCCTCTTCTGCCAGGGCCCTGCATACATTCTATGTTGTGACATATGGCTGGGATCAAAACCTAAGTGATGCAACTCTTCGACCTGGGCCCTGCCAGCAGGGGTATTATGACATCTTTTTGTTCATCACTTAGGTGTTGTGACTCTTTTCTTCTGTCTGGGTCCTGACAGAAAAAGGGGATTGGGGCATGTCCCTTGACCGAGCACCTAGGTGATGTGACTGTCTTATTTGCCTGGGCCTTGCATATTTGGGGTATTGAGACATATGGCTGGGCCCTACATCAATGGGACTTAAGGCTCCTGCCTTGGTCTTGCTAACAGAAAACTTTTTACATATCCCTGAATCCATCACCTAGGATATGTGACTCTCCTCTTCTGCCGGCATTCTGCCCACAGGAAAGACTGGGACATATTGCTGGGCCCACCATTGAGATGATGTGTCTTTCCTGCCTGGGTACTGTCCACAGGGAGCATTGTGACATATCACTGGGCCCAGCACCTAGGTGATGTGAGTATGCATCGTGTTCCCTGCTTTCAGGAAGGCATTGTAAAATATCCCTGACTTAGCATGAAGGGATGTGACTCTTCTAGCTGGTCTTTGTCCTCAGGGAAGAGTGTGATATATGCCTTGTCCAGCTCCCAGTTGATATAACCCTCCTGCTCACTCTCTACCTATAGGTGGGATTATGACATATCTTGGCCCAGCTCACAGGTAGGGTGCTGACCCTCTTTCCTCGAACCAGTCAATATAAGATACTTTCATAGCTAGACTTAGTGAAATGGGTAAGATCCTGGGTCTCCTCTGTGTATTAAAGTCATAGAGAACTACCACTTTCTTATATCTTATATAAAGTCCTCCAGTGGTAGAGAAGATGTCATCACAGGGCCCAGAACACAAGCGAGATTGTGTTTCTCATATGCTCACCCAGCCAACTGTTAGGATTGTCACCCTCACATCTAAACAGAGCCCACTGGTGAAATGCTGAATCTCACATGCAGACGCAGTCTGCAGTTAAAATTCTGACTGTCATAAGTGAACACTTGGCCACAGCTGTGCTGGTGACTCATTCCTAAACCCAGCTCATAGAGAGGTCAGGACTCTCCCATCTAGACTCAGCCAATAGGAGAGATGTTGAGTCTCATATGTGGACTTAGTGGCACAGGTACAATCATGGGTGCATAACAGCATGAAGGTCTCAGAGCAGATGTTGACTCTCATACATAGCATATATAGCCCCTGAATGGTAGAGAGACTGTCCTCACAGAGCCCAGCAAACAGGTAAAATTATGACACTCTTTTGCACAGGTGGCCAATAGTAAAGATTGTCATCCTTCCACATGAACACAGCCCACCGTTGAGGTTCTGAATCTCCCACCTGGAGGCAGTGGAAAGTTGGAGAATTAACTCTCATACATGGATCTTGTCCCTAGGTTGGTTGGTGAATCTCAGACCAAGATTCCCCACATCTGTGAGGCTGTGACTGCACTAAGGGGAAACAGTCTTCAGAAGGAGTTAAGTCTCTTTTGTACAGATCCAGTTTATTTTTGAGATTGTGACTCATATACTTAGACCAAACCAACAACTGGGACATGTGTGGGACTGTTAATCCTGTCCCTGGACCTTCCTGTAGGTGTGATTCTGATGTATCTCTGCCCAGAATCTGAGTGATTTGACCCTCTTGCCTGAGTCTATGCTCCAGTGGAGATTATGACATGTCATTTTTTTCCATACTTAGCTGATGTGATCTATTCTCCTGTCTTGGCTGTCTCCATAGAAGACATTATGATATATTTACAGGCCCTGCACCCAGTTTATGTGATTTCTGGCTATCGCCTGCCCACATTGGCTATTTTGACATATTGCACAGTCCAACACCCAGGTGATTTTACTCTTCTGCCTGGGCCCTTCCTATAGGGGACATTATTAAATATTTTTGTGCCCTTTATCTGTATGTCTGTGTGTGTGTGGTGTGTGTTTTGAGACAGAGTCTCACTCTATTACCCAGGCTGGAGTGCAGTGGCATGACCTTGGCTCACTGCAACCTGCACCTCCCAGGTTCAAGCAATTCTCATGCCTCAGCCTCCCAGGTAGCCGGGATTACAGGTGCCTATCATCACGCCTGACTAATTTTTGTATTTTTAGTAGACAGGGTTTCATCATGTTGGCCAGGCTGGTCTCAAACTCCTGACCTCTGGTGATCCACCTGCATTGGCCTCCCAAAGTGCTCAGATTACAGGCATGAGTGACCGCGCCTCATCATATACATGTGTTTTGACTCTCTTCTCCTACGTGATTTCTGTTGATGGGGAGATTGACATGTCTCTGGCCTCAGCACCCAGCTGATGTGACTCGTCTCTTTTTCCTATATTTTGTGCAAACAAAAGATAGTGACATATCACTAGGTCAAACAAGGTGATATTACTCTTGATTTGGTCCTGCTCTCAAAAGGCATTGTGACATATTGATGAGCCCAGCACAAAAGTGATTTGAGTCTCATGCCTGGACTCTGCTTACAGGGGCATTGTGACATATCTCTGGGCTGATCTACTATTTGATGTGACTCTCCTTTGTACCTGGGCTTTGCCTATAGAAGACATTGTGACGTATCTCTCAGCTCTGCACCCGGGTGACTTGACTTACCTCTTCTGCCTGGGCCATACCTACAGGGAACATTGATACATATCTGTGGCCCCAACATGTAGATGATGTGACTTTTTTCTTTTTTCTTGGACCCATCCACAGTGGGAATTGTGACATATCACTTGGTTTAGGATTTGTGTGGTGTGACTCTCCTCTTATACCTAGGCCCTGCCCACTGGGGTGATTGTGACATATATCTGGGTGTAGCCCCTAGGTTATGTGAAGCTCCTCTTTTCCATGGTCCCTACTTATAGCATGCATTGTGAAATCTCTGGTTTACTCACCTCGGTTATGTGACTTTATTTTTAATTTTTATTTATTTATTTATTTATTTATTTTTGAGATGGAGTTTCACTCTTTTGCCCAGGCTGGAGTGCAATGTTACAATCTCGGCTCACTGCAACCTCCACCTCCCTGGTTCAAGTGATTCTCCTGCCTCAGCCTTCAGAGTAGCTGGGATTACAGGCATGCACCACCACACCCAGCTAATTTTGTATTTTTAGTAGAGACAGGGTTTCTCCATGTTGGTCAGGCTGGTCTCGAACACCTGACCTCAGGTGATCTGCCCACCTGGCCTCCCAAAGTGCTGGGATTACAGGTGTGAGCCACTGTGCCCGGCCATGACTTTCTTTTATTTGCCCTTCCATCAGGGGGCATTTTGACATATTGCTGGGCTGATTATCTGGATGATGTGACTCTCTTCACCTACCTGCATACCACCCGAAGGGGACATTGTGAGATATCTTTGAACCAATTTTTTACATAATGTGCTTCTCTCCGCTGCCAAAAACATGCCTAAAGAAAAGATTCTTTAGTCCCCTGTGACATATCTCTGGGCTCGGGACCCAAATGTCATGAATCTCTTGTCTGGGCTCTGCCTAGAGGAAATATTATATGCTGCTGGGCCCTGAACACAAGTGATGTGACTCTTCTGCCTGGGCCTTTTCCATAGAGGGGATTGAGACATATTCCAGGTGAAGAATCAAGGTGGCGTTACTCTTATTTCTCAGCCTTTCCCTAAGGTAAGACTGTGACATATAACTCGGCCCAGCACACAGATGAGAGTTTTACTCTTGTATGCAAACCCAGCCAAAAGTTACTATTGTCACTATAACACAGGAACAAAGACCACTTTTGAGGTCCTGAGTCTTATATGTGAACACAGCCAACAGTTGGAATTGGGACTGTCATATGTATATCTTGCCAGAAGTGAGATAGTGACTCACTCTGGATTCAGCTCACAGGAATGGTGATGACTCATACCTGGACCCAGCTAATAAGAGAGATGTTGACTCTGGTAGCTAGGCTTTGGGGTCTGGGTCCTTTACTTGTAGGAAAGTAACAGAAGATTATGACACTCACATATGTTGTATAAAGCTCTTGGGAAATACTGTCATTGCAGGGCCCAGTCCACAGGTGTAATTGTGACTCTTTTATACATACCTAGTCAACAGTTTGAATTGCCATGCTCATACATAGACCGAGCCTACCGGTGATGTCCTAAATCTTACACATGAACCCATTCCACCATTGAAATTGTGACTGTCATATATGGATCCAGCCACAGGTTGGATGGTGACAAATTTCTGTACCCAACTCACTTGCACAATGAACCTGGCCAATAGAAGATATTTTGACTCTTGTACCTAGGCTTAGGGCAACAGGTAAGGTTTTGGGTTTTCTGCTTGTATAAATGTCACAGAGGATTATCACACTCACTTATATTGTATAATGCCCCCAGGGTTGTAAAGAAAGTGCCATTACATAACTCAGCACAAAGTTGAGATTGTGACTCTCAGATGCACACTCAGCCAACAGTAGAGAATTGCCATTCATACACACGGACAGAACCCACTGGTGAGGTCCTGAATTTTACTCACAGATGCAATCCACAGTTGGAGTTTTTAATGTCATGTGTACCTCTAGCCACCACTGGGATGGTGACTCATATCTGAACCCAACTAAGAGGCAGAGCAATGACTTTTATACCTGGACACAGCCAATATGAGAAATGTTGACTCTCATACCTGGGAGTGGGGCAACAAGTAAAATCATGCATTTATACAGCACTAATGTCTCACAGGGGATTGTGAGTCTCACCCAAACAATGTGCAGCCCTCTGGTGGTACAGAGAGTGTCATAAGAGGACCCAGAACACAGCTGAGATTGTGATTCTCATATACACTTCCAGCCCACAGTAAAAATTGTCATCCTCCCACATGAATACAGACAACTCTTGAGCTTCTGAATCTCACACCTGGACACAGTTGAAAGTTGGAATTATAATCCTTACATGTAGATTTTGTCTCCAGGTAGACGGTAACTATAGGACCAGGATTCATTATACCTGTGAGGCTTTGCCTCTGATACCAGTACACAGCCTACCGGTAAAATTGAGGGTCTCATGCATGAATCTAGTCCGTCATTGAGATTGTGACTCACGCATTTGGATGCAACTCATGGGAGGTGTTGACTTTCCCACCTGAAGCTGGAACATATGTGGAACTGTGAATCTCATCCCTGGACCTTCCCACAAGTGTGATTGTGACATATACTTCTGCATAACCCCTGAGTGATTTTACTTTCCTGCCTGGGCACAGCCCTCAGGGGAGATTGTGACATATACCTGGGTCAAGCACCTAGGTGATGTGATTCTCTTGCTTGAGCCCTGCCCACAGAGGGTATTGTGAAATATCACTGGGTCATCTGACTCTTATCATTAGCTTGGGCCCTGCCCAGAAAGCCATTTGTGAGATATCACTGAGCCCAGTACCTCGGTGATGTGACTGTACTGCCTGGGCCCTGCCCACGGTAGGTATTGTGACATACCTCTGAACTCGTTGCCTAGGTGATGTGACTTTTTTCTTTTGCCTGCATTCTGCCCCTTGAAAATGGACTGTGACATACCACAGGCCCAAGTACTTAGATGATATGATTCTCCTCTTCTGCCTGGGTCATGGCAACAGGAGGATGAATTATTTTAGCAAGCCCAGATTACAGGTGATGTAAGCTTCTATCCTAGGCCCTGCCCACAGGAGGTATTGTGATTTATCTCTGTGGCCATAATTTAGGTGCTGTGACTCTTCTATTCTCTCTAAGCCATGCCAATGGAGGGGGATTGAAATATATCTTTGGGACAGCATAAAGGTAATGTGAAATTCCTGCCCGGGCCATGCCCATAGAAGGCATTGTGACATATCACTGGTCACAGCATGCAGGTAATTTAACTCTCCTTCCTGGGCCCTGCCCACAGGGGATATTTTAACATATCTTTAGCCCAGCACTTAAAATACGTGGCTCTCTTAGCTTCTTTCTTTTCCACAAGTGGGATTTTAACATATAAGTGCACCCAGTACACAGATGAGACTGTGACTCTTGTATGCTCATCCAGCCAACAGTTATGAGTGTCATTCTCACACATGAACAGAGACCTCTAGTGAGGTCCTGAGTCTCGTATATGGACACAGCCTACAGCTGGAATTTTGACTGTCATATGTAGATCCAGCCACAGGCGTGATGTTAGCTCACAGGCACCATGATGACTCTTATAACTAGACCCAGCCAATAAAATACATGTTGACCCTTATAGCTGAGCTTAAGGAAACTGGTAGGGTCCTGAGTCTCCTACCTGTATGAAAGTCACGGCAGATTATGAAACTTATTCATATTGTATAATGCCCCCTGGCAGTACAGAGTTTTATTACAGGGGCCAGCACACAGGTGAGATTATGACTTTGATATGCAGACACAGCTAACAGTATTGTCGCCTTGGTGCTAGGCCCAGCAGTACAACTCAATTCTTTTTTAGGACTGTGAGCCCTAGGAGCAGCAAAAGTCACATCAACTAGGTGCTGGGTCCAGTAATATGTCACCATATCCCTTGACAAGACAGCACAGGTAAGACAGTCACGTCAACTAGGTGAGAGTGAGAACCTGGATAATAGAGGAGTGACATCAGCTTGGTGCTGGGCCCAGTGAAATGTCATGTTGGGTATAAGTACATGAGTCATGATCTCAATGGTGTACTGGATCCATGCATGACAGCATCAATCTGTCCTGTGGACTGTCTTCTTAGTAGAGTGACAGCCTCACAGGTTTGCTGAATGTTGGTTGGAGAGTCAGAAACCCAAATGTGAATGAAATCTGCATATAGAGTCAATTCACTATTTTTGACTGGCTTTGGGTGTGAGATTCAGAACCTCAAGAGTGGGCTGTGTTCAGGTGGGATGATGACAGTCTATACTGTTGGCTGGGTGTGCATATCACTGTCACAATCTCAGCTGTGTGCAGTGCTCAGGCACAAAAGAAGAGTCAAATCACCTAGATGAATAATTAAGATATTTTATTCTCTTTTATTAGTCTTTTCTAATACTTCTATGGGCAAAGCCAATGCAGGAGAGTTGCATCCCCTATGTTTTGGACACAGCCATATGTCACAATACACAATGTATGCAGGGCCCAGGCAGTAGAGGGAAGTCAAATAACCTAGGTGCTGGACCCAGTGGTATATCACAATACCTCCTTGGACAGAGCCCAAGCAGTAGAAGAGAGTCACATCACCTCAGTGCTGTGTGCAAAAATGTGTCACAATACCAACTGAGTGGACGGCTCACTCATGAGAGTCACACCACCTAGGGGAGGGTCTCAAAAATACGTTGCAATGCCCCCTGTGGGTAGGGCTCAGATGGAAAAGAGGAGTCACATAAATTAGGGGCTTCATGTCACAATCACTCCAGTTGAAAGAGATAAGGCACAAGAGAAGTGATGCATCACATAGATGCTGGGCCCAGCAATATGTCACATTCCTCACATGGACGGGCCCTATGAAGAAAAGAAGAGTCACATCATCCAGGTGATGGGCCCAGAGATAGGTCTCCATGACCCCTGTCACCTGTGTGCTGGGCCCAGTCATAAGTAACTTCCTTCTGTGGGCATGGTCAGGTAAGAGAGGAGAGTCATATCACCTAGACGCTGGTCCTAGAGATATGCCACAATCTATTCTATGGGCACAGTTCAGGTAAGAGAAGAGAAAATTCACATTAACTAGGTGATTGGCTCAGAGTTATGTCACAATGCTCCTACAAGGCAGGGTCCAGGCAGAAGACCCAAATCATCTTGTTGCTGAGCCCAGCAATATGTCACAATCTCCCCTGTAGGCAGAACCTGAGACTAAGAGTTACACCAATTACCTGTTGGCCTACTGATAGGTCATAATCTTCCCTGTGAGCAGAAACCAGCCAGTAGAAAAGGTTCATATCACCTGCACGATTGGCACATAGATATGTCAAAATGCTCCCTACTGGCAAACCCCAGGCAGGAGGCTTACAAAACATAAATGTCAGCCCCAAAAATATATCACAATGATCCACATGGGCTGGGCACAGGCAGAATAGACATATAACCTGAGTGCTGAGTGTGGGGCCTAGAAACATGTGACAATGCTCCATGTAGGCAGGGCCACGGCAGAAGAGTAGAATAACATCACCTATGTTCTGAGTTCAGTGATATGTCACAATTTCAACTGTGAGCTGGGCCCAGGTGGGAGACTTCAAATTATGCTGGGTGCTGGGCACATGTTGTCAGTCACACCTGCAGGAAGGTCCAGGGATGAGATTAACAATCCTGCACATATCCCAGTTTCAGATATGACAGTCAACACATCCTGAATGTTGGGTCCAACTACATGAGGCACGTCTCATCAGTGAACCAGATCTATGCGTCATAGCCTCAATTCCTATTGCATGTTGTGTTGACTTAATGGAGTCCCAGTTTTCTTGGTGTGCTGAATCCTGGTCTGAGAGTCACCAACCCACCTGTGGACCACATTTATGTATAAGAGCCTTTTTTAAAAAAAATCTTCTGACTGCCTCTGGTTGTTAGATTTAGAACCTCAATGGTGCACTGTGTTGATGTATGTATGACTTACATCTTTACTTGACCATCTTTACTTTCAGCTGGGTGGTTGACCATCTTTACTTTCAGCTGGATGTTCATATGAGGGTCACAATCTCACCTGTCTGCTGGGCCCTGTGAAAACATTTTCTGTACCAACTGATGGCATTATACAGTGTATGTTAGTGTCACCATTCACTCTGAGGCATTCATGCTGGTATGGACCAATGATTGTACCTGTGGCCCTAAGCAAAGATATGACAGTCAACATCACTCCTATTGGCTCAGTCCAGATAGGAGAGTCCCACCTATGAGTGGATTTAAAAATAAGTTACCATTCCAAGTGTGGCCAAATCTTCACATATGAAAGTCTTAATTCCAATTGTAAGCTGCATTCCTGTGTGTTTTAAAACTTCACCAGTGGGCTTTGTCTATGTGTGAATGTGATGAATGAAATGGTTGGCAGGGTGTATGTAAAACACAATTTCACCTGTGTGCCAGGCTTTGTGTTGACACTCTCTGTACCACCCAAGATCTTTATATGATATGCAACAAAGTGGTAACCCTCTATTACCTTCGAACAAAGGGAAGACCCATAGTATTACCCATATTGGCTGGTTTGAGGTAAAAAAGTCATGGTCACACCTGTAAACTGAGCAAAGATATATGTCACAATCTTACTTGTGGGTAAGGAGCAGGCAGGAGAATCACATCATCTGGGTCCTTCTCCAGGAATATGTCACAATCATTTTTGAGGGTAGGGAATTGGCAGGAGAGTCACACTATCTGTGTGCTGGGCTCAGTGATAAGTCGTTCTCTATTTTGTGCAGATGGTCCAGGGCAAAGCTCATAGGAGACAAGGTCCCATCAATGAATTGATGGGTCCAAAGATATGTCAAAATACCCCTTATGGGCAGGATCCAGGCAGGAGACTCACATCACTTTGGCGCTGGGCCCAGAAATATGTCACAATATCTTTGATTGCAGCGTGAAGGCAAGAGTAAATATCAACATAGTGCTGGGACAAGGGGCATGTTACAATCTCCCCAGTGGGCAGAAGCTAGGAAAAAGAGAAAAGTCACATCAGCTAGGAGCTAGTCTCAGAGATATGTCACAATTTTTCCTGTAGACTGAGACCAGGTTGGAGAAAAGAGTCACGTCACCTGGATAATAGGCAGAGATAGGTCAAATGCCCCTTATAGAAAGAGCTCTAGCAGGTAAGTTACATCACATGGGTCTTGGGACTCAGCAATAGGTCTCAATGGCCCATGTGGGCAGGGCACAGGTAGGAGAGCCAAATATCCGGGGTGCAGGATCCAGTAATGTGTCACAGTGCCCTCTGGGGCATCGCCAAGACAAGAGAGGAGAGTCACATCACCTGCGTACAAGGCCCAGAAATATGTCACAATGTCACCTGTGGTTACAGACAAAGCAGAATAGTCACATCAATTAGATACTGAGTCAAGAGATATCTCACAATTTTACATTTGACTGAGCCCAGGCAGAAAACTCAAAATCACTCAGGTGGTGGGCAGGGGCATATGTCACACTGTCACCTACAGGAAGGTCTAGTAATGAGATTAACAATTTAGTTGCTGGGCGTGGTGGCTCATGCCTGTAATCCCAGCACTTTGGGAGGCCAAGGCAGGCGGATCACCTGAGGTCGGGAGTTCGAGACCAGCCTGACCAACATGACGAAACCCCATCTCTACTAAAAATACAAAAAATTAGCTGGTTGTGGTGGCGTGTGCCTATAATCACAGCTACTCGAGAGGCTGAGGCAGGAGGATTTCTTGAACCCGGGAGGCAGAGGTTGCAATGAGTAGAGATTATGCCACTGCACTCCAGCCTGGGTGACACAGCAAGACTGTCTCAAAAAAAAAAAAAGAAAGAAAAAAGAAAAGAATTTGGCACGTGTGTTGGTTCCAGGTACAAGAGTCAACACCTCTTGTATGTTATGTCTAAATACAGGAGTCACAATCTCAATGGTGGACTGGAATCGTGCATGAGAGCCTCAATCACTTTTGTGGACTGTGTCTCCTTAGTCACAGCCTTACAGGTATGCTGAGTCATGGTCTGAAAGTCACCAGCCCTCCTTTTGACTGGTTCCACATGTGAAAAGTCCACCCTTTGCCTCCAGTTGTGAGATTCAGTTCCTCAGCTGTGGGCTGTGTTCATGTGGAAAGATGACAATCTTGACTGTTGGGTGAGTATGCATGAGTGTCATATTCTCATCCGTGTTCTCGGTCCTGTTAGGACACTCTCTGTACCACCCGAGGGCTTTATACATTATGTATGAAAGTCACAATCTACTCTGACACATTTGTACTGATATGGACCTGTGATTGTACCCGTGGCCCTAAGCCCAGGTATGAGTCAACATCTCTTCAATTAGGAGAGTCCAGATTGGAAAGATTTTACCTGCCTATAAGCTGGGTTTATTAAACAGTCACTAACCCAACAGTGGCCAGGTGTTCACATATGACAGTCACAATTTTAACTTTGAACTGTGTCTACTTGTGAGTTTCAGGACTTCAAAATTGGACCCTGTCCATGTGTGTGGGTGACTTTAAAGGTTGGCAGGTTGCACACACAAAAAACAATCTCATATTTGTGCTGTGTCCTGTGATGAGTTTGTACCACTTGACGGCTTTATACTGTATGTGAGGGAGTGGTATAACTTTTTTTTTGTATAAATGTCATCATCATATCAGTGATCTCAGCAAATATATATATCAACATCCCTCCTGTGTGTAGGGAATGAGTAAGAGAGTTACGTCACCTTGGCACTGGCCCAGGAATATGTCACAATATTTTCGGAGGGCAAAGACCAGGCAGGAGAGTCACATCACCTTGATGCTTAGCCAGGAATATGTTACAATCCCCACCTGAAAGCAGGGCACAGGTGGCAGAGTTGCATCACCTGGGTGCTGAGCCATGTTATATCCCAAAACTTTTTGTGGCCAAGGCCCAGGCAGGAGAAGCATGTCACCTGTTTTCTGCGCCCAGTAATAGGTTACAATCTTCCCAGTAGAAAAAAGTAGAGTCACTACTTTTTGCTGATGAACGCAGATATGTCACAATTTCCTTGTAGATAGGGTCCAGACATAAGCCTCTAATCTAATTCCACTAATCCACACTAATTCCAACTCTGGCTCTGACAGCTTATGACTTATCATATACTTCTCATTTCTGTTATGCCCCAGGAATGAGTTTCTCAGTGACTTTTGAAGCAGTTTGTCCACCTGCTTTGGATGAACATTATTATCCTCTTGAATCCAAGGGCTGCTGTTTTGTTAAGCATATGAAGTCTTCCCTTGAGTATTCCTCTCACTTCCGTTCACTTTCTTCTGTAGCCTCCATTTTTCTAATTACTTTCCTGCCCTTCTCAATATGCATCAAGACCTTCAAGGTCATATATAAAAAGAGTGGGGAGGGAAGTCTAGCCCCCTTTGGGCAGTTAGCTGAAAAATGGGCTTCACATATACTAAAAGAACATGGGAAGTGGAAATCTGAGAAGAGAAATACTTATTTTGTTGCTAGAATGCTCTTAACTAGAGTCACTAGAGGTCAATGGAGTCAATGATGTAGGCCAGGCCAAGGCCACAGGTGCAAGAGACCCATAAAACAGAGATCAAAAGCTAGGTGTGCATGGTAAGACTTGAACCCCAAGGATGAAGAGGGGGCCACAGTTCACTCCAGTATCTCCTCTGTTCTCAAGTGGGCAACTAGTGGATCACCTACAACTAGTGATCAGCAGCTTCCCAATAAGATCTCAAGAGTTGGGCAAGTAGGGGGAAGTAATGCAAGACCCCGGAAGTATGTCAACATACAAAATCCCAAGTCAAAAAGTCACACCGTGCACTTGCCTTTTAAGTCACCCACTTGGCCCTCTTCCAAGTGTACTTTCCTTCCTTTTGTTTCTGTTCTGTAGCTTTCTAATGAACTTTTACTGCTGCTTTAAAACTTGCTTCGGTCTCTCCTGCTTTATGCCCCTCAGTCGAGTTGTTTCTTCTAAGGCAAGAATCGAGGTTCCTGCACTCATACCCGTATGAATTCACTTCCAGTAAAAGGTAGGAGAAAAGAGTGACATCACCTAGGTGGTGGTCCAGAAATATGTCACAATACCGTATTAGGGGAGGGTCAAGGAAAAGAGTCATATTACCTAGGTGAAGTGCTTAGAGACACATCACAATGCCCCCTGTGGGTAGGACTCAGGAAGAGAAGAGTTAAATTACCTAGAAGCTGTGCCCAGCTATATGTCACAATTAGCCCAGTGGGAAAAGCCAAGGCATGAGAGGCACATCATGTAGGTGCTGGGTCAAGTGATATGTCACAATCTCCTCTGTGGACAGAAAAGGAGACACACATCATCCAGCAGAAGAGCCCACAAGTATGTAATGATGATTCCTATGGACAAGGATCAAGGCAGTAGAATCACATCACCTGTGTGCTGGGCCCAGTGATAAGTCACTCTTTCTTCTGTAGGCATAGCCCAGGCAGGAGAGCAGAGTTACATCAACTAAGTCCTGGGCCCAGAGATATGTCACATTCTCTCCTATGGGCAAAGAGCAGGTATAACAAGGTAATCATTTCCAATAGTTGAGCTTCCAGAGATTATGTCACGATGGTCTCTGTGGTCAGGGTTCATGCAGGAGACTCACGTCACGTTGACTGTGCCCCAACAATGCGTCACGATGTTTTCTGAGAAGAGGGTCAAGGTAAAAAAGCAATGTCACTTTGGCATTGGGCCCAGCGATATGTCATTGTCTCCCACGTGAGCAGACATCAGGCAAGAGAAGAGAATCACATCCCCTTAGTTATGAGCACAGACGTGTCACAAAGCCCCAGGTAGGTAGTGCCAAGGCAGGAGAATAGTGTCACATCACCTAGGTGCTGTGTCCAGTGATATGCCACAATCCCATCTGTCAGCTGGGACCCAAGAGAGTCAAATCACTCAGGTGCTGGGAGAGGCATATGTCATGGGAGAGGCATATGTCACAATAACATCTACAGAAGATCCACGGTGAGATTAACAATTCCATACATGTCCCAGTTTTAGGTATAAGAGTCAACACCTCCTGAATGTTGAGTCTAAGTACATGAGTCACAATCTCAACAGTGGACTGCATCAGAGCCTCTATTCTTCCTGTAAACTTTGTCTTCTTAGTAAATTCACCATTTCGTGGGTGTGCTGAATCATGGTGTGGGAGTCACCAACCTACCTGTGGACCAGATCTATGTGTGCAAGACAATTTTCCAACTTTTGACTGCCTTCAGGTGTAGGATTCAGAAACTCTACAGTGGGGTGTGATGTCCCAGCTGAAGGGCTACTCATGCACAGAAGGGTGGTTATTGTAATCATCATGGTTTCTGTTGTTTTTACCTTGCTAAGAATACATGTGTAGCTTATAGCTGTGCAAGAAAACCATAAGGGTTTTGGTTAAATTACCTGTTGTTATATGTTATAAAGTAGACATAAAATTGGCCAAAATAGATTAAAATTCTACAAACATGGAGTCAAGTTTCTCTTGACTCCAGATAAACTTGGAGGCTTAGGAAAGACAGACCTGGAAAAAACCCAGTAAAAGGCTAATCAGAAGCTCAGAGGAAATTGCAACCATTTGCCCTTTATCTACCTATGACCTGGAAGCTCCCGCCCCACTTCGCGTTGTCCTTTTCTGAACAATGTGCATCTTACATATAGTGATGGATGTCTCCTGTCTCCCTAAAATGTATAAAACCAACATGTGCCCCAACAACCTTGGGCACGCATTGTCACAACCTCCTGACACTCTGACATCTCAGATACTTTGGGCTCAAATTAGTAATTTCAGGTAGAAATTAAAATTCTTATTAAAATAGAAACAAACAAAAGGACTAAACAGAGAAAAACTAATAAAAGTGTGCTCAAGCCTGGGAACAGTGGCTCACACCTATAATCCCAGCACTTTGGGAGGCAGAGGCGGGGTCAAGACCAGCCTGGCCAACACAGTGAAACCCCATCTCAACTAAAAATACAAAAATTAGCTCTCTCCCTCTCCCTCTCCCTTTTCCTTTCTACGTTCTCCCTCTCCCTCGTCTCCCCTTTCCACGGTCTCCCTCTGATGCCAAGCCGAGGCTGGACTGTACTGCCGCCATCTCGGCTCACTGCAACCACCCTGCCTGATTCTCCTGCCTCAGCCTGCCGAGTGCCTGGGACTGCAGGCGCGCGCCGCCACGCCTGACTGGTTTTCATATTTTTTTGGTGGAGATAGGGTTTCGCCGTGTTGGCCGGGCTGGTCTCCAGCTCCTAACCGTGAGTGATCTGCCAGCCTCGGCCTCCCGAGGTGCCAGGATTGCAGACGGAGTCTTGTTCACTCAGTGCTCAATGTTGCCCAGGTTGGAGTGCAGTGGCGTGATCTCAGCTCGCTACAACCTCCACCTCCCAGCCACCTGCCTTGGCCTCCCAAAGTGCCGAGATTGCAGCCTCTGCTTGGCTGCCACCCCGTCTGGGAAGTGAGGAGCGTCTCTGCCTGGCCGCCCATCGTCTGGGATGTGAGGAGCCCCTCTGCCTGGCCGCCCAGTCTGGGAAGTGAGGAATGCCTCTTCCCGGCCGCCATCCCGCCTAGGAAGTGAGGAGCATCTCTGCCCGGCTGCCCATCGTCTGAGATATGGGGAGCACCTCTGCCCCGCCGCCCCGTCTGGGATGTGAGGAGTGCCTCTACCCAGCCACGACCCCGTCTGGGAACTGAGGAGCGTCTCTGCCCAGCCGCCCCGTCTGAGAAGCGAGGAGCCCCTCCGCCCACCGGCCGCCCCGTCTGAGAAGCCAGGAGCCCCTCCGCCCGGCGGCCACCCCGTCTGGGAAGTGAGGAGCCCCTCTGCCCGGCCGCCACCCCGTCTGGGAGGTGTACCCAACAGCTCATTGAGAATGGGCCATGATGATGATGGTGGTTTTGTCGAATAGAAAAGGGGGAAATGTGGGGAAAAGAGAGAGAGATCGGATTGTTGCTGTGTCTGTGTGGAAAGAGGTAGACATGGGAGACTCCATTTTGTTTTGTACTGGGAAAAGTTCTTCTGCCTTGGGATGCTGTTAATCTATAAGCTTACCCCCAACCCCGTGCTCTCTGAAACATGTGCTGTGTCCACTCAGGGTTAAATGGATTAAGGGCGGTGCAAGATGTGCTTTGTTAAACAGATGCTTGAAGGCAGCATGCTCCTTAAGAGTCATCACCACTCCCTAATCTCAACTACCCAGGGACACAAACACTGCAGAAGGCCACAGGGTCCTCTGCCTAGGAAAACCAGAGACCCTTGTTCACATGTTTATCTGCTGACCTTCCCTCCACTATTGTCCTATGACCCTGCCAAATCCCCCTCTCCGAGAAACACCCAAGAATGATCAATAAATACTATAAAAAAACCCACACATTTTTAAAACAACAACAACAACAAAAAAAAATTAGCCCAGCATGGTGGTGTGTGCCTGTAATCCCAGCTACTCAGAAGGCTGAGGCAGGAGAATCACTTAAACCTGAGGGCAGAGGTTGCAGTGAGCTGAGATTGCACGATCGCACTCCAGCCTGGGTGACAAGAGTGAAACTCTGTCTAAAATAAAACAAAAACAAACAAAAACCCTAAAATTTATATGATATGACAAAAGACCCTGAATAGCAGAAGCATTCAAGCAAAAAAGAAAGGCTAAAGGTATCATCCTACCTGACTTTGAAATATACTGCAAAGCTATAGTAATGAAAACAGTATGGTACTTGAACAAAATGAGTCACACAGGCCAATGGAGCACAAGAGACAGGAAATATATCCATGTATTTAAAGCTAACTGATTTTTTATATAGGTGACAATTTCTTAGGAAAATGACAGTATCTTCAATAAATAGTGTTGAGAAAACTATAGCCACATGCAGAGCAATGAGTCTCTCATCTTACTCCACATATATAAATCAACTGAAAATATATTAATACTTAAATGTAAGGCCTGAAACTCTGAAACTACTACAAAAAATATAGACTGAAAGCCCCGTAACATTGGTTTCAACAGTAATTTTTTTTAATTTAACCTCAAAATCCCAGGGAACTAAAGGAAAAATAGATGAGTCAGATTACTTCATATTAAAAAGTTGCTGTACAGAATCTGATATAATCAACAAGACAAATGGGAGAACATTTTTGCAAACCATACTTGTGACAAGGGGTGAATATCAAGATCATGTAAGAAAGTGACTATACAATAAAAAAACAAATAACTATGAAAAATGAGCAAAAGGCTTAAATATTTTAAAAAGACATACATATGGCCAAGAGATATTTTAAAATGCTCAATTACACTTATTATCAGAGAAAGGCAAGCCAAAAAATCTATGAGATAAAAAGTCACTCATATTAGAATGACTCTTATTAAAAAGAAAAAAAAGTGTTGGTAAAGATGTGAAGTAAAAGGAATGCTTGCACACTGCTAGTCTGAGTGTAAATGAGAACAGCCATTATGAAAACCGAAATAGAGATTTCTCAATAAATTTAAAATAAAACTGCCATATAATGCAGCAATTTCACTATAGGATATATATATATTTAAAAACAAATGAAATCAGAATGAGAAATATTTGTATTTCTATGTTGTCTGCAACACTCTTCATAATAGCCAAAATATAGAATCAACAGTTCAACATCTAATGATTAAATACTGACAAAGTAGTATATATATAAAATTTATCTATTTATCTTTTAATAAGCCAGGAACAGAAAGAAAATTTTATGATTTCACCTAAACATGAATGATATAAAACTTAAATTCACTGAAGCACAGAATAAAATTGTAACCACCAGATGCCAAGGTATCTAAAAGAGGGCTTTAGAAAGATGTTTGTCAAAGAATAATACATAATTATAGTTAGATAAAAGTAATATATTCAAAAGACTTGTTGTACAGCATGGTGTCTATAGTTAATAATAATGTATTTTTGAATAATGCTAGGACAATGTCATGTGCTCTCACCACAAAAATGTTAACTATGTGAGGTACAGCATTAATTACCTAAAATTAAGTTTGACAATGTATATATATACTTCAAAACATCATGTTTTACAGAATACATGCTTTATCTGTCAAGTTGAAAAATATATATTTAAAACATTATAGAAGGATATCAATTTTTTCAAATATTCTCTGTCTTTGTCATTAACTTGGCTAAATGGTATCAAAAGTATATAGTTTTGTGCTGTCTTGTCATTTAATTTTTCAGTCATAACCATAGGAACTCTGACATTTAACAGCATGTTCTGAACTCAGTACCGTGCATGGGAGGAGCCAACGTACATTAGGGCTTTTATTTTAAGTTTAAGACAGCAGAAGTTTTTGGTGCTAATTGCAATGGTATGAAAGACATTAAAAGGGTAGGTGTTGTTTATGACCTAAAGATTGGCCACTGTTTGAACACCGTAAACAAGTTTGCATGCAAAATAACAGGAAATGTTTTAACCTGAAAGCCATTACAACTTCGTCTCCAAAATTTTTCCAGAGAAAATTACCAGAGTTGCCTACAGTGAAGTGACTAAAAATAAAAACTGTAGACTGAAATTCACCCACTTCAAAAATTGTGAGTGAAAAATGTCTCCAAATTGTAATATCAATATGAAAAATAAACATTATTTCAACACTAAACATGTAAACACATAAATAGAATGGTTATAACATTATTCACATTTGTAGGGTTTCTCTCCCATTGAATTATCTTGTTTAGTAAGAGTTGAGGACTGGCTAAAAGTGTTCCCACTTTCTTCACATTTGTAGGGTTTTTCTCCAGTACGAATTTTCTTACGTCTAGTAAAGTCTGAGAATTGATTAAAAGCATTGTCACATTCTTCACATTTATAGAGTTTGTCTTCAGTATAAACTATCTTATTTTGAGTAAGGTCTCAAAACCAGTTAAAAGCTTTGTCACATTTTTTATATGTTTAGGGTTTCCTTTAGTATTAATTATCTTATGTTCAGTAAGGTTTAAGGACCAGTTAAAAGCTTTGCCACATTCTTCACATTTGTAGGGTTTCTCTCTAATATAAATTATCTCACATTCAGTAAGATTTGAGAACCCGTTAGAAGCTTTGCCACATTCTTCACATTTGTAGGGTTTCTCTCTAATATAAATTATCTCACATTCAGTAAGATTTGAGAACCCGTTAGAAGCTTTGCCACATTCTTCACATTTGTAAAGTATCTCTCTAATATGAATTATCTTGTGTTCAGTAAGTTTTGAGAAACACTTAAAAGTTTTGCCAAATCCTTTGAATTTGTAGCGTTCCTCTCCACTATAAATTATTTTGAGTAAGGTTTGAGAACTGGTTAAAAGCTTTGCCCATTCTTCACATTTGTAGTGTTTGTCTCTAGCATGAATTATCTTATGTTCAGTAAGATTTGAGGACCGGTCAAAAGCTTTGCCATATTATTCACATTTGTGGAGTTTATCTTCTTTAGGAATTCTCTCATTTTGAGTAAAAGCTGAGCAATGGTTAGAAGCTATGCCACATTTATGATATTTGTAGAGTTTTCCTTCAGTATCAATTATCTTATGCGTATTTAAGCTGTGAGGACTGGTCAAAGGCTTTGCCACATTCTTCACATTTGATGGGTTTATCTCCAGTATGAATTGTTTTCTGTCTAGTAAGGTTTGAGGATTGGTTAAAAGTTTTGCCACATTCCACATATACGCCATGGAATACTATGCAGCCATAAAAAAGGATAAGTTCGTGTCCTTTGGAAGGACATGGATGAAGCTGGAAACCATCATTCTCAGCAAACTATCATAAAAACAGAAAACCAAACACCACATGTTCTCACTCATAGGTGCGAATTGAACAATGAGAACGCTTGGACACAGGGTGGGGAACATCACACACCCAGGCCTGTCAGGGGGTGGGGGGCTGCGGGAGGGATGGCATTAGGAGAAATACCTAATGTAAATGACGAGTTGATGGGTGCAGCAAACCAACATGCCACATGTATACCTATGTAACAAACCTGCACATTGTGCACATGTACCCTAGAACTTAAAGTATAAAAAAAAAAAGTTTTGCCACATTCTTTACATTTGTAGGGTTTCTCTCCAGTATGAATTATGTCTAGTAAGGCTTGAGGACTGGTTAAAAGCTTTGCCACATTCTTCACATATGCAGGGTCTGTCTCTAGTATAAATTATCCTATGTGTATTAAGGTTTATAAAATGGTTGAAAGCTCTGCCACATTATTCACATTTCTAAGGTTTCTCCCCAGTGTGAATTATCATATGTTTAGTAAGGGTTGAAGGATGGTTAAAAAGCTTTGGCACATTCTTCACATTTGTAGGGTTTCTCTCCAGTATGAATTGTTTTGTCTAGTAAGGTGTGAGGATTGCTTAAAAGCTTTGGTACTTTCTTCACATTTGTAGGTTTCTCTCTGGTATGAATTGTTTTATGTCTAATAAGGTATGAGCACTGAATAAAAGCTTTGCCACATTCTTCACATTTGTAGGGTTTCTCTCCAGTATGAATTGTTTTGTGTCTAGTAAGGTGTGAGGACTGGTTAAAGGCTTTGCCACATTCTTCACATTTGTAGGGTTTCTCTACAGAATGAATTATCTTATGTTTAGTAAGGATTGAGGACTGACTAAAGGCTTTGCCACATTCTTCACATTTGTAGGGTTTCTCCCCAGTATGAATTATCTTATGTTTCGTAAGGGTTGAGGAATTGTTAAAAGCTTTGCCACATTCGTCACATTGGTAGGGTTTCTTTCCAGTATGAATTACCTTATGTTTTCTAAGGGCTGAGAAATGCTTAAAAGCTTTGTCACATTCTTCACATTTGCAGGGTTTCTCTCCAGTATGAATTACCTTATGTTCAGTAAGTTTTGAGGACCACTTAAAAGCTTTACCACATTCTTCACATTTGTAGGGTTTCTCCCCAGTATGAATTATCTTATGTTTCATAAGGGCTGAGAAATTGTTAAAAGCTTTGACACATTCTTCACATTTGTACAATTTCTCCCTAGTATGAATTAGCTTATGTTTCTTAAGGGTTGAGGAATTGTTAAAATCTTTGCCACATTCTTCGCATTTGTAGGGTTTCTCCCCAGTATGAATTGCTTTATGTCTAGTAAGATGTGAGGATTGCTTAAAAGCTTTGCCACATTCTGCACATTTGTATGGTTTCTTCCCAGTATGAATTATCTTATGCTTCATAAGGGTTGAGGAATCATTAAAAGCTTTGCCACATTCTTCACATTTGTAGGGTTTCTTTCCAGTATGAATTATCTTATGTTTTCTAAGGGCTGAGAAATGCTTAAAAGCTTTGCCACATTCTTCACATTTACAGGGTTTCTCTGCAGTATGAATTACCTTATGTACAGTAAGTTTTGACAACCACTTAAAAGCTTTACCACATTCTTCACATTTGTATGGTTTCTCTCCACTATGAATTATCTCATGTTTTCTAAGGGATGAGGATTGGCTAAAAGCTTTGCCACATTCTTCACATTTGTAGGGTTTCTTTCCAGTATGAATTACCTTATGTTTTCTAAGGGCTGAGAAATGCTTAAAAGCTTTGCCACATTCTTCACATTTGCAGGGTTTCTCTCCAGTATGAATTACCTTATGTACAGTAAGCTTTGAGGACCACTTAAAAGCTTTACCACATTCTTCACACTTGTAGGGTTTCTCTCCAGTATGAATTACCTTATGTTTCATAAGGGCTGAGAAACTGTTAAAAGCTTTGACACATTCTTCACATTTGTACAATTTCTCCCTAGTATGAATTACCTTATGTTTTCTAAGGGCTGAGAAATGCTTAAAAGATTTGCCACATTCTTCACATTTGCAGGGTTTCTCTGCAGTATGAATTACCTTATGTACAGTAAGTT
This sequence comes from Homo sapiens, assembly GCF_000001405.40. Lineage (NCBI taxonomy): Eukaryota > Metazoa > Chordata > Mammalia > Primates > Hominidae > Homo > Homo sapiens. The sequence continues at coordinate 22,315,593 of NC_000019.10, read as the reverse complement.
TTGATGACCACTTAAAAGCTTTACCACATTCTTCACATTTGTAGGGTTTCTCTCCAGTATGAATTATCTTATGTCTTCTAAGGGCTGAGAAATGGCTAAAAGCTTTGCCACATTCTTCACATTTGTACGGTTTCTTTCCAGTATGAATTATCTTATGTCTTCTAAGGGCTGAGAAATGGCTAAAAGCTTTGCCACATTCTTCACATTTGTAAGGTTTCTCTCCAGTATGAATTGCTTTATGTCTAGTAAGGTGTGAGGATTGCCTAAAAGCTTTGCCACATTCTTCACATTTGTACGGTTTCTTCCCAGTATGAATTATCTTATGTTTAGCAAGGATTGAGGAATTGTTAAAAGCTTTGCCACATTCTTCACATTTGTACAATTTCTCCCTAGTATGAATTACCTTATGTTTTCTGAGGGCTGAGAAATGCTTAAAAGCTTTGCCACATTCTTCACATTTGCAGGGTTTCTCTCCAGTATGAATTACCTTATGTACAGTAAGTTTTGATGACCACTTAAAAGCTTTACCACATTCTTCACATTTGTAGGGTTTCTCTCCAGTATGAATTATCTGATGGTTTCTAAGGGTTGAGGACTGGCTAAAAGCTTTCCCACATTCTTCACATTTGTAGGGTTTCTTTCCAGTATGAATTATCTTATGTCTTCTAAGGTCTGAGAAATGGTTAAAAGCTTTGCCACATTCTTCACATTTGTAGGGTTTCTCTCCAGTATGAATTGCTTTATGTCTAGTAAGGTGTGAGGATTGCCTAAAAGCTTTGCCACATTCTTCACATTTGTATGGTTTCTCCCCAGTATGAATTATCTTATGTTTCATAAGGGTTGAGGAACTGTTAAAAGCTTTGCCACATTCTTCACATTTGTAGGGTTTCTTTCCAGTATGAATTATCTTATGTTTTTTAAGGGTTGAGAACTGGCTAAAAGCTTTGCCACATTCTTCACATTTGTAGGGTTTCTCTCCAGTATGAACTACCTTATGTACAGTAAGTTTTGAAGACCACTTAAAAGCTTTACCACATTCTTCACATTTGTAGGGTTTCTCTCCAGTATGAATTATCTCATGTTTTCTAAGGGTTGAGGACTGGCTAAAAGCTTTGCCACATTCTTCACGCTTGTAGGGTTTCTTTCCAGTATGAATTATCTTATGTTTTCTAAGGGCTGAGAAATGGTTAAAAGTTTTGCCACAATCTTCACATTTGTAGGGTTTCTCTGCAGTATGAATTACCTTATGTGCATTAAAATTTGAGGACCCCTTAAAAGCTTTGCCACATTCTTCACATTTGTAGGTTTTCTCTCCAGTATGAATTCTCTTATGGTCAGTAAGATTTGAGGACTGGTTAAAAGCTTTGCCACATTCTTCACATCTGAAAGGTGTCTCTCCAGTATGAATTCTCTTATGTTTAGTGAACGTTGAAGAAAATTTAAAGGCATTGCCACATTTCTTATATTTGTAAGGTTTGTCTTCAGTATGAATTATCTTATGTTTAGTAAGGGTTGAGAACGATTTAAAGGCTTTGCCACGTTCTTCACATTTGTAGATATTCTGTCTAATATGAATTCTCTTATGTCGAATTAAGCATGAAAGCATGAAAAATGATTTGCTACATTTTATACATTTGAAAGTTTTCTTTTTAGTGTGTCTAACCTTATTTCTATTTGAATATTTATGAAAGACTTTCATATGTTTGTTACACTGAAATATTTTTCTCTGGGTAGCTGTCCTGCATTGGTTAAGTTTATTATAACCTTCTTTGTGCATCTTACCCTCATTGGCACTTTTACAATCTTTTCTTAATCGTAAATTCTTATGTCCACATCTTGCATATGTTCTCAGTATTACTTCTTGGAAAGAATCTTTTGTGCTCTGATCTGGCCAAAGGTCTTGTGTAAAATGAGAACGCATAACTAGAAGAAATAAAAATAACAAATTATTCCACTTGCTAGACTCAGATGAATATACTTTACAAATCTAACCTATAAAATTATGCAAACCACATAAGATGGCACAGCAAAATAAGACAGGCCCTAATTTCTTCATAGACATATAAATGTAACAAAAACATACTGACCAAATACATTTGTGGAAAATTTATATGTAAGTTAAGTACCCCAAGTAAGCACAATGCAAAGAGCCACACAGAAGGAAAGGGAAGTCGGTTACAGTTTCCCAATGCAGCTCTTCCTGCTACCAAAAATAGCATAGGCTCTTTAGAAGTAAATTGCTGACTGGGAATAGCAGTTCATGCCTGTAATCCCAGCACTTTTGGAGGCCAAGGCAAGTGGATTACCTGAGATCAAGAGTTCAAGACCAGCCTGGTCAAAATGGAAAAACTTCATCTCTACTAAAAATTCAAAAATTAGCCAGATGTGGTGGCACACGTCTGTAGTCCCAACTACTTGGGAGGCTGAGGCAATCACTTGAACTTGGGGAGTAGAGATTGCAGTGAGATGAGATTATGCTAGTGCACTCCAGCCCATGTGACAGAGTGAGACCCTGTCTCAAAAAAAAAAGGAAATTGCCAACTCCTGGTTTATTGTTTAAAGACAAATAAAACAGTGGCATGGCCAGGCGCAGTGGCTCATGCCTGTAATCCCAGCACTTTGGGAGGCCGAGGTGGGCGGATCACCTGAGGTCGGGAGTTCGAGACCAGCGTGACCAACATGGAGAAACCCCATCTCTACTAAAAATAGAAAATTAGCTGGGCGTGGTGGCACACGCCTGAAATCCCAGCTACTAGGGAGGTTGAGGCAGGAGAATTGCTTGAACCTGGGAGGCGGAGGTTGAGGTGAGCCGAGATCATGCCATCGCACTCCAGCCTGGGCAAAAAGAGTGAAACTCTGTCTCAAAAAAACAAACAAACAAAAAAACCAGTAGCACATATATATTTATTTCTGGCTTCCAGGGGCCTTTCTGGTTTTTGTCTCTGATGACATAAAGTGCTGAAAGAAATGGTGGCATACTTTAAAATGACAGCTTGAGTCTGCTGAGACCAAAGTTAGATGTTACAGCAGCACTGAATATAGTACCACACACACAAAAAATAGATGTAGCAAGTGATTACTATTGAGAAGAAACCTGAATAACGTTCTTTATCTAAACACACACACACACACACACACACACACACACACACAATTTCAGACAAGACACATTCTAAGAACATGTTTGACAGACTCCCAGAATCTCTAGCCAAGACAATTGGTTTCAGACTATTCCAGGACAAGGCTACATTATGAAGATTCCAACAGGTAGCTTTTTTGATGTACAAATTTTAATCAACGATTACAATGTATATAGAATATTAGGACAACATGGCCCAATCAAAAAAAGTATAAAATTTTTAGAAAGCAACCATAAAACAATGAAGATTAATAAATTAATTTTTAAAATTTCAAATAAATTAAATAACACTGAATGAGAGAAACAGGAACACAGATCACTATAAAAAATTGAAAAAAATGAGGATACCTCTTCCCCTAATGGCATGAGGTAATTCATGAAAATGGCTTGCTATTCACCTAAGCCAGAGAACCCCACAATATCATGCTAAACAAGAGGTTTATAAGGGCTATTCTTACATATGACAAAATATACTTTAAAGCAACAGCAATTAAAAAAAACAAAGAGGGACATTATACAATGGTAAAAGGTCTTGTACAACAGGAACATATCACAGTCCTAAACATACATGCACCTAACACTGGAGCTCCCAAATTTATAAAACAATTACTAGTAGACCTAATAAATGAGATAGACACCAACACAATAATAGTGAGGACTTCAATACTCTACTGACAGCACTAGACAGGTCATCAAGACAGAAAGTCAACAAATAAACAATGGATTTAAACTATACCTTGGAGCAAATGGACTTAACAAATATATACAGAACATTCCATCCAACAACTGCAGAATACACATTCTATTCAACAGCACATGAAACTTTCTCCAAATAGACCATATGATAGGCCCCAAAATGAACCTCAATAAATTTAAGAGAACTGAAATTATATCAAGCACTCTCTCAGACCACAGTGGAATAAAAGTGGAATTCAACTCCAAAAGGAACCTTCAAAACCATGCAAATACATGTAAATTAAAAAACCTGCTCCTGAATAATCATGGGGTCAAATATGAAATCAAAATGGAAATTAAAAAAATTCTTCAAACTCAACAACAAAAGTGACACAACTTATTAAAACCTCTAGGATACAGCAAAGGCGGTGCTAAGAGGAAAGTTCATAGCCCCAAACACCTACATCAAAAAGTCTGAAAGAACACAGACACTCTAAATTCACACCTCAAAGAACTAGAGAAACAAGAAAAAACCAAACGCAAACCCAGGAGAAGAAAAAAAATAATCAAAATCAGAGCAGAATGAAATGAAATTGAAACAAACCAACAGACAAAAACCAAAAGATAAATGAAACAAAAACCTGGCTCTTTAAAAAGATAAATACAATTGACAGACCATAAGCAAGATTAACCAAGAAAAAAAGAAAATCCAAATAACCTCAATAAGAAAGGAAACAGGAGATATTACATCTGACACCACAGAAATACAAAAGATCATTGAAGGCTACTATGAACACCTTTAAGTGCACTAACTAGAAAACCTAAAAGAAATGGGTAAATTTCTGGAAAAATGCAACCCACCCAGCTTAAATCAGGAAGAATTAGATACCCTGAACAGACCAATAACAAGCAGCGAGACTGAAATGGTAATTTTAAAATCATCCACAAAAAAAGTCTAGGACCAGACAGAATTTAGCAGAATTCTACCAGACATTCAAAGAATTGGTAGCAATGCTATTGACACTATTCCACAAGACAGAGAAAGAGGGAGCCCTTCCTAATTTATTCTATGAAGCCAGCATCACCCTAATACCAAAATTAGAAAAGGGCATTAACCAAAAAAGAAAACCACAGACTGATGTCCCTGATGAAAATAGATGCTAAAATCCTTAAAATAGTAGCTAACTGAATCCAGTAACATATCAAAAAGAGAATCCATGATCAAATAGGTTTCATACCAGTGATGCAGGGATGGTTTAACAAATGCAAGTCAATAAATGTGATACACCACATAGAAAGGAATAAAAACAAAAATCATATGATCATCTCAATAGATGCAGAAAAAGTATTCAACAAAATCCAACATCCCTTTATGATTAAAACTCTTAGCAAAATTGGCATACAAGGGACATACATCAATGTAATAAAAGCCATCTATGACAAACCCAGAGCCAACATAATACTGAATGAGAAGTTGAAAGCATTCCCTCTGAGAACTGCAACAAGACAAGGATGCCCACTCTCGCCATGCTTCTTCAACACAGTACTAGAAGTCTTAGCCAGAGCAAGCAGAAAAAAGATAGGGCATCGAAATTGGTAAAGAGGAAGTAAAACTGTCACTGTTTGCTGATGATATGATTGTTCACTTTGAAAACCCTAGACTTTTCAAGAAAGCTCCTAGAAATGATAAAATAATTCAGCAAAGCTTTCAGATACAAAATTAATGTATACAAATCAGTAGCTCTTCTATACACCAACAGCGACCAAGCAGAGAGTCAAATCAATAACTCAACCCCTTTTACAATAGCCGTGAAAAAAAAAAACCCCAAAAACTTAGGAATATGCCTAACCAAGGAGGTAAAAGATCTCTACAAGGAAAACTATGAAACACTGCTAAAAGAAACCACAGATGACACAAACAAATGGAAACACAGCCCATGCTCATCGATGAGTAGAATCAATATTGTGAAAATGACTATACTGCCAAAAGCAATCTACAAACTCAATGCAGTTCCCATCAAAACAGCATCATCATTCTTCACAGAATTAGAAAAAATGATTCTAAAATTCATGTGGAACAAAAAAAAAAAGCCTGCATAGCCAAAGCAAGACAAAGCAAAAAGAACAAATCTGAAGCCATTACATTACCTGACTTCAAACTATACTATAAAGCCAGTCATGAAAACAGCATGGTACTGGTACAAAAATAGGCACATAAACCAATGGAAAAGAATAGAGAACCCAGAAATAAACCCAAATACTTACAGCCAACTGAACTTTGACAAAGCAAACAAAAACATAAAGTGGGTAAAGGATACTCTTTTCTTTTTTTTCTGAGATGGAGTTTTGCTCTGTTGATCAGGCTAGAGTGCAGTGGTACGATCTCAGCTCACCACAACCTCTGCCTCCTGGATTCAAGCAATTCTCCTGCCTCAGCCTCCCGAGTAGCTGGGATTACAGGCACCCACCACTGCACCTGGCTAATTTTTGTATTTTTAGTAGAGATGGGGTTTCACCACCTTGGTCAGCCTGGTCTCGAACTCCTGACCTCGTGATCCACCTATGTCAGCCTCCCAAAGGGCTGGGATTACAGGCATGAGCCACCGCACCCGGCCAGGGATACTCTTTTCAACAAATGGTGCTGGGATAATTGGCTAGCCACACATAGAATAAAACTGGATCCTCATCTTTTACTTTATACAAAAATCAACTCAAGATGGATTAAGGACTTAAATCTAAGACCTGAAACTATAAAAATTCTAGATGATAACATTGGAAAAACCCTTTCAGACATTGGCTTAGCCAAGGATTTCATATACAAGAACCCAAAAGCAAATGCAATAAAAACAAAGATAAATTAGGGAGGGTTCTCTCTGTATCTTGTGGAATAGTGTCAAAACGGGAACTTAATGAAACTAAAGAGCTTTTGCAAGGCAAAAGAAACAGCAGAGTGAACAGACAACCCACAGAGTAGGAGAAAATCTTCACAATCTATACACCTGACAAAGAACTAATATCTGGAATCTACAATGCACTCAAACAAATCAGCAAGAAAAAAAACAATCCCATCAAAACTGAGCTAAGGACATGAATAGACAATTTTCAACAGAAGATATACAAATGGCCAAAAAACATGAAAAAATGCTCAACATCACTAATAATCAGGGAAATGCAAATCAAAACCACAATACGATACCACCTTACTCCTGCAAAAATGGCCATAATAAAAAAAAAATCAAAAAAACAGTAGATGTTGGTGTGTATGTGGTGATCAGGGAACACTTCTACACTGCTGATGGAAATGTAAACTAGCACAACCTCTATGGAGAACAGTGTGGAGATTCCTAAAGAACTAAAAGTCATACTACCATTTGACCCAGCAGTCCCACTACTGGGTATCTACCCAGAAGAAAAGAAGTCATTACATGAAAAAGATACTTGCACACATGTTTATAGCAGCATGATTCACAATAGCAAAATCATGGAACCAACCCAAATGCCCATTGCCTATTAACCAATGAGTGGATAAAGAAACTGTGAGATTATATATATGATGGAACACTACTCAGCCATAAAATGGAATAAATTAATGGCATTCACAGCAACATGGATGAGATTGGAGACTATCATTCTAAGTGAAGTAACTCAGAAATGGAAAACCAAACATCTTATGTTCTCACTGATATGTAGGAGCTAAGCTATGAGGATGCAAAGGCATAAGAATGATACAGTGGACTTTGGGGACTTGAGGGGAAGAGCGGGAGGGAAACGAGGGATAAAAGACTACAAATAGGGTGCAGTGTATACAGCTCGGGTGATGAGTGCATAAAACTCCCACAAATCACCATTAAAGAACTAAAGAACTTACTCATGTAACCAAACACCACTTGTACCCCAATAACTTAAGAAAAAATAAATAAATAAAAATAAAGTAGTATACAGGTTACTTAAAGACAAAAAAAAAAAAAAAAAAAAAAAACACAGAGCTTTCCAAATTTTGATGTAATAAAAGAAAAAAATATGCTTTTTTTTTTTTTTGATGGAGTTTTGCTCTTGTTGCCCAGGCTGGAGTGCAATGGTGGGATCTCGGCTCACCACAACCTCCACCTCCCAGGTTCAAGCGATTCTCCTGCTTCAGCCTCCCGAGTACCTGGGACTACAGGCATGCACCACCATGCCCGGCTACTTTTGTATTTTTAGTAGAGACAAGGTTTCTCCATGTTGGTCAGGCTAGTCTCAAACTCCATACCCCAGGTGATCCACCCACCTTGGCCTCCCGAAGTGCTGGGATTACAGGCATAAGCCACCGCGTCCGGCTGAAAAAAAAATATTCTTAATCCATAACACTTGATCAGAAATTATTTTACTTTAAAAACAGTAAAAAATAAAGACTTTCCAAAATGAAAGGTAAGGGTGTTCATCACCACTAGCACAGCTAAAAAAAAAAAAAAAAAAAAAAAAAATGCTACATTGTGGACACGCACAGTGGCTCATGCTTGTAATCCTACACCTTTAGGAGGCCAAGGCAGTCAGATAACTTCAGACCAGGAGTTCAAGATCAGCACAAAAACATAGTGAGACTCTGCATATATAACAAGAGAAATGCTAAAATTAGTCTTTTATGTTGAAAAATAAAATGCTAGACAGCATCAAAAACCCATATATAAATATATAGCTTTCTATTAAATATAATTATACAGACACATATAGAAAAAAGAAATGCTAAAATGAGTCTTTTATATTGAAAATAAAATGATGCTAGACAGTATCAAAAATCCATATATAAATATATAGCTTTCTATTAAATGTAAATATACAGACACATATAAAAAAAGAAATGCTAAAATGAGTCTTTCATGTTGAAAATAAAATGATTCTAGATAACATAAAAAAAGCTTTCTATTAAATGTAAATATACAGACATATATAAAATTTCTTACTATAATAATAGTGCAGAAACCCTTAAAATTCTTCTATAGAATATAAAAACAAAATGTAAATCTGCATAAATCTGAATACACAATATGAAATAATTTATAATATTAATAACAAACTGGAAAATATAAAAATATAGTTTTTTGTTCCATTGAAATTGTTATGAGATTAAAACATACTGATTTAATCTTAAGATATTTTACATAATGTCCGTTTTTCAAGATAACTACAAAAATTTTATAGAAACTATGCAAAACAAAATAAAATAAGCAAAGCGTGCCACTACAAAATTAAACAAAAAATAGTTAAACAAGAAATGAGAAAAAACATGTTAAAAAAAAAAACATAAAACAGAACAATGAAACTGGTATGTAACTTTATTTCTTTTCTTTTCTTTTTTTTTTTTTGAGATGGAGTCTCACTCTGTTGCCCAGGCTGGTGCACAGTGGCATGATCTCAGCTCACCACAACCTGCACCTCCGGGTTCAACTGATTCTCCTGCCTCAGCCTCCTGAGTAGCTGGGGCTACTGATGTGTGCCACCATGCCTGGCTAATTTTTGTATTTTCAGTAGAGACGGGGTTTCTCTATGTTGGCCAGGCTAGTCTTGAACTCCTGACCTCGTGATCTGCCCGCTTTGGTCTCCCAAAGTGCTGGAATTACAGGCATAAGTCACTGTGCCCAGTGCAAAACTTTATTTCTTTAAGAAATCATTTTAAATATAAATTTTTTAAACTACTTAATAAAAAGAAATGTAATTCCAGGACTTTGGGAGGCCAAGGTGGGCTGACTACCTGACTCCAGGAGTGTGAGACCAGCCTGAGCAACAAGGCAAAACCCTGTCTCTAAAAAACAAAACAAAACAAAACAAAAAAACTAGCTAGGTTTAATGCCATGTGCCTGTAATCCAGCTACTTAAGAGGTTGAAACTAGAGGATTATCTGAGTTTGAGAGGCTGAGGCTGCAGCTCACTGCCATGATCACACCATTGCAAACCAGCCTGGCTGACAGAGTGAGACCCTATTTCATTAATTAATTAATTAATTAAAAGAAAAAGAAAGAAGATGACTGAGTGGCTTAAGGAAAAAAGCATGCAATATGTTCCTACAAGAGACCAATTTTAGCAGAGTCAAATAGTCTGTAAGTAACAGAATTTAAAAACTTTATATTTCATGCAAATAGTAGCCACAATTGGGTGAGACAGTCATAATTATATTGGACACAATATGCTTTAAGTCAAGTACTAGTATGAGACAAAAATTGATATTATATAATAGTAATATGGGTCAATTTACCAGGAATCTATAATTATTATATTTATATGTACAGGTAGGTATAACAACAGGGCTCCAAAATACATAAATATTGACAAAGGTGAAGCAAGAAATATATAGCAACATAACTGTTGCAGACACTGAGACCCCATTTTCAATAATAATAAAAAATAGAAAATTCATGTAAAAGATTAAGAAAACAAAATGTAGGTAACATTATAGACTATAATATTTTGCATACAGAAAAATATCTGAGAGTAGATAATTTATAAAGAAAAAAGGTTTATTTGGCTCACAGTTCAGCAGACTGTACAAGAAGTGTGTGCCTGTATCTGTTTCTGGTGAGTGTCTCAGGTCAGGAAGCTTATGATCACAGTGGAAGGCGAAAAGGAACTGGACATATCACACGGTAAAAGACAGAGCAAGTGTGAGGTAAAAGAGCCAGGTTCTTTTAACATAGTTTCTCAAAACTATACAGATATTTGTGTGTCCCCAATAACAATGGAAAAGCAGTCAGACTGTGCAGTCCCTTATACGCCATGAACACGACTTTGGCTCTCATTGTAAACTTGAAGGGAGATCACCAAAATGAAAACAGAATCCTTAGAGAATTTTAAAGCATAAGACAGAAGATGCCTCTACGTGAGAGCAAAATTTAAAAAATCTCAGTCTTCCCAGAAACTACTTCCTTTGGAGCACAGCTTCTCAGGTCACATTTTGAGAACTGGCTTTCTCCTTGACCTCTGGACCTCTTATCTGTGTTGTCTGTTGTATTCACTCTCACATACCTGGGGGTTTAGTTACCATCTCATGTCTCTTCATATTCCAAGGCTCTTTCCCTTGCTTCAGACAAGTTATCAAGTCTGGCTTAAAGACAGCCATACCTGTTTTATTAAAAATAAATAACATAAATATTGGTCATATTACCCAAATAATATGCTCATTAAAGAGAATGTAATAGAATATTCTAGTAAATTGATCCCCCAATACTAATTTATAACATACATTTCTAAATATTTAGAAAGTATTTTCAATTTGTACAGGCCCTTAATTTTACTACCTGGTACTACTGAATCAAAAATTGTTGGTGGCAATGAGATTTTAAGGTGTGGCAACTGTATTTTATGCCACTCAATTTCAGCAATTTCCACTAATCTAGAGTGAAAAATACAGATCTGCTCAGAAATGTGAAAAGTTCAGGTAAAAATGAAACATCTTTAAAAAATTCCTTTTGGCCTGGCACGGTGGCTCACGCCTGTAATCCCAGCACTTTGGGAGGCCAAGGCGGGTGGATCACAAGGCCAACAGATCAAGACCATCCTGGCCAACATGGTGAAACCCCATCTCTACTACAAATACAAAAAAATTAGCCGGGTGTGGTGTCGCATGCCTATAGTCCCAGCTACTTGGGAGGCTGAGGCAGGAGAATTGCATGAACCTGGGAGGTGGAGGTTGCAGTGAGCTGAGATTGCACCACTGCACTCCAGCCTAGGCAACAAGAGTGAAACTCCTTCTCAAAAAAAAAAAAAAAAAAAATTCCTTTCTACACTTATAAATCCCTGTTTCCAGAAAACAGGGATGTGAAACTCATTTATAGTAAGCATAAATCACCAAAACACATTCTACAGAAAAGAGAAATTAAACCTATAGAATATAATAGGAATTGCTTAATTAAAATTATCCTCACCCAGGAAGACCAGGTTTCTGTAGTTCTCTAACATCACATCCCTATATAAATTCTGCTGAACCGTGTCCAGGCATTGCCACTCCTCCAGAGAGAATTCTATGGTCACATCTCTAAATGTCAATGGTCCCTGAAAAACACAACGAAAGACACATATACATTTCCCAAGTGGCCATGGGCAGAAATTTTTAATTTGACTCAAGGTGAAATGAGAGAATAAAGAGAACAGATTCTAACTTATAGGGATGACCGAACATATCCAATAAAATAATTTTCAACACAGAAATATTATCTAATGTAGTCTCAAATTCTGAGAAAAAAGAATGGCATAAGATCCGCAACACCAGTGTAGATAAGATACCTTTCTGGATAATAAAGTATAAAACTAATGGCATGATAACAAACATGTACATTTTTTGTGCTATATTTACATCATACAGAATAAGTCTTGTATATTTTTCAGATCAAAAAGACATGCTGAGTTAGAAGACACCTCTCAAATTTTAATGTGTACAATTAACTGGAGATCTTGTTATGCATATTTATTTTAGAAGATCTAGAATAAAGTCTGAGTTTCTGAATTTCTGACAAGCTCACCAGTGATGCCTGTTTTTGGCCCAAAAAAGAATCTTTTGTCAAACATTCAGCAAGTGGGGGAACCTGTGTTTTTCCCAGTTTTTCTGGCCTGTAAACAAAGATGAGAGACTTCATTTTCCAAAGATAGATATATGCAAAGAAAATCTAAGAAAGAAAGGCAGGTGCCAGATTAAATGTGATCACTGGTGCACATCAGCTGCATAAAGATACTTAAAAGGCCAGGCGCAGTAGCTCACTCCTGTAATCCCAGCACTTTGGGAGGCTGAGGTGGGTGGATCATCTGAGGTCAGGAGCTCAAGACCAGCCTGGCCAACATGGTGAAACCCCATCTCTAATAATAGTACAAAAATTAGCCAGGCATGGTGGCACGCTATTCTGGAGGCTGAGGCAGGAGAATCACTTGAACTCAGGAGGTGGAGGTTGCAGTGAGCTGAGATTGCGCCACTGCACTCCCGCTCTAGAAATGAAGCAGGATTCCCCAGCCAAAACTCTAATCTCTTTTATCCAGTTCTGTGAGGTAAGACTCCAGGGTGGGACCTGACCTAAATAAGGCCTCCAAAAACAGTGGATCTAAACAGAACTTGGCCAGGGAGTGGACCCTATGTAGAATTCTGTTCTCTATGCTACTGGGAGTGCTTCCAGTTTTGTTTTTCCTAAGCTTACCTAAGATGCACTTAAATCCCAGAATCTGTGTAATTTAAATATTTTTTTAGACAGTGCCCAATTTTATGACATATACTAATAAGCAATTTAAACCAGTCTTTTATGGTTCCTAGGGTAATTTTATTAAAATATACATATGTATTCTACCAAGGTAAAATAAATAGAAATAAACATAAACATCCCTTCAAGTGATGACATCAGAAGTCAGAAGAATATAAAGTAGTCCAAATAAAGCCCAAGCGTTTCTGCACACATCTGTTTATTGTACCAATGATATGATGACGTTTAATTCAACCATGTACCCAGTTGCTAGTCTAGACTATAAGTTCCTGGGTGGTAGGGACCATGACTCCCTCATCTATTTTTTTAATGGCCACATGAAATGGAAGCTATTAGTTTACCTGTTTGAGTCTCAGGACCTCCTTCTTGTTTTTCACCCAAGTACCAAGAAACTGGAGAAACTCTTGTCTGGGTACCAACTAAAGGTATCTCTTGTATGAGGGGAGGAACAAACACAGGATGACTCATTTCTCTTATACTGAGACAGAAGCAGAATTAACCACTTTTGTCAGCTTGACACAGTTCTGCTCTGGACATCCTCAAATGTCTCAAAGATGCCTAGGTGATTGTGAGAGGGTTTCCAGTGACTCTGGGCTAATGACCCAATGATGAGCCAGGCAGAAGAGACTCAGGCTGGTTATAAATAGAAAATGGAACCGCCCTGGTTAAGCTCCAGAATCTAGATCACCTCTTCTGATTTGCTAGCTCTTGGGTAAGAGAAATAACAATACTCTACTCCAGTATCACATTTTACAGGTAGGTATAGTTGTAGTCATGGCTCTGGTTACTCTGTGGCCTTGATCTCTCACTCCTAAGATGCCTGTTTATACTTACAGATTCTGTCATCAGATTTTATTTATACCTGGAGTCTCTCACATACCTGTAACAGGTCACTGGAAAAGATCTGAAAATCTCACAGAGCCACAGTCTCAAAGAAAAGATTTAAGATCTCTACGTTGACATCTCACAATACAGAAAATGTCTTCTGCTGGTTTTCTGCATACTCTCAATTCAAAGTTTGGCCCTGTCTTGTAAATCTTAGGCAGAGGCCAGATCTTATGTGCAGATTCCAGGTGGGATCAACCAGACTCTGCCTCCTTGGGTGTTACAGCAAACAGAGTACAATCAAAGGAGAGATCTCATCATAGACACTACTCTGGCACATTCTAAATATGTCTACCTAAAACGAAAAAGCTGAGAAAATATAGATTTAAGTTGACAGTTTATTTGGGCCAAGCTTGAGGACTGTAACCTGGGAGCAAATATTCAAGTTGCCCGCAACATACACTTGATTAGCAGTGTGATTACAAGTTGATTTGTAAAGGCTAAAAAAGATGGACAGAGAGTGGGTTGATACAAAGTTGTTTGTCAGAAATTTTTATTATTTACAGGAATAACATTGATTATTGATTGGATATACACCATTAAGTTTTACGGTACAAGTTATAGTGTCCAGTGTGCATTATTAATATATAGCTACTTGTGGCAATAGCAAACAGCTTCAAAAGATGAATACATAGTTCAAAAAACAAAAAGAGAAACATAATTCTGCTCTCATTTTAATGTCTCTATAAGTTGGACAACCAAAAGGACTTGCATCTCTCAGAAAGAAAGTTTTTCTTTTTTCTCAAATCTGAAGACCTGGATTCAGAATTTGAAGTTGCAGTTTTAGGTTCTGAATGGATGGGATAGCAGCAGGTTTTCCCTGCACATTTGTGGGCATTTTAGCAAGATGAAGAAAAAGGAAGTACAGATTCCCAAGTGTACATGTCTACTCAATGCACATATGTTACTCTGATTGGGTTTCTGGGCCCCATAGTCTGTGAATCAGTTTCAGTTCGGAAGATACAAGAGTCACTGAAAAACATAAAATGGTTGATTGCTGCCCTGTGAAGTTTGTAGAATTCTGATCTAGCTTCTCTAAAAGTTACTGTGGAGGATTAAAGATACCAAATTGGCAGAGAAGCAATTCTGCCTGCATATTTAGGGGACAGTATGCACTTTGCAGCACAATTGTGAATTGACTGATAGCCTGAGAGGGAAAGTTTCCTCTAGAGTAAAGCTTGGGTGGCACCTTATATTTATATATCATGTCTGATAATTCTAGACAGTTTTTGTGAAACATAATTAAAAGATAAATTTTCTTCAGCCCCAGAGAAACTCCACAATAGAACAGACATAAAACTGTTTTATTACACAATTAAACCTGAATGTGACATGCATCACAGTCAATCTGCTTAAGAGACTGAAAAGATAGAAAGACAGTAACCGTAATTAGTTCACAAGTAGAAAAATGTATAGCACCATGTCATACACAGTTCATCCTAAATTCACCTGGTAATTGGGAAGGCTAGCCATGCAGGCTAATCAGTTATGTTCAATGACAAAATAAACTTTTCACATCTTCATGAAAGGAGGTAATTTTGCAACTTGAATCCAGGTGCCTGCTGAAGGTAGGCTCTCAATCTCCTACAAAAATGGTTGAATAGAGTGCTATCTTTTTGGCTATTTACACTTTAAAGCAATGGCTCTCTACTCCCTGAGCACTTGGCTACATCTCTCCTGCTTGCCCTCTCCGTTAGCTAGTGTCCTCTCTTGACCACTACCATCTGCCATTGAGGCAGAGCACACTGCACAGGGCTCACATCTGAAAGCTCACATCTTACATAAACCACAACTGCCACAGCAGCACTCCAGTGTCACCCCAGAGAGGGAAGCCTGAGCTGCAGGAGGAGAGCCTGCAGGCCTCCTGGGGAGAACTGCACCTTTACATTAATGGACATTGGAACAGTAATTCAGCCTCAGTTTTTATTTACAATGTGACATGGAAAAACTACTGCTGGATTTCCAACATTAAGTCCAAGTACAGATAGCTCCAAAATTTCTCACTGTGACAGCCCACCTCATTCACAGACAACAGGGAATATTTAATAGTGCAGACACCCAAAGCATTGGACAGAAAAACAGCTCTCAGTCTGAGCAAGATTATGCTTAGAGAAAAAAAAAAGTTAAATGCATTTTAAGTAAAAACTCAGTTTAGGCCGGGCATGGTGGCTCACGCCTGTAATCCCAGCACTTTAAGAGGCCAAGGCAGGTGGATCATGAGGTCAGGAGATCGAGACCATCCTGGCTAACACGGTGAAACTCCATCTCTACTAAAAATATAAAAAATTAGCCAGGCTTGGTGGCACAAGCCTGTAGTCCCAGCTACTCGGGAGGCTGAGGCAGGAAAATCACTTGAACCTGGGAAGTGGAAGTTGTAGTGAGTCGAGATTGCGCCACTGCACTCCAGCCTGGGTGACAGAGTGAGATTCTATCTCAAAAACAAACAAACAAACAAAAACTCAATTTAGATATAAGATTGATCAAGTCAGCCAGAAAATATTCTCTTAAAAGGAATTTCTCTCTAAACAACCAAAGTGCACAGCTACTCTCAGCATGAGAAACATGAGCATTATGAAGAAAAGGGATATATTCTCAGCAGAATTTTATAAGATTTCTCTTCCATCTCTGCTGCTCTCTCATCTCCTAGCCATTGAATGGGGGGTTATATATTGAAATACATCTCACAATTTCCACCAGCACTTTTGATGAAGATGTATAATCTGACTTTGTTCATATAGTGGAATGTATTTAAGCTTGCCACATAGCTAACTAAAGAGCTATTATGGTTTTGCGGTGGCCACATCATCTGTGTTTATTTCTCCTGTAATAGCAGCATTCCAACATAGTGAAATGAAAGACGCTATAAATAGGCTGGGCATGGTGGCTCATGCCTGTAATCCCAGCACTTTGGAAGGCCAAGGTGGGCAAACTTCCTGGGCTCAGGAGTTTGAGACCAGCCTGCACAACACGGTGAAACCCCGTCTCTACTAAAAATACAAAAATTAGCCAGGCATGGTGGTGGGTGTCTGTAATCCCAGCTACTAGGGAGGCTGAGGCAGGAGAATCACCTGAGCCCAGGAGGTGGAGGATGTAGTGAGCCGAGACCATGCCATTGCACTCCAGCCGGGGTGACAAGAGCGAAACTCTGTCTCAAAAAAGAAGACACTGTAATTATGCTTACCTATAGTTATCCCTATTAGATAAGTTAATAAACATGTCAGACTAATATCTACTTTAGCAATTTGGTAGTAAATTTTATTTGGATATTAGAAATAAATATCTAAGTATAAATAACTAATGTATTAGATATAAGGCATGTAAGAATTTTTTAAATTGTCTGTAGCCATAATTCAGTTAAAACACTATATTTTTTATATGTATATATACTTTATATGTTTCAAAAGTATGAACAGCAATATTAAAATGACTATTTAATGAGTATTCAGTCAAAGTAAATGTTTTGGCCTTATATTCATACTACTGAAGAAAATGCTGTTTAATTTATATGAATGCAGGTTGTCTACAAACACTACACGTAACTATGCTAATACCTTGTATAATCGGTTTTCTGTCAAAGAAATGTACTCAGTATCTTTCAGCTTTTATCATTCTGTATTGCTAAATTTCATCCTATCTTTGTGCTCAATGTTTTGTGTTTTTTTTTTTTTTTTTTTTTTGAGATGGAGTTTCGCTTTTGTTACCCAGGCCAGAGTGCGATGGGGTGATCTCGGCTCACTGCAACCTCCACCTCCTGGGTTCAAGCAATTCTCTGGCCTCAGCCTCCCGAGTAGCTGAGATTACAGGCATGCACAACCATGCCGAGCTAATTTTTTGTATTTTTAGTAGAGACGGAGTTTCTCCATGTTGGTCAGACTGGTCTCAAATTCCTGACCTCAGGTGATCCGCCCGCCTCGGCCTCCCAAAGTGCTGGGATTATAGGCATGAGCCACTGCGCCCAGCCTTACGTGTTCTTAATATGAGCTTTAATCTAAACAAATCTTTGTCTCCTTTAAAGACCATATATATATATATATATATCTACACCAAAGCAAAAACAAAGCAATGAATCTAAATAAAAAGAATCCTGAGTCACAAAGAATAATAAGAGGTTCATTTTGTTTTAATATGATTTATATATATTTCAAAAAAGTAGAGAAAAATATCTACATAAAATCTAAATGCTTTAAAAAAGATAAGCAAAATATATTTTCTTATTTTCCTATAGGAGAATAAATCCTCTTATTTCTAATTTGTATTTTCTCCTACAAAAGCCAGGTCTTTTGATATATTCTTAAATTCTTGGACATCTGAATTTCAGCAGACACTCAAAATCTAAGGAGTATCCTTGGGCACACTGTGTGCACTTGAAAATATGCTTATGGGAAAAAAAAAAAACAGAAGAGAAAAAGGTGTTATAAAAAATGTATTGGTACACATAAATAAAACAAGTTCTTAGAGACCTAAGAAGAGATGTAGATTCTGACACAATAGTAGAAGGCTAAAAGACCTCACAGATACTATTAGACAGATTATTGAGGCAGAAAATAAACAAAAATATTTAAACCTAAATTCAGCACTTGACCAGAGTCCTAGTAGACATCTACAGAACTCTCCATCTAAAAACATCATAATATACATTCTTCTCATCACCACATGGCACATACTCTCAAATTGACTATACAATCAGAAATAAAACAATCCCCAGCAAATTCAAAAATCCTCAAACCATACCAATCACAAAGACCACAGCTTGACAAAATTACAATTCAATACATAGAAAACCACTTGAAACCATACAATCACATGGAAATTAACCTGCACTTGAATGACTTTTGGGTAAATAATAAAATTAAGGTGGAAATTTAAAAGTTTTTGAAACAAAGATACAACATACCAGAATCTCTGCAACACAGCTAAGGCAGTGTTAACAGGGAAATTAATAGCATTAAATGGTCACATCAAAAACATCTCAATTTAACAACCTAACATCATAAATAAAAGAACGAGAGAAGCAAGAGCAAAGCAACTCCTAAGCTATCAGCAGACAAAAAAAATAAATAAATAAGATCAGAACTGAAGATTTAGATATGAAAAACTATACAAAAGAACAAGAAATCCGAGATAAATCTTTGAAATAAATAAATAAGGTAAATAGCTAGATTAATGAAGAATAAAGAGAAGATTCAAATAAACAGTTAATGACAAAAGAGAAATTATCACTGACCCCATAAAAATACAAATAACTATTGAAGTCTACTATGAACACCTGTCTGCACACAAACTAAAAAACCTAATAGAAATACATAAATTTCTAGACAAATACATTCTCCAAAGACTGAACAAAAAAGAAACTAAATTCCTGAATAGACCAATAACAAATTCCAAAATTGAATAAGTAATAAATAGCCTACCATCCAAAATAAAGCCCAGGATTAGACAAATTTACAGCTGAATTCAACCAGACGTAAAACGAAGGGCCTGAACCATTCTACTAAAACTATTCCAAAATTGAGAAGAAGGGACTCCTCCTTAGCTCGTTATATAGAAACAGCAACATTCTGATGCCAAAACCTGGCAGAGATGAAACAAAAAATAGAAAACTTCAGGCCAATATTCCTGATAAACATTGATGAAAAAATCCTCAACAAAATGCTGGCAAACCAAATCCAGCAGCACATCAAGAAGCTACTCCACTATGATCAAGTAGGCTTTATCCCTGAGATGCAAGGTTGGTTCAACATGCAACAATTAATAAATGTTATTCATCACATAAAGAGAATTAAAGATAAAAACCAAAAAAATTATCTCAATAGATGCAGAAAAAGATTTCAATAAAATTTATCAGCCTTCATGTTTAAAATCCTCAACAAACTAGGCATTCAAAGTACACACTTCAAAATAATGAGTTATCTATGACAAGCCCAAAGTAAACATACTGAATGGATACAAGCTGAAAGCGTTTATCTTTGAAAACTGGCATATCGACTGGGCGCGGTGGCTCACGCCTGTAATCCTAGCACTTTGGGAGGCCGAGACGGGCGGATCACGAGGTCAGGAGATCGAGACCATCCTGGCTAACACGGTGAAACCCCGTCTCCAGTAAAAATACAAAAAATCAGCCGGGCGTAGTGGTGCGCGCCTGTAGTCGCCTGTAGTCCCAGCTACTCGGGAGGCTGAGGCAGGAGAATGGCGTGAACACGGGAGGCGGAGCTTGCAGTGAGCGGAGAAGATTGCACCACTGCACTCCAGCCTGGGCGACAGAGCGACTCTGTCTCAAAAAAAAAAAAAAAAAAGAAAGAAAACTGGCATACCTTCTCTCACCGCTCCTATTTAAGAGAATTGGAAGTCCTGGCCAGAGCAATCAGACAAGAGATAAAATGAAAGGCATTCAAACAGGAAGAAAGGAAGTCAAACTATCCCTGTTTGCAGATGACATAATTCTGTATCTAGAAAACCCTACAGTCTCTGCAGAAAAGCTCTTTAAACTGACAAATCACTTCAGCAAAATTTCAGAATACAAAATAAATGTATAAAAATTGGCAGAATCTCTGTATATTAACAACATGCAAGCCAAAAGCCAAATCAAAAACACAATCCCCTTCACAACTGACACACACACACACACACACACACACACACACACAAATATCTAGGAGTACACCTAACCAGAGAAGTGAAAGATCTCTATGTCAAGAATCACAAAACACTGCTTAAAGAGTCACAGACGGCCAGGCACGGTAGCTCATGCCTGTAATCTCAGCACTTTGGGAAGCCGAGCCGGGTGGGTCATTTGAGGTCAGGAGATCGAAACCAGCCTGGCCAACACAGTAAAACTCCATCTCTACTAAAAACACAAAAATTACCTGGGCATGGTGGTAGGCACCTGTAATCCCAGCTATTCAGGAGGCTGAGGCAGGAGAATAGCTTGAACCCAGGAGGCAGAGGTTGTGGTGAGCTAAGACTGTGCCATTGCACTCCATCCTGGGTGACAGAGTGAGACTCGGACTCAAAAAAAAAAAAAAAAAGAAAAAGAAAAAAAAAAAAAAAGTCCGAGATAACACAAATAAATGGAAAACTATTCTATGCTCATAGGTAGAAAAGATCAAAATGATTAAAATGGCCATAATGCCCAAAAAAAGAAATGATTTAATGCTATTCTTATCAAACTACCAAAAACATTCTTAACAGAACTATAGAAAACTATGTTAAAATTCATATGGAAGGAAAAAAGAGCCCGAGTAGCCAAGGCAATCCTAAGCAAAAAGAACAAAGCTGGAGGCGTTACATTACCTGACTTCAAACTATACAATAGGGCTACTGTAACCAAAGCCGCATAATACTGGTACAAGAAACAGACTCACAGACCAATGCAACAGAATAGAGAGCCCAGAAATAATGCCACACGCCTATAACCAACTGATCTTTGACAAAACTAACAAGAGGAATGTGGGAAGAATTCCCTATTTAATAAATGGTGCTGGGATAAACACCTAGCACTGTGTAGAAAATTGAAACTGGACCCCTTCCTTACATCATATACAAAAATCAACTCAAGATGAATTAAAGCCTTAAATGTAAAACTTAAAATTATAAAAAACCCTTCAAGATAACCTAGAAAATACCATTCTAGACATGGGAACTAACAAAGATTTTATGATGAAAATACCAAAAGTAATGGCAACAGCAACAATTGACAAATGGGACCTAATTAAACTAAATATCTTCTTCACAGCAATGGAAACCATCAACAGAGTAAACACAAAACCTATAGAATAAAATAAAATATTTCCAAACTATGCTTTTGACAAAGGTCTAATATCCAGAATCCATAAAAAACTTAAGTTTACAAGAAACAAACAAACGACCTCCTTAAAAGGTAGACAAAAGGTGGCTGGGCTCCGTGGCTTATGCCTGTAATCCCAGCACTCTCAGAGGCCAAGACAGGTGGATCACCTGAGGTCAGGAGTTTGAGATCAGCCTGGCCAACATGATGAAACCCTGTCTTTACTAAAAATACAAAAAATTAGCCACGTGTGGTGGTGGACACCTATAATTCCAGCTACTCAGGAGGCTGAGGCAGGAGAATCTCTTGAACCCAGGAGGCGGAGGTTGCAGTGAGCCGAGATCACACCATTGCACTCCAGCCTGGGAAACAAGAGCGAAACTGTCTCAAAAAAAAAAAAAAAAATAGACAAAAGGCTAGGAGTGGTGGCTCACGCCTGTAATCCCAGCACCTTGGGAGGCCAAGGAGGAAAGAGCACTTGAGGTCAGGAGTTTGAGACCAGCCTGGCCAACAAGGTTAAACCTTGTCTCTACTAAAAATACAAAAATTAGCAGGGCATGGTGGCAAGTCCCTGTAATTCCATCCACTCAGGAGGCTGAGGCAGGAGAATCGCTTGAACCCAGGAGGTGAAGATTGCCGTTTGCTGAGATTATGCCACTGCACTTTAGCCTGGGCGACAGAGTGAGACTTCGTCTCAATTATAAAAAAAAAGGTAGACAAAAAACATGA
Source organism: Homo sapiens (assembly GCF_000001405.40). Classification (NCBI taxonomy): domain Eukaryota; kingdom Metazoa; phylum Chordata; class Mammalia; order Primates; family Hominidae; genus Homo; species Homo sapiens. The sequence goes on along the minus strand of NC_000019.10, from coordinate 22,293,170 downwards.
ACAAATGTTTTTCAAAATAAGATATATATGTGGCTAACAAGCATATGAAAAAAATACTCATCACTAGAGAAATGCAAAGAAAAAACCACAACCAGATTCCATCTCACACCAGTCAAAATGGCTGTTATTACAAAGTCAAAAAATAACATGCTGGCAAGGTTTCAGAGAAACGGCTATGTGCTGCTGGCATGAGTGTAAATTAGTTCAACCATTGTGAAAAGCAGTGTGGCAATTCCTCACAGAACTAAAAAGAGAATTACCATTTGACCCAACAACCTCATAATTGGGTATATACCCAATAAAATATAAATTATTCTGTCATAAAGACACCTGCACATACATGTTCATTGCGGCACTATTCACAATAGCAAAGACATGGAATCAACCTAAATGCCTATCAATGGTAAACTAAATAAAGAAAATATGGTATGATAAGGTGTGGTGGCTCATGCCTGTAGTTCCAGCACTCTGGGAGGCCGAGGCAGGTGAATTGCCTGAGCTCAGGAGTTCAAGACAGGCCTAAACAACATGGAAAAACCCCATCTCAACAAAAAATACAAGAAAAATTAGCTGGGCTTGGTGGCACACACCTGTAGTCCCAGCTACTTGGGGGCTGAGGTAGAAGAATTGCTTGAGCCCAGGAGGTTGAGGCTGCAGTAAGCTGAGATCATGCCACTATACTCCAGCCTGGGTGACAGAGTGAGACCCAGTCTCCAAAAATAAATAAAATAAAAGATTTAATGAAAACAAAATATGGTACATAAACATCATGGAATACTGTGTTGCCATAAAAAGTGAACAAGATTATGTCATTTGCAGCAACATGGATGGAGCTGGAGACCATTATCCTTACAAAACTAATGCAGAAAGAGAAAACCAAATGCATGTTCTCATTTATTAGTAAGAGCTAAATAATAACACATGGACACAAAGAGGGGAACAACAGACACTGAGTTCTAGTTAAGGGTGGAGGATGGAGGACAAAGAGGATCAGAAAAATAATACCTGTGTGGTGCTGTGCTTAATACCTCAATGACAAAATAATCTGCACACCAACCCCCCGACACAATTTCACCTATGTAACAAACCTGCACATGTACCCCTGAATCAAAAATAAAAGTTAAAACAAAAAACTCGCTGGCTGGGCACAGTGGCTCACGCCTGTAATCCCAGCACTTTGAGAGGCTGAGGTGGGCGGATCACGAGATCAGGAGTTTGAGACCATCCTGGCCAACACGGTGAAACTCTGTCTCTACTAAAAATACAAAAATTAGCGGGGCGTGGTGGCAGCCACCTGTAGTCCCAGCTTCTCAGGAGGCTGAGGCAGGAGAATTGCTTGAAACCAGAAGGCTGAGGTTGCAGTGAGCCGAGATCGTGCCACTGCACTCTAGCCTGGGCAACAAGAATGAAACTGTCTCAAAAACAAAAACAAAAACAAAACATAAAAGAACTTTATGGGTTGGGGAGAGGGCAATGCAGGTGGAAGGACTGGTTTGTGCTACAGATAGTGGCCCAGGTGTGACTCTACTCTGATTAATTTCTGGGTCCATGCAGGCAGATGAGATTATGAACAGGTTGTCCAGAACCCCAGGTTGGTGGAGAAAACAGGTTGCTGCTGCAGATTCAGTGTCTGGGGGTTGGGATATGCCAGGAGACTTGTAGACACTTTTGTGAGTTTTTGGCAAGAAACGCTAGGATCAAAAATGCCGTAGTGAAATTGCTGGGGGTGGTACCTATTCCTACGAGGGGTGTGGACAAGTCAATGTCTAGTGGATATGTTTGTAAGAAGGTGGGAATCCTGTGGTGGCAGCAGTGGAAAAAGGGGGTCTGTTATCAGAACTTTTTTACTCTAAGTTTTTATCCTCTCTCACCCCGGGAGGAGATCTGAAATCACAGGATAATGGGCAGTGTGATGGCCTGTGTAGAGAAAAGCAGAGCCTCCCATTCCCAGACACCCAGAGATCCATTCCAGACCAGGCCTCTGTGATATCTTTTATCTGGAACCAAATTTGTAGAGCTTGGTAAACACCAAGCAATTCTCCAACACCAACTCATTGCCTAACATTTGAATTCTGACACCACCCAGAGTCAGCACAGACCCTGATTCAGGGCTCAGTCTCACAACATTGTTCTTACTGCAGATGCCAGTCACAAACCCCATAGACCCATCTGTTTCTGAGCTACCGTTTAAAAACTGGGGACTCTCATAACCTTCTTCAAGTTCAATAATATTATACAGCTACTCACAGAACTCAGGAAAACAACCTAGTTACATTTATCAGTTTATTAGAAAAGATACAATCCAGGAAAAGTCAGAAAGAAATACCCTTCCCATTATGACTTAGATGGTGCTCTTTTCTTACCTGTCACATAGCCAGACACAGACTCTGCACACTGTCTCTTTTTTCTCATTAAAAAAAATAAATAAATCAGCTGAATTTGTTTTCAGTGGTCAACCTAGAATACTTCTTAATCAAACATTACTTAAGTTTATTTCCTTTCAACAGCTTTCTGAACTTTAAGCTACCCTCAGTCTGAGTCAACATACAACCCCATTTTATGTAGTTCCTAAGAACATGATGACTTCAGGGTAAAACATTCTCTGATCTAAAATCTCATTCTTTCACCCTCCATTTGCCATCCCCTCCCACCTCCTAATACTGTTTGCTCTTCCATATGAAACAAGGCCCTTGTCTGCCTAAACTTTGCAATCCTTGAAGATCTCAGAGTTGGTACTTCGTCCTCTTGCAATACTCTTTTGGAATTCAATTCTTTTTCCAACATAAATCTAACTTTGTTTTACTTTACAAAGTCTAGAAACTACCACAAAACAATAACAATTTCATCTTCAGTAAGACCCTCCCAATCCCCTTTCATCTTAACCTTAACTGCATCTGGCTGTGGGTCCCCAACTTTCCAAGGCTATGTAGTTTCTCTCAGGATAAAGGCGTCTTCCATGGCTGGGGTGAGCAGGCTGGAATATCTGCAGAGAAGACTCCCCAGAAAAAACTAAGTGGTCCTTTAATAACTTCCTTTTGCAGGCTCAGTATTAGCCTTAGCTTAGAGTCACTAGGCTCAGGCTTTAATTTTCATGTCAGAGTTATTCATGTGGTTTTTGAAAGTAAGTGTTTGAAAAATTCAGCAGAATTACTCTAACACAGTGTACATGTAAGGGAAGAAAATTTTAAGGTGCTTACATTTTATGTCTCAGTAAGATAAGCAAAAGTATCTATTCCTTTCAGACAATAAATATTATTTTACTATTTCCATTAAAAATCATGTAGTAAACAGTCATATGGGAACACTTCTAGAGGGTACAAAGTTTCAGCTCATAAAATTTAGCATGAAACTCAGACAGCAATATAACAGGATATAGAATAGAGATATTCACGGTTACAAATTTACCCTGCAAAAAGAGGAACTGATGTTTTCATGAATCTACATAACTCACCAATTACCTACCATATTTTCTTGTGGAAATGTGTGCATTTTCTGAAGCCAAAATGGAAGAGAGATTTTTCCTATTTTTTTCCCTGGTAGCATTCTAAAAGTTAAGCCTTGAAATTGTTTAAAAACACCCAGCCATAAAAAACAAACCAGAGAAAATTCCTAAACTCATTCTGAGAAAAGGGTAAATACAAATTTTTGCCGGGCGCAGTGGCTCACACCTGTAATACCAGCACTTTGGGAGGCTGAGGCGGGTGGATCATAAGGTCAGGAGATCGAGACCATCCTGGCTAACACGGTGAAACCCCATCTCTATTAAAAATACAAAAAATTAGCCGGGTGTGGTGGCGGGCGCCTGTAGTCCCAGCTAGTCAGGAGGCTGAGGCAGAAGAATCACTTGAACCTGGGAGATGGAGGTTGCAGTGAGCAGAGATTGCGCCACTGCACTCCAGTCTGGGCGACAGAGTGAGACTTGGTCTCAAAAAAAAAAAAAAAAATTAACAAATGGAATATATAATTAAATATTAATTTTATTCTGAAATCCATCTCTTTTTTGCCCTTGGTAAATATTTTCTTATCTTTCTTTCAATCCCTACTAACAAAATGCAATTCACAGTTAAAAAACTGAGGTCAAAATAAGCGACCAAATCTTTTCAAGGTACAGATGTGTCTGACTCATGTTTCAATCAGGCCATCCAATCACTTGAGAGATTCTCCCACTCCATTCTGCTCACTTAAGTGCCCAATAACCCCTTCTCAGGAGACTCTGAATTAAGCCCCAGTGAGTGCCCCAGATGTATTTTACTTTGCAAGTTCTTACACCATCTCACTGGATCACTGTTTTTTTTTCTTTTGGGATATTATTTTTGATTTCAAAGATTCGCACTATTTTTCTTTCACTATTTTTTCATTATATTTCTTTCCCTATTGTTTTGCCCCCTTAGAGAATGCAGGGGGCAGAAATTATTTCAATGCTTTTTCCCGCAATACCAGCAACTGATTGGCTGACCAGCAAGAAATGGAAGCTGGGTTGGGTCTTCAATAATTGGAAGCTGGGTTGGGTGAAGACAATCTTAATGTCTCAAGGGTTAGCTTTTCAAAGGAAGAGTATGCCAGGAGATTCCTCTCAATTCCAGGGCATCCGCCTGCTTCCCTGAAAGGCTACACTCCATACCTCAGATTGTCCCATGGGAGAAAATGACCAGGAGCTGATATTCACTAGACACTCTAGCAGACATAGCCATGGGGGGTATTTTAGTTAATTCCCAGACAGTACTGAAACCCAGGACCAGGAAAAAAATCTGAAGAATGGCTGAAAACACATCACTCCATAAAGTTTCCAAAGGAAAACATTTACCCCCGAAACATTCTGATAAAATCTGTGGGCCTAGGAGGAAAAAAAAAAAAAAAAACAGTACAAAGACTTTTTACAACGCAGTGTCAGGGGATAATTTTTTGCTTTCTTCTCATAGGAAATATTTACAAACAGAAAACAAATATTAGGAAAAGTGCCATCCAATGCTTTGTTAAAAAATAATTAAAACATGGTATCAAAAATGTACACTAAAGGACAAATAGTAGGCTGGGCACGGTGACTCACGCCTGTAATCCCAGCACTTTGGGAAGCTGAGGCGAGCAGATCACAAGGTCAGGAGTTCGAGACCAGCCTGGCCAACATAGTGAAACTCTGTCTCTACTAAAAATACAAAAAGTAGCCAGGCATGGTGGCACATGCCTGTAGTCCCAGCTACTCAGGAGGTTGAGGCAGGAGAATTGCTTGAACCCGGAAGGCGGAGGTTGTGGTGAGCCAAGATCAGGACACCACACTCCAGGTTGGGCAACAGAGCGAGACTCCATCTCAAAAAAAAAAAAAAAGGACAAATAGTAATGTGAATCAGAGAGGAAAAAATTGACATTTGGGAAGGTAACAATGAACTGGAAATTTTATATTTTACTGCAAGCCAGAGATAGGCTGCAGGAATGGGGGTTTGGGAGTACACATAATACTCTCCTTGGGATACCTGTAAAAAATGCAAGGGAAAAAAAAAAAAATCAGTCCTCCGAGGAGTGTGAAAATAATTAAGAATAATTAAGTGGCAGGCAATTAGACTGAGGTGGCTCTAGTCCCTGATATCTACTTTTTAAAAAATCTAATTCGGCCGAGCGCAGCGGCTCACACCTGTAAACCCAGCACTTTAGGAGGCCGAGGAGGACGGATCACCTGAGGTCGGGAGTTCGAGACCAGCCTGACCAAAATGGAGAAACCCCCGTCTCTACTAAAAATACAAAATTAGCCCGGCGTGGTGGCACATGCCTGTAATCCCAGCTACTCAGGAAGCTGAGGTAGGAGAATCGCTTGAACCCGGGAGGCGGAGGTTGCACCGAGAGGAGATCGCGCTATTGCACTCCAGCCTGGGCAACAAGAGCAAAACTCCGTCTCAAAAAAAGAAAAAAAAAAATCTAATTCAAGTGCATTTTTTTTTTTGTAAATTATACATTGGGGGAAACAAAACTCAGGCTTAACCAACTATAAACTACAATTAACCTCTGATTATATAAACGGGAAATTTCCATCTTGATTGTACAAACTGAGAAACTACGTAACTGTACATAACCAATTACTGAATTTGGTTTTCTTCATTGTGCACCTTAAAAAAATCTTTCCGTCAAATCCCTTCCATAGACCATAAACTACAAACCATAGCTGGGTGCTCTACAATTTTTGAATCACTTTGATTAAATTATTTATTACTTTAGTGGTGACCGCCATAAATTTTTAACAGAAGAAAAGAGGGACTGGAAACCTCACTGGACCAAAGCTCTTCCCATTCATGAACCCGCATCCGGAGTCAGGATTCTCCCCTGACGCCCCTCCCGTGGTCCCTGCACAATCTCGGAGAGACGCGGCCATGCGGGTGCAGAGCGGCCCAGAGAGGGCTCCAGGCCAGGGCACAGTCACAGCGCATGGAGGAGACAGGTCGCCCAGGGTCCCGCAGTCAGCGCATTCGCCATCTTATGGCTGAAGGAGACTGAGGCCGAGATGGGAAAGAACTCCAGGCGCAGATTGTGGAGCTGACTGCGGGGAGGCCGGAGTCCCGCCACAGCCACTTCCCACCGGTTCCAATCAGCCCCTTCCCCTTCTCGGGATGTCGGACCCGGCACTCTCACCATTTCTAGGCTGCCAGGGGCACCTGGCATGTTAGCTGTGGATCTTCCAATGCCGCAGGTTACAGGGCCACAGAGGCTGAGGACACACAGCAGTGAAGGCGAGACCGGGAACTGCGGCTGCAACCAGAAACAACGGCCCCGCCACATCTCGGATGCCGCCTTTTCCGCTCCAGCTGCATGCCTGATTGGACGGTTCCTAGCCCAGAGTCCCTGATTGGATAATTCTTAAATCCCCGCCTCCTCAGATCCTGAGTGACAAAAGATGTGATCAGATGCTGGACAGAATGAAGACTGATAGGCCGCGCGGTGGCTCGCGCCTGCAATCCCAGCACTTTGGGAGGGAAGCCCAAGCGGGTGGATCACCAGAGGTCAGGAGTTGGAGACCAGCCTGGACAACATGGCAAAACCTCGTCTCTACTAAAAATAAAAATTAGCCAGGCGTGGTGGCGGGCGCCTGTAATCCCAGCTACTCCGGAGGCTGAGGCACGAGAATCACTTGAACTCGGGAGGCAGAGGTTGCAGTGAGCCGAGATCGCACCACTGCACTCCAGCCTGGTTGACAGAGAGACAGTCTGTCCCCCGCCCCCCCCCCCAAAAAAAAGTAAAGAGTGACAGTCTAGGCTGCAGCCTTTTCAGGCAGGGCTTCTTCCCTGAGCTAAGTAAGCCAGGCCAACCCCAGAGGGTATTTGCATTTAACCTTTTGTATAAGGTCATATTCTTTCGTAAATAATGTATTATATGGTTATACACAAATGAAAAGAATATAATAAAAATTATCTAAAAATTTCTGATTTTATGACCTCCCTGACTTCTGTTTTTTCCATCAGATTGCCTGAGATTTTAAAAAGAAGGCAATCCTCTGAAATAAAATGTGAGCTACATGTGAATTTTAAATTTTCTAGTAGCCAAACTTTAAAAAGAAAAACAAACAAAAAATGCGGTATTTATTGTAGCAATTTAATTAAACCAGTATATCCAAAATATTATCATTTTAATATGTAAGCAAAATGTAAATTATAAATGAAGTGTAGATATTTTTTGGAACTTCATCTTTGAAACTAACTCTGTATTTTACCTTTCCAGCATATCACAGTTTAGACCAGCCACATTCCAGGCACTCAGTCGCCACACATGGCCAGTAGCTGCCACATTGAAGTGCAGCTCTGACCTCGGGAGCGAAGGGCCTGAAAAAACTTTTCTGCCAAAGCTGAAAAAAGAGCCTTTCCCTACCAACATTTCTCTTCAGCTCTGAGGGAGGAACAGATAGTAGCCATAGAAAAATCAGAGGACAGCAAGAAAAAAACAACCACAGGTAGACCACTGCTGGCCACCCATTTTCCACCTTTCTTCCAGAGATCAGAAGGTGAACAAAGGATGATAAGGCCACAGGAGAAGAAATCTCTATGTCTTCAAACCTGTGCACAGTCTTGACCTCCAATGTTTAGATATGAAGAAAACAGATTAAAGGCAAACTTACTTTTCTATTTGTCCTTGGCCCTAATGTCAGGCCGTGGTTATCTGTTTTCTCCTGTGGTATGGGGGACTGTGTGAGTATAGGCACCAATTACATGCATACATATCCATATATATTTCTGCATTACTCAGCATTCTCTTACTTGGCATCCAACTTCAAATCAGGGGGAAAAATCAGTACCTATAGGGTGCCCACTGTTAGAAGAGAACTAGTAATCAACTTGTCAATGAATCCTGGCATCCTGTCTGCACTGGGTGCATGTATTAATTAGCTATTGCAGCATAACAAATCATTCAAAACTTATTTGCCCATAATTGAGATGGTCAGCTATTTAGGCTGGGCTCAGTGAGGCTGTTCTTTTTGTCTCAGCTGAGCTCCTCCAGACATGTATCTTCAGCTGTTTGTTGAATAGGCAGCTGTGCTTCTGGGGATGAGCTTCTGCTTCTGGGGCTGTCAACAGGGGCACCTTGCTTCTCCTCCCCATGGTATCTTATCCTCCAGCTTGCTAACATCGGCCATTTTTCATGGAAATGGTAGCATTCTGAAAGAAAAACAGAAGCATTCAAGACCTTTTGAGCTGAAGGGGTGGGTTGCCCCTCCACACCTGTGGGTGTTTCTCGTAAGGTGGAATGAGAGACTTAGGAAAGAAAAAGACACAGAGACAAAGTATAGAGAAAGAAATAAGGGGACCCGGGGAACCAGTGTTCAGCATATGGAGGATCCCGCCAGCCTCTGAGTTCCCTTAGTATTTATTGATCATTCGTGGGTGTTTCTCCGAGAGGGGGATGTGTCAGGGTCACAAGACAATTGTGGGGAGAGGGTCAGCAGACAAACACGTGAACAAAGGTCTTTGCATCATAGACAAGGTAAAGGATTAAGTGCTGTGCTTTTAGATATGCATACACATAAACATCTCAATGCTTTACAAAGCAGTATTGCTGCCCGCATGTCCCACCTCCAGCCCTAAGGTGGTTTTTCCCTATCTCAGTAGATGGAATGTACAATCGGGTTTTATACCGAGACATTCCATTGCCCAGGGACGGGCAGGAGACAGATGCCTTCCTCTTGTCTCAACTGCAAGAGGCGTGCCTTCCTCTTGTACTAATCCTCCTCAGCACAGACCCTTTACGGGTGTCGGGCTGGGGGATGGTCAGGTCTTTCCCTTCCCACGAGGCCATATTTCAGACTATCACATGGGGAGAAACCTTGGACAATACCTGGCTTTCCTAGGCAGAGGTCCCTGCGGCCTTCCGCAGTGTTTGTGTCCCTGGGTACTTGAGATTAGGGAGTGGTGATGACTCCAAGCATCTGTTTAACAAAGCACATCTTGCACCGCCCTTAATCCATTTAACCCTGAGTTTGACACAGCACATGTTTCAGAGAGCACGGGGTTGGGGGTAAGGTCACAGACTCTCAAGGCAGAAGAATTTTTCTTAGTACATAACAAAATGGAGTCTCCCATGTCTATTTCTTTCTACACAGACACAGTGACAATCTGATCTCTCTTGCTTTTCCCCACATGAGCCTAGGCCTCAAACTGTTACATTGTCATGTTCACAGGTTTCTACTGCCCTGAGTGAATAAGGCCAGCAAAATCTAGGGTTTGGAAAACATCCTGGATCTTGATGGGAACAGCTTTAAAAGCACCTGGCAATGGGCATGGATACAGAAAAAACTAGAAATTGCTACCATTTTTGAAATCAGTGTCATTCTGCTTTTTTTTTTTTTATTTTGCATATGTGGTTTATAGAACTCTTTCACATCAAGAATCTTGTCCAAAGACACACAGCTACTAAGTGGCTGGGCTGAGACTCAGGATCAACTCTGTCAGACTCCAAAGCCCATCCACCTCCATAGATGACACTACTAAAGTAGCTGCCCTAGACCCTTGAAATCCTGGAGAGTGACACTTCTACGATAGAGGCCAGATTCCTTTTATTTTAGTTTTATTAATCTATTTAACTTCTTTTGAGATGGGGTCTCACTCTGTCACCCAGGCCGGAGTGCAGTAGTGTAATTTTGGCTCAGTGTAACATCCTCCTCCCATGTTCAATTAATTCTCCTGCCACAGCCTTTCAAGTAGCTGGGATTTCAGGTGCTTGCCATCACACCTGACTCATTTTTGTATTTTTAGTAAAGACAGGTTTCACCATGTTGGCCAGGCTGATCTCAAACTCCTGACCTCAAGTAATCTGCCTGCCTCGGCCTCCCAGGGTTCTGGGATTACTAGCGTGAGCCACTGCAGCCAGCCTACATTCCTTTTACATTTGTGCCAATATAGTACTGTTTATCATTGGGAATAATCCTGTCAAGAATTTGCAGAAGTGCACAGTGGCTCACACCTGTAATCCTAGCATTTTGGGAGGCTGACATGGGAGAATAACGTGAGCTCGAGTTCAAGTTCAGCCAACATAGTAAGAATCTGTCTTCATGAATAAAAATTTAAAAATTAGCCAGACATGGTGGTGCATGCCTGTAACCCCAGCTACTCAGGTGGCAGATGCAGAAGCAGAAGGATCACTTCAGCCTGGAAGGTCAAGCTGCAGTGAGCCATGTTTGGATACACCACTGCACTCCAGCCTGGGTGATAGAGTAAGACCTTGTCTCAGAAAAAAAGAAAGAAAAAGAAAGAAAGAAATTGCAGAAGGATTTTAAAAAGACAAAGAATACTTTATATTTGTAGGTGATGGATAAGTTTAGAAAATCAAATGCCAACAACAGATTATTTATTTTTCATCATAGAATAAAATGGAAAACTTTTAAAATGAAAATACTGTAGAAAAATTAAATTTAAAGAGTTTAAATGGGCAAAGAATGATTTGCAAATTGGGCAGCCTGTGGAGCCAGAGTAGGCTCAGAGAGACTGCAGCATAGCCACATGGTGGAAAAAGATTTATGGACAGAAAAAGCAAAGTGACATACAGAAAATGGGGGTGAGATACAGAAACAGCCAGATTGATTACAGCTCGAGATTTGCCTTACTCGAACATGGTTTAAACAGCTGATGTCCTTTTATTGCCAAAAACACAGTAGTTGGTACAAGAGTGGGTTACAGTCTATTTACATATCAAGTTAGGTTTCAGTTTGCTATGTACAGAGAACCTATTGACAAAAATTAAACAGAAAAGAAGGCAGCTTTAGGCTATAATTGATTTAATAATTTCTCCTTTTTGGTCATCTTCCCAATTTTGAGAGACAGACCCAAACTTTAGACATTGATAGCATCAGTTACCATCAAAAGTATACTTATTTAGTCTCAAATCCCACTGTGAAATAGCAGAACTGTGGGTTTTGTAAAGTAAAAACAAGGACTTCAGGTTATTATTTTTAAAAAGAATTACAGTAGAAAGGAACTCCTTGTGTTAAAATCTGCTGTTTACAGAAGAAAACAAAACCCGAACTGCTTTAGGATCACCTATTTCCTTACATTTTTAGTTTATATCACATTTAGCATGAGTGACTCCACAGAATAATGGATTTTTAAAAAATTATCAGATAATTTCCTCATGCTTTTTTCCAGATGATTTTATTCTCTACCAGAGGTGTTTTTCTTTTTAATCATTGGTTCATTTTGCTTGACATCATACAATACGTATTATTTTATTTCAAGCTTGTCTTATCTGGCAGGTTTATGAGATATATCCAGGTTGTGTGATTTAGTAGTTCATTTTTTTCTATGGCTGGGTGGTATTCTCTTGTATGAATGAGATATAATTTGTTCATCTATATTTCTAGCGATGGATATTTAGGCTGTTCCCTGCTTTAAGCTATTATGACTAAAAGCTCTATAAACATTCTTGTACAAATACTTTTTGGTATATAATTAAATTCCTTTAATAGCATTTAAGTGACACCTCCTTACATTTCTTAGTGGTTTCTCCAGGGATAACTATATGCATTTGTAACATATCACAATCTACCTAGAGTTTATACTGTACTATTTTAATAAATGTAAAATATGAAAACCTTGCTGTTGAAGAGTTACAATTACTTCCTTCTATTGTTTGTGCTATTCATATATTTTACATCTACACATATATCTCACAATACTGTGTTATAATTTTTCCTTAGTCATAAGTCTTATAAAGAAATTGAGAGGAAATAGTATTTATAAATATTTGGAGGTAGATACTTTGGGGCTATTACTTTGGGGCTATTTATAAATATTTGAGGCAGATACTTTGGGGCTAACAGAAACACTGTTTCTCCTTTAAATTTTATCCACAATGTTTGCATTTTTAAGTACATCTTGTCTACAGTAATTATTACTGTGGTGTCTTAGTGGTGATTTTCTATTTTGCATTATCTTCTACATTGATTAGTATACTTGGAATTTTCTAAAGAAAATTTTTTTCTTTTTTCTACTGCTTTCTTTCTTTCTTTCTTTCTTTCTTTCTTTCTTTCTTTCTTTCTTTCTTTCTCTTTCTCTTTCTCTCTTTCTCTTTTTGAGATGGAATTTCATTCTTGTTGTCCAGGCTGGAGTTTAATGTCGTGATCTCAGCTCACTGCAACCTCCACCTCCCAGGTTCAAATGATTCTCCTGCCTCAGACTCCCAAGTAGGTGGGATTACAGGCATACACCACCACGCCCGGCTAATTTTGCATTTTTGGTAGAGACGGGGTTTATTCAAGTTGGTCAGGCTGGTCTTGAACTCCCAACCTCAGGTGATCCACCCTCCTTAGCCTCCCAAAGTGCTGAGATTACAGGCATGAACCACGGCGACTGGCCTTCTTTTTTTCTTATTTGTATTTTTCTCTATCTTTATGGATTCATGGATTTTTTTTTAATTCTCTGGGTGTTAATCCAATGCTAATAATGTTTATTGTGTTTTTCACATTTTTCCAGCTTGGGCTCCTGGGAAGTCTTTCAGGTTGACTTTCTCTGACATGGCTGCTTCTGTTGTTCATAAAGCACTTTAAACTTTTTAGCTTAACAATACTCTACCTTAACTTGGATTTTCCACTCCAGTGCTAGAATTGTCTATTATTACAAGTAGTCTTGCTTTTTTTGTTGAAGAATAGTACTTAGAAACCATGATATGAGAGCTAGGTGTGCCCATTAATATTGGGGTGTCACTGCTTCTGCAACCTCTCAGCAAACAGAGTTTGGAAAGGTACATATTAATATTGACTCCTGTATGAACACATCTCTCTCTTTCTGTCTCTCTCAATAGATATGTTATGATACATGCATTTATCAAAATATTCTCAACTCCATTCTAGAATTCTCTTTTTTTTCAACTTCAGAGAGATGCAGGCACTAATTATATTTATTTATGTATATATATATATATATATATACATACTAACATATAGAGTGCTTTTAAAAATTGCTAGTCTATATGCTTATAGACAAGCAATACATACCAGAACACAATGTTTGTGTTCAGTTCTTGAGTCTTGCAGTATTTAATCAAAATAGTGTTATTCAAAGTGATTTACACCAAGTCCTTTCATTCCAACCTTCTTCAATAGGGTTAGGTGATACATTTCTAGTAAGGGTGAACTCTTCTTTTTACTCCCTGCATTTTATCTGAATTTTCCCCCAATCCTTGTTTTTTCTAATTTTCAGAGAGGAAAATTTATTCTTTGTGATGTACAGTTCCATAGGTTTTGAAAACTGTCTAGAGTCACATAGCCATCTTCACAGTACCACACAGAACTGTTTCATTGCCCCCAAAATTATCCGATGCCTCCTATTTGTAGTTAAGTCTACCCTCATCTATTCTTTGGCAATCAGTGATTATTCTCTTTTTATTCTTCTTCTTTTGTAGGAAGGTCTTTCTATGTTGCCCAGTCTGTTCTCAAAATCCTGGGCTCAAACAGTCCTCTCACCTCAGCCTCCCAAAGTGCTGAGATTATACACTTGAGCCATCAAGCCTGGACTGATTATTATCAATCCTTATAATTTTATTTTTCTACAATGCCATATACTTGGATTATATAATCTGTAAACTGGATTTTACTTTCTTCAATTAAAGAAATGCATTTGTGACTCATCTATACTGTGATGTCGATCAATAGTTTTTTTTTTTATTGACAACTAGGATTCTATTGTAGGTATGCACTGGTTTGTTTATTCATTCACCTGTTGAAAAGCATCTAGTTTACATCTAGCTTTTTGCAATTACAAATAAAGTGAGCAATAGACATCCATAAAAAGTTTCATTTCAGCATTAGTTTTCAGTTTACTTTAGTAATGACCTAGCAGTGGGATGTCTTGGTAACATAATAAGTGTATACTCAACTTTATAATAAGCCACTAAACTATTTTCCAAAGCTACTCTACCATTTCATATTTCTAGATCTATTTAATCCAAATTTTCATTGACGGTCTTTGAAATTTTTCTTTTCATGATTGCCATTATCATAATTGTGTGCTATCTCATTGTTATTCATGCTTTATTTTTTTCCATTTCTGTTGGGAAACCTGAATTTTATAATCAATGCAGAAAGAAATGTATAAAATGCTTAGGGATTAGCCTTGGATTCTGGAAACTGACTTCCAGAAATCTGCTATGCAATTAGAGCTTTACAAACATTAAAAAAAAATTATAGTTTATTCTCTGTGGTTTTCTTTTTCTTTCTTTCTTTCTTTTCTTTTTTTCTGAGACAAGGTGTTGCTCTGCTGCCCAGGCTGGAGTCCTATGGCACAATCTCCACTCGCTGCAACATCTGCCTTTCGAGTTCAAGCGATTCTCATGCCTCAGCCTACCGAGAACCTGGTGTTACAGGCAAATGCCACCATGCCCAGCTAATTTTTGTATTTTTAGCAGAAACAGGGTTTTGTCATGTTGGCCAGGCTGGTCTCAAACTCCTAACCTCAAGTAATCCACCTACCTTGGCCTTCTTTTTCTTTCTTTCTTTTAAGAAAGATTCTCTCTCAGCCAGGCAGGAATGCAGTGGCATGACTGCAGCTCACTGCAGCCTCAACCATCTGGGCTCAAGCAGTTTTCTCATCTCAGCCTTCTGAGTATCTGGGACCCCACTCATGTGCTACCATGCTCAGCTAATTTATTACTGTTATTTTTAGAGGTGAGGTCACACTATGTAGACCAGGCTGGTCTCGAACTCCTGAGCTAAAGTAATCCTCCCACCTTAGCCTCCCAAAATGCTGGAATTACAGGCAGGTGCCATCACATCCACATTGATGTTTTATTTTGTATATCAAAATATGAAAAATAGCATTGATGTCCATAAATAGACTCCAAGAAAATGTTATACATATTAAAAAAGTAATTTCCAAAGCAAATACTAAAATTGAAAGCAATTGAAATAAATAAAAATGACTAAATAAGATATAGATAATATGACCAGAAAGAGAGAAGGTTAGTTTTTCTGACTTTATTTTTTTCCAGCATCATTTATTAAATAGGGAATATTTTCCCCATTGCTTGTTTCTATCAGGTTTGTCAAATACCACATGGTTGTAGACGTGTGGTCTTATTTCTGAGGTCTCTATTTTGTTTCACTGGTCAATGTGTCTGTTTTTCTTTTTACCAGTACCATGCTGCTTTGGTTACTATAGCCTTGTTGTATAGTTTGAAGTCAAGTAGCATGATGCCTCTAGCGTTGTTCTTTTCACTTAGAATTTTCTTGGCTATACAGGCTCTTTTTTGGTTCCACATGAATATTAAAGTAGTTTTTCCTAGTTCTGTGAAGAACATCAGTGGTAGTTTGATGGGAATAGCACTGAATGTATAAATTACTTTGGGAAGTACAGCCATTTTCATAATATTGCTTCTTCCTATCCATGAGGATGAAATTTTTTCCATTTGTTTTTGTCCTCTCTTATTTCTTTGAGCAGTAGTTTGTAGTCCTTTTTGAAGAGGTCCTTCACATCCCTTGTTAGCTGTATTCCTAGGTATTTTATTTTCTTTGTAGCAATTGTGAATGGGAGTTCATGCATGATTTCACAATCTGCTTGTTTATTGTTGGTACTTGTGATTTTTCCACATTGATTTTGTATCTAGAGACTTTGCTGAAGTTGCTTATTAGCTTAAGGAGCTTTTGGGCTGAGACAATGGGATTTTCTAGATATAGCATCATGTCATCTGCAGAGACAATGTGACTTCCTCTCTTCCTATTTGAATACCCTTTATTTCTTTCTTTGACCTGATTTTTCTGGTCAGAACTTAAAATACTACGTTGAATAGGAGTGGTGAGAGAGGGCATTTTGTCTAGTGCTGATTTTCCAGAATTCTTCCAGGTTTTGCCCATTCAGTATGATATTGGCTGCGGGTTTGTCATAAATAGCTCTTATTATTTTGAGGTATGATTTTTCAATACTTAGTTTATTGAGAGTTGTTAACATGAAGGGATGTTGAATTTTGTTTGTTTGTTTGAGACAGAGTCTCACTCTGTTACCCAGGCTGGAATGCAGTGGCATGGTCTCAACCCACTGCAACCTCTGCTTTTTGGGTTCAAGGGATTCTCTTGCATCAGCCTCAGAGTAGCCTCCAGAGTAGCTGGGATTACAGGCCCCCACCGCCATGCCTGGCTAATTTTTGTATTTTTAGTAGAGATGGGGTTTCACCATGTTGATCAGACTGGTCTCAAACTCCTGACCTCGTGATCCACCTGCCCCAGCCTCCCAAAGTGCTGGGATTACGGGATTACAGGTGTGAGCCACCGCGCCCAGCCAAGGAATGTTAAATTTTATTGAAGACTTTATTATTAGTATTATTATTTTATTTTTTTGAGAGGGAGTCTTGCTCTGTCACCCAGGCTAAAGTGCAGTGGCACAATCTCAGCTCACCACAACCTCCACCTCCTGGGTTCAAGTGATTCTCCTGCCTCAGCCTCCCAAGTAACCAGGATTACAGGTGCACACCACCACCCCTGGCTAATGTTTGTATTCTCAGTAGAGATGGGGTTTCACCATATTGGTCAGGCTGGTCTCGAACTCCTGACCTCATGATCCACCCATTTCGGCTTCCCAAATTGCTAGGATTACAGACGTGAGCCATCATGCCCAGCCCTTACTGAAGACTTTTACTGCATCTATTGAGATAATCATGTGGTTTTTGTCATTGGTTCTGTTTATGTGATAGCTTACATTTATTGATTTGTGTATGTTAAATGAGTTTTGCATCCCAGTGATGAGGCCGACTAGTTTGTAGTGGATAAGCTTTTTGATGTGCTGCTGGATTTGGTTTGCCAGTATTTTATTGAGGATATTCACATCAATGTTCTTCAGAGATATTGGCCTGAAGTTTTCTTTTTTTGTTGTGTCTCTGCCAGGTTTTGGCATCAGGGTGATGCTGGCCTCATAAAACGAGAAGGGAGGAGAGTCTCTCCTTTTTAATTCTTTGGAATAGTTCCAGAAGAAATGGTACCAGTAATATAGCAGTTATTAGGAAATTATTTTAGTCACTTAGCAAGTGTAAAAATGTTCTCAGTGAAATTTTTCTTTAATAGAAATCAGCCAAAAACCATCTCTTTTCTAACATAAAGCAGCCTGAAAAGTCAAGCTACAAGCATAGATAAGCAAGCTAGAACCCTGCATAGATGAACGTGGGCAGCTGTACTGAAAGCCAGGTCCACCCAATATGGCAATTCCCCCTTCCTTTTCTTTGTCCCCTCGTGTGCAGTTGTCATGGATCCAGCCAGGTAGAGGCCACATTTGCATAATAAAAGATTGGGGTGGGAAGGCAAGTTTTTTTGCAGGTTATGTAAATGGTACACCCGGTCAAACCAATCTTTTGAACCCTATGTAAATCAATCACCCCCTCTTCAAGCCTCTTTTAAAAGTCAATTGCATCCTGGAAACCTTGGGTGCCCCACTTTCTCTGCATGAGAAAGCTCTCTCTCTCCCTCTCTTTCTTCTTTCTTTCATCTATTAAACTTTCTGCTCTTTAAACACACTCCAAGTGTGTGTGTCTGTGTCATTAACCTTCTCAGCATTAGATGATGAACCCTGGGTATTTACCCCAGACAACAATGCTGCTTCACCAGCTCCTTTTTTTACCTCTGGTAGAATTCAACCATTAGTCCATCTGGTTCTGGGCTTTTTGTGTGTGTTTTTTTGGTTGGTAGGCTATTTATTACTGCCTAAATTTCAGAACTTAGTTGGTCTTTTCAAGGATTTGACTTCTTCCTGGTTTAGTCTTGGGAGGGTTTATGTGTCCAGAAATTGATCCATTTCTTCTAGATTTTTTAGTTTATTTGCATAGAGGTGTTTATAGTATTCTCTGTTAGTAGTTTATACTTTTGTGGGGTCACTGGTGATATCCTATTTATCATTTTTTATTGGGTTTGATTCTTCTCTCTTTTATTCTTTATTAGTCTAGCTAGTGGTCTATGTATTTTATTAATTTCTTCAAAAGAGCCAGCTCCTGGGCCAGCCATGGTGGCTCATGCCTGTAATCCCAGCATTTTGAGAGGCAGATCAACTGAAGTCAGGAGTTCGAGACCAGCCTGCCCAACAGAGTGAAACCCCGTCTCTCCTAAAAATATAAAAATTAGCCAAGCTTGGTGGTGCATACCTGTAATCCCAGCTACTCAGGAGGCTGAGGCAGGAGAATCATTTGAACCCAGGAGGCCAAGGTTGCAGTGAGCCAAGATCTTGCCACTGCACTGCAGCCCGGGCAACAAGTGTGAGACTCCGTCTCAAAAAACAAAACAAAACAAAGCAAAACAAAACAAAACAAAACAAAAATCCAGCTCCTGAATTCATTGATCTTTTGAAGGTTTTTTGTGTCTCTATCTCCCTATCTTCCTCAGTTTTGCTCTGATCTTAGTCATTTCTTATCCTCTGCTAGCTTTTAAATTTATTTGCTTTTGCCTCTCTAGTTCTTTTAGTTGTAATGTTAGGGTGTTGATTTGAGATCTTTCTAGCTTTCTAATGTAAGCATTTAGTGCTATAAATTTCCCTCTTAACACTGCTGTAGCTGCATCCCAGAGATTCTGGTACATTGTTTTTTTGTTCTCATTGACTTTAAAGAACTTCGTGATTTCTGCCTTAATTTCATTATTTACCCAGAAGTCATTCA
The DNA here is from genome assembly GCF_000001405.40 of Homo sapiens. Classification (NCBI taxonomy): domain Eukaryota; kingdom Metazoa; phylum Chordata; class Mammalia; order Primates; family Hominidae; genus Homo; species Homo sapiens. The sequence goes on along the minus strand of NC_000019.10, from coordinate 22,274,087 downwards.
GAAGCAGGTTGTCCAATTCGCATGTAGTTGTGTAGTTTTGAGTGAGTTTCTTAATCTTGAGTTTTAATTTGATTGCACTGTGGTCTGAGAGACAGTATCATATAATTTGAGTCCTTTTACATTTTCTGAAGAGTGTTTTACTTCCAATTATACAATCAATTTTAGAGTAAGTTCCATGTGGCACTGAGAACAATGTATATTCTGTTGTTTTGGGGTGGAGAGTTCTGTAAATATCTATCAGGTCCACTTGATCCAGAGCTGTGTTTAAGTCCTGAATATTCTTATTAATTTTCTTTCTCATTGATCTAATATTGATAGTGGGGTGGTAATGTCTCCCTGTATTATTGTATGGAAGTCTAAGTCTCTTTGTAGGTCTCCAAGAACTTGTTTCATGAATCTGTGTGCACCTGTATTGAATGCCTATATATTTAGGATAGGTAGCTCTTCTTGTTGAATTGATTCCTTTATAATTATTAAGGGAAGAGACCACCCCTAATATTGTCTTATACCCAATTTCTGCCTCCAAAGAAAGAAGAAGTAAAAACTAAAAGGCAGAAATGAAATCTACAGGCAGACAGCCCAGCGCCGTGCCCTGGGCCTGGTTAAAGTATGACGCCTGACCTAACTGGTTATGTTATCTATAGATTCCAGACATTGTATGGAAAAGCATTGTGAAAATCCCTGTCTTGTTCTGTTCCATTCTGATTAATGGTGCATTCAGCCCCCAGTCACATACCCCCTGCTTGCTCAGTTGATCATGACCCTCTCACACTGAACCCCTTACAGTTGTAAGCCCTTAAAAGGACAGGAACTGCTCACTCGGGGAGCTTGGTTTTTGGAGACGTGAGTCTTGCTGAAGCTCCCAGCTGAATAAAGCCCTTCCTTCTTTAACTTGGTGTCTGAGGGGTTTTGTCTGTGGCTTGTCCTGCTACATTTCTTGGTTCCCTGACTGGGAAGCGAGGTGATTAATGGATGGACCGTTGAGGCAGCCCCTTAGGTGGCTTAGGCCTGCCCTGTGGAGCATCCCTATGGGGAACTCCGGCCAGCTTGAGTGACGTGGATCCTGAGAGTGCTCCTGGGTAGGCATTTGCCTCGGTGGAATGCCTTGTCAGAGTGGTGCAAGGCAGGCCCCCACGGAGGATCAATGCAGTGGCTGAACACTGGGAAGGAAATGGCACTTGGAGTCCAGACATCTGAAACTTGGTAAGACTGGTCTTTGTAACTTGCCTACTCCATTTGAGTGGAAGTGTGGCCTGATCACCCACAATGTGCCTGTACCAGCACTTTGGTTTTTGTTTTTGACTTGATTTGGATTGCTCGATACTTTGGTTTTGGTTTTGACCTGGCTTGGATTTCTTGATACTCTGATTTTGGTTTTGATTCTGGTTTGGTGTAAACTGTAAAAGTATGTGTGTGCCCTTTTAACCCGTTCTTTGTTTTGTGGTATGCATGTGGTGTGAGCATGGTGTCTTGTCTCAAGAAAGCATGGGTCAGGCACAAAGTAAGCCCACCCCACCAGGAACTATGTTGAAAAATTTCAAGAAAGGATCTAAGGGAGACTATGGAGTACTATGACAGCAGGAAAACTTAAAACTTTGTGTAAGATAGACTGGCATTAGAGGTGGGTTGACTATCAGAAGGAAGCCTGGACAGGTCCCGTGTTACAAAGGTATGGCACAAGGTAACCTGTAAGCCAGGACACCCAGACCAGTTCCTGTATATAGACACTTGGTTACAGCTGGTTTTAGACCCCCCCCCCACCCCACAGTGGTTGAGAGAACAGCAGCATAAGCAGCTTGCAGAGGCAAGGAAAGACCAGCAGAGAGAGAGAGAGGAAAGAGACAGAGAGAAAAAGAAGCAAAGAGAGAGAGGAAAAGACAGAGAGGAAGAGACAGAGAGACAAAGAGGGAGTCAAGAAGAGAGAGAGAGAAAGAGAGAGGCAGAGAGAGAGGAAGAGACAAAGGCAAAAGGAAAGCCAAAGAGAGAGAGAGACAGAAAGTCAAATATAATTGATAATTGAAGGTCTTCTCCATGACCCTACAACACTCCAATACCACCTTGTAAGTGTAAACAAGGGCGTAGTCCGAAAGCACTGAGGCCCCTGACAACCTGTAGCCTTCCTATCAAAAATCCTTAACCCAGTAACCCAAAGATGGCCCAAATGCATTCAATCTGTAGTGGCAACTGCTTTGCTCACAGAAGAAAGTAGAAAAATAATTTAGAGGAAACCTCATTGTGAGCACACCTCACCAGTTCAGAAGTATCCTGAGTTAAAAAAAAAAAAAAAAAAAGACTTAACATTAACCGCTGAAAATTCACTTAACCCAGCAGGTTTCCTAACAGGGGATCTAAATCTTAATTACCATACAAAGGTCCAACCAGACCTAGGAGGAACTCCCTTCAGGACAGGATGATAGATGTTTCCTACTGGGTAAATGAAAAAAAAAAAAAAAGCCATCTATACCAATTTTAAGTTAATTTGGACTAAACAAGGTCCTATTAATAGCAAAGGATAGTTGGAATCTCAAATTTACAAGGTTTTCAACAAAAGTAAAGTTTGCTAAAAGTTAATAGTGTAACATGTATTATAGTAACTTTTAATCTTGTGGCCTTAGACAGTCTGGTCCACAGACATAAAGCAAGTTTGCTTTTTGAAAAGAATGGTTGTCATCTTAAAAAAAAAAAAAAGGGAAAAAAAGGGGGGGCAGAATTTATGTAAAAAGAATGTTATATGGTAAATTATTGTCCTGAAACAAATTAACTGGTTGTTTAAAGAAAGAAATGTTTGTAATAAGTCAGAAAGTTGAGGCATGTCGAAGAATTATCTGCAAAAGTCGTGAAAGAGAAAAAAAGTTATAAAAAAGAAATTATGCAAGAAATGTTGTATATTTTAAAAGTAATTAGGCCTCCTGAGTACTATTGAAGAAACAGTTTATGTGCAAGGTGTATAAGGAAACTAAAATATACCTTTGGTAAAATGATTATAAGGAGGCATAAGAATGTAAATTTTTACCTACATTGAAAGGTTAAAAAAAATTTGTTTTGAAGGTTTAAGCAAGTTTTAAAATGTTAATTATAAAGAAAATTCTGTGTGTTAACATATTAGCTAAAGTTAAAGGGGTATCATCCAGTTTTTCTGTGAACTGGACATTAAAGTAAAAACACAACAGATTTTTCTTAAAGCACTAACCTGCTCTTCAAGAAAGATTATAAAAGGTTAAAAAGAGTCTATAAAAATCTTACCTTATGGTCTGACATTAAAAATTGAATAAACATGTCTACAAAGTTTTAATAAAACTAAGTTTAACATTAATAACACACTAATATAAAGGTGACATTTAGCTTATCTGGTATAAAAATCATACAGGAAGCATTGTCAACTATAAGATGGTGTTTGGCTTCTTTGGTCTAAAAACTAATGAAAATAGATGCTAAAGGAAATTTCTCAGTAAAAGGCACCAAGGACTGTAAAGTCCTCTGCTGACGGACTTTTAAAACAAAAAGGTCAATTTAAAAAAAAGGTCAGTTTCTTAAGAATCATATACTTGGTTTATCTTCCACTTTCCCTTCCCTCAAAACTAAAAGTCTTTTAGCACATGTACCACTCCAAGAATTTCCGGCAAACCAGCACCAGCCTGAAGATCACGTTCTTATCAAAGGGTGAAAAGAAAGGAAACTCGAGCCAGCCTAGGAAGGACCCTACTTTGTGCTGTTAACCACCAAGACTGCTGTTTGTACAGTGAAAAAATGATGGACTCATCACACCCGAGTCAAGAAAGCACCACCCCCTCCAGAGTCATGGGCCATAGTCCCAGCGGAAAACTCTACCAAACTAAAGCTGAGAAAAATTTAACTCTTTCATCTATTCTATTACTCTTTCTTTTTTCCTTGCTCTATTGCTGACCTTCTAGGGTTATTAACATAACCAAGTCAATTTCGCCTCAAGCCATTGCCTTTAATGCTTGCGTTGTTATACCCTGTGGGGAATTGCCAAGTCAAAGACAGCTCTCTACTTCAGAAAAGTACCTCTGTCCCTCCTGACTCTCCTCAGACTGGGCATTAGTAAATTAGGACCATTTAATCTGGGGAAATTTTGATAAAGACTCCAATGTCAACCAGGATTCTTGGCCCCCAATGTAGAGCTTTTATGCCATAGCTGGTCCAACTTTCTGTGGACCACTAAAGAGCAAGGATGGACTGCCCCAACCAGTTTTTGTAATTTCCTAAAATCATACATTCATTTTACTAGAGGATCATAGAAGTTAAAGACTTAAAACAAACTTTGGCAATTAAGACAGGATACCAAGATGCAAATGCCTGGTTGGAATGGATCAAATATTCCATCCACACATTAAACAAAGACAATTGTTATGCTTGAGCACATGGCAGGCCAGAGGCCCTGATTGTCCCCTTTCCACTAAGGTGGTCCTCCAGTTGCCCAGGCATGGGCTGTATGGTAGCTGTTTTCCAGCATTCTATAGCCTGGAGTAATAAGTCATGCCAAGCTCTCTCTGCTATATCCCTAAGTCTGGCACCCTGTGGATCTGCCCCCAAGGGCCATCCAGCTTCCATCTCCCAACACTAAGTTCACTTTGCATCTCTCATGATAGGGAGGAAACTTAGCATTCCTTGGAAACCTGAAGGGATGTACTGAGCTTAAGAATTTTCAAGAGCTTATCAATCAGTCAGCCCTTTGTTCATCCTGGCATGGATGTGTGGTGGTATTGTGATGGACCTTTACTGGGCACTCTGCCAAATAACTGGAGTGGAATTTGTACTTTAGTCCAATTGGCTATCCCTTTCACCCTGGCATTTCATCAACAAGAGGGAGGAAAAATAAGACACCATAAAGTGAGAGAAGCCCCTTATGGGTCTTTCGACTCTCACATCTATTTAGATGTAATTGGAGTCCCATGGGGAATACCAGATCAATTTAAAGCTTGAAATCAAATAGCTGCAGGATTTGAGACAATATTTTGGTGGACGACACTTAATAAAAATGTAGATTGGATAAACTACTTCTATTATAACCAACAGCAATGAGCTTTTCATGAGTTAAAAGAAAAACTGATGTTGGCCCCAGCCCTGGGGATACCTGACTTGACAAAACCCTTTACACTCTATGTGTCAGAAAGAGAAATAATGGCAGTTGGAGTTTCAACCCAGGCTGTGGGGCCCTGGCCAAGGCCAGTGGCCTATCTCTCAAAACAACTAGATGGGGTTTCCAAAGGCTGGCCTCCATGTCTAAGGGCTCTGGCAGCAACCCCACATATTGTCTTTTGCCCAATTTCTGCCTCCAAAGAAAGAAGAAGTAAAAACTAAAGGCAGAAATGAAATCCACAGGCAGACAGCCTGGTGTCTCACCCTGGGCCTGGTTAAAGATTGACCCCTAACCTAATTGGTTATGTTATGTATAGATTCCAGACATTGTATGGAAAAGCATTGTGAAAATCCCTGTCCTGTTCTGTTCCATTCTGATTACCAGTGCATGCAGTCCCCAGTCACGTACCCCCTGCTTGCTCAATTGATCATGACCCTCTCATATGGACCCCCTTAGAGTTGTAAGCCCTTAAAAGAGACAGGAATTGCTCACTGGGGGAGCTCGGTTTTTGGAGACATGAGTCTTGCTGAAGCTCCCGGCCGAATAAAGCCCTTCCTTCTTTAACTCGGTGTCTGAGGGGTTTTGTCTGCAGTTTGTCTTGCTACCTTATGTAATGCCCTTCTTTGCTTTTTTTGATCTTTGTTGGTTTAAAGCCTGTTTTGTAGGAAACTAGAATTGCCACCCCTGCTTTTTTCTGCTTCCCATTTGCTTAGTAAATTTTCCTTTTTTTTTTTTTTTTTTTATTTTGGGCATATGTGTGTCTTTGCATGTGAAACGAGTCTCTTGAATACAGCACACCAATAAATCTTTAATCTTCATCCAATTGGCCAGTCTATATCTTTTAATTGGTCCATTTAACCCATTTATGTTTAACGCTAATATTGTTATGTGTGAAGTTGATCCCATCATCATGATGCTAGCTGGTTATTTTGCACACTAGTTGATGCAGATTGTTCACAGTGTCATTGATCTTTGTATTTCAGTGTGTCTTTGCAGTGGCTGTTATGGGTGTTTGTTTGTTTGTTTGTTTTTTTCCATATTTAATGCTTCTTTCAGGAGTTCTAGCAAGGCAGGCCTTGTGGTGATGAATTCTTTCAGCATTTACTTGTCTGAAAAGGATTTTATTACTCCTTTGCTTATGAAGCTTAGTTTGCCTGGATATAAATTCTGGGTTGAAAATTAGTTTATTCCAGAATGTTAAATATTGGCCCCCCACTCTCTTCTGCTTGTAGAGTTTCTGCTGAGAGATCTGCTTTTAGTCTGATAGACTTCCCTTTGTAGATGACCTGACTTTTCTCTCTGGCTGGCCTTAGCATTTCTTCCTTCATTTCGACCCTGGAGAATCTGATGATTATATGTCTTGGGGTTGATCTTCTCATGAAGTATCATACTGAGGTTCTCTGTATTTTCTAAATTTGAATGTTGGTCTGTCTTTCTAGGTTGGGGAATTTCTCCTGGATGATCTCCTGAAGTGTGTTTTCCAGCTTGGTTTCATTCTCCCCATCTCTTTTGGGAACTCCAATCAGTCATAGGTTTGGTCTTTTTACATAGTCCCATAGTTCTCAAAGGTTTTGTTCATTCCTTTTTATTCTTTTTTCTCTCATCTTGTCTGCCTGCCTTATTTCAGCAAGATAGTCTTCAAGCTCTGATATTCTTTCTTCTGCTTGATAGCTTTGGCTACTGATACCTGTGTATACTTTACAAAGTTCTTGTGCTGTGTTTTCAGCTCCATCAGATCATTTATGTTTCTCTCTAAACTGGTTATTCCAGTTAGCAACTCATGTAATCTTTTATCATGGTTCTTATCTTCTTTGCATTGAGTGAGGACATGCATCTTTACCTCCTTGAAGTTTGTTATTACCCACTTTCTGAAGCCTACTTCTGTCAATTCATCAGTCTTTTCTCTGTTCAGATCTGTGCCCTTGCTGGAGAGGTGTTGTGATCATTTAGAGAGGAAGCACTCTGGTCTTTTGTGTGTTCAGCAATGTTGTGTTGATTCTTTCTTATCTTCATGAGTTTGTCCAGTTTTGATCTTTGAGGCTGCTGACTCTTAGCTGAAGTTTTTGTGGGGACTTTTTTTTTTTTCAAGATGGAGTCTTGCTCTGTCACCCCCGCTGGTGTGCAGTGGCATGATCTCAGCTCACTGCAACCTCCACCTCCTGGCTTCAAGCAATTCTACTGCCTCAGCCTCCCGAGTAGCTGGGATTACAGGTGCCCAGCATGGCACCTGGCTAATTTTTGTATTTTTAGTAGAGACGGGGTTTCACTATCTTGGCCAGGCTGGTCTGAAACTCCTGACCTCATGATCCACCTGCCTCAGCCTCCCAAAGTGCTGGGATTACAGTTGTGAGCCACCATGCCCGGCCATTGTAGGAACTTTTTTTGTTGACATTGTTGCTGTAGCCTTTTATTTGTTTTTCTTTCAATAGGCATGTTCCTCTTCTGTAAGGCTACAGTGGTTTGCTGGGGGTTCACTTCAGGCCTATTTATCTGGGTCACTCCTGCACCTGGAGATGCCCACAGAGAAAGCTGGAGAACAGCAAAGATGGGTGCCTCCTCCTTCCTCTGGGATTTCTGACTCCAAGGGACAGTGACCTAATGTCAGGAGGAATGCTTCTGTATAAAGTGTCTGGAGACCCCTATTGGGGGTCTCACACAGTTGAGGGCATGGGAACCAGGAACCATTTAAGGAAGCATTTTGGCTGTCCCTTGGTGGAGGGGGTGTGCTGTGGTGGAGGGAAACTGACTCATCTGGGCTGCCTGAATTTTGCAGAGCTAGCAAGAGGAAAGACTAAGTCTGCTGGTCCATGGAGACTATGGCAACCTCTCCCCCTAGGGGGTCAGGCCCAGGAAGATCAAGGTTTTGTCCCTGAGCTCCCAGCTGGAGTTGTTGGAGTTTCTGCAGGGAGGCCCCACTCAGTGAGAAGGGATGGATGAAGGTCTGGCCTAAAGAGAGAGTCAGGCCATTGTCTGCAACAGCTGGTGTGCTGTGCTGTGGGGAATGCCTCTTGGGACCAAGCGGTCTAACCTCCTTGGCTCCAACAGGGGAATAGCATGGCCTGGAGCTACAGTGATGACTGCCACCCTCCCCTGCACCCCAGGGGCTTAGTGTCATTGGTAGCTAGCAGCTGCAGTGATGGCTGCTGCCCCTCCCCAAGGGAGTTCAGATGACTTAGACAACAGGCAGCCACATTATGTAGCCCAGTCTGGTCTCAAACTCCTGGACTTAAGTAATCCTCCCACCTCAGCCTCCCAAAATGCTGGAATTACAGGCATGAGCCATCACATCCACACTGAGGTTTTATTTTTAATATCAAAATATAAAACAGCACGGACGTTCATTAATAGAATCCAAGGGAATATTATGCCAGTTAAAAAAGTAATTTCAAAAGCAAATACGAAAATTGAAAGCAAATTAAAATAAATAAAAATAACTAAATATTATATAGATAATATAACCAGAAAGAGAAACATTTAGTGCAGTAGCCAGGCACAGTGGCTCACGCCTGTAATCCCAGCACTTTGGGAGGCCGAGGAGGGCAGATTACAAGGGCAGGAGCTCGAGACCAGCCTGGCCAACACAGTGAAGCCCCATCTCTACTAAAAATACAAAAATTAGCTGGGCGTGGTGGCAGGCGCTTGTAAACCCAGCTATTTCGGAGGCTGAGGCAGGAGAATTGCTTGAACCCAGGAGGCGGAGGTTGCAGTGAGCCGAGATCGCACCATTGCACTCCAGCCTGGGTAACAGAGCTAGACTCTGTCTTGGAAAAAAAAAATATAATAATAATAAAGTGCAGTATACTAATGGGATATTTTTAGTGGGGAAGATTCTATTTCCATAAGAAATTCAAAATGAGATAATTTCCAGATTTTAGAAACTGATGCAAAACATATAAATATAGAAAGCCTCTAAGGTGATCCCATGATGTAGTATTACTTCAAATAAAAACTGGGCAAACTCAGCAAAAGGAAAGTTAAAGTTAATCTCAAGTGTCAGAATAGATACAGAAGTTCTAATAATATAATATTAAATGGAATCCAGAATTTTATTAAAAATATGTTATTTATGTATTGTATTATTAAAATGTAAATGTAATTAAAAATAGAAAATCTTTTGTTTTATTTAATTCCATAAAAGGTTAAAATGTGACCATTCTCTGTGATTTTGAAAGCAGCATTGTCTCAACAGATGTGTATTTGCATCTACATTTATCTACACATACATTTATATACTATCTGTCTACGTATTCTCCATCCATCCATTCATAGAATGTATAAAAAGGATGAATCTAAAATAGAGTGATTAAAAATAGAGTGATTAACAAAAGCATTTGAAATGTATTATCAGTTTATTACAGTGTCCAGATATTTATATGTTCAAATACAAAATATAAAATATTTTTATATATTCACACACAAAAACATAAAATATATTTATATGTTCATACACAAAATATAAAATAAGTTTATCTTATCAACTCTTCCAGATAAGTTAATAAAATATTTTAAAACTATGCAGCTATGGTTATTAGCTGAAAATAGGAAATAATATATTTATTTGTACAACTAATAGAAATGCTATTTCAACTGAATATAAAATACAAAAATATCACTGAAAAAGGCAAATAATGTACATTATCTAAAAAATAAACAACTCTGTGTAATGTACATTATCTAAAAAATAAACAACTCTGTGCTACAAGAGTTATGCAGCACACAGGAATCATATATAAATATCAATTAATTATATGTATTTTTTTTTTTGAGATGGAGTCTCGCTCAGTTGCCCAGGCCGGAGTGCAGTGGTGCTATTTCAACTCACTGCAAGCTCCGCCTCCCGGGTTCACACCATTCTCCTACCTCAGCCTCCGGAGTAGCTGGGACTACAGGTGTCCGCCACCATGCCCAGCTATTTTTTATTTTTATTTTTAGTAGAGACGGGGTTTCACTGTGTTAGCCAGGATGGTCTCGATCTCCTGACCTTGTGATCCTGCCCACCTCGGCCTCCCAAAGTGCTGGGATTACAGGTGTGAGCCACCACGCCCAGCCAACTATTTACATGTATTTTTTGAGACAGGATCTCACTCTATCACTTAGGCTGGAGTGCTGTGGTTTGATGGTGGCATGAGCAACCACATCTTACCTAGCTATAGACATTTTAAATAATTTCAGTGTGAAATACTAAACATAATTCAAAATGTATTTTCCTTATATGCAATGAGGTAAACAGAGTTTCAAGATCCAAATGATGAGTGAAAAAGAATTCCAACAACCTGCGGCATGATAATGCAAACAGCTCACATGTGTGCCGCACTCTCACTGTGCCAGCCTGTGTTTAGAAGCATTTTAGATACTTTTGCGCATTAAATTCTCATCAGAAATAACTCAGGTAAGTTTAATTAATCTCCATGTCACAGACAAGGTGACTGAAAGGAAAAAAGTTCAGGACTTATCCAAGGTCACCCAGACAGGAAATGGGTGAGCTAAGGTGTGCTCTGACCTACTCCTGCTTCCCTGGCATAGACAGAGCCATTGTTCATTGATTAAACAACTGCTCATTGAGCACCTCCCACGGGCCGAGCACTGTGCTTGGCACTGGGAACACAGTGGTGAACTAGACACAGCTGCCAGGAACAAACACTAAAGAAGTAAACAACAAACAGCAAGATTATTGCAGAAAATGTCAAGTTACCAAGACATGCTGCTGCTGTAAAAGATGGGCGTGCACAGGCCTACCGGGAGTGGGTTCTAGTTGGAAGGACGAGGGTGGAGCAAACCTCCCCAGGAAGAGTCAGAGCTGAGCCTAGACTGGAGGCTCCTGTCAGTGTGAGGATGTGGTTAGAGTCTGTCTCAGTTTCTTTCTATGCAGCCCCTAAAATCTTTGGAATGTCTGAAATGAGAAGTGTCTATTGCATGTAGGCACTGGTCCTCACATACATTAGAGAACAGAACTCTTGCTGTGCCCACAGCCAGGGAAAGGCGGGCAATGTCTATCTACCTCGTGGGTCCTAGAGCACCTTGTCCTGCCAGGACACTCACCGTCACCCTCACCCCCATAAGGTACAGATGGCAACCAGGGTGCCGCATACCACCCACTGGTGCACCCCAAAGGATGCTGAGTCCTGTAGGGGCCGTGGGCCTGAATAGTGTTTCCTAGTCACAGAGTCTTTCTGATTTTTTTCACTCACTAGCCCTGTGCCTCCGTTTCCCTCATTGTGGCACAAAGTCAACATCCCATTCTGCAGGCTAGGTGACCCAGAGATGTCACCACAGCCCATTAAATGACTATAGCATGTGAAAGTGGGAAGTGAGAGTCCCTCCCTGCTCTGGGTCTTTTGCCCCAGGACAGATGTTTATCAGGCCAGCTGCCTGGGGAGGGCCACATCTCCTGCTTTGGGAGCATTGTTTCCAAATTGAAGTCACTACGGTTAAGGACTCCCAATGCATTGGGGGAGGCACAGGGGTGGGATGGGGTAGAACAACACCGCATCACAAGAGCCTTGGATCCACCCCGGAGAGCGAGAATCAATTTCAGACTCCTGTCTGAAGCTGACCACCCTGAGGAATTAGGATTTGGGGATAAGACAAAGTCCTTGGTTCAGAAAACAAGATCTTCTGGTTCTGGACTCTGTAGCTGTCCTGGGTAGGGGACTTGTTTCCAACTATGTGCTTTAATTGAACCTAAGGGGATGGGGCACCCATAAGGGACTCTGAAGCCAAGGGTGAGTCCTACCTTCTGCCTCCCAAACTCTCTCTCCAATAGTAGATATTGGGCGGCAAAATGTCTTTACCAAGAAAAAAAAAATATCCAGAGACCAGGCAGGCTAATAAATGCTTACCAGGATTATCTGGCCTAATCATCACAACAGTCATATTCGTCCTCTGGGACAGGTGAGGAAACTGAGGTTGGAGGAGGACACCGAGAGCCTGGTCGGGCCACTGGCAGCCTGGAGCCCCAGAGGCCCAGGCATTCACCACCCTCCAACCCCCTCTCTCCCTCCCGGCCCCAGGAGTCTTCATTCCCAGCTCATTCACTTGTCAATCACTCAGACTCGCTGGGCCTCCAGCAGGGCCGCCCCTTCTCCGCCCGCTTGTCCCTCCCCACCCGCAGCTCTTCCGTCCCGCGCGGCTCGTTGGCCTGGGCTCCAAGGCGGGGCCGCCCACGAAAGCCACTGGCAGGGACGGCTCCGAGTCCGAGCCCCCGACACCCCCGCCCCGCCCGCCCCGCCCGCCCCGCCCGCACCCGCTCGGTCCCTTGGGCTGGGGGCCCAGGCAGGGCGGGCGCGACCCAAGGCCACCGCGCACGGCCTGAGCCGAAATCCCAACCCCAGATCGCAGGAACCCCCGCCTTCCAGGCACCAGGATGGGCCCTCCTGGCGGGTGGTTGGGGACCCGGGTGTGTATCTGTGGGAATAATTGGTCAAAAGTGGCTTTTTGTTTTCCCAAAGGTAAAGCCTCCTTCGTAATTACGTATTTTCTTCTTACTTAAAACGGAATCTCATTATTTAGATATACCCATGATTGTGTCAGTGAATTTGAGTATACTTTTTAAAGTTTTTCTCAGTTTAGTCCTTATGTTTGTTTCTATTTTAAGAATTTTAAATTCTACCTAAAATTAGTAAAGTGAACCCCAAAGTATCTGAGACAGGTCTCAATTTAGAAAGTTTATTTTGCCAAGATTAAAGACACACCCGTGACACCGCCTCACGAGGTCGTGACAACGCGGGCCTAAGGTGGTTGGGTCACAGCTTGATTTTATACATTTTAGGAGTCAGGAGACATTAATCGATATATGGAAGGTGTACATTGTCCAGGAAAGTGGGAGAACTCGAAGCAGGGCGGGAGCTGCCAGGTCATAGGTAGATAAAGGACTAATGGTTGCAATTTTTCTGAGATTCTGATTAGCCTTTTACTGGGGTATTTCCAGGTCTGTCTTTCCTAAACTTGCCCAAGAGAAAGTTGACACCAAGTTTGTATAATTTTAATCTATTTTTGCCAATTTTTTGTCTATTTCATAACATACAACAACGGGTAATTTAACCAAAACCCTTATGGTTTTCTAGCACAATTATAAGCTACACATGTATTCTTAGCAAGGTAAAAGCAATAGAAACAATGATGATAAAATAACAACTTTTCGTGCATGAATAGCCCTTCAGCTGGTGACTTCACAGAGCCCACTGTTGAGGTTCCGAATCCTACACCCAAAGGTGGTCAAAAGATGGAAAATTGACTTGCACACATGGATCTGGTTTACAGGCTGGTTGTTGACTCTCACACCATGACTCAGCAAACCTGTAAGGCTGTGACTTTACTAAGAAGACAAAGTTTGCAGGAAGAATAGAGGCTTTGATGCAGTCTACTGTTGAGATTGTGACTCATGTACTTAGACTCAACATTCAGGAGGTGTTGACCCTCATACCTAGAACTGGGACATGTGTGGAATTATTATTATCATTATTTTCTTTCTTTTTTTGAGATGGACTGTTGCTCTGTCACCCACGTTGGAGTGCAGTGGCATGATCTCGGCTCACTGCAACCTCCACCTCCTAGGTTCAAGCGTTTCTTCTTTCTCAGCCTCCTGAGCAGCTGGGATTACAGGCATGTGCCACAATGCCCGGCTAATTTTTGTGTTTTTAGTAGAGACAGGGTTTTGCCATGTTGGCCAGGCTGGTCTCAAACTCCTGACCTCAGGTGATCCGTCTACCTCAGCCTCCCAAATTGCTGGGATTACAGGTGTGAGCCGCTGTGTGGAGTTACTAATTATTAGATGCTGGCCACCGCTGGGCAGGGGTTGGGCTCAGCTGACACCCTACATCCACCACCAGATTCCAGCCTCTGACTTTGGGGAATCTGGCCGGGACCTGGGGTCTGGGGCCAGAACTGTGGACACCCTGCCATGTGTGGAATTATTAATCTTACCCCCGAATCTTCCTGCATCTCCCAGCACCTGAGTGACTTGACTTTTTTGTGAGGTCTTAGCTGACAAATTGGATTGCGGCATATCACAGGATCCAGCACCTAGGTAATGTGACAGTATTCTCCTGCCTTGGCACTACCTACTTGGGGCTTTGTGACATATGTCTGTGCTCATAACTAAGGTGATATGATTCTCTTCTCTTACCTGGTCTCTGCTCACATGGGAGATAGTGACATATTGCTGGGCCCAATACCAAAGTGACATTACTCTTTTACCTTGACCTTCTTCTCAGAAAACATTGTGACATATTGTTGGGCCCACCACCAACATGATGTGAGTCTTCTGCGTGGTCCCTGACCACAGAGATCATCGTGACATATCTCTGAAAGCTCAAAACTATTTGAAGCGATTATCTTGTTATGCCAGCTCTTTGCCCATAGGAGAGAATGTAATATTTCTGTGGGCACAGCACCTAGTTGATGTAATTGTGCCTGGGCCATGTCTACAAAAGGAAGAATCATTTACCCATGGGTCCAGCACACAGGTGACTTCACTCTACTGCCTTGATTCTTGCCCACGAGAATCATCGTTACATATTTTTGGGCTCTCCTCCTAGATGATGTGAGACTTTTTTTCTTCCTGGGTCCTGTCCACAAAAGGAGATTGTGACATATCACTTGACCCAGCACCTATGTGATGTGACTCTCATCTGATGCCTTGGCTCTTCCCACTGGGCTGGTTGTGACATACAGCTGGGCACAGCTTCTAGGTTATGTGACTCTTCTCTTCTTCCTGAGTCCTGCCCACAGGGAGCATTGTGACATATCTCTAAACACTTCACCTAGATAATGGGACTCTTTCATCTGAGCCCTCCCCAAAGAGGCTATTGTGACATGTTTGGATCAAGCACCTAGGAGATGTTACTGTTCTCTCCTACCTGTTACCTGTTACTGGCAGTGAATCCGTATGGGTACAGGTCTGCTGCAACATTGACCCAGCAATAGGATGAGTTGGTGACTCTCAGACCAAGATTCAGGATACCTGAAACCTAAGAGACTTTGACTCCACTAAGGACACCCAGCGTGCAGGACAAATAGAAGCTCTCATGCAGAGATAAAGTCCCCAGTTGAGATTGTAACTCCTGAACATGTGCAGAATTGATAATCTCATTTATGGACCACCCTGCAGCTGTGATTGTGACATATGCCTTTGTCCAGCACTTGAGTGATTTGACTCTCCTGCCTGGGCTCAGGTCACAGATAGGATTGTGACACATCGCTGAACTCAGGACCTAGGTGATGGGAATCTATTCTCCTGACTTGGCATTGCCCATAGGGAACACTGTGACATATCACTGCACCCAACATCCAGGTTATGTGACTCTCCTGCCTGTGCCTTACATGGGCCATTGTGACATATTCCTGAGTGTAACACCCAGGTGATGTAAATCTCCTGCCTAGGCCTTGCCTACAGAGAGCATTCTGACGTATCGCTGTGACCATTACATAGGTGATGTGACTCTCCTTTCCTGCCTAGTTCCTGCTTACAGAGGGTATTGAAACAGACTGCCAGGTCCAGCACCTAGATAATGTGATTCCTCTCTTTTTTCTAGGTTTTGCCCACAGGGGACATTGTGACATATCACTGGGCCCAACACCAAGGTTATGTTACTCTCTTTCCTTGGTCCTGCTCTCAAACAACATTGTGAAATACTGCTGAACCCAGCACGAAGAAGATGTAAGTCTTCTGCCTGGACCCTGTTAACAAGGGGCACTGTGACATATCTCTGAGCCCATCAACTATTTGATGTGACTCTTCTCTTTTACCTGGGCTTTCTCCATAGAAGAGGTTGTGACATAACTCTGGGCCCAGCACCTAGGTAATGTGACTTTTTTCTTTTGCCTGGACCATGCCCACAGAGAAGAGAGTGACTTATTACTAAGCCCAGCACACATGATGTAATTCTTCTGCCTGGTCTTTGCTCACAGGAATAATTTTGACATATTTCTGATTTCATCACATGGTTGATGGCTGATGTGGCCAGTCTTTTTTTCAGTCCTGTCCACAATGGAGATTGCTACATATTGCTTGAGCCAGCTCCTACATGATGTGACTCTCTTGTCATGCCTGGGTGCTCCCCCACTGGGGTGATCATTACATATGGGTGAGCCCTGGACCTAGTTTATGTAATTTTTCTTTTCTTCCTAAGCCCTACGCACCTGAGGGCATTGTGACATATCTCTGAGCTCATCACCTAGGTGATGTGACTCTCCTGCCTGAGCCTGCTCCTCAGGGGGTATTGTTACATATTGTCAGACCAAGCAACTAGGTGATATGACTCTTCTCTACCACTTGTGCTCTGCCCAATAAGAAACTGTGATTTATCACTGGGCCCAGCACCTAGGTTATGTGACTCTCCTCTCCTGCCTGGGCTGTACATACATTGCTATTGTGACATGTGTCTGGGTGCAATGTCTGAGTCATTTGATTCTCCTGTATGGGCTCTGCCCCCAGGGACATTATTACCTATCATGTCGTTAGTCACCTAGGTGATGTGAATCACATTTTCTGCCTGGTCCCTGCCAGAAAGAATAATAGTGACTTATCACTGGACCCAGCATCTTAGTGATGTGACTCACCTCTTTTACCTGGGCCTTGCGTATTTTTGGTATTGGACATATTGCTGGGTCCAACACCTAGGAGATAAGAGACTTTTACCTTGACCCTGACTAGAGGGGGCTTATTGTATTTCTCAGCATCTATCTTGTAGGGGTTGTGCCTTTTTCCTGCCTGTTCTCTACCCTCAGGGAAGATTGTGACTGGGTCTGGCAACCAGGTCATGTGTTTCTCCAGCCTGGGCCTAGTCCACTGGGAAGCACTGTGACAATATTGCTGGTCCCAGAAACTAGGTGATGTGATTCTCCTGCCTAGTCTTTGCTTTCAAGGAAGATTGCAACATATTCCTGTCCCAGCACCCAGGTGATATAACAATACTGCTTGGACTCTTCCCTCAGGAGTTATTGTGACACATTGCTGGACTCAGCATTTAGGTGATGTGACTCCCCTTGCCTGCTTAGACTCTGCCCAAGGAGGGATTGTGATGTATCACTAGTCCTAGCACCTAGAAGATGTGACTCTCCTTTTATGTTTGGGCCCTGCCTACATTGTGTATTGTGACATATGGCTGGGTCCACCACCTAGTTGATGTGACTCTTATGCGTGGGTTCTATTTACAGGGGTATTAAGATATATTTTTTCATTCATCCCCTAGGTGATGTGCCTCTTCTCTTCTGCCTGGGCCCTGCCAATAAAAGGGGATTGTAATGAATCACTGGACCCAGAACCTAGGTGAGGTGACACTCCTATTTTGCCTGGGCCCTGCATATTTGGGTATTGTATCATATCACTGGACTCAACACATAGGGGATAGGAGGCACATGCATGCGTCCTGCTCACAGAAGGCCTTGTGACATATCTCTGCATCCATTACCAGTGAGATATGACTGTCCTCTTCTACCTGCACCCTGCCTATAGAGAAGACTGTAACATATTGCTGGGCCTACTGACCAGATGATGTGTTTCTTTTGCCTGAACCTTGCCCAAAGGGAGCATTGTGACATATCACTGGGCTCAGCACCCAGGTGATGTTCCTCTCCTGCCTGGTACCTTCTATCAGGGAATATTGTACAAATCTCTGGCCAAGCACCCAGGTGATAGTCCTCTCCTGCCTGGTCCCTTCTAGCGGGGAATATTGTACAAATCTCTGGCCAAGCACTCAGGTGATGTGACTCTCCTACTCACTACCTACTCACAGGTTACATGTCCCATCTCACAGGTGAGATGATGACTCTCATATCTTAAACCAGACGACAGTTGATATGCTGCTTCTCATAGCTAGGCTTAGGAAAATTGGTAAGATTCAGGGTCTCCTATTTTTATGAAGGTCAGAGGGGATTACCACACTCTCACCTATGGTATAAAGCCTTTGGATTGTACACAGTGTGTCATCACAGAGCCCAGCACACAGATGAGATTGACTTGCATGTATGGACAACCAAGCACCTGTTAAAATTGTGACCCTCACAGGTGGACAGACTGCAATTGTGAATCCCACACATGGATGCAGTCCACAGTTGGAATTGTGACTGTCATATGTGACCGTCCATCCAGATTTGGGATAGCAAAACTATTTTTTTTTTTTTTTTTGAGATGGAGTCTTGCTCTGTCACCCAGGCTGGAGTGCAGGAGTGCAGGAGTGCAGTGGCACTATCTCGGCTCACTGCAAGCTCTGCCTCCCAGGTATATGCCCTTCTCCTGCCTCAGCCTCTTGAGTAGCTGAGACAACAGGCACCCGCCACCACGCCTGGCTAATTTTTTGTATTTTTAGTAGAGACAGGGTTTCACCGTGTTAGCCAGGATGGTCTCGATCTCCTGACTTTGTGATTCACCCACCTCAGCCTCCCAAAGTGCTGGCATTACAAGTGTGAGCCACTGCACCCAGTGATAGCAAAACATTTTTAAATGCAGCTCATAGGAAAGTGAGGGCTCTCCTATCTGAACCCAGAAAATTGGAGAGATGTTGACTCTCATAACTGGGCTTAGAGACACAGATACAATCATAGGTTTATACCAGCATGAAAATCTCAAGCTGGATTGTGGCTCTCATGCAAACCATGTAAAGCCCTAGGGTAGTACAGAGAGTGTCCTAAAGGGCCAAGCACACAGGTGAGATTATGACACTCCTGTGCGCACCCTGACAATAGTAAAGATTGTCATTTTCCCACATGAACCCAGCCAATTTTGAGGTTCTGAACCTCACACCCAAAGGCAGTTGAAAGTTGAAAAATTGAATCACATACATGGATCTTGTCCACAGATGGGTTGGTGACTCTCAGACCAAGATTCAGCACACCTGTGAGCCTCTGACTCCACTGAGGGAACACAGTTCATGGGAGGGATTGAGGATTTAATACACAGATCCAGTTCACCTTTGAGATGGTGACTCGTGTAATTAGACACAACATACAGTAGGTATTGACTCTCGTACCTTGAACCAGATCATGTATGGGATCGTTAATCTCATTCTTACACCATCTTGCATGTGTGATTGTATCATACAGCTCTTCCCAGCAACTGAGTGATTTGACCCTTCTGCCTAGGTCCTACAGGTGAAATTGTGGCATATCACTGAACCCAGCATCTAGGTGGTGTGAGACTACACTTTTGCCTTAGCACTTTCCACAGAGGGCATTGTGACATTTTGCTGGCCCTAGAACCCAGGGGAAGTGACTTTCCTCTACTTCTTGGTCTCTGCCCAAGAACAGATTGTGATATGTCACTGGGCTTAACACCTAGGTGACGTGACTTTCCTCTCCTGCCTGGACCAAACACTTTTGTGATGCAAATCTGTTTGGGCCCTGCCTACAGAGGTATTATAACATATCTGTTCATTCATCACCTAGGTGATGTGACTCTTCTCTTCTGCTTGGGCCCTGACAAAATGGGGGATTTTGACACATCACTAAACCCAGCACTTAAGTGATGCTACTCTTCTGTTTTCCCTGGGCCCAGCATATCTTGGGTATTGTTACATATAGCTGGGCATCATTCCTTCAGGGTGGGAGGCTCCTGCCTGTGCCCTGCCCATGAGGGGCCTTGTAAGATGTCTCTTCCTCCATCACCTAAGAGATGTGACTCTCTTCTTTTGCCTGCATCCTGCCCACAGAAAATGTTGTAATGTATTGCTGGACCCAGTCACCAGATGATGTGTCTCTCCTGCCAAGGCTGTGCCCACAGAGAGCATTTTGACATATCACTGGGCTCAGCACCCAGGTGAAATGACTCTGCTGCCTGTACTCTGCTTTAAGAGGGGATTGTAATATATCTGTGGCTGAACACCTAGGTGATATGACTTCTGCCTGGTTTCTGACCTCAGGAAAGATTGTGACATATCTTTGCCAAAAACCTATGTGATGTGAATCTGCTGCTCACTTCCTACCCACAGGTAGAATTGTGACATATATTTTGTCCAGCTCACAGGTTTATTAAATGCTCTTATACCTCAAACCAGCCAATAGAAGAGATACTGTCTCCCATAACCAGACTTAGGAAAATGAGAGAGATTATGGGTCTTCTCTATGTATTAAGGTCATAAAAGACTACTATTTTTTACATATTATATAAAGCCCTTGAGTGGTACAGAAAGTGTCATTACAGGGCACACTAAACAGGTGAGACTGTGTTTCTTATATGCACATACCACCAACTGTTAAGACTGTCGCCCTCACAGATGGACAGACCCCATTGGAGAGGTCCTGAATTTCACACATTGACACAGCCCACAGTTTGGATTGTGACCGTCATATGTGAACATCCAGCTACAGTTGACATGGTGACTCATTTCTAATTCTGGCAAGTTAGATCCTTTCTACCTGGATGCATTCAATGGAGAGATGTTGACTCTTAGTCCTGGGTTTGGGGCCACAGGTAGGATCATGAGTCTGTAGATGCACAAAGTCTCAGAGCATACTGTGACTTTAATGTGTATATATACATATATATACACATTATCATATATATATGCAAATTATCATATATATACACACATTATCATATATATATACACATTATCATATATATATACATTATCATATATATATATACACATTATCATATATATATATATATATATATACACACACACACACACACACCCATTATCATATATACATATCCCTCAGGTGATACAAAGGGTGTCCTAACAGAGCATGGTATAGAGGTGCGATTATGACACTCATATATGTACCCAGCTGGCAGTAAATATTGTCATTCTTCCACATGAACACAGCTGACTGTTGAGGTTCTGAATCTCACATCCAAAGAAAGTTGAAGATGGAAAACTGGTTCATACATGGATTCGGTTCACAGGTGGGTTGGTGACACTAAGACCAAGATCCAGCATATCTGTGAGGCTTTGACTCCACTAAAGGGACACAGTCTGTAGGAGGGATTGAGGCTCTTATGGATGGATTCAGCAAACTGTTGAGATTGTGGGTTATACACCTATACCCAACATACAGGAGGTGGTGCCTCTCATACCTAGAACCAAGACATGATCAGGATGGTTAATCTCATCTCTGGACCTTCATGTAGCTGTGACTGTGACATATACCTCAGCCTAGCACTTGAGCAATTTTATGCTCCTGCCTGGGCTCAGCCCACAGACTGGGTAGTGACATCTTTCTGCACCAGCGCTTAGTCAATGTCTTGGTTCTGCCCATAGAGACAACTTTGACATATTGTGGCTCCTCGCACTTAGGTTATGTGACTCTCGTGCCTGTGTTTTGCCCACATGGGCCATTGTGACATATTGCTGAGTCCAACATGAAGGTGATGTAATCCTCCACCCTGTCCTCTGCCTACAGAAGGCATTGTAACATACCTTTTGGTCCCTCACATGGGTGATATTACTCTCTGGCTCACCCTTCTTTCAAGGGGTATTGGGACATACTGCTGTACCCAGCATCTAGGTTATGTAAATTTTTCTCCTGCTTTGGCTGTGCCCAGTGAGGGGTTATAGAGTATCTCTGGGCCCAGCGCCTAGGTGATTTGACTCTTCTTTTTTTTTTTTCTTTTCTTTCTTTCTTTCCTACTTTCTTTTCTTTTTTTTTTTCAGACAGAGTCTCACTCTGTTGCCCAGGCTGGAATGCAGTGGCACGATCTCAGCTCACTGCAGCTTCCGCCTCCTGGGTTCAAGCGATTCTCTTGCCTCAGCCTCATGAGAAGCTGGGATTACAGGTACCCACCACCATGCCCAGCTGATTTTTCTATTTTTAGTAGAGACAGGGTTTTACCATGTTGGCCAAGCTGGTCTTGAACTCTTGATCTCAGGCAATCCACCTGCTTTGGCCTCCCAAAGTGTTAAGATTACAGGCGTGAACCACCATGCCCAGCCAGGTGAGAAAGCATCAATATTACAAGGATCATTTATAAGTCTTGAGTTCTTAACAAATGTTGATATCTGCAAAATTAAGTGTTCTACTTAAGAAAACATTGAGCAAGCTTATCTTGCATTTCTACACAAAGAGCACAACAACAATATAATCCACAACAGTAAAGTAAAATAAGTAAAATTATCCCAAGTAAAGTAAAATAAGTAAAATTATCCCAAGTAAACTAAATAAGGGCAAATGTTGGGAAGAAGCTGATATGGGTTTGCTACCTGATTCCAATATGTGTTCAGAATTAGATTAGTGATCCGGATTTTTTTTTTTTTTTTTTGAGATGGAGTCTTGCTCTGTCGGCCAGGCTGGAGTGCAGTGGTGCAATCTTGGCTCACTGCAACTCTGGCTCCCAGGTTCAAGTGATTCTCCTGCCTTAGCTTCCTCAGTAGCTGGGATTACAGGCACGTGCCACCACGCCCGGCTAATTTTTGTATTTTTAGCAGAGACAGGGTTTCACCATGTGGGCCAGGCTGGTCTCGAACCCCTGACATCGTGATCTGCCCACCTCGGCCTCCCAAAGTGCTGGGATTACAGGCATGAGCCACCGTGCCTGGTGCCTGATCTGGATTTTTATATTACCCATCTCTCTTGTTTCTTTTGAGCTGCAGTCAGAGATCACTGGTGTGTTCAAAGGAATAAGCAGAATTAGTCTAAATAGCAGGGAAAATACTCAAAAACAACAAATGAGACTAGTGTGTAACAACAGGTGTACCATAGTTCTTGAAACATGATTTTTTTCTCTCTCCAGTCTTCCATTTCTACTAAAGACAAATCATGGTAAAACTGATTTACTTGCATAAAAAGCTTTAGTCTTATAGTTGGCCTGATTATTTGTATAAAGTGCAGCAAAAATAATTATTTTTCACATAGGTTTTTAAAATTGGCTTTGATATAACTATGTTCCATTAAAGGAATATCAGAAAAGACTTTTTAAAAGCCAAGCCCAGCCATGGGTTTGTACCATCAGATACCTGTGAGTTGGGTGAATTTCTCTCTTCTTGGGGTCCCAAGACAACTTCAGGCTCCTGATTCTGTCAGAAAGAGACATTCCTGGCCAGGCATAGTGGCTCACACTTGTAATCCCAGCACTATGGGAGACCAAGGTGAGTGGATCACCTGAGGTCAGAAGTTTGAGACCAGCCTGCTCAACATGGTGAAAACCCATCTTGACATGAAATACTAATATTAGCTGGGTGTCGTGGCATGCACCTGTAGTCTCAGTTACTCAGGCAGCTGAGGCAGGAGGATCACTTGAACCTGGGAAGCAGAGGTTGCAGTTAGTTGAAATCACACCATTGTACCCCAGGCTGGGTGATAGAAGGAAACTCTGTCTTAAAAAAAAAAAAAAGAAATGACATTCCTTACTTACCATGGGTCAGGAACCCTGCACAGGGACTGTGTAGACATAGTTGGAAGCCATCTCCATCTCAAAAACAAACAAACAATGACCAAAAAACAAACAAACAAACAAACAAAAAACAGGTGGGCAGGGTAATGTGTTCCTATAATCTCGGGTACTCAGGAGGCTGAGGCATGAGAATCACCTGAACCCGGGAGGTGGAGGTTGGAGTGAGGTAATCACGCCACTGCAATCCAGCCTGGGCAACAGAGTGAGACTTTATCTCAAAAATAATAATAAAAATAACTTGCCTTCTTAAAGATTATTAAAAAGGCAAAAACCTTTCCTTTTTGATAAAGACTTAGCTTTCCAAACTATTTGTCTCCTGTCTTTTTTTTCTTGTAGTTTATTCAAAAGGCAGACAAAAATTTTTCATTTTTCAAAATATAATATAAAAATCTTGTTTAAAAGAGAAGCCTACATTTCACGTATGAATTAGTGTACTATTGATTTCAAACCCAGTTTTTTCTTTTTTTTTTTTTGAGATGGAGTTTCACTCTTGTCACCCAGGGTGGAGTGCAGTGGCATGATCTTGGCTCACTGAAACCTCCGCCTCCTGGGCTCAAGCAATTCTCCTGCCTCAGCCTCCCTAGTATTTGGGGTTACAAGCATGTGCCACCACACTTGGATAATTTTTGTATTTTTAGTAGAGACGGGTTTCACCATGTTAGTCAGGCTGGTCCCAAACTCCTGACCTCAAGTGATCCTCCCTCCTTGGCTCCTGAAGTGCTGGGATTACAGGTGTGAGCCACTGCACCTGGCCAAAACAAGTTTTTAATAAAATCTTATATACAAGTCTATCCAATCTTAATCAGTTTGACCATAAGGCAAGATTTTCATAAACGTTTAATAACTCTGCAATTTTTGTTAAGGAACAGATCTGTGCTTTAAAAAAAAAAAAACCCGTTGTACTTATATTCCAATGTTTAATTTATTTAAAAAAACTGAATACAGGCCAGGCATGGTGGCTCACGCCTGTAATCCCAACACTTTGGGAGGCCAAGGCTGATGGATCACCTGAGGTCAGGAGTTTGAGACCAGCCTGACTAACATGGAGAAACCCCGTCTCTACTAAAAATACAAAATTAGCTGGGCATGGTGGCACATGCCTGTAATCCCAGCTACTAGGGAGGCTGAGGCAGGAGAATTACTTGAACCTGGGAGGCAGAGGTTGCGGTGAGCTGAGATTGCGCCACTGCACTCCAGCTTGGGCAACAGGAACGAAACTCTGTCTCAAAAACAAAAAAGAAAAAACAAAAAAAACTGAATAATATCTCTTTAACTTTAGCCAATATGTTCACACACAGAATTTTTTTTACAAGCTTAATTTTTACAAACCTTCCAAAACTTGCTCAAACCTTCAGCTCAATCCTAACTTAAAACAACTCTTTAGCCCTCTAAACTAGGCCAAAAAAATTAACATTTTTATGCCATCTTATGATCATTTACCAAAAGCACATTCTACTTTTCTTACACACCTTGCATGTAAAACTGCTTTTAGTTCCCAAAGATTACTTATGTCACATGAGATAAAAGGCATTACGTTTGTTCCTTTTCTGAAAAAAAATTAGACTTAAGCATTTATTATTTTTAAGCCAATTAATCAGAACTCTTTCATATATAACTATCACACATGGCCGGGTGTGGTGGCTCACGCCTGTAATCCCAGCACTTTGGGAGGCCAAGGTGGGCAGATCACTTGAGGTCAGGAGTTCGAGACCAGCCTGACCAACATGGTGAAACCCTGTCTCTACTAAAAATACAAAAATTAGCCAGGCATGGTGGCAAGTTCCTGTAATCCCAGCTACTCAGGAGGCTGAGGCAGGAGAATCACTTGAACTCAGGAGGCAGAGTTTGTGGTGAGCCAAGAATGCGCCATGGCACTCCAGCCCTGACAACAACAGTGAAACTCCATCTCAAAACAAACAAACAAACAAACAAAAAACCACAAAGGACAGTTGCACTAAATAACAGAAAAGATAAGAAAGAAAGAGGAGAGAAGGAAAGAAAAGCATTGCCTGAGGCAGGTTGGGGAAAGGGAGGAGCTCAGGGACGCCAGTGAAAGACCCACCCATTGCAGCGGCACTGAGAAATTCAGGCGGTGACTTCTCAGTCATGAAGGGATCTTTTCCAGCAATTTCATTAGCTCTCAAGTTTCCCCCTTTCTTTTAATATATATAAAATACTTTAAGTTCTAGGGTACATGTGCACAACGTGCAGGTTTGTTACATGTGATCATTAAAAAGTCAGGAAACAACAGGTGCTGGAGAGAATGTGGAGAAATAGGAACACTTTTACACTGTTGGTGGGACTGTAAACTAGTTCAACCATTATAGAAGACTGTGGTGATTCTTCGGGGATCTAGAACTAGAAATACCATTTGACCCAGCCATCCCATTACTGGGTATATACCCAAAGGAATATAAATCATGCTGCTATAAAGACACATGCACACATATGTTTATTGCAGCACTACTCACAATAGTAAAGACTTGGAACCAACCCAAATGTCCAACAATGATAGACTGGATTAAGAAAATGTGGCACATATACACCATGGAATACTATGCAGCCATAAAAAAATGATGAGTTCGTTTCCTTTGTAGGGACATGGATGAAGCTGGAAACCACCATTCTCAGCAAACTATCACAAGGACAAAAAACCAAGCACCGCATGTTCTCACTCATAGGTGGGAATTGAGCAATGAGAACACTTGGACACAGGAAGGGGAACATCACACATTGGGGCCTGTTGTGGGGTAGGGGGAGGGGGGAGGGATAGCATTAGGAGATATACCTAAAGTTTCCCCTTTTGAGGAGAATAGAAGCTCCCCATGTCTTATGATCCTGTACATGCCTAATCGTGTCACGCACAACTGTCAGCAAAGAGCACAGGGAAAATTAATCTAAAAAGTGCAGTGGCACGATCTTGGCTCACTGCAACCTCTGCCTCCCAGGTTCAAGACATTCTCCTGCCTCAGCCTCCTGAGTAGCTGGGATTACAGGCATGAGCCACCGTGCCTGGCCTGCCTCGTCGATTTTTTAACCAAGAGTGACATTACTGAGAGGGGCCTCTAACCCCCTAAATTTTTTTTTTTTTGAGCCAGAGTTTCCCTCTTGTTGCCCAGGCTGGAGTGCAATGGTACGATCTTGGCTTACCGCTACCTCTGCCTCCCGTGTTCAAGTGATTCTCCCACCTCAGCCTCCTGAGTAGCTAGGATTGCAGGCATATGTCAACACGCCCAGCTAGTTTTTGTATTTTTAGTAGAGATGGGTTTTCTCCATGTTGGTCAGGCTGGTCTCGAACTTCTGACGTCAGGTAATCCACCTGCCTCAGCCTCCCAGAGTGCTGGGATTACTGACATGAGCCGCCGTGCCTGGCCAACCCCTTAAATCTTAGAAAGGACTTGAACCTTCATAACTGGGTCCTCAAGCTTTTTATTAAGAGAGGTCTTTAACCCAATATGTCTTAGGAGAGACTGTACTGCTTCTATATTGGGCCTCTAACCCAATCCCATTTTTTACCCTGGTAGAATATACCCCACTAGTTACCCAAAGTTGGCTAATTGGTGCTGCAGTTTATTTCCTTTGGTTCAGTTTTCTCCTCAGTATAGTCCCTTTATAATTTGCCAGAAAGCTGTTACTGAAAAGGGCTTTTAATCCAGACCCCAAGAAGTCAGGGTGATCCCATGCAGTAAAATGAAAGCAAGTTTATTAGAGAAGTAAAGAAACAAACAAACAAAAAAAGCTGCTCCATAGGCAGAGCAGCTAATATAATTCTTGTCTCTTAAATTGGCTTTGACCATAGGAGGGATTGAGACAATTCTGGAAGCCCAGCACCTAGGTGATGTGACTTTCATCTTTTGTTTGGACCCTGTGCACAAAAGGAAGAGTGGCTTATCACTGGACCTCACACACAGGTGATGTAACGCTTCTGTCTAGGGTAATTGTGATACGTTCCTGTGCCCATCACCCAGATAATGTGACTCTTCTCTTTTCCTGAGACCTTCCTACAGTGGAGATTGTGACATATTACTTGGCCCAGTACCTATGTAATGTGACTCTTCTCTCATACCAGAGACTTGCACCTAGGGTAGTTGTGACATATAGCTGGGCTCAGCCCCTGGGTTATGTGACTCTTTTGATTATCCCCAGCTCTACCTGCAAGGAGCACTGGGAAATATATCTTTGGGCCCCTCAATTAGGTGATGTGACTCCCCTTCCTGGACTCTTTCCTCAGGAGGTATTGTGACATATTCCTGGAGCAAGTACCCAGGTAATGTAACTCTTTTCTACTGCTTGGACTCTACCCAAGGAGAGATTCTAATGTATCACTGGACCCAGCACCTAGGTTACATGACTTTCCTCTTGTGTCTGAGTCTTGCATAAATTGTGTATTGTGACAAATAACTGGGTCTAAAACCTAGTTGATGAGACTCTTCTGCATGGGCCCTGCCTACAGGGGTATTATGACATATGTTTTTTTCTTTTTTTAATCACCTATGTGATGTGCCTTTGTTCGCATGTGTGTGCATCCTGGCCCTGCCAAAAGTGGGGATTGTAACATATCACTAAACTTAGTACCAAGGTGTTATGATTCTCCTTGTTTGCCTGGGCCCTGCATATATTAGGTACTGTGACGTATGGCTGAGACAAACACCTAGGGCACGAGAGCCTCCTGCCTGGGTCCTGCCCACAAGGAACCTTTTGGCTTATCTCTGCATCCATGAACTAGGAGATGTGACTCTTCTTTTCTGTCTGGGTTCTGCAAAAACAAGTGATTGTGACATATCATCAAACCCAGCAACTAGACGATGTGATTTTTCTTCCCTGCTTGAGCCCTGGATATGCTGTGTATTGTGATATATGGCTGGGTCCAACATCAAGGTAATGTGACTCTCCTGAATGGACTCTGCCCACAGGAGTATTATGACATATCTTTACCTTTATCACTTTGGTTATGTGACTCTTTTTATTTCCCTGAGCCCTCTTGAATTAGGGATTGTGATATATCACCGAACCTAGCACCTAGGTGATGTGACTCTGTTTTATTGCCTGGGTCTTGCATTTTTTAAGTATTGTGACATGTCCCTGACCATAACACCTAAAGAATTGGGAGGCACCTGCTTGTACTCTGCCTATTGGGGGTGGGGGGGGGGGCATTGTGACATATCTCTGGGCCCATCAACTGCTTCATTTGACTCTCCTCTCCTACCCATGCTTTGTCAATAGGAGAGATTATGACATATCTCTGGAACCAGAACCTTAGTGATGTGACTCTTGTCTCCTGCTGAAGCCATGCCCACACAAGGGAAAGTGACTCATCACTGGACCCAGCACACAGGTGATGTAATTCTTCTGCCTTGTTTTTGTACCCAGGAGCCATTGTAATCCATCTCTGGGCCCATCATTTAAATGATGTGACTATCCTTTTCTTCCTGAGCCCTATTCACAGGGAAAATAGTGACACATCTGTGGGCTTCTCACCGAAATGATGTGACTTTCCTTCCTGGGCTCACCTCTCAAGGGAATTTTGACATATTACTGGACCAAGCACCTAGGTGATGTGGCTCTGACAAACGAGAAATTGTGATGTACCACTGTTCCACACCTAAGAGATCTGACTCTCTTTTCATGAGCCCTGCATTTATTGTGTATTGTGACATATGGCTTGGTCCAACGCCTAGGTGATGTGACTCTCTACTTCTTCCTCGGCCATGCCAAAGAAGAGGATTGTGACATATCACTGGATCCAGCACTTAGGTGATGTAAATCTTTTCTTTTGCTGAGCCATGCATATTTTTGGTATTGTGACATGTAGCTGGACCGAACACCTACAGGACTGGATCAGAGGCTACTTAATAAGCCCTGCCCATAGGCGGCCTTGTGACATATGTCTGCATCTATCACCAAAGTGATGTGACTCTTTTTCTGCCTGCATCCTGCACATAGAGAAGATTGTGACATATCGCTGGGCCCAGTAACCAGGTGATGTGTCTTTTCTGGCAGGTCTTTTCCCACAGGGAGCATTGTAAAATATCACTGGGCTCGGCCACCAGGTTATGTGACCCTTCTGCCTGTGCCCTGCTTCCTGGAAATGTGACATTCCTCATACAGCACCCAGGTGATGTGACTCTTCTGCTCATTTTCTACTTATAGTTGGGATTGTGACAAATATCCTGGCCCAACTCATAGGTGCTATGATGATTCCCGTACCTGGAATCAGCCAATAGGGAGATAGTGTCTCTTGTATTGTAGCCTAGGGAAACAAGTAAGATCCTGGGCCTCCTCTTTGTATGAATGTCATAAAGAGTTATCAATCTGACTGGGCAGTGTGGCTCATGCCTGTAATCCCAGCACTTTGGGAGGCCAAGGTGGGTGAATCACGAGGTCAGGAGTTGGAGAGCAGCCTGGCCAACATAGTGAAACTCTGTCTCTACTAAAAATACAAAAATTAGCCGGGTGTGGTGACATGTGCCTGTAATCCCAGCTACTCAAGAGGCTGAGGTGGGAGAATCACTTGAACCCGGGAGGCAGAGGTTGCAGTGAGCTGAGACCATGCCATTGCACTCCAGCTTGGGTGACAGAGTGAGATGAGGCTCCCTCTCAAAAAAAAAAAAAAAAAAGAGAAGAAAGAAAGAATTACCAATCTTTGGTGTGTTTCATAAACCATTTGGGTGGCACAAAGAATGTCTTCAGAGGGCTTAGCGCACAGGTGAGATTGTTTCTAAAATGCAGAAACTGCCAACTGTTAGGACTGTCACCCTTACACATGGCAAAAGCCAGCTAGTGAGCTCCTGAATCTCACAGGTGGACACAGTTCAAAGTTGGAATTGTGACTGTCATATATTAACATTTGGCCACAATTAAGGTGGTGACTCATTAATAAATGCAGTACATAGGTAGGTGAAGACTCTCTGATCTAGACCCTGTCAACTAGAGAGTGGGGACTCTGTAATCTGGACCTTGCCAACTATGCTCAGAAAGGTCTCAGAGCAGACTGTGACTTTTATGCACACTCTACAAAGCCCTCAGGCGGTGCAGAAAGTGTTCCAACAGAGCCCAGCACACAGGTGAAAACCCCTGCCTGTGCCCTGCCCATATGGGCAATTTTGACATGTTGCTGAGTCTGATACCTGGGTGATGTAACTCTCTGGCCTGGTCCTGCCTACAAGGTTTTCTGTAACATATCTATGCACCAGTCAACTTTGTGTTTTGATAATCCTCTTCTACCAATTTCTGCTCAAAAGAAGGATTTTGACAAATAATTGGGACCAGCACCTAGCTGACATTATTCTACTTTTCTTTCAAGGTTTGGTTTTCAGGGGATGTTGTGACATGTCACTAGGCTAACAGACAGGTGATATTCTTCTGCCTTGGCTCTTCCAAAATAAAGCATTTTTACACAGTGCTATGCCCAGGACCACAGTGACTGAGTCTCCTGCCTAGACCCTGCCCACAGAAAGATTGTAACATATCTCTAGACCCATCAACTATTTGATGTGAGTCTCTTCTTTTACCTTGTCTTTTCCCACAAAAGAGATTGTGATATGTCTCTGGGCCCAGCACCTAGGTGATGTGACTTCTTCTGCCTGGATCATGCCCATAGAAGGGAGAGTAACTTAATACTGGGCTTACCACAGACATGCTGAGATACTTCTGCCTGTTACTTGCCCGCAGGATGCATATGCCAGATTTCTGGGCCCATCACCTAGATGATGGGACTCTCCTTTCTGGGACCAGTACACAGTGGGAACTGTGATGCATTGTTTAGCTCAGCAGCTACATAATGTAACTCCCTTCTCATGAGAGCCCCCCCCCAACTTGGGTAATTGCAACATATAATCTAGCCTAGTTTCTAGGTTACCTGACTCTTACCTTATTCCTGAGCCTTACACAGAATCAGAAACATCTCTGGGCTTCTCACCTAGGTGAGGTTACACTCCTTTCTGATCTCTCCCTTCAGGGAATATTTTGACACATAGCTAGACCCAAAACCTGTGTGATAAGACTCTTCTATCTCTTGGGATCTGTCCAAGAAGAAATTGGGATGTATTGCTAGGCTCAGCATCTAAGTTATGTGAATCTTTTCTCCTGCTTGGGCCTTGCATACATTGTGTATTTTGACATATCGTGGGCTCCAACACCTAGGAAATTGGCGATTTCTACCTGTGGCCTGTCCACAGGAGGCCTTGTGATGTATCTCTGCATCATGACCCAAGAAATATGACCCTTGTTTTTAGCCTCCACTTTGCCCACAGGGAAAATTGTGACACATCGCTGGGCCCAGCAACAGGTGATGAATTTGTTTTGCCTGCACCTTGCCCACAGAAAACAGTGGAACATAGCCCTTGGCCTAGCACTAAGGTGATGTTTCTTTTATCCCTGGTCCCTGGCCTCAAAAATGATTGTGATTTTACCCTTTCCCAGCACTCATGTGATGTGACCATCCTGCTCACTCTCTACTGACAAATGGGATTGTTACATACATCTTGGCCTGGCTGACAGGTGCAATAATAACTCTCATACCAGTCACCAGGAGAGATACTGTCTCTTGTAGCTAAGCTTAGAGAAATGGGTAAGATCCTGAGTCTCCTTTTTGTAGGAAGGTCATAGATTATTTCCACTCCCTCACATACTGTATAAAGCCCTCAGGTGATACAGAGAGTGTCATCACAGGCCCAGCACACAGACGAGACTGTTTATCTTGTGTGCACACCCCACCAATTATTAGGATTATTGCATTCACACAAGGACACAGTGTACTGGAGAGTTCTTGAACTTCATACATGGATGCAGCTTACAGTTGGAATTGTGACTGTCATATGTAAACACCTGACCACAAATGAGATGGTGACTCATTTCTAAAACCATCTCATGGGCAATTGAGGAATCTCCTCTCCGGAGCAGGTCAATTAAAGAGATGTTGACTCTCATACATGGGTTTAGGGCCATGAGTACAATCATGGGTTCATACCAGCATGGAGGTCTCAGAGCAAATTCTGACTCTCATGCATAACATAAAAAGCCCTTGATTGATAGAGAGACCGTCCTCACAGGGCCCAGCACACAGGTAATATTGTGACACTCTTATGCACAGGTAGCCAATAGTAAAGATGGTCATCCTTCCACATGAACACAGACCACAGTTGAGGCTCTGAATCTCCCACTCAGAGGCAGTGGGAAGTTGAAGAATTAACTCTTATATGTGGCTCTGATCCATAGGTGGGTTGGTTACTCTCAGACCAAGATTCCCCACAGCTGTGAGGCTGTGGCTTCATTAAGGGGACACAGTCTTCAGGAGGGATTGGGTCTTTTGTGTACAAATCCAGCCCATTGTTGAAATTGTGATGCAGGTACTTAAACCAAACCTACAAAAGGTGTTGACTCTCATACCTGAAACTGGGACATGTGTGGGATTGTTAATTTCATTTCAGGATCATCCTGCTGGTGTGATTCTGATGTATGCTTCTGCCCAGAATCTGAGCGCTTTGACTTCCCAGCCTCGGTCCAGCCCCCAGTAGGGATTATGACGTATCACTTGGCCAAGCACTTAGCTGATGTGACCTATTCTCCTGCCTTGGCTCTGCCCATAGAGGACATTGTGATGCACTGTCAGGCCCTGCACCCAGGTTATGTGATTTCTGCCTGTGCCCTGACCACATTGGCTATTTTGACATATTGCACTGTCCAACACTCAAGTGATGTTACACTTCTTCCTGTGCCTTTCCTACAGGGGACATTATGAAATATCTCTGTGCCCATCATCCATGTATGTTGACTCTCTTCTTCTGCATGGATTCTGCTCACAGAGGGATTGGGACATATCTGGGCTCAGCACTCAGGTGATGTGATGCTTTTCTCTCTTTTTTTGAGATGGAGTCTCACTCAGTCACCTAGGCTGGAGTGCAGTAGCATGATCTTGTTTCACTGAAAACTCCGCTCCTGGGCTCAAGTAATTCTTCTGTCTCAGTCTCCTGAGTAGCTGGGACTACAGAAGCCTGCCACCACACTTGGTGTATTTTGTATTTTTAGTAGAGATGGGGCTTCACCTTGTTGGTCAGGCTGGTCTTGAACTCCTGATCTCAGGTGATCCACCCTCCTCAGCCTCCCAGAGTGCTGGGATTACAGGCGTGAGCCACTGTGCCCAGCCAACGCTTCTCTTTTTCCTATGTTCTGCTCACACAAAAAATAGTGGCCCAGCACAAAGGTGATGTGAGTCTCCTGCCTGGACCCTGCTCACAGGGAGCATTGTGAAATATCTCTGGGCCCATCAACTATTTGATGTGAGTCTCCTCTGTTACCTGGGCTTTGCCTATGGAAGACATTGAGACATATCACTGGGCCCAGCACCCAGGTGGTTTGATTTGCCTCTTCTGACCAGGCCATGCCAACAGATAAATAGTAACTTATCACAGGGTCCAGCACACAGGTGCTGTGGCTCTTCTGCCTGGCCCCTGCCCACAGGTGTCATTGATACATATCTTTGGTCCCAACATGTAGATGATGTGACTCTACTTTATTCTGGGACCTGTATACCGTGGGGATTGTGACATATGGCCAGGCCCAGCATTTATGTGATGTGATTCTCATGCCTAGGCCCTGCCCACTGCAGTGATTATGACATATATCTGGGTGCATCCCCTAGGTTATGTGACTCTCCTCTTTTCCATGATCCCTACTCATAACATGAATTGTGACCTATGTCAGGTTTTCTCACCTAGGTTATGTGACTTTCTTGTCTTTGTCCTTCCATCAGAGGGCATTGTGATATATTGCTAGTTCCATTATCTGGGTGATGTGACTCTCCTCACCTGCCTGTGCACCATCCAAAGGGGACATTGTGACAAATCCCTGAACCAATTTTCTACATAATGTGCCTCTTCTCTGTTGCAGGAGACATGCCCAAAAAAGGGATTGTGGCATAACTCTGAGCCCAGCACCCAAATGTTGTGACTCTCCTGCCTGAGCTCCTACCTATGAGAGTCACAGAAGATTATGACACTTATGGAAATTACATAAAGCCCTCTGGCAGTCCAAAGTTTTATCCCAGGGCCCAGTATGCAAGTGAGATTGTGACTTTAATACGCAGACAAAGCTAACACTTAGTATTGTCACCTTCACATATAAACAGAGCCCACTGGTGAGGTTCTAAATCTCACACACCAAAAAAATTCACAGTTTGGGGCAGGCACAGTGGCTTACACCTGTAATCCCAGCACTTTGGGAGGCCGAGGTGGGCGGATCATGAGGTCAGGAGATTGAGACCATCCTGGCTAACACACGGTGAAACCCTGTCTCTAGTTAAAATACAAAAAAAAATTAGCCGGGCATGGTGGCGGGTGCCTGTAGTCCTAGCTACTCGGGAGGCTGAGGCAGGAGTTGCAGTGAGCCCAGATCGTGCCACTGCACTTCAGCCTGGGTGACACAGCGAGACTCCATCTCAAAAAAAAAAAAAAAAAAAAAATTCACAGTTGGAATTGTGACTGTGATATGTGAATCTGCCCACAGGTAGAATGCTGACTCATTTCTGGATTCAGCTTAGAAAAATGGTGATGACTGTTTCACCTGGACTCAGCCAAATGGAGAGATGTTGACTCTCTTAACTAGGTGTGGTGGTTAATACTGTGTGTCAACGTGACTGGATTGAAGGATACAAAGTATTAATCCTGGATGTGTCTGTGAGGGTGTTGCCAAAGGAGATTAACAACTGAGTCAGTTGGCTGGAAAAGGCAGACTCACCCTTAATCTGGATGGGCACAATCTAATCAACTGCCAACGTGGCCAGAATATAAGCAGGCAGAAAAATGTGAAAAGAAAGACTGGCCTAGTCTCCCAGCCTACATCTTTCTCCTGTGCTGGATGCTTCCTGCCCTTGAACATCAGACTCCAAGTTCTTCAGTTTTGGAACTTGGAGTGGCTCTCCTTGATTCTCAGCCTACAGATGGCCTGTTGTGAGATCTAGTGATTGTGTGAGTTAATACTTAATTAACATATATGTATATATACGCACACCATTAGTTCTGTCCCTCTGGAGAACCCTGACTAATACAGATTTTGGTAACAGGAGTGGTTCTAGAGGAACAGAATATTAAGGATGGAGTTCTTTTTTTGATTCTGGTGTTTCGGGGGTTGGCTGCTTAATATGATTAGACCCAAAAATGCTAAGGACTCTACTTCTAATAGTGTGGAGAACACTGATAGTCCTAGGGATGAACTGTTTAGAGAGTTATGTAAAATAAATGCATTTGACACTCCTGATTTATCACTCTTGAGAGGCAAGGAGTTTAGTGACTCTATACATACCTTTCACCAGCTGAGCATGGTGGCTCACACCTGTAATCCCAGCACTTTGGGGGTGCTGAGGCAGGTGGATCACGAGTTCAGGAGTTCAAGACCAGCCTGGTCAAGATGGTGAAACCCCCTCTCTACTGAAAATACAAAAATTAGCCGGGTGTGTCGATGAGTGCCTGTAATCCCAGCTACTCAGGAGGCTGAGGCAGAGAATTGCTTGAAACTGGGAGGTGGAGGTTTGACCATATGTGGAGAACCAAGGAACATAATGAAGCTGGTTGTCCTAAGTTCAATGGACAAAGTGATGATAGAAAATGATGAACTCAGGCATTCTATCTTTTGGCTTCAGAAGCAGTTACTGAGCCTCAAATCTGCTAAGATTGCCCTGTGTGAGAGTCTCATCTCCTGTAGATGAAATTGTGGAAAAACACACACAAACTCTTATTATGTTAGTGACTGACCTGCAATGAAAGATGTATGCACAGCCTCACCAGGTGTCTACTGTTAAAGTGAGGACACTGATTGGAAAAGAATGGGACCCTGCCACTTGGAATGGGGACGTATGGGAGGACCCTGAT
This sequence comes from Homo sapiens, assembly GCF_000001405.40. Taxonomy (NCBI): domain Eukaryota; kingdom Metazoa; phylum Chordata; class Mammalia; order Primates; family Hominidae; genus Homo; species Homo sapiens. The sequence continues at coordinate 22,237,792 of NC_000019.10, read as the reverse complement.
GAAGCTAGGGGCTCTGAGTTTGTAAACTCTGATGAGCTTTTTGTCAGAAAAAACAGCTTCCCCATCCCCAGTAGTGGCAACATCCCCTTTCTGATGCATGCTGCCATCAGCCTTTCCACCTTTGTCTGAGATAAACCCTGCACTGCCTGAGGCAACTGTGATGGCCTCCCCTGAGAAAGTTGCCAGGCAAAATAATGTTGATTCTTCTCAGGACCCACCCTCAACACCCCTGTTTGCTTCTAGGCATATAAGTAGACTAAAGTCCCAGCGGCCCCCTAGAGGTGAGTTTGAGAGTGTGCCCCATGAGGAGGTACACTACACTCAGAAAGAACTGCTTGAGTTTTCTAATTTATATAAACAGATATCTGGAGAACAGGCTTGGGGATGAATATTAAGGGTGTGGGATTATGGTGGAAGGAACATAGAGTTGAACCAGGCTGAATTTATTTATTTGGACCCACTAAGTAGGAATACTGCATTTAATGTTGCAGCTTGGGGAGTTAAAAAAGCTTCTAATAGTTTATTTGCTTGGTTAGCTGAAATATGGATTAAAAGATGGCCCCCCTGTGAGTGAGCTGGAAATGCCTGATGCCCCTTGGCTTAATGTAGAGGGAGGAATCAAAAGGCTTAGGCACATTGGGATACTGGAGTGGATTAGTCACTTTAGACCTACTAATTCCAGCATGGAAAGTCCAGAAGATATACCCTTGACCACTGACTTCAAAATAGATTTGTGAAAGCAGCACCTGAATCTTTAAAGAACCTTGTAATTACTTTTCTCTGCATGTCAGATCTAACAGTGGGAACCGTGGTCTCTCAACTACAAAATTTAAATACAGTGGGAATAATTGGATCCCATGATGGCAGGGGCCAAGTGGTGGCACTCAACCATCAAAGGCAAGGTGGGCATAGCTACTGTAATGGACAGCAGAGGCTAAACGGCAATCAGAATAGTCTGACTTCTGTAGAGTTCCAGCATTGGCTGATTCATCACAGTGATCTTAGAAGTAAAATTGATAGGAAACCTACTACATTCCTGCTTAATTTATACAAGCAGAAAACTTCTAGGTCAAATGGAAAAAAGACTAATTTTAAATATAAAAACAGAGAATCATGGCCCCTCAATCAATTTCCAGACTTGAGCCAGTTTACAGACCCAGAACTCCTTGAATAAAGGAGAGGCCAGATTCCCTTGAGGAACGAGCCCACTACACTAATGACAATTTATGCAGTGAATCTTTCTCCCATCTTTCCCCAAGGAGATCTCTGGCCTTTTATGGGGTAACTGTGCATTGGGGAAAGGGAAATGATTGGACATTTTGGGGACTATTAAACACTGGCTCTGAGGTGACATTGATTCCAGGGGACCCAAAACATCACTGTGGTCCTCCAGTTAAAGTAGAGGCTTATGGAGGTCATGTACTTAATAGAAATTTAGCTCAGGTCCAACTTACAGTTGATCAAGTGGGTCCCAAGACTCACTCTGTGGTCATTTCCCCAGTTCCAGAATGCAAAATTGGCATAGACATACTTAGCAGATGGCAGAACTCCTACATTGGCTCCCTGAGTAGTAGGGTGAGGGCTATTAGGGTGGGAAAAGCCAAATGGAAGCCATTAGAGCTGCCTCTACCTGGGAAAATAGTAAATCAAAACCAATATTGCATCCGTGGAGGGATTTCAGAGATTAGTGCCACCATTAAGGACTAAAAAGACGCAAAGGTGGTGATTCCTACCACATCCCCATTCAACTCTTTCATTTGGCAGAAGACAGATGGATTTTGGAGAATGACAGTGGATTATCGTAAGCTTAACCAAGTGATGACTCCAATTGCAGCTGCCATACTAGATGTAGTTTCATTGCTTGAGCAAATTACCACATCTCCTGGTACCTGGTATGCAGACATTGACTTAGCAAATGCCCTTTTCTCTGTTCCTGTCCATAAGGCCCACCAGAAGCAATTTGCTTTCAGCTGGCAAGGCCAGCAATACACCTTTACTGTCCTACCTGATGGATATATTAACTCTCTGGCTTTGTGTCATAATCTTATTCAAAGAGACCTCTATCGCTTTTTGCTTTTGCAAATATCACAGTTGTCCATTGCATTGATGACATTATGCTGATCGAATCCAGTGAGCAAGAAATAGCAAACACACCAGACTTATTCATGAGACATTTGCATGCCAGAGGATGGAAAATAAGTCTGACTAAAATTTAGGGACCTTCTAGCTCAGTAAAATTTCCAGGGGTCCAGTGGTCCAGGGCCTGTCAAGATATTCCTTCTAAGGTAAAAGGTAAGTTGCTGCATTTGGCCCATCCTACAACCAAGAAAGAGGCACAATGTCTAGTGGGCCTATTTGGGTTTTGGAGGCAACCTATTCCTCATTTGGGTGTGTTACTCTGGCCCATTTATTGAGTGACCCAAAAAGCTGCCAGTTCTGAGTGTGGTCCAGAAAAGAAGAAGGCTCTGCAACAGGTCCAGGCTGCTGTGCAAGCTGCTCTGCCACTTGGGCCATATTACCCAGGAGATCCAATGGATCTTGAGGTGTCGGTGAAAAATAAAGATGCTATTTGCAGCCTTTGGCAAGCCTTCTCAGGTGAATCACAGCAGAGGCCTCTAGAGTTTTTTTCTTTCTTTCTTTCCTTCCTTCCTTCCTTCCTTCCTTCCTTCCTGCCTTCCTGCCTTCCTGACTTCCTTCTTCCTGCCTTCCTGCCTTCCTGACTTCCTTCTTCCTGCCTTTCTGCCTTCCTTCTTTTCTTTTCTTTCTTTCTTTCTTTCTTTCTTTCTTTCTTTCTTTCTTTCTTTCTTTCTTTCTTTCTTTCTTTCTTTCTCTTGCTTTCTTTCTTTCTTTCCTTCTTTTTGGATGGAGTCTTGCTCTTGTCATCCAGGCTAGAGTGCAATGGCATTAACTTGCCTCACTGCAACCTCCACCTCCCAGGTTCAAGCAATCTCCTGCCTCAGCCTCCTGAGTAGCTAGGATTACAGGCACCCACCACTACGTCTGGCTAATTTTTGTATATTTAGTAGACTTGGGGTTTCACCATGTTGGCCAGGCTGGTCTCAAACTCCTGACCTCAGGTGATCTGTTTGCCTCGGCTTCCCAAAGTGCTGGGATTACAGGCATGAGCCACTGCACCTGGCAGCCTCTAGGATTTTGGAGCAAAGCCCTGCCATTTTCTGCAGATAACTACTCTCCTTTTGAGAGACAACTCTTGGCCTGTTACTGGGCTTTGGTAAAAACTGAACGTTTGACTATGTTTTATCAAGTCACTATGCGACCTGAACTGCCTATCATGAACTGGGTGCTTTCTGACCCATCTAACCACAAAGTGGGTCATGCACAACAGCATTCCATCATCAAATGGATGTGGTATATATGTGATCGGGCTTGAGCAGGTTCTGAAGGCACAAGTAAGTTACATGAGGAAGTGGCTCAAATGCCCATGGTCTCCATTTCTGCCACCCTGCCTTCTCTCCCCCAGCCTGCACTGATGACCTAATGGGGAGTTCCCTATGATCATTTGACAGAGGAAGAAAAGACTATGGCCTCATTTACAGACGGTTCTGTATAATATGAAGGCACCACCTGAAAGTGGACCCAGCTGTGGCGCTACAGTTCCTTTCTAGGACATCCCTGAAAGACAGTGGTGAAGGGAAGTCTTCCCAGTGGGCAGAATTTTGAGCAGTGCACCTGGTTGTGCACTTTGCATGGAAGGAGGAATGGCCAGATGTGTGATTACATACTGAATCATGGGCTTTAGCCAATGGTTTGACTGGATTGCCAGGGACTTGGAAGAAGCACCATTGAAAAATTGGTGACAAAGAAATTTGGGGAAGAGGTATGTGGATGGACCTCCTGAGTGGTCAAAAACTGTGAAGATATTTGTATCCCATGTGAGTGCTAACCAATGGGTGACCTCAGCAGAGGAGGATTTTGATAATCAAGTGGATAGGATGACCTGTTTTGTTGACATCACTCAGCATCTTTCCCCAGCTACCCCTGTCATTGCCCAATAGGTCCATGAACAAAATGGTCATGGTGGCAGAGACAGAGGTCACAAAGTGACAAAGTGCTGAATGAAATGGTGGTATACTTTGGAGTGACAATTTGGGTCTGCTGAGACCAGAGGTAAATGTTACAGCAGCAGAGAGACTGCAGTACCACAGACAGGGAACAGGTGTAGCAAGTGAAGACTATTAAGAAGAAAGATTAATAAACTTCTTTAACTAAAAAATAAACAACAAATTTCAGACAAGACACATCCTAAGAACATGTTTGAAAGACTCCCAGAATCTCTAGCAAAGACAATTGTTTTCAGACTATGCCAGGACAAAGCTACGTGATAAAGATTGTGACAGGTAGCTTTTTAAAAAATGTCCAAATATCAATCAAAGATTACAATGTATACAAAACAGGGCAATACATTCCCATCCAAAATATTATAAAATTTTCAGAAAAAAAACCTTAAAAAAGAAAATAAATTGGGCCGGGTGAGATGGCTCACACCTGTAATCCCAGCGGTTTGGAAGGCAGCGATGGGTGGATCACTTGAGCCTAGGAGACCAGCGTGGGCAACATGGCGAAACCCGGCCTCTACTAAAAATTTGTAACAATGCTGCAATTATTATGAGCATGTAAATAATTCTTCATATGAATATATATGTTAAATTTTATATATGTGCTGCATTGATTTTTATTAGTCTACATTTTTACTTTTATACTCACACCAAATTGTTTTAATTTTGTAGATTTGTAATGAGTTTTAAAATCAGGAACTGTAATGCCTTTAACATTATTTCTTTTTTTGAAGATTATTGGGTATTTTATTGTCTCATTAGATTCCATATACTTTTAGAGTTGCTGTGTCTATTTCTTCAAAATGTAGTGTGAACTTTTAAAGAACATTGCATTAAATCTGTAGTTTACATTGAACAGTATGGATATCTTCAAAATATTTATCTCAACCTTTGAACAGGAGCATGCTCATAGTGTGTTAATTTCTATATATTTATACTTTTTTCAGGTTTTTTTTTCTATTATTGTTTCATACTGTCACTTCATTTTGGTGATAGAAAGTAATCCATATAAATTTAGTTTTAAAAATTATGTTAAGACTTCTATTTTGGCCTAACAGGTGGTCTATCAAGCAGAATGTTTTATGAGCTGTTGGGAAGGCTGTGTATCCTGATATTGTTGAGGAGTGTTCTCTATACCTCTGTTAGGAATGATTGTTTTATACTTGTCTTCAAGTTCTCTGTTCTCTTACTATTATTCTGTCTGGTTTTATTTTTATTATACAAAATGGGGTATTGAAATATGCTACTGTAGGCTGGATGTGGTGGCTCATGCCTGTATTCCCAGCACTCTGGAAGGACAAGGCAGGCAGATCACAAGGTCAAGAGATCAAGACCATCCTGGCCAACATGGTGAAACCCTGTCTCTACTAAAAATACAAAAATTAGCTGGGGGTGGTAGTGCACGCCTGTTCTCCCAGCTACTCGGGAGGCTGAGGCAGGAGAATCACTTGAACCTGGGAGGTGGAAGTTGCAGTGAGCCAAGATCACACCACTGCACTCCAGCCTGGAGACAGAGCGAGACTCCGTCTAAAAAAAAAAGAAAAGAAAAGAAAAGAAATATGCTATTGTAACTATATTGTTCTCTATGTGTTTCTTCAATTCTGTCAATATTTGATTTATATATTTTGCAAGCCTAATGTGAGATACACATACACACACTTGCACAAAACACACACACACACAGATATACAAATTTGTTATAGGTTCCCAGTAAATAAATCTATTATTTTGTAATGGCTTGTTTTGTCTCTGTAGAGTTTTGACTTAAAAAAACATTTTATAAAATATGACGGTTTTTGACTTAAGATAGAGCTCAAGGCCAGGCGCGGTGGCTCACGCTTGTAATCCCAGCACTTTGGGAGGCTGAGGCGGGTGGATCACAAGGTCAAGAGATCGAGACTATATGGCCAACATGGTGAAAACCCGTCTCAACTGAAAATACAAAAATTAGCTGGCCATGGTGGCACGCGCCTGTAGTCCCAGCTACTTGGGAGGCTGAGGCAGGAGAATCACTTGGACCCAGGAGGCAGAGGTTGCAGTGAGCCAAGATCACACCACTGCACTCCAGCCTGGAAACAGAGCAAGACTCCATCTCAAAATAAATAAATAAATAAAGATACAGCTAAAGTAACATTATTTTGACCTCTTCTGCTCTAATTTAATTAATATTTGCATAGAATATCTACATCCATCTTGCCACTATCAGTCTTTTTTATCATTAGATCTCTGATGACTCTATTATAGAAAGGCAAGTTGCATCTTGGTTTTTAAAATTATCTAATTCCTTTATTAAATGTATGTCTCTGAATTAAGTTCATTTTATATACATGTTTAAATAACTTTCTGAAACAGAAAGACTTAATAATGTTATTTTATTGTTTCATTTGATTGTTGTATCTTTGTCTCTAATTTTCTCTCTGTGTCTTCCTTTGTGTCGTTTTGATTTTTGTACTGATATGCTTTTACTTTTTCCTTATTTTGTTTTGCATATCTATACAGATTTTTTTTTGTGATACCTTGTGGTACTTTGGAAATTACATAAAACTTCTAAAAGATATAACTACATTTTAACCTGGTAGAAGATGAACTTCAGTTGCATACAAAGATTTTACTCTCAAAATTTTCATTGTTTTCTAAATTTTTTTCAAATTATAGAAAATACTTAAAAATGTTTTCTGCACCATTATGATTATGCTAAGAAATTTCATTTTTTTGTATGTGAATATCTATCCAAGAAAATAATCCCCCCTTTTTTTTTTGGCCAGGCACAGTGGCTCATGCCTGTAATCCCAGCACTTTTGGAATCTGAGGTGGGCAGATCAGGAGGTTAGGAGTTCGAGACCAGCCTGGCCAACATGGTGAAACGCCATCTCTCCTAAAAATACAAAAAATTAGCCGGGTGTGGTGGCGGACACCTGTGATCTCAGCTATTTGGGAAGCTGAGGCAGGAGAATCACATGAAACTGGAAGGCAGAGGTGGCAGTGAGCAGAGATCAGGCCACTGCACTCCAGCCTGGGAAACAAGAGTAAAACTCGGCTCAAAAAAATATATATATATACAAATACATATATATGTACACATACATATATATAATATACATACATATATATACACATATATATGCATTCATATATAGATATGATTATGTGTCATTTTCTTGAGTCATTTTATTTTCAATAAAAGAAACTCTTCAGCATTCTTTTTTTTCCTTTTTTATTATTACACTTTAAGTTCTGAGATACATGTGCAGAATGTGCAGGTTTGTTACACAGGTATACACGTGCCATGATGGTTTGCTGAACCCATCAACCCATCATCTACATTAGGTATTTCTTCTAATACTATTCATCTCCTAGCCCCCCACCCGCTGACAGGTCCCAGTGTGTGATGTTCCCCTCCTTGTGTCCATGCATTCTCATTGTTCAACTCCCACTTATGAGTGAGAACATGCAGTGTTTGGTTTTCTGTTCTTGTGTTAGTTTGCTGAGAATTATGGTTTCCAGCTTCATCCATGTCCCTGCAAAGAACATGAACTCATCCTTGTTTATGGCTGCATAGTATTCCGTGGTGTATATGTGCCACATTTTCTTTATCCAGTCTATCACTGATGGGCACTTGGGTTGGTTCCAAGTCTTTGCTATTGTGAATAGTGCTGCAACAAACATACGTGTGCATGTGTCTTTATAGTAGAATGATTTATAATCTTTCGGGTATATACCCAGTAATGGGATTGCTGGGTCAAATGGTATTTCTGATTCTAGATCCTTGAGGAATTGTCACATTGTCTTCCACAATGGTTGAACTGATTTACACTCCCCCCAACAGTGTGAAAGTGTTCCTATTTCTCCTCATCCTCCCCAGCATATGTTGTTTTCTGACTTTTTAATGATTACATTCTAACTGTTGTGAGATGGTATCTCATTGTGATTTTGATTTACATTTCTCTCATGACTAGTGACAGTGAGCTTTTTTTCATATGTTTGTTGGCTGCATAAATGTCTTCTTTTGAGAAGTGTCTGTTCTTATCCTTTGCCCACTTTTTGATGGGGTTGCTTTTCTCTTGTAAATTTGTTTAAGTTCTTTGTAGAGCCTGGATATTAGCCCTTTGTCAGATGGATAGATTGCAAAATTTTTCTCCCATTCCATAGGTTGCCTGTTCACTCTGATGATAGTTTCTTTTGCTGTGCAGAAGCTCTTGAGTTTAATTAGGTCCCATTTGTCAATTTTGGCTTTTGTTGCCATTGCTTTTGCTGTTTTAGTCATGAAGTCTTTGCCCATGCCTATGTCCTGAATAGCATTGCCTAGGTTTTCTTCTAGGGTTTTTATGGTTTGGGGTGTTACATTTAAGTCTTTAATCCATCTTGAGTTAATTTTTGTATATGGTGTAAGGAAGGGGTCCAGTTTCAGTTTTCTGCATATGGCTAGCCAGTTTTCCCAACACCATTTATTAAATTGGGAATCCTTTCCCCATTTCTTGTTTTTTGTCAGGTTTGTCAAAGATCAGATGGTTGTAGATGTGTGGTGTTATTTCTGAGGCCTCTGTTCTGTTCCATTGGTCTATATATCTGTTTTGATACCAATACCATGCTGTTTTGGTTACTGTAGCCTTTTACAATAGTTTGAAGTCAGGTACTGTAATGTCTCCAGCTTTGTTCTTTTTGTTTAGGATTGTCTTGGCAATGTGGACTCTTTTTTGGTTCCATATGAAATTTAAAGTAGTTTTTTCCAATGCTGTGAAGTCATTGGTAGCTTCATGGGGATGGCATTGGGTCTATAAATTACCTTAGGCAGTATGGCCATTTTCATGATATTGATTCTTCCTATCATGAGCATGGAATGTTCTTCCATTTGTTTGTGTCCTCTTCTATTTCATTGAGCTGTGGTTTGTAGCTCTCCTTGAAAAGGTCCTTCACATCCCTTGGAAGTTGTATTCCTAGTTATTTTATTCTCTTTGTAGCAATTGTGAATGGGAGCTCAGTCATGATTTGGCTCTCTGTTGGTCTGTTATTGGTGTATAGGAATGCTTGTGATTTTTGCACATTGATTTTGTATCCTGAGACTTTGCTGAAGTTGCTTATCAGCTTAAGGAGATTTGGGGCGGAGATGATGGAGTTTTCTCAACATACAATCATGTCATCTGCAAACAGAGACAATTTGACTTCCTCTTTTCCTATTTGAATACTCATTATTTCTTTCTCTTGCCTGATTGTCCTGGCCAGAACTTCCAATACTATGTTGAATAGGAATGGTGAGAGAGGGCATCCTTGTCTTGTGCCAGTTTTCAAAGGGAATGCTTCCAGGTTTTGCCCATTCAGTATGACATTAACTGTGGTCTGTCATAAATAGCTTTTATTATTTTGAGATATGTTCCATCAATACTTAGTTTATTGAGAGTTTTTAGCATGAATGGGGTGTTGAATTTTGTTGAAGGCCTTTTCTGCATCTATTGAGATAATCACGTGGTTTTTGTCATGGGTTCTGTTTATGTGATGGATTACGTTTATTGATTTGTGTATGTTGAACCAGCCATGCATCCCAGGGATGAAGCTGACTGGATCATGGTGGATAAGCTTTTTGATGTGCTGCTGGATTCAGTTTGCCAGTATTTTATTGAGGATTTTCACATCAATGTTCATCAGGGATATTGGCCTGAAGTTTTCTTTTTTTGTTGTGTCTCTGCCAGCTTTGGTATCAGGATGATGCTGGCCCAAAATGAGCTAGGGAGGAGTCCCTCTTTCTCTATTGTTTGGAATAATTTCAGAAGAATTGGTACCAGCTCCTCTTTGTACCTGTGGTAGAATATGGCTGTGAATCTGTCTGGTCCCAGGTATTTTTTGGTTGGTAGGCTATTAATTACTGCCTCAATTTCAAAACTTGTTATTGGTCTATTCAGGGATTTGACTTCTTCCTGGTTTAGTCTTCAGAGGGTATGTGTCCAGGAATTTATCCATTTCTTCTAGATTATCTAGTTTTTTACATTGAGGTGTTTACAGTATTATCTGATGGTAGTTTGTATTTCTGTGGGATCAGTGCCAATACCCTCTTGATTATTTTTTATTGCATCTATTTGATTCCTCTCTCTTTTCTTCTTTATTAGTCTGGCTAGCAGTCTATCTATTTTGTAGATCTTTTCAAAAAACCAGCTCCTGGAATCATTAATTTTTTGAAGGGTGTTTTGTGTCTCTATCTCCTTCAGTTCTGCTCTAATCTTAGTTATTTCTTGTCTTCTGCCAGCATTTGAATTTGTTTGCTCTTGCTTCTCTAGTTCTGTTAATTGTGATTTTAGGATGTTGATTTTAGACCTTTCCTGCTTTCTCTTGTGAGCATTTAGTGCTATAAGTTTCCCTCTAAGCACTGCTTTGTCTGTGACCCAGAGATTCTGGTACATTGTGTCATCATTCTTATTGGTTTCAAAGAACTTACTTATTTCTGCCTTCATTTCATTATTTCCCCAGTAGTCATTCTGGAGCATGTTGTTCTGTTTCCATGTAGTTGAGTGGTTTTGAGTGAGTTACTTATCCAGAGTTTTAATTTGATTGCACTGTGGTATGAGAGACTGTTTGTTATGATTTCCATTCTTTTGCATTTGCTGATGAGTGTTTTACTTCCAATTATGTGGTCAATTTTAGAATAAGTGGGATGCTTTTCAGCATTCTTTATAGGGCATATGCAGTGCCAGTATGCTCTTTCAAAATTTGGTTATTTTGAAAGGTTTTCCTCTTTTCATTTGGCAGGACAGATTTGCTGATGCTATTATTTGAACCTAAGGTAAAAGTAAAACAGGAAAATCCAAAAGTATATAAAAATTAAACACATGAGCTGGGTGCAGTGGCTCACCTCTGTAACCCGAGAACTTTGGGAGGCCGAGGCAGGTGGATTGCCTGACATCAAGAGTTTGAGACCAGCCAGACCAACATGGTGAAACCTCGTCTCTACTAAAAATACAAAAAAATGAGCCAGGCATGGTGGTGAGTGCCTGTAATCCCAACTATTCAGGAGGCTGAGGCAGGAGAATCACTTGAACCCAGAAGGTGGAGGTTGTGTTGAATTGAGATTGTGCCACTGCACTCCTGCCTGGATGACAGAGTGAGACTCTGTCTCAAAGGAAAAAAAAAAAGCAAGATCCCTTCTCTCTCTAAATAAAATAAATAAATAAATAAAATAAAAATAAAACACTCTTTAACATATTCTTGCTCAAGAGTCAAAAAATTTAATTTTTTAAGATGTCAGTACAACCTACAGTGGTAAACAAATTTGACGTAATTTCTATAAAATTCCTAATAGCACAGGATTTTTAAACAGAAATATTATTTAACATTTTAAAATTTGATTATTAACTATAACTAGCCAAACACCCATGAAATAGAGGAGGTAATAAACTTTCCCATTTCAAAACATATTAAAAGCTATAATGAAAACAATATAGTACTGACACAAAGACAGATAAACAGATGATAAATCAGAATAGAGAGCCCAGAAATGAACCCTTCTGTAAATAATGATCTTCCACAAAGCTGCCATGAGCACACAATAGAGAAAAGATAATATCTTCAAAAATTAATGCTGAAAACTGAATATCTATACTGATAAAGCTGGATTCTTTCCTTGAACCATAGACAAAAAAATTTATATAAAATACTTAGATATAAAAAATAGCTAATAAGTGTCTTAAAAAAACATGGAGAAAAGACATGACATTGGCCTTGGAATCATTTTCTTAGATGACATTAAACGCATAAGCAACAATGAAAAGAACAGAAAAATTTAACTGAAATATACTTCAAAATTTTTGCACATCAAAAAAAACTTCAAGAGAGTGACAATGCCACTTAGGAAATCAATGAAAATATTTGCAAATCACATGTGATAGAAGTTAATATTCAGAATATATAAGCAACTCTTAAAACTGAACAATAAAGTTGAATAACAGGATTTAGAAATGGAAAACTAATTAAACTAAATTTTTATCAAAAGCATAAATGGGAAGAGCATTTGACAGGACTCACAAAATTACTAATTTGTAGAGGAATGCATAAATATCACAGTGAAATACAAAATAACCTGACACCCATTGGAACGGCCACTATCAATTTTTTAAGAAAACCAGATCTATTGGTGATGCTATGAAAATGAAACCTATGCTGATTGTTGGTGGAAAACAAAGATGCAGCCATTATTTTAAAATGTTATAAATGTTCCTCAGATAATTAAAAATAAAATTGTAATCAATTACAACAATCTTATTTATAAATTGATTTCCAAAGTATGCAACACAGAACCTGGAGGAGACATGTAAACATTTATGCTTATTGTACCAGATTTCACAAAAGCCAAAAGGCTGAAGTAATCTATATGTCCCTTGATTTATAAATACATCAAAAAATTTAACATACACATACATGGAATATCATTCAGCCTTAAAAGAGAAAATTTTGTCACATTTTAAGATAAACTTTGAAAATACTATGTCACATGAAATAAACCAGTAACAAAATGATGAATACTACATTACTTCATTTACCTGAGATAAGTTAAATAGCCAAACTCATAAAAACAGAAAGCTGAAAGATATTTGCCAAGGGCTGGAGAGAGGGTAAAATGGGCAGTTGTTACTTAGTGGGTATTGAGTATTAGTTTTACAAGATGTAAAACCTCTAGAAGCCTTTTGCATAACCAGGTGAATATACTTTAACATGCCTGAAATCCACAGCTTTTTTTTTTGACAGAGGGTCTCACTTTGTCACCCAAACTGGTGTGTAGTGGCAAAATTATGGCTCACTTCAGCCTCAAACTCCCAGGATAAAGTACTCCTTTTCCCTTGATCTCCCAGGTTGCTGGAACCACAGGTGCACACCACCATGGCTTGTTATTTTAAAATTTTTTTGGATACAGCAGGTCTTTATATGTTTCCCAGGCTGATCTCAAACATTTGGGCTCAGGTGATCCTTCTGTTTTGACCTCTCGAATTTCTGGGATCACAGAGGTGAGCCACTACCATGCCTGGCCATAAAATGTACACTTAAATAGATTTTAGAGAATCAATTTTATGTTATCTGTTTTTACAAAAATTATTTTAGAAGAAAAACTAAATGAAGAATTATAAATCTTTTCTAGAATTACCTTCAAATCACAAAAGTGTTTCTCTCACACAAAGAAAATATATATTCATTATTAAACACAAGGCAAAAATAAGATTATTTCCACAACTACTCACTTAGACAAGATAAAACAACCACTGAAAATCAGCTAAGAAAGAATATATACAAGATAAGCCATAACCATAATTGGAGTCATATTTATAGATAAAAACACACAAATATATAATCTGATTGTGATAGACATATGGCTAATTTATTTCTCAATTAAACCCCACATTGACTTAAAGTGTACAAACAGAATTGCAAATTGTCTAGAATTATAATACGTAAAACAAAAAAAATTCACTGATATTAAGAAACTGACGCTAAAAAGCACACATATAGAACTGCAAAATAATAATAACAGAAATGTTTACTCATCAGATCTAGTATGCAACATTGATGTACCATTACAAAAATTTGTCTAGATAACTACAATATTTGACTGTGTCTGTGTACTCATGGAAGGCAGGTATTTTGAGTCATCGGCATGCACTGCATGGCAGTAAAACTTAAGAGAAATTGCAGTATAATCATAAATAGAAGATTCTAATGATAAGCTTTTAATAAATAAGCACTAAAGAAAACTAGAGGTAAATTTCATCGTTATATATGCTGTTCTTACACAATATATGCTACATATATTCTTAAAGAATATGTGCTATTCTTACACAAAATGAAACTGCTGTAATTTAACTTTAGAAGCAAAGAATAGTCTTACTTTGTTAAATTAAAAAAAAAGTCTGCAGAATATAATTAAAGCCTCTGATATATAAAACAATTATCAGGGAAGAACTTATTTTATTATTTAAATATAGGCTGAAGAAAGTGAATGGAAATCATATAATTCCTTTCTGCCTGCAGCAAACTTAAATTTATAACTAAATATTTTAGTAAATAAGGAATGCCTACTAATAATCTAATTTATTTCAGGCATAACATGTAAATTCTAACATATTATCCTAAATGTCTGAATCTAAAATAACAGAGAAATTTGAAATAGGAAATACAAAGTAAAAATGTATAGGGAGAGCGACATCAGTAAAATTTAAAAAAAAAAAAAAGGTGACCTATTTTCTTATCCCCCGACAGCAAGAAAACTGTGAGCCAGCCCTGACAAAAATGTGTTTATGAGAGATCCAGGCATCCTGGCTCATATCTGTAATGATAGCTACATAAAACATTCAGGTTGAAGAATTTCTTCAGGCCAAGATTTCAAGACCAGCCTGTGTTATGTAGAAAGACTTCATCTCTAAAACAAGTACCTTCAAAAGAGCTTTGAGATCCAGGGACGGAGTTGTGAAACTCTGCTAAAGCCCAAGATTGAGGAACATTCTTTTCAGGAGACAGGCTTCCACTAAGGTGGCAAACTACAGGATTTCTGTTCTTGGCCACAACCCAAAAAATAGCCAACTCAACTTGCTCCCACTGAGAATTCTGAACTTATCCTATAACCATTCCAAACTCCTCCCAGCCACAGCCTGGGAGAGCTTCTGCCCTTCCAGAGGCCTGGAGGAAGACACCCATTTGTAGCCATACAGTTTAATGTTTTAGTTCTAACTCCAATCCACAGTTTATGGCCAATTCTGCCTAGGTAGAATCCCACACAGTGACCTGGGAAGACCCTCTCTAGTACTTGGTGAAAGGCATCCTCATCCACATCCTGATGTAAGCCCCACCATATGCAGATCTGACTGCAACAACTTCCCCTAGTGTCTGCTCTACAGATGAAAGTCCTGAAGGATATTCAATCTGTTCAATAATAAAATGGGAATTACAACTACCCAAGCCTTTTGTAACAAGCCAACTAAAGGTAAATCCTATGCAGACGCAGCTGCTTTGCTGCGTTTACCACCTCTCTCTATTACAAATAAAGAGGGCATCCTATAAATATGGGGGCCCAACAGAAGAAGATTTTTACCCCTTGTAACCAGTTTATATAAACTTGAACAGGCTTTTGCTCCACGAAATTTACAAAAACCAATGCAATGCAAAACTATATTGTCCCCATTGTCAATGCTTCTACTTTAACATAAACCTGGAAGTACATGGCAGAAGAACTAGGCAAAAAAATTGTTTAAAGCCATTGAAATTGAAGACAAATAAATAAAAAGTTGCTGTTTGCAAATCATTTAATCTTATATATTAAAAAAAACATAAACAGTACATTTAAGGCCAGGCACAGTGGCTCACACCTGTAATCCCAGCACTCTGGGAGGCCGAGGCAGGCAGATCACCTGAGGTCAGGAGTTTGAAACCAGCCTGGCCAATATGGTGAAACCTTGTTTCTACTAAAAAACACAAAAATTAGCCATGCGTGGTGGCAGGTGCCTGCAGTCCCAGCTACTCGGGAGTCTGAGGCAGGAGAATCACTTGAGCCAGGAGGTGGAGGTTGCAAGTGAGCCAAGATCACACCACTGCACTCCAGCTTGGGCGACAGAGTGAGACTCCATCTCAAAGAAAAAAAAAATATATTTTAGCCTAAAATGTTAGTTCTGTGCTTCAGAAGTATAAATTTTCTTGTTTCACCTAAGTTGTCCCTTAAGAAATGCAATGAGAGAGACAACAACATAAAAATATTGGGGGACTTTTTTACTTTACTTACAGCATTAGACATATCATCAAGACAGAAAGTCAAATGAACAAACAAACAAACAAACAAAAAACAATGGTCTTAAACTACACCTTAGAACAAATGGACTTAACAGAGATTTACAGAATATTCTACCCAACAACTGCAGAATATACATTCTTTTCATCAGCACATAAAACATTCTTCAAGATAGACCATATAATAGGCCAAAAGACAAGTCTGATGTTTTTTTTTTTTGTGACAGTCTTGCTCTGTCACCAAGGCTGGAGTGCAATGGTGCAATCTCAGCTCACAGCAACCTCTGCCTCCCAAGTTCAAGGGATTCTCCTACCTCAGCCTTCTGAGTAGCTGGGATTACAGCCACGTGCCACCATGCCTGCCTAATTTTTGTATTTTTAGTAGCGATGGGGTTTCACCATGTTGACCAGGCTGGTTTTGAACTCCTGACCTCAGGTTATCCACCTGCCTTGGCATCCCAAAGTGCTGGGATTAAAGCATGAGCCACCATGCCCAGCCCCTGAATAAATTTAAGAATATTAAAATTATATCAAGTACTGTCTTAGGCCACAGTGGAATAAAATTAGAAATCAATTCAAATAGGAACACTCAAAACCATACAAATACATGAAAATTAAATAAACTGCTCATGAATAATTGGTTCCACAATGAAATCAAGATGGAAATTAAATAATTATTTAAATTGAATAATAGTGACACAACATATTAAAACATCTGGGATACAGCAAAAGCAGTGCTAAGAGGAAAGTTCATAGCATTAAATACATACATCAAAAAGTTCAAAAAACCACAATAAACAACCTGAGATTGTTTAGCCTCAAGGAACAAGAGAAACAAGAACAAACCAAACCCAAACCCAGCAGGAAAAAAAAATAATAACAAAGATCAGAGAAGAACTAAATAAATTTGAAATTTTAAAAAATATAAAAGATAAAACAATAAGCTAGTTATTTGAAAAGATAAATCCAACTGATAGACTATTAGTAAGATTAACCCAGAAAAGCAGAAAGAAGATCCAAATATGCTCAATTAGAAATAAAAGATCATTCAAAGCTGCTACGAATACCTTTACATGCTCAAACTTGAAAACCTAGAGGAGTTTGATAAATTCCTGGAAATATACAACCCTCCTAGATTAAATCAGGAAGAAATAAAAACTCTGAACACACCAATAACAAGTAGCAAGATTAAACTAGTAATAAAACATTGCCAGCTGGGTTCAGTGGCTCATGCCTGTAATCCTAGCACTTTGGTAGGACGAGGTGGGGGGATCACTTGAGGTCAGGTGTTTGAGACCAGTCTGATCAACATGGCAAAACCCCATCTCTACTAAAAATACAAAAATTAGCCAGGTATGGTGGTTTGTGCCTGTAATCCCAGCTACTTGGGAGGCTTAGGCAGGAGAATCACTTAAACCCAGGAGGCAAGTTTGCAGTGAGTCAACATCGCACCACTGCACTCCAGCCTGGGTGACAGCGCAAGACTCAAGAAAAAAAAAAAAAAAAACTGCCAACAAAAAACGTCCAGGACAAGATGGATTCATAGCTCAATTCTATCCAAAATTCAAAGAATTGGTACCAGTCCTACTGAAACTATTCCAAAAGATAGAGAAAAAGGGAATCCTTCCTAAATTATTCTATGAAGCCAGTATCACTCTAATACCAAGATCATGAAAAGACAT
This sequence comes from Homo sapiens, assembly GCF_000001405.40. Classification (NCBI taxonomy): domain Eukaryota; kingdom Metazoa; phylum Chordata; class Mammalia; order Primates; family Hominidae; genus Homo; species Homo sapiens. The sequence goes on along the minus strand of NC_000019.10, from coordinate 22,220,286 downwards.
AATAAAAGAAAACTACACACCAATGTTCCTGATGAGCATAAATGCAAAAATCTTCCATAAAATACTAGCTAACCAAACACAGCAACATATTAATAAGATAGTACACCATAATCAAGAACATTTTATGCCAGGGATGCAGAGATGATTTAACATAGGTAAGTCAATACATGTTATACACCAAATAAACAGAATTAAAACCAAAAATTATATGATTATCTCAATATATGCAGAAAAATCATTTGGCAAAATCCAGCATCACTTTATGATTAAAATCCTCAGCAAAATCGGGATAGAGGGAACATATTGTAAGGTCATAAAAACCATCTATGACAGGCTGGGCGTGGTGGCTCATGCCTGTAATCCCAGCACTTTGGGAGGCTGAGGTGGGCAGATCACTTGAGGTCAGGAGTTTGAGATCAGCTTGGCCAACATGGTGAAACCTCGTCTGTTCAAAAATACAAAAATTAGCCAGGCATGATGGTGGGTGCCTGTGGTGCCAGCTACTGGGGAGGCTGAGGCGGGAGAATCGCTTGAGTCTGGGAGGTGGAGATTGCAGTGAGCAGAGATCCTGACATTGCACTCCAGCCTGGGTGACAGAGCGAGACTCCGTCCGAGAAAAAAAAAAAATCTATCTGTGATAAACAGCCAACATTACACTGAACAGGAAAAAGTTGAAAGGATTTTTTCTGAGAACTGGAACAAGACAATAATGCCCACTCTCACCACTTCTATTCAACACAGTAATGGATGTCTTAGCCAAAGCAATCAGAGTAAAGCAAAAAATAAACAGAATCTAAATTGGTAAAGAGGAAGTCAAATTGTCACTGTTTACCAATGATATAATTGTGTACCTGGGAAACCCTAAAACTCAACTAAAAAAGCTTTTAGGGCTGGATGCAGTGGCTCAAGCCTGTAATCCCAGCACTTTGGGACATGGAGGCAGGTGGATCACTTGAGGTCAGGAGTTCAAGACCAGCCTGGCCAACATGGTAAAACCCCATCTCTACTAAGAATACAAAAATTAGCCGGTTGCAGTGGCAAGTGGCTGTAATCCCAGCTACAAGGGAGGCTGAGACAGGAGAATCACTTGAACCTGGGATGCAGAGGGTGCAGTGAGCCAAGATCATGCCACTGCACTCCAGCCTGGGTGACAGAGTAAGACCTTGTCTCAAAAAGAAAAAAAAACAAAACAAAAAACTTTTCGATCTGATACATAAATGCAGTAAAATTTCAGGATACCAAAAAAAAAAAAATCCTAAAACTAAAAAAAAAAAATCCTAAAATTTATATAAAATAAAAAGAGAGCCTCCATAGTCAAAGCAAGACTAGGAAAACAAAACAAAACAAAACAAAACAACAAAATCAAAAACACACAAAAAAATCTGAAGACATCACGTTATCTGACTTCAAACTATACTACAAGGTTATAGTTACCAAAACAGCATTGTATGGGTATAAAAATAGATATGAAGACCAATGAAACAGAATAGTGAAACCAGAAATAAACCCAAATACTTACAGTCAACTGATCTTTGACAAAGTAAACAAAGATATGAAGTGGGGAAATAACACCCTATTCTATTGAATAGAATGGTACTGGGATAATTGGGAAGCCACATATTGAAGAATAAAACTGGATCTTCGGCTGAGTGCAGTGGCTTATACCTGTAATCCCAGCACTTTGGGAGGTCAAGGTGGGTGGATCACGAGGTCAGGAGTTCAAAACCAGCCTGGCCAAGATGGTGAAACCCCGTCTCTACTAAAAATACAAAAAAAAAAAAAAAAATTTAGCTGGGTGTGGTGGCAGGTGCCTGTAATCCCAGCTACTTGGGAGGCTGAGGCAGAGAATTGCTTGAACCCGGGAGGCAGAGGTTGTAGTGAGCCGAGATCATGACACTGTACTCCAGCCTGGGAACAGAGCGAGACTCCGTCTCAAAAAAATAAAAATAAAAAAAAAGTATCTTCATCTCTCACCTTATACAAAAATCAACTCAAGATGGATCAAATACTTTAATCTAAGACCTGAAACTACCCGAATTCTAAAGCATTGAAAAAACTCTCCTAGGCATTGACTTAGGCAAAGAGTGCATGACCAAGAACCTCAAAGCAAATGCAACAAAAACAAAGACAGATGGGACTTAAACAATTCTCAAAAGAAGATATACAAATGGCCAACAAACATTAAAAAAAAATGCTGAACATCACTAATGATTAATGATTAGGGAAATACAAATCAAAACCACAATGTGATATCACCTTACTCTTGCAAGAATGACCATCATTGGCCGGGCATGGTGGCTCATGCCTGTAATCCCAGCACTCTGGGAGACCAAGACGGGTGGATCACCTGAGGTCAGGAGTTCCAGACTAGCCTGGCCAACATGGTAAAACCTCACCTCTACTAAAAATACAAAAATTAGCAGGGCGCGATGGAGTGTGTCCGTAATCCCTGCTACTCCAGAGGCTGAGGCTGGAGAATCGCTTGAACCCGGGAGGTGGAGGTTGCAGTAAGCCAAGATCGCACCACTGCAGTCCAGTCTGTGTGACAGACTCCATGTCAAAAACAAACAAACAAACAAACAAACAAACAAACAGAAAAGACCATAATTAAAACATCAAAAAATAGGCCAGGCACGGTGGCTTATGCCTGTAATCACAGCAAACTCCATCTCAAAAAAAAAAAAGGAAAAAAGAACTAGGGGATACAAACCCAAATATTGTATTTCCTCACTTATAAACGGGAGCTAAGCTATGAAGATGCAAAGGCATAACAATTATGTAATGGGGATGGGCACGGTGGCTCACGCCTGTAATCCCAGCACTTTGGGAGGCTGAGGTGGGCGATCACCTGAGGTTGGGAGTTCGAGACAAGCCTGACCAACATGGAGAAACCCTGTCTCTACTAAAACTACAAAATTAGCCAGGCATGGTGGCACATGCCTATAATCCCAGATACTCGGGAAGGCTGAGGCAGGAGCATCGCTTGAACCTGGGAGGCAGAGGTTGCGGTGAGCTGAGATCGCGCCACTGTACTCCGGCCTGGGCAATAAGAGCGAAACTCTGTCTCAATAAATAAATATAATTAAAAAAAAGAATTATATAGTGGACTCTGGGCACTCAGTGGGAAGGGTAGGAGAGGGGGTGAGGGATGAAAGACTACACATTGGGTAGAGTGCACACTGCTTGGGAGATTGGTGCACCTAAATCTCAGAAAAGATTTAGGAACTTATCCATGTAACCAAATACTACATGTACCCCAAAACTATTGAAATATAATAATTTAAGACAAAAATAAAAACCTCCAAACTCCCATAAGTTTAAGTTTATATGTTTTGGCTTTTTTTTTTTTTTTAGAAAGAGTCTCACTCTTGTCACCCAGAATGGAGTGCAGTGGCTTGATCAGGGCTCACTGCAGCCACAACCTCCTGGGCTCAGGCAATCCTCCTACTTTAGCCCCCGAATAGCTGGTACTACAGGGTGAGGCTACCATGCTAAATTAGCTGGGTGTGGTGGTGGGCGCCTGTAATCCCAGCTACTCGGGAGGCTGAGGCAGGAGAATCGCTTGAACCCAGAGAGGGAGGTTGCAGTGAGCTGAGATCATGCCATTGCACTCTAGCCTGGCAAGACTCGTCTCAAAAAACAGCTTAAGGTTGTTTCAAGTTAAAAAAAAAGGCTATTAAAATAAAATAGAAAAAGTTAAATATGAGATTGTAAAATATATATGAACATCTAGAGTGTTCAAAAATGACAAATTTCATGGATTTATTTATAAGGTTTTACTAACATTAGGTTTAGCTTTTTTGTTGTTTTGTTTTTTGAGATGGCGTTTCACTCTTGTTGCCCATGTTTTTGAGCTGGCGTTTCACTCTTGTTGCCCAGGCCGCAGTGCAATGGCTTGATCCTGGCTCACTGCAATCTCCACCTCCCGGGTTCAAATGATTCTCCTGCCTCAGCCTCCTGAATAGCTGGGATTACAGGCGCCCACCACCACACCTGACTAATGTTCGTATTTTTAGTAGAGAAGGGGTTTCACCATGTCAACCAGGCTGATCTTGAACTTCTGACCTCCGGTGATCCACCCGCCTCGGCCTCCCAAACTGATGGGATTAAAGGCGTAAGCCACTGCACCCAGCCTTTAGTATTGATAATACACTATTACTAAAGTAAAAATTGATTTACTCTTGTACAAAAGTTTTATGTATTATTAACATGACAGTAAAATATATTTGTTCACATTTCAAATACATTTAAAAAGAGAGAATAAAGAAGAGATAGAATTTTCCCATGCTCTGGGGTAGGCCTGGCTCAGCTCAGGGAGGAAGCCCTGCCTGAAAAGGCTGCAGCCTACGTTGGCTCTCTTTCTTCATTCAGCCCAGCATCTGATCACATCTTCTGTCACTCAGGGCCTGAAAGGGCGGGGCCTTAAACATTATCCAATCAGGGATGCTGGGCTGGGAATGTCCAATCAGGCAGGCAGCTGGGGGGGGGGACAGGTCGGCTTCCGGGATGTGGTCGGTCCTTTGTCTCTCGCTGCAGCCGGAGGTAAAGGCCTTGTCCTTACTGTTCCTAGAGTCCCAGCCTCTGTGGCCCTATGACCTGCAGGTATTGGGAGATCCACAACTAAGTCGCCAGGACCCCCTGGAAGCCTAGAAATGGTGAGTGTGCCGGGTCCGACACACTGAGAGAGTGGCCTGGGCTGGTTGGAACCGGCGGGAAGTGGCTGTGGCGGGACTCAAGCCTACCCGCAGTCAGCTCCACAAGTTCTCCTTGCCTAGCTCGACCTCAGTCCCCTTCAGCCATAAGATGGCGGCTGCGCGGGCCGCCGGGCGTCCTGTCTCTTCCCTGCGCTGTGATTGTGCCCTGGCCTGGAGCCCTCTTGGGGCAGCTCTGCACCCTCAGCGCGGAGTCTCTCCCAGATTGTGCACGGACTGTGGGAGGGTAGTCAGAGGAGAATCCTGACTTGAGGTGTGGGTTCATGAATGGGAAGAGCTTTGGTCCGTGAGGCTCCCAGTTCCTGTATTCTCCCATTAAAAATTTATGGAAGTCGCCGAAAAAATATTAAATAATTTAAGAGTGATTCCAAAATTGTAGAGCACCCAACTATGGATTGTAGTTTATGGTCTATTGAAGGGGTTTGATGGAAAGAGTTTTATAAGGTGCATAATGAAGAAAACCACATTCAATAATTGGTTAGGTACAGTTATGTAGTTTCCTGGTTTTTTGTTGTTTTTTTTTTTTTTTTTTTTGAGATGGAGTCTCGCTCTGTCGCCCAGGCTGGAGTGCAGTAGCGGAATCTTGGCTCACTGGAAGCTCCGCCTCCCGGGTTCACGCCATTCTCCTGCCTCAGCCTCCCGAGTAGCTGCGACTGCAGGTGCCCGCCAACACCCCCGGCTAATTTTTTGGTATTTTTTAGTAGAGACGGAGTTTCACCGTGTTAGTCAGGGTAGTCTCGATCTCCTGACCTCATGATCCACCCGCCTCAGCCTCCCAAAGTGCTGGGATTATAGGTGTGAGTCATGGCGCCCAGCCTCATGGTTTCTTAATTTGTAACATGAAGATGGAAATTTCTTGGTTATGTAATCAGAGGTTAATTGGCAGTTTATAGTGTGTTAAGCCTGAATTTTTTTCCCCCAATGTAGTAATTTAAAAAAAATACATTTGAATTAGATTTTTTTTTTTTTTTTTTTTGAGACCAAGTCTCACTTTGTCGCCCAGGCTGGAGTGCAATGGCGCCATCTAGGCTAACTGGACTCTCCGCCTCCCAGGTTCAAGCGATTCTCCTGCCTCAGCCTCCCAAGTAGCTGGGATTACAGGCATGTGCCACTTGTATTTTTAATAGGGACGGGGTTTCACCGTGTTGGTCAGGCTGGTCTCGAACTCCTGATTTCAAGTGATCCACCCGCCTCGGCCTCCCAAAGTGCTGGGATTACAGGTGTAAGCCGCCACGCCTGGCCGAATTAGATTTTTTAAAAGTAGAAATTAGGAAATAAAGCCTCCTCAGTCTAACTGCCAGCCACTTAATTATTTTCACACCCCACAGGGAACTGCTGTTTCCTTGCATTTTTCACATGTGTCCCAAGCAGGGCCTCAAGTCTATCTGCCACCCCCTATTTCTCCAGCCTGACTCTGACTTGCAGTAAAATACTTAATTTCCAGTTCCTTCTGACATTCCCAAATGCCAGTTTCCCCTCCCTTATTCACATGATCAACTATTTGTCCTTTAGTGTACATTTTGATACCTATTGTAATCATTTTTTGACAAAGCATTTGATGGCACATTTAAAAAGATTTGTTTTCTGTTTGTAAATGTTTTTTTCTTCTAGTTTCCCTAGACACAGATATCTTATCAGAATGTTTTTTGGGTCAGGGTTTCCCTTTGGAAAAGTTATAGGGAGACGTGTCCTCAGCCACCCTTCAGTTTTTTCCTTGGACCTGAGATTCAGTACTGTCTGGGGAAAAACCAAGATACTGGCCATGGCTGTGTCTGCAAGAGTATCTAGTGAATATCAGCTCCTGGGTCATTTTCTCCCATAAGACAACCAGAGATATGGAGTGTAGCCTCTCATCTCCCATAAGACAACCAGAGGTATGGAGTGTAGCCTCTCATCTCCCATAAGACAACCAGAGGTATGGAGTGTAGCCTCTCATCTCCCATAAGACAACCTGAGGTATGGAGTGTAGCCTCTTATCTTTCATAAGACAACCTGAGGTATGGAGTGTAGCCTCTCATCTCCTGTAGGACAACCCGAGGTATGGAATGTAGCCTTTCAGGAGAGCAGGTGAATGCCCTGGGGCTGAGAGGCATCTACTGGTGCCCTGTTTTTTTGGAAAGCTAACCCCTTGAGGTATTAGTATTGTCTTTACCCAACCCAGCTTCCATTTCTTGGAGACACATTGCTGTTCAGACAATCAGATGCCGGTATTGAAGGGGAAACCAAAATAATTTTTGCCTCTGGATTCTCCTAGGGGACAGAAAAATAGTGAAAGAAAAATGGTAAAAAGTTTGTGGAAAAAAATAGCACTCCAAAGACAAAGAAAAAGAAACTGACCCCAGTGAGATGGTGCAAGAACTTGCAAAGTAAAATGTACCTGGGGCACTCACTGGGGCATAGTTCAGAGTCTCCTGAGAGAATGATTATTGAGCACTTAAGTGAACAGGATGGGGTGGCTGAATCTCTCAGTAATTGGATGACCTGACTTGACACATGAATCAGACATATCTCTACCTTGAAACGATTAAATGATTTGTTCACTTATTTTGACCTTAGTTTTTTTTCTTCTTCTTTTTTTTTGAGATGGAGTCTCCCTCTGTCGCCCAGGCTGGAGTGCAGTGGCATGATCTCTGCTCACTGTAACCTCCGCCTCCCGGATTAAAGCAATTCTTCTGCCGCAGCCTCCCAAGTAGCTGGGACTACAGGCGTGCACCCACATGCCTGGCTAATTTTTGTATTTTTGGTAGAGATGGAATTTCACCATATTGCCCAGGCTGGTCTCGAACTCTTGACCTCGTGATCCACCCACCTTGGCCTCCCAAAGTGCTGGGATTACAGACGTGAGCCACCGCACACGGACTTTTTTGTTTTAGACAGTGTTTTCCTCTGTCGCCCAGGCTGGAGTGCGGTGGTGCAATCTCGGCTCACTGCAACCTCTGCATCCCAAGTTCAAGTGATTCTCATGCCTCAGCCTCCCAAGCAGCTGGGACTACAGGTGCCCACCACCACACCTGGCTACTTTTTGTATTTTTAGTAGAGATGGGGGTTCACCATGTTGGCCAGGCTGTTTGAGCTCAAAATTCTGACCTCAAGTAATCTGCCTGCCTTGGCCTCCCAAAGTGCTGGGATTGCAGGTGTGAGCCACTGTGCCCGGCTGACCTCAGTTTTTTAACTGTAAATTGCATCTTATTAGTAGGGCTTGAAAGGTAAGAAAATATTTACAAAGGGCATAAAAAGGTGAGTATCAAAAAATAATATCTAATTATATATTTCATTTGTTGAAAATTCTCATTCACCTTTTTCTTTCTCAGAGTGAATTTAGGAGTTTTCTCAGGTGTGGTTTTCTTTTCTTTTCTTTTCTTTTTTTTTTTTTTTGAGACAGAATCTCGCTCTGTCACCCAGGCTGGAGTGCAGTGGTGGGATCTCGGCTCGCTGCAAGCTTCGCCTCCCAGGTTCACACCATTCTCCTGCTTCAGCCTCCCAAGTAGCTGGGACTACAGGCACCCGCCACCACACCCAGCTAATTTTTTTGTATTTTTAATAGAGACGGTGTTTCACCATGTTAGCCAGGATGGTCTTGATTTCCTGACCTCATGATCCACCTGCCTCGGCCTCCCAAAGTGCTGAGATTACAGGTGTGAGCCACTGCGCCCTGCCCTCAGGTGTGCTTTTTATAGCTGAGTGATTTCAAACAATTCCATCTAGCTTTTGGAATGTTTGGGAAAAAAATAAGAACATTTTTTCTTCCGTTTTGGCTATAGAGAATTAATATATTTCCACAAGAAAATGTGGTAGATAATTGGTGAGTTACATAGATTCGTGAAAACATCAGTTTCTTTTTTTGCAGGGTAAATTTGCAAAAGTAAGTATCTTTGTTCTATATCCTGTTATTTTGATTTCTGAGTTTAATGGTAAATTTTATGTGATGAAACTAGGTACCTCCTAGAAGTGTTCCCATATAACTGTTTACCTCATGATTTTTAATACAAAAAATAAAATAATGCTTTATTGTCCAAAAGAAATAAATACATTTGCTTCTCTTACTGAGGTACAAAAGGTAAGCACCTTAAAATTTTCTTATATGAACACTGTTTTTGAATCATTTTGCTGGATTTTTCAAACACTTAGTTTCAAAAACTAAGTGAATGACTCTGACATGTAATTAAAGCTTGAGCCCAATGACTGCAAGCTAAGGTTAATTTTGAGCTAGCAAACGGAGGTTATTAAAGGCCCATTTAGTTCCTTCTGGAAAGCCTTTCCTGCAGATGTCCCAGCCTGCTTACCGCAGCCATGGAAGAAGCCTCTATAGTGAGAGAAGCTACAGAGCCCTGGAAAGCTGGGGCCCCACAGGCAGATGCAGTTAAGGTTAAGATAGAAGGGGTTTGGGAGTGTCTTATTGAAGATAAAATTGTTACTGTTTTGAGGCAGTTTTGAGAGGTTTTAAAATAACCAGCTAGATGTACATTAAAAAAAAAAAAAGAATTCCAAAGGAGTATTGCAACAGGAGGAAGTACCAACTATAAGATCTTTAAGGATTATAAAGATTAGGTAGAAAAGGCCTTTTTTTCCTAGAGAAAACAAATAAGATTAGAAAGAAGGTGAGGGGAATATTTAAATGAAGGGTGAAATAATCAGATTTTAGATCAGAGAATGTTTTACCCTGAAGTCAGTGTGTTCTTAGGAGTGTTCTTCAGACACTGAATCTGCAGTAGCATAAAATGAGGTTGTATGGTGGCTCGGACTGAGAGTAGCTCAGAGTTCAGGAGCCTGTGGGAAGAAAATAAGTGAAGTTTGATTAAGAAGTATTTTATGTTGACCACTGAAGACAAATACAGCTGATTTTTTTAACGAGAAAAGAAAATATGCAGAGTGTTTTCCTGGCTGTGTAGTAGGTAAGAAAAGAGAGCACCATCTAAGTCACAATGGGAAGGGTGTTTCTTTTCATAAGTGTTCCTGGAGAACACAGAGGATAGAGAATTTTATTAATCCTAGCTGTTTGTTATCTATATGCTTCATCTTTTCCCACCTTTTTTCTTGGTTCTATACTTTTCTTCCATTTGACTTTTTGGGGGTTGTATATTTTATTTGAATCCAGTGAATATAACTACAGTGTTCTGCTGAGTTCTGTGAGTAGCTGTATCAGATTACTGAATTTCAAAAAGGTTATGGGAGTCCCCACTTTTTAAACAGTAGGTCAGAAGCATAGATGAGCCCATGGGGTTTGTGACTGGCATCTGCAGTGAGGACAATGTTGTGGGACTGAGCCCTGAATCAGGGTCTGTGCTGACTCTGGGTGGTGTCAGAATTCAAGTGTTAGACAATGAGTTGCTGTTGGAGAATTGTTGGTGTTCATCAAACTCTGCAGATTTGGTGCCAGAAGAAAGATATCACAGACTCCTGGCCTAGAATGAAACTCCGGGTGTCTGGGAATGGGAAGCTCTGCTCTCCTCTACACAGGCTGTCACACTGCCCCTTGTTCTTTGATTCCAGGTCTCCTCCCAGGGTGACAGAAGACTGAAAACTTAAAGGAGATCTGATGACAAACCCCCTTTTGCCACAGCTGCCAGCAGAGGATTTCCACCCACTCACAAACACCCACTAGACATTGATGTGTCCACACCCCTCTCTGGACAAGGCACCACCCTCAGGAATTTTACCACAGCATTTTTGATCCTAGTGGTTTTTTTGGCCAAAAACCTACAAAAGTGTCTACAAGTCTCCTGGCATATCCCTATTTTCAGACACGGAATCTGCAGTAGCATCCTGTTTTCTCCACCAGCCTAGGATTCATAATCTTATCTGGCTGCATGGACCCAGAAATGAATCAGAGTACAGCCCCACCTGGGCCACTATCTATAGCACAAACCAGTCCTTCCACCTGCATTGCACTCTCTCCAATCGAGGGATTTTTTTCTTTTAACTTTTATTTTTGGGTGGTTCAGGGGTACATGTGCAGCTTTGTTATACAGCTAAAATTGTGTCATGGGAGTTTGGTGTGGAGATTATTTTGTCACTGCAGTACTAATCATAGCACCAAAAATGTACTTTTTCTGACCCTTTTAGTCCTCCCACCCTCAACTAGGCCTCAGTGTCTTTTTTCCCCTCTGTGTTCATGTGTTCTTATTTATCTCTTACTTATAAATAATAACATGCATTTGGTTTTCTGTTTCTGTATCAGTTTTCTAAGAATAGTGATCTCCAGCTTCATCCATGTTGCTGCAAAGGACATACTCTTTTTTTTTTTTTTAATGGCCACACAGTATTTCATGATGTCATGATGTTTATGTACCATATTTGTTTGTTTGTTTGTTTTGATATGGAATCTCACTGTATCACACAGGCTGGAGTGCAGTGGCATGATCTCAGTTCACTGCAACCTCCACCTCCCGGGTTCAAGCAGTTCTGCCACAGCCTCCCAAGTAGCTGGGATTACAGGCGTGTGCCACCACACTCAGCTAATTTTTGTATTTTTAGTATAGATGGGGTTTTGCCATGTTGGCCAGGCTGGTCTTGAACTCCTGACTTCAGGTGATCTGCCGCCTTGGCCTCCCAAAGTGCTGGGATTACAGGTGTGAGCCACTGCACCCGGCCCATATTTTGTTTTTATTAGGTTTTTTATTTTTTGTTATTTTTGGAGACAGGGTCTCACTTTCTTTCCCAGGCTGCAGTGCAGTGGTGTGATCTTGGCTCGCTGAAACTCACCCACTCAGGCTCAAACAATCCTCTTCTATCTAAGCTTCTCAAGTAGCTAAGACTGAAGGCTTGTGCCACCATGCCTAGCTAATTTTTCTTTTTAATAGATGGGATTTTGCCATGTTGTCCATGCCGGTCTCAAACTCCTGAGCTCAGGCAATCCACCTGGCTCAGCCCCCAAAGTGCTGGATTACAGACATGTGCCATCATGCCCAACCATACCGTATTTTCTGTATCCAGTCTACCATTGATAGGCATTTAGGTTGATTCCATGTCTTTGCTATTGTGAATAGTACTGCAACGAATGTGATTGTGCATGTGTCTTTATGATAGAATAATTTATATATTTTTAGGTATAAACCCCGTTGTGAGGTTACTGGGTCAAATGGTAATTTTATTTTTAGTTTAGTGAGGAATCACTACACTGCTTTTCACAATGGTTGAATTATAATAATTGCCATTCTCACTGGTTTGAGATGATTTCTTGTTGTGGTTTTCTTTTGCATTTCTCTAACGATTAGTGATGAGCATTTTTTTATATGCTTGTTAGCCACATGTTTGTCTCCTTTTGAAGACAAACATCTTTTTCATGTTTTTTTTTTGGTCTTCTTTTAAGTTAGTTTTTTTTTTTCTTGTAAACTTGTTTTAGTTCTTACGGATTCTGGATAGTAAACCTTTGTCAGAAGCATAGTTTGCAAATATTTCCTATTATTTTGTAGGGTGTCTCTTTACTGTGTTGCTAGTTTCCTTTGCTGTGAAAAAAGATCATTAGTTTATTTAGGTCCCATTTGTCAACTTTTGCAATTGCTTTTGATATCTTCATCATGAAATCTTTGACAGTTTCTATGTCTAGAATGGCACTTCTTATCTTCCAGGGTTTTTTGTTTTTTTTTTTTTTATAATTTTTAAGATTAACATTTAAGTCTTTCATTTACCTTGAGTTGATTTTTTTATATGGTGTTATAAAAGGGTCCAGTTTCAGTCTGCTACATAGTGCTAGCTAGTTATTCTGGCACCATTTATTAAATAGGAAATTCTTCCCACATTCCTGTTGTCACCTTTGTTGAAGATCAGATGGTTTTAGGTGTGTGGCATTATTTCTGGGCTCCCTATTCTGTTGCATTGGCCTATGAGTTTGTTTTTGTACCAGTACCATGTTGCTTTGTTTACTGTAGCACTGTTGTGTAGTTTGAAGTCAGGTAATGTAATGCCTCCAGCTTTCTTGTTTTTGCTTATGATTGCCTTGGCTATTCAGGCTCTTTTTTGGTTCCATGTGAATTTTAAAATAGTTGTTTTTTTAGTTCTGTTAAAAAATATTTTGGTGGTTTGATTGAATTAGCATTACATCTGTAGATTTATTTAAGCAGTATGGCCATTTTTATGATAGTGATCTTTTTTATTCATGAGCATAAAGTGGTTTTCCATTTGTTTGTGTCATCTCTGGCTTCTTTAAGCATTGTTTTGTAATTCTTGTCATAGAGATCTTTTACCTTTCTGGTTATCTGTATTTCTAGATATGTTATTCTTTTCTGTGGCAGTTGTGAATGGGATTGTGTTTTCGATTCGGATTTGGCCTAGGTGTTCTTGATATATAGGGTTGCTACTAATTTTTGTACATTTCTTTTGTATCCTGAGACTTTACTGAAGTTGTTTGTCAGTTTAAAGAGCTTTTCTGCTGAGAGTATATGGGTTTCCAGATGTAGAATCATGTTGTTTGCAAATAGGGATAGTTTGACTTCCTCTCTTTTTGTTTGGATGCCTTTTATTTTTATCTTTTGCCTGATTGCTCTGGCTAAGACTGCCAATTTTATGTTGAATATAGGAGTGTTGAGAGAAGGCATCCTTGTCTTGTGCCAGTTTTCAAGAAGGAATGCTTCCAGGTTTTGTCCATTCAGTATTTTGGCTGTGGATTTGTCATAGATAACTTACTATTTTGACATGTATACCATCAGTGCCTAGTTTGTTGAGGGTTTTTAACATGAAAAATGTTAAATTTTATTGAAGGCTTTTTGTGCATCTATTGAGATAATCTTGTGATTTCTGTCTTTAATTCTGTTTATGTGATGAATCACATTTATTGATTCGTGTATGTTGAACAAACCTTGAATCCCCAAAATAAACCATAGTTGATCATAGTGGGTTAGGTTTTTGATATGCTGCTGGATTTGGTTTGCTAGTAGTTTGTTGAAGATTTCTTTTTTTTTTTTGAGATGGAGTCTCACTGTGTCATCCAGGCTGGAGTGCAGTGGTGCAATCTTGGTTCACTGCAACCTCTGACTCCCAGGTTCAAGTGATTCTCCTGCCTCAGCCTCTCAAGTAGCTGGGATTACAGGTGTGTGCTACCATGCCCAGCTAATTTTTTCCTGTTTTGAGAAGAGACGGGGTTTCATCATGTTGGCCAGGCTGGTCTTGAACTCCTGACCTCAGGGAATCAACCCACCTTGGCCTCCCAAAGTGCTGCGATTACAGGCATGAGCCACCGGGCCCAGCTGTTTGTTGAAGATTTTTGCATCAATTTTCAAGGATATTGGCCTGAAGTTGCCTTTTTCTGTTTTATCTCTGTTAGGTTTTGGTATCAGAATGATTGCTGTTCTTACATAATGAGTTGGGGAGGAGTTTCTTCTTTTTAATCTTTTGAAATTGTTCTGGTAGAAATAATATCAGCTTCTATTTGTACATCTGGTAGAATTCAGCTGTGAGTATGTTTGGTCCTGAGCTTCATTTAGTTGGTAGGCTACTTATTACTAATTCAGTTTTTTGAGCTTATCTATCTATTTAGGGCTTTGATTTTGTGTGTGTGTGTGTGTGTGTGTGTGTGTGTGTGTTGAGTTTTGGGAGGATGTATTTGTTCAATAATTTTTTTATTCTAGTTTTTTTTTTATGTGCATAGCAGACTTCAGTATATTTTTGTGGGGTCAGTGGTAATGTCTCTTTTTGTCATTTCTAATTGTGTTTATTTGTATCTTCATTAATCTAGCTCATAGTTTATTTACTTTTTTTAAATAGATTTAATGCCTGGATTTCTTGATATTTTGTAGTTTTTCATGTCTAAATCTCCTTCAGTTCAGATCTGATTTTGGTTATTTCTTGTCTTTTGCTAGCTTAGGGGCTGATTTGCTTTTGTTGCTCTCAGTCTTTTATTTATGATGTCAGGTTGTTAAACTGAGATCTTTCTAACTTTTTGATCTGAGGATTTAATGATATAAATTTTTCTTTTAACACTGCCTTAGCTGTATTGCAGAGATTCTGGTGTGTTGTATTTTTGTTCTTATTTGTTTCAAAACACTTCTTGGTTTCTGCCTTAATTTCATTATTTACCAAAAAAGTTATTCAAGTGTAGGCCATTTAATTTTTATTTAATTGTATAGTTTCCAGTTGTTTTATTGGTATTGAATTGTGTTTCTCTTAAGCTGTAAACTGTGTGTGTGCCTTGTATCGTTTTGGGATTTTTGAATTTGCTGAGAATTGTTTTTTTTCTGATTGTGTGGTCAATTTTAGAGTATGTGCCATGTGGTGATGAGAAGAATGTATGTTATGGTATTTTTTAGATGAAGAGTTCTGTAGATGTCTATTAGGACTATTTATTTGGTCAGGTGTTGAGTTCAGGTCCTAATATTGTTGTTGATTTTCTTCAATGATCTCTCCATTAGTGCCTGTGAGATGTAGTCCCCGATTATTACTGTCAGATTCTAAGTCTCTTCATAGGTCTCTAATAATTTGCTTTATTCATGTGAACCCATGGTTTTTTTTTATAACAATTTTCTCTCTTCTGCTTTTCCCCCCATAAACATTCTTTTAAGTGCACACAGTGTGCAAAATTCAGATGTCCAAGAGTTCAAGAACTTGTCCAGAGACCTGGCTTTTGTAAGAGAAAATATAAATGAGAAATAAGAGGCTTTATTCTCATATGTGAAAATAAGGGTGGATAACTTGCTGATTTTTAAAAAAAGGTTTAGATTATATGTATATATTTCTTCTGCTTTTTGAAATATATGTAAATCATATTAGAAATGAAACAAACCTTTTGTCATTCTTTTGACTCAGAATTGTCTTTATCTGGGACCTGAGATTCATTGCTTTCCTTTTTTCTTGGCAAAAGATTATATATATTTTTATCTTTAGTCTTTAAAGTAGACACAGATTTGTTGAGAGTAAAATTTATTTCAAGAGCCTAATAAAGTTAAGCACAAAGATCGGATTAATTTAGCAATACAGAATAATAAAGACTAAAAGATCCTGAGTAAGTTCTTTGGCAGAAACCCGATTATCCAAGGTGATTATTTGCAGGCTGAAATACTTACACTGCGAAAGCCAGAAGAGTTCAGTGTATAAACTGAACAGTGGAGTCTGTTGTACTTGGGTTGCTTCAGTACAGTTAGTATAGTTATGTGTAGTGTTTGTAGACAACCTGCATTCATGTAAATTAAACAGTATTTTCTAGAATAGTATAAATTTAAGGCCACAATATTTACTTTGATTGAATTCCTTATTTTAATATTGTTATTCATACTTTTGAAATATAGTGTTTCAACTGAATTATAGTTCAGATAATTTTAAAAAATCTTACATACATTATGACTAGTACATAAAATTATTCATACTTATATATTCATATCTGCTATCCCAAAAATTTTACCATTAAATTGTTACAGTAGATGTTAGTCTGACATGCTTATTAATTTACCCAATAGGAAAAATTATAGGTAGGCATAATTTTAGTGTCATATATTTTACCAAATTAGTATGCTGCTATTACAGGATAAATAAAGACAGGTGATATGGCTACTCAAAAACTGTAATAGCTCTCCAGTTAGGTATGTTGCAAGCTCTAATATATTCTACTATATTAACACAGTCAGATTTCAATTTTTTATAAAAAAGTGCTGGTGGAAGTTGTCAGATATATTCCAGTGTAGATCTCACATTCAATGGTTAGGAAATAAGAGAGCAGCAGAGATGGAAGATAAATCTTTTAAAATTCTGCTGAGAGCTAGGCGCTGTGGCTCATGCCTGTAATCTCAACACTTTGGGAGGCCAAGGTGGGTGGATCACCTGAGGTCAGGAGTTTGAGACCAGCCTGGACAACATGGTGAAACCTCGTTTCTACCAAAAATACAGAATTAGCCAGGTGTGGTGGTGTGTGTCTATAGTCCCAGCTATTTGGGAGGCTGAGACAGGAGAATCGCTTGAGCCCAGGAGGCAGAGGTTGCAGTGAGCCAAGATCATGCCATTGCACTCCAGCCTGGGCAACAAGAATGAAACTCCATCTCAAAAAAAAAAAATTGTGCTGAGAATATA
The DNA here is from genome assembly GCF_000001405.40 of Homo sapiens. Classification (NCBI taxonomy): domain Eukaryota; kingdom Metazoa; phylum Chordata; class Mammalia; order Primates; family Hominidae; genus Homo; species Homo sapiens. Next base: position 22,203,583 of record NC_000019.10, on the reverse strand, counting down.
CCCCCTTTATTCAATAATGCTCATGTTTCTCTTGCTGAGAGTAGCTATGCACTTTGGGTGTTTGGAGAGAAATTCTTCTTAGGGAAATATTTTCTGGCTGACTTGATCAATCTTATATCTAATCTCAGTTTTTTCTTAAGACACTTTTAACTTTTTTCTCTCAATATAATCTTTCTCAGAATAAGAGCTGTTTTTCTCTCTAATGCATTGTGTATCTGTTTCAGAAGCCCTATTAGTATTCCGTGGTGTCTGTGAAAGACGTGGGCTGTCACAGTGAGAACTCTCAGAGCTATCTCTATCTGGACTCATGCTAAAATCCAGCAGTATTTTTTTCATGCCGCCATTATAAATAAAAACTGAGGCTGAAACAGTGCTCCCTTTTCTATTATTGTGAAGGTGCAATTCTACCCAGGAGGCCTGCAGGCTCTCCTCCTGCTGCTCAGGCTTCACTGTCTGATGTGGCACTGGAGTGCTGCTGTGGCAAATGGGGTTCACCTAAGATGTGAGTTTCCAGCTGTGAGCCCTGTGCTGTGGGCTGTGCCTCAGTGGCAGATGGTGGGGTCAAGAGAGTACACTAGCCACCAAGAGAGGGAAAGCAGGAGTGTTCTAGCCCAGTGCTCAGAGAGTAGAGAGCTATTGCTTTAAAATGTAAATAGCCAAAAAGATAGCACCCGAATCAACACTTTTTGTAGAAGAGTCAAAGCCTACCTTCAGCAGGCCCTGGGGTTCAAGTTGCAAAACTACCTCTAGTCATGAAGATGTGAAAGCTTTACTTTGTCATTGATTATAACCAGTTAGCATACAGGGATGGCCTTCCCAGCTACCAGATGAATTCAGGATGAACTATGTATGACATGGTGCTGTAAATTCTACTTGTAGATGAATTATGGTGACTGTCTTTCTGTCTTTGCAATCTCTTGAGCAAATTGACTGTAATGCATGTCACATTCACATGTAATTGTGTAATAAAACAGTTTTCTTTCTGTTCTGTTATTATTTAATTCCTCTGGGGCTGAAGAAAATTTTGCTTCTAACTGTATTTTCCAAACCTTGTCTAGAATTACCAGACATAATATAAACACATAGGGTACCAACTAAGCTTTACTATAGATGGGCCTTTTCCACTCAGGCTTCCAGTCCATTCACAATTGTGCTGCGAAGTGCATGCTGTACCCTAAATATGCAGGTGGAATTGTGTCTCTGCCTACTTGGTATCTATCATCCTCTGCAGTCACTTTTAGAGAGGCTAGAACAGATTTCTACAAACTTTATAGGTCAGATATTAACCGTTTTACCTCTTTCAATGACTTGTGTCTTCAGACCTGAAACTGATTCAGTGACCATGGGGCACAGAAACCCAATCAGAGTAAAATATGTGCATTGAGTAGACCTGTAGACGTGAGAATCCAGTTCTCCCTCCCTCCTCATGCTATAATGCCCACAAATATTCAGATACCACCTGCTGCTACTTTACCCATGCAGGACCTGAATTTGCAGCTCCAAATTCTAAATCTAGGTCTTGAGAATTGAAAAGAAAAAAAAAAGTTTTTATCTGAGGAATGCAAGTCCTTTTAGTTATCAAAGTCAGAGAGCCATTAAAATGAGCACAGTTATGTTTTTCTCCCTTTTCTTCAGCTATGTATTTATCTCTTGAAACTGTTCACTATTGCCACAAGTAGCTTTAAATTAGACCAATAATTCCACTCTGGACACTAAATTCCATACCCTTAACCTTGATGTATATGCAATCAATTATTAAAGTTATTTCTTTACATAAGTAAAATTTCTCACAACCAATTTCGTATCAGCTCATTCACTGTACCTCTTTTTTTTTTTTTTTTTTTTTTTTTTTGCCTTTACAAATCCACTTGTAAGTGCTGCTAATGAAAGTGTAGATTCCAGGCAACTTGAATATTTTGTCTCAAGTTAAAATCCTTAAGCTTGACCCAAATAAACTGTCTGCTTATGTTCATGTTGTGTCAGCTTTTTTCAGGTAAAATATTATTTAGAATGTTCTAGAGCAGCCTCTAAGAGGGGATCTCTCCTTTCATTTCACTTTACTTGCTGTAACACCCAAAAATGCAGAGTGAGGTTGATTTCACCTAGAATTTGTAAATAAGACCTGGCCTCTGCCTGGAATTTACAAGGCAAAGCCAGACTTTGGATTGAGAATTTACAGAAAACCAACAGGAGGCATTTTCTGCATTGTGAGATATCAACATAGACATTTTAATTTCCTTTTTTGAGAGTGTGGCCTTTTGACCTTTCACATCTTCATTAACCTGCCCCAGTTATGTGAGAGGCTCCAGGAGTAAATAGAATCTGATGGCAGAATCTGTAAGTGTAAACAATCATCTTAAGGCCACAAAGTATCCAGAGCCACACCACAACTATACCTACTTGTAAAATGTGATACTGGAGTAGAGTATTCTTGTCCTTCTACTTACCCAACAGCTAGCAAATCAGGACAGGCAACCCAGATTCTGGAGTTCAGCCAAAGTAGTTCCATTTTTTATTTAGAATCATCCTGAGTCTTCTCTGTCTGTCTTATCATTGGACCATCAGCCCAGGTTCACTGGGAACCCTCTCACAATCACCTACGAATCTCTGAGACATTTGAGAATGTCCAGAACAGATCCCTGGTACTTGAGTAAAAAATCAGGAGGTCTGGAGGCTCAAAGAGATAAACTAATTGCTTCAATTTCATATAGTCATAAAAAAAAATAGAAGAAGCAGGCTGGGTGCAGTGTCTCATACCTGTAATCCCAGTACTTTGGGAAGCCAAGATGGTGGATCACCTGAGGTCAGGAGTTCGAGACCAGCTTGGCCAACATGGTGAAATAGGGATTTCACCATATTGAATAATATTGAATAATGTGTTGAATAAACCAACATATTTTAGCCAGGTGTGGTGGCTCATGCCTGTAGTCCTGGCTACTTGGGAGGCTGAGGCAGGAGAATCTCTTTAACCTGTTAGGTGGAGACTACAGTGAGCCGAGATCACACCATTGCACTCCAGCCTCCGCAACAAAGTGAGACTCAGTCTCAAAAAAAAAAAAAAAAAAAAATTGATGAAGCAGTCATGATTCCTACCATCCTGGAAGTTTTAGTCTAAACTAACAACTGGAAAAATGGTTGAATTATGCATCATATGGTGGGTACAATAAATAGATGTGCAAAAAACAACTTGGGCTTTATTTGAGCCACTTTCTTTATATTGTGGTTTCTGATGTCTACACCTGAACTTATAATTGGAAGAGTTGTTATTATTATTTGTAGTTCTTTTACCCTGCTAAGAATACTTATTTTTCTTCTAAAAAAATTATTATAGAAAACCTTAAGGGATTTTTTTTTAAATTTCTTATTAGTATGTAATATAAAATTTACAGGGCAGTGGCTAAAAAAGATTAAAATTATACAAACTCAGATTTAAGTTTACTTAAGTAAGATTTAAAAAAAAAGAACTTACAATACCCCCCAGTGCCATAGAGAACAGAATTGTACATTGGCTCTACACTCTGCCCCAGCCCTGTTCATATTCACCCTTTTTGGAGGCCTTATTTATGTCTGGCCCTACCCTGGAGTCTTGCCTCAAAGAACTGATTAGAAGAGATCAGAGTTTTGGGTCATGAATACTGTTGCCTTTTTAGAGCTGGTGTTCAACATTTTCTGAGACTTAAAAGCAGATAAATGGGAAATATAAAGTATGTATTATAGAATCTTACTTTACAAATTTTTAATTAAAACCAGTGCTTGCAGAGACATTATTTAGCAACTTGTTTTCTGTTCCTGCAGCTGATTTCTGTTTTCTGTTCTGTTTTCTATTCTTTGCAGTTGATTCACAAGTCACAAGAAAGTAAATATAAACACAATAAAAATTTATCTAAATTTTATTAAGCTCTTTCCATCTGTATCCCTTTCATCTGTCTATAGTTAGCTTTTATTCTATGCATTTTTTGAAAAATCAATGACAGATAAACAAATAGAAATAAAAATGCTGGGTCCTTTAAAGCCTTGGAATTATTGAACACTTAGTATCAACTGAAAGGGTGTTATTAGGATTAAATCACATAATGTGCTATCACAGTACTCTAACATCCTATTGAGCACATAGTACCTGCTTAATAAACATTGCATTAGTACATGTGCACACGTTGTTTTCCAAATGCTGACTTACTCAGAAATTGCTGCTTTCTGTTTTCTCTGTAAATTTTAAAGAGTCAGCAAATAATATAATACTTTAGGATGAAGAATGATTGTTTTCATTTGTACCAGAAGTATCTGTGTTCTGCCTCATTTCTCTAATTAATGCTAATAATAAGCCCAGTGGGAGCAACATCATTATTGACAGCGCACTTGTTTAAGTGACCCATTTATGGACCCTTTCCATACCTGCAGAATTACATTTCATAGAGTGGGGCCAAAATTACCAAGTCATTTATAAGCTCCTTAGAGCTTGAGAGGAAATGCTTAGTTAAGGGGTTATCAGCCCAGGCTTCTAATTAGTATCACCTGGCCATTTTGCAGAACTCTCTTTACTTGTGCCCTTTCCATGGATTCTGTTTATTGTTCTTGGTGGAAGCATTCATGTTGTTTTAATTAAGTGGCTCATGTGACTCTAAGGTGAGGCCAGAATCAAGTATGAGGAATTCATAATACATTCATGAGAGTTAAGTTCCATCTTTGCATTAAAGGGTGGTCCAAGAACCTGTTCTGTTTGGATTTGGTAGGGACAGTACACCGTGGCCCATATTTACATTACTGTGGCAGAAATTGCTGGTGCCTGTGTCAGGGGATGGCTCCTGAGGACAAAATAAAGAAAAGCATATTTTTATCTCTGTGGAGCTACTCATTGTTTCTTCATCTCTTCTGCTATAAAGGACAGAAATGGATGGAGTTTTTCTGTCTTGGTTCTTCTGCCTGTGGATGTGGTGACAGCAGGTAGACCTGTGGTGCTGACACTTTTAAAGGCATATTCTCAAGATGCAGGTGTAATTTGTCTAGAAAATTTTATCTGAGAAAGAATCCTAGGGAAGGAGGAGAAAGAGAAAAAAATGGCCTTTTCTTTTTCACCTAAACATGTCTGAGATCAAGATCTGTGTCCACTATTCTTCCTCCAGGAAACATACGTTTAGTACTTGCAAACCTGTACTTCTGTGTACCTGTGTTTTTCCTCCCTAATGAGTTTGTCTTAACTGCTTTAAAAAATTCTTACAATAATCAAAGTCTCTGAAAAATATATTTTTTTCTATATACCAGAGCTTTCTCTATATTATGGCTTCTTATATGCCATGCAGAAATCTCACTATGAATTTATAATCTGCAATATTAAAAATGTCCCTTTGTGGCTGTTGAACATGGGAAAGTGTAGATACTCAAAATTCATATTGGGGAAAACCTGGGGTTTTTAGTGAAGACAGAGAACATGTAATGTTGTGGTTTCATCTGTGTTCTTTATTATGTCTATGCAGTACAAGATTAAGAAAACACTCATTGAAGCAGTGTGGTATTTATTACCCAGAAAATTCTAAAAAAAATTGTTAGGAGATACCTGCTCTCTCAGTGCTGAAGAAATACTATTTAAAATCACTACTAAAAGTTACAGAACATGGGAGATATCTCTATCTTGAACTTTCCATAAAACTAATGTTTCCTTATGGTTAAATTCAGACTATAATTTACCTTTCAGAGGGGGGGCAATATCTCAGCAGTAATACTGTGTCCTTCTGGGTACATCAGGACATTAAAAAAATGTGTTCTAGTGTAATTGATGTTAATAAATCACTTGGTTGATAAGCTCTCTGACACATTTTTTTACTATGGAATTAATCATTTTCCTCTTCATCATTAAATATCTTTATGCAGCTGATGTGAATAAACCAAAACATTTAATCTGACAGCTGCCCTTCTTTCTTAGGTTTCCTTTGCATTTGTCTGTTTTTGGAAAATGAAGGCTCTTATCTTTGTTTACAAACCAGAAAAACAGAAAAACACAGGCTCATTCTATTACTGGATGTTTTAAAAAATAGTCTTTTTGGGCCAAAAACATTGGCATACTGATGAGCTTATTAGAAATTCAGCAACTCAGACTTTATCCCAGATCTGAAAAAAAAAAAATTGCATTAACAGGATCTCTAGCTTATTGCACACATTAAAATTTGAGTCATACCTTCTAACTCAACATGTCTATTCCATCTGAATAATATGCAAAACTATGTCTTTTCCATCTGAAAAATACACACGATGAATTTTTTTTTTTTTTTTTGAGATGGAGTTTCACTCTTGTTGCCCAAGCTAGAGTGCAATGAATCTTGGCTCACTGCAGCCTCCGCCTCCTGGGTTCAAGCAATTCTCCTGCCTCAGCCTCCCGAGTAGCTAGGATTACAGCCATGTGCCACCATGCATGGCTAATTTTGTGTTTTTAGTAGAGACGGGGTTTCACCATGTTGGTCAGGCTGGTCTCGAACTCCCAACCTCAGGTGATCTGCCCACCTCAGCCTCCCAAAGTGCTGGGATTACAGGCATGAGCCACCATGCCTGGCACACAATTCTGTATGATGTAAATATAGCACTCAAAATTGTACATGTTAGTGTTTTTGCCCTCAATTTTATACTTTATTATCTAGAAAAATATTACATATACACAGATGTTATGGATCTTATACCACTTTCTTTTCTCAGAGTTAGAGAATACATTAGTGAACATTTCTGTGTTGAAAACTATTTTATTGAATAATTTCAGTCATTCATATAAGTCAGAACCAGCTCTCTCTACTCTCTCCATTTTACCTTGAGTCACATTAAAAGTTCTGCCCATGACCAATTGGTAAATATATGTGTTTGTGTGTGTTTTCCAGGGAGCATTGACATTTAGGGATGTGGCCATAGAATTCTCTCTGGAGGAGTGGCAATGCCTGGATTCTACACAGCAGAATTTATATAGGAATGTGATGTTAGAGAACTACAGAAACCTGGTCTTCCTGGGTGAGAATAACTTTAATACGCAATTCCTAGTATATACTACAGGTTTCATTTTGCTGCAGACCTTATTGGACTGAACAAAGGAGGATGAATGCGAGAATACAGACAAAGACAAAAGAGTATATTTGGAAGAAGGGGTCGTGGACTCCTTGCTTCTGGTGAACAAGGGTCCTGAGCTTCTATAGCCCTTTGTATTTATTGAGTAAAGGAGATAGGGAGAAGGGGGAGGTTGTGGTCAGCTGCTTGACTTAATGCAGGCCTGCATGACTGTATTCTTTGAACAGTACTCTCCAGATGTTCCAGTAGATAACTCCAAGGAGCATGGCACCAGGGAGTGACTGTCCTCAGTATACCTTCTGGTGGCAGGAGCAGAAGCAAGTTTGCCCACATTCTGCACTCATGATAAACAGTTTGCTGTTTGATCATATAGCCTCCAGTGGAATGCTGAGTTGGTCACAACACTCAGGCATTCAGCTCCCAACATTTCCCCCTTCCTGTTTATGCATTAATCAAATAAACGTAAGGCCAGGTTGGGCAGCTCTCATTTTGTGATTGGTCCGTCGGATTTTACAGACTATGAACAGAAAACAGAGACAGAACAGCATTACTCCAAAAACTACATATGAGATGTTTGTGTGGTGCTTTAGATAGGTCCAAGGATTGAGGCTCTCCAGGCCTTGCTGGAATTCGGTCCAGTCTTCTAAAGAAGGCTGAAACTCTTGAGTTTGCTTATTTAAATCAAGAATTTTGTTTTGTAATTCACCAGTATCAAAGGTGATGTTGGGTGTGAAAGCTCCCCGCAAATGGGCTTTCACAAGGTCCCATGGATACTCGCTTTGGTTATATTCTACGTTGGTTACACATATATGAGTGTGATTTAAATGATAGCACAATTGCTCTTTCAATTGTAAGTTTTGTAATTGTTCTCCTAACCATAGAACCATGGATTTCAACATTGCCACTTGTTTATAACTCAGTGTTAATTTTATTCTTTAGTAGCCATGCTTGGTTGGCTGTATGCCTCTGCATCCAGTTCTCCACATACTGAGCTGTTGAATAGAACTATGCAAAGCTACAGAGGACATCACAATAGAAGTTATTAGTGTGACCAAGGAAACAATAGCAAAAATTATCATGCCTAAGGGTCTGCGGACACGATAAGTAAGTTGAGTTAGAAGAAGTTTCACAAAGTGCAAAGCAGGGGTGGCAGCCCAAGGCTTGGACAGATTATTAGAAATCCATAGCCCAGGGATGCGACCCAAAATGTGCCAAGACGGGGGCTAATCCTTACTGGGTATTACTGACACATCGGCTCCTGTTTCCATAAGCCCATAAAATTTCTTTCCTTTAGTTTGTACTACACAGGTGAGTCTGTTAGAGGCTATGAGTTGTGATGGATAGATTTCTCATGTAGTTGTGCTCCCAAACCCTTTATTTCCTCATTTCTCCTTTTGTGGAAAAGGGTGTAATTTGCAGGGCATAAGCAATAATTGCACTATATATTCCCCTGGTTCAAAAACCCAAAGATCTTGTGACATTAAAACTACTTGGATTTCTCCTTTATAATTGGAGTCAACTACTCCTGGGATTACAGTGATGCCTTGCAAGTTAAGGCAGCTTTTGCCTAAAATTAGTCCCATGTATCCTGCTGGTATAGGTCCCCAAATGACAGTGGGTACTTTGGTAGGTTTGTCTCCTATAACTAATGTAATTCTTTCTCTGACTGGGAGATCTAATCGTGCACTTCCTGGTGTTCCTGGGGAGAGGGAATCAATGTTTCTCCTGGGACCAACCCTTGAAGTGGGGTTGTGGCCTGAACTGGGAATGCCGTCATTGTTTGAGGGGACTGGGTCCAGGGCCCCTTCTTGTTTCCTAGCGGGGGTGTTATTATGATGAAATTTTGAGCGGCACTGATTCGCCCAATGATGTCCATTGTTACAGCCCAGTGATTCCCTTTGTTACAGCGAGGACAGAATCCTGGTGTTTTTTCTGCTCGGGGTGGGGAGCACCGCATTGTAAGGTCCTTTCTGTCCTGAGATCTGGTGGCATTCCTTTTTGAAATGTCCAGTTTTTCCACAGTTGTAACATTTTCCCACTTTAGGGTTTGAACCTTGGCTCCTTTTAGATCTGTCAACTACTAAACTAGCCATTGCTTGTGCTAACATTGTAGAACAATGAAATTCAGTTCCTGCATTCTGACAAGCTTTAAGGTAATTCCCCAAGCTTTGTGTGGATCTCACAGGAGCCATTGCACACTTGCAATCTGCATTTACATTTTCATAGGTTAGAATTATGGTAAGCATTTCTGCAGCAGGGGCATTAGGGATCTGATGCCACACTGCCTCTTGCAGCCATGTGATATATTGTGCATAAGGCTCTCATGATCCCTGCATGACATGTAGAAAGACTGCACTGGAACTCCCTCTTCAGGAATTGTGCTCCAAGCATGCTTGGCGGCTAAGGCAGACCAGTGGTAAGCAGCATCTGGGAATGTTAATTATTGTACCAGATCTGAAAATGGGCCATTGCCTGTCATCATTTTCTCTCTAATGTTTCCTTGACCAGCAGTGTGATTCTACCTAGCCTGATCTGCACACATTTCTTGCCAGTTTAAGCTCCATATCAGGTATGCACTGGCGGATAAGCAAGTGCAACCCAAATGTTTTATATCAAAGAGTGGGAGGTGCATGGCTCTGAACACCAATTCTAACAGCCCTATAGTGAATGGGCTTTGCACTCCATTATTAACCACACTAGCTTTTAATTCTTTCAGTAATTTAAACTGTACAGGAGTGTGCTCATGTAAAAGATGTTGCAGATTGTTTGGATCAGGCCTCACAGTAATAGGAAAAGCACAAGGTCCTAAAGGTTCCCTAGCCGCAGCATCAGCATGCAAAATTTTTTGTATGGGAGTTTCTACTTCTGTTATTGGAGGGGGTAGCAGAGGCCAATTCTCCTCTCCTTTTTCCTGCTTAGCAAATGGACAATTCTTCCCTTTCTCCTGCTCATTATTTTCAATAGGCGCTGTTGGAGGAAGAAATTATCTTTTTAATTCTTGAGACTCAAAACCTGACTCCTGTTGTCTGACAAAATAAGAAGGAGACAGCGGCAGTAGGACCGTGCAAACCAAACCCCAAGCAGAAAACACAGAAGGGTCTCCTTTAAGACCTTTTTGACGAACCCATTTCAATCCATCTCCTACTCTGTTCCAGTTTTCCACAGTGAGAGTACCTGCCTGCAGAAACCATGGGTTATGCGCAATAACCTTCTGAAGAAGCTTAATGTTTGTGAATTAACTTGAGCTCCAGACTGTTTCAACAGAACTTTAAGCAACTGCACATAACGTTTTTCTTCAACAGACATGTTATAATTTAGTATTTTGGGATAAATGTATTAGAATATTCTATTACATCCTCTTTACTGAGCACATTACTAAGTTGGTAATTGGAGAATATGAGCAAGATGGATGTTGTTCATTTTTAATAAAACAGGTATTGCTGCCTTTAAGCCAGACCTGATCATTTTTCTGGAGCAAGGAAAAGAGCCCTGGAATATGAAGAGACATGAGATGGTGGAAGAACCCCCAGGTAGGTGAGAGTGAATACAGACAACATGAATGAGAAGTCCAAAGTCAATGAGGAAGCCAGTCCTTAAAGTCATTTGGGAAGCTGTGTTCCAAAAGTAGTTGTTTCTGGAAAGCTAATTTTTATTTTTATTTTTTAATTTTCTCTCACACAGGGGCATCTTCTAACTTATGCTTTTAAAATTTCTAAGAATTCTTCTTTCCCTTAAGTAATTTTCCTTCAAGTTTACAGTGATAGCCAAAGTACTGTTCATGGCATACAAGAGAGTGCAATCTGACTTTTTTTTGTTTTTGTGGACACATAGATATCCGCGTAATTTTAAGGTACTCCATGTTAAACTATCTTTTAAGTTCTCTTTTTCCATCATCTCTGAAGTGTGTGAGAGTAGTGGTTTCTGTATCATTGGGGTTTTTTTGGTTCATTTTTCTGCACATTTCATTCTGTTTTTATTACTATAGTCTTGAAATATAGTTTGAAATTATAAAGTATAATATCCTTCTGCTTTTTTATTTTTCCTCAAGATTGCTTTGGCTATTCACAGTTTCTTGTAGCTTCATGTAAATTTTATGATTGTATTTTTCATTACTGTGAAAGAAAAACACTGGAATATTGACAGAGTTTACTGAATCTAGAGATCACTTTGGGTAATATGATATTTTAACATTTATTTGAATCTATAGACATAAAATATATTTAAATTTATTTGTGTTCTCTCATTTTTCATTGATAAATCCTTGAAAAGTTTTTCAGCTCCTCAATTAAATTTGTTCTCAGATATTTATTATTTTAGTGCTATTGTAAATAAGATGGTTTTCTTTTTCTATTTTATCAGATAGTTTAAGTGTATGGAATCATAACTTATACTTGTATGTTAATTTTATATTTTGCTAATTTGCTGAGTGTATTTATTAGTTTGAAAAGATTTTAATGTACTGTTTATGGTTTTTTATAGAGAACATTGCATGATCTACAAACAGCAATGTTTTACTTATTTGCCTTCAATTTCAGTGACTTAAAAATTTTTTTGACTAATTTTTCTTCCACATACTTCAAGTGCTGTGTTAAGATAGAAGCATTGTCAGTGGCACAGTATGCTTTTGCATTGGTGTCTGAATTTGAAGGAGTAAACACCTCTTAAAATTTTTATAAACTGGTTTCAGAGGGTAAAAATCTTCTTTTTTGGGGCCCCCAGGGTGATAGAATGCCCTCTGGGTTTGTAGTAGAGTGGGGTTGTAGCTTGGTCACAAGGCTGCTGGCTCTGCACTAGGGTTGGCTTATTACAAGGGGCTTGGGCAGTTGTAATTCCCATTTTATTTTTGGACAGAGTAAATATCCTTCAGGACGTTGCTCAGTAGGGTAGACGCTAGGGCAGGTTTCTACAGTCAAGTCTGCATATGGTGGGCTTTATATTAGGATGTGGATTAGTATGGCTTTTCATTGAGTACCAGAGAGGATTTCTGAGGTCACTGTGGGATTCTATGTAGGCAGAACTGGCCATGAACTGTGGCTTAGGAAGCTGGAACTGAGTCATGGAACTGCTATTGGGACGACAGTAAGGACCAAGGTCTGCAGGCCTGCCAGCATGGCTCTAAATGGGTATCAGTCTCCAAGCCTCTGGAGGACCAAGACCTCTCACAGACTGTGGCTGGGAGGAGTTTGGGATGGTTACAGAGTAAGTTCAAAATTCTCTGTGGGACCAAGTAGGGTGGGACATTTTCTGGTCTGTAGTCAAGAGCAGGGGTCCTCTAGTTTGCCACCTGAATGAAAGCTTGCCTTCTGAAAAGGGTGCTCCTCAATCTTGGGCTTTAGCAAAGTTTCACAATTCCCTCACTGGATCTCAAAGCTCTCTTAAAGGCACTTATTTTTGAGATAAGGTCTCACTACATAACCCAGGTTGGTCTTAAAGTTTTGGCCTGCAGCAATTCTCCAACCTTTCTATACCATGTAGCTGTCATTACAGATGTTAACCATGATGTCTGATTCTCTCATTAAGACATTTTTGTCGTGGATGACTGACAGACTTTCTTGCTGTTGGGGGTTAAGCAAATAGGGGACCTTTTTCTTTTTATCTGTTTCTAAGAGTGTAATTGCTTTATATCTATCTATCTCATAGAATCTTTGTCTTTTTATGGCTGACTCATTTCATTTTGCATAATGTTATCAAGATTTATCTTTATAATTGCTTTATAATTTCTGCTTTTGAAAACTGAGTGATATTCCAGTATTTTTATATTTCAAATTATATTTACTGAATGATTTGGTAACAAATTTGCATTGCCTTTATTAGTTTACAGTAATAATTATTGCTATGTAAATGACTCCTCATATGACCATATATCTTAAAGTGTGTATGTATATATATATATATATATATATATATATATATATGTTGCATTCTATTTTATTAGTCTAATTTTTCATCCTTATACTTAACCAGATTGTTTTAATTCTGTAGCTTGGAATGTCTTTTGAAATCAGGAACTTTAATGCCTGCAACATTGCTTTATTATTATTATTATTTTAAGATTGTTGGGTATTGTCTTTTGAGATTCTATATACTTTTAGGGTTGCTGTTTCTATTTTTTCAAAAATGCAGTGAGAAATTTGAGGAACATTTCATTAACTGTGTAGATTACATTGAGCAGGATGAACATCTTTACAGTATTATTACAACCTTTGCATAAGAGCGTGCTCGAGTGTTTTGTTAAATTCCTGTATATTTGAGAAGATGCTGTGTTTTGTTTTCTGTTCTTGTGTTAGTTTGCTGAGAATGATGGTTTCCAGCTTCATCCGTGTCCCTGCAAAGGATGTGAATTCATTTTTTTTATGGCTGCATAGTATTCCATGGTGTATATGTACCACATTTTCTTTATCCAGTATATTACTGATGGGCATTTGGCTTGGTTCCAAATCTTTGCTATTGTGAATAGTGCTGCAGTAAACATACATGTGCATGTGTCTTTATAGTAGAATGATTTATAAACTTTTGATTATATACCCAGTAATGGGATTACTGGGTCAAATGGTATTTCTAGTTCTAGATCCTTGAGGAATCGCCACATTGTCTTCCACAATGGCTGAACTAATTTACACTCCACTCAGCAGTGTAAAAGCTTTTCTACTTCTCCACATCTTTGCAGCATCTGTTGTTTCCTGGCTTCTTAATGATCTCCATTCTAACTGGTGTGAGATGGTATCTCATTTTGGTTTTGACTTACATTTCTCTAATGACCAGTAATGATGTGCTTTTTTTCATGTGTCTGTTCGCTGCATAAATGTCTTCTTTTGAGAAGTGTCTGTTCATATCCTTTGCCCAATTTTTGATGGGGTTGTTTGTTTTTTTTCTTGTAAATTTGTTTAAGTTCTTTGTAGATCCTGGATATTAGCCCTTTGTCAGATGGATAGATTGCAAAATTTTTCTCCCATTCTGTAGGTTGCCTGTTCACTCTGATGATAGTTTCTTTTGCTGTGTAGAAGCTCTTTAGTTAAATTAGGTCCCTTTTGTCAATTTTGGCTTTCATTGCCATTGCTTTTGCTCTTTTAGTCATGAAGTATTTGCCCATGCTTGTGTCCTGAGTAGTATTCTCTAGGTTTTCTTCTAGGATTTTTATGGTTTGGGGTATTACATCATCTTTAAATCTTTTACATCTTTAAATCAATTTGAGTTAATTTTTGTATAAGGTGTAAGGAAGGGGTCCAGTTTCATTTTTCTGCATATGGCTAGCAAGTTTTTTCAACATCATTTATTAAATAGGGAATCCTTTCCCCATTTCTTGTTTTTGTCAGGTTTGTCAAAGATCAGATGGTTGTAGATGTGTGAGGTTATTTCTGAGGGCTCTGTTCTGTTTCAGTTGTCTATATATCTGTTTGGATACCAGTACCATACTGTTTTGGTTACTGTAGCCTTGTAGTATAATTTGAAGTCAGGTATCATGATGCCTCCAGCTTTGTTCTTTTTGCTTAGGATTGCCTTGGCCATGTGAGATTTTTTTTTTGGTTCCATATGAAATTTAAAGTAGTTTTTTCTAATTCTGTGAAGAAAGTAAATGGTAGCTTGATGGGAATGGCATTGAATCTGTAAATTACTTTGGGCAGTATGGCCATTTTCACGATATTGATTGTTCCTATGCATGAGCGTGGAATGTTCTTCCATTTGTTTGTGTCCTCTCTTATTTTCTTGAGCTGTGGTTTGTAGTTCTCCTTGAAGAGTTCCTTCACATCCCTTGTAAGTTGTATTCCTAGGTATTTTATTCTCTTTGTAGCAATTGTAAATGGGAGTTCACTCATGATTTGGCTCTCTATTATTGGTGTATAAGAATGCTTGTGATTTTTTCACATTGATTTTCTATCCTGAGACTTTGCTGAAGTTGCTTATCAGCTTAGGTAGATTTTGGGCTGAGACAATGGGGTTTTCTAAATATACAAACATGTCATCTGCAAATAGAGACTATTTGACTTCCTCTTTTCCTATTTGAATATCATTTATTTCTTTTTCTTGCCTGATTGCCCTCACCAGAACTTCCAATACTATGTTGAATAGGAGTGGTGAGAGAGGGCATCCTTGTCTTGTGCCAGTTTTCAAAGGGAATGCTTACAGTTTTGCCCATTCAGTATGATATTGTCTGTGGGTTTGTCATAAATACATCTTATTATTTTGAGATATGTTCCATCTCTACCTAGTTTAGTGAGAGTTTTTAGCACGAAAGGTGTTGAATTTTGTCAAAAGCCTTTCCTGCATCTATTGAGATAATCATGTGGTTTTTGTCTTTGGTTCTGTTTATGTGATAGATTACATTTATTGATTTGTGTATGTTGAACAAACCTTGCATTCCAGGGATGAAGCCAACTTGATCTTGGTGGATAAGCTTTTTGATGTGCTGCTGGATTCGGTTTACCAGTATTTTATTGAGGAGTTTTGCATCAGTGTTCATCAGGGATATTGGCCTGAAATTTTCTTTTTTTGTTGTGTCTCTGCCAGGCTTTGGTATCAGGATGATGCTGGCCTCATAAAATGAGTTATGGAAGAGTCCCTCTTTTTCTATTGTTGGGAATAGTTTCAGAAAGAATCGGCTCTTCTTTGTACCTCTGGTACAAAGGCTGTGAATCCATCAGATTCTGGACATTTTTGGTTGGTAGGCCCATAAGTACCGCCTCAATTTCAGAACTTGTTATTGGTCTATGCAGGGATTTGACTTCTTCCTGATTTAGACTTGGGAGGGTGTATGTGTCCTGGGATTTATTCATTTCTTCTAGATTTTCTAGTTTATTTGCATAGAGACGTTTATAGTATTCTCTCATGGTAGTTTGTATTTCTGTGGAATCAGTGGCGGTGTCCCCTTTATTATTTTTGATTGCATCTATTTGATTCTTCTCTCCTTTCTTCCTTTTTAGACTGGCTAGCAGTCTATCTATTTTGTTGATCTTTTTGAAAAAAAAAATAGCTCCTGGATTCACTGATTTTTTTGAAGGGTTTTTTGTGTCTATCTCCTTCAGTTCTGCTCTGTTCTTAGTTATTTCTTGTATTCTGCTAGGGTTTGAATTTGATTGTTCTTCTCTAGTTCTTTTAATTGTGATTTTAAGTTGTCAATTTTAGATCTTTCCTGCTTTCTCTTGTGGGCATTTAGTGCTACAAATTTTGTAGACACTGCTGCTTTGTCTGTGTCCCAGAGATTCTGGTATGTTTTGTCTTTGTTCTCATTGGTTTCAAAGAACTTTTTTATTTCTGCCTTCATTTAATTATTTACCCTGTAGTCATTCAGGAGCAGGTTGTTAATTTTCCATGTAATTGTACGGTTTTGCGTGAGTTTCTCAATCCTGAGTTCTAATTTGATTGCACTGTGGTCTGAGAGACTGTTTGTTATTATTTCTGTTTTTTTACTTTTGCTGAGGACTGTTTTACTTCCAATTATGTGGTTAATTTTAGAATAAGTGTGATGTGATGCTGAGAAGAATGTATATTCTGTTGATTTGGGGTAGAGCCCTGTAGATGTCTATTAGGTCTGCTTGAGTTCAAGTCCTGAACATCCTTGTTAGTTTTTTGTCTCATTTATCTGTCTAATATTGACAGTGGGGTGTTAAAGTCTCCCACTATTACAGTATGGGAATCTAAGTTTCTTTGTAGGTCTTTAAGAACTTGCTTTATGATTCTGGGTGCTCCTGTGTTGGGCGCATATATATTTACGATAGTTAGCTCTTCTTGTTGCATTGATCCTTTTACCATTATGTAATGCCCATCTTTGTCTCTTTTGATCTTTGTTGGCTGAACATCTGTTTTATCAGAGAATAGAATTGCAGCCCCTGCTTTCTTTTGCTTTCCATTTGCTTGGTAAATATTCCTCCATCAATTTATTTTGAGCCTATATGTGTCTTTGCATGTGAGATGGATCTCCTGAATACAGCACTTTGTTGGATCTTGAATCTTTATTCAATTTGCCAGTCTGTGTCTTTTAATTGGGGCATTTAGCCTGTTTACATTTAAGGTTAATATTGTTATGTGTGAATTTGATCCTGTCATTATGATGCTAGCTGGTTATTTTGCCCATTAGTTGATGCAGTTTCTTCATAGTGTCGATGGTCTTTACAATTTGGTATGTTTTTGCAGTGGCTGGTTTACCAGTTGTTCCTTTTGATGTTCAGTGCTTCCTTTAGGAGCTCTTGTAAGGCAGGCCTGGTGGTGACAAAATCTCTCAGCATTTGCTTGTCTGTAAAGGATTTTATTTCACCTTCGCTTATGAAGCTTAGTTTGGCTGGATATGAAATTCTGGGTTGAAAATTCCTATCTTTAAGAATGTTGAATATTGGCCCCCCAGTCTTCTGGCTTGTAGGGTTTCTGCAGAGAGATCCACTGTTAGTCTGATGGGCTTTGCTTTGTGGGTAACCCTACATTTCTGTGTGGCTGCCCTCAACATTTTTTTCTTCATTTCAACCTTGGTGAATCTGACGATTCTCTCTCTTGGGGTTGCTATTCTTGAGGAGCATCTTTGTGGTGTTCTCTGTATTTTCTGAATTTGAATGTTGGCCTGTCGTGCTATGTTGGGGACATTCTCCTGGATGATATCCTGAAGAGTGTTTTCCTACTTGGTTCCATTCTCCCCATCACTTTCAGGTACCCCAATCAAACGAAGATTTGGTCCTTTCATAGTCCCATATTTCTTGGAGGCTTTGTTTGTTTCTCTTTATTCTTTTTTCTCTAATCTTGTATTCTTGCTTTATTTCATTAAGCTGATCTTCAATCTCTGATATCCTTTCTTCTGCATTATCGATTCAGCTATTGATACTTATGCATGCTTCACAAAGTTCTCGTGCTGTGTTTTTCATCTCCATCAGGTCATTTATGTTCTTCTCTAAACTGATTATTCTCATTAGCAATCCTTCTAACCTTTTTTCAAGGTTCTTAGCTTCCTGGCATTGGGTTAGAACACGCTCCTTTAGCTTGGAGGAGTTTGTTATTACCCACCTCTGAAATTTGCAAATTTGAATTTGTCAATTCGTCAAACTCATTCTCCATTCAGTTTTGTTTTTTTTTTTTTGCTGGTGATGAGTTGTGATCCTTTGGAGGAGAATAGGCATTCTGGTTTTTGGAATTTTCAGCCTTTTTGCACTGGTTTCTCCCCATCTTTATGGATTTATTGACTTTTGGTCTTTGATGTTGATGACCTTCGGATGGTGTCTCTGAGTAAACATCCTTTTTGTAGATGTTGCTTCTATTCCTTTCTGTTTGTTAGTTTTCCTTTTAACAGTCAGGCCTCCCTGCTGCAGATCTGCTAGACCTTGCTGGAGGTCCACTCCAGACCCTTTTTCCTGGGTATCACCAGCAGAGGCTGCAGAATAACAAAGATTGCTGCCTGTTCCTTCCTCTGGAAGGTTTGTCCCAGAGGCCACCTGCCAGATGCCAGCCAGAGCTCTCTTGTATGAGGTCTCTATCAGCTTCTACTGGGAGGTGTCTCTTAATCAGGAGACACGGATGTCAGGGACCAACTTGAGGTGGCAGTATGACCCTTAGCAGCGCTTGAACGCTGTGCTGGTAGATGCACTGCTCTCTTCAGAGTTGTCCAGCAGGGATGTTTAAGTCTGCTGAAGCTGTGCTCCCAGCTGTCCCTTCCCCCAGGTGCTCTGTCCCAGGGAGATGGGTGTTTTTACTATATGCCCCCGACTGTGGCTGCTGCCTTTTTTTTTTTTTTTTTTTTTTTTTTCAAAGATGCCCTGCCCAAAGAGGAGGAACCTGGAGATACAGTCTGGTCTTGCTAGCTGCGGTGGGCTCCACCCAGTTCAATCTTCTGGGTGGCTTTATAGGGTAAAGCTGCCTACTCAAGCCTCAGCAATGGCAGACGCCCTTCCCCCACCAAGCTCGAGCTTCCCAGGTCAAGCTTAGACTGCTGTGCTTGCAGCCAGAATTTCAAGCCAGTGGGTCCTAGTTTGCTGGGCTCCATGGTGTGGGACCCACTGAGCCAGGCCACTTGACTCCCTGGCTTCAGCCTTCTTTCCAGGGGAGTGAATGGTTCTGTCTCACTGGCCTTCTGGGCACTATACTGGGGTATGGGGAAAAAAAAGAAAAAACTCTTGCAGCTAGTTTGGTGTCTGCCCAAACGGCCTCCCAGTTTTGTGCTTGAAACCCAGGGCCCTGGTGTCATAGGCACCAGAGGGAATCTTCTGGTCTGTGGGTTGTGAAGACCATGGAAAAGCACAGTATCTGGGCTGGAGAGCACTGTTCTTTATGGTACAGTCCCTAAACCCTTCCTTTGGCTAGGAGAGGGAGTTCCCCAACCCCTTGCACTTCCTGGGTGAGGCAACACTGCACCCCACTTCGGCTCACCCTCCATGAGCTGCATCCACTGTTCAACCAGTCCCGTTGAGATAAACCGGGTACCTCAGTTGGAAATGCAGAAACCACCCACCTTCTGTGTCAGTCTTGCTGGGAGCTGCAGATCAGAGCTGTTCCTATTTGGCCATCTTGCCAGCCTCCTCTATTTTCATTTTTATTACCGAAAGTGTGGTATAATAATATCCTACTATAATTATATTGATCTCCTTGTGTTTCTTCTATTCTATCAATATTTGCTTTATATATTTGTAATCCTAATGTGAGACACACACATACACACATTCAGATTTTTCACAGATTCCCAGTTAATCTATTATTTTTTAATATCTTTCTTTGTCTCTTTGGAGTTTCATTGTCAAGTGCATTTTATAAAATATGAGTCTTTGACTTAAGATTTAGCTTGTGTAATATTATTTTGACCTCTTCTGCTCTCACTTGACTAATATTTGCATGAAATGTCTACTTCCATCTTGCCACTTTGAGTCTTTTTAACATTAGATTTCAACTGACTCTTGTAGAAAGGCAAGTTGGATCTTGATATTTAAAATTTTTTAAATAACCTGGGCATGGCGGCTCGTGCCTATAATCCTAGCACTTTAGGTGGCCAAGGCAGGTGGATCACCCAAGGTGTGAGGGGTTCCAGACCAGCCTGGCCAACATTGTGAAACCTCATCTCTACTAAAAATACATAAATTAACTGGTAGTGTTGGTAGACTTTTGTAATCCCAGCTACTCGGGAGTGTGAGGCAGGAGAACTGCTTGAACCTGGGTGGCAGAGGTTACGGTGAGCTGAGATAGTGTCATTGCACTCCAGCCTGGGCAACAAGAGTAAAACTTTGTCTCAAAAGAAAAAATGTTAATAAATCTATTAAAATTCTGTTGATTTGAAAGTTAATTTTCCGTATATTTAAATAATTTTCTGAAAGTAAAGGAGTTACTTTTATTTTATTACCTATTCTATTTAATTCTTTCATCTTGTCCCTCATTTTCTCTTTCTGTCTTCCTTTGTTTCTTTCTGGTTTTCGTATTGATATGCTTTCATTTTCTTATTTTTCTTTTGTGTATGTATACAGATTTTTTTGTGTGGTATCTTGGGGATTACATAAAACCTCTAAAAATAAAACAATATATTTTAATCAGGTGAAAAATTAACTTCAGTTGCATAAAAAAGTCCTCCTTATTATGTCTGCTCTTAAATTTTTCACTGATGTTGCTAAGTTTATCTATTTATGTTGTATATTCATTAACAGATGTTTATAATAATTCCTGTGCTTTTATCTCTCAAATGTTAGAGAATAATTAAAAATGTTTTCTGCACCATTAGAATAATGCTAGAAATTCAATTTTTTTGTGTGTGCATATCTTTCCTAGAAAATAATGTATTTTTATATGACTAGGTGTTGTTTTCTTACATTATGTTATTTTCAGTGGTAAGAACTACTTTCAGCATCTTTCCTATGGAAGACGTATGCAGTGCAAAATATACTTTTTAAGAATTTGGTTATTTTGAAAGCTCTTTTTTTTTTTTTCTTTTAGGCAGGACAGATTTGCTGATGGTATTTATTCTCACTTTATAGCTTCTTTTTTTTGTTTGCTTTTTTTTTTTTTTTTTAGAACTTTGACTATATCACACTGTTCTCTTCTATCCTGCAAATCTTTTGTTGACAATTCACTGGTTATTTTTGTTCTTATCCTCATTTTTCTCATTTTCTATAGTCTTTTGTGTTCCTGCTTCACTCATTGAGTGCTATTCAATTTTTAAAATTAGTATATACATTTTCAATGGTTTCTTTCTGAAAACTTTATAATATTTTTGATAAGATTATATTGCCCTATTTTGTATAGACTGTAATCTTTGAGATTTGGACATTTAAAAAGGCCACCTGTCACAAAATTTATAATGTAGCTTTGTCCTGGCATAGTCAGAAAATAATGGTCTTGGCTAGAGATTATGTGGGTCTCTCAAACATCTTCAGGTTTGTCTTGTCTGAAATTTTGTGTTTATTTTTAGTTAAAAGAGACTATTTATGTTTCTTCTGAAAAGTAATCACTTGGTACACCTGTACTCTCTCTGTGGCACTGCAGTGCTCTGCTGCAGTGCATTTACCTTTGATCTCAGCAGGCTCAAACTTTCATTTCAAAGTATACCACCATGTATTTCAGCACTTTATGTCATGAGAGACAGAAACCAGTGTGTGGAAAGAGCCATAGAAGACAAAAATTAAATTGGATGTGTCAATATTTTACTTTCCTTAAAAAAAAAAAAAAATCAGAAATGGACAATTTGCTTCTGAAGGGACTAGGTAATATTGAGGAGCAGAAAGAGTTGTATTGGGTAAATTTAACAAACTTTTCTTGTTTTCTATGTGGCTCTTTGCATTGGGCTTAATTGAGGAAATGCACACACTTAACTCATGTATAAATTATTCACATATGTATTTTGGTCTATATGTTTTTATTACATTTATATATCTATGAAGAATTAGGGCCTGTGTCATATTGCAATGTCGTCTTGCTTATGTAGTTTGAATAATTTTATAGGTTAGATTTGGAAACTGTACTTATCTGAGTCTAATATGTAGATTAATTTGTTATTTTTATTTCTTTTCAGTTATATGTTCTCATTTTTCCCAAGAGTTTTGGCCAGAGCAAGGCATAGAAGATTCTTTCCAAAAAATGATATTGAGAAGATATGACAAATGTGGACATGAGAATTTACACTTAAAAATTAGTTGTACCAATGTGGATGAGTGTAACGTGCACAAAGAAGGTTATAATAAACTTAACCAGAGTTTAACAACTACACAGAGCAAAGTATTTCAATGTGGCAAATATGCAAACGTCTTTCATAAATGTTCAAATTCAAACAGACATAAGATAAGGCATACTGGAGAGAAAGGTTTGAAATGTAAAGAATATGTCAGATCATTTTGCATGCTTTCACACCTATCTCAACATGAAAGAATTTATACTAGAGAGAATTCCTACAAATGTGAAGAAAATGGCAAAGCTTTTAACTGGTCCTCAACCCTTACTTATTATAAGAGTATTCATACTGGAGAGAAACCCTACAAATGTGAAGAATGTGGCAAAGCCTTTAGTAAGTTCTCAATCCTTACTAAACATAAGGTAATTCATACTGGAGAGAAACCCTACAAATGTGAAGAATGTGGCAAAGCTTTTAATCGATCCTCAATCCTTACTAAACATAAGATAATTCATACTGGAGAGAAACCCTACAAATGTGAAGAATGTGGCAAAGGATTTAGTAGCGTCTCAACCCTTAATACACATAAGGCAATTCATGCTGAAGAGAAGCCCTACAAATGTGAAGAATGTGGCAAAGCTTCCAACTCGTCCTCAAAGCTCATGGAACATAAGAGAATTCATACTGGAGAGAAACCCTACAAGTGTGAAGAATGTGGCAAAGCCTTCAGCTGGTCCTCAAGCCTTACTGAACACAAGAGAATTCATGCTGGAGAGAAACCCTACAAATGTGAAGAATGCGGGAAAGCTTTTAATCGATCCTCAATCCTTACTAAACATAAGATTATTCATACTGGAGAGAAACCCTACAAATGTGAAGGATGTGGCAAAGCCTTTAGTAAGGTCTCAACCCTTAATACACATAAGGCAATTCATGCTGAAGAGAAGCCCTACAAATGTGAAGAATGTGGCAAAGCTTCCAACTCATCCTCAAAGCTCATGGAACATAAGAGAATTCATACTGGAGAGAAACCCTACAAGTGTGAAGAATGTGGCAAAGCCTTCAGCTGGTCCTCAAGCCTTACTGAACACAAGAGAATTCATGCTGGAGAGAAACCCTACAAATGTGAAGAATGTGGCAAAGCCTTCACCTGGTCCTCAAGCTTTACTAAACACAAGAGAATTCATGCTGCAGAGAAACCTTACAAATGTGAAGAATGTGGCAAAGGCTTTAGTACGTTCTCAATCCTTACTAAACATAAGATAATTCATACTGGAGAGAAACGCTACAAATGTGAAGAATGTGGCAAAGCCTTCAGCTGGTCCTCGATCCTTACTGAACATAAGATAATTCATACTGGAGAGAAACCCTACAAATGTGAAGAATGTGGCAAAGCCTTCAGCAGATCCTCAAGCCTTACTAGACACAAGAGAATTCATACTGGAGAGAAACCCTACAAATGTGAAGAATGTGGCAAAGCTTTTAAGTCATCCTCAACTGTTAGTTATCATAAGAAAATTCATACTGGAGAGAATCCCTAAAAATGTGAAGAATGTGGTAAATCCTTCAGCTGATTCTCAGTCTAGTAAACATAAGAAAATTCATACTGGAGAGAAAATCTACAAAGGTGAAGAATGTGGCAAAGCTTTTAAACAGTCCTCAATCTTTATTACACATAAGAAAATTCATGCTGGAGAGAAACACTACAAACGTGAAGAATGTGACAAAGGCTTCAACCGGTCCTCAAACCTTGTGGAACATAAGAGAATTCATACTGGAGAGAAACCCTACAAATGCGAAGAATGTGATAAAGACTTCAACTGTTCCTCACACCTTACTACTCATAAAAGAATTCATACTGGAGGAAAAGCCCTACAAATGTGAAAAACGTGGCAAAGCTTTTCATTAGTTCTCAACCCTTACTGAACATAAGGGAATTTATACAGGAGGGAAACCCTACAAATGTGAAGAATGTGGCAAGCCTTTTAGCTGTTCCTCAATCCTTACTAAACATTCATGTAATTCATACTGGAGGGAATTCCTATAATTGTGTGGAATGTGGCAAAGCCTTTAACCAGTCCTTAAGGCTTACTACATATAAGACAACTCATACTGGAGAGAAACCATGCATGTGTGAAGAATGTGGGAAAGCCTCTAACAGATCCTCAATTCTTAAGAAACATAGGCTAATTCATACATGAGAGACTCTACAAACCTGAAAGATGTGACAATGCTTTTGGCAACACCTCAGACTTTTCTGAATATAAAAGAAATCATATGAATGAGAAATCCTAGAAATGTGAAGAATGTGACAAAGCCTTTAAATGGCTGTCACACTTGATTGTAGGTAAGATAATATACTGGAGAAAACTACTAGAATAAACAATGTGGCACACATTTAACCAATACTCATGCCTTATTGCAAAGGAAAGCATTTATATACTAGCCTGGGCAACAGAGAGACTGGGAAAAAAAAATTGTGAATGCCACTAATATCTTCTCACATCTTATTCAACACCAGAGAGTTCATATTAAATAAAGTATTAAAAGTACAATTATTGTCACTAGATCTTTCAGAAAATAAAAGCCCTTAAAATACAGAAGAATATTTATTTTGAGGAAAAACATTACAAATATAAAGAGGGTTGTAGTGCCTTTACTTGTATCACAGATTTTATTGTACACATTTTGTACTACAGGAAAACCTTAGGTAGTTGTTCCAACTTTGCTAAACATCAGGGAATTTATATTGAATGACCGTGCAAATTTAATAAATTTGGAAAAACATTTTTACAAAAACTACAGAATTATAAAACACAAAAGAGTTTATACTAAAATATATTTTTGCAGATACAGTAAATATAAAAATATTTAATCCAAAATTGTTTATGTAAATATAGATAATTCACAGTAGAAATACCTATCTCTCAAACTTCAGACATTACACTAAATCAGACTGCTGAGTATAGGAAAAAATCCAAAACTAAAGTTGTTAAAAAGAAAAATTATTTGTATATGACTTTGAAAGAAGTAGACCTTTGAAGAGTTACATTTACATTTAAAGTATACTTTTATCTTAAAAATACCGATTTTTTTTTTTTTTTTTTTTTTTTGCCAGACACAGTGGCTTACACCTGTAAGGCCAATACTTTGTGATGCCAAGATGGGCAGATCACCTGAGGTCAGGAGTTCAAGACCAGCCTGGCCAACAAGGTGGAACCCCATGTCTACTAAAAATAAATACAAAAATTAGCCAAACATGGTGGTGCACACCTGTAGTCCCAGCTACTTGGGAGGCTGAGGCATGAGAATCACTTGAACCTGGGAGCCAGAGGTTTCAGTGAGCTGAGATTTTGCCACTGCACTGAAGCCCGGGTGATAATGAGATTGTCTCAAAAGAAAAAAAAAAGCTTATTTGGAAACTGAATAATGACGGAATTCAACTCTTAAATTGCTTCATGCTATTTCTTAATTTCTCTTGTATTCCCATATAAAAGCATGTGATCAATTCTTTCTGCATCAAAGATTTGGGAGACTTTTTACATGGTCATTATGACATTTCTTATGGATGACTAAGGACATTAAAATGTAAGATGCACGATGAAAATCTAAGTAGGAAGGCTATTTGTGATTAACTTATAGAATTGAGTGATGTATGAGGTAGGCATTCAGAGTTTTTTTTTTTTTTTTTTTTGAGAGGGAATCTCACTCTGTTTCCCAGGCTGGAGTGCAGTGGTATGATCTCAGCTCACTGTAAGCTCCTCCTCCCAGGTTCAAGATATTCTCCTGTCTCAGCCTCCCAAGAAGCTGAGATTACAGGTGCCCACAACCACATCCAGCTAATTTTTGTATTTTAGTAAAACAAGGTTTTGCCATGTTGGCCAGGCTGTTCTTGAACTTTTGACCTCATGTGATCTGTCTGCCTTGGCCTCCCAAAGTGCTGTGATAATAGGTGTGAGCCACTGCACCTGGCTCTAAGTGATGTACTAATGTAGTATTATGAGAGAATATTATGAGAGAATAACATATTTTATAGTTAAAATTAATTAAATTAGTATGTCATTTTATTAATTGTACTTTTATGTGATAAAATTGCATTTTTAAAGTTTTAGATTATGTGTTAATTTTTTATTTCAACATTTATAACATGTTAAATACTGTTATACATTCAATAAAGTGTTATTATGCCACTAGTTTTAACCTATTCCACCTTACTTAAGGGTATATTTAAAAGATGGTAACAATACACTATTTGGTAACATAATAGACTAACATCTCTAGTATTCTTTTTCAGTGGCTTTAAACTGCAAATAAGTTAAAGAATATGGTTCCTGCAGGTTAAATTTTTTTTACATTTAAATTTTTCTTAGTTTTTGTGTGTACATAATATGTGTATACATTTATGCCATAGATGGCATATTTTGATACAGTCATACAATATATAATAATCACATTGTGATAAATAAGGTACCTATAACCTCTGGCTTTTATGTTTTGTATTACAAACCAATTCTACAGTCTTAGTTATTCTAAATTGTACAATTAAATTGTTATTGACTACATGGTTATTTTTATGGTCATCATAAAAATTGTAAATAAGTGTAAATAAAATCAATATATTTCTGAGTCCTGAATAATTTTCAAAAATTTATTATGTATTTTTTGCACATGTGGCCTCTGCCTGAAAGCACATAATCGAGTTTTAGTTTTGACTTACATAGAGTTAAATATACACATCTATTAGTCTAAAGATATAACTTAGGTTTAAGGAGTAAGTGTGTTTGTTTGACTGTAAGTTTGTAACTATTTTCAGGAGAAAAGAGGAATATTGAAACCACAAAGCATTTAATAAGATGTCTAATTTACTAGGAAACAAAAATCCTCAAAAATGCTAAAAGCAAATGTAGGCTGGGCGCGGTGGCTCACGCCTGTAATCCCAGCACTTTGGGAGGCTGAGGCGGGCGGATCACGAGGTCAGGAGATCGAGACCCCTGACCTCTACTAAACCCCGTCTCTACTAAAAATACAAAAATTAAAAAAATAAAATAAAAGCAAATGTATACTCTCTGCTTTGTATTCAATTTATACACCTATCTTATAGCTTATCATTTAGAATATTTCCATGTAAATTTTGTTTTTACTTGCATGATACTCATGCTAGACCCATAATCTTTTTGTTTCTTATTTTTTTGTTTTATAGTTTATGAAGTATTTAATCTGAGCTGATTTGTAGTTAAAAGAATAATTTTTGTAAAATTTCATCATGCAAACAAAATTATTTTTAGATATAATTCCACAATTTGTGTATTGTTACATTTTATTTAGTTAAAACATTCCATTAGCTTCTATGGGAGAACCATATATAGGCTTACTTTAGTTATTGTTCCCTTAACTTTTTATAAGTAACAAAAGTAAATTTTATTTATTGAGTCAATTTGTTTCAGTAAGTACTAGGGAAGCTTCATAAGTCATGTGGATGCTTTTATATATAAATGTAGCAAACAAACATGACAGTGCTCAGTGTGTAACAGATGCTTTATAATTAGTCATAAATATTCCTGCTGAAGTTTGTAACTTCAAGTCAGAGATGGAAAATACAAATTGTGAAGAAATAACATTGATTCTTCATGTGAGCAGAACATCTTTTTCCAGGCTGCAAAGCTGAATCTTGCTGAATTTAAAGAGAAATGCTTCATTCACGTCTTAATTATCTAAGTTTTGTCTTTTTAAGTGCACTCAAACCATATATGCATCACAGTCCTTTTTCTGTGTTATGGCTACAGTTTTCTCACTGTTGTTTTCATGCCATGCGATTTCACATGGTATGTTGTAGGTTTTAAGGAGAACATCGGTATTTTTTAATGCACTGAAACATTGGTTTTAACTGGAAAGTTTGCTTATCAGTATAACTTTAAGATTGGTTAATTAACATAAAAGACATACACTGTCTACCGAAGAGAGGATTAAATCAACATGGTGTTTCTTTGTAAAAGAAAAATATTAGATTTTTATACATAGTGTGGCAAATACATAATTTGCTAGACCATATGTATATTATAAAGATTCAATTTTTAAGAGAATAGTAAGTAAGCAATTTTAAATTTAGTTATTTAGGATGTACTTAGAGCACAACCTACATTTCCATGCAAAATTGTCTATTTTAAAGTGAATGTTAAAGGTTGCAAAACAATAAAATAACCTGTAAATTTGGAATAATATTTATTTTCCATATTGATACTACAATTTGGAGAAATGTATCGCTCACTTTTTAAATAAAAATTTTAGTGGCTGAAGTTTAGTCTACAGTTTATATTGTTGGTCACCTAAGTGTAGCGATCTCCTTGATCATTTTCTCTCAAAACTTTTGGAGATAATGGCAGCTTTTGGATTAAAACATTTCCTGTGAGTTTGCATGCAAACCAGTTTACTGTGATCACACAGTGGCCAGTCATGGGAGCATAAGCAACCTGCCCTTTTCCTGTCTTTCGTACTGTTACCATAAGCACCAGTAACTCCAGGTGCCGCAAGCTTAAAATAAAAGCCCTAAAGTCATTGGCTTCTCCCATGCCCTGTGCTGGGTTCAGAACATGCTGTTGAACATCAACGTTCCTATGGTTATGACTGGCAAAACAGCTGAAAAACTGTACGATAGGATACTGCTAAGTTTTATAAAAGAAACAGACAGTATTTGGAACATTGTTATCCTTCTATAGTGTCTAAAAATATATTTTTAACTTGACAAAATATTTATTTTATAAAACAACATTTTGAAGTGTATATACATTGTCAAATGCTTAGTTCTATGTGATTAATGCTTTGTCTCATATTGGTAACATTTTTGTGGTTAGACAACATGAAATTGTAAGCATTTTTCAAAAATACAAATGCATTATTATGAACTATAGTCACCATGCTGTACAATAAATCTCTGGAAATTATTTCTTTTATCCAAGTATAATTATATATTCTTTGACAGACATCTTTCAATGCCCCTATTTCTTCTAAATACCTTGGCACTTGGTGGTCACCATTTTACTCTCTACGTCAATGAGATGAACTTTTTTAGAAGCCACGTGTAAGTGAAATCATGAGACATGAATCTTTCTGTGCCTTGCTTATTTCAACTAATATAATGTCCTCCAGGTTAATCCCTGTGATTGAAAATAACAGAATTTTTGTTGTTTAAAGATGAATAGTATTCCATTGTATATATCTACCACATTGTCTTTATTTACTCATTAGATGTTGAACTGTTGATTTTATATATTTTACATGTGAAGAGTGCTGCAAACAACCTAGAAGTGCAAATGTTTCTTCATTCTGATTTCATTTGTTTTGGATATACAATGGTGCAATTGTTATATGGTAGTTTGATTTTTAAGTTTTTTAAGAAAACTCTATTAAGTTTTTCATAATGGCTGTCCTCACTTACATTCAAACAAATAGTGTGCAAGCATTTTCTTTTCTTCAGATTTCTACCATCACGTTTTCTTCTTAATTAGAGTCATTCTAACAGAAGCGAGTTGATATCTCATCGTTTTTCTTTTTTTTTTTTGCTTGTCTTTCCCTGATAATAATTGACATTGAGCATTTTAAAAATATATCTGTTGGCCATATGTATGTCTTTTTCTGAAAAATATTTAAGCCTTTTTCTCATTTTTAATAGTTACTTGTTTTTTGTTCTATAGTCATTTGAGTTTGTTACATAGTTTTGATATTAATCCCTTGTCACATTTATGATTTGCAAATATTTCCTTCCATTTTTTGGTTGTCTCATCCTGTTGATTGTATTATGTTCTTTGCAGCAGTTTTTTAATTTAAATAATCTGATTGATCTATTTTTTTCATTTTGCTCCTTGAGACTTGAGGTCAAATTTTAAAAGTCACTGCCCAACCAATGTTACAGGGCTTTCAGTCTTTATTTTTTGTAGTAGTTTCAGAGTTTTAGACCTTACATTTAAGTATCAAATTTATTTTGTGTTTTTATTTTATTTAAATATCTAATTTATTTATATATGGTGTGAGTTGAGGGTCTTATTATATTCCTCTGCATGTGGATATAAAGTTTTCTCAACACCATTTATTGAAGATACTGCCTTTTCCCTAAGAAATTGCCACCTTTATTTAAAAAGCAGATGGCTGTAAATACATCAGTATATTTTAGTCTCCTTTTTCTTCTCTACTGGCCTGTGTGTCTGTTTTTGTGCAAGTACCGTACTTTTTTTTTTTTTTTTTTACTAAAACTTTTAATATATTTCAAAGTCAGGTAGTGATACCTTCACTTTTTCTACGGCTTGGTTGCTTTGGCTATTCAGGTTCTCTTGTGGTACCCTATAAATTTTAGATGTAGTTTTTTAAATTTGTTAATTATATCACTGGTATTTTGATAGAGGTTGCATTATATCTGTACATCATTTTGTATAATACAGATGCTTAACAATATTAGTAATGCCAATTTATAAAGGAGTAATATTTTCCAATTGTGTATTAATTTCTGTCATTTCATTTAGAGATAGTTGTCAATATATAGAAATTCTACTGACACTTGGATGTTGCTTTTGTATTCTGAAAGTTCAATAAATTTGTTTATTAGTCCTACTAATTTTTAGTAATGTCTTAGGCTTTTGTTTACTTAAGATTATGTATAGAAATAAAAAATTGCAAAGGAATAATTTAACAATTTTTCTAATCTCAGCACTTTGATTTTATTTTCTAATATTTCTGTCTTGGATAGTTCATACTATGTTTAATAAGACTGAAGAAAGTGGGCATTTTTGTCTTCTTGCTCTTAGAGTAAAAGCTTACAAGATTTCCCTGTTTAGTATGTTATTAGCTGTGCTTTTTTTTGTTTGTTTGTTATATGTGGCATTTATTGGCTTGAGGTTCGTTTGTCCTATACCTACTTTTTTCAGAAATTTATCATGAAGGAATGTTGAATTTTGTTTAACTCTTATTCTGCATTTATTTAAATGTTAGAGATGTGAAATCACATCTAATTCTACATAGATTTAAAAATATTCTCAGAGACTTCTATGAACATGCATGCAAAGTAGAAGATTTAGAGAAAATAGATAAACTCCCGGATGCACAAAACTTCTCAAGATTGAACCAGAAAATCAGAAGTCTTTTTTTTTGTTGTTTTGTTGTTGTTTGTTTTTGTTTTGTTTTGTTTTTGAGATGGAGTCTCACTCGGTCACCCAGGCTGGAATGCAGTGGCGTGATCTTGGCTCACTGCAAGCTCTGCCTCATGGGTTCATGCCATTCTCCCACCTCAGACTCCCAATTAGCTGGGCTACAGGCTCCCGCCACCAAGCCCGGCTAATTTTTTGTATTTTTAGTAGAGGTGGGGTTTCACCATTTTAGCCAGGATGGTCTCGATCTCCTTACTTCGTGATCTGCCCACCTTGTCCTCCCAAAATGCTGGGATTACAGGCCTGAGCCACCGCACCTGGCCTAATAACAGCAATCTTTAACAACAAAAATGTATAAGATGTATAATGACATTTAATAAGTAATAATAGACCTACTAATCATAAAAAGCCCTGGATCATATGAAATCACAGACAAGTTTTACCACATATACGAAGATAAGCTGGTCCTAAGCCTACTGAATGTATTCCAAAAAATCAAGGTGGGATTTCACCCTAACTAATTATATGAAATCAGTGAAATACATGAAACTAAAATCTAGTGAAGACACAACAAAAACAGAAACTACAGTTCAATATTCTGGGTGAATATTGGAACAATAATCCTCCATGAAATACTAGCAAACTGAATTCAAAAGCAAATCAGAAAGTTATTTTGCTACAATGATGTGAACTTTATTCCATAAATGCAAAGATGTTTCATCATATGCAAGTCAATAAGTATGATCACCATGTAAAAATAAAATAAAAAATATTTAACACAATGGGGCAGAAAAGGCATTCAAGAAAATCCAATATTGACTCATAAAAATATTGTCAACACACTAGACATTGATGAAACATACCCCAAAATAATGAGTCATCTATGACAAATCCTTAGCCAACATCATACTAAAAAAGCAGAAACTGAAAGCATTCTCCATAAGAATAAAAATAAGACAAGAATATCCATTCTAAACAGTCCTATTGAAGTTACGAAGTCCTAGCCAGAGAAATAAAAGGAATCCAAACAGAAAACAAAGTCAAGTTATCTTTACTGATGATAGAATTGTCTACCTAGAATACTTTAAAGATTTCACCAGAAGACTCTGAAGCCTGAAAAAAGACTCCAAAAAAACCTCAGAATACAAAATCAACACAAATGCATAGCACTTCTATACACCAATAATATTCAAACAGAACAAAATAAAAAACACAGCTCTATTTACAATAGCCACAAACAAAAAAAAAAAACAAGAAATACATTAAATCAAGGAGCTAAAATATCTGTACAAAGAAGAAGAAAACATTGCTGAAAGAAATGAGCGAGAATGCAAATAAATGGAAAAATATTGCATGCTGATGGATTCAAAGAATATAATTAAAATGGTCATTCTGACTAAAGCAACCTACAGATTAAGTGCTATTTTTATCAGACTATCCATGATGCTTTTTTATAGAATTAGAAAAAGAAAACTATTCTAAAATATATACAAAAGAATTAAAGAGCTCAAATAGCCAAGACAACTTCAAACTAAAAGAATAAATCTGGGCTGAGTGTGGTGGCTCATGCCTGTCATCTCAGCCCTTTGGGAGGCTTACACAGATGGATCACCTGAGGTCAGAAGTTTGAGACCACCCTGGCCAACACGGTGAAACCTGCGTCTCTACTAAATACAAAAAATTAGCCAGATGTGGTGGCACATGCCTGTAATTCTAGCTACTTGGGAGGCTGAGGCAAGAGAACCACTTGAACTGGGAGGTGGAGGTTGCAGTGAGCCAAGATTGCATCAGAGTAACCAGTATAACATGATTCTGGTACAAAAATATACATATAGACCAATGAAATGGAAGAGACAGTCCTGAATTAAGCTATACTTTACAACCAGGTTATTTTTACAAAGCCAACAGAATTAAATCCCTATTCAGTAAATAATACTGGGAAAACTTGTTAGTCATATGTGGAAGAAAACTGGAGTCCTACCTTTTTCTATATAAAAAAATAACAACATAAATTAAAGACTTGATCTGTGAGTCTTCAAGCTACAAAATTCTTAGAAGAACACTTAGAAAATATTGGCCTCTCTAAAGAATTTATGACTAACATGAACATGAGTGCGACAAAAATAAAAATAAAAAATGACATCTAATTAAGGCAAAGAACTTCTGCACAGTGAAAGAAACTATCAACAAAGTAAACAGATGACCTACAGTATGAAATAAAATATTTGCAAACTGCCGACAATGAAGGATTAATATGCAGAATCTATAAACCATTTAATAAAAAAGCAAACAAATGATATGAATAGCCAGCTTCTTCTCAAAGGAAGACATAAGCACTGCCAATAAACATGTAAAAATTGCTCAACATTCCTAATTATCAGGAAGATGTAAATCAAAGTGACAGTGTGATACCATTTCACACCAGTAAGAATGACTGTTATTAAAAGTAAGATAAATAAGATGTTAAAGTTGCAGAGAAAAGAAAATCTTTCTACACTGTTGGTGGGAATGCAAATTAATTCAGGGCCTGTGCAAAGCAGTTTGGAGACTTCTCAAAGAACTAGAAATAGAATTGCCATTTGACTAATCTAGCCCATTAGTGGGTATCTGCCCCAAAAAAGAATAAATAATTTTGCCAAAGAGACACAAGCACTCACATGTTCATTGCAACACTATTCACAATAGCAAAAACAGAATTAAACCAGTTGCCCATGAATCTTTTATTGGATAAGAAAAATGATGTACTTATACAACCTCCAATACTACGCAGCAATGGAAGAGAATGAAGTAATGTCTTTTGCCGCAACATGAATGCAACAGAAGGCCATTATTCTAAGCAAACTGATGCATCAGAAAAACAAATGCCACATGTTCTCACTCATACATGGACGCTAAAAATTGGGCGCACATGGAAACAAAGATGAAAACAATAAGAGAAGGAAGGGTGACAAGCATTGAAAATTGGCTTAGGTATGATGTAAACTACTCAGACAATGGAATAATTAAGTGTTCAAACCTCAATATCATGTAGTCTACCTGTTTTACGAATCTGCACATGTACCCCTTAAATATAAAATAAAAATAATAAAATGCTTTTTGGTATAATGA
This sequence comes from Homo sapiens, assembly GCF_000001405.40. Lineage (NCBI taxonomy): Eukaryota > Metazoa > Chordata > Mammalia > Primates > Hominidae > Homo > Homo sapiens. The sequence continues at coordinate 22,169,251 of NC_000019.10, read as the reverse complement.
CATGTTCTATTTTTCCAGCTCTGGGTTAATGGTTGAAATTAGGGGTGAAAGACAAATTTTCACCCCTTAAGGCATAGTGGTGAATGTTTCTATACCAGGTCTCCTCACATTTTATAAGCTAACCTCTCTGAAAGTTCTTGGTCTATAGCCCAAAAAGTGTTTTATTTTCAAGTGTGCAGGTAAAACAAATTACACCTTTATCGTTTATGTATTAACTGTGCAGTAGACTATAGATTTAATTTGTTACTCTTTTGGGGGAAAAGGTGGTAAGTGGTTTAGTCTTATTTTTTTCAGAATGAACTATTTTTGAAAGTGTGAGACTAAAAATTATGCTAAATCACTGAATTAGAAATATAAAATATTTTTTCCAAAAAAAAAGCACAAAAGTCTTATAGTCACATTCCAAAAATAATTCAACAGAAAGTGGGGGTTATTTATGACCACAGTGCTGCAAATGCTCATTCCATCACAATCATTCTTGTGAAAAATAGAAATAATGGGTCAGAAGGTATTTTTAGAGTACTTTTCTTATGCTATTGCCATGTGAAATTATTGTCTTTATTATTTTCCATATGAAAGTCTGTACTTGAGCAAAAGATGCCATGAATTTCAAGAGAATATGCTCAGACATTTATTCTCCTTTGAAAGGCACTGGTGTGTTTGCAATCAAGGTGTAGCATTTCTTGCCTTCCTTGTGCTGCTGAGTTTGTGTGAAATAAAAAGGCAGCAAGTAAAGAAGAATCAACCATGACATTTCTAATTTCAACAGCCACAGCCTCTGTAATTGAGTGTTATATCACCTAGAAATAATGACAGTATTTCAAAACTGACAAAAAGTGATACTTTAAATTTTTAGTTTATTATTTATAGTTTATAAAAATTTATAGTTTCTGATTTATTATATGCTAAAAAACATGAACATGCAGATACCTAAAATTTCCACATAGGTGATAGTATTAATATTTTAATAGCTTATAATTGAGAGTCAAAATTGCCCCATTTGATTTACTGGAAAGCAGTTATTTATCTTTTAAGTGTAAATTGGTTATCCATAATCTTAAACATACAGATCTTTTAAGATTAGCATTATGTCTAGATTTAAATAAAATTTATAGTCTTGTGGTAACATAAATTTTCATACTTATTTTCTAATAAAAGTGAAAAGCAAGAGAAATATGTTGTTAAAATGATTTTAAAAGAAACTTTATATATCTTCATTAAATAACATTTAAAACCACATTATAAGTGAGTGATCAGTAATTCCAATCTTTTTTAGTTACTGAGAAAACTTAAATTATTCAATCAGAAGAAGTATTCTTATATTAACATTTCTGAAACTCAGAAACTGTGGACCATTCAATGGATGATGATGTACATGCAGACCACAAATTTTCTATGTAATAATAGACTAATCCTAGATTTTAATATAAAAATTTAATATACTTCTAAATTAAAACTAGTGGCTGTTTTAAGTCATGAGAGATATCATTGTTAAAATCCATTTACCAAAGTATTTGGTTAAATGCAGAGTCTCTGTCAGTTTTATAATTAGAGACAAGAAGGCACATTTTTTTACTTGTTTAATAAATTTATGTTAATTTGATAAATTTCAATATAGTTTAAAAATATATATTAAAATTTTTTTCTAACAAGTGAAGGAAATCATTTGTTTAAAAACTTAGAATTTTACTGTAAACAGTTGCTTTAGAGTCTGTCTTTTAAAGTACTATATTATTTTGAACATTAAAAATCAACAGCCTATTTCTGAGTGCTGGGTTCTGACTGTTCATGATATTAAAAGTTTACTTACCTACATCTGTAAATGAGCAAGCCATTTGAAATAAAATATACATATATGTATATGTTTCCTAAAATTTTAAGATTAACAGCCACATTTTTCTCTGGTGCAATATTTTAAAGCTTATTTCACTCTTTCTTATTAAAAAATGTATTAGTATTTTTGATTGGCAAATCACAGTTGCATAAAGTTATGGGATACAATGTGATGTTTTAGTATATGTATAAAATATTGAATAATTAAGTTTCATTTAATAACATATCTATGAACTTGCTTACCTATCATTTTTGTGGTGGTACATTTGGAATTTACTCTTAGTTATTCTGAAATATGGAATAGTTTATAGTTTACTATAGTTACCCTGCTGTGCAATAGATCTCAAAACTTACTTAACCTATTTGAAATTTTTTACTTTTTGTCAACTCCTTTTCATAAAATTTATATCTGTTTTGAATGTGAATATATGAGAATTTGCCAAGAATAGTATTAAAAACATTCAACTACTATTATAGACCCAGACTGTAAATCTAGTCTCTCAATTTAGAGTAAATTAAGAGAAGATTAAGTTTTTTCAGCCAAGCAAATAAGTGTATAAAACTAATGGGTAACAAACATGGCATTAGTTGCCAAAAAATAGTATGACTAGATTCAGTAAGTGTCTAGCTATGCAAATGAGAGTTCAATCAAATTAAGACCCTAGTAGTTGCATGTGAAAAGCATTGATGTGCAATGTGTTGCACCTCCACTCAGCACCTTTTTTTGCCCATTCGTAAAGATATCAATTTCCCCTGAGTGACTCAGAGCGAATTCTAAAAATGGAAAATTCTGTGCTCAGAGTAGTTACTGGGAACATGGTTAAAACATTTCTTCAATGCTATGAAAAGTTTTTATAAATATCACTCCACTTCAAAAAGTCTTTTAGTAAAAGGTTATTTATAGTACTCTATTTAGATTCATAAAAATTTCAATATTCCACGAAAGTCAGAGACACTTAAATGTAACCAAAATTCCATAAAACTTGAATGGATAAATTCCTCTTGGTTAATAATTTTATTTTATTAACAAATATAGAGTACTTCAGGCAAAATAACAGTTTTTGGCATGGGAGTATCACCAAAACAAGTGCTCTTCATCATCATTGTTAAAGTAAGAAGAGCATTGCCTGCTTTCCTGGAAGCAGCTGACCTGTTTTCCACTGATACAAAGTGGAGAAGACATTGAAATAGTGAAAGAGGGTGATATAAATGGAATACTTATATGAACTACAGTTTATAATAAAAAGTAGCATTTGATGTTTTACAACCATAGATGAGACTATTAGCATGAGGTCATAATATTCTTATTTCTTTTGACAAATTAACTTCATTTACCATATTCTGATTTCAGATAATATTCTTCTTTCTGCTCTATATTTGCTAGCTTTTGGTCAAATCTTATCTGAACTCAATAGAAATCAACAAAATAAATCGATTCTACCACAAGCATTTTATTATTGATGCATCTGCTTATTTTGCTTAAAATACATTAGCTTTTGAAAAGATTTATAGTTTTGTTTCCGAGTGTTGCTTTTTTCTGAGAAGTTGCTGTCATGCTAGAAAGCTGCTATTCTCAGCTCTACTCACAATGACTAATAGCAAGTGGAAGTGATGTGTGGATGAGAAGCAAATGTGTCTTCTCTGCATCTCTTTTTTAATCAATTGGCTGAAGAAAGAGAATGCAGATAGAAGGTGAAAGAAAATATAATCCCTGAAAGATCTTGAAAAAGTCCTTTGAATCAGAAAAAAAAGGAAATGGTGATTTGAGCAGAATATATATTTAAAAAGACTTCTTTTTTTAATCTTTCTTCTTTTTATGAAATATAAAAAAAGCTGACCAAATAAAGTCTAAATGAATTAAGTATAGCTCCTAGTATAACTCACAGTTAATATAAGTTGACTATCCTCTCTGTAGACAACATTTTTCATCAGCATTTTTCAGCATACAGCTAGACCTCAACTAACACTCATTATGTGTCACAAAAATGAATCACCTTAGAAGCCATCTTAATAATGAGATAATTGACTTCTGGTACCCAACTCAGAACATCTACAAAAGGAGTGGTGAACAGATTTCAACAGTGATGCAAAATTTTATTCATTGGCATTGGTAGCTGAGTGCTGTGTTAAGGATTCTAAAGTCACTATTTATTAAGTGGAAGTAGATCATCATAAAGGTCTTCATTCTCATCATCTTCACACTGAGTAGGGCTGCTTTCTTTTCCACAGTTGTGTTTAAAACTGTCCAAAGACACTCTCCAAATGCTTGGCTTTCTGTCTAGAAGCTTCAAATGGGGCTTTTGGGTGTGCATCTTTTTCTAGTTTCGCACAGCTGGAGAGGCTTCAGGAAACTTACAATCATGGTGGAAGGCAAAGGGGAAGCAAAGACTTTCTGGTTGTGGCTGGAGAAAGAGCTACAATGTACTGACTAGTCTCACTCGGGATGTTCCTGACATTCAGGATAGGTGGGGTGACCCAGCAATCATTTGGACACTGTCCATTCCAGTGACGCTCAAACTTCAGTGTGCATCAGAATTTCTGCAAGGCTTGCTGAGACACAGACTGCTGAGCCCACCTCCAAGACTTCTTTCTTTTTAAGGAATAAAGAGCATTCCATTGTGTAAATATACCACTTTTTAAAATTCATTCAACTGTTGATGAACCCTTATGTTGATTTCACACCCTACCTATTGTGAGGAATCCACTTTTTTTCCTTTTCTTATTTGTTTATATATCTTTCTTTATTTCTAGAAACATTTTAATTTTATACTATAAATTATGACTGTTAAATACCTCTATTTCTATGCCTTCTTTTGGTTAATATTTTGGCTGATTGAAGCAATAAGTTTGTAAAAAATTTTTTGGATCAAGGCCATTATTTTATTATTAACATAATTTGAGACAATATAGCAATAAAAATCAACATTGATTAGTGAAACAAGTTTCTAGCCCCTGGTAATCATTTTCTCTCCCACCCAACATAAAAGTTGAGTCTTTGTGTCATTTCTCCAAGTTGTAAGAAAGAAGCTTTTGATTAAATTGGTCAGCATAAAATTGTGTAAAATTTTACTTTTTTAATCTAAAAATTAAGCTGCTCTATTGCCAGAAAAGTTATTTTTAATATGTATTACTTTATTATATTTAAATTCTTCAGAGAAACTAAGCTGACAAAAATGCACTCAAATGTTTTTGAAAATTAAAAATGCTTAAGAAACATTTTTTACAGAATCTAAAACTAAAAATAGTTTTAGTTTCTTAGAGAACATCTTTCAAATACTTCAAGTTACCTTCTTCTGACAGTAAATATGTATTTTTCTATATTGCTATAGTACAGCTTTAGCTATCCTTTGTGGCCAACTCCATCATTTTTATTCTACTTTCTTGTGCAACATTTATGCTATGCATTTTATATTTTAAAAGTTGTAGACCATGCAATGTAATCTTCAAACAATTGACAAATGTTTTTCCATGTATAACTCTTTGCTTAATCCGCAGTCACTTTATTTTCACTCCCCGATTTTTACTGCCTGAAAAGCAAAGGGATCATTCAAGTGAGTGTGCTGAGCTGGTCTTCTCCAGTGTCAGTCTATTCACGTTCACAAAAGTATTCTTCTGGTGAAAGAGGGTGCACTTCAACAGTATTGTAACAGCAATGTGGAAAAGATGTAATAGAATAAAATGTGAATCACAGCCTCCTATGAAAATAAGTTAATTTTTCTTTTTCTGTATATGTGAGTATGTGGTATTTGTAAGGTTGGGAGTTGAGATTAACATGAGAGAGAAGAGCACTTCACATGAGTAGCACAAGAAGGTCCTATGCAACCTTCTTGTTTGTCAAACATACCTGGAATGATTTTATGAAGTATGATGTTGCTGTATTCATCATTTATTAGACTCTGATGGTCATTTTTTACTTTATAAATTGAAATATGCACTTATCATCATCCAGGACCCTGTCCTTGATGCTTAAGTGTGCAGACATAAAACGATTAAAATATTGGTGAAAGATGAGTTTTTTTTTTCTTAAGACTGAGTCTTGCTCTGTTGCCCAGGCTGGAGTGTAATGGTGTGATCTCACTGCACCCTCCACCTCCCAGGTTCAAGCAATTCTCATGCCTCAGCCTCCTGAGTCACTAGGATTACAGGTGTGTGCCATTATGCTGGGCTTGGTGGATATGTAGTTATGATGCACTGACCCATGGGTTGGGTGCTCTCCAGGGACCCTTCCCTTGCTGTCTACCTTAGGCTAGCTAGCTAATCCCTCTCAGTTCCTCCTCAGGAGTGGAGACCCTAACTGCTGTTAGGGAGAAGAGGCATTGATATTTTTGGCTATTCCTCGCTGGAAAGGGGTGCTGTGTAGAAAACAGCAGCTAGGACTTCTTCCATGGCTAGTTTAATTGTCCTCAGAAGAAACATGTGTTTATGCGTCATTCCATTTGCATTACCACTTAGAGCTTGATAGTTTTTAAGGCAAAAAGAAACAATCTGGTTTAGTAGAGGAGAGGCATTGAAATGAATTAAGGGGGGTAGGAAAAGCCTAAAAATGTTGAGGCTGTTGACACACCCTGATACCTGGTAGCTATAGTTATGTTTGCTAAGATTTGGGTGCATGAGGCTTGGCTTTGGTTAGCTCCTTTGATTTTACTTTCTGATAAAAGAAACCTCTGGGTTATTGGCACCTTATTTATTTCCAGCTGGATTTACAGAATAATTGCTCAGAACTAGCATATTGATTTAGATTTTTACATTACCCTTCCCTTTCTGTTTTCTGAGCTGCAGGCAGAGATTGCTGGTTGGCTTACAGGAATAAGCAGGGTTAGTTTAAAACGTCATCAAAAACTCTAAAACAATCAATGAGACTAGAAGTTCATGAGAAATGTATGGTAAGCTTTGAAACATGATTTTGTTTTTAGATTTTCTTTAGTTAAAAACAACTCACAATAGACTGAATTGTTTGCAAAATAGACTTTATTATTATACTTGGCCTATTTGAACATAGTGCAGCAAGAGTAACTATCTCTCCATAGGCCTTTTTCATAAGCTTTGATGGAACTCTGTTCCAAAAGAAATCTTAGATAGGACTTTCTAAAGCTGGGCTAAGCCATGGATTTGTACCCTTAAATATTTGTGAATTGGGTAAATTCCTGTATTTTTGAGGTCCCAAGATCATAGTGTTTCTGAGTCTGTTAGAAAGAGACATTTTTTTACTCACCACAGGCCAGGAATTCTGTATGAGAACTGTGTAGACTACAGGTATGAGACCAGCTTTCCCAAGAGGCTGTTACTGGCTTTGCAACTTAAACTTGATTTCTTAAAGGAAAACACACCCTTCCAGTTAAAGCCTTGCTAAAGAACTAGCATTTTTCTATTGTGTTTCACTGCATAAGAAAATGGATTTTTCAGCTGGGCACGGTGGCTCATGCCTGTAATCACAGCACTTTGGTAGCCTGAGGTGGGCAGATCAAGAGATCAAGACCACCTTGGCCAACATTGTGAAACCCCATATCTACTAAAAATACAAAAGTTAGCTGGCCGTGGTGGTGCACACCTGTAGTACTGGCTACTCAGGAGGCTGAGGTGGGAGAGTCACTTGAACCTGGGAGGCAGAGGTTGCAGTGAACTAAGATTTTGCCACTGCATGCCAGCCACAGACAGAGCGAGACTATGTTTCAAAAGAAAGAAAAAATAGAAAAAGGATTTTTGTTTCATTGATGCAAACAACTATATTGTTGCAAGTTAAGAATACTTACAACTAGTTGATAGAGGTTCCAAGATGGCTGAATAGGAACAGTTCCAGTCCACAGCTCCCAGCGTGAGCGATGCAGAAGATGGGTGATTTCTACATTTCCAACTGAGCTACCAGGTTCATCTCACTGGGGCTTGTTGGACAGTAGGTGCAGCCCATGGAGTGTGAGCCAATGCAGGGAAGTGTATCACCTCACCTGGGAAGTGCAAGGAGTTGGGGAATTCCCTTTCCTGGCCAAGGGAAACTGTGACAGACTGTACCTGGAAAATTGGGACACTCACACCCTATTACTGTGCTTTTCCAACAGTCTTAGCAAACAGCACACCAGAAGATTATATCCCATGCCTGGCTTGCAGGGTCCCACAACCACAGAGACTTGCTCACTGCTAGCACAGCAGTCTGAGATAAAACTGCAAGGTGGCAGTGAGGCTGGGGGAGGGGAATGTGCCATTTCTGAGGTTTGAGTAAGTAAACAAAGTGGCTGGGAAGCTCGAACTGGGTGGAGCCCACCGCAGCTCAAGGAGGCCTGCCTGCCTCTGTAGACTACACCTCTGGGGGCAGAGCATAGCTGAATAAAAGGCAGCAGAAACTTCTGCAGACTGAAACGTTCCTATTGATAGCTTTGAAGAGAGTAGTGGTTCTCCCAACACAGAGTTTGAGATCTGAGAATGGACAGACTGCCTCCTCAAGTGGGTCCCTGACCCCCGAGTAGCCTAACTGGGAGAAACCTCCCAGTAGTGGCTGACTGACACCTCATACAGCTGGGTGGCCCTCTGAGATGAAGCTTCCAGAGGAAGGATCAGGCAGCAATATTTGCCATTCTGCAATATTTGCTGTTCTGCAGCCTCCGCTGGTGATACCCAGGCAAACAGGGTCTGGAGTGGAACTCGAGCAAACTGCAACAGACCTGCAGCTGAGGGTCCTGACTGTTAGAAGGAAAATTAACAAACAGAAAGGACATCCACACTAAAACCCCATCTGTACATCACCATCATCAAAGACCAAAGGTAGATAAAACCACAAAGATGGGGAGAAACCAGAGCAGAAAAGCTGAAAATTCTAAAAATCAGAGCACCTCTTCTCCTCCAAAGGAACACAGCTCCTCATCAGCAATGGAAAAAAGGTGGATGGAAAATGACTTAGATGAGTTGAGAGAAGGCTTCAGATGATCAATAATAACAGCCTTATCCAAGCTAAAGGAGGATGTTCAAACCCATCGCAAAGAAGCTAAAAACCTTGAAAAAAGATTAGAAGAGAGCTAACTAGAGTAAACAGCATAGAGAAGACCTTAAATGACCTGATGGAGCTGAAAACCATGGCACAAGAACTACGTGATGCATGCACAAGCTTCAGGAGCCGATTTGATCAAGTGGAAGAAAGGGTATCAGTGATTGAAGATCAAATAAATGAAATGAAGTGAGAAGAGAAGTTTAGAGATACAAGAGTAAAAAGAAATGAACAAAGCCTCCAAGAAATACGAGACTACGTGAAAAGACTTAATCTATGTCTGATTGGTGTACCTGAAAATGACGGGGAGAATGGAACCAAGTTGCAAAACACTCTTCAAGATATTATCCAGGAGAACTTCCCCAACCTAGCAAGGCAGGCCAAAATTCAAATTCAGGAAACACAGAGAACACCACAAAGATACTCCTTGAGAAGAGTAACTCCAAGACAATTAATTGTCAGGTTCGCCAAAGTTGAAATGAAGGAAAAAATGTTAAGGGCAGCCAGAGAGAAAGATCGGGTTACCCACAAAGGGAAACCCATCAGACTAACAGTGGATCTCTCAACAGAAACTCTACAAGCCAGAAGAGAGTGGGGGCCAATATTCAACATTCTTAAAGAAAAGAATTTTCAACCAGAATTTCATATCCAGCAAAATTAAGCTGCATAAGTGAAGGAGAAATAAAATCCTTTACAGACAAGCAAATGCTGAGAGATTTTGTTACTACCAGGCCTGCCTTACAAGAGCTCCTGAAAGAAGCACTAAATATGGAAAGGAAAAACTGGTACCAGCCACTGCAAAAACATGCCAAATTCCAAAGACCATCGATGCTAGGAAGAAACAGCATCAACTAATGAGCAAAATAACCGGCTAACATAATGACAGGATCAAATTCACACATAACAATATTAACCTTAAATGTAAATGGGTTAAATGCTCCAATTAAAAGACACAGACTGGGAAATTGGATAAAGAGTCAAGACCCATCAGTGTGCTGCATTCAGGAGACCCATCTCACATCCAGAGACACACATAGGCTCAAAATAAAGGGATGGAGGAAGATCTACCAAGCAAATGAGAGGAAAAAAAAGAGCAGGGGTTGCAATCCTAGTCTCTAATAAAACAGACTTTAAACCAGCAAAGATCAAAAGAGACAAAGAAGACCATTACATAACGGTAAAGGGATCAATTAAACAAGAAGAGCTAACTATCCTAAATATATATGCACCCAATACAGGAGCACCCGGATTCATAAAGCAAGTCACCAGAGACTGACAAAGAGACTTAGACTCCCACACAATAATAATGGAAGACTTTAACACCCCACTCTTACCATTAAACAGATCAATGAGACAGAAAGTTAACAAGGATATCCAGGAGTTGAACTCAGCTCTGCACCAAGCAGATCTAATAGACATCTACAGAATTCTCCACCCCAAATCAAGAGAATATAGATTCTTCTCAGCACCACATCATACTTATTCCAAAATTGACCACACAGTTGGAAGTAAAGCACTCCTCAGCAAATGTAAAAGAACAGAAATTATAACAAACTGTCTCTTAGACCACAGTGCAATCAAATAAGAACTCAGGATTAAGAAACTCACTCAAAACTGCACAACTACATGGAAACTGAACAACCTGCTCCTGAATGACTACTGGGTAAATAATGAAATGAAGGCAGAAATAAAGATGTTCTTTGAAACCAGTGAGAACAAAGACACAACATAACAGAATCTCTGGGACACATTTAAAGCAGTGGGTAGAGGGAAATTTATGGCATTAAATGCCCATAAGAGAAAGCAGGAAAGATCTAAAATTGACACCCTAACATCACAATTAAAAGAACTAGAGAAGCAAGAGCAAACACATTCAAAAGCTAGCAGAAGGCAAGAAATAACTAAGATCAGAGCAGAACTGAAGGAGATAGAGACACAAAAAACCCTCCAAAAAATCAATGAATCCAGGAGCTGGTTTTTTAAAAAGATCAACAAAATTGATAGATGGCTAGCAAGACTAATAAAGAGGAAAAGAGAGAAGAATCAAATCGACACAATAAAAAATGATAAAGGAGATATCACCACCAATCTCACAGAAATACAAACTACCATCAGAAAATACTATAAACAGCTCTACTCAAATAAACTAGAAAATCTAGAAGAAATGGATAAATTCCTGGACACATGCACCCTCCCAAGACTAAACCAGGAAGAAATTGAATCCCTGAATAGACCAATAACAGGCTCTTAAATTGAGGCAATAATTGATAGCATACCAATAAAAAAAAGTCCAGGACCAGACGGATTCACAGCTGAATTCTACCAGAGGTACAAAGAGGAGCTGGTACCATTCCTCCTGAAAATATTCCAATCAATAGAAAAAGACAGAATCCTCCCTAGCTCATTTTGTGAGGCCAGCATCATCCTGATACCAAAGTCTGGCAGAAACACAACAAAAAAAGAGAATTTTAGACCAATATCCCTGATGAACACTGATGCAAAAATCCTCAATAAAATACTGGCAAACCGCATCCAGCAGCACATTAAAAAGCTTATCCACCACGATCAAGTTGGCTTCACCCCTGGGATGCAAGGGTGGTTCAACATACACAAATCATAAACTTAATCCATCATATAAACAGAACCAAATACAAAAACCATATGATTATCTCAATAGATGCAGAAAAGACCTTTGACAAAAATTCAACAACCCTTCATTCTAAAAACTCTCAATCAACTAGGTATTGATGGGACGTATCTCAAAATAATAAGAGCTATTTATGACAAACCCACAGCCAATATCATACTGAATGGGCAAAAACTGGAAGCATTCCTTTTGAAAACTGGCACAAGACAAGGATGCCCTCTCTCACCACTCCTATTCAACTTAGTGTTGGAAGTTCTGGCCAGGGCAATCAGGAGAGAAAGAAAGGGTATTCAATTAGGAAAAGAGGAAGTCAAATTGTCCCTGTTTGCAGAAGACATGATTGTATATTTAGAAAACTTCATCATCTCAGCCCCACATCTCCTTAAGCTGATAAGCAACCTCAGCAAACTCTCAGGATACAAAATTTTTCAGTGTGCAAAAATCACAAACATTCCTATACACAAATAACAGACAAACAGAGAGCCAAATCATAAGTGAACTCCCATTCACAATTGCTACAAAGAGAATAAAATACCTAGGAATACATCTTCCAAGGAATGTGAAGGACCTCTTCAAGGAGAACTATAAGCCACTGCTCAATGAAATAAAAGAGGACACAAACAAATGGAAGTACATTCCATGCTCATGGATAGGAAGAATCAATATTGTGAAAATGGCCATACTGCCCAAGGTAATTTATAGATTCAATGTCATCCCCATCAAGCTACCTCTGACTTTCTTCACAGAATTGGAAAAAAAAACTACTTTAAAGTTCATATGGAACGAAAAAAGAGCCCACATTGCCAAGACAATCCCAAGCCAAGAGAACAAAGCTGGAGGCATCACACTACCTGATTTCAAACTGTACTACAAGGCTACAGTAACCAAAACAGCATGATACTAGTATGAAAACAGAGATATAGACCAATGGAACAGAACAGAGCCTCAGAAATAACACCACACATCTACCACCACCTGATCTTTGACAAACCTGACAAAAATAAGAAATGGGGAAAGGATTCCCTATTTAATAAATGGTGCTGGGAAAACTGGCTAGCCATATGTAGAAAGCTGAAACTGGATCCCTTCCTTACACTTTATACAAAAATTAATTCAAGGTGGATTAAAGACTTAAGTGTTAGACCTAAAACCATAAAAACCCTAGAAGAAAACCTAGGCAATACCACTCAGGACATAGGAATGGGCAAGGACTTCATGACTAAAACACCGAAAGCAATGGCAACAAAAGCCAAAATTGACAAGTGAGATCTAATTAAACTAAAGAGCTTCTGCACAGCAAAAGAAACTACCATCAGAGTGAACAGGCAACCTACAGAATGGGAGAAAAGTTTTAAAATCTACCCATCTGACAAAGGGCTAATATCTAGAATCTACAAAGAACTTAAACAAATTTACAAGAAAAAATCAAACAACCCCATCAAAAAGTGAGCAAAGGATATGAACAGACACTTCTCAAAAGAAGACATTTACACAGCCAACAGACACATGAAAAAATGCTCATCATCACTGGCCATCAGAGAAATGCAAGCCAAACCACAAAGAGATACCATCTCATACCAGTTAGAATGGTGATCATTAAAAAGTCAGGAAACAACAGACGCTGGAGAGGATGTGGAGAAATAGAAATGCTTTTACACTGTTGGTGGGACTGTAAACTAGTTCATCCTTTGTGGAAGACAGTGTGGTGATTCTTCAAAGATCTAGAACTAGAAATACCATTTGACCCAGCAATCCCATTACTGGGTATATACCCAAAAAATTATAAATCATGCTGCTATAAAGACACATGCTATAAAGACACATGCAAATGTATGTTTATTGTGCTGCTATTCACAATAGCAAAGACTTGGAACCAACCCAAATGCCCATCAATGATAGACTGGATTAAGAAAATGTGGCACATATACACCATGGAATACTATGCAGCCAAAAAAGAGGATGAGTTCATGTCCTTTGTAGGGAAATGGATGAAGCTGGGAACCATCATTCTGAGCAAACTATCCCAAGGACAGAAAACCAAACACCGCATGTTTTCACTCATAGGTGGGAATTGAACAATGACAACACTTGGACACAGGAAGGGGAATATCACACACTGTGGCCTGTCGTGGGGTAAGGGTAGGGGGAAGGGATAGCATTAGGAGATATGCCTAATGTTAAATGACGAGTTAATGGGTGCAGCACAACAACATGGCCCATGTATACATATGTAACAAAACTGCATGTTGTGCACATGTACCCTAGAACTTAAAGTGTAATTTAAAAAATTTAAAAAAAGAATACTTATAAATAGTTTTTTATTTTTAGCAGAACCAGGCAAAAAGAAACAGACAAGGTCCAAATTATGTTTAAGCAGTATACCTTGCTCAGTGGTTTAAAACTTTTAAGAAAGTTTTTCTGACTCTGAAAAACAAAATAAGAATTAGCAATGCTTTAAGCAAAAGTTAAAAGCATTGCTTTAGTTTTCCATTAGCTAAATCCATTCTATTAACTTTGTTCTGCTTGATATCCATAAACATTTTAGCTTTTTATGAGTTCTGTACTTTTATCTGTTATCAGAAATCTGCATTTGAGAGCACCTGTTAAAGTCCCACAGCTGATTATAAACCATTTTTAAGAGGATTAAAACAAGAAAATTGTCTGCCAATGACAAAATATCCAGGGTTACAGTTAGAAACACGACTGACAAAAAAATTTGGTTATCTTTGTAGTTTACAATAACCCAACATAACAACCTTAATTTTGATTGGTAGCACATATTTAGACATTAGAACCTTAGACACCCCATATAGTTTTGGAACATATGTCAATATTATATACTTAAATATAAACTGAAAAAAAAGACATCATTTTGACAATCCCATGTACCTAAACATGTTCAATAATTCTGTTTGCCTTTCTTTTGAATGCTTTAGGGGCTCTTTGTAGCACCAAAAAGCCATGCATCAGGAAAGACAACCTTTGAGACTGAAGTTTGATTTTGGGGACCTTCTTAAATATGTTAGAGGTCTAAAACAGTTAATCTTAAGGAATAGAATTTTAGATTACCATAAGCTATTTGTTTTGCCAACATGAAGAATTAAAAATTTGAAAAAGCAAAAATCTTTTATTGGCCCTTACTACTACATAAAAATCCTGTTAAAAAGAAAAAGCCAAATTTTCCCCTTGCATTAGTTTACTATTAATGTTAACCCCAATTTTAATGAAACCTTATAGATAATTCTATTTAATCTTAACCAGTTTAAACATGAAGTGAGATTTTTACAAATTTTTTTTATTATTATACTTTAAGTTCTAGGGTACTTGTGCACAGTATGCAGGTTTGATACATGTGCCATGTTGGTTTGCTGCACCCATCAACTTGTCATTTACATTAGGTATATCTCCTCATGCTATCCCTCCCCTTGGCACCCACCCCACGACAGGCCCCAGTGTGTGATGTTCTCCACACTGTGTCCAAGTGTTGTCATTGTTCAATTCCCACCTATGAGTGAAAACATATGATGCTTGGTTTTCTGTCTTTGTGATAGATTGCTGAGAATTATGGTTTCCAGCTTCATCTATGTCCCTGCAAAGGACGTGAACTCATACTTTTTTATGGCTGCATAGTATTCCATGGTGTATATGTGCCACATTTTCTCAATCCAGTTTATCATTGATGGACATTTGGGTTGAGTACAGGTCTTTTCTATTGTGAGTAGTGCTGCAATAAACATACGTGTGCATGTGTCTTTATAGCAGCATGATTTATAATTTTTTGGGTATATATCCAGTAATGGGATTGCTGGGTCAAATGGTATTTCTAGTTCTAGATCCTTGAGGAATCGCTGCACTGTCTTCCACAATGGTTGAATTAATTTACACTCCCACCAACAGTGTAAAAGTGTTCCTATTTCTCCACATTCTCTCCAGAATCTTGTTTCCTGACTTTTTTGATCACCATTCTAATTGGCATAAGATGGTATCTCACTGTGGTTTTGATTTCCATTGCTATGATGACAAGTGATGAGGAGCATTTTTTCATGTGCTTGCTGGCTGCATAAATGTCTTCTTTTGAGAAGTGTCTGTCATATCCTTTGCCCACTTTTTGATGGGGTTGTTTGTTTTTTTCTTGTAAATTTGTTTGATTTCTTTGTAGATTCTAGATATTAGCCCTTTGTCAGATGGGTAGATTTCAAAATTTTTCTCTCATTCTTTAGGTTGCCTTTTCACTCTGATGGTATTTTCTTTTGCTGTGCAGAAGCTCTTTAGTTTAGTTAGATCTTATTTGTCGATTTTGGCTTTTGTTGCCATTGCTTTTAGTGTTTTAGTCATGAAGTCCTTGCCCATGCCTATGTCCTGAGTGGTATTGTCTAGGTTTTCTTCTAGGGTTTTTATGGTTTTAGGTCTAACATTTAAATCTTTAAATCATCTTGAATTAATTTTTGTATAAGGTGTAAGGAAGGGATCCAGTTTCAGCTTTCTACATATGGCTAGCCAGTTTTCCCAGCACCATTTATTAAATAGGGAATCCTTTCTTCATTTCTTGTTTTTGTCAGGTCTGTCAAATATCAGATGATTGTAGATGTGTGGTGTTATTTCTGAGGCCACTGTTCTGTTCCATTGGTCTATATCTCTGTTTTGGTATGAGTACCATGCTGTTTTGGTTATTGTAGCCTTGTAGTATAGTCTGAAGTCAGGTAGTGTGATGCCTTCAGCTTTGTTCTTTTTGGTTAGGATTGTCTTGGCAATGAGGGCTCTTTTTTGGTTCCATATGAACTTTAAAGTAGTTTTTTTCCAATTCTGTGAAGAAAGTCAGAGGTAGCTTGATGGGGATGCCATTGAATCTATAAATTACCTTGGGCAGTATGGCCATTTTCACAATATTGATTCTTCCCATCCAGGAGCATGGAATGTACTTCCATTTGTTTGTGTCCTCTTTTATTTCATTGAGCAGTGGTTTGTAGCTCTCCTTGAAGAGGTCCTTCACATTCCTTGGAATTTGTATTCCTAGGTATTTTATTCTCTTTGCAGCAATTGTGAATGGGAGTTCACTCATGATTTGGCTCTCTGTTTGTCTGTTATTTGTGTATAGGAATGCTTGTGATTTTTTACATTGAAAAATTTTGTATCCTGAGACTTTGCTGAAGTTGCTTATCACCTTAAGGAGACATGGGGCTGAGATGATGAGGTTTTCTAAATATACAATCATGTCATCTGCAAACAGGGACAATTTGACTTCCTGTTTTCCTAATTGAATACGCCTTATTTCTTTCTCTTGCCTGATTGCCCAGAACTTTCAACACTAAGATGAATAGGAATGGTGAGAGAGGACATCCCTGTCCTGTGCCAGTTTTCAAAGGGAATGCTTCCAGTTTTTGCCCATTCAGTATGATATTGGCTGTGGTTCTGTCATAAACAGCTCTTATTATTTTGAGAAACATTCCTTGAATACCTAGGTGATTGAGAGTTTTTGCATGAAGGGCTGTTGAATTTTGTCAAAGGCCTTTTCTGCATCTATTGAGACAATCATGTGGTTTTTGTCGTTGGTTCTGTTTATATGATGGATGACGTTTATTGATTTGCATATGTTGAACCAGCCTTGCATTCCAGGGATGAAGCTAACTTGATTGTCAAGGATAAACATTTTGATTTGCTGCTGGATTTGGTTTGCCAGTATTTTATTGAGGAATTTTGCATCAATGTTCATCAGGGATATTGGTCTAAAATTCTCTTTTGTTGTGTTTCTGCCAAGCTTTGGTATCGGGATGATGCTGGCCTCATAAAATGAGTTAGGGAGGATTCTGTCTTTTTTTATTGATTGGAATAGTATCAGAAGAAATGTTACCACCTCCTCTTTGTACCTCTGGTAGAATTCAGCTGTGAATCCATCTGGTCCTGGACTTTTTTTGTTGGTAGCCTATTAATTATTTCCTCAATTTCAGAACCTGTTATTGGTCTATTCAGAGATTCAACTTATTCCTGGTTTAGTCTTGGGAGGGTTTATGTGTCCAGGAATTTATCCATTTCTTCTAGATTTTCTAGTTTATTTGCATAGAGGTGTTTATAATATTCTCTGATGGTAGTTTGTATGTCTGTGGGATAAGTGGTGATATCCCCGTTATCATTTTTTATTGCATCTATTTGATTCTTCCCTCTTCTTCTTTATTAGTCTTGCTAATAGTCTATCAATTTTGTTGATCTTTTCAAAAAACCACCTCCTGGATTCAATGATTTTTTGAAGGGTTTTTTGCATCTCTATCTCCTTCAGTTCTGCTCTGATCTTAGTTATTTCTTGTCTTCTGTTAGCTTTTGAATGTGTTTGCTCTTGCCTCTCTATTTCTTTTAATTGTGATGTTAGGGTGTCAATTTTAGATCTTTCCTGCTTTCTCTTGTGGGCATTTAGTGCTATACATTTCCCTCTACCCACTGCTTTAAATGTGTCCCAGAGATTCTGTTATGTTGTGTCTTTGTTCTCATTGGTTTCAAAGAACATCTTTATTTCTGCCTTCATTTCATTATTTACCTAGTGGTCATTCAGGAGCAGGTTGTTCAGTTTCCATGTAGTTGTGCAGTTTTGAGTGAGTTTCTTAATCCTGAGTTCTTATTTGATTGCACTGTGGTCTAAGAGACAGTTTACTGTGATTTCTGTTCTTTTACATTTGTTGAGGAGTGCTTTACTTCCAATTATGTTGTCAATTTTAGAATAAGTGTGATGTTGTGCTCAGAGGAATGTATATTTTATTGACTTGGTGTTGAGAGTTTTGTAGATGTCTATTAGGTCAGCTTGGTGCAGAGCTGAGTTCAACTCTTGGATATCGTTGTTAACCTTCTGTCTCGTTCATCTGTCTGATGTTGACCATGGGGTGTTAAAGTCTCCCATTATTATTGTGTGGGAGTCTAAGTCTCTTTGTAGGTCTCTGGTGACTTGCTTTATGAATCCGGGTGCTCCTGTATTGGGTGCATATATATTTAGGATAGTTAACCTTCTTGTTGCATTGATCCCTTTACCATTGTGTAATGGCCTTCTTTGTCTTTTTTGATCTTTGCTGGTTTAAAGTCTGTTTTATCAGAGACTAGGATTGCAACCCCTGCTTTTTTTTGTTTTCCATTTGCTTGGTAGATCTTCCTCCATCCCTTTATTTTGAGCCTATGTGTGTCTCTGGATGTGAGATCGGTCTTCTGAATGCAGCACACTGATGGGTCTTGACTCTTTATCCAATTTGCTGGTCTGTGTCTTTTAATTGGTCATTTAGCCCTTTTACATTTAAGGTTAATATTGTTATGTGTGAATTTGATCCTGTAATTATGAAGTTAGCTGGTTATTTTGCCTGCTAATTGACGGTTTCTTCATAGCATCGATGGTCTTTGCAATTTGACATGTTTTTTGCAGTGGCTGGTACAGGTTGTTTCTTTCCATTTTTAGTACTTCCTTCAGGAGCTCTTGTAAGCAGGCCTGGTCGTGACAAAATCTCTCAGTATTTCCTTGTCTGTAAAGGATTTTATTTCTCCTTCACTTATGAAGCTTAGTTTTGCTGGATATGAAATTCTGGGTTGAAAATTCTTTTCTTTAAGATTGTTGAATATTGGCCCCCACTCTCTTCTGGCTTGCAGGATTTCTGCTGAGACATCTGCTGCTAGTCTGATGGGCTTCCCTTTGTGGGTAAGCTGACCTTTCTCTCTGGCTACCCTTAACATTTTTCCTTCATTTCAACCATGGTGAATCTGAAAATTATTTGTCTTGGGGTTGTTCTTCTCAAGGAGTATCTTTGTGGTGTTCTCTTGTATTTCCTGAATTTGAATGTTGGCCCAGTTTGCTAGGTTGGGGAAATTCTCCTGGATAATATCCTGAAGAGTGTTTTCCAACTTGGTTCCATTCTCCCCATCACTTTCAGGTACACCTATCAAACATAGATTTGGTCTTTTCACATAGTCCCATATTTCTTGGAGGCTTTGTTCATTTCTTTCTACTCCTTTTTCTCTAACCTTGTCTTCTCACCTTATGTCATTATTTTGATCTTCAATCACTGATACCCTTTCTTCCACTTGATTGAATCAGCTATTGAAGCTTGTGCATGCATCACTAAGTTCTCGTGCCATGGTTTTCAGCTCCATCAGGTCATTTAAGGTCTTCTCTTCACTGTTTATTCTAGTTAGCCATTCGTCTACCCTTTCTTTAAGGTTTTTAGCTTCCTTGTGATGAGTTTGTACATGCTCCTTTAGCTCAGAGAAGTTTGTTATTACCGACCTTCTGAAGCCTACTTCTGTCAACTCTTCAAAGCCATTCTCCATCCAGCTTTGTTCCATTGCTGGTGAGGAGCTGTGATCCTTTGGACGAGAAGAGGTGCCCTGGTTTTTAGAATTTTCAGCTTTTCTGCTCTGGTTTCTCCCCACCTTTGTGGTTTTATCTACATTTGGTCTTTGAAGTTGGTGACCTACAGATGGGGTTTTGGTGTATATGTCCTTTTTGTTGATGTTGCTTCTATTCCTTTCTGTTTGCTGGTTTTCTTTCTGACAGTCAGGTTTCTCAGCTGCAGGTCTGTTGGAATTTGCTGGAGGTCCACTCCACAACCTGTTTGCCTGGGTGTCACCAGTGGAGGCTGCAGAATGGCAATTATTGCAGAACAGCAAATATTGCTGCCTGATCCTTCCTCTGGAAGCTTTGTCCCAGAAGGGCACCCACCTATATGAGGTGTCTGTCGGCCCTTACTGGGGGGTGTCTCCCAGTTAGGCTACATAGGGGTCATGGATTGACTTCAGGTGGCAGTCTGTCCATTCTTAGAGCTCAAACCCCATGCTGGGGGAACCACTGCTCTCTTCAGAGCTGTCAGACAGGAACTTTTAAGTCTGCAGAAGCTGTCTGCTGCCTTTTGTTCAGATATGCCCTGCCCACAAAGTTGGAGTCTATAGAGGCAGTAGGCCTTGCTGAGCTGCAGTGGGCTCCACCCAGTTCAAGCTTCCCAGCTACTTTGTTTAGCTACTCAAGCCTCAGCAGAGGCAGAAACCCTTCCCCCAACCAGACTGCTGTGTCACCTTTGACCTCAGACTGCTGTGCTAGCAGTGAGCAAGACTCTGTGACTGCAGGACCTGCTGAGCCAGGCACAGGAGAGAATATTCTTCTCTGCTGGTTGCTGCAACCTTGGGAAAAGTGCAGTATTTGGGTGGGAGTGTCTCATTTTTCCAAGTACAGTCTGTCCCAGCTTCCCCTGGCTAGGAAAGGGAAATTCCCCAACCCCTTGTTCTTCCCAGGTGAGGTGATGTCCTGCCCTGCTTTGGCTTGCCCCCTGTGGGCTGCACCCTCTGTCCAACCAGTCCAAATGAGATCAGCCAGGTACCTCAGTTGGAAATGCAGAAATCACCCATCTTCTTCCTTGATCACGTTGGGATCTGCAGACCAGATCTCTTCCTATTTGCCCATCTTGGAATGGATCTTTGATGTTTACAAATCTTTTATAATCTTTTAGAAATTTTGATACAGAGCAGATTAGCATCTTAAGAAAGTCTTGTTGTGCTTTCATTTAAATGCTTAATTTAAAGGAACACCATATGTTATTCCTTTGAATTTAGTTCATATATTTACAGTTTTCTTTTGCAAAATTAATTTTTACAGTATTTTAAAAATTTGCTTAAAACTTTCACTTTATTTAATTTAAGACAATCTTTCACTCCTGAGAAAAATGTAGATTTTTATGCCTTCTTATAATTTTTTATTAAAAAATTTTACTGATTTTACACACATTTCATGCAAATCCATTTTTAATAGTCTCAATTACATGTTACAATGGTAACTTTTTGTAATTTTAACTTTAATGTAAAACCTGGTAAGTTGTTTTAATTATGTGCTAGGAGCAGATAAAGTCTGACTTCTTCCAGTATAGTTAGGGGCATGGTTACTTTTATATGTCACCAGGCCTTACTAATTGTGAAGCTGGCAGGTTGACAGTACTTAAAGGCCAAAGAAGCAGTTTACAACATTAAAACATTTAACAAACCTAGTATTTGACCTGCATAATTTAGACCACCTGTTTACATTTTAAGACGTTTGTATTTTACAAGAATGTTTTTATTTCTTAAATATTAAAGTTACATGAACCAAGAGGCACTACAGCCTTAATTTTGTCTTAATTTTTTTTGAAGTGCTTATTTGCACACCAATTAATTAGAGGTTTTTTATAGACTTCACACAAAACACGTATATAACCATCTAAACAAACAGAAGAAAATTCAGTAACTATAAGATTTTTTGTTTGCCAATTTTCTAATTGGATTATTGGTCTCTATTTGAGGCCATTTAAGAACAGGGTTAGGGGCCAGGCATGGTGGCTCACGCCTGTAATCCCAGCACTTTGTGAGGCCGAGGTGGGTGGATCACCTGCGGTCAGGAGTTTGAGACCAGCCTGGCCAACATGGTGAAAACACATCTCTACTAAAAATAAAAAAATTTAGCTGGGCATGGTGGCAGGTGCCTGCAATCACAGCTACTCACTAGGCTGAGGCAGGATAATTGCTTGAACCCAGGAGGTGGAGGTTGTAGTGAGACAAGATTGCACTGTTGCACTCTGGCCTAGGTGACAGAGTGAGACTCTGTCCCCCATAAAAAAAAAAAGGACAGGGCTAGGAATACAGTTTCCAGGGCCTAACAAATAAGCATAGCTAGAAGAAAAAGAGATTTTGAGAGGGACTTATTTACTTTTAATTCTAGGAGTTTCATTAAAAAAAGCAGAGATTTCTTTTAAAATGTAATTTGTGGTGGCTTTTTTGTTTTCCTGAGGAGTCTTAGGCCACCAGAGGTTATTTTAGGGCCTTCTATGCTTGCATCAACAGTGACAAGAAAGAGTGGATAAAAGTAATTCAGTTAAGTGAGATAAAACCCTCTTCCAGGAAAACAAGTTTTATAAAGATAAAAATAGAAAGGCTTTTTGAATATACTTATAGCTTGGATATTCACTTTTCATTAAGTTGAGTACATTTTAAAAATGTTTATTTAATTAATTAAAACTTTACAAAGAATATAAACAGTGATTCTTCTTATTTCTTTTACCAGTTTACACCACTAGCTGTTTACAATCCCGTTTAGGCTCTTTAGTTTCCTCTGGGAGAAAGTGGCTGGGTTCAGGCAAAGGCAAATTTTTAACTGGACTGCAGATCACTTTAGCAGCAAAGCTTGATATTTGAGGAGGTGATTATTAGCCAGAGGTTTGCATTAGAGGACAGCAGTCCTATGTGGGAATGCAGACAGTTAAGTTATTTCCCATTGTTAACTTCATGGCATTTCGTACCAGCAAGCCACCACCAAAACTGGTAAGAGGCAAGCTGGCCATCCTCTAGCCATCAAGTCAAGTTTCTTGCTTAGGTAACCCACTGGTTGTTGACCTGGACCTTGAGCCTTAGTTAAAACTCCCAGGGTCATTAACTTCCTTTTTGATACATAGAGATTAAATGCTTTCCTTATGGGAAGATTAAGGGTTGGTGCTTTAAGTAAGGCTGCCTTTAGTTGGTTAAAGGCTTCTTAGTTTTAGATTCCCAAGTTACCAAGTGAGTCTTTAGGTGCTTGAGTTTTTGTAAGGTGGTATAAAAGATTAACTATTTCACCATTCCCAAATACCCAGAATTTGCAAAAATCCAGTAATGTCTAAGATCCCTCCCAACTGTTTAAGAGTTTTTGGAAAGGAAAAGGAGAAAATAAGTTTAATTCTTTCTTTACCTGGTGTTCTTGTACCTTCTGACTAGACCTATCTACTTTACTGCAGTTTGACAGAGCTGAGCTTTAAATTTTGAGACCCTATATTTCCTTTCAGCTAATAAATTGAGGAAAGCCTTAGTGCCTTCCTGAGACCTCTTCAGTTGAGGCAGAGAGAACAGTGTTATTTAAATACTGCAAAGTTTCAACTTGAGGATGACAAAACCTAGAAAGGTGTTTGAACAGGGCCTGTTTTAGCAGCTTCCTTCTGATATTAGAGACTGCCTAAGTAATAAACCTTTTTTCCTGAATCACAACACAGGGAGGTTTGTTTTACTAAAGTTTTTCTCAGCCTTTTCAAAAAGGCCATGGGATTTTTATCTGGTTTCTGATTTAACAAGGAGAGGTTAGAGTAATTAATATGCTTGATTGTGGTTCTTTGCAAACTTTCTAATATGCACATCAGAAAGTGTTTTCTTTTCCACTTCTCTATAAGATCACAAGGGCTCCCATTAGAATATTTAAGGGGCATTGTTTTTATTCTTATTGGGAATGCGGATTATGTCTCTTTTTTTTCCCTTTTGACTGGGTTTCTTTTCTGACTGGCTCTAGGAAACCTACTGTTTGTTTTTGAGTTTTTTTTTTTTTTTTTTTTTTTTTTTTTTTTTTTTTTTTTTTTTTTGCTGCCTGTAAGGCTGCCTGTTTCTTAACAGTTAGGGTTTGGCTTAAAAGCAGCATAGCATCTCTCCATGTAACATTAAACACTTGGGTTAAATTTTGGAAAGCCTCTATATATGAGTCAGTGTCATTAGAGAACTTGCCTGGGGTTCACTTTATTTTCTTAAGGTCCTGCAACTAGAAGGGAACTTGAATACTAGTAACACCATGTCTACTGGGCATTTTCTGTAGGGGGTAACAGCAATGTTGTGGGTTTCTTCAGTGGCACAACCAGAGGAGCTGATGATATATGGGTATTGGGGGCCCAAAATATGTGAGGCTGCTGGGGCACCTGGAAGTTACATTTGAGTGTTCCCCAAGGGTTTGTATCTCAACTTTTGGTAATTATATGTTGTAGACTTGTCTGATATGGCTGCCAAGAAGGCAGATTTAATTTTACAATGCTTACAAAGATCTGGGTTGTCTCACAGGGCAAAGAAAGATCTATTTGTTGGACAGTGTTGAAATTAATGCTTCCCTTAGAAAGCCAGGCCTACTGTCTCTAAGATGGCCATGGGTTTATGCAATAGAATATAAGCCACTTTTTCTTTAGAATTTCAGGGTTAAAGAAGTTCCAGTGTTTCAGAATGCACTAGAGGGGAATGCAGACTGTCGATGGTTTGTTACCTATCTAGAGAAAGAGGGGAGACAAGGCGTTCCTCAGTCCCCTTTCTCTTTTCAGTGTGGCCTAGGGTGGAAGGAAAGAGAAAAAGGACATACCACTTCTCAACCTTCCTTTTTTTCCTCTGTGTCCCAGCAACCATCATAGATGTTACCCATGGATGGAAGCATGACCTTTACCCATGGTTCCGGAGGAGTTCATAGGCAGGACAGATTGTGCTCACCTTCTCAAGACCCTAGCTTTCCATCCTGCTGGTTTTCTAGACCCACTCAGCGCAAAAGGCTCTCAAGGTACTCCAGTGGCTGGGGAGAGATTATGCAGTAGTTGGATTTAGGCAAGATACTTTTTTAGAGGGAATGCCCTAATGCCATTTTTGGCTTCCCTTACTACGGCCCCAGGAAAACATCAGAATCCCAGAGAATGGGACGAGTTTACTTTCAAACATAAAATTCCTTTCTGTTTAAATTTCAATGTAGTTTGATGAAGAACAGGTGCCTTAAAAATGTGTAAAAATTGAAGATTTGTTTTGTTAGAAAGCCTTTCTTCTGGCTGTTGAAAGCTGAGTTTTTCTGTTTACAAATAGGGCATGAGGACTTATCACTGATAAAGGGATGTAAAAGGGAAAATAATTGGGGAACTGTAAGTTTTGGACAGAGTGTTGGCAAGTCTTCACATGGAGAACAATCCCATTCCACTAGGGGTGCTGTAAAATTAGAAATGCTAGGTAAAAACTCCAACTTTATATTTTTAGGCAAAAGTTAGAAAGAGGTTTGGGGTTTGATAGGCTGTTCCTATAGCATATGCCCCAGAACAAAAAAAATGAACTTGTCTCATATAGGAACTGTTTAGATACATTGGACAGTGCTCAGCTTTCACATGGAGGGAAAAAACGAAATGCAAAGGAGGGTATTAACTCAGAGTGAAATATTCTCTCATACAGTGCCATGAATGTTTATTACTGGGGGAGAGAAAGACCTTTACTAAGTAAAAATTTAGAGAGATTTTGAATTCACTCTGTTGCTAGGAAATTATAAAACAACACCTTTGAGTTACATATTTGATTACCAAGACACTGACTGACTTTACTCAGCACGATTATATCCATAGGCTGTAAAAACATTCACAACTTTGCATACAAAGAACGGATAGGAGAAATGATAGCCATGAAAAAAAAAAAAAGAACAAGAACAAGAGAAATGAAATGAAATGAAATGAAATAAAAAAAGACTGGAAGTTCTTGTGCCAACACCCTCATTGGCTGTTGAGGACTGGAGTTAGTCCAAGGGCTTTTAGGTAACATTGAGGTATAGACTCAGCCAGGAACCTTCAGTAGCCCTAGGACCTCCTTTCAGTTCCACACAATGAGTAGGCCCTTCATGAAAGAAAACTGGATTAGAACAGTTTTCAAGTTTGTTTTTGAAAGAAAAAAACTTAGGACAAGAATTTAATATTTTATTTAATAATTTGAACTTAGAAATGACCAACCTATCTCATTTTTTTGTTTTTGTTCCACATGTCCTGTTATTGAGTCCCTCTCATTCCACATTTAAGCCTTAATCAGGCTTCAGTTCAGAAGAAACATAGAAATGGGTT
Organism: Homo sapiens; assembly: GCF_000001405.40. NCBI lineage: Eukaryota > Metazoa > Chordata > Mammalia > Primates > Hominidae > Homo > Homo sapiens. Next base: position 22,143,186 of record NC_000019.10, on the reverse strand, counting down.
GCCATATATGTTCAGTTAAGAATCAGGATCCTCTTGTGTATAAAAACTTTTACATTTATCATTCATAGTACAAAGCAGTATTTTTAAGATGTGGACATGTTCATTCAAATTAAATATAATGATTTTTATTAGTATGCCCATGTGGCAAGGTATCTATATAAAGTTCATGCAATGGTCTGTTTCATAATCTCCCAAAATAAGGATCAATATGTATGCAGTCCTGGATCTTAGTTTTTTGTTGTTGTTTTTTGTTGTTGTTTTTTTGTTTGTTTATTTACAATTTAAAGGTTTTTTTCCTAATTTATGATAATGTTAATCTATAGAAAGCTTACCAAAAGCTCTATTTTACTACAATTTTTTTAAACAAAAAGTCCAAATACTCAAACATTGAAAGTGACTTTCTCAATTACCATTTTTCATTTGATGTATCTTCACTTATTACTACTGCATTACAGTTTTTTTCTTATGTGGTGCAAGGTTATAAAAATGCCTTCCAGTTGATTTTTTGGTAACAGTAGAATCTGTTTTCTCAGACAATAACATGAGAATTTTGGATATATTACCTTTTGAGTTACTAAAAGGAACTTGATAAATGTGTAGAAATTTGTCTTTGTTAATAGACGTTTTATTCAAAGACTAAAGAAAGAAAAGTTGGCCAGGTGTGGTGGTTCACACCTGTAATCCCAGCACTTTGGGAGGCTGAAGGGGGTAGATCACAAGGTCAGGATTTTGAGACCAGTCTGGCCAACATAGTGAAACCCCATCTCTACTAAAAATACAAAAAATTAGCTGGGTGTGGTGGTGTGCACCTGTAATCCCAGCTACTGGGGAGCCTGAGGCAGGAGAATTGCATGAACCCAGGAGGTGGAGGTTGCAGTGAGCCAAGATTGCACCATTGCATTCCAGCCCAGATGAGAGTGCGAGACTCTGTCTGAAAAAAAGAAAGAAAAAAAAACAAAAGTCATACAAACGCACTGAAAATAAATTGGAATCCGGCACCTGACACTGATTAACAGGTTGAGCAGATTAAACTAGACCTAAATCCCTGTAAACAACATTGAAAGTTGGAATTTTTTAATTAACAACATCTTCAACAATTTAATAAACCTATGGAATTAGCAAAAAAAGATTTGTTTACCCATCATCAATCAATATTAGGTTTAACTACAAAACTTTGAACACACCATATATAAAATGAAATTAGTAAACTATCCCCAGAGCTAATCTGATTAAAACAAGACTTCTGGGTATTTAGAAACACCAAATTATTGATAAGCATATCTATTTTTAACAGATTTTTGATCTTATATATATACTACTATTAAGTAAAACCTAGTACTAATAGATATGACTTATAAAATATTTGTGAATATTTATTACTGTAGTAAAATATCAAGAAATTATTTAAATCTATTGTCTAAAAGTTTTTCATTAACATATTTGGTATTTTAATTGAATGCCAGTATTCATATAGTATGGCAAACCACTCATTTCTTTACTATTTTGTCATTTTATAACTGAAGCCTGAATTTGTAGCCATTTTTTTAAAAAACAATCTTTTCTCAAGAAAGATTTACACATCAAAATGTAGAGGTATTAATGTCACATTATAAACACAGTTTGCTGAACCCTACAGTAATTTGTAAAGTTTGTTTGTGTATACCAACCTTAGATTTTCTAAAGCACAATAAAGTCTTTTTACGTTGTATTTAACATACAAAAGTCCAAAATATATCCAGACAGGCAGGAACTATGGCTGCCACTTTAAAACACAAATGTTTCAGCACGATACACTATTCTGTGTATGTATGGATAAATAATCAAACTTTGAAATTTTCAAATCATAAACAGATAATATTTGTTACTTTCAGCCTTTACTATGTAAAACAAATACACACAGTTTACTCTTCTTAGTTTAAAATATATTTACTTTGAACAATTCAACTAATGCAAGACTATTGAAAATTTCATAAGCCATACAAATGTCAACTTCATTTTCAAAATTATAAGAACTAAAAAAAAAAAAAAAAGCTAAAGCAAGACACTTTAGTTTAAAAAAAAGATAAATAACTTTTTATTTGCACTTGTGATGAGAATCACCTTTATTCATTTAGGAATAAACAGGAAATGGTGCAGTTGTAACTCGCTGTGTGGTGACTGTGATGGTATTTACTGTCCTAGGGATGGTGGGATCCAGTGGACCAGAATCGTCAGCACCTTACCATGTTCACTGCTGTCCTTTCACTCTGTCACTAAGATTAGTTTCCGAGACTCATCAACTCTTTCTATCATGGTGTGAACTGCTTTGCACTGCATTAGCATCTGCCTTTGGTTTCTGCTCATTTTCTTTGACTTTCATTTTTCTTGTCCTTCTCTGGTGTTTGCTTCACTGCTCCACTTTGAGGAGTTTGGGCAGCTTCACACTCAGTCGCTCCAACAGTTTGTTCATTTGGCAGAAGCTCTCCGTTCTTCTGTTCTTGGCATCTGAGATTTGTCAGCAAGGCCTGGTTTACAGGGACCATGGCTACTGCCTCCTCCCACCTGCGGGGCACCTCCTTCACTTCTGGAGGGCACCAGTTCCAGTTGTGATCCAGCCGAGCACAGCAGGAACCACCGCAGCAGCCAGAGCGCCCACGGCCAAGGTCGCCCAGCCCGAGGACACCTGGACTCAAAGCCAGGATTGGGGCTCAGCTTGGCGCACAGAAATCCGAGGTCAACCAAAGCATTTCCCACAGCTGGGCAAGCCCTCCTTGACCTGTGGGGCCAGTTTCTCCCACTGGCTTTCTGCTGCCACCTCCCCTTCCATCAGAGGGATGCTCAAGATTGTGTAAGGGCCTGTGGACACCGTGAAGAGTCCAGGGAAGTGAGGAGGGGCTGGGCCGGGCAGGCTCAAGCCCAGCACATGGCCACACCCCTCACACCTGAGCAGAGATCAGCCACTGCCACCGCGGGGAGGACAGAGGGGCCCAGGATCCCCCAGCCAGCCTCCCTCTGCATCAGGAGAGGAAGGAACTACTTCCAGAAAAAAAGTATAGAATAGAAATGACATATCTGACCCAATCGAGTTTTCAGTTTTTCTTTTCTTTTCTTTTTTTAGGTTTAAATACATTTTTATTAAATGTTAGAATAAATTTATACACAGTTCACAAATTCTTTACAAAGAATTGCCAATCTTTGTCCAATTTTGTAGTAGTCTCTATACAGATTCAGAAATTCTGCTGTGAACAGGGTTTATAAAATATTTCTTTTAGAGAGCATCACAATGCTAATTTTAGGCAAAATAATGTTTTAAAACTGAAGTCTTTGCATGGAGGTGAGCTCAAACACCCTTATTCTTTATTCCAGTGATGAAATAATGAGAAAAATAAACATTAAACTGACTTACCAAGAAAACAATGAATAAGTAATTCTGTAAACTTCTCAAATTCTCCTAAAATTTTTTATTACTTTCAGAAGCAATACTTTTGCAAGGTATCAACAACCACACTATGTACCCAAATAAAATGAATGTCAGAAATAAAAATACTGTCACAAAGAAGCACCCCTTATTGGAAGATGTATTGAAGAAGTCTTATTACACTGAAAGTTTATGGCACAGACCATAAACTCAGAGTCTCTTCACACATAATAACAATTCATCCATTTTGAAATGAGTAACTTCTCCTTTGTAGTGTTGCTAGTATAAAAAAAGATACAAGTTCAAAATATGCTGGCAACATACAAAAGTGGCCAATAGTTTTGGTCTTTGAGAGTACGCCCTGCAGTTTAACAAAGACTGGCTTTGGATCTTCCATTCAAAAGCACACTTCTCTTCCAAAAGGATGACTGCCCAACTGATGCCATCCCAGAGAGCAGATATCCCAACCACCAACTTGAAATGGCTGAACAAAGAAAACTAACCAATTACTTCAAAGATGGGAAGCAAAATCAATGTCAAGGTATTTAAAATCATAAGAAATTTTAAAATTCAATTTTTGAAAAATTTCCCCTGAGCTTTCGCTGCTTTTTATATACAGTCTCTAGTAACAGATGCATTCCATCGTTCCAAGTTGTACTTATAAATGCTATAATTCTTGGTGCTAAAAATAGGTAAGTTATGTCTTGAACAGCAAAGTGGTAGCAATTACATTTCATGGAAATCTTTGGTGAGATGCAGTCCTGCAGAAGCCTCCTTTGTTTCCCTCCTCATAATGTGCCTAGAATCTTCAAGTTATCTTCAGAGGAGAAACTACAAGACCATAATGAAGGACAAGCAGACCATCCTGCATTGCTGCATCACCTATTGCACGTCGGATTTCCCTTAGAGTTTGATACTGCTCCAACAGGTGATCACCACAGATGATATCTACCTGACAAGCTGGATCAAGACCCATTTTTCTTCTGAAGAATTTTTCTACATGTCCAATAGTTGCTTCTCCTGAAACTCGAACAAACTTCTTTTCCAATGGCTTAAAATGTCCCGTGCCTTCATTAGCACCAATGAACTCCAGTAATAAAGACATATCAAGTTCAGGTGGAATAGGAAACACTGATTCTCGGATTTTTTTAGATCTTCCTTTGCTTGAAGGGACTGGCTGTGGAACAGCAGGTTTAGGTACTTCTAGACCTCTTTCTTGATAGAAATCATGCATTTGCTTTTTTTCTCTTTCCTCTAGATTGATCACTAATTTGTACACTATGTCTTGTAACTGTCGGTCCAACCTTATAAAGAGGTTGTGTCTGATGTACTGCTATATTGCATTTTGGACATCTGTTGCTGTAGTAAAAATGTCTTACGACGCAGCTTTTACAAAAGGTATAAAGATATTCTGTGATGGTAGTTGCATCTATTAAGTAACCTTTGCAAATGGAACACAAGATATATGGGGTCAGCTCAGAGAGATTAATCAGGCGCTCCTCCTCGTCCTCCGAGTCTTGCCGGCCTCCCTCCAGCCTCAACGAGAAGTGACTCATGTCCTCCTCCTCCTCCTCCTCTTCTTCCTCCTCTAGCTCCTCTTCTTCTTCCAACTGCTCGTCCTTATCCTCGAAGCGGCCTCTGAAGCGGCCCAGGCTGCGCTCTGGCTCCAGCTCAGGGGGCCGGGAGCCGGAGCAGCCGGGAGCCCCAGTCTCAGACAGAGGCGCCGGTCCCTCCTCACCCGCTGCGGGTGCGAGGGTGAGGGCGGGCGGGGAGACAGGAGGCGGAGGCGGCAAGGCTGCAGCTCCCTCGGCTTTGGCAGCGCTTACGCTGCCCGCCGTCACCACCGCGACCCCCTCCATGGTTGGGGCAACTTGCTTACACGTTAAGAAAAGAAGTCACATCGAATAGTTGATAGGTCTAAATATATGTTACAATGCCCTTTGTGGGCAAAGTGCAGGCAGGAGACTCACATAACCTTGGTGCTGTTCCCAGGAATATATCACAATGCCTTCTGAGTACAGTTCAAAAATGAAAGTGTAACGTCACCTTAGTTTGAGGCCCAGTGATATGTCACAATCTCCCCTGTGGACAAAAACTAGAAAGGAGAATCACATCAGTTAGGTGCTGAGTTCAGCAATATGTCATAATGCCCCCTGTGAGCAGGGACCAGGCAAAAAAAGAGAGTCACATAACCTGGGTTATTGGCACAGAGATTTGTCACAATTCCCCCTGTTGGCAGGTCCTAGGCATGAGAGTTACATCACCTGGGTGTTGGACCCAGCAATATTTTATGATAATATGTGAAAAGGGCACAGGCAGGAGAGTCATGTAACCTGGGTATATACCCCAGAGATATGTCAAAATACCTTTTGTGGACAGTGCCGAGGCAGAAAAATGGAGTCACATCACCTAGGTGCTGGGTAGAGCAACCCATCACAATTCCATCTGTGGGCTAGACCATGGCAAGAGTCATATCACTCAGATGCCAAATAGAGGAACATGTCAGCATCACTCCTGCAGGAAAGTCTGAGGAAAAGATGAACAATCTTACACATGTCCCAATTCTAGGTATAAGAGTCAACGCTTCCTATATTTTGGGTCTAAGCAAATGAGTCACAATCTCAGTGGTGGGCTGGATTTGTGCATGAGCGTCTCAATTTTTTCTATGAATTCCGTTTTCTTAGTGGAGTGATGGCCTCATAACTGTGCTGAATTTTGGTCTGAGAGTCACCAACCCCCCTGTGGACTGGGTCTACCAATGAGAGACAATGTTTTAATTTTCAACTGCCTTTGGTTATGAGATTCAACACCTCAACAGTGGGCTGTATCCATGAGGAAAGATGGCAAGTTTTACTGTCAGTTGGGTGTGGATATCACTGTCACAATCTCACCTGTGCGCTGAACCCCGTTAGGACATTTAATACTACCCAAGATCATCGTAGACTAGGAATGAGAGTCACAATTTTCCCTGAGACCTTTATGCTGCTCCCTAGGCCCAGGTAGAAAAGTTAATATTTCTCAAATTAATTGGGCCCAGACAGAAGAGTCCTCACTTGTCTATGAGCTGGGTCTAGAAATGAGTCACCATCCCAACTTTGGACAGGTGTTTACATTTGACAGTCAGGAATCAAACTGTGGATTGCATCTGCATGTGAGACACAAGACCTCACCAATGGGCTGTTTCCAGGTGTTAGGGTGACAATCCTAACAGGTGTCTGGGTGTGTATACAAGAAACACAATATCCCTTTTGTTTTGGGACATGTGAACACTCTCTGTACCACTCAAGAGCTTTATACCATATACAAGTGCATGGTAGTTCTCTATGACCGTCATATAAAGAGGAGACACAGGTATTTTATAAGTTTTCCTAAGCCTAGCTATAAGAAACAGTATCGCTTCTACTGACTTGTTTGAGGTATGAGAACTGTCATCACACCTGTGAGCTGGGCCAGGATATATGTAATAATTTCTCCCCTGAAGAGAGAGTAAACAGGGAAGTCACATTACCTGGGTTTGGGGCTGAAGATACGTCATAATCTTCTTTGAGGGCAGGGACAAGAAAGGAGAGTCAAATCTCCTGAATTCTTGGCCAGGAAGATTTACAATCCTCTCTTGAATGTTGGGAACAGGCAGCAGAGTCACATCACCTAGGGCCCAGTGATATGTCACAATTGTCTCTGTGGGCAAACCCCAGTCAGAAGAGACACATCACTAGGTTGCTTAGTTCAGTAATATGCCACAATCTTCCCTGAGGGCAGGGTATAAGCAGAAGACAGTCACATTTTTCAAGTCACATATCTTTTAAAAAAGTGATGAGGGCCCCTTGGGCTGAGTCTGGGTGGAAGTTTTCCTACCCATAGGTGTTGGTCACAGAGGTATGTCACAATACCAATAATATGTGACACTTGAGCAAGAGAGGATAGTCACATCACCAAGGTGCTCAGTTCAGTGATATGTCACAATCTCTCCTTTTTGCAGGGCTCAGGAAAAGAGTAGAGTCGCATCACCTAGGTGATGAACAAAATGATATGTGATAACATTCCTGTGAACAGAGCTTATGCAGGAAAGTCACATCACCCAGGTGTTTAACCTAGCTATATATTACACATGTATGCAGTGCCCACGCAAAAGCAGAGAGTCATATCACTAGGTGCTGGGTCCAGCAATATTTCATAATATCCCTTGAGGGGAGGTCCCAGGAAGTAGATTCACATCACCAAGATGAATGGCCCAGAAATATGTCCTCTTGTGGGTAGGGCTCAGGAAAAAGAGGAGAGTCACATAACCTAGTGACTGGGCCCAGCTCTATGTCACAACCAACCCAGTGATAAGACCTAGTCATGAGAAGAGAGTCACACCATGTAGGTGCTAAGCCAAGTTCACAATCCACACTGTGCACAAGTTGCAGAAAAAAACAGGAGTATCACATCATCTAGGTAATGGGCCTAATGATATATCATAGTAACTCCTGTGGAAAGAGACCAGGAAGAAGTATTACATCACCTGTGTTCTGGGCCTAGCAATAAGTCACTCTCCCTATCTCCCACTCTCCTGAAGGCATGGCCCAGGCAGAAGAGGAGAGTCACATCAACTGAGTGATGAGCACAGAAATATGTAACAGTGCCCTCTGTAGATAGAACCCAGTCATAAGAGTTACTTCCTTTGGGTGTTGGACCCTGCAATATGTCACAGTGGCCAATGTTGTCTGGACACAGGCAAAAGAGTCACATAACCTGTCTACAGAGCACTTTGATATGTGAAAATGCTCTCTATGGGTGGAGCCACAGCAAAAGAATAAAGTCACATCACCTAGGTGCTGGGTCCATGGATGTGTCATGTTTTTATCTGTTGTCTGACCCCAAGCAAGAGAGTCAAATTATTAAGGTCCCGGGCAGAGGCTTATGTCACAATCACACCTAGGAAGGTCCAGGGATGTGATTGACAATCTTGAACATGTCTAGGTTTTATTTACGAGAGTCAACACCTCCTGTATGTTGGCTCTAAAAACAGGAGTCACGCAATCTCAATGAGAGAGTGGGTCCATACATGACAGCCTCAATCCCTCCTGCAAACTGTGTCCTCTTTGAGGATTCACAGCCTCACCTGTGTGCTGAATGTCTGAGATTAACCAACCCACTTGTGGATTGGATCCATGGATGATAGTCAATTTTCCAACTTTCCACTGCCACAGGGTATGAAATTAAGAACTTCAAAAGAGGGCTGTGTTCATGTGGGAGGATGACAATTTTTACTATCAGCTGGATGTGCACACACGTATTACAATCTCATCTGACTCCTGGGCCCTGTTAGGACACTCTCTGTACCACACAAGGGTATTATGTGGTATGCACGAGAGTCACAATCTATTCTGAAACCTTCATACTAGTATGGATTTGTGATTTTTACCTGTGGCTTTAAGCCCAGGTATGAGGGTCAACATCTCTCCTATTGGTGGGTTCCAGATAGAACAGTCTTTACCTACCTATGATTTGGGTTTAGGAATGAATCACTATCTTAACAGAGGCTGAATGTTCTGTCACAATTGCAACTGTAGATTGTGTCTGCATTTGGGATTCAGGACCTCCTCAGTGGGCTCGGTCTATGTGTGAGGGTGATGATCTTAATGACTGCCACAGTGTAAATATGTAAAGCACAACCTCAATTGTGTGCTGTTCTCTGTGGTGACACTCTCAGTACAAGCTGAGTGCTTTATGGTACATGCAATAGAGTGATAAGCCTCCATGATCTTTGTACAAAGAGGAGACCCAAGGATCTTACCCATTTTTCTAAGTCTACCTACAAAAGACAGTATTTCTCTTATTGGCAGGTTTGAGGAATGAGGGTCATCATCACATCTGTTACCTGAGTAAAGACATATGTCACAATTCCACCTGTGGATAGGAAGCATGCAGGAGAGTCACATCATGTGGGTTTGGATCTAGAGATATTTCTCAACATTCCCTGAGGACAGAGACCAGGCAGGAAAGTCACATCACCTGGGTGCTGCTCCTAGTAATATGTCACAATTTCTCCTATGGGTAGGGTGCAAGCAGGAGAAAGTCATCTCCTAGGTAATGTATGCAGAGATATGTCACAAGGCTTTCTGTGAGTAAGTTTTAGGCAAGAGCCTCCCATACCCTAGGTGTTGGGCCTAGCAATATGTCACAATACTCAAAATATGAGAGGCCCAGGTAAAAGAGAAGACTCACATTACCTAGGTGTTGGGTCTAGGGCTTTATACAGTTTGAATGAGAGTCACAATCTAGTCTGAGACTTTCTTGCTGGTATGAACCTATGATTGTATCTGTGTCCCTAAACCTAGGTAGGAGAGGCAACATCTCTCCAATGTTCTGGGTCCAGATAGGAGAGCCCTCATCTTCTTATAAGCTGCATTTAAAGATGTTTCGCCATCACAAATCTGGCCAGATGCTCACATATGACAGTCACAAATCCAACTGTGAACTGCATCCATGTGTAAGATTCACAAGTGAGGTCTATCCATCTGTGAGGGTTACAATTTTAATGGTTGATGGGTTGTGCATATGTGCAAGTCAACTTCACCTGTAGGCTGGGCTCTGTGGTGACACATTGTGTACAATTCAATGGCTTTATACCATATGTGAGAGTGTGGTAATCCCCTCTGACCTGCAGAAAAATAGGAGACCCACGATCACACCCATATCCCTAAGCCTAGCCTTGGGAGACAGTATCTCAGCAACTGGCTGGTTCAAGATATGAAAGTCATCATATTACTTGTGAGATGGGACAGTATATATGTAACAAATCCACATTTGTGTAGGTAGCAAGCACGAGAGTCACATCACCTGGGTGCTGGGCCAGAGATTTGTTATAAAAAACAAAGCTTTTAACTGGTCCTGAGAACTAACTAGACATAGTCACAGAGATCTGTTATATTTGTTTATATTTGTTAGAATATTTCCTTATTTTTGAAAACTGAGTGAATTTTCAATGTATTTATCTTTCTAATTGTCTCTACTGAATGATTTGGTGACAGAAATTTGCATTGCTTTTGCCTATTGGCTTACAATAACAATGCTTCAATAACTATGGGTATGCAAATAACTGTTCAGATTACCATATATGTGAAAATTTATGTATGTGTTGCATTTTATTTTATTAGTCTACTTTTTTTTACCTTTACACTCATTCAAATTGTTTTAATTCTTTAGCTTTATAATGTTTTTTGAAATCAGGAACTGTAATGCCTCCGATTTGTTTTTTTAAAAATATTTTTTGGTACATTATTGTCTCTTGCAATTTCATATACTTTTGCATTTGCTGTTTTTGTCTCTTTAAAAATGCAATGAGAAATTTTAAAAACATTGCATTAAATCTGTAGATTACATTGGGCAGTATAAACATCTTCACAATATTAATTATTTCAACTTTTCACCAAGAGCATGCTCAAGAGTGTATTGTTTAATTTGTAGATATTTGTGAATTTTTCAGGTTTCTTCTGTTGTTTATATATTCTTATTCAATTTTGGTTATAAGAAGTAATCCACACAATTTTAGTTTTAAAAATGTGTTAAGACTTCTTTTTTGACCTAACTGGTGATCTATCAAAGAGAATGTTATGAGCTACTGCAAAGGGTGTGTGTCCTATGCTGTTGAGGAGTATTCTCTATACCTTTCTTAGGAATCATTGTTTTATACTGCCTGCAAATCTAATGTTCCCTTACTAATATTCTGCTTTGTCTTATTTTTATTATTGAACACAAGGTATAGAAATATCTCACTATAATTATGTTGCTCTCTATGTGTTTCTTCAATTCTTTCAATATTTGCTTTATATATTCAGAACCCTAATATGAGATACACACACACACAAACTTATGTACAAATTTGTCATAGGTTCCCAGTGCATAAATCTATTATTGTATTATTGTTGGCAGGGCACAGTGGCTTACATCTGTAATCCCAGAACTTTGGGAGGCCAAGGTGGGTGGATCACGAGGTCAGGAGATTGAGACCTTCCTGGCTAACATGGTGAAACCGTGTCTCTACTAAAAATACAGAAAAAAAAAAAAAATTAGCCGGGCGGGTGGCATGTGCCTGTAGTACCAGCTACAGGCTGTAGTCTATACAGGTTTTTTCTATGGTACTTTGGAGATTACATAAAACCTTTAAAAGATACAACAATATATTTTAATCTGGTAAAAAATTAACTTTAGTTGCCTGTAAAATTTCTTCCTCATTACATGTGCCCTAAACCTTGTTATTAATGTTGCTAATTATCTTTTTATGTTGCATATTCATTAACAGGTGTTTACCATAATTTCTATGCTTTTATGTTTCAAATTTTAGACACTAAAAGTGCTTTTTCCACCATTTTGATAATGCTAAGGAATTCTGTTTTGTGTATGTGTGTAAGTTTTTTAGAAAGTTATGTATTTTTATAAAATTATGTGTTGTTCTCCTTCATCATGTTCTTTTCAGTGGAAGGAACTCATTTCAGCATCTTTAATATGTAGGGCATATGAAATGCCAATATACTTTTTCCGAATTTGGTTACTTTGCAAGGTCTTTTTCTTTTTATTTGTTAGGACAGTTTTGCTGATAGCATTATTCTCACTTGACAACTATTTTCTTTAGGACTTTGACTACATCACACAGTTTCCTCCTAACCTGCAAAATTTTGTCGACAAATTTACTGGTTATCTCATTAGACTATGCTTTTAAATGACACATCACTTTTGCCTTGAAGCTCTCAAGATTCTCTAATTGTCTGTGACTTTAAAAATTGTGCCTATATATATATGTTTGTTAGAAATATCTTTGTGTGGCCAGGTGCAGTGGGTCACACCTGTAATCCCAGCACGTTGGGAGGTGAGGCGGGCTGATCATCTGAGGTCGGGAGTTTGAAACCAGCTGACCAACCTGGAGAAACCTCGTCTCTGCTAAAAAAAATATATAAAAATTAGCCGGGTGTGGTGGTGCATGCCTGTAATCCCAGCTACTCAAGAAGGCTGAGGCAGGAGAATCGCTTTAACCCAGGAGGCGGACGTTGTGGTGAGCCAAGATTGCACCACTGCACTCCAGCCTGGAAAATAAGGGCAAAACTGGGTCTCAAAAAAAAAAAAGAAAGAAATATCTTTGTGTGCATCCTAGTTTGTTTGTTGAGCTTCTTCATTTTTACATCACATTTTATTACTTTTAAAAATTTTCAGTTATTTCACTTTGTATTTTTACCTCCATAATTTCTAGGGTTTATTGATATTTTAAATATTTTTGTTGTTATTCTTTTTTTAATTGCATTTATTTTAATGCTGAATTTACTCACAGGCCATAAGTTTGTGTTTCTTCAGTTTCTTCTGGGACACCTTTTTTTTGTGGGTAATGTCCTTTTTCAGTTGAGGAACAATTTGTTCCTTTTCAGTAAAGATCATCTTTATGTGGCAGGGAGAGCTCATATATGGGTTAATCTGACCATGAGCTCTGTAGTCTAGACATAATAAAATTTATACTGGAGAAAACCCTACAAATGTGAAGAATGTGGCAATGCTTTTAATCAGTCCTCAAACCTTATTGAACGTAAAATAATTCATACTGGAGACAAACCCTATAAATGTGAAAAAATGTAACAAAGTCTTTAATTGGTCTTCAACTCTTACTGAACATCAGAGAATTTATACAGAAGATAAAGCCTAAGAATACGAAGAATGTGAAAAAGGCTTTAACTTTTGAACCCTTATTACACATAGGATACATCATATTGGAGAGAAATTCTAGAAATGTGAAGAATATGGCAAAGCTTTTAATAAGTTCTCAAACCATACTGGAGAGAAACTCTACAAATCTGAAAGATGTGACAATGTTTTTGAAAACACCTCAAACTTCTAAAAATAAAAGAAATACTAGTAAGAAACAGTAGAAGTGTGAGTAATGTGACAAAGCCTTTAAATTCTTGTCACACTTGATTGTAAGATAATTTATACTGGAGAAAACTTCTTCAAGTATGGAGAATACGACAAAAAGTTTAACCAATGCTCACATCTTTTTGTTTGTTTGTTTGTTTGTTTTTTGGAGATAGAGTTTCGCTCTTGTTGCCCAGGCTGGAGTGCAATGGTGTGATCTTGGCTCGCTGCAACTTGTGCTTCCTGGGTTCAAGCGATTCTCCTGCCTCAGCCTCCTGAGTAGCTGGGACTAAAGGCATGCACCAGCACACCCAGCTAATTTTGTATTTTTAATAGAGATGGGGTTTCTCCAAGTTGGTCAGGCTGGTCTCAAACTCCTGACCTCAGGTGATCTGCCCGCCTCAGCCTCCCAAAGTGCTGGGATTACAGGCGTGAGCCACCGTGCCTGGCTCAGTGCTCACATCTTATTGCACAGGAAAGCATTTATTCTTGAGAAAAATTATACTAATATAAAAAATGTGGAAAAGCCATTCATATCTGCTCACATCTTACTCAACATCACGGAGTTCATACTTAAAGCATTAACAATGCAATTACTGTCAAAAGATCTATCAGAATATATAAACCTTTAATAGTATTTATTTTGGGCTGGGTGCGGTGGCTCATGCCTATAATCCCAGTGCTTTGGGAGGCCGAGGCGGGCAGATCACCTGAGCTTGGGAGTTCGAGACCAGCCTGACTAACATGGAGAAAGCCTGTCTCTACTAAAAATACAAAACTTAGCCGGGCATGGTGGTGCATGCCTGTAATCCTAGCTACTTGCGAGGCTGAAGCAGTACAATCGCTTGAACCCAGGAGGTGGAGGTTGCGGTGAGCCAAGATCACGCCACTGCACTCCAGCCTTGGCAACAAGAGCGAAACTCTGCCTCAAAAAAAAAAAAAGTGTATTAATTTTGAACATGAACGAACATTACAAATATAAAAAGGGTTTTAGTGCCTTTAATTCTATTACAGATCTTGTTGTATACATTTTGTGCTAGAGGAAAACCCTACGGCAGTTGCTCAAACTTTATTCAACACCAGGAAATTTATACTGTAGAAATACCCTGCAAATTTAATGAATTTGGAAAACCATTTTTTAAAAAACTACAGCTTAGAAAACATCAGAGTGTATACTAAGATTTTTTTTGTAAATACAGTAAATATAGAGTATTTTATCCAAAATTAAGTCTATGTCAGTACCAGAGAATATACAGTAGTAATAATAAGGCACTGAAATGTCAGACATTACACTAAATCAGAGTGTTGAGTATAGAAAATAATTCCAAACTAAAATTGTTAGATAAGTTTTTTGTATATAACTTTAAAAGGAGTAGATTTTTTGTAGAGTTATAATTACATGGGAAGTATACTTTTTATTGAAAAAATACAGACTTTTTGAAAAGCAAATAATGATGCAATTGAACTCTCAAATTATTTTCTGCTCTTTGTTTCTATTGTATTCACATGTGAAAGCATGTGATCAATTGCTGCATCAGATATATGAGAGATTATTTTTATTAAGTGGGCATTATTTATGAACTTTTCCATAAAAGAATAAGGATATTAAAATATAAGATGCATGATGAAAATCTAAGTGAAGAGGCTTTTTGTGGTTGACTTATAATATTAAGTAGTGTATGAGGTAGGTTTCTAAGTAATATTCTTGTGCATTATAGTGAGAGAAAAACATTTTTAAATTTTAGTTAAAATTAAAAATAAAATTAGTAGTATATCATTATAATTGTGCTTATATGTAATAAAATATGGTATATTAAAAATTTTTAGATTATATGTGAACTTAATTTTGTAACATTTTTTAACATGTTAATTTTATTGTGCACTCAATGAAGTGTTATTATGCCACTAACTTTAACCTATCCCACCTTACTCAAGGGTGTAGGTAAAACATGGTAACAGTATATTATTTAGTAACATAGTGGAATAACATCTCTAGTAATCTATTTTTTCAGTGGCTTTAATCTGCAAATAAGTGAGAGACTATTGTTCTCATAGGTTAAGTTTTTATTTTTTTTCTTATTTAAATTTTTTAAAAAATTTTGTGGGCATATAGTGTATGTATATATTTATGCCATATATGGCATATTTTGATACAGGCATACAATATGAAATAATTACATCAGGGTAAGTGAGGGATTATCACCTCCAGCATTTATTCTTTTTTTTTTTTTTTTTCCTTTTTTTGAGACAGAGTCTCGCTCTGTCACCCAGACTGGAGTGCAGTGGCGCAATCTCAGCTGACGGCAAGCTCCGCCTCCCAGGTTCATGCCATTCTCCTGTCTCAGCCTCCCAAGTAGCTGGGACTAGAGGCGCCTGCCACCACTCCTGGCTAATTTTTTGTATTTTTAGTAGAGACGGGGTTTCACCATGTTAGCCAGGATGGCCTGGATCTCCTGACCTCATGATCCGCCTGCCTCGGCCTCCCAAAGTGCTGGGATTACAGGCGCGAGTCACTGCGCCAGGCAGCATTTATTCTTTAAGTTAGAAACAATTCAATTCTACACTTCTAGTTATTTTAAAATGTACAATTAAATTGTTATTGACTACAGGGTCATTTTACGGTCATAATAAAAATTATATACAAGTATACATAAAATCCATACATATCTGAGACCTAAATATTTTTAAAAACTTGTTACATATTTTTCTTTGAACATGTGGACACTCTGCCTGCAAAAATTTACAGATTTTTAGTTTTGATTTAAGTAGGATTAAATATATACATATATTACTCTGAAGACAAACATGAGGTGTAAAAACATGCAGTAAGTGTGTTTGTATAACTATGGGTTTGTACCTGTTTTCAGAAGAATACAACAATATTAGAACAAAACAAATTATTTTAATGGCTAATTTACTAGAAAACTAAAAACCTCAATTTGCCTAGGCAATGATCTATCGTGATTAATTTCCCAGATGTTCTTTGAGCTTCTCGTATTTTGACATCTAGGTCTCTAGCAAGGCTGAGAAAGTTTTCCTTGATCATTACACCAAAAATATTTTCCAAACTTTTAAATTTCTCTTCTTCTCCAGGAAAGCCAGTTATTCTCAGATTTGGTTGTTTAACATAATCCCAAACTTCTTGGAGGCTTTATTATTTTAAAATTATCTTTTCTTTGTTTTTGTTGGATTGGGTTGATTTGAAAACATTGTCTTCGAGCTCTGAAGTTCTTTGTTCTGCTTGTTTAATTTTATTGCTGAGACTTTTCAGGACATTTTGCATTTCTCTAAGTGTGTCCTTTATTTCCCGAAGTCGTGATTTGTTTTTTGTATGCTATCTATTTCACTGAAGATTTCTCCCCTCATTTCTTGTATCTTTTCAAATTTTTTAAAATTGGACTTCGCATTTCTCTGGTGCCTCCTTGATTAACTTAATAATCAACCTTCTGAATTCCTTTTCACGTAAATCAGGGATTTCTTCCTGGTTTGAATTCATTCCTGGTGAGCTAGTGTAACTTTTGGAGGGTGTTAAAGAACTTCGTTTTCTCCTATTACCAGAGTTGTTTTTCTGGTGTCTTCTCATTTTGGTAGGCAATATCAGAGGCAAGACCTGGGGCTCAAGACTGCTGTTCAGATTTTTTTGTCCCACAGGGTGTTGCCTTGATGTAGTACTCTGCCACTTTTCCTAGGGATGTGGCTTTCTTAGAGCTGAACTGTAGTGATTGTTATTTCTTTTCTGGATCTAGCAACTTAGAAGAACTACCAGGCTGAGGGCTGGTACTGGGGCTTGTCTGCATAGAGTCCTTTGATGTGAACCATCTGCAGGTCTCTCAGCCATGGATACCAGCACCTGCTTCAGTGGAGGTGGCAGGGGAGTAAAATGGACTCTGTGATGTTTCTTAATTTTGGTTGTTTAATGTACTATTTTTGTGCTCCTGACAAAAGGTGGTGCTTTCAAAACAGCATCAGCTGTGGTAATAAAAGGAGGATCAGGCAGTGGGCAGGGCCCCATAACTCCCAAGAGGATACCCTCTTTGTCTTCAGCTACCAAGGTGGGTAGGGAAGGACCATCAGGTGGGGGCAGGGTTAGGCATATCTGAGCTCAGACTCTCCTTGGGCAGGGCTTGCTGTGGCTGCTATGGGGAGTGGGGGTGTGGTTTTCAGGTCAACAAAGTTATGTTCCCAGGAGGATTATGGCTGCCTCTGCTGTGTCATTCAGGTTGTCAGTCAGAGAAATGGGGGAAAGCCAGCAGTTACAGGCCTCACCCAGCTTCCGTACAACCCAAAAGGTCTGTCTTACTCTCACCGTGCCACCTCCAACAGCACCAAGTCTGTTTCCAGGCAGTGGGTAAGTAGGGCTGAGAACTTGCCACAGGCTCCCAGCCTTCCAACTGAGAAAGTAAGCAGGACTTTCACACCTTACCGCCTGTCATGTGTGCACACCGGACTCACACCCTTCCCATGTTCTGGCCAGGAGACTTCGTGTCCAGTTGGAATTGTTACAAAGTTCAGCTGGAGGTTTTCTTCTTCCTGTGGCCTTTTCCCAGTGCCTCTGGCATCCCTCCCCAATGACCCCTGTAAAATAGATCAGAACTGGGTTTTCTGGAGGACCTAGAGAGCCCACAGGTCTTTTCTGGCTGCTGCTTCTACTCCTGCATTTTGCTCAGCTCTCTAAATTGATTCGGCTCCAGGTAAGGTCAAATTCTTTTTCTGTGATCTAGACCTTCAGGTT
The DNA here is from genome assembly GCF_000001405.40 of Homo sapiens. Taxonomy (NCBI): domain Eukaryota; kingdom Metazoa; phylum Chordata; class Mammalia; order Primates; family Hominidae; genus Homo; species Homo sapiens. The sequence continues at coordinate 22,125,178 of NC_000019.10, read as the reverse complement.
TTTCAGTGAAAGTGTGTGTTTGGTGGCAAACAATCCCCCTTTCTTACTTTCACAGCTTGGGCATTCACAGCATTTGGGCAGTCTCCCAGGCCCTGCAGGAGCATCTGCTTTTTTCAGAGGGTTTGTGGATTTTCTTGGCTTTTCTGGTATATTTCTGCAGTAGTTCTGGAGGAAAAGTTCATGATGCGAGTCTCAACACGCTGCTCTGTGTGTCTGAGTGGAAGCTGTGATCTAATTCTGCCTTCTGTATACCATTTTTTGTTGAGTCCTGACCTATTTTTTTCTTGGGGGCTTTTTTAATACATATAGATACAGGTATAAGATTGGTGGATAAACATACAGAATGGGTCCCCTGGTTATGTTTATACAAACTCCATATATGCATACGTCTGGCAAAAAGCTTCAGGAAAAAAGTAGGTCTGAGGTTATTTTCCTTCACAACTGTAAACCAGGTGAATTCGAGAAGCTGATTAGCTCCACCCAGGTTAATCAATCAGCCAATCCTCTCAGCCCAGATAGATATGATCAGCCAATTAGCTAAGTTGGAAAAGTGAAAGCATCACATTTTGTGATGTTGTCAAGCCACATCACAACATGGCTGATATGAATAACACAGACATACAGTGAGTATGAGAGTGGGGTCCTAAAGGCTGGGTGTGGTGGCTCACGCCTGTAATCCCAACACTTTGGAAGGCCGAGGTGGGCAGATCATGGGGTCAGGAGATCGAGACCAACCTGGCTAACACGGTGAAACCCCGTCTCTACTAAAAATACAAAAAATTAGCCAAGTATGGTGGTGGGCGCCTGTAGTCCCAGCTACTCCGGAGGCTGAGGCAGGAGAATGGCATGAACCTGGGAGGCAGAGCTTGCAGTGAGTCCAGATCACGCCACTACACTCCAGACTGGGACAGACAGCAAGACTCCATCTCAAAAAAAAAAAAAAAAAATTAGCAAGGCATGGTGGCTCATGCTTACACTCTCAGCTACTTGAGAGGCTGAGGTAGGAGAATCACTTGAACCCAGAAGGTGGAGGTTGCAGTGAACCAAGATTGTGCCACTGCACTTCAGCCTGGGTGGCCAACCAAGATGGCCTCAAAAAGCAACAAGAGGCCGGGCGTGGTGGCTCATGCCTGTAATCCCAGCACTTTTGGAGGCCAAGGAGGGTGGATCACGAGGTCAGGAGATCGAGACCATCCTGGCTAACACGGTGAAACCCCATCTCTACTAAAAATACAAAAAATTAGCCGGGCGTGGTGGCGGGCACCTGTGGTCCCAGCTACTCCGGAGGCTGAGGCAGGAGAATGGCGTGAACCCAGGAGGCGGAGCTTGCAGTGAGCCAAGATAGCGCCACTGCACTCCAGCCTGGGCGACAGAGCGAGACTCTGTCTCAAAAAAAAAAAAAAAAAAAAGAACAACAACAAAAAAGCAACAAGAACAACAACAACAACAAAACCCAATAAAACAAATAGGTAATACTGAACATTCTCTAAAGCGCCATAGGTGGCTCTTATTTGCCCCGCCAAATCTTCTTTGTGAGGAAGGCTAGGCCCCCTAGTGAATATTTCTGGCAGTTCCTCTCTAGATGAACAGAACCTCAGTGAGCTGGTTTGATGAAACCCAAAATTAAAAACACCCAGGTGCCAGGTTATCAAGGAAATAATTAAATGTATGAAAAAAAGTGACGTGGTGTGTTGCTTGGATTGAATAAATCTTTTCGGAGCTAAGTGACTGACTGGATTTACCTAACCTGTAGGTAAAGATAATGGAAATCACCTCTGATGAATTTTATTTTATTGGCTTCTTACTGTACATATATACATTAGACATAAAATAGGTGGCTAAACATATACTCACAAAATAAGTCACATGGGTACGTCTACATAATATTCATCTGTGTATAGGTCTCCAAAGAAAGCCTCAGAAAAAAGTAGGTCAAAGGTCATCTCCGTATTCTCCTGAAGCCAAGGTAAATTCAGTAAGCCAATTCGCAGAACCCAGGTGGATCCAATCAGCCAATTATCTAAATAACGACTTTGGATTTATCAAGGCAGGACCAAAATGGTGGGTGTGAGTAGAACATGCACACACTGAGAAGAAATGCAAGGGCCGGGTACGGTGGCTCACGTCTGTAATCCCAGCACTTCGGGAGGCTGAGGTGGGCAGATTGCAAGGTCAAGAAATCGAGACCATCCTGACCAACATGTTGAAACCCCGTCTCTACTAAAAATAGAAAAATTAGCTGGGCATGGTGGCACATGACTGTAGTCCCAGCTACTCAGGAGGCTGAGGCAGGAGAATCACTTGAACCCAGGAGGCAGAGGTTGCAGTGAGCCGAGATCACACCACTGCACTCCAGCCTGGCGACAGAGCAAGACTCTGCCTCAAAAAAAAGAAAAAAAGGAACTTTCATACACGTATAAATTTATCTGCCCTTTAAACAAGATCTAGAGAATTACACAAATAAAAATATGCTCCAATATCCTGCTGCATTTAACATATATTGTTAAAGAAGGATTTTTTCTTGTTTCTTGCTTCTGGGAGATAAAAATACACTAAGGCAATGGAAGTCATTCATTGCTATGTCAATGTTGACCCTTCTCTTTCTGTTGCACATGCGGCCAAAGTTGAACCAGCCTCAGTCCAAAGTTTCTCACCAAAATTTGAGAATGTTTATTCTTTCTCATTAAGACTTTCATCAAGACAGGGACTCTTGTTTATTTCCATGAGCGTGCGATGTGAAAACACTTTTCTTTTTGTCTTTGTGGCTAAAATAGGCTCTTTATGGTAATGGAAAGAAAGCCTAGGTTTCTTATTATAAGATAGACTGTGATACTGAAAGCAAATATAATGGTACATGTTACCTGGCTACATTTCAAATAGGTGATAGTGACACTGCACTGAACCACCAAAGGTGGTTCTTTTTGGCCAGGCCAAAGCTCCTTTGTGAAAAAGGTTAGGCCCACTGGTGTCAGGCATGTCTGAATGTTTCTAGCTGGATGGACAGAATCCCATGGGCCAGTTTGATGAGACCGAGTTAAAAACACCCTGGTGCTGTGTAATGAGGACATTTTTACATTAAAAAAGCAAGATTTGAGGCCGGGTGTGGTTGCTCATGCCTGTAATCCCAGCACTTTGGGAGGCCGAGGTGGGCAAACCACCAGGTCAGGAGTTTGAGACAAGCCTGGCCAACATGGTGAAATCCCGTCTCTACTAAAAATATAAAAATTAGCTGGGCGCGGTGGTGGGTGCCTGTAATCCCAGCTATTCTGGGGGCTGAGGCAGGAGAATCCTTTGAACCTGGGAGGCAGAGGTTGCAATAAGCTGAGATTGCACCCACTGCACTCCAGCCTGGGTGACAGGGTGAGACTCTGTCTCAAAAAAAAAAAAAAGCATGATTTGCTGTATGGCTTGAATTTGATAAATCTTCACTAAGCTAATGGTTGATTGAATTTACCTGGCCTGAATGGGAAAAAAATAAATATCACCTCTGACCTACTCTTGTTGGCTGTCTTTTGTACATATAGATATAGATATAAGATAGGTGGCTAGATAAACATATACACAGAAAATGGGTAACATAGGTATATCAACGTAATGATCTTTATTGCATATGTCCTGTAGGGAAGCCTCAGAATAAAAGTAGGTCAGAGGTCATTTTTCTTTCCAGCTTCTGCAGCCAAGGTGAGTTTAATGAGCTGCTTAGATCAGCTCAGGTTGATATAAGTCAATTAGCTAAATTAGGAAGTTGCAGGCATCCAGGCAGACCCCAAATGGCAAATGTGAATCACATAGGTTTACAGTGAGAAAGGAAGCAGGGCCCTGAAATGCTAAGCTGGAACTAGAGTCTAACATGGTTTTGCCGAAAACTTACCTCCCAGGCAATGCACCTAAATGTGAAGCTTTGTTGATATTTAAACATAACATTGTATGGCTGTGTTCCAGTCTGAGATGGTGTGGATCCATATGGGTTAGAGTAGGTTTACATCTGCATCTTCAGTGTAGGCTAGGGAATTTAAAATGTCTTTTGATTAATATCTTTTATATATATAAATATTTACATAGGCATGCTCATATAATTCTATATTCATATTTATCTACTCATGTATATCTATATACAGATCTATCATTTTTTCCATTTGCATACAAAATAAAGATATAGGAGGTCAAAGGATAAATAAGTATTTGCATTTATAGCAATGTAAAGAAAAACTTCCATAAATGCAAAATCTTACTTAGTGACATTTTGGGTAAGAAAATAAAACACGAGGTCTGGGACTTGACTATAGACTGCTATACTGAAAGCAAACTTCAGGGTTTTTTTGGACACTTTTTTTCTGTACATTTAAATACAGATATAATGTATGTAGATAGATAAACATACACATCCAGGTTCACTGGCTCACGTCTGTAATTCCAGCACATTGGGAGGCCAAGGCGAGTTGATCACTTGGGGCCAGGAGTTCAAGACCGTAGCCTGAACACATGGCAAAACCCCATCTCTACTAAAAATACAAATATTAGCCAGGCATGGTGGTGCACACCTGTAATCCCAGCTACTCATGAGGCACGAGAATCACTTGAACCTGGGAGGAAAAAGTTGCATTGAGTCGTGATCACACCACTGCATTCCACCATGGGGGACAAAGCAAGACAGTCTCAAAAATAAAAAGATAAACATATACAAAGACACAAGGTCATAGAAATACGTGTATGTAATGTTCATTTGTGACTATGTTTTGTAAGAAACTCACAAATGAAAAGTAAGTCAGAGGTTATGTCCCTACTCATGCCCCTCAAGATAGATGAATACAATCAGCCAATTTTCTCAGCCCAGGTAAATGTAATCGGTTGATGAGCTCAACCCGAGTGTTTCCAATTAGCCAATTAGCTGAGCCCAGGTCATTTCCATTAGCCAATTATCTCAGCCCAACTGATTCTATTTAGCCAATCAGCTCAGCCCAGGCAATTCCAATCAGTAAATTAGCTCAGCCCAGGTGATTCCAAACAGCCAATTAGTTCAGCCCTGGCAATTTCAATCAGCCCATGAGATCAGCCCAGGTGAATCTAATGGGCTGATTAGCTTAGCCTAGGTTATTCTAACCTGAAAGTTAGCTCATGTGATTTTAATAAGGAAATTAGCTAAGTTCTAGTAAATCCAATCAGCCAATTAGCTGAAACCTTGTGATTTCAATCAGCCAATTAGCTCAGTTCAGGAATATCCAATTAGCCAATTAGCTCAGCTTAGTTTATTCCAATAATCCAATTAGTTTTGCACAGGTAGATCCAATCAAGAAATTATTCAAATAACAACTGCAGCTTCATCAAAGCAGCATGTATAACATGGCTTTGCTGTCAGCTTATTTCTGAGGCCTATGCTACTGAAGGTGAAGGTATTTTTATGCTTATATAAACAATATTGAATGGCTATGTTCCATTCTGAAATTCTGTTGTGCAAAGGAGCTTGGAAGTAATTCTATACTTGCATCATTAGTATATGTTAAGAGATTGAAAATGATCTTTTGGGGAACATTTCTTTTATACATAAATATTTACATAGACATACTCATATAATCCTGTAAGTTTTTAAAATCTATTTACTTATGTATATCTATATCCTGATGTGCCAATCTTTGTATTCATATTTAAAAAGAATAGAGATACAGAATGTGGAAGTATTGGTAAATATTGGTACTAATTGCAATATAGAAAGAAACTTTAGGCTGTGTGTGGTGGGTCACACCTGTAGCCCCAGCACTTTGGGAAGCTGAGGCAAGTGGATGACCTGAGGTCAGGAGTTTGAGGCCAGCCTGGCCAACATGGTGAAACACAGTCTCTACTAAAAGTACAAAAAATTAACCAGGCGTGGTGGTGGTCACCTGTAGTCCCAGCTACTAGGGAGACTAAGGCAGGAGAATCGCTTGAACCCGGGAGATGGATGTTGCAGTAAGCCGAGATTGTGCCACTGCACTCCAGCATGGGGGACAGAGCAAGACTCCGTCTCAAAAAGAAAAAAAAAAAAAGAGAGAAACTTTAATAGATATATAAACTTATTTGCTCTATAGACTATATCTAGAATAATACACAAATAGAGGTATGTTCTGACATACATTTTGCTGCATTTAACATAAAAGAAAAAAGCAGCTGTCCTTTTTGTTCACTTCTGTGAAATGGCCATGTACTAAGGCCATGGAACTCATTAATTGTCATGTCAAAGTTGACCCTTTCTTTATGTTGTATATAGGGCCAGAGATAAACCAACTAAAGTCCAATGGCCACCCACATCTGAGAATGCTTATTCTTTCTCATTAGAACTTCCATCAAGACAGGGTTTTTTTATGGCTGGATGCAGTGGCTCACGCCTTTAATCCCAGCACTTTGAGAGGCCGAGGCGGGTGGATCACCTGATGTCAGGAGTTCTAGACCAGCCTGGCCAACATGGCAAAACCTTATCTCAACTGAAAAAAAAAAAAATACAACAATTAGCTGGGTGTGGTGGCAGGTGCCTGTAATCCCAGCTACTCGGGAGGCTGAGGCAGGAGAATCTCTTGAACCCGGGAGGCGGAGGTTGCAGTGAGTTGAGATCATGCCATTGCACTCCAGCCTGGGGGACTTTGTCTCAAAGAAAAAAAAAAAAAGACAGTGGTTTTTGCTTCTTTATTCCATGAGTGTGTGATGTAAAAGTGCAATCTTATCTTTTTGTCATTGTGGCTGAAGTAGGGTCTTTATGGTAATGGAAAGAAAGTCTAGCTCTCCTTTTAGAAGATAGACTGTGATACTGAAAGCAAATATAAGAGTACATGGTGTCTGGCCAAATTCCTGTGAAGCAAGAGCGAACATGCAATAAGGTGCCAAAGGTGACTCTTGTTGACTAGGCCAAAGTTTTTTTGTGTGTGAGGAAGGCTAGGCTCACTGGTGTCAGGTATTTTTAAATTTCCTAGCTGGATGAACAGAATCCCAATGGGCTGGTTTGGTGAGAGGCAAAATTAAAAGAACCCAGGTTCCAGGTAAGTAGGACATTTTCACACTTATCAAAAAAGTGATGTGGTGGGTAGCTTGAATCAAACAAAAGTTATTGAGCAAATTGGCTGATTAGATTTATCTGGCCTGGAGGAAAAGAAAATGCAAATGACCTCTGACATAGTTTATGTTAGGGGCCTCTTTTTGTACATGTAAACATAGATATAAGATCAGTAGATTGATAAACATATAAACACAGAATAGATTACATGGGTCTGTCTACAAAATGTCCATTTATGCATCTGTCCTGTAAAAAAAAGCTTCAGAATAAAAGTAGGTCAGAGGTGGTCTTACTTTTCTATCCCTGCAGCCCAGAATTCAGTAAGACAATTTGCTCAGCCCACATGATTGCAATAAGCCAATTAGCTCAGCTCAGGTGAATATAATCAGCCAATTAGCCAAATGGGGACAGCAAAGGCATTTAGGTAGGCCAAAATGATGGCTGTGAATAACACGGGCATACCTGAGAAAAAAGCAGGGTCTTGGAATGCTAACCTGAACTTAAAGGCTTACGAGGTAGTTCTGAAAGCTTACTATCCAGGCCATGCCCATAAATGTGAAGCTTTGTTCCTCTTAGCTTTATTGCTCTTATCTGTAAGAATAATATTTATTAAAGCCCAAAGAGGTTTTTATTGTTAAGTTAAAATTGTTCCTATTGGGTGGCTGAGGCAGGAGAATCACTTGAACTTGGGAGGCAGAGGTTGCAGTGAGCAATGGCACCACTGCACTCCAGCCTGGGCGACAGTGTGAGACTCCCTCTCAAAAAAAAAAAAAAAGGTTTCTATTGATTCTGGTGAACATGGAACCAGAGATAAACTAGCCTCGCTTAAAGGCCCTCACCCACATTTAAATATGCACTTAAGCCATGGGAGTCACTCATTGCCATGTCAATGTTGATCCTTCGTTTTCTGCTGTACATACGACCAGAGATAAACCAGTCCCAGGACAAAGACCCTAACCTCAATTTCAGAATGCTTATTCTTTCTCACTGGGGCCTCCATCAAGATGAGTTTTTCTTTTCTTCATGAATGTGTAATGTAAATGTGCACTATTGTCAACTACTCTTTGTTGCTGATGTAGGGTGTCTATGGTAATGGAAAAAAGTCTAGATCTCTTTTTAGAAGATAGACTTTGATACTGAAAGTAATTATAACAGTGCATGGTACCTGGCCACATTTCAACCAGGTGATAGTGAATGTTCACTGAAGTGCCAAAAATGGCTATTATTGCCCAGGTCAAATTTGCTTTGTGATGAAGGCTAGGCACACTGGTGTCAGGCATATCTGGCTGTTTCTAGCTGAATGGACAGAACCCCGCTGGAGTGGTTTAATAGAATACACAATTACAAACTACAGGGTTTCAGGTGACAAAAGCAGTTTCACATTTATGAAAAAAATGTGATGTGTATGGCTCAGACTGAATACAACTTAACTGAACTAATTTGCTAATCATATTTAAATGGCATGGAGGAAAAGAAAATGGAAATGAACTCTGACCTAGTTAACTTTGGAAGCTTTATTCTGTACATACCTATATAGATATATAGATATAAAGTAGCTGCATAAATAAACATATACACACATAATAACTTCCATGGGTATATCTATGTAATGGTCATTTGTCCATGTGTCCTGTTAAAAAAAAAGCATCCGAAGAAAAGTAGACTAGAGGTCATCTCCTTTATTACATTTGCAGTGCAGGTGAATTCATTAAGCCAATTAACTCAGCACAGGTGATAGCAGTAAACCAACAAACTCAGCTTGGGTTAATATAAGCACCTAATTATCTAAACTGGGAAGTGGAGGCATCAAGGCAGGCTCAAACTAGCAGACGTGAATGACACAGGCATACAGATAGAAGAAAAGCAGGCCCCTAAAGTGGTAAGCTAGACATAGAGACTTACAAGGCAGTACTAAAAGTTTATTTCCCAGGTGGTGACCATAAACATTAAGTTTTGTTGATGTTTATAAATAACATTGTGTGGCTCCGTTTCACTCCGTAATTGTATAGAGCCATCTAGGTGAGAAGTATGTCTTCATCTTTGTTTTCAGGATAGGCTGAGGAATTGAAAATGTCACTTGATGAACATTTTTTGTATACATAAACATTTACATAGACAAACTAATATAATGCTGCATGTATGTGTTAAAATATTTCTCTACCTATGTACATCTATAATCATCTATCTAGCATTCTCTCCATATTCATGCAGAATAAAAAATATAGAAGCTCAAGATATTGATAGCTACTTGTACTGAGGGCAGTATAAAAAAAAACCTTTTGGTCAGGCACGGTGGCTCATGCCTGTAATCCCAGCACTTTGGGAGGCCGAGGCAGGCAAATCATGAGGTCAGGAGTTTGAGACCAGCCTGACCAACATGGAGAAACCCCGTCTCTACTAAAAATACAAAAATTAGCTGGGTGTGGTGGTGGGTGCCTGTAATCCCAGCTACTCGGGAGGCTGAGGCAGGAGAATCGTTTGAACCTGGGAGGCAGAAGTTGCAGTGAGCCAAGATTGCAACACTGCACTCCAGCCTGGGTGACAGAGCAAGACTCCATCTTAAAAAAAAAAAAAAAAAAAAAAAAAAAAAAAAAAGTCCATGCATGGTGGCTCATGCCTGTAATCCCAGCACTTTGGGAGCCTGAGGCGGGCAGATTACAAGGTCAGGAGATCGAGACCGTCTTGGCCAACATGGTGAAACCCCGTCTCTACTAAAAACACAAAAAATTAGCCAGGCATGGTGGCGGGCATCTATGGTCCCAGCTGCTCGGGGGGCTGAGGCAGGAGAATGGCGTGAACCCAGGAGGCAGAGCTTGCAGTGAGCTGAGATCAGGCTACTGCACTCCAGCCTGGATGACAGAGCGAGACTCCATCTCAAAAAAAAAAAAAAAAAAAAATTGGTCAGTGGTCATCATTTTTTTAAATCCCTGATGCACAGGTGAATTCAATAAGCCAATTAGCACAACCCAGATGATAACAATAAGCCAATTAGCTTAGCTTGGGAGGATATAATGAGCCAATTAGCCGAATTGGAAAATAGAGAAATCAGGGCAGGCCCAAAATTGTGGATGTAAAAAACACATGCATACCAGGAGAAGAAATGCAGGGTTCTGAAATTCTAAGCTGGACACAAAGACTTAAATGGTAATAGTAAAAACTTATTTCCCAGGCCATGCCTGTAAATGTGAAGGTTTGTTGATGTCTACACATAACATTGTTTGGGTGTATTTGAGTCTTTGATGGAATGGAGACATATAGATGAGAAGTAAATTTTCATCTATGTCCTCAAAATTGGCTGATGTATTGAAAATGTCTCTTGATTAACATCTTTTGTATGCATAAATATTTGCATGAAAAACATAATTCTCTTCATATTTATTTATCAATCTACCTATGTATTACTATATCCGGATGTCAAGAATGTTATGTTTTATTCTGGTGAGGACAGGACCAGAGATAAACTAGCTTCAGCTTAAAGACCCTCACCCAAAGTTAAAAATGCTGAATAAGGCCAGGCACAGTGGCTCACGTCTGGAATCCCAGCACTTTGGGAGGCCAAGGTGGGCAGATCACCTGAGTTCAGGAGTTCAAGATCAGCCCGGCCAACTATGCTGGAAACAGTAAAACTTTATCTGCCCTTAGTACATAATTAAAATAAGTTACCAGGTTTTACATTAAAGTTTAAAATTGCTGAGTTACCATTATAACATGTAATAAAGACCACTAAAAATGAATTTACATGCCAGGTGTGTAAGAACAGCAAAATATGTTTTAGTAAAAGATTATAAAAGGGATGAAAGTTTAAATTTTTACCTAGGTTTAAAGGATTATTTTGAATTAGATAAGATAAAGCTGATAGCAGTAAACCAATAAATTCAGCTCAGGTTAATATAAGCACCCAATTATCTAAACTGGGAAGTGGAGGCATCAAGGCAGGCTCAAACTAGCAGATGTGAATGACATGGCCAGGCATGGTGGTTCATGCCCGTAATCACAGCAGTTTGGGAGGCCGAGACGGGGGGATCACCTGAGGTCAGGAGTTCAAGAACAGCCTGACCAACGTGGAGAAACCCCGTATCTACTAAAACTACAAAATTAGCCAGGTGTGGTGGGGCATGCCTGTCATCCCAGCTACTTAGGAAGCTGAGGCAGGAGAATTGCTTGAAAATGGGAGGTGGAGGTTTCACTGAGTCGAGATCACGCCATTGCACTCCAGCCTGGGCAACAAGAGCAAAACTCCGTCTCAAAAACAAAAAAAAAACTGATGGTTTAAACAAATTGTGGATGGACTATAAAAATTAATATTGCAAAAGAAATTCTGTGCATGAACATACTGACTAAATTCAAGAGGGTATTATATAGTTGTTATTCCATAAATTGTGCATTGAACTAAAAGAAAAACATTTCCGTAAGGCACTAGTCTGTGCTTTAGCAAATTTATAAATGATTACAAAAGGTTTATAAGAATTTTACCTTATGGTCAAACTGATTAAGATTGGATAGAATTGCCTATATAGTTTCATTAGAAAATTAGGTTTGATATTAATAGTAGACTAATGCAAGAGTAAAATTTGGCTTTCTCTTCCTTGTACAAGATTTTCATGTAATAGTAAAAGATAATGGCTGGGCACAGTGGCTCACACCTGTAATCCCAGCACATTGGGAGGCAGAGGTGGGTAGATCACCTGAGGTCAGGAGTTCTGGAACAGGAATTAAAAGAAATTAAAGAATGTGTAAACAGAAACTCAGTTGTATGTAAGAAAATCCAATCCCTCCCTGAGAAAGAGAAAGGCTGGAGTCCTTTAAAAATTAACTGCCTGTTTTTCTGTGGCTAGCGAGCCTTATCTCACTCTTTCCCAGGCATTGTGAAGACCCTGTTTCTCTAGCTGTGCAGCTGCATTGTCACTAGACAGATAAACTCAAGTCATAAAAAATGTTTTTCCTTAAAAAGTAAGAGATGATGTAGTGCATGTCTCAATTAATTGAATAACTGTCTTTGTTTCTCACTTCTGTAAAATGCTTCCCTCTGCACAGATCTCTCCCAACCCCACGAAATGCTTAAAAGGTGACTTAGCTCTTTGTTCAGGGCTCAGTCCTTTGGATGTTAATCCGACTGGGCCAGTGCACCTAAATAATAAATATCCTCCTCAACCCCTTGGTCTCTCTGATTCCGTAAAATATCCCACTACAGTTCAAGACCAGACTGACCAATGTGGTGAAACCCCGTCTCTAATAAAAACACAAAAATTAGCTGGGCATGGTTGTGTGTGCCTGTGGACCCAGCTACTCAAGAGGCTGAGGTGAGAGGATTGCTTGTATCTGGGAGGTGGAGGTTGCAGTGAGCTGAAATTGCACCACTGCAGTCCAGCCTGGGTGACAAAGTAAAACTCTGTCTGGAGAAAAAAAAAAGAAAAATTAATGAAACATTTCTGTTTACCTTGCAGGTAGACTGCCAAAGAAAAGAAAGAAAAGAGAAAAGACAAATTGTTTAGAAAGCTAAGTCTCCCCTCTTAATAAGTAAAGGCTTTTGCCTTGTTTTAAAATTTTCAAGTTATCATTTTGGCAAAATAAATAACTTATGGTAACTTGAAATTGTATTTCATAATATCAAGTATTTAAAACCTCTAATATTTGACAGGCTTCCCAAAATCAAATTTCAGCTTCAAGGTTGTCTTTCCTGACCCCTAGCTTTTGGATGCTTCAGTGATACAGAGAACCCCTGGAGCATCCAGAAGAGAGAAAATCAGAATTATTTGACATGTTTAGGTAGATGGGATTGCCAAAATAATGTTTAATCTTCCTCACATAATATTTTAGTGAATAATATTAATATGTGTTTCAAAATTGTATGGGATTTCTAGAATTCTAATGTCTAAATATATGCTATCAATCACAGTTAGGTTGCTATGTTATTGTAAAACAGAGATAACAAAATTTATTTGTCAATTGTGTTTGTTTGTTTTTTGAGATGGAGTCTCACTCTGTCACCCAGGCTGGAGTGCAGTGGTACAATTTCGGCTCACTACAATATCCATCACCTGGGTCCAAGCCATTCTTTTGCCTCAGCCTCTCAAGTAGCTGGGATTACAGGTGCCCACAAACATACCTGGCTAATTTTTGTATTTTCAGTAGGAACAGAGTTTCACCATGTAGGCCAGGCTGGTCTCAAACTCTTGACCTCAGATTATCTGCCCGCCTCAGCCTCCCAAAGTGCTGGGTTATAGGCGTGAACCACCGTGCCTGGCCTCAATTGTGTTTTGGACTATTCCCTGGACATGTTGTCATTCACAGACAATTGTTTTCTTGTTTTCATCTTTTTCAAAAGATGGTTTATAATCAGCTATAGGACTTTAACAGGTGCTCTCAAATACAGGTTTCTGATAAATTTAGAGATTGTGACATTGAAATACAGGAGAAACATACAGAACTCATGAAGAGCTAAAGTGTTCATGAATATCAAGCAGAACAAAAGTTAGCTCAATGGACTAAACTAATAGGAAATTGAAGTAATTTTTTTTTCAACTTTTTGCTTCAAACATTGCTAATTTTTGTTTTGTTTTCCATAGTCAAGGAAACTTACCTTGAGCTATTTACAGCCTTTAATAATTGAGTAAAGTATACTCCTGTGAACAAAATTTGGAGCATATTTGTTTTTCTCTGGCTAGTTTCTACAGAATTTGGAAGCTTATCTGTGAGTGTTCTTAACTTATGGTAATATGGTTGTTTGCATCAGTGCAATAAGAATCCATTTTCTTTTGTGACAGGGTACAATTGGAGAAACTGGTTGTTTTACCAAGGCTTTGACTGGAAAAATATGCTTCCCTTTAAGGAATCAGGCTCAACTTGCAGAGCCAATAAAAGCTCCTAGAGCAAACTGGTCTCATACCTCTCTACACAGTCCCTGTACAGGGTTCCTAACATGTGTTGAGTAAAAAATGTCACTTTGTAACAGGCCCAGGAACCCCATATACTTGGGAACTCAAGAAGAAAGGAATTCACCTAATTCCTCGGTATTTGAGATTACAAACCCATGAGGGGGCTTGGCTTTAAAAAGTTATATCATAGATTCCTTGTAGAACAGAGTCCCATCAAAGTGAATTTTAAAAGCCTATTTAAAAATAATTATTCTTCCTGCACTTTATACAAACAATCAGGCCAAGTATAAGACTAAATTTTATTTTGCAAACAAGTCAGTCCTATCATGATGTGTTTTTAACAAAAATGAGAACTGGAGAGAAAAATTATGTTTCCAAACTGATCATACACTTGTCATTAAATTATAGTCTCATTAGTTTTTAAGTTTTTCCTTGCAATTTAGACTAACCCTGTTTATTCCTGTGAAATCAACCAGTGATCTCCAGCTACAGTGCAGAAGAAACAGAAAGGAATGGTTAATGTAACAATCTGGATCCACATTTCAGTTCTGGGCAATTATCCCGCAAATCCTGTCAGGTGATAGGAGTAACTAGAGTACCCATAACCTGGAGGTTTCTATGTTTGGGAAAATAAGAACAATGGAGCTAACGAAATCCAAGCCCCATGCACCCAAATCTTAGCAGGCATAACTATAGCCACCTGTTATCTGGGTGTGTCAGCAGCCTTAGGATTTTTGTGCTGTCATTACCCTCTTGTTTCATTTTAATACATGTCTTCCAATAACCCAGTTTGTCTTTTCTTGCATTCAGGCCATTAAACTCCAAATGGCCATGCAACTGGAGCCTCAGATGATGGCCACGTTTTACTGGAGACCCTTACATAGGCCTCTGAGGGAGATCTGACTGCTGACTTGCCAAAACAGTGCCCCCTGTCAGCAGACAGCAGTTAAGATTAGTCATCATTCTTATCATTATCTTTATTCTAATGGCAGTTAGATGTACTTCTTTAGCTTAACATCAGCATAATGTAGGAACAAAATCTTTAAAAATTTAAGCAAACGAAAACCTACACCAAAAAAAAAAACTAACATCCACGAATGCATACATATTGATCTTTGTGTTGGCAGAGTCTGAAGCAGAACATTGGGTGAAGTTGATGCAGTTATTTTGACCACATTGGCATACTGATAAAATTATTTATATTTGAATAAAATATGTCTACATCCTATAAATACTGCTTTGTACTGTAAATAATAAATGTAAGATCTCTATCCTTAAGAGGATTCTAATTCTCAACTCAATATATATAGAAACCCATTCCTCTGGTTCCTCCAAACTGAAGCCTCCTTAAGGCTCAAATATAAAGTGAGAGGGATTCAACAACAGAGCATGTGAAACAAAAAGGATGAGGTAGGATGGTCAACTCTAAGGCCCAGATTGCCATGGTGACCCCAATATAATAATATCAACTATTAAGCTCACTAGCTAAAAATAAACATAAAAAGCTGAAAATACCATGGCTTAAATTTGATGGGACTGAGTCTCTAGAACTGTAGACAGTTATACTAAAAGAATTGAGCCAGAATGACATGTATCTAAGGATTATTAAAGAGAATGTTTAAAAGCACATAAGTATTTGTTCCAAATCTCATTAGAGTAGCAATATTCTTTTCTGTAATGTCAGCTTCCCCAAGCTAGGGATGCCATAGACTAAGACAAGTGCCTAATATGTTGCAGGCAATTATTTTCTACATTTAATGAACTTGCAATAAGTTTGTAAAATATATTGGCTTCTGTTTCACGTATAAATCTCACTGAAAGGCACTATCCAGTAGCTATTTTTCTGAGTCATTTTTGGGATTTTCTGTTGCTTGAGTCCCAACTAACGTTATTTGAATCTTAGTGATTTCTTTTTCTTTTTCTTTTTCTTTTTGAGATGGATTTTTGCTCTTGTTGCCCAGGCTGGAGTACAGTGGTGCGATCTTGGCTCACCACAACCTCCACCTCCCAGGTTCAAATGATGCTCCTGCCTCAGCCTCCCGAGTAGCTGGGACTACAGGCAGGTGCCACCACGCTGGGCTAATTGTGTATTTTTAGTAGAGTCAGGGTTTCTCCATATTGGTCAGGCTGGTCTCGAACTCCTGACCTCAGGTGATCTGCCTGCCTTGGCCTCCCAAAGTGCTAGGATTACAGACATGAGCCACCATGCCTGGCCGAATCTTAGTGATTTCTAAAGCCACAGATGTAATAACAGAAAGAGAACAAAAATGAAGCCAAGTTACCCCAACAGTTCATGTATAATATATTTTGTTTTACGGATGAACCAAAAACCACACAAGCTAAACAAAAGTGGGTTTAATATTCAACCTGAGTTCAATGGTAGCAGTCAAAATCATATGCAAAACTTAGCAAAGTCACAATATAGAAACTCTTAGCCTGGTACTCCAAAAAAAAAAAATTCTTATTTTGGCATTTTTTTTTTTTTAAATTAAGCGAACAAGGCTCTCCCTCTCCCTCTCCCTCTCCCTCTCCCTCTCCCTCTCCCTCTCCCTCTCCGTCTCCCTCTCCCTCTCCCTCTCCCTCTCCCCACGGTCTCCCTCTCATGCGGAGCTGAAGCTGGACTGTACTGCTGCCATCTCGGCTCACTGCAACCTCCCTGCCTGATTCTCCTGCCTCAGCCTGCCGAGTGCCTGTGATTGCAGGCGCGCGCCGCCACCCTGACTGGTTTTGGTGGAGACGGGGTTTCGCTGTGTTGGCCGGGCCGGTCTCCAGCCCCTAACCGCGAGTGATCCGCCAACCTCGGCCTCCCGTGCCGGGATTGCAGACGGAGTCTCGTTCACTCAGTGCTCAATGGTGCCCAGGCTGGAGTGCAGTGGCGTGATCTCGGCTCACTACAACCTCCACCTCCCAGCCGCCTGCCTTGGCCTCCCAAAGTGCCGAGATTGCAGCCTCTGCCCGGCCGCCACCCCGTCTGGGAAGTGAGGAGTGTCTCTGCCTGGCCGCCCATCGTCTGGGATGTGAGGAGCCCCTCTGCCTGGCTGCCCAGTCTGGAAAGTGAGGAGCGTCTCCGCCCGGCCGCCATCCCATCTAGGAAGTGAGGAGCGCCTCTTCCCAGCCGCCATCACATCTAGGAAGTGAGGAGCGTCTCTGCCCGGCCGCCCATCGTCTGAGATGTGGGGAGCGCCTCTGCCCTGCCGCCCCATCTGGGATGTGAGGAGCGCCTCTGCCCGGCCGAGACCCCATCTGGGAGGTGAGGAGCGTCTCTGCCCGGCCGCCCCGTCTGAGAAGTGAGGAGACCCTCTGCCTGGCAACCACCCCGTCTGAGAAGTGAGGAGCCCCTCCGCCCGGCAGCTGCCCCATCTGAGAAGTGAGGAGCCTCTCCGCCCGGCAGCCACCCCATCTGGGAAGTGAGGAGCGTCTCCGACCGGCAGCCACCCCGTCCGGGAGGGAGGTGGGGGGGGTCAGCCCCCCGCCTGGCCAGCCGCCCCATCCGGAAGGGAGGTGGGGGGTCAGCCCCCCCGCCCGGCCAGCCGTGCCATCCGGGAGGGAGGTGGGGGGGTCAGCCCCCCGCCTGGCCAGCCGTGCCGTCCGGGAGGGAGGTGGGGGGGTCAGCCCCCCCGCCCGGCCAGCCGCCCCGTCCGGGAGGTGAGGGGCACCTCTGCCCGGCCGCCCCTACTGGGAAGTGAGGAGCCCCTCAGCCCGGCCAGCCACCCCGTCCGGGAGGGAGATGGGGGGTCAGCCCCCCCACCCGGCCAGCCGCCCCGTCCGGGAGGGAGGTGGGGGGGTCAGCCCCCCGCCTGGCCAGCCGCCCCGTCGGGGAGGGAGGTGGGGGGGTCAGCCCTCCGCCCGGCCAGCCGCCCCGTCTGGGAGGTGAGGGGCGCCTCTGCCCGGCCGCCCCTACTGGGAAGTGAGGAGCCCCTCTGCCCGGCCAGCCGCCCCGTCCGGGAGGGAGGTGGGGGGGTCAGACCCCGCCCGGCCAGCCGCCCTGTCCGGGTGGGAGGTGGGGGGGTCAGCCCTCCGCCCGGCCAGCCGCCCCGTCTGGGAGGTGAGGGGCGCCTCTGCCCGGCCGCCCCTACTGGGAAGTGAGGAGCCCCTCTGCCCGGCCAGCCGCCCCGTCCGGGAGGGAGGTGGGGGGGTCAGCCCCCCGCCCGGCCAGCCGCCCCGTCCGGGAGGGAGGTGGGGGGGGTCAGCCCCCCCGCCCGGCCAGCCGACCCGTCCGGGAGGTGAGGGGCGCCTCTGCCCGGCTGCCCCTACTGGGAAGTGAGGTGCCCCTCTGCCCGGCCAGCTGCCCCGTCCGGGAGGGAGGCGGGGGTGTCAGCCCCCCGCCCGGCCAGCCGCCCTGTCCGGGAGGGAGGTGGGGGGCGGTCAGCCCCCCTGCCCGGCCAGCCACCCCGTCTGGGAGGTGAGGGGCGCCTCTGCCCGGCCGCCCCTACTGGGAAGTGAGGAGCCCCTCTGCCCGGCCAGCCGCCCCATCCGGGAGGGAGGTGGGGGGGTCAGCCCCCCGCCCGGCCAGCCGCCCCGTCCGGGAGGGAGGTGGGGGGGGTCAGCCCCCCTGCCCGGCCAGCCACCCCGTCCGGGAGGTGAGGGGCGCCTCTGCCCGGCCGCCCCTACTGGGAAGTGAGGAGCCCCTCTGCCCGGCCACCACCCCGTCTGGGAGGTGTGCCCAACAGCTCATTGAGAACGGGCCAGGATGACAATGGCGGCTTTGTGGAATAGAAAGGCGGGAAAGGTGGGGAAAAGATTGAGAAATCGGATGGTTGCCGTGTCTGTGTGGAAAGAAGTAGACATGGGAGACTTTTCATTTTGTTCTGCACTAAGAAAAATTCCTCTGCCTTGGGATCCTGTTGATCTGTGACCTTGCCCCCAACCCTGTGCTCTCTGAAACATGTGCTGTGTCCACTCAGGGTTAAATGGATTAAGGGCGGTGCAAGATGTGCTTTGTTAAACAGATGCTTGAAGGCAGCATGCTCGTTA
This sequence comes from Homo sapiens, assembly GCF_000001405.40. NCBI lineage: Eukaryota > Metazoa > Chordata > Mammalia > Primates > Hominidae > Homo > Homo sapiens. Next base: position 22,106,311 of record NC_000019.10, on the reverse strand, counting down.
AGAGTCATCACCACTCCCTAATCTCAAGTAATCAGGGACACAAACACTGCGGAAGGCCGCAGGGTCCTCTGCCTAGGAAAACCAGAGACCTTTGTTCACTTGTTTATCTGCTGACCTTCCCTGCCAAATCCCCCTCTGTGAGAAACACCCAAGAATTATCAATAAAAAAATAAATTAAAAAAAAAAAAAAAAAAACTTAGCAAAGTCACAATATAGAAACTCTTAGCCTGGTATTCCAAAAAAAAAAAAATTCTTATTTTGGCATTTTTTTTTTTTAAATTGATCATTCTTGGGTGTTTCTCGCAGAGGGGGACTTGGCAGGGTCATAGGACAATAGTGGAGGGAAGGTCAGCAGATAAACAAGTGAACAAAGGTCTCTGGTTTTCCTAGGCAGAGGACCCTGGGGCCTTCTGCAGTGTTTGTGTACCTGGGTACTTGAGATTAGGGAGTGGTGATGACTCTTAACAAGCATGCTGCCTTCAAGCATCTGTTTAACAAAGCACATCTTGCACCCCCTTAATCCATTTAACCCTGAGTGGACACAGAACATGTTTCAGAGAGCACCGGGTTGCGGGTAAGGTCATAGATCAACAGCATCCCAAGGCAGAAGAATTTTTCTTAGTACAGAACAAAATGGAATCTCCTATGTCTACTTCTTTCTACGCAGACACAGCAACAATCTGATTTCTCTATCTTTTCCCCACATTTCCCCCTTTTCTATTTGACAAAACCGCCATCGTCATCATGGCCCGTTCTCAATGAGCTGTTGGGTACACCTCCCAGACAGGGTGGCGGCCGGGCAGAGGGGCTCCTCACTTCCCAGAAGGGGCGGCCGGGCAGAGGCGCCCCCCACCTCCCAGACGGGGCGGCTGGCCGGGCAGGGGCTGCCCCCCACCTCCCTCCCTGACGGGGCGGCTGGCGGGCCAGGGGCTGGCCCCCACCTCCCCCGCGATGGGGCGGCTGGCCGAGCGGGGGCTGGCCCCCACCTCCCTCCCTGATGGGGCGGCTGGCCGGGCAGGGGCTGCCCCCCACCTCCCTCCCGGAAGGGGCGGCTGGCCGGGCGGGGGCTGCCCCCCACCTCCCTCCCGGATGGGGCGGCTGCCAGGCGGAGGGGCTCCTCACTTCTCAGACAGGGCGGCTGCCAGGTGGAGGGGCTCCTCACTTCTCAGACGGGGCGGCCGGGTGGAGACGCTCCTCACCTCCCAGACAGGGTCGCGGCCGGGCAGAGGCGCTCCTCACATCCCAGACGGGGTGGCGGATCAGAGGCCCTCCCCACATCTCAGACGATGGGCGGCCGGGCAGAGACGCTCCTCACTTCCTAGACGGGATGGCGGCCGGGAAGAGGCGCTCCTCACTTCCCAGACTGGGCAGCCGAGCAGAGGGGCTCCTCACATCCCCGACCATGGGCAGCCAGGCAGAGACGCTCCTCACTTCCCAGATGGGGTGGCGGCTGGGCAGAGGCTGCAATCTCGGCACTTTGGGAGGCCAAGGCAGGCGGCTGGGAGGTGGAGGTTGTAGCGAGCCGAGATCACGCCACTGCACTCCAGCCTGGGCAACATTGAGCACTGAGTGAACGAGACTCCATCTGCAATCCCGGCACCTCGGGAGGCCGAGGCTGGCTGGCATTTTTAAAAAAGGATAAATACACGAAATATGACAAAATATACTCACTCAATTACAATAAAATATTTGAAATATGAATAATTTTATTCTTAATATTTACTATAATATATTTAGACAAGAGTTTCAGTAAAAAATACTTACAGCTACCATGTATGAATTAAAACAGCCCCGGGGGAAATAGTAATTTTTATTAATTGTGAATCCTGAAGCTCCAAGGATGTAAAATAATTTCTCCTGGGCACACACAGCTAATAACCTAGATAAAGCTCACATATGTTTATTTTTAAAATTTTTATTTTCCTGGCCGGGCCCAGTGGCTCACACCTGTAATCCCAGCACTTTGGGAGGCCAAGGCGGGCAGATCATCTAAGTTCAGGAGTTCAAGAACAGCCTCAACATGGAGAAACCACGTCTCTACTGAAAATACAAAACTAGCCAGGCATGGTGGTACATGCCTGTAATCGCAGCTACTCGGGAGGCTGAGGCAGGAGAATTGCTTGAACCTGGGAGGCGGAGGTTGCGATGAGCTGAGATCACACCATTGCATTGTCTGGGCAACAAGAGCGAAACTCCGTCTCAAAAAAAAAAAAAATTTTTTTCCCACTATTGTCTATGGTAACATAACAGCTAAATCTTAATCACAGAGTTGGAAGTTGGGAATAAATTAAGACGTACTATTTAGGCAGGATAGGTAATCAAGAAAGTGACCATGTCCTTGAAATGCAACAACCATGGTGATTGCATGATGACTGCATATTGTCAACAAAATAAACCACAGCATTTGCATAGTATTTCAGCTCATTCAAGCAACACTTTCTCCAGTTAGATAGTATGCACATTTTGATTTTACCTGTTCTCAAACTAACCTTTTACTCATAATAGGAAAATGCACACCTGTGAGTGATTTAGGATGCTTATGAAACATGCGACGTATGAACAAGCATGTACAGCTACTGTGTTTGTGCACCAAGAGAACCACCTAGAACATGCTATTGTAGTAACACCTCTTCCCACATCGTTTTTTTAAGAGACGAAGTCTTCCTCTGTCGCCCAGGCTGGAGTGCAGTGGCTTGATCTCGGCTCACTGCAACCTCCGCCTGCCGGGTTCAAGCAATTCTCCTGCCTCAGCCTCCTGAGTAGCTGGGACTGCAGGTGCACACCACCATCCCCGGCTAATTTTTTGTATTTTTAGTAGAGACAGGATTTCACCATGCTGGCCAGGCTGGTCTCGATCTCCTGACCTTGTGATCTGCCCGCCTCAGCCTCCCAAAGTGCTGGGGTTACAGGCGTGAGGCACTGCGCCCTGCCTTCCCACATCTTTATAAATAACTAAGTAAGATTTGCATAAATACAGTCTCCCTAGTCACAGTCTTTTCTGTCTCATTCTTATAAGCAGCCTGCCTTGAATCCCTTCTCTCTCAGGGTGTACTGGCTATTCTGCACCTAACTTTTAAAATAGTCATTCTCCTTTGCAATACTTTATGCTTCATTTCCTTTGTTGTGTGTCTCTAATTTTTTTTAACTAAGAAGACAAGAAACGAGGTCTTACAACAGCCATCAAGACTGTCATGGTTTGTTTTGTATTCTTTATTATCAATATTTTCTTCTCTGATATGTCAATATGCACATTTTAAACACAGACTACTTTTATTGAAGTCTACTATATAACACTGTTAAATTAAAAATTTAAATCACAAAATAACTTATCATAAAAGCATGTATGTATTTCCATTTCAGCTTTATTACACTATTCAAAATTTTTGTAAAATTTCTGACACACAGTAAAATACATTTATCAAATTTAATATTTTATTTTATAATTTGAATTCAATTCCAAAATGATTTATATTCAAGTTTATTGTTATATTTGCTTTTGACCAATTTAGGCTTTCCAAGCTAAAGATAAACTAAAGCATGTTTTCAAAAGTTCAAGAGATTTAAGCTTACTGGCATGAAATGCTCTGTAGTAAAAAAAAAAAAAAAAAAAAAACAAACTCATTTTTTAATCAATATTTTAATAGTTTTATGTCTGAGTACTTAAACATCAAGGACAGGACTCTGAATGATGTTGATTGCATACTTAATTGATAAAGTAGAAGATAATCATCAAAGTCTAATAAGTGATGGATACAGCAACATAATACTTGACAAAACAATTCAAGAGATGTTTGACAAACAAGAAGGCTGCATAGGAACTACGCTGCATTACTAATGTAAAGTGTTCTCTCTCCCTCTCTAACTTTAGTCTTTATTGACAACCTTACAGCTGCCACATACTCACATACACAGAATAAGAAAAATTAACTCTTTTCCTAGAAGGCAGTGTCTCATCTTTATTATATTATACCTGTTTTACATTGCTGTGACAATGTTGTTCAAGTGCACTTTCTTTATAAGATAACCTGTGTGAATTTGAATAGATTGATAGTGGAGAGAACCAGCTCAGAATACTCACTTGAACTGTCCCTTTGATTTTCAGGCAGTTAAAATGTTTTTGAAGGGTGAAAATAAACTGACTACTGATTAAGCAGAGAGTCTAACATAGAAAAAGGTTTTTCAATTGTTTGAAAGTTACATTGCATGGTCTACAAGTTTTAAAATGTAAAATACGTAATATAAATAATGCACAACTAAATAAGATAGAAATGAAGGAGCTGGCCACAAAGGACAGCCAAAACTCTATTATAGCAATATAGAAAAATATGTATCTACGATCAGAAGAAGGTAACTTGAAGTATTTGAGAGACATTCTCTGAAAATCTACAAGTATTTTTAATTTCTACAAAAATGTTTGTTAGGCACTTTAATTTTCTTTCTTTCTTTCTTTTTGGGACAGAGTCTGGCCCAGGCTGGAGTGCAGTGGTGTGATCTCGGCTCACTGCAAGCTCCGCCTCCCGGGTTCATGCCATTCTCCTGCCTCTGCCTCCCGAGTAGCTGGGACAACAGGCGCCCGCCACCACGCCTGGCAAATTTTTTTGTGTTTTTAGTAGAGACTGGGTTTCACCATGTTAGCCAGGATGGTCTCGATCTCCTGACCTGGGGATCCGCCTGCCTGGGCCTCCCAAAGTGCTGGGATTACAGGCGTGAGCCACTGTGCCTGGCCAGGCACTTTTAATTTTCAAAAAAATTTAAATGCATTTGTTGTCAGTTTGGGTTTTCTGAAGAATTTAAGTAGAAACAATTACAATAACATGTATCAAAAATCAACTTTTCTGGTAACTGATCAGTTTAATTTTCAGACCAAAAGGTTAAATTTTACAAAATTTTATGTTGAAAATCAGAAGCCTCTTTCTTATAACCGAGAGAGATGACACAAAGATGCAGCTTAGAAAATGATTATAGGGTTAGATAATTGTTTAATCGATGTTGATGTTTATTACTATTTTGTCTCAAACGATGTTGATAATGAAGAAATGGCTTTGATCGAAAAAATTTTTTAGAAACTTATCTTCTTAATCAGCCAAAATATTAACCAAAATAAGGCATAGAAAATATTTAACAGTCATAATTTACATTTTAAGAATAATCTACTTCTAGGAATAAAAAAAGGAAGGAAAAATGATATAAAAACAAATGAAAGTAAAGGATGTGGATTACTCACAATAGGTAATGTATGAAGTCAACCTAAGTATTCATCAACAAGGGAATGGATAAAGAAAATGTGGTATATTTACACAATGGAATGCTATTTAGTCTTAAAAAGAAAGTCTTGCTATTTGCAACAACATTAATAAACCCAGAGGACATTGTGCTAAGTGAAATAAGTCAGCAGAGAAAAAACTAATACCAAACAATCTTATTTTTATGTAGAGTTTAAAAATATTCAAGCTCACAGAAGCAGAAAATAGAATAATGCCTGGGACTGGAGGTGGAGATGTTGGTCAAAAGCAATGGGTCTTCCCTAAACCACTTACCTTAACAAATGAATTATTCTCCTATCAGTTTTAATTCAACAAGGAAGTGAATTATATCCTTAAGAATCAAAACAGGCCAGGCGCGATGGCTCACGGCTGTAATCCCAGCACTTTGGCAGGCTGAGGCAGGTGGATCACCTGAGGCCAGGAATTTGAGACCAGCCTGCCCAACATGGCAAAACCCCGTCTCTACTAAAAATACAAAAAAAAGCTGGGCATGGTGGCGGGTGCCTGTAATTCCAGATACTCGGGAGGCTGAGGTAGGAGAATCGCTTGAACCTGGGAGGTGGAGGTTGCAGTGAGCCAAGATTGCACCACTACAGCCTGGGCGACAAGAGTGAAACTCCGTCTCAAAAAAGAAAAAAAAAAGAAAACTGAAGAAATAATATATTTATTAAAGTAATGCAAGATGTATGCTGAAATTTCAGAGGCTTAACAAAATAATATATTTTCTGCTGACATCACTATCTTCTGGTTTTTTTCCTCAAGAGCGAAACTCTGTCTCAAAAAAAAAAGAAAACTGAAGAAATAATATATTTATTAAAGTAATGCAGGATGTATGCTGAAATTCCAGAGGCTTAGCAAAATAATATATTTTCTGCTGACATCACTATCCTCTGGTTTTTTTCTTTTGATGTTGAGAGGACTTCTTCATGATCTTTCAGAGATTATTTTTTCTTTTTTTTTTTTTTGAGATGGAGTTTTGCTCTTATTGCCCAGGCTGGAGTGCAATGGGGCCATCTCAACTTACTGCAACCTCTGCCTCCCAGGTTCAAGCGATTCTCCTGCCTCAGCCTCCTGAGTGGCTGGGATTACAGGCACACGCCACCACACCTGGCTAATTTTTGTATTTTTAGTAGAGACGGGGTTTCTCTATGTTGGTCAGGCTGGTTTTGAACTCCTGACCTCAGGTAATCCACCCGCCTCGGCCTCCTAATGCTGGGATTACAGGCGTTAGCCACAACACCCGGCACACTTTCATTTTCTATCTGCGTCCTTCTCTTTCTTCAGCCAATGGATGAAAAAGGAGATGCTGAGAAGACACATTTGCTTTTCATCCACACATCACTTCCACTCACTATTAGTCAATGTGGGTAGAGCTGAGAATGCCAGTTTCCTGGCAGAATAGCCACTTCTCAGCAGTAAAAAACACACCAAAAGTATAAATCTTTGATAAAAAGCTAACATACTTTAAGCAAAATAAGCATATGCATCAATAATAAAATGCTCGTGGATATTCATTTGGTTGATTTCTTTTGAGCTCAGGTAATATTGATCTAAAGCGAGCAAATATACAGCAGATAAATGAATATCACTGGAAATCAGAATATTGTCAATTAAGTTTTCTGTCAATAGAAGTAAAAATATGACCTCACACTAATAGTCTCACCTGGAGTTGTACAACATCAAATGCTTTTTATTAAAAATTGTATTTCATATAAGTTTTCAATTTATATTACCCTCCACTATTTCAATGCTTTCTCCACTTTTATCAGTAGAAAACAGGCCAGCTGGTTCTAGGAAAGCACGCAGTGCTATTGCTACTTTAACAGTGATGATAAAGAGCAAAGAGCACTTGTTTGAGTGGTACTCACATGCCAAACTCTGTTTTGGGCCCAAAGTACTGGTTTTCTATTTTTCTCTTAATGTACTAATGAAATAAAATTCTTAGCTAAGAAGACTTTATCTCATTCAAGTATGTATTATAGAATTTGATTGACATGTGTCTCTGATTTACCTGGAAAAGTAAATTTTTCTATGAATCCAAATTGAGTACCATACATAAACAATTCTTTTACTAAAAGCCTTTCAGAGGTAGAGTAAGATTTACAAAATTTTATTATAATATGAAAAAACTGTGTTAACCATGTTCTCAGTAATCGCTCTGAACAATGCATTCTTAGTTCCCAGTATTCACCAGAAGTCACTAGGGAAATTGGTGTCTCTGTAAAGAGGCAGAAGAAGGTGCTAAGTGGAGGTGCAGCACCTTTGCACATGCTTTCCACATGCACCTATTAGGGTCTTAATTTAATTGGGCTGTCATTTTCATGGCTAGACACTTACTGAATCTAGTCATACTATTTTTTGGCAGATGATGGCATCTGTTACTCATTAATTTTATATAATTATTTGCTTGGCTGAAAAATAAATGTTTTGTTAACATACTCTAAATTTAGCTTATATTTGCAATTTTTAATCTTTTAATGTTAAAGCAAATCAGAGAAGAGCAATGTGTATATTTAGTATGCTTTTTTTCTGCCTATCAGAATTCTTGTGTTGCCTCAGAAATCCTAGGAAGTTACCTAAAAAAAAAATTTCTCCTAATTTTTTAGCCAGAGTTTTAGATTTCTAAAGGTCAATCATGTAATGATTGAGCAAAGCTAAAATCTTGTCTTTGCTTCTTGGTAGTAACTGGCTGTTTTATTGTTTTTTATTTATTTATTTTTCTGGCCGTTTTAAAAAGCATGGCAATTACGCCAAGACATTGAAAACATGTGGCTTTAATTTTATTCCATTTCAAATGTTTTCTGTTACCTTTATCATGTTAATCTAAGAGAAACTATCTACGTAACTGTTTATGCATTCAAGAAATACTCAAGGTGTTTAAAGTTCAATGTTGTAATACAGTATAATAGGATCTTCTAAAATTAGCAGTTCCTTATTAATAAATTCATTGTTTTCAAGGCTTTTCAATTATGAAAACAAATAATTAGGTATGCTTTCTAATTATAATTTCAATTTTAGGAGGGTACCCACTGGTCTCCATGGTATTTCTGAAATGGATAGTGTAAAACTGGGCCAACCAGAATGGTGCAGATATGCTGATTTATTAGAATGAGTTTAGCTTTCTTAGTAGACTACCGGTATCCCAGAGGCTGATCATTCACTATGGCTTACAAAATGTTTCTCCATAATGCCAGTGAGCACCTTCGACCGTGTTGTCTTTTTCCTCTCATTGATGTGGTCATGTTGTGGTTTTTTCTGTCACCTTAATGCTATCTCAAATGAGAAGTGATTATTTCTTGCATGAATGAGACCCCCCCACCCTTTATTTTCTTGTCATGGAATTCTTCTGTCTTCCTGTGGAAAGCAACATGTGGGAAGCAGAAATGATTACAATATACAAACATTTCCTGCCATGTGACCACCAAAAGCAGCTTACAACATGGCCCACCTAGAAGTCACTTACTTCCAGGCAAGCAGCAGTGTTTTACTATGATGTGTCTCTTCCTCTTAAAAGCACCTCTAATTCAGTTTAGCCAAATTGAGATAATCTCCCTTTTGATGAACACCAAGTCAACATATTAGTAACCTAATTTCATGAGTGATTTCTCACCACAGTCACACCTTTTTTACACTCAAGAGAAAAGGAATGCACAGCAGATGTGCAACAGACCTGGAATCCTTGGGATCATCTTAGAATTTTGCCTACCCACCTGAATAGACTTTTAAAATAGTCTTATAGTTTATTTTGTTATCTAAGTAAACAAAGATATCATCTCCAAATAATTAACTGCTTTCCAATTTTATGTATTGCAAATATTAATATCTTTTTTGCTTAAATTATTTTTTCATGTACCATTCTATACAATCTTATAACAATATAAATGATTCAATTTTTGATTTTTATTAAAAATGAGTGTTTAGATGTATTAAGTTACTGTGAGAATTAAAATCCATTAACACATAAATAATGTTATGGTTAGTGCTCAGTACAAATTAGCTATTAATAAGATATTCATATGCTGAATTACATTAATATGTGCTTTAACACAAATATTTTTACATAACACACGTTTATCAACAAATAAATATATATTTAATTTTTTAAATGTGGTAAATGGAATACAATTCAGCCTTAAAAGAAGGTAAATCCAACCATTTGAAACAATATAGATAAATTTGGAAGACACTATGCTAGAGGGAATAAGTCTGACACAGAAAGACAAACACTGCATGATCTCATTTATATGCAGAATCTAATAAAGTTTAACTCAAAAAAGTAGAAAGTGAAATAATGGTGACTAGAAGGCAAGGGTCTGAGAGGGAAATAGGGATTTGTTAAAGGGTATAACGTTTCAAATAGACAGAGGCAAATAGGGTTTGAGATCTATTGCACAGCAGCATAACTATAGTAAACAATAATGCATTATTTCAAAATAGGAGTACATTTCAGATGTCTCACCACAAAAAGGTTATTGATACGTTATGTAACTTTACTTATTTTATATACATATATCAGAACATCACTTTGTACACTGTAATGTATAAAACTCTGATTTTCCAATAAAAATACTATTTTTTTTTTCAGAGGAGTCTCACTGTGTTGCCCAGGCTGGAGTGCAGTGGCGTGATCTCAGCTCACTGCAACCTCCGTCTCACGAGTTGAAGCAATTCTCCCTCCTCAGCCTTCCGAGTAGCTGGGACTACAGGCGTGCGCCACCACGCCTGGCTAATTTTTGTACTTATTTATTTTTGAGAAGGAGTTTCACTCTTGTTGCCCAGGCTGGAGTACAGTGGTGTGAACTTGCTCACTGCAACCTCCGCCTCCTGGATTCAAGCGAATCTCCTGCTCAGCCTCCCGAGTAGCTGGCATTACAGGTGCCCACGACCACACCCAGCTAATTTTTGGATTTTTGGTAGAGACAGGGTTTCACCACGTTGACCAGACTGCTCTCGAACTCCTGAATTCAGGTGATCTGCCCATCTGGGCCTCCCAAAGTGCTGGGATTACAGGCGTAAGCCACTACACCCAGCCAGTACATTTTTTTTTTTTTTAAAGAGATAAACGTTAAGAAATTGGGTCAGAGAAAAAGTGTTTCTTCATCTTAAAATGCCAGGAAACATACATAAATTAAAACATATACATATATATATATAAACACATATATATAAATTAAAACATATGTTTCCTGGAATTATAAGATGAAGAAATATATATATATATATTTATATTTTATATATATATATATTTCAAATGCCTTTCTCATTTAGTAATGTAGGTAGGTAAACTTTTAATATTATTAATAGTCTGGACCCAAAATTCAGAAATAAAATATCTTGATTTGAATGTTCAACATAACGTAATACTAAGAAACAGACTCTAAAGCAACTGTTTAAAGTTTTCTCTAAATGTCTAAGTAGATGATTTCCTTCACTTGTTAGAGAAAAAATATTTGAATACATATTTGTAAACTACATTTAAGTTTAACAAATGAACATAAATACTTGGCAATAAGAAATTTATTAAACAAGCAGATGAAGAAACAATTTGCCTCTTTAATTTTAACACTGACAAACACTAGGCATTTAAGTGCTTATTTATCTAGTGTTACTGGAGTGCTAAGGAGCAGTACTCAACAAGAAATCTTTCCACAGATATTTGTAACTATGCTGTATGTGAATATATGGGAATTTGCCAAAGATAGTATTAAAAACATCCAACTACCATTATAGCCCCGGACTGACTGATTAGAATAAACATGGGTTACAAACCACTGATTCGGCCACGTTCTTTTTAGGCTCAACATTGATCACGAGCTAACAGAATCAACAAGAGCTGATAAATTTCCTGTACACTCACGATGTGCTGGGAACTCTTCTGGTACCTTTATCAGTATTAATTGCTCTGATTTTACTAATATCCTAAGATTTAAGCACTATTATCCTCACTGTACAGCTTAAGGGTTAAGCACACGGAGGTTAACAAACTGTATTCAGGTCATACAGCTCATAAGTGGCAGAACTAGGATGCAAACAGGAACCACCTCATACTAAGTATCAATCTTAATCATTAAGCCCAACACCCTCTCGCCTAATGCTTTTTTCCATTTCCAACGTAACATTTTGGCTTTGAATTTTCTACTTTAGTAGAATCTAAAAGGAATTTAAAAATCACTATTTATACCTTTAGATAGTATGTAGAACTGGATTTTTGGTTTAAAGTACTCATTACTAAGCCTAACAAAAATACATTGGTAAATGGCTACTAACAATGATATTTCTCTTATTATTTAAAAGAACCACTCATTTTACCTTTTATCAAATTTTTATATTAAAAGCTAGAATGAGCCTATGATTAAATAGAAAACTTATGGTCTGCATATACCTGATCATTTTTTTACTGGTTTACACTTTCTGAAAGTTTCAGAAACACTAATATCAGAATACTTTTTCCTATTTAATAATTAAAGAATATTAAGTTTTTACAGTGACTAAAATAGTCTGGAATTACTTTTTTTATTTTTAAAAAATTGTATTTACTTATTTTTTTTTTGAGATGGAGTTTCAGTCTTGTTGCCCAGGCTGGAGTGCAGTGGCGCGATCTTGGCTCACTGCAACCTCCACCTCCCAGGTGCAAGTGATTCTCCTGCCTCAGCCTCCCGAGTAGCTGGGATTACAGGCGCTCGCCACCATGCCCAGCTAATTTTTGTATTTTCAGTAGAGACAGGGTTTCACCATGTTGGCCAGGCTAGTCTCGAACTCCTGGCCTCAGGCAATCCACCTGCCTTGGCCTCCCAAAGTGCTAAGATTACAGGTATGAGCCACTGCATCCGGTCAATAGTTTGGAATTACTAATCAGTCACTTACCAATGATCAAGGAGTTGGCTACAGTTAGGTGAGTAAAAATCTGTAGACTAAACTGTACCTACTAAAAAAAAGTCATATAAAAGAATATGGGCTGAGCGCAGTGGCTCATGCCTGTAATCCCAGTACTTTGGGAGGCCGAGGCGGATCTCAAGGTCCGGAGTTTGAGACCAGCCTGACCAACATGGTGAAACCCCGTCTCTACTAAAAATACAAAAGTTAGCCGGGCATGGTGGTGTGCACCTGTAATCCCAACTACTCAGGAGGCTGAAGCAGGAGAATCGCTTGAACCTGGGAGGAGGAGGTGGCAGTGAGTTGATATCATGCCAGTGCACTCCAGCCTGGGTGACGGAACGAGACTCCATCTCAAAAAAAAAAAAAAGAGTGGAATTTCTCCAAATTGTTTTATCAAGATGTAAAATAAATATTATTCCAAATTTCAGATCCACAGGTCATTGTACTGTTTTGCCACATTCAACATTCACACTTAAAAATATAAGATTCTGCCAGTCACAGTGGCTCACGCCTATAATCTCAGCACTTTGGGAGGCCGAGGCGGGTGGATCACCTGAGGTCAGGAGTTTGAGACTAACCTGGCCAACATGGCGAAACCCCATATCTACTAAAAATACAAAAATTAGCTGGGCGTGGTGTAATTCCAGCTACTTGGGAGGCTGAGGTAGGAGAATCGCTGGAATCTGGGGGATGGAGGTCACAGTGAGCCGACATTGGGCCACTTCACTCCAGCCTGGGAGAGAGAGTGAAACTCTGTCTCAAAAAAAGAAAAAAAAAAAGATTCTGCATAGAAACATAAGTTGTGCTATAAATATATCATAGAAAATTAAATTTAAAATTGTTCATTTACCATTAACTCTATTTAGAATCTAATTTCTGAAATATTTTTACAAATTTTATATTTGCCATGCTTTTTGCAAGAATAAAACTTTTTTTTTTTACAAAGAAAAAGCTAACTGATGTAATCTTTTCACTTGTTAACAGTGTATGTCTATTCTCTTAATTGACTAATCTGAAAGTTTTATTGATAAGCAAATTCTTCAGTTAAAACCAATTTTTCAATGCATTAAAAATACCAACTTTCTCATGAGAACCCACAAACTACCATGTAAAATGACATGGCATGAAGACAACAATGAGAAAACTGTAGTCATAACACAGTAAAAGAAGAAAGACTGTGATGCATATATAGTTGGAATACACTAAGTAAGACAAAACTGAAGATCAGTAGAAAATAAAAGCAGCAGAATTTGTGTTTAAATTCAGCAAGTCAGCTTTGCAGCCTGAAAATGTCCTCTCCACATGATGAATCAATGTTATTTCTTCACCATTGCTATTTTCCATCTCTGACTTGAAGTTACAAACTAACTCCAGCAAAAATATTTATGACTTATTATAAAGCATGTTTTACTCAGAAGAACTGTCATATTTGTTTGCTACATTTATATGTAAAAACATCCTCATGACTTATGAAGTCTCCCTAGTACTTACCAAAGCAAATTAGCTCACTCAATAGATTTACTTATGTCAATTATAAAAAGTGAAAGAAACAATAAAGAAAATTAGCCTTATACAGGTTTCTCCAATAAAACAAAAATCAAACGTTAAAATATAACAATATAACTATTATATAAAAACTAACTTATATAAAAATATAACTAATTTTGTAATTACATCTAAAAATTATTTTGTGTGCACTCTTAAATTTCATAAAAATCATTCTTATAATCCCTGACCAGCTCACATAATGAGTACTTCATAAAATACAAAACAAGAACATTATGGGTCTAGCATGAGTACCAGACAAGTAAAAACAGAGAATGTGCATAGGGAGATTCTGAACTATAAGCCCTAACATTTTATAGCAATGAATTCAATACAATGCACAGAGTATAGATTTGCTTTCAACATTTTCGAGGTTTTTAGTTTTCTAATAAGTCACCTTATTAAAATAATTTGTTTTGTTCCAATATTGCTTTCTCCTTCCAAAAATGGGTACAAACTCATACTCATACACACTTACTTCATAATTTTCTTACACCTAAGGTTTATCTTTAGAGTAATATATGTATATGTTTAACTCTATGTAAATCAAAACTAAAAGCCTATATGTGTTTGCAGGCAGAGATAAATCATGTTCAAAGAAAAATATGTAACAAATTCTTTAAATATTTATTCAGTACTTAGAAATGTATCAATTTTATTTATACTTCTATATAAATTTTATTATGACCATAAAAATGACCCTGTAGTCAGAACAATTGCAAATTTTAAAATAAAGTACTTTTAATATTTTAAAATAACAATATTTTTATTTTACTAATCAAATTGTTTGTAATAAAAAGGATAAATGCTAGAGGTGATGGATGCCTCATTTATCCTGATGTAACTATTATATATTATATGCCTGTACCAAAATATGCCATATATGGCATAAATATATACACATACTGTGTAACCACAAAATTAAAAAGAATAAATTTAAGAAAAAAAGGATAAAAATGTAACCTATGGGAAAAATATTTTTTAACTTATTTGCAATTTGAAGCCATTGGCAGAAGAGATTACTAGAGGTGTTATTCCACTATGTTGCCAAATAGCATATTGTTACCATATTTTACCTACACCCTTGAGTAAGGTGGGGTATGTTAAAGTTAGTGGAATAATAATACTCCACTGAATGCACAAGTCTTTTTTTTTTTTTTTTTTTTGAGACGAAGTCTTGCTCTTGTTGCCTAGGCTGGAGTGCAATGTCGTGATCTTGGCTCACTGCAACCTCTGCCTCCTGGGTACACGTGATTCTCTTGCCTCAATCTCCCAAATAGCTGGGATTTCAGGCACCCACCACCATGCCTGGCTAATTTTTTGTATTTTCAGTAGAGACAGGGTTTCACCATGTTGGCCAGGCTGGTTTCAAACTCCTGGCCTCAATTGATCCGCCCGCCTCAGCCTCCCAAAGTGTTGGGATTACAGGCGTGAGCTACTGTGCCCGGCCTGAACGTACAATAGTCTTAACGTGGTAAAAGAAAATATTTAATTATAAATTAAGTCCACAAATAATCTAAAAATTTTAAAATGTACTGCATTTTATTAAATAAAAGTACAATCACTAACATTATATGGTACTATTTTAATTTTAACTTACATTTAACTAAAATTAAAAATGTTTTTCTCTCATAACATGAGCAACTACTTCATACATCACTAAGTTAACCACAAAGAACCTCTTCACTTAGACTCTTATGCATCTTATATTTCAGTGTCCTTACTATTTTATAGAAGAGGTCGTATATAATTCCCACCTAATAAAGTATCTCTCATATCTCTGATGCAGCAATAGTTGATCACATGCTTTCACAGGTGAATACAATAGAAATGAAGAAACAGCATGAAGTAATTTGAGAGTTGACTTACATCATTATTTACTTTTAAAAAGCTTTATAATTTTATCAAAAAAGTATACTTGAATTTAATTATGACTTCTCAAAGAAATGTCTACTCATTTTAAAGTTACATAAAATTAATTTACTTACCAACTGTAGTTTTGGATTTTCTATACTCAGCAATCTGATTTAGTGTAATGTCTGAAGTGTCAGTGCCTTAGCTATTTCTACTGTTAATTCTCTGATAATTATATAAACTCAATTTGAATTAAATATTTCTTTGTATTTATTGCATCTGCAAAAGTATATTTTAGTATGAGCTCTCTGGCATTTTCTAAGCTATAGTTATGGAAAAAATGTTTTTCCAAATTAATCACACTTGCTGAATTCTTCTCCAACATAAATTTCCTAATGCTGAACAAAATTTTAGCAACTGCTTCAGGGTTATTCTCTAGTACAAAATGTGTACAATAAAATCTGTGATACAAGTAAAAGCACTACAAACCCCTTTATATTTGTAATGTTTGTCTTTAGAATGAACTCTTCTTCACTTTAAAGGTTTATATTTCTGAAAGATCATTTGACAGTAATTGTATTTATAATACTTTTATTAAGTATGAACTCTCTGATGTGTAATATGTGAGCAAATATTAATGACTTTTCCACATTCTTTATATTTGTACACCATTTCTCAACTATAAATGCTTTCCTGTACAATAAGTTGTGAACACTGGTTAAAAGTTATATTCTTCACACTTGGAGTTTTCTCCGGTATAAATTATTTTACCTGCAATCAAGTGTGAAAACCATTTAAAAGTTTTTCATGTTCTTTATATTTCTAGAGTTTCGCACTAGTATAATTTTTTTTTATGTTTAGAAAAGTTTGAGGTATTGTTAAAAGCACTGTGACATCATTCAGGATTGTAGTTTCGCTCCAGTATGAAACATCTTATATCTGTTAAGAATTGAGGACTTATTAAGGGCTTTGTGACATTCTTCACACTTTAGGATTTCTGTCCAGTATAAATTATGTGTAATAAGGGTTGAGAACTTTTAAAGGCCTTGTCACATTCTTCATATTTGTAGGCTTTATCTTCCACATGTGTTCTCATGTTTAGTAAGAGTTGAGAACTGGGAAGAGGCTATGCCACATTCATCACATTTCAAGAGTTTCTCTCCAGCATGAATTATTTTATGCTTAGTAAATGTTGAGGATTTGTTAAAAGCCAGGCCACGTTCTTCACATTTGTAGGGTTTCTCTATTATGAATTCCCTTATGTTTAGTAAGGATTGAGGAACAGTTAAAAGCTTTGACACATTCTTCACATTTGTAGGGTTTTTCTCCATTATGAATTATGTTTAGTAAGGTTTGAGGAATGGTTACAAGCTTTGCCACATTCTTCATATTTGTTGGGGTTCTCTCCAGCATGAATTCTCTTATGTACGGTAAGGTATGAGAAACGATTAAAAGGCTTGCCACATTCTTCACATTTGTAGGGTTTCTCTCCAGTATGAATTATCTTATGTTGAGAAAGGTGTGAAGACCGGTTAAAGGCTTTGCCACATTCTTCACATTTGTAGGGCTTCTCCCCAGTATGAATTATTTTATGTTGAGTAAGGTGTGAAGACTGGTTAAAGGCTTTGCCACACTCTTCACATTTGTAGGGTTTCTCTCCAGTATGAATTATCTTATGTCGAATAAGGTATGAAGACCGGTTAAAGGCTTTGCCACACTCTTCACATTTGTAGGGTTTCTCTCCAGTATGAATTATCTTATGCTGAGTAAGGGTAGTAAGAGCTGAGGACCAGTTAAAAGCTTTGCAATATTCATCACATTTGTAGGCCTTCTCTCTAGTATGAATTCTCTTATGTTTAGTAAGGTGTGAAGACCGGTTAAAGGCTTTTCCACACTCTTCACATTTGTAGGGTTTCTCTTTAGTATGAATTATCTTATGTTGAGTAAGGTGTGAAGACCGGTTAAAAGCTTTGCCACACTCTTCACATTGGAAGGGTTTCTCTCCAGTATGAATCATCTTATGTCGAGTAAGGGCTGAGGACTGGTTAAAGGCTTTGCCACACTCTTCACATTTGTAGGGTTTCTCTCCAGTATGAATTCTCTTATGTTGAGTAAGGGTAGTAAGAGCTGAGGACCACTTAAAGGCTTTGCAACATTCATCATATTTGAAGGGCTTCTCTCTATTATGAATTCTCTTATGTTGAGTAATGTGTGAAGACCGGTTAAAGGCTTTGCCACACTCTTCACATTTGTAGGGTTTCTCTCTAGTATGAATTACCTTATGTTGAGTAAGGTGTGAAGACCGGTTAAAAGCTTTTCCACACTCTTCACATTTGTAGGGTTTCTCTCCAGTATGAGTCATCTTATGTCGAGTAAGAGCTGAGGACTGGTTAAAGGCTTTGCCACATTCTTCACATTTGTGGGAATTCTCTCTAATATGAATTCTCTTATGTCGAGTTAGTTGTGAAAGCATGCAAAATGATTTGCCACATTCTTTACATTTGCAAGTTTTCTTTTCAGTATGTCTTATCTTATGTCTATCTGAATTTGAAAACTTATAGAAGACTTTTACATATTTATCACATTGATACATTTTGCTCTGGGTAGTTATCAGACATTGGTTAAGTCCATTATAACCTCCTTTGCACACCTTACACTCATCCACACTTTTACAGCCCTTTCTTAATTGTAAATTCTCATGTTCACATTTATCATATCTCCTCAGTATGACTTTTTGGAAAAAATATTTTATGTCTCGCTCTGGGCAAAGGTCTTCAGCAATATGAGAACACATAACTAAAAGAAATAAAAACAACAAATTACTCCACTTACTAGACTCAGGTAAATATTTTTTACAAATCTAACCTATAAAACTGTATATACTACATAAGGAAGATGGCATAGCAAAATACCACAGGCTCTAATTTATTCAAAAACATATAAAATGTAACAAAAACATACTGACCAAAACACATTTTTGGAAAATTTATAAATGAGTTAAGTGTGTAAAGTGCCCCAGGTTAACACGATGTAAAAAGCAACATAGAAGAAAAAGAAAAATCTGTTATATTAACCCAACACAGTACTTCCTTCTCCTCAGTATAACATAGTGCCCTTAGAAGTAAATTGCCAACTCCTTGTTTCTATTTAAAAGACAAGAAAAATATTGGCACATACATTTCTATGTCTGGCTTTTAGGGGTCTTTCAAGACACTGGTTTCATTCTCCCATTAAATAAAATGCTGAAAAAAAATAGTATACTTTAGAATGACAATTTGAGACTGCTGAGACCAAAGGTAAATGTTACAGCAGCAGACAGACTGCAGTACCACAGACAGGTAACAAGTGTAGCAAGTGATTGATAACTAGGAAGAAGTGCAAATAAACTTTTTAAACTAGAAAATAAAACATTTCAGATCAGACACACTCTAAGAACATGTTTGAAAGGCTCCCAGAATGTCTAGCCATGACAACTGGTTTTAGACTATGCCGGGATAAAGCTACATTGTAAAGATTGTGACAGGTAGCCTTTTTTTTTTTAAATGTCCCAGTCTCAAAGATTACAATGTGTACAAAATATTAGGGCAACATGGCCCCATCAAACAAATCATGAAATTTTCAGAAAGCAATCATTATAAAATAAAAATGTATAAATTTTAGAAATTTAAAATAAGTTGAATAATAATGAGTAAAAGGAGCACAGACAACTACTGAAAATCAGAAAAATAAGAAAAACGGCAAAAATATTAAAAGCATTTTAAAAACAGTAATTGTGGAGGTAAATAATACAAAGAGATAATTAACCAATTCTAAAAGAAAAATGATATAAAAATAAAGAAGTTCAAAAAACAAAAATACACATACAAGATATTTATTTAAAAAAACACATATATAAGAACAACTTAAAATGTCACAGACGAGACAATCTCAAGAACTGCAAGACAAAAGTGATGTGTCATTTATTGGCATAGAGTTACACACTAAACAGTGAGTTTTTCAAAAGAAAATTTTGCAGGCCAGAAGAAAACTGTGTGATATTGTCAAAGTCCTGAAGAAAAAATGCTGTCAGGTGAAAAGAATAATCATCAGCAAAAACATCCTACCAAATAAATAAAAAAAAAAGACCTTCTAAAATAACCAAATCCCGAGACAGTATATTGGCACTGCATATGGCCTATATAGATCAAAGATGCTGAAAAAAGTTTCTTCCACTGAAAATAACACGATGCAAGAAATCAACACATAATCATATAAAAATACATGTTCCTGGGAAACATACATACACAAAAATAGAATTCCTTATCATTCTCATAATGGGACAGAAAACATTTATAATTATGCTCTAAAATTAGAAAAATAAAAGAACAGAAATTATTGTGAATATCTGTTAATAAATATACAACATATAATCAGCAATATCAATAACAAAGTCGAGGGCAGATGTAATGAGGAAAAATTTTTGTATATAACTGAAGTTCATTTTTCACCAGATTAAATATATACTGCTTTATCTTTTAGAGGTTTTATGTAATCCCTAAGGTACCACAAAGAAAATATCTGTATAGACACCCAAAAGAAAATAAGAAAGAAGCGAAACCACATCAATACTAAAATGAAACAGACACAATGGAAGACAGAAAGGGAGAAAATGAGGGACAAAGATACAAGAATCAAATAAAATAATTAATAAAATAACGGAAGTCTTTGTCTTTTAGAAAATTACTTACATATAGGTATAATTAGCTTTCTAGTTTCAAATAAAGGGATTCATTAAAAAACATTAAAACTCAAGGCCAGACTTGCCTTTCTATAACAGTCAGTTTAGAACTAATAATTAAAAAAGCCTGAAAGTGGCAAGATTGCTGTAGGCATTTTATCCAAATATTAACCAAATGAGAGCAGAAAAGGTCAAAATAGTATTACGCAAGCTATATCTTAAGTCAAAAACTCATATTATATAAAATGTATATGAAGTCAAAACTCAAAAAGACAAAGGACATTAAGCAATAATAGATTGATGGGGAACCTATGAAAAATTTGTATATACTCATGTTTGCGTGTTTGTGTGTGTGTGTGTGTGTGCATGTGTGTGTGTATCTCACATTAGGGTTCCAAATATGTAAGGTAAATACTGACATAATTGAATAAACACATAGAAAGCAATATAATTATAGTAGGATATTTCAATACCTCACTTTCTCTGATAATAATAAAACAAGAGAATATTAATAAGGAAACAGTGGACTTGAAGGCAGTATAAAACAAGTATTTCTAACACAGATATAGAGAAAACTTCTCAACATCAGGAAACACACCCGTTGCAATAGCTCATACAATCTTTTTGATAGACCACCGGTTAGGTCAAAAAATAAATCTTAACAAGTGTTTTAAAACTAAAATTTTGAGCCAGGCATCGTGGCTCACACCTGTAATCTCAGCACTTTGGGAGGCCACGGCAGGTGGATCACCTGAGGTCAGGAGTTCAAGACCAGCCTGGCCAACATGAAAATACAAAATTAGCCAGGTGTGGTGGTCTCTACTGAAAATACAAAATTAGCCAGGTGTGGTGGTGCATGCCTGTGATCCCAGCTACTTGGGAGGCTGAGGCAGGAGAATCGCTTGGACCCAGGAGGCGGAGGTTGCAGTGAGCAGAAATCGCGCCACTGAACTCCAGCCTGGCAACAGAGCAGGACTCTGTCTCAAAACAAACAAACAACAACAACAAAAAAAAAAACTAAAACTTTGGCCAGGCACGGTGACTCATGCCTGTAATCCCAGCAGTTTGGGAGGCCAAAGCGGGTGGATCACCTGAGGTCAGGAGTTTGAAACCAGCCTGGCCAACATAGTGAAACCCTGTCTCTACCAAAAATAAAAAATTAACTGGGCCTGGTGGCATGCGCCTATAATCTCAGATACTCAGCAGGCTAAAGCACGAGAATCACTTGAACCCGGGAGGCAGGAGTTAGTTAGCCGAGATCACTCCACTGCACCCTAGCCTGGGCAACAGAGTGAGATTGTCTCAAAAAAAAAAAAAAACCCTAAAATTTTATAGATTACTTTCTATGAACAAAATGGAATAAGAATATGAAACAATGGAAAAAACTGAAAATTTCACAAATATATAGAAATTAAACGATACACTCAAGCATGCTCTTTTTCAAAAGTTAAAATAATTAATATTGTATAGATGTTTATACTGTTTAATGTAATCTACAGATTTAATGCAATGTTTTTCAAATTTCTCATTGCACTTTTGAAAAAATAGCAATAACAAACTCAGGAGTGCTATTGCAAGAGACAACAAAGTACCCAACAATCTTCAAAAAAAAAAAGAAACAATGTTGGAGGCATTATAATTCCTTATTTCAAAACAGATTACAAAGCTACAGAATTAAAACAATTTGGTATCAGTATCAAGCTGAAAACTAGACAAATCAAATAGAATGCAACACGTAAACTTTCATATATATGGTCATATAAAGAGTCATTTACATACCCATAATAATTGTAGCATTGTTACGGAAAGCCAATAGTTAAAAACAATGCTAATTTCTGTCACCAAATTATTCAATAGATATAATTTGAAATGTAAAAATACTGGAACATCACTCAGTTTTCTTTTTTTTTTTTTTGAGATGAAGTCTTGCTCTTGTCCCCCAGGCTGGAGTGCGATGGCGCGATCTCAGCTCACTGCAACCTCTGCTTCCCGGGTTCAAGCAACTCTCCTGCCTTGGCCCCCCGAATAGCTAGGATTACCGGCACCTGCCACCATACCCAGCTAATTTCTGTATTTTTAGTTGAGACGGGGTTTCACCATGTTGGCCAGGCTGGTCTAGAACTCCTGACCTCAGGTGATCCACCCACCTTGGTCTCCCAAAGTGCTGGGATTACAGGCGTGAGCTACCACACCGGACCACATCACTCAGTTTTCAAAAAGCAGAAAATATTCTAACAACTACACAGATAAATCTTGATGATATTTTGCAAAGTGACATAAGCCAGCCACAAACAGACAGAGATTGTATGAGATATATAAAGAAGTTACACCACTAGGAAGAGAAAACAGAGTGGTGTTTCAAAAGTGCCATAATACTGGAAAAATTGGTAGTTGTATAATGTGTATTGAGATTTAGCTTTGCAAGATAAAAACACTTCAGCAATTATGTTGCATAACAATGTCAATATAACTAAAAAATAAACCAGAATATTTGAAAATATTTTATTATAAATTATTATGTGTTTTTGACAAGTAAAAATGAACAATAGTAGCTAGAAGAGAAATTTAGTTATGAGTTTAGTTTTTCGAGATGGAGTTTCACTCGTCACCCAGCTGGAGTGCAATGGCGCGATCTTGGCTCACTGCAATCTCCACCTCCTGGGTTCAAGCAATTCTCCTGTCTCGGCTTCCTGAGTAGCTGGATTACAGGCGCCCACCACCATGCCTGGCTAATTTTTTTGTATTTTCAGTAGAGACGGGGTTTCACCACTTTGGCCAGGCTGGTCTCAAACTGCTGACCTAAGGTTATCCACCCACGTCGCCCTCCCAAACTGCTGGGATTACAGGTGTGAGCCACCACACCCTGTCGGTAGTTTTTAAATTATCTTCAAAGCCAAAAGTATTTCTTTCACAGAAAAATAATATAGATTCATGAATAAACCGGATATGGAAGATTCACAAATAAATAGGATGTTGAAATTAGGAGAATTTTTGTGGCTACTCATCTACACAGGATTAAACAACCTTTCACAACAAACCTACACCACAAATATACAAGTTATAAAGAAACACAGGGATAATATTTATAAAGGCAAACAAACACAGAGACAATTATATTGGCACTAGCTGTATGGCTGATTCATATTTGATTTTGCTCCACACTGTCTTAAATTGTTCAGAACTAAATATTGTCATACACAATTATAATATAAACTGAAAAATCAAAACACAATTAACTGGTATGAGATGTCATGTTCTAAAATATATAATACAAAAATATAAAATTGCAAAACAAATTTAAAACATAGAATGTAATACTTATTGGACAGCATCAAGTCGATCAATATATTCATGAACAAAATGCTGGAAGAAGACTATAGGGAAAAAGTAATACAGAGTTTACTTGAAAATGAAAAAGACTAAGTACTTCCCAAATTTTGAGGTAATAAAATCATACCTGACCAATAATACTTGATTTGAAATTATGTTACTTCAAAAAAAGATAAAAATAAACACTTTCCAAAATAAAAGGTGAGAGTGTTCATCACGACTAGCACTGTCCTATAAAAAATGCTACATGGTGGCGAGGCACAGTGGCTCATGCCTGTAATCTTACAGTTTTAGGAGGCCCAGGCAGTCACATCACTTGGGACCAGGAGTTCAAGAACATCCTGAGGAACATGGTGACTTTGCATATAAAAACAAAGAAATGCTACGAGTCCATTATGCTGAAAAATAAAATTCGCACAGCATCATATGACTATGTAAATATAAACCTCTCTATTAAATGTAAATATACAGACACACATGGAATCCTTTACTATTATAATGATGGTGCATAAAATCCCTAAATTTCTTCTACAGAATATGAAAAACAAAATATAAATCTGCATAAATCTGTTATTAGATATAATTTGTAATATTAATAACAAAAATGTAGAGGTATAGTATTTGTATTCAGTTGAAGTTATGAGATTAAAATATATTGTTTTAACCTTAAGATGTTTTATGTAATCTTCATTTTTCAAGATGATTATGAAGATAATATTTATAGAAAGTATGCTAAACAAATAGAAAAGTAAGGCATGTCACTATAAAATTAAGCAAAATTTAAGGTGGTAAAATAGGAAATGAGAAAAAACATATCTATAAGAGCACATAAAACAATAACAATAAAACTGGTAATAGAAACATTTCTTCAAGCAATTATTTTAAATACAAATTAATTAAACTATTTAATTTTTAAAAATGTAATCCCAGGACTTTGGGAGGCCAAGGTGGGCTGATCACTTGATCTCAGAAGGTCAAAACCAGAGTGGGCAACACGGCAAAACTGTGTCTCTACAAAAAATACAAAAAAACTAGCAGGGTGTGATGCCACATACTTGTAACCCAGCTGCTTGAGAGGCTGAAATGAGAGGATCATCTGAGTTTGGGAGGCTGAAGCTGCTGTGAGCCATCATTAAACCACTGCAAACCAGCCTGGCTGACAGAGTGAGAATCTATCTCAAAAATAAAAAATTAAATAAATTATATTTAAAAAATTAAATGCCTAATTGGCTTAAGAAAAACAGCATACAATATGCTGCATACAAGAGATTCATTTTAGAATTTAGTTAAATAGGCTGAAAGTAACAGAATGAAAAAAATCTATATTCCATGCAAATAGTAATTATAATTGGGTGGGTAGGCATAATTATGGTAGACATAATTATGGTAGTCCTAAGTACTAGCATGAGACAAAGACTGATATTATATAATGGTAAAATGGGTCAATTTAACTGGTATCTATCCATATGTATATGAGTATATATATACGTATACCTACAGATACGTGTATATATAACATATATATGTATACATATAGATATCTATATAGGACCGGGCATGGTGGCTCATGCCTTTAATCCCAGAACTTTGGGAGGCCGAGGCAGGTGGATGACGAGGTCAGGAGTTCGAGACAATGCTGGTTAACATGGTGAAACCCCGACTCTACTAAAAATACAAAAATTAGCCGAGCATGGTGGCACGTGCCTTGTAGTCCCAGCAACTCGGGAGGCTGAGGTGGAAGAATTGTTTGAACCTGGGAGATGGAGGTTGCAGTGAGCTGAGATCGTGCCACTGCACTCCAGCCTGGGCAACAAAGCAAGACTCTATCTCAAAAAAAAAAAACCAACTATATAGATATATAATATAATTAATGTATTTAATAAAATACTTATCTAGCTATATGTATATGTATATATAATATCAGGGCTCCAAAATATATAAAGCAAATATCAACAAATTGAAGCAGGAAATACATAGCAACATAGTTGTAGACATCAAGACCTCATTTTCAATAATAAATAGAAAATTCAGATAAAATAGCAATAATAAAACAGAGAACTTAGAAAACATTATAGACTGTATAAATTATTTTGAATACACAGGAAGCCTGATAGTAGATAATTTATTTAAAAAAAAAAAGATTTGGCTCACAGTTCGGCAGACTGTACAAGAAGTGTGTGCCAACATCTGCTTCTGGTGAGGGTCTCAAAAAGCTTACAATCATGGTGGAAGGCCAAGAGTAACTGGTAACTGGACATACCACATGGTAACAGACAGCAAGTGTAAGGTGAAGGAGCCAGGTTCTTTTAATGAGCCAGCTCTCTTTTGAATTAATAGAATGTAAAATTTTGATTACAAAGAGGATGGTGCCAACCCATGCACAAGGAATTTTTCCTCACAAACCAAACACCTCCCACTGGTCTTACATTCAACATTGAGAATTACATGGCAGCATGAAGTCCTCATGCCTATAACCCCAACACTTTGGAAGAACAAAGTGAGAGGCTCTCTTGGGGCCAGAAGTTTGAGACCAGGCTGGGCAACATAGTGAGACCCTGTTCCTACAAATAATAAAAAAATTAGCCAGACGTGGTAATGCATGTCTATAGTCCCAGCTACTAGGGATGCTGAGGTGAAAGGATCACTTGAGCCCAGGAGGTTGAGGTGACAGTGAGCCAAAATCATGCCACTGCACTCCAGCCTAGGTGACAGAGTAAGATCCTGTCTAAAAACAACAATAAATACATTTAAGTATACCAAAATTATACACTGTGCGTTTTCTGACCACAATTGAATAAAACTAGGAATTAAAAGCAAAACTGGCAAGTCCAAAAGTATATAAAACTAAATATATAAAATTCTTCAACATATTCTTGCTCAGGGGCCAAAAATTTAATTTTTCAAAGGTGTCAATACAACCTACAGTTGTGAACAAATTTAATACAATCATTATAACAATCTCAATAGCACAGTTTTTAACAGAAATAATATGGTTTGGCTGTGTCCCCACCCAAATCTCATCTTGAATTGTAGCTCCCACAATTCCCATGTGTCATGAGAGAGACAGGGAGAGGTAATTAAATCATGAAAGTGGGTCTTTCCTGTGCTGTTCTTGTGATAGTGAATAAGTTCCAGGAGATCTGATGGGTTTATAGAGGGGAGTTCCTTTGCTAACGCCCTCTTGTCTTCCACCATGTAAGACATGACTTGCTCCTCCTTTGCCTTGTGCCATGATTGTGAAGCCTCCCCAGCCATGTGGAAGTGTGTGCCAATTAAACCTCTTTCTTTATAAATTACCCAGTCTTGGGTATGTTCTTATTAGTAGCATGAGAACAGACCAACCAATACAAGAAATCTTGTGTAAAAGTTTAAACCTTGATTACAACTATAGCCAGAAACCCATGAAAAAGAACAAGGAGGCATTATACTTTCTAATTTCAAAACATACTAGAAGCTAAAATAAAAACGATGTGGTACTGAAACAAAGACACATAAACAGATGAAAGAACAGAATACGAGTGAAGAAATGAACCCCCCTTTAAAAGATCAAATGATCTTCCACAAAGTTGCCATGAGCACACAATAGAGAAAAGATAATCTCTTCAAAAATTAATGTTGAAAACTGGATACCAGCCAGGTGCGGTGGTGGCTCACGCCTGTAATCCCAGCATTTTGGGAGGCCAAGGCAGGTAGATCACCTGAGGTCAGGAGTTTGAGACCAGCCTGACCAACATGGAGAAACCCCGTCTCTACTAAAAATACAAAATTAGCAGGGCGTGGTGGCACATGCCTGTAATCCCAGCTACTAGAGAGGCTGAGGCAGGAGAATCACTTGAACCCGGGAGGTGGAGGCTGCAGTGAGCAGAGATTGCACCATTGCACTCCAGCCTGGGCAACAAGAGCAAAACTCCGTCTCAAAAAAAAAAAAAAAAAGAAAGAAAGAAAACTGGGTGTCAACAGTGATAAAGCTGGATTATTTCCTTGAACCATATATGAAAAATATTTTAAATAAAATACCCAGACATAAAAAATAATTAACCAATTTTTTAGAAATATAGAAGAAAAACATGACGCTTGTCTTAGCAACACTTTTTTAGATACAACATTAAATGCATCAGCAACAAAGAAAATAACAGAAAAATTTAACTGCACTATCCTTCAAAATTTTTGCACTCAAATAAAATATTCAATAGAGTGACAATGCCTCATAAAAAATGTGTGAAAATATTTGCAAATCACATGATAGGAGTTAATATTCAGAATATATAAACAAGTCTTAAAACTAAACAATACAGTTGAATAAGTTGATTTAGAAATGGTCAAATAATTGAACAAAATTCTTATCAAAAATATACACAAATAAGAAAATGCATTTAAAAGAAAATGCAAAATAACTATTTTGTAGAGAATTGCATAAAAATCACAAAAAACAAAATCACCTCACACTCATTGGAATGGCCACTATAATTTTTTTTTTTTTTTTTTTTTTAGTTGGAGTCTCCCTCTGTTGCCCAGGCTGGAGTGCAGTGGCGAGATCTCAGTTCACTGCAACCTTCATTTCCCGGGTACAAGCAATTCTCCTGCTTCAGCCTCCTGAGTAGCTGGGACTACAGGCGCCCGCCACCACGCCCAGCTAATTTTTTTTTTTTTAGTAGAGACGGGGTTTCACCATATTGGCCAGTCCGGTCTCAAACTCCTGCCCTTGTGATCCGCCCACCTTGGCCTCCCAAAGTGCTAGGATTACAAGCATGAGCCACCGTGCCTGGCCTAGAATGGCCACTATAATTTTTTAAAAAAACACCAAATCTGTTGATGATGCAGTGAAAATGAAACCCATGTCGATTGTTGGTGAAAATCAGGAGCGTAGCCATTATTTTAAAATGTTATAAATGTACCTCAAATAATCAAAAATAAAATTACCATAAAATACAGCAATCTCATTTATGAATCTATATCTATAATATGCAACACAGGACCTGGAAGACGTATTTGAACAGTCATGTTTATTGTATTAGTATTCACAAAAGTCAAAAGGCTGAAGCAACCCAAATGTCTTAATTTGGAAACACATTGAAAAATGTAATACCTAAATACAATGAAATATTATTCAGCCTCATAAAATCTTGTCACATTTGAAGATAAACTGAGAATATTATGTCACCTGAAATAAGCCAGTAACAAAATAATGAATACTATATAATTCCACTAATATGAGATATTTTAAGTCATCACACTCATAAAAACACAAAGAGAAACGGTGTTTGTTGAGGGCTGGAGAGAGGGTAAAATGGGTTGTTGTTATTTAATGGGTATTGAGTTTTAGTTTTACAAGATGGAAAATTTCTGGAAGTCTCTTGTATAACAATGTGAATGTACTTAACATGCCTGAAATGTATACCATTTTTTTGAAACAGGATCTTACTCTGTCACCCAAGCTGGATTGCAGTGGCACAACTATGGCTCACTGCAGCCTCAAACTCCCAGGCTCAAGTAATCCTCCCCACTCAATCTCCCAAATAGCTAGGACCACAGGTGCATACCCCCATGCCTGGCTATTAAAACATTTTTTGTGTGTGGAGAGAGGGGGACTTTATATGCTGCCCAGGCTGGTCTCAACATTTTGGGCTCAAGCAATCCTTCTGTCTTGGTCTCCCAAAATCCTGGTATTATAGATGTGAGCCACCACCATGCCTAGGCCTGAAATGTACACTTAAACAGATTAAAGATGGTAAATTTTAGGACAGGTGCGGTGGCTCATACCTATAATCCCAGCATATTGGGAGGCCAAGGCAGGCGGATCATGAGGTCAGGTGATCGAGACCATCCTGGCTAACACGGTGAAACCCTGACTCTACTAAAAATACCAAAAATTAGCCGGGCATGGTGGCGGGCGCCTGTAGTCCCAGCTACTCGGGAGGCTGAGGCAGGAGAATGGCGTGAACCCGGGAGGCGGAGGTTGCAGTGAGCTGAAATCATGCCACTGCACTCCAGCCTGGGTGACAGAGCGAGACTCCGTCTCAAAAAACAAAAGAAACCTACATTGAAAAAAACACACTAATATGGAACTGCAAAACAACAATAAGTAAAATGTTTACTCATATAATGTGGTATGCAACACTGATGTACCATTAAAAAAAATTGTCTAGATAACTACAGTATTTGACTGTAACTGTGTACTCATGGAAGGCAGGTATTTCGAATCATTGACAGGCACTGTGTGGCAGTAAAATTTTAGAGATAATGCAGAATAATCATAAACAGAAGATTTTAATGAGAAACAATAAATAAGCATTTAAAATAAACTAGAGATAATTTTTATGTTTTAATTGTATGCTATTCTTTCACAAAATGAAACTGCTGTAATCCAACTTTAGAAGCAAGAAATAGCCTTACATTGCTAAAATATATATGTAATTAATATATGTATTTATTATTTATTTTGTATATATAATTTAATATATATATAGCAGAATATGGTTGGAGTCTATTATATAAAACAAATACTTAATGAATAAATTATGTTATTGTTTAGATATAGGCTAGAGAAAATGGGTGAAAATATATAATTCCTTTTTGCCTGTAGCAAACTTAAATTTGTAAGTAACTATATTAGTAAATATGGAATGCCTACTAATTACCTAATTTACTTCAAACATAACATGTAAATTCTAGCTTATTGCTCCTAAATGTCTGAATCTAAAATTACAGGCACATTTGAAATAGAAATTAGAAATTAAAAACTTATAGAAAGGGTGACATTAATAAGATAGAGAAATAAAAGGTGCCCTATTTGTCTATTCCTCCACAGCAAGAAAATTTGTTGGCCATCCCTGACAAAAATACCTTTATGAGAGTACCAGGCCTCATGGCTCAAACCTGTAATGACAGCTACATGGTATATTAAGGTTGGAGAATTGCTTCAGGCCAAGATTTCAAGACCAGCCTGGGTTATGTAGCAAGACCCCATCTCCAAAATAAATGCCTTTAAGAGATCTTTAAAGTCCAGGGATGAAGTTGTGAAATTCTGCTAAAGCCAAAGATTGAGGGGTGTTCTCTTCAGAAAGCAGGCTCTCATTTTGGTGGCAAACTACAGGACCCCTGGTCTTGGCTACAGGACAGGAAATGGCCAACGCTACTTGGTCCCACTGAGAATTCTGAATTTACTCTGTAATTATTTCAAAATCCTTTCAGCCGCAGTCTGGGAGAGGTTCTGTCCTTTCACAGGCCTGGAGGAAGACACCCGTTTACAGCCATGCAGGCAGGCCTGCAGACCCTGGCTTTTAATGTGGTGCCTGAAGCAGTTCAAAGTCTCAGTTCCAGCTTCCTGGGCCACAGTTTATGGCCAGTTCTCTTTACCTAGAAACCAACACAGTGTGACCCGAGGAAATCCTCTGTGGTACTCAGCAAAAGCCATACTCATTTACATCCCGATTTAAGGTACATTATATACAGACCCTACTGCAAAAACCTGCCCTAGTGTCTGCCCTACAGAGCAAAGTCTTGAAGGATATCCAATCTGTCCAAAAATAATATGGGAATTACAACTATCCAAGCCCTTTGTAACAAGCCAACTAAAGGTGGACCCTAGTGCAGACCCAGCAATCTTGTGACCAAGCTACAACCCCTCTCCATCACAAACCCAGAGGGAATCCCATCACCCTGGGGGCCCAATGGAAGAAGATCTTTACCTCCTGAAACTAGTTTATAGAAACTTGAAGAGGTGTTTGCTCCTTCAAATTCACAGACACCAAATGCAAAATTATATTGTGCACCTTGTCAATGCTTCTATTTTAACATAGCACTGAAGTATATGGCAGAATAATTAGTCAAAACAGTTTTCAAAAAGCCATTGAAACTGAAGACAAATAAGTAAAAATTTGCTGTTTGTAGATTACATCTTTTTTATAGAAAACCATAAGCAGCGCATTAAAACCTAAGTTAATAAATAAACTCCGTAAATTAGCAAAATATAAAATTAAAATACAAGTTATGGTTCCATACACTTAAAACAAACTATCTGGTAAAATAGACAAAAAAAAATCTTATTTACAATAGCATTAAAATAATAAATTTCTGGCCGGGCGCGGTGCTCACGCCTGTAAACCCAACACTTTGGGGGGCTGACAAGGGCGGATCATCTGAGGTCAGGAGTTCGAGACCAGCCTGGCCAACATGGTGAAACCCCATGTCTACTAAAAATACAAAAATTAGCCAGGCATGGTGGCGAGTGCCTGTAATCCCTGCTACTTGAAAGGCTGAGGCAAGAGAATCGCTTGAACCCGGGAGGAGGAGTTTACGGTGAGCTGAGACTGCACCATTGCACTTCAGTCTGGGCAAGAAGAGTGAACCTCCATCTCAAAAAATAAATAAATAAATAAATAAATTTCTGAGAACAAATTTGACCAAGGAGATAAAAACTCTTTACACTGAAAGATATAAGATAGCTAGGAAAAGAAATAGAGAAGACAAAAATAAATTTGAAAATGTTTCATGTCTATGAGTTGAAAGAATATAGATTCAATAAATATAGGTTCAATAAGCTCCCTGTAAAAATTCCAGTGGCAAGTTTTTTTCACAGTAACGGAAAATACAAGGCTAAAGATTACATGAAACTACAATAAGCTTTGAATAGCCAAAGCAATCTTCAGGAAAAAAAAAGCAGAATGACATCATATTTTATAATTCCAAACTATCTTTCAAAAATATACTAAAGAAAAAGGATGAAATGTGCAGAAAAATTAAAAAATTCAATGGAACAGAAACCACTACTCTATTCATGTCAGGCACAATGCAAAAAGAGAACTTAAGAAATAGCTTAACATAGAATTTTTGAAAATTATGCAGATATTTGTATGCCCCTAAAAACAATGAAAAAGCAGTCAGACTATGCAGTCTCTTATATGCCATGAGGACTTTGGCTCTCACTGTAAACTTGAAGGAAAATGACTGAAAGGAAAGTAGAATCTTTAGAGAATTTAAAAGCATAAGACAGAAATGTCCCTATGTGAGAGCAAAGAAAAAAAAAATGCAAACTCAGGCTTCCAGAAACTATATCCCTTGGAATACAGCTTCCGAAATGACATTTTAAGGACTTGCTTTCTCCTTGACCTGTGGATCTCTCATCTGTTTCACCTGTTGTACTGGCTTTCACTCTCACCTACCTGGGGGTTTGGCTACCATCTCATGTCTCTTCATATTACAGGGCTCTTTTCCTTGCTCCAGACAGGTGATCAGGTCTGGCTTAGAGACAGCAATACCTGTTTTTTAAAAATAAGTAACACGCATCTTGCTCATATTCTCCAATTACCAACTTAGTAATGTGCTCAATAAAGAGAATGTAATATAATATTCTAATACATTTATGCCAAAATACTAATTTATAACAGAAATTTCTAAATATTTAGAAAATACTGTATATTTGTAGATTCTTAATTCACTACCCAGTACTACTGAATAAAAAAATTGGTGGTAGCAATTAGATTTTAAGGTGTGGGCAACAATATTTTACACCACTAAATTTCTGGAATTACCACTATTCTAGAGTGAGGGATACAGATCAGCTCAGCAATGTGGAAAGTTCAGTTCAAGGTGAAACCTCTTGAAGAAATTTTTTTTTCTACACTGACAAATCCTTATGATTTTCTTGAAAACAGGGATATGAAACTCATTTATGCAAAACATAATTATCAAAAATTACCAAATTACCAAAAAACATTCTACAAAAAAAAAAATAAATAAAAAATAAAGCCTTTGGAGTATATTAGGAATTGAGTACTGAAGTTATCCTCACCCAGGAAGACCAGGTTTCTGTAGTTCTCTAACATCACATCCCTATATAAATTCTGCTGTGCAGTGTCCAGGCAATGCCACTCCTCCAGAGAGAATTCTACAGTCACATCCCTAATTGTCAGTGGTCCCTGAAAAACACACAAACACAGACACACATATATTTACCAAGTGGTCAGGGACAGAATTTTTAATGTCACTCAAGGTGTAATTAAAGAGCAGAGAGAACAGGTTCTGCCTTATTGGAGTGACCAAAATTATCCAAGAAAATATTTTTTTAACACAGAAATATTCTCTAATGTATTCTCTGACTCTAAAAAACACACCCCCATACACATTTACCAAGCAGCCAGGGCAGAATTTTTAATGTCTCAAGGTCAAATGAGAGAGTAGAGAACTGGTTCTGACTTATAGAAAGTCTGTTTCTGAATTTTTTTTGTTTTGTTTTGAGTTTCTATATTTCTAACAAGTTCACCAGTAATGCCAATGTTTTTGGCCCAAGAAGAATATTTTGTCAAACATCCACTAAGTAAAAGAGCCTGTGTTTTTCCTAGTATTGCTGGACTGTAAAAAGAAAAAGATGACAGTTTTTACTTGCCAAAGACAGATATATGCAAATAAAACCTAAGAAAGAGGGGCAGCTACCAGATAAAATGTGATGGTTTATGCACATCCGCTGCATAAAAATAATTTATAATGAAAAGAAAAATAACTAGCTTTCTAGTAAAAAAATTTGTAGACCTCCTTAACCAAGTGAATCATTAATGTTACTTGCACTAGGACAAATTTTTATGATGTGCTGATGCACAAAAGAAGGACACAGCATCACCACTGTGACATTTTCTCCCAGAAGTAAATCGTAGTCCGAATTCAACCATAAAGAACCATCAGTTTTATACCAAGTTCAAGACACAGATATCTCTCATGTTCTGTAATTTTTAATAGTGATTTTAAGTAGTCTTTCTTTAGCACCCTAGAGAGCAAGTATTTCCTCATTTTTTTTCAGGACTTTCTGGGTAATAAATGCCATCCTCCTTAAATAAACACTTCCTTAATCCTGCTCTCTATAGAGTTAATGAAGAACACAGATGGAACCTCAACATTACAAGTTTTCCATCTTTTTTAAGAACCCCTTTCTTCTTCCAATAGGAATCTTGAGTATTCACACCTTCCCAGACACAAAGGGAACATTTTTAATACAGTAGATTATAAATCCATGAAGAAAATTCTGCGTGGCATAGAAGGAGCCATGATGTAGAAGGCTCTGGTATATGGGAAAAAACATATTTTTCAGAGACCCTTGACTATTACAAGAATTTTTTAAAGTAGTTAAAACAAACTCATTAGGGAGGAAAAACAAGTAGAGAAGTAAAGGTTTGCACGTAAAAATGCATGGCATTTCAGAAGGCAGAGTGGACACAGCTCTTGATATGAGACATGTTTAGTTGAAAAAAAAAAGCCATTTTTTCCTCCTTCTCCTCTGGAATTCTTGCTCAGATGAAATTTTCTGCACAAATTACACCTGCATCTCGAGAATATGCCTTTAAAGGTGTCAGCACCACCCATTTACCTGCTACCACCACACCCACTGGCAGGACCAAGACCTGCAGAAACATTCCATCCATTTCTGTCCTTTATACTAGTAGAGATTCAGGAACAATGAGCTTCTCTATGAAAATAAAAATATAAGTTTCTTCTTTTCTGTCCTCAGATGCCCTCCTCTGCCACAGACACCAGCAATTTCTGCTACAGTAATGGTAATATGGGCCACACTGCCTTGTCTCTCCCAAACCCAAACAGAACATGCCCTGTGACCACCCTTTAGTGCAAAGGTTTCTACCTTAACTCTCATGAATGCCTTGAACCCTTCATTGTTGATTCTGGCCTCACATTGGAATTATACGAGGTACTTAACCAAAACAACATATATGTTTCCACCTAAAACAATAAACAAAACCTGTAGGAAAAGCTGAAGTAAGGATTTTTCTGCAAATTGGCCATGTAATCCTAATTAGAGGTCTGGGCTTATAACCACTTAGCTAAGCATTTAATCTCAAGCTTTAATGAGCTTACAAATCACTTAGTAATTTTGGGCCCACTCTATGTAATATGATGCTGCAGGTTTGAAAAGGGTCCAAAATGAATGTTTTAAACAAGTCCCCTGTCAATGTTGATGTTGCTCCCCTGGGCTCATGATCAGCATTAGTTAGAGAAAGCAGGCACAGCACAGAGTCCCTTATACTCAGCACTCTTGTCACAACACAAATACTTCTAGGGCAAATGAAGACAACCACTCTCCATCCTAAAGTATCATATTCTTTGCTGGCTCTGTAGAGTATACAGAGGAAACAGAAAACAGCCATGTCTGAATAAGTCTGCGTTTAAATAACATGTACAAGTGTACTGATGGAATGTTTATTAAACATTGTGCTCTATGTGCTCAAGAGGATGTTACGGAGCACTGTGCTGGGAATAACACATTATGTGACATAATCTTCATAACACCCTTGGGAATTGGTACTAAGTGTTTAATAATTCCCAGGATTTAGATAAAGGGCACAGCATTTTAATTTTTATAGTTTCTCTGTCATTAATTTTTTATAAAATGTATAGAATAAAGCTAAATAGATAGATGAGAGGGATAAAGGAAAAATTTAATGTAGTTTAGAGGAATTTTTATTGTGTTTATATTTAATTTTTTGTGACTTGTGGAGCAACTACTGATTTGTAAGATTAGAAAACAAGTTGCTAAATGGAATGTCTCTGCAAGCACTGGTTTTAATAAAAAATTTAAAAAGACCCTAAAATACATACTTTATTATTCCCATTTATCTGCTTTTGGATTTCAGAAAACTGTGAGCACCACTTCTAGAAAGACAGCAGGCTTCACCAACCAAAACTCTGATCTTATTAAATCAATTATCTGAGGCAAGACTCCAGGGTGGGGACAGGACTAAATAAAGCCCCCAAGTAGGAACTGAACAGAACTGGAGCAGGGAGTGGAGCCTATGTAGAATTTGTTCTCTGTGCCACTGGGGTACTTCCAGTTCTGTTTCCTAAGCTTACCTAAGAAAAACTTAAATCCCAGAGTTCATGTAACTTTAATCTTTTTTAGCTACTGCCCTGTCAATTTCCTAATATATACTAATAATCCATTTAAACAAATATCTTAAGGATATCTAGAATAATTTTATTAGAAGATAAATAAGTATTCTTAGCAAAATAAAAGAAATAAAAATAATAACAATTCTTCTGTCCATAAACATCCCTTCAGGTGATGACATCAGAAGTCACAACAATATTGTTTTTTTGTTTTTAAGACAGAGTCTTGCCCTGATGTCCAGGCTGGAATGCAATCACTCAATCACTCAATCTTGGCTCACTGCAACCTCCGCCTCCTGGGTTCAGGCAATTCTCCTGCTTCAGCCTCCCAAGTAGCTGGGATTACAGGCGCCCACCACCACGCCCAGCTAATTTTTTATTTTTTTTAGTAGAGATGGGGTTTCACCATGTTGGCCAGGCTGGTCTCGAACTCCTGACCTCGTGATCCACCCACCTCGGCCTCCCAAAGTGCTGGGATTACAGGCGTAAGCCACCACGCCCGGCCTAATATTGTTTATTTTTTATTTGGGTTACTTACGGCCCAAATAAACCCCAAGTTTCTTTGCACAAATCTATTTATTATATCAACCATATGATGCTTAATTCATCGTTTATCCAGTTGCTAGTCTGGACTAAAAGTTCATGGATGGTAGGGACCATGACTGCTACATCTATTATTCTAATGGCCATATGAGATGGAAGCATTTAGTTTAACTGTTCGAATCTCCAGAACTACTTCTTTTCCTCCCAAGTACCAGCAATTGAAGAAACTGTCATCTGGGTACCAACCAAAGACACCTCTTGAATGAGGGAAGGATGACCCATTTCTCTTACACTGAGACAGAAGCAGAGTTAACCACTCGTCAGCCTGACAATTCTGCTCTGGAAATCCTCAAATGTCTCAAAGACACCTAGGTGATTCTGAGAGGATTCCCAGTGACCGTGTGCTGACGGCCCAATTGTAAGCCAGACAGAAGAGATTTAGGCTGATTCTAAATAGAAAATGGAACTGCCCTGGTAAAGCTCCAGAACCTGGATCACCTGTCCTGATTTGCTAGCTTTTGGGTAAGAGGAAGGACAAAAATGTTCTACTCCAGTATCACATTTTAGGAGTAGGTATAGTTGCAGTCATGGCTCTGGATACTTTGTAGCCTTGATCTCTCACTCCTAAGATGTTGCTATCAGATTCTGTTTACACCAGGATCCTCTCATGTAACTGCAGCAGGTCACTGGACAAGACTTGAAAAGCTCAAAGAGCCACACTATCAAAGGGGGGCTTTAAGATGTCTATGTTGACATCTCACAATGCAGAAATTCCTCCTGTTGGTTTTCATTACCTTCTTAATCTAAAACCTGGCCCTGTCTTGTGAATCTCAGGCAGAGATCAGCTCTTATGTGCAGATTCTTGGTCAGATCAAACTGGCTCTGCATTCTTGGGTGTTACAGCAAGTGGAGTACAATCAAAGAGAGATGTTCTCCTAGAGGCTGTTCTAGCACATCCTAAGTAATATGTCTGCCTAAAAAGAAAAACCCGAGGCAACACAGATATAAGTAGACAGTTTATTTGTTCCATCTTTGAGGACTGTAACCTGGGAGCAAAGATTCAAGTTGCCTGGAATCTACACTTTGATAATCAGCAGTTACAAGTGGATTTGTAAAGGCAAAAAAAAAAAAAAAAAAAGAGGGACAGAGAGTGGGATGGTACAAAAATGTTTGTTAGTAACAAACGATTTTGGGAGTGAGAGATCAAGGCAACAAAGTGTCTAGAGTCATAACCACAACTATACCTACCTTTCTTATTTATTTATAGAAATAACATTGACTATTGATTGGATATACATCAGTAAGGTTTACAGCTTAAGTTATAGTGTTCAGTGTCACATTATTAGTTAAATTGATGCTACTTGTGGCAATTGTGAATGGTTTCAGGAGATGAATACATAGCTCAAGCGGGGGGGAGACATAATTGTGTTTCTCATTTATTTTTTATTTTTTATTTTTTTTGAGATAGAGTCTCGCTCTGTCACCCAGGCTGGAGTGCAGTGGCGCGATCTCGGGTCACTGCAACCTTCGCCTCCCAGGTTCAAGCAATTCTCTGCCTCAGCATCCCAAGTAGCTGGGATTACAGGCGCCCACCACCATGCCCAGCTAATTTTTGTATTTTTAGCAGAGACAGGGTTTCACCATGTTGGCCAGGCTGGTCTTGAACTCCTGACCTCGTGATCCACCTGCCTCAGCCTCCCAAAGTGCTGGGATTACAGGTGTGAGCCACTGCACCCAACCTGAGCTCTCATTTTAATGTCTCTCTGTGTTTGACAACTAAAAGGACTTGTATTCCTCAGATAAACGTTTTTTTTTATTTTCCAAAACTTAAGACCTACATTCAGAATTTGGAGCTGCAGATTTAGGCTCTGGATGGGTGGAGTAGCAGCAGGTGTTACCTGCATATTTGTGGACATTTTAGCAAGAGGAGATACAAGAAAGTGGAGATTCTCATGTCTACGTGTCTATTCAGTGCGCACATATTACTCTGATTGGGTTTCTGAGCTCCATGTTCTGTGAATCAGTTTCAGGTCTGAAGATACAAGAGTCAACGAAAGAGGTAAAATGTTGATTGCTGCCCTGTGAAGTTTGTAGAAATCTGGTCTAGCTTCTCTAGAAGTGACTGTAGTGGCCTATAGATACCAAATAGGCAGATACACAATTCTTCCTGCATATTTAGGAGACAGCACATACTATGTAGCATAATTGTGAGGTGACTGGAAGCCTGAGAGGGAAAGTCCCCTCTAGAGTAAAGCTTGGCTGGCACCTTATGTGTTTATATCATGTCTGGTAATTCTAGACAGTGTCTGGAATATATAACGAAAAGAAAAACTTTCTACAGCCCCAGAGAAACACAATGATAGAACAGAAAGAAAACTGTTTTATTACACAATTAACCTAGAATGTGAAGTGCATCATGGTCAATCTGCTCAAAGACTGCAAAGACAGAAAGATGTTCATCATAATTAGTCCATAAGTAGAAAAATTTACAACACCATGCTATACATAATTCATTCTAAATTCACTTGATAATTGAAAAGGCCTTCCATATATGCTACATGGTTATATTCAATGCCAAAATAAACCTTATCACATCTTCATGACAAAAGGCAGTTTTGCCACTTAAGCCTGGTGCCTGCTGAAGGTAGGCTCTCACTCTTCTACAAAAATGGTTGATTAGGATGCTATCATTTTGGCTATTTACATTTTAAAATAATGGCTCTCTACTCCCTGAGACTGGGCTAGAGCACTCCTGCTTGCCCTCCCCTGGTCACCAGTGTCCTCTCTTGACTCCTACCATCTGCCACTGAGGCACAGCCCACAGCACAGGGCTCACAGCTGGCAGCTCACATCTTATGTGAACCCAAACTGCCACAGTAGCACTCCAGTGCCACATCAGAGAGTGAAGCCTGAGCTGCAGGAGGAGAGCCTGCAGGCCTCCTGGGTAGAACTGCACCTTCACAATAAAGGGAATGGAAGAAGTGTTTCAGCCTCAGTGCCAATTTATAATGGTGACATGAAAAAATACTGCTGGATTTGCAGTATGAGTCTCGGTAGAGATCACTCCAAGAGTCATCCCTGTGACAGCCCACCTCATTCAAAGACACCACGGGATACGCATAAGGCTTCTAAAACAGACACCCAAAGCATTTGAGAGAAAAACAGCTCTCAAATGAGCAAGATTTTATTGAGAGAAATAAAGAAGTTAAAAGCATCTTAAGAAAAACTCAAATTAGACATAAGATTTATCGAAATAGCCAGAAAATATTCCCCTGAAAAGAATTTCTAAGCATCCAGAGTGCACAGCTACTCTCAGCATGAGAAACATGAGCATTATAAAGAAAGTGTGCATATTTTCAGCAGAATTTCATAAGGTTTCTCTTTCATCTCTGTTGCTCTCTCATCTCCTAGCCATTGAATGGGGGATCTATGTTGAAATACATCTGACAACTTCCACCAGCACTTTTTGATGAAGAATTGGAATCCCTCTCTGTTCATATAGTAGAATATATTTGAGCTTGCAACATAGTTAACTAAAGAGCTATTACGGTTTTTGGATGGCCATGTCACCTGTGTTTGTCCTGTAATAGCAGCATTCCAAGTTAGTGAAATACAAGACACTAAAATTATGCTTACCTAGAGTTATCCCTATTAGATAAATAAGCATTTCAGACTAATATCTACTGTAACAATTTTGTAGTAAATTTTTTGAACATTAGATATAAATATCTAAGTATATATAATTTTAATGTACTAGTCATAATAAATGTAAAATTTTTTAAAAATGTCTGTAATCGCTGGGCACCATGGTTCATGCCTGTAATCCCAGCACTTT
This sequence comes from Homo sapiens, assembly GCF_000001405.40. Taxonomy (NCBI): domain Eukaryota; kingdom Metazoa; phylum Chordata; class Mammalia; order Primates; family Hominidae; genus Homo; species Homo sapiens. The sequence goes on along the minus strand of NC_000019.10, from coordinate 22,065,459 downwards.
GGAAGGCCGAGGTGGGTGGATCACCTGAGGTCGGGAGTTCGAGACCAGCCTGACCAACATGGTGAAATCCCATCTCTACTAAAAATACAAAAATTCACTGTGCATGGTGGTGGGTGCTTGTAATCCCAGCTACTTGAAAGGCTGAGGCAGGAGAATCGCTTGAACCTGGGAAGCAGAGGTTGTGGTGAGCTGAGATCATGCCATTGCACTCCAGCCTGGGCAACAAGAGTGAAACTCCATTGAAAAAACAAAACAAAACAAAAAAAGTCTGTTATCATAATTCAGTTAAAACACTTTATATTTCAAAAGTATAAATAACAATATTAAAAGGCCCATCTGATTCATTGAAAGTAAATTTTGTGGCCTTATATTCATACTATTGTAGAAAATACTTTTTTTTTTTTTTGAGGCGGAGTCTCGTTCTTTCGCCCAGGCTGGAGTGCAATGGCGTGGTCTGGGCTCACCGCAACCTCTGCTTCCTGGGTTCAAGCGATTCTCCTGCCTCAGCCTCCGGAACAGCTGGGACTATAGGCGCGTGCCACCACACCCGTCTAATTTTTGTATTTTTAGTAGAAACGGGGTTTCGCCATGTTGGCCAGGCTGGTCTCCAACTCCTGACCTCGTGATCTGCCCACCTCGGCCTCCCAAAGTGCTGGAATTACAGGTGTGAGCCACCATGCCTGGCTGAAAATAGTTTTTAAAGTATATAAACGCAGGTTGCCTACAAACACTACACATAACTATGCTAATTGTTCTGAAGTAATAAACGGAAACCAAAGTACAACTAAAGACTTCACTGTTCAGTTTATATACTGAACTGCTTTCTTTTGCAGTGTGAGTACTTCAGCCTGAAAATATTAGATAATCACCTTGGACAATCAGTTTTCTGTTAAAAAAAACTACTCAGTATCTTTTAGTCTTTATCATTCTGTATGGCTAAATTTAATCCTATTTTTGTGCTCCACTTTTGCGTGTTTTTAAAATAAGCTTTGATATAAACAAAACTGTCGACTTTAAAAGACTAAAAATGAAAGGAAAAAACTTTGCCAAAGCAAAAACAAAGCAATGAATCTGAAGTCCTAGCTAATGACAACCTTGAGTAAAAAATAATGACAAAAGGTTTACTTAGCTGTTAATATAATTTATGTATATTTCAAAATAACAAAGATAAATGTACATATCATCTTAAATGCTTTAAGATGCTAAGTGCTTATTTCAAGGTAGAAGAATAAAGCTTTTCATTTCTAATTTATATTTTTTTCTACAACAGCCAGGTTTTCTGGACGTGTTCTTGAATTCTTGGACATCTCAATTTCAGCAGACATTGGATTCAGGCATCTAAGGGGCAACCTTGGGCACACTTTGTGCACTTGAAATAATGCTTATGGGGAAAAAAGCAGAAGAGAGAAATGTGTTATAAAAATTCCATGGGTACACATGAATAAAGCAAGTTCTTAGAGACCTATGAAGAGACTTTAATTCTGACACAACAGTAGGAGACTACAACACCCCACAGAAACTATTAGACAGATCCTTGAGACAGAAAATAAACAAAGATAACAGTATGTAAACTTGACACTTGACCAAATAGTCCTAATGGATATCTACAGAACTCTATGTAAAAACAACATAATATACATTATTCTAATCACCATGTGAAACAAACTCTAACATTTACCACACAATTAGAAATAAAACAATACTCAGCAAATACAAAAATCCCTACATTATACCAACCACACATGGAGACAACAGATTGTTGAAAATATAATTCAACTACAAAGAAAACCACTTGAAAACATACAATTATATGAAAATTAAACAACCCGCATTTAAATGACTTTTGGGCAAATAATGAAATTAAGACAGAAATCAAGAAGTTGTTTGAAACAACTGAGAATAAAGATACAGCATACCAGAATTGCTGCAACACAGCTAAGGCAGTGGTAAGAAGGAAATTTATAACACTAAATGCTCACATCGAAATGTTAGAAAGATCTTAATTTAGTGACCTAATATCACAAAATAAAGTATGAGAAGCAAGAGCAAACCAATTCTAAGCTAGCAGAATGCAAAAAATAACCAAAAGCAGCTCTGAACTGAAGGAGACTTAGACATGTAAAACTATACAAAAGATCAAGAAATCCAGGAGTTAAATCTTTGAAAAAAAATTGATAAGATATACTACTGGCTAGATTAATGAAGAAACAAGAGCCAAATAAACACAATTAGAAATGACAAAGGGACATTATTACTGACCCCACAAAAATACAAATAACTACTGAAGTCTACTATGCACATCTCTATGCACACAAACAAGAAATCTAATAGTAATAAATAAAGTCCTGGACAAATACATCCTGCCAAGACTGAACACAAATATATCCTGCCAAGACTCCACACAAAAGAAAACGAAGCCCTGAATAGACAAATAACAAGCTCCAAAATTGGATTAGTAATATATAGCCTACCATCCAAAAAGTTCTGAGGACCAGAGAAATTTGCAGCTGAAATCTTTAAGATGAACAAAGAGCTAGTACCATTTCCGCTAAAAGTATTCCAAAAAAAATGAGAAGAAAATCTTCCCCAACTCATTATATTAGAACAGAATCATTGTGATACTAAAACCCAGCAAAGATAAAATGGAAAAAGAAAACTTCAGGTAAGCCGGGTGCAGTGGCTGGCCAGGAGTGGAGGCTCACACCTGTAATAGCTCTTTGGAGGCCAAGGCGGGCAGCTCACCTGAGGTCGGGAGTTCAAGACCAGCCTGACCAACATGGAGAAACCCCATCTCTACTAAAAATACAAAATTATCCGGGTGTGGTGGCGCATGCCTGTAATCCCAGCTACTTGAAAGGCTGAGGCAGGAGAATTGCTTGAACCCAGGAGGTGGAGGTTGTGGTAAGCCGAGATTGCACCATTGTACTCCAGCCTGGGCAACAAGGAGGAAACTCTGTCTCAAAAAAAAAAAAAAAGAAAGAAAGAAAACTTCAGGCCAATATCCTTCACAAACATTGATGTAAAAATCCTTAGCAAAGCTGGGCGCAGTGGCTCACACCTGTAATCCCAGCACTTTGGGAGGCCGAGGCAGGTAGATCACAAGGTCAAGAGTTCAAGACCAGCCTGGTCAATTTGGTGAAACCCCGTCTCTACGAAAAATACAAAAAAAATTCGCCACTGCACTCCAGACTGGGCAACAGAGCGAGACTCCGTCTCAAAAAAAAAAAAAAAAAAAAGCAGGCGCAGTGGTGGGTGCCTGCAATCCTAGCTACTCAGGAGGCTGAGTCAGGAGAATCACTTGAACCCAGGAGGCAGAGGTTGCAGTGAGGCAACACCATGCCACTGCACTCTAGCCTGGGCAGCAGAGCAAGTCTCTGTCTCAAAAAAAAAAAAAAAATCCTCAGCAAAATACTGTGTAATCAAATCCAACAGCCAACAGCATATCAAAAAGCTAATCCACTATAATCAAGTAGGCTTTATCTCTGGGATGTAAGATTGGTTCATCATAAACAAATCAATGTGATTTATTACATAAACATAATGAAAGACAAAAACTGCAAGATTATCTCAATAGATGCAACAAAAAAAAAAAGCTTTCAACAAAATTTAACATCGTTTATGTTAAAAGCCCTCAACCAATTAGGCATTGAAGGTACATACTTCAAAATAATGAATTATTTATGACAGACCCACAGCCAACATACTGAATGGAATGGACACAAGCTGGAAGCATTTCTCTTTAAAAAATGGCACAAGACAAGAATGTCTTCTCTCACCACTCCTATTCAACATAGATTGGAAGTCCTAGCCACAGCAATCAGGTGAGAAAAAAAAAAAAGGCATCCAAATGGGAAGAGAGGTTGTCAAACGATCTTTGTGTGCAGACAACATGATTCTGTATCTAGAAAAGACTATAGTCGTGACAGAAAAGCTCTTTAAACTGACAAACAACTGCAGAAAAGTTTCAGGATACAAAATAAATGTACAAAAACCAGTAGCACCCATGTACATCAACAATATCTGAGCTAAAAGCCAAATCAAAAACAAAATCTCATTCACAACTGCCACAGAAAAATAATTATGTAGAAATACAGCTAACCAGAGGGGTGAAAGATCTCTATGACAAAAATAAAAAACAAAACAAAACAAAAAAACATTGCTTAAATAAGTCAGAGATGAAAAACAAATGGAAAATCATTTTATGCTCATGGATAGAAAAGATCAATATCATTAAAATGGGCATACTGCCCAAAGAAATCTACAGATCTAATACTATTCCTATCAAACTACCAAAAACATTCTTAACAGAACCAAAAGAATCCATTTTAAAATTCATATGGAACAAAAAAAAAAGAGCCCAAATAGCCAAGGCAATCCTACACAAAAGGAACAGAGCTGGAGGCCTTATATTACCAAACTTTAAACCACAGGGCTACAGTAAAAAAAGCAGCATGGTACTGGTACAAAAACAGGCTCAGAGACCAAAACAACAGATTAAAGAGCCCCAAAATTTATTCTGCACACCTACAACCATCTGATCTTTGACAAACTGACAAGAGGAATTTGAGAAAAATTCCTTATTTAATAAATTTTGCTGGAATAACTAGCTAGCACTATGTAGAAGACTGAAACTAGACCCCTTTCTTACACCATATATAAAAATCAACTCAAGATTGATTAGGCCAGGCACTGTGGCTCACGCCTATAATCCCAACCAAAGCCAAGGCGGGCAGATTGGCTGAGGTCAGGAGTTCGAGACCAGCCTGGCCAATATGGTGAAACTCCATCTCTACTAAAAATACAAAAATTAGCCGGGCGTGGTGGTGGGCACCTGTAATCCCAGCTACTCAGGAGGCTGAGGCAGGAGAATTGCTTGAACCTGGGAGGCGGAGGTTGCAGAGAGCCGAGATCATCCCACTGCACTCCAGTCTGACGACAGAGCAAGACTCCATCTCGGAAAAAAAAAAAAAAAAGAAAAAGTAGGCAAAAGACATCAACAGATACTTTTCAAAACAGACATACATGTGGTTAACAAGGATATAAAAAAATGCTCATCACTAATCATTAGAGAAATGCAAACAAAAACCACAATGAGGCATCATCTCACACAAATCTGAATGGATATTATACGAAAGTTAAAAAAAATCACAGATGCTGATAAGGTTGTAAAAGGAATGCTTATACACTGCTGGTGGGAGTGTGAATTAGTTCAACCATTGTGAAAAGCAATGTAGTGATGTCTCATGTAAGTAAAAACAAATTTCCATTTGACCTAGCAACCTCTTAATTGGGTACATACCCAAAGAAATATAAATTATTCCATCATGACACATGCACATGCATGTTCATTGCAGCACTATTCACAATGGCAAAGACATGGAATCAACCTAAATGCCTATCCATGGTAGACTGGATAAAGAAAATATGGTATGGGCAAGTATGGTGACTCATGCCTCTAATCCAACACTTTGGGAGGCCAAAGCTGGTGGATTGCCAGAGCTCAGGAGTTTGACAGCAGCCTGAGCAATATGGCAAAACCTCATGTCTACAAAAAATAGAAAAAGAAAAAAATTAGTGGGTGTGGTGGCATGTGACTATAGTCCCAGCTACTTGGGGGGCTGAGGTAGGAGGATTGCTTAAGCTCAGGAGATTGAGGCTTCATTGAACCTAGATCACACCACTCCACTTCAGCCTGGGTGAAAGAGTAAGACCCTTTCTTCAAATATAAATAAAATAAAATAAAAGATTTAATAAAAACAAAATATGGTACATAAGCATCATGGAATACTACGTGGCCATTAAAAAAAAAAAAAAAAGAAAAGAAACAAAATCATGTCCTTTGTAGCAACGTGGATGGAGCTAGAGACCAGTATTCTTAGAAAACTAATGTAGAGACAGTAATCCCAGCACTTTGGGAGGCCGAGGTGGGTGGATCACCTCAGGTCAGGAGTTCGAGACCAGCCTGGCCAACATGGTGAAACCCCGTCCCTCCAAAAATACAAAAATTAGCTGGTGTGGTGGCAGGCGCATGTAATCCCAGAGTCTCAAAAAATAATAATAAATAAATACATGTTACCATTTATAAGTAAGAGCTAAATGATAAGAATGCATAGACACAAAGAGAACAATAGATACTGAGGGCAAGTTGATGGTGGATGATGGGAGGACAAAAAAGATCAGAAAAAATACCTGTTTGGTGCAAAGTTTAGTATCTCAGTGACAATATAATCTGCACACCAAACCCCCATGACACAATTTTACCTATATAACAAACCTGCATGTGTACTCAGGAACAAAAAATAAAAGTTAAAAGGAAAAAAATCCATGAGTTAGTTTGAGAGAGTGCAATGTAGGTGATAGGACTGGTTTGTGCTACAGATAGTGGCCCAGGTGTGACTCTAATTTATTTCTGGGTTCATGCAGGCAGATGAGATTACGAACAGGTGGTCCAGAACCCTAGGTTGGTGGAGAAAACAGGTTGCTGCTGCAGATTCAGTGTCTAGGGGTGAGGATATGCCAGGAGACTTGTAGACACTTGTGGGTTTTTGGCAAAAAAAAACATTAGGATAAAAATGCTGTGGTGAAATTCCTGAGGGTGGTGTCTAGCCCTGGGAGTGGTGTAGACACCTCAATGTCTAGTGGGTGTCTTTGTGACTGGGTAGAAATCCTGTGCTGACAGCTGTGGAAAAAGGGAATCTGCTATCCGAGCTTCTTTCCTTTAAGTTTTCAGTCCTCTCTCACCCTGGGAGGAGACCTAGAATCACAAAACAATGGGCACTATGACAGACAGAAAAGCAGAGCCTCCCAGAGTTTCATTTCAGGCCAGGCCTCTGTGGTATCTTTCTTCTGGCACCAAATCTGTAGAGTTTGCTGAATACCAAGATTCTCCAACATCAACTCATTGTCTAAAATTTGAATTCTGACACCACCCATTCAGCACAGACCCTGATTCAGGGCTCAGTACCACAGTATTCTCTTTACTGCAGATGTCAGGAACAAACCCAATGAACCCATCTATGCTCCTGAGCTACTGTTTAAAAATCAAGGACTCCCATAACCTCCCTCAAGTTCAATGATTTGATAGAGCCACTAACAAGCAAAACAACATAGTTATGTTGACCAGTTAATCATAAAAGATACAACCCAGAAAAAGCAAAATGGAATAAATGTATAGGACAAAAAAAAAATAGGTGGGGAAAGATGAAGCACATAGGTAATCCAGGTAAATAGTTGTGATTAATAAAATTCTCCATCCTTTGTGTGCTCCAGGAACAGTTCATGGAAAGAAACACCCTTTCCATTATAACTTAGATGGGGCTCTTTTTTTTGCCCATCACATAGCCAGACACAGACTCTGCACATTTTCTTCTTTTTCTCATATAAAAATCAGCTGAATTTGGCTAGGCGCGGTGGCTTATGCCTGTAATCCCAGCACTTTGGGAGGCCGAGGTGGGTGGATCACCTGAGGTCAGGAGTTCAAGACCAGCCTGGCCAACATGGTGAAACCCCCGTCTCTACAAAAATACAAAAAATTTAGCCAGACATGATGGCTGGTGCCTGTAATCCCAGCTATTCAGGAGGCTGAGGCAGGAGAATCGCTTGAACCCAGGAAGCAGAGGTTGCAGTGAGCTGAGATCACACCATTGCACTCCAGCCTGGGCGACACAGTGAGACTCCATCTCAAAAGATCTCAAATCTAGTTATTTCATCCTCAATTTCCCATTTCCCTCACACTTTCTTTTTAATCTGTTTGCTCCTCCTTATGAAAGTCAGTCCCTGTCAGCCTAAGCTTTGCAGTCCTTAAAGATATTATTGTTAGTGCTTCCTCCTGTTGCAATACTCCTGTGGAATTTTTTTTAAACATAAATCTAACTTTGCTTATATTTTACAAAGTCTAGAAACTATCTCAGAACAATAACAACTTCATCTTCAGTAAGACCTTCTGAGACCCCTTCTATTTTAACCTTAACTGCATCTGCCTGTGGATCCCCGGCTTTCCAGGGCTCTGTAGCTTCTCTCAGGATAAAGGCTTCTTCCATGGCTGGGACATCTGCAGGGGCGGCTCCCCAGAAAGAATTAGCTGGGCCTTTAATAACCTTTTTTGCAGGCTCAATATTAGCCTTAGCTTGGAGTCACTGGGCTCAAGTTTTAATTTCTATGACAGAGTTACTCACTTGGTTTTTGAAACTAAGTGTTTAAAAAATCTAGCAAAATTATCAAACATAGTACTCATATAAGGAAAAAAAATTAAGGTGCTTATATTTCATACCCAATAAGAAAAGTTAAAGTATTCCTTTCAGAGAATAAATGTATTATTGTATTAGTTTCATTAAAAATCATGTTGTAAATAATTAGTAATATGTGAACACTTCTAGGAGGTAACAAGTTTAATCTCATAAAATTTAACATTAAACTCAGAAATCAAAATAACAGAATATAGAACAGAGATATTCACTATCACAAGTTTTCCCTGCAAAAAAAGAAACTGATGCTTTTATGAATCCATGTAACTCATCAATTATCTACCATATTTTCTTGTGGAAATGTATTCATTTTCTACAGCCAAAATACAGAGATTTTTTTCTATTCTTTTCCTTGGTAGCATTCTAAAAGCTAAGCCTTGGAATTGCGTTTGAAACCACCCAGCCATAATAAAACACACTTGAAAAAATTTCTAAATTCGGCCGGGCGCGGTGGCTTACACCTGTAATCCCAGCATTTTGGGAGGCCGAGGTGGGCGGATCACGAGGTCAGGAGATTGAGACCATCCTGGCTAACATGGTGAAACCCCGTCTCTACTAAAAATACAAAAAAAAATTAGCCGGACATGGTAGCGGGTGCCTGTAGTCCCAGCTACTCGGGAGGCCGAGGCAGGAGAAGGGTGTGAACCTGGGAGGCGGAGCTTGCAGTGAGCCAAGATTGTGCCACTGCACTCCAGCCTGGGTGAGAGGGAGACTCCGTCTCAAAAAAAAAAAAAAAAATTTCTAAATTCACTCTGGAAAAGAAATAGGTAAATGAGGGCTAGGTATGGTGGCTCATGCCTGTAATCCCAGACCTTTGAGATGCTGAGGCAGGCGGATTACTTGAGGTCAGGAGTTCCAGACCAGCCTGGACAACATGGTGAAAACCCATCTCTACTAAAAATACAAAAATTAGCCAGCATAGTGGCGGGCTTTCACGGAGTTTCACCGTGTTGCCCAGGTTAGTCTCAAACTCCTGAGTTCAGGTGATCCACCCACCTCGGCCTCCCAAAGTGCTAAGATTACAGGCACGAGACAGTGCTCCCCCGTCCCTTTGTAAATATTTTCTTACCTTTAAAGCCCTACTAATAAAATGCAACTTATACTTAAAAAATCGGAGGTCAAGATAAGTGAAAACAATTCTTTTCTTTTTTTTTTTTTTTTTGAGACGGAGTCTCGCTCTGTCGCCCAGGCTGGAGTGCAGTGGTGCGATCTCGGCTCACTGCAAGCTCCGCCTCCCGGGTTCACGCCATTCTCCTGCCTCAGCCTCCCGAGTAGCTGGGACTACAGGCGCCTGCTACATCGCCCGGCTAATTTTTTTGTATTTTTTAGTAGAGACGGGGTTTCACCGTGGTCTCGATCTCCTGACCTAATGATCCTCCCGCCTTGGCCTCCCAAAGTGCTGGGATTACAGGCGTGAGCCACCGCGCCCGGCCGAAAACAATTCTTTTCAAGGTGACAAACCGAGGGAGTAGCAATGCTGATTAAGAAACAAATGTGTCTGACTCATATGTCAAGTAAGGCCATCTAATCGCTTGAGAGATTCTCCCACCCCATCCTGCTCTCATAAGTGCTCAATAACCACTCTCTCAGGAGAAACTGCACTATGCCCCACTGAGTGGCCCAGGATCATTTTATTTTGTAAGCTCTTATACCATCTAACTGGGTTCAGTTTTCTTTTTTTAAATTTTTGTCTTTTGAAATACTGTTTTTTGGCCAGGCACGGTGGCTCACGCCTGTAATTCCAGCACTTTGGGAGTCCGAGGTGAGTGGATCACCAGAGGTCAGGTGTTCAAGACCAGCCTGGCCAACATGGCGAAACCCTGTATCTACTAAAAACACAAAAATTAGCCAAACGTTGGGGTGGGCACCTTTAATCCCAGCTACTTGGGAGGCTGAGGCAGGAGAATCCTTGAACCTAGGTGGCATAGGTTGCAGTGAGCCAAGATGGTGTCACTGCACTCCAGCCTCGGCAACAGAGCAAGACTCTGTCTCAAAGAAACCAAAAAATACTATTTTTTCTTTCACAAATGTTTCACTATTTTTATTTCACTATTTCTCTGCCCACTTAGAGAATCCAGGGGGCAGAAATTATTTCTGTGTTTTTTACCAGCATCTGATTGGCTTAACAGCAATGTGTCTCTAAGAAATGGAAGCTGAGTTGGGTGAAGACAATCTTAATATCTTCGAAAAAGAAATACAACAGGAGACTCCTCTCAGCCCTGGGGCAGCCACCTTCTTTCTTAATAGGCTACACTCCATAACTCAGGTTGTGCTATAAGAAGAAAAAAAAAAAAAAAAAAAAGACCCAGTAGCTGATATCCACTAGATACTCTAGCAGATATAGCCATGGTGGGTATCTTGGTTTATCCCCAGGAAATACTGAAGCCCAAGACCAAGAACAAAACTAAAGGGTGGGTGAAGACATCTCACCTCACAGCTTCCAAAGGGAAACTTTGACCCAAAAACATTCTGATAAGATCTCTGTGCCTATACAAGATAAAAGCAAAGAGGAACAAAATTTTTTTTACACTACAGTGTCAGGGAATTATACTTTGCTTTCTTCCCATGGAAAGTATTTACAAACAGAAAACAAATCTTTTTAAAGTGCCATCCAATGCTTTGTCAAAAAATGATTAAAATATGGTATAAAAAATGTAAACTAAAGGATGAATAATTGATAATGTGAATTAGGGAAAACTGGCATTTGGGAATGTCAGAAGAAACTGAAAATTTAGTATTTTATTATTTACTATTTTTGCAATCCAGAGTTAGGCTGAAGAAATGATGAAGGGGGAGGAGGGTAAAACTTGAGACTCTGCTTGGGACACATGTAAAAAATTCAGCGGAAAAGGCCGGACGCGGCTCACTCCTGTAATCCCAGCACTTTGGGAGGCCAAGGCAGGCGGATCACCTGAGGTTAGGAGTTCGAGACCAGCCTAGCCCACATGAAACCTCATCTCTACTAAAAATACAATAACTAGCCAGGTGTGGTGGTGGGTGCCTGTAATCCCAGCTACTCCGGAGGATGAGACAGGAGAATAGCTTGAACCTGGGAGGCGGAGGTTGCAATGAGCAGAAATCTCGCCCCTGCACTCCAGCCTGGGTGACAGAGTGAAACTCCTTCTTAAAAAAAAAAAAAAAGAAAAACAAATCAGCGGAAAATTAGTCCCCTGTGGCTTGTGAAAATAATTAAGTGGCAGGCAACTAGACTGAGGTGGCTCTAGTCCCTGGATTTCTACTTTAAAGAAATTTAACTCAAATGCATGGTTTTTGTTTTGTTTTGTTTTTTTTGAGATGGAGTTTCACTCTTGTTGCCCAGGCTGGAGTGCAATGGCACAATCTCGGCTCACTGCAACCTCCACCTCCTGGGTTCAAGCGATTCTCCTGCCTCAGCCTCCGGAGTAGCTGGGATTACAGGCATGCACTACCACGCCCCGCTAATTTTGTATTGTTAGTAGAGGCGGAGTTTCTCCATGTTGGTAAGGCTGGTCTCGAACTCCCGACCTCAAGTGATCCGCCCGCCTGGGCCTCCCAAAGTGCTCGGATTACAAGCGTGAGCCACAGCGCCGGCCTCAAACGCATGTTTTTATAAATTACTAAATTGGGGGAAACAAAATTGAGGCGTAGCCAACTATACACTACCATTTAACCTCTGATTACATAACAAGGAAATGTCCACCTTGATAGTACAAATTAACAAACTATGTAACTGCATCTAACCAATTACTGAATTTGGTTTTCTTTATCTCATGTTATTAAAGTCTTCTCTTCAAGCCCCTGCTATGGACGACAAATGACAAACCATAGCTGGGTACTTTACAATTTTTTTTTTTTTTTTTTTTTTTTTTTTGAGACGGAGTCTCGCTCTGTCTTCAGGCTGGAGTGCAGTGGCGCCATCTCGGCTCACTGCAACCTCTGACTTCCTGGTTCAAGCGATTCTCCTGCCTCAGCCTCCTGAGTAGCTGGGATTATAGGCACATGCCACCACGCCCGCTAATTTTTGTATTTTTAGTAGAGGCGGGGTTTCACCATATTGGCCAGAATGGTCTCAATCTCCTGACCTCGTGATCCGCCTGCCTCGGCCTCCCAAAGTGCTGGGATTACAGGCGTGTGCCACCGCGCCCGGATTTTTGAATCACTCTTTAATTAAATTCTTTAATATTTTTGCGGTGACTTCTGTATATTTTTAATAAGAGAAAAGAGAGACTCAGAACCCCACAGACCAAAGCTCTTCCCATTCATGAACCCCGCACCCCGAGTCAGGATTCTCCCCTGACGACTCTCCTGTGGTCCCTGCACAACCTGGGGAGACTCGGCGCTGCGGGTGCAGAGCTGCCGAGAGAGGGATCCAGGCCAGGGCACAGTCACTGCGCAGGGAAGAGACAGGACGCCCGGGGTCCCGGCTGTCAGCGCAGCCGCCATCTTATGGCTGAGGGGGACCGAGGCCGAGCTGGCCAAGGAAAACTCGGGCGCAGATGGTAGGGCTGACTGCAAGGAGGCCTGAGTCCCGCCACAGCGACTTCCCACAGGTTCCAACCACCCCCTTCCCCTCTCCCAGGATGTCGGACCCAGCACTCTCACCATTTCTAGGCTTCCAGGAGGACCTGGCGTCTTAGCTGGGGATCTCCCAATACCTGCAGGTCACAGGGCCACAGAGGCTGGGCCCCTAGGAGAAGAGGACACAGACCAGGGAAGACGAGACCTGCAGCTCGGGCTAGAGCGAGAGACAAAGTACCCGCCAAACCCGGAAGCCACCCTGTCCGCTCCAGCTTCGTGTCTGATTGGACGGTTTCCAGCCCAGCGTCCCTGACTGGATAACGTTTAAGGCCTCGCCCCTTTAGGCCCTGAGTGACAGGAGACGTGATCAGATGCTCGGCTGAATGAAGAAAGAGTGAAAGCCTAAGCTCCAGCCTTTTCAGGCAGGTTTTCCTCCCTGAGCTGAGCCAGGCCCAACCCAAAGGTATTTGCATTTAACCTTGTGTGTAAGGTCATATGCGTTTATACATAATACATAATATGGCCGGGCGCGGTGGCTCACGCCTGTAGTCCCAGCTACTCCGGAGGCTGAGGCAGGAGAATCGCTTGAACCCAGGAGGCGGAGATTGCAGTAAGCCGAGATCGCGCCACTGCACTCCAGCCTGGGCCACAGAGTGAGACTCTGTCTCAAAAAAAAAAAGAAAAGAAAAAAATACACTATATTGTTATTCACAAACAAAAATAATCTAATAACAACTATTTTAAAATTTCAGCTTTCCTGACCTTCCTGGCTTCTGGTTTTTTGATCAGGCAGCCTGAGATTTTAAGAAGGAGGCAATCATGGCCGGGTGCGGTGGCTCACGCCTGTAATCCCAGCACTTTGGGAGGCCGAGGCCGGCGGATCACCTGAGGTCAGGAGTTGGAGACCAGCCTGACCAATACGATGAAACTCCGTCTCTACTAAAAATACAAAAATTAGCGGGGCATGGTGGCGGGTGCCTGTAATCCCAGCTACTGGGGAGGCCGAGACAGGTGAACCCGGGAGGCAGGAGTTGCAGTGAGCCGAGATCGCTTTGAACTCCAGCCTGGGCACCAAAAGCGAAACTAAGCTCCGTCAAAAAAAAAAAAAAAAAAAGGAGGCAATCTTCTGAAATAGAATGTGAGCCAAATGTGAATTTTAAATTTTCTAGTAGCCAAACTTTAAAAAGAAAGAAGAAATAGGTCAAACTGATTGTAACAATTTCAGTAACCCAATATATCCAAAATATTACTATATGAGCAATGTGTAATTATTAATGTAGCATGTATATAGTTAGAACTATATCATTGGAACTAAGTCTGTTTTTTTTTGTTTTTTTTGTTTTTTTTTTTTTATTTTTTTTTGAGATGGAGTTTCGCTTTTGTTGCCCAGGCTGGAGTGCAATGGCACAAAGTGTGTTCTCTGCCTCCTGGGTTCAAGTGAGTCTCCTGCCTCGGCCTCCTGAGTAGCTGGGATTACAGGCATCTGCCACCATGCCCGGCTAATTTTTGTATTTTTAGTAGAGACGGGGTTTCTCCATGTTGGTCAGGCTGGTCTGGAACTCCCGACCTCAAGTGATCCACCTGCCTCGGCCTCCCAAAGTGCTGGGATTACAGGCGTGAGCCACCGCACACAGGCTACTAAGTCTGTTTTTTGCCTTTCCAGCACATCACAGTGTAGACCCAGCCACATTCCAGGCACTCAGGAGCCACACGTGAAGTGCAGCTCTGATGTTGGGTGGGTAAAGGGCCTGAATAAATTTATTCTGCCAGTGTGAAGGAAGGGCCTCTTCCTAACAACATCTCTCTTCAGTTTGGAGGATGGAAAAGATGGCGGCCATAGAAAGAGCAGAGGGCAGCAGGAATAAATTAACCACAAGTAGACAACTGCTGGCCACCTTTGGCCCACCTTCCTTCCAGAGATCAGAAAGGGAGCAAAGGATGATAGGTCCGGAGGAGAAGAAAACTCTAAGTCTTCATATCTGTGCATACTCTTGACCTGCAGTGTTTATATAGAGAGAAAATAGATTAAATGCAAACATATTTTGCTATTTGGCCTTGAACCTAATCATCGGGCCTCCTGGATTGAAGTGATTCTCGTGCCTCAGCCTCCGGAATAGCTGGGATTACAGGCGTGTACCACCATGCTCAGCTAATTTTTTTGTATTTTTAGTAGAGATGGGGTTTTGCCATGTAAGCCAGGCTGGTCTTGAGCTCCTGGCCTCAAGTGATCCGCCCACCTCAGCCTCCCAAAGTGCTGGAATTACAGGCATAAGCCACTGTGCCTGGCTATGATATATTTTTACATTTATGGTTTAGGTGATATGTCCTTCTTCTCTGTCATGTCCCTGCCAAAATGTGGGATGATGACATATCCCTGGACCTAGCACATAGTTAACGTGACTCTTGTATGTTGCAGAGGCCCCACATATTTTGAGTAGTGTGACATATGACTAGACCAAACACCTAGAAGATGGGAGGCACCTGTCTGTTCCCTGTAAACAGGGTGTTAGCCCTACCATTCTCAAAAGCCTCATGACATATCTCTGCATTCATCACCTAGGAGATGTGACTCTCTTCTGCTGCCTGCATCCTGCCAACAGGAAAGATTGTGACATAACATTTGGCCCAGCAACAGGTTGATGTGTTTTCTTTTCCTGGGTCCTGTTCACAGGGAGCGTTGTGACATATCACTGGGCACAGCACCCACATTCTGTGACTCTGCTGCCTGTGCCCTCCTTTCAGAACAGGAATGTAACATATCCCTGGCCAAGCACCCAGGTGACGTGACTCTTCTTCCTAGTTTCTGCCATGAGAAAAGATTTTGATATATCTCTGGCCTAGCACCAAAATGATGTGACTCTCTTGCTCACTGTCTATGCACAGGTGGGATTTGTTCAGCTCACAGGTGAGATGATAACTCTCATATATCAAATCAACAAATAGGGAACATACTGTCTTTCAAAGCTAGGCTTAGGGAAATATGTAAGATTCTCAGTCTCCTCCTTGTATGAAGGTCATAGTGGATTACCACTCTCTTGCATGTCATATAAACCCTTCAGGTGGTACAGAGAGTGTCATCACAGGGCCCAGCACACAGGTGACATTGCATTTCTTGTATGCACACCGCATCATCTATTAGGATTGTCACCTGACACATGCACAGAGCCTACTGGTAAGGTCTTGAATCTCACATGAGGATGCAGTCTACAGTTGAAATTGTAACTGTCATCGTTGAACATCTGGCTGCACTTGAGATGGTGACTCATTTTTAACCTAGCTCCACAGCAGGTGAGAACTCTTTTATCTGGAACCAGCCAATTATAGAGATGTTGACTCTCATACCTGGGCTTAGAACCACAGGTACAATCACGAGTCCTTACCATCATGAAGGTCACAGAGTGGTTTGCAACACTCGTTAATACTGTAGAAAGCTCTCAGATGGTACTGAGAGAGTCTTAGCAGAGCCTAGTACACAGGTAAGATTGTGAGGCTCACATTTACACCCAGCCAACAGCAAAAATTGTCACCTTTCCACATGATCACAGCCCACTCTTGAGGTCCCAAATTTTCCTTGTGAAAACAGTCAAAAGTTGGAAAATTGACTCACATGTGGATTTGGTTCAAAGGTGAGTTGGTGACGCTCAGACATCTATTCAACACACCTGTAAGTCTGTGGCTCCAGTAAGCCTTCAGTCTGCAGGAGAAATTGAGACTCTCACAAACAAATCAAGTGCACCATTGAGATTGTGACTCTTGTACTTAGACCCAACATACAGGAGGTGTTGACTCAAATTTAGACCTGGGACATAAGTGAAATTGTTAATCTAATTTCTAAACCACCCTGCAGGTGTGATTGTGACATATGCCTCTGCTCAGTACTTAAGTAATTTGACTCTCCTGCCTGGGCCCAGTCCATAGTTGCAATTGTGACACATTGCTGAACCCAGCACATAGGTGATGTGACTCCATACTCCTGCCTTGATGCTGCCTACAGGGGGCATTGTGACATATCACTGGGCCTTACATCCAAGTGATGTAAGTCTCTCCTTTTCTGGTACTGCCCACAGGGGACACCATGACATATTCCTGGGCCACAAACCCAGCTTATGTCATTCTCCTACTTGTTCTCTGCCCACATGGGCTACTGTGACATACTGCTGAGTTTAACACCGATGTGATGTAACTCTTCAGCCTCAGCCATGCCTACCTCGGACATGGTGATGCATCTCTGCACCCATCACCCAGGTGATGTGACTCTGTTTTCCTGTGTGCTCTCTGCTCAAAGGGGAAGATTGCTACCTGTTGCTGGGTCCATCACCTAGCTGATGTGACTTTTCTCATCTTTCTAAGTTCTGCCTGCAAGGGAGATGTTGACATTTTACCTTGCCCAACACCGAGATGACATTAACCTGTTGGCTTCGTCGTACTTTCAGAAGACATTGTGACATATTGCTGGGCCCAGCAGCAAGGTGATGTGAGTCTCCTGCCTGGGCCCTGTTCTCAGAGGGCATTGATACATATTTCTGACTTCATCAACTATTTCATGTGACTCTCCTCTCTTACCTCGGCTTTGACCATAGACAAAATTGTGACATATCTCTGGGACCAAAACCTAGGTGATGTGACCCTCTTCTTAGCACACGATCAAGCCCACAGAACCAAGATACCTTATCGGTGTATCTAGCACACAGGTGAGGTGATTATTCTGTGTGGTCCCTGCCCACAGGGGTCATATTGACATGTTTCTAAGCCCATCACCTAGATTATGTGACTCCCTTTTTCTTCCTGTAAACTGTACACAGAGAAGATTGTGACATATCACTTGGTCCAGAACTTTTGGGGTGATTGTGACATATCGCTGGCACCACCACCTAGGTTATGTGACACTTTTCTTCTCTCTTAGCCCTACCCACAGAAGACATTGTGACATCTCTTCACCTAAGTAATGTTACTTTTTTGCCTGGGCCATGCTCTGTGACATATTGCTGGACCCAGAAACTAGGGGATGTGACACTCCTCTACTGCTTAGGTTCTGCCCAGGGAGAAATTTGTGGTGTATTGCTGGGCCAATAGCTAGGTAATGTGATATTTTTCTTTTACCTGGGCCCCACATATTTTGAATATTGTGAGATACTGCTGGGCTCAACAGCTAAGGAATGGGAGAGTACTGCCTGGGCCCTGCTCACATGAGTCCTTGTGAAATATCTCTTCGTCCATCACCTAGACTATGTGGTTCCCCTTCCTGCACCCTTCCCATAGAGAAGATTGTGACATAGTACTGGGCCTAGCAACTAGGTGATGTGTCTCTCCTGCCTGGGCTCAACCCACAGAAAGCACTGTGATATGTTGCTGGGTCCAACACCCAGGAGATGCAACTCCACTGCCTGATCTCTGGCCTCATGCAAGATTGTGACATATCCCTGATGGTATTGTCACATTTACCTTGGTTTAGCTCAGAGGTGCAATACATTTAACCAGCCAGTAGCAGAGAGTCTGTGTCTCTTTGCAGGGCTTTGGCAAACAGACGAGTTTCTGGGTCTTCTTTTTATAAATACCTTGCAGAATTGGCATTCACTTGCATATTGTGTAAAGTTCTTGGATGGTACAGAGAGTGTCATCACAGAGCCTGGCACACAGTTGAGGTTGTGTTTCTCATATGCACAACACAGCAACACTTAGGATTGGAACCCCCGCCCCAACATAGACAATGCTCACTGCTGAGATTCTTAATCTCATAAGTGGATTCAGTCCACATTTGAAATTGTGACTGTCATATGTGAATATCCAGCCAGAGTTGAAATGGCTAGATATTCACATATGGCTCAATGGCTATGAGCTTCCTGCAGCTCATAGGCGGTAAGAAATCTCTTATCTAGACTCAGCCAACTAGAGACATGTTGGCTCTCATAGCTGAGCTTAGAGCCACAGGTATGATCATGGGTCCATACCAGCATAAAGTTCTCAGACCAGATTGTAACTTTTTTTTTTTTTTTTTGAGATGGAGTTTCGCTGTTTTTTCCCAGGCTGGAGTGCAATGGTGCAATCTCAGTTCACCACAACATCTGCATCCTGGGTTCAAGTGATTCTCCTGCCTCATCCTAAGTAACTGGGATTACAGGCATGTGCCACCACACCCAGCTAATTTTGTATTTTTAGTAGAGATGGGGTTTCTCCATGTTGGTCAGGCTGGTCTTGAACTCACAAACTGAGGTGATTCACCTGCCTCACCCTCCCAAAGTACTGAGACTACAGGCTTGAGCCACTGTGCCTGGCCAGCAATTCTTATGCATAAAGTATAAAGCCCTCAAATAGGACAGATTATGTCCTAACAGATCTCAGCACACAGGTGAGATTGTGACACTCACATGCAGACCCAGCTGACAGTAATAACTGTCATCCTTCCACAGGAGCACAGCCCACTGTTGAGATTCTGAATCTCAAAACCAATGAAAGTTTCAAAAGTTGAAAAATTGACTTTCATCCTTGAATCCAGTGTACAAGTAAGCTGGTAACTCTCAGACCAAGATTCAGCACCCCTGAGACTTGAGAAACCGTGAGTCCACTAAGGAGACACAGTCTAGAGGATGGATGGAAGGTCTCATACACAGATCAAGTCCACAGTTGAGATTGTGAGTCCTGAACATAAATGCAACATAAAGGAGGTGTTAATTCTCATACCTGGAACCATAACATGGTTCCAGGATGGTTAATCTCATTTATGGACCTTCTTGCAGCTGTGATTGTGACATACGCCTCTGTCCAGCACCTGAGTTTTTTCACTCTCCTGCCTGGGCTCAGCCCACAGATTGGATTGTAACACATCGCTGAACCCAGGATCTAGGTGATGTAAATTTATTCTCCTGCCTTGGTGCTCCCCACAGGGAGCACTGTGACATATTACTGCAGCTAACATAGGGGAACCATAACCAGGTTATGTGACTCTCCTGCCTGTGCCTTGCCCACATGGGCCATTATGACATATTGTTGGGTCTAATGTCCATGTCATATAACTCTCTTGCCTAGGTCCTGCCTACAGAAAGTATTGTGACATATCTCTGTGCCCATCACACAGGTGATGTGACTCTCTTTTCCTGCTGGGTTCCTGCTTACAGGGAGTATTGAAAGAGATTGCTAGCCCCAGCACCTAGATGATGTGACTCTTCTTTCTAGGTTTTGTTCACGGGGAACATTGTGACATATCACTGGGCCCAACTTCAAGGTGATGTTCCTCTTTTGCCTTGGCCCTGCACTCAAAAAGCGTTGTGACATATTGCTGATCCCACTAGCAGGTTGATGTGAGTCTTCTACCTGGACCCCATTAACAAGGGGCATTGCGATGTACCTCTGGGCCTATGAACTATTTGATGACTTCTTTCTTGCCTAGGCTTTCTTTTTTCTTTTTTTCTTTTTTTTTTTTCTTTTGAAAGTCTTGCTCTTTCACCCAGGCTGGAGTGCAGTGGTGCTACCTCGGTTCACTGCAAGCTCCGCCTTCCAGTTTCAAATGATTCTCCTGCCTCAGCCTCCTGAGTAGCTGGGATTACAGGCGCCCGCCACTATGCCTGGCTAATTTTTGTATTTTTAGTAGAGACGGAGTTTCACCATGTTGGCCAGGCTGGTCTCAAACTCCTGACCTCATGATCCACCTGCCTCGACCTCCCAAAGTGCTGGGATTACTGGTGTGTGAGCCACTGCACCCGGCCAGCTTTCTCCATAGAAGATATTGTGCCAAACTCTGGGCCCAGCACCTAGGTAATGTGGCTTTTTTCTTCTGCTTGGACCATGCCCACAGAAGGGATAATGACTTATCACTAAGCCCAGCACACATGATGTAATTTTTCTGCCTGGTCTTTGCCGACAGAAATCATTTTCACATATTTCTGAGTTCATCACCTAGTTGATGTGAACCTTCTTATTTTCAGACTTGTTCACAGTGGAGATTGCTACATATTGCTGGGCCCAGCTCCTATGTGATGTGATTCTCTTCTCATGCCTGGGTGATCCCCACTGGAGTGACTGTGACATATAGCTTGGCCCTGACCCTAGTTTATGTGACTTTCCTCTTCTTCCTTAGCCCTGCTCACCTGGGGACGTTATAACATATCTGAGCCCATCACCTAGGTGATGTGACTCTCTTGCCTGATCCTCGTCTCAGGGGGTAGTGTTTTATGTTGTCACACCCAGAAACTAGGTGATATGACTCTTCTCTACTGCTTGGGCTCTGCCCAATAAGAAATTGTGATGTATCACTGGGCCTAGGTTATGTGATGCTCCTCTCCTCCCTGGGCTGTACATACGTTGCTATTGTGACATGGCTGGGTACAATGTCTAGGTCATGTGAGTTTCCTGCATGGGCCCTGCCCACAGGGGCATTATCACATATCATGTTGTTAGTTATCTAGGTGATGTGACTCCCCTCTTCTGCCCGGGTCCTGACAAAAAGAAGGATAGTGACTTATCACTGGACAGAGCACTTAATGGTGTGACTCTCCTCTTTTACCTGGGCCTTGCATAATTTTGTTATTGTGACATATTGCTGGGTCCAAAACCTAGGAGATGAGAGACTTTTGCCTTGGCCCTGACTACAGAGGGCTTTTTGATATTTCTTTGCATCTATCACCTAGGGGATGTGTCTCTCCTCTGCCTGCACCCTGCCTTCAGGTAAGATTGTGACATAACACTGGGTGCAACAACCAGGTCATGTGTCTCTCCAGCCTGGGCCTAGCAAACCGGGGAGCACTGTGACATATTGCTGCTTCCAGAAACTAGGTAATGTGATTATACCGACTGTGCCCTGCTTTTAGAAGGACATTGTAACATATCACTGGCTGAGCACCCAGGTGATGTGACTCACCTGTCTGGTCCCCACATTCAGGGAAGATTGTGACATATCCCTGACCTAGCACCCAGGTGATGTAACAATACTGCCTGGGCTCTCCCCTCAGAGGGTATTGTGACACATTGCTAAACGCAGCGCATAGGTGATGTGACTCTCCTCCACTGCTTACTCTCTGTTCAAAGAGAGATTGTGATGTATCACTAGTCCCAGCATGTAGATGATGTGACTCTCATGTTTGGGCCAATCCTACGTCATGTATTGTGACATATATCTGGGTCCATCAGCTCGTTAATATGACTCTTCTGTATGGGCTCTGTCCACAGGGGTACTATAAAATATTTTTTCATTCATCCCCTAGGTTATTTGCCTCTTCTCTTCTGCCTGGGCACTGCCAAAGAAAAAAGGAGATTGTAGCAATTCACTGGACCCAGAACCTAGTTGAGGTGACATTCCTATTTTGCCTGGGCCCTGCATATTTGGGTATTGTATCATATCACTGGACTCAACACATAGGGGATGGGAGGCATAAGCATGGGCCCTGCTCACAGAAGGCCTTGTGACATATCTCTGCATCTATTACCTGTGAGATGTGACTGTCCTCTTCTACCTGCACCCTGCTTATAGAGAAGATTGTAACATATTGCTGGGCCTACTGACCAGATGATGTGTTTCTTTTGCCTGAACCTTGCCCACAGGGAGCATTGTGACATGCCACTGGGCTCAGCACCCAGGTGATGTTCCTCTCCTGCCTGGTCCCTTCCATCAGGGAATATTGTACAAATCTCTGGCCAAGCACCCAGTTGATGTGACTCTCCTGCTCACTACCTACTCACAGGTTACATGTCCCATGTCGCAGGTGAGATGACGACTCTCATATCTTAAACCAGACAACAGTTGATATGCTGTCTCTCATAGCTAGGCTTAGGAAAATGGATAAGATTCTGGGTTTCCTATTTTTATGAAGGTCAGAGGGGATTACCACACTCTCACCTATGGTATAAAGCCTTTGGATTGTACACAGTGTGTCATCACAGAGCCCAGCACACAGATGAGATTGACTTGCATGTATGGACAACCAAGCACCTGTTAAAATTGTGACCCTCACAGATGGACAGACCGCAATTGTGAATCCCACACATGGATGCAGTCCACAGTTGGAATTGTGACTGTCATATGTGACCATCCATCCAGATTTGGGATAGGAAAACATTTTTAAATGCAGCTCATAAGAAAGTGAGGGCTGTCCTATCTGAACCCAGAAAATTGGAGAGATGTTGACTCTCATAACTGGGCCTAGGGACACAGATACAATCATAGGTTTATACCAGCATGAAAATCTCAAGCTGGATTGTGGCTCTCATGCAAACCATATAAAGCCCTAGGATAGTACAGAGAGTGTCCTAAAAGGACCAAGCACACAGGTGAGATTATGACACTCCTGTGCGCACCCTGACAATAGTAAAGATTGTCATTTTCCCACATGAACCCAGCCCACTTTTGAGGCTCTGAACCTCACATCCAAAGGCAGCTGAAAGTTGAAAAATTGAATCACATACATGGATCTCGTCAACGGGTGGGTTGGTGACTCTCAGACCAAGATTCAGCACACCTGTGAGCCTCTGACTCCACTGAGGGAACACAGTTCATGGGAGGGATTGAGGATTTAATACACAGATCCAGTTCACCTTTGAGATGGTGACTCGTGTAATTAGACACAACATACAGTAGGTATTGACTCTCGTACCTTGAACCAGATCATGTATGGGATCATTAATCTCATTCTTAGACCATCTTGCATGTGTGATTGTATCATACAGCTCTTCCCAGCAACTGAGTGATTTGACCCTTCTGCCTAGGTCCTACAGGTGAAATTGTGTCATATCACTGAACCCAGCATCTAGGTGGTGTGAGACTATACTTTTGCCTTAGCACTTTTCACAGAGGGCATTGTGACATTTTGCTGGCTCTAGAACCCAGGGGAAGTGACTTTCCTCTGCTTCGTGGTCTCTGCCCAAGAAGAGATTGTGACATGTCACTGGGCTTAACACCTAGGTGACGTGACTTTCCTCTCCTGCCTGGACCAAACACTTTTGTGATGCAAATCTGTTTGGGCCCTGCCTACAGAGGTATTAAAACATATCTGTTCATTCATCACCTAGGTGATATGACTCTTCTCTTCTGCTTGGGCCCTGACAAAATGGGGGATTTTGACACATCACTAAACCCAGCACTTAAGTGATGCTACTCTTCTGTTTTCCCTGGGCACTGCATATCTTGGGTATTGTTATATATAGCTGGGCATCATTCCTTTAGGATGGGAGGCTCCAGCCTGGGCCCTGCCCATGAGGGGCCTTGTAAGATGTCTCTTCCTCCATCACCTAAGAGATGTGACTCTCTTCTTTTGCCTGCATCCTGCCCACAGAAAATGTTGTAATGTATTGCTGGACCCAGTCACCAGATGATGTGTCTCTCCTGCCAAGGCTGTGCCCACAGAGAGCATTTTGACATATCACTGGGCTCAGCACCCAGGTGAAATGACTCTGCTGCCTGTACTCTGCTTTAAGAGGGGATTGTAATATATCTGTGGCTGAGCACCTAGGTGAGATGACTTCTGCGTGGTTTCTGACCTCAGGAAAGATTGTGACATATCTTTGCCGAAAACCTACATGATGTGAATCTGCTGCTCACTTCCTACCGACAGGTAAGATTGTGATATATATTTTATCCAGCTCACAGGTTCATTAATTGCTCTTATACCTCAAACCAGCCAATAGAAGAGATACTGTCTCCCATAACTAGACTTAGGAAAATGAGAGAGATTATGAGTCTTCTCTATGTATTAAGGTCATAAAGCACTACTATTCTTTTACATATTATATAAAGCCCTTGAATGGTACAGAAAGTGTCATTACAGGGCACACTAAACAGGTGAGACTGTGTTTCTTATATGCACATACCACCAACTGTTAAGACTGTCGCCCTCACAGATGGACAGAGCCCATTGGAGAGGTCCTGAATTTCACACATTGACACAGCCCACAGTTTGGATTGTGACTGTCATATGTGAACATCCAGCTACAGTTGGGATGGTGACTCATTTCTAATTCTGGCAAGTTAGATCCTTTCTACCTGGATGTATTCAATGGAGAGATGTTGACTCTTATTCCTGGGTTTGGGGCCACAGGTAGGATCATGAGTCTGTAGATGCACAAAGGTCTCAGAGCATACTGTGACTTTAATGTGTGTGTGTGTGACTTTAATGTGCTCTGAGACCTTTGTGATACAAAGGGTGTCATAACAGAGCATGGTATAGAGGTGAGATTATGACACTCATATATGTATACCCAGCTGGCAGTAAATATTGTCATTCTTCCACATGAACACAGCTCACTCTTGAGGTTCTGAATCTCACATGCAAAGAAAGTTGAAGATGGAAAATTGATTCATACATGGATTCGGTTCACAGGTGGGTTGGTGACACTAAGACCAAGATCCAGCATATCTGTGAGGCTTTGACTCCAGTAAAGGGACACAGTCTGTAGGAGGTATTGAGGCTCTTATGGATGGATTCTCTAAACTGTTGAGATTGTGGGTTATACACTTAGACCCAACATACAGGAGGTGGTGCCTCTCATACCTAGAACCAAGATGTGTGCAGGATGGTTAATCTCATCTCTGGATCTTCCTGCAGCTGTGATTGTGACATATACCTCAGCCTAGCACTTGAGAACTTTTACGCTCCTGCCTAGGCTCAGCCCACAGACTGGGTAGTGACATCTTGCTGCACCCAGCACTTAGTCAATGTCTTGGTTCTGCCCATAGAGACAACTTTGACATATTGTGGCTCCTCGCACTTAGGTTATGTGACTCTCCTGCCTGTGTTCTGCCCACATGGGCCATTGTGACATATTGCTGAGTCCAACATGAAGGTGATGTAATCCTCCACCCTGTCCTCTGCCTACAGAAGGCATTGTAACATACCTTTTGGTCCCTCAACGGTGATGTTACTCTCTGGCTCACCCTTCTTTCAAGGGGTATTGGGACATACTGCTGTACCCAGCACCTAGGTTATGTGAATTTTTCTACTGCTTCGGCTGTGCCTAGTGAGGGGCTATGAAGTATCTCTGGGCCCAGCACCTAGGTGATTTGACTCTTCTTTTTCTTTTTCATTTTTTTTTTTTTTTGAGACAGTTTCACTCTGTTGCCTAGGCTGGAATGCAGTGGTGCGATCTCGGCTCACTGCAGCTTCAGCCTCCTGGGTTCAAGCGATTCTCTCACCTCAGCCTCTTGAGAAGCTGGGATTACAGGTACCTGCCACCATGCCTGGCTAATTTTGTAGAGACGGGGTTTCACCATGTTGGCCAAGCTGGTCTTGAACTCCTGACCTCAGGAGATCCACCTCTCTTGGCCTCCCAAAGTACTAGGATTACAGGCGTGAACCACCATGCCTGGCCAGATGAGAAAGCATTAGTATGACAAGGGCCATTTATAACTCTGGAGTTCTTAACAAAAGATGGTATCTGCAAAATTAAGTGTTCTATTTAAGAAAAACATTCAGCAAGCTTATCCTGCATTTCTACACAAAGAGCACAACAACAATACAATCCACAACAGTCAAGCAAAATAAGTAAAATTGTCCCAAGTAAACTAAATAAGGGCAGATGTTGGAACAAAGCTGATATGGGTTTACTACCTGATTCCAATATGTGTTCACAGTTAGAATAGTGATCCGGATTTATTTATTTATTTATTGAGATGGAGTCTCACTCTGTTGGCAAGGCTGGAGTGCAGTAGCACAATCTCGACTCACTGCAACTCCGCCTGCCGGGTTCAAGCAATTCTCCTGCCTTAGCCTCCTGAGTAGCTGGGATTACAGGCATGTGCCACCACTCCCAGCTTATTTTTGTATTTTTAGTAGAGACAGAGTTTCACCATGTTGGCCAGGCTGGTCTCGAACTCCTGACCTCGTGATCCACCCACCTCGGCCTCCGAAAGTGCTGGGATTACAGGCATGAGCCACCGTGCCTGGCCCCTGATCTGGATTTTTATATTACCCATCTCTCTTGTTTCTTTAGAGCTGCAGTCAGAGATCACTGGTGTGTTCACAGGAATAAGCAGAATTAGTCTAAATAGCAGGGAAAATACTCAAAAACAACAAATGAGACTAGTGTCTAATAACGGGTGTACTATAGTTCTTGAAACATAATTTTTTTCTCTCTCCTGTCTTCCATTTCTACTAAAGACAAATCATGGTAAAACTGATTTACTTGCATAAAAAGCTTTAGTCTTATACTTGGCCTGATTATTTGTATAAAGTGCAGCATAAATAATTATTTTTCACATATGTTTTAAAAATTGGCTTTGATGTAACTATGTTCCATTAAAGGAATATCAGAAAAGACTTTTTAAAAGCCAAGCCCAGCCATGGGTTTGTACCATCAAATACCTATGAGTTGGGTGAGTTTCTCTCTTCTTGGGGTCCCAAGATAACTTCAGGCTCCTGATTCTGTCAGAAAGAGACATTCCTGGCCAGGCATGGTGGCTCACACTTGTAATCCCAGCACTGTGGGAGGCCAAGGTGAGTTGATCACCTGAGGTCAGGAGTTCGAGACCAGCCTGCTCAACGTGGTGAAAACCCATCTTTACATGAAATACTAATATTAGCTGGTTGTGGTAGCATGCACCTGTAGTCTCAGTTACTCAGGCAGCTGAGGCAGGAGGATCACTTGAACCTGGGAAGCAGAGGTTGCAGTGAGTTGAAATCACACCATTGTACCCCAGGCTGGGTGATAGAAGGAAACTCTGTCTAAAAAAAAAAAAAAGAAATGACATTCCTTACTTACCATGGGTCAGGAACCCTGCACAGGGACTGTGTAGACATAGCAGGAGGCCAGGTTTCCCATAAGGCTTATATTGACTCTACAAATTCAGTATGATTTCTTCAAGGAAAGCACCCCATTCCAGCCAAAGTCTGGTGAAATTACCAGTGTCTCCAATTGTGCCCTGTTGCAAAAGAAAACATGCTTATGGCACATATGCAAATAGCTATATTTCCATAAATTAAAAATACCAATAGGTTTCTACATTCTGGAGAAATCAGGTAGCGAAAAACAAGTATGCTCCAAATTTTTTTTACAGAAGTATACCTTCCCCAGTTGTTAAAAACTGTAAATAGCTATAAATATTTTGACTCTGAAAAACAAAAAAAAAGGATTTGCAGCATTTTAAGAAAAAAGCCAAAAACTATTATTTTTGTCTTCTATTATTTCAGTTTATGCCATAAACTCCTTTTCTGCTTGATATTCATTAACATTTCAGCTCTCCATGAGAGTCCTGAAAATTTTTCCTCTGTTCTAATGTTGCAGTCTCCAAAGTTATCAGAAACCTGCATTTAAAAATACCTGGCAAAGTTCCATAGCGGACCATAAATCACCTCTTGAAGAGGATCGAATCAAGACAACAATTGTCTGTGGGTGACAAAAAGTCCTAGGACAGCTGTACTTTATTTATTTACTTATTTATTTATTTATTTAGAGACAGAGCCTCATCTTGCTCTGTCGCCCAGGCTGGAGTGCAATGGCACAATCTTGGCTCACTGTAACCTCCGTCTCCTGGGTTCAAGCAATTCTCCTGCCTCAGCCTTGGGAGTAGCTGGGATTACAGGTGTCTCTTCCACGCCAGGCTTTTTTTAAATTATTTTTAGTAGAGACAGGATTGCACTATATATTGACCAGGCTGGTCTGGAACTTCTGACCTCAGGTTATCCACCTGCCTCAGTCTCCCAAAGTGCTGGGATTATAGACGTGAGCCACCGTGCCCGGCCAACCCCCTAAATCTTAGAAAGGACTTGAACCTTCCTAACTTGGGCCTCAAGCTTTTTATTAAGAGAGGTCTTTAACCCAGTATTTCTTAGGAGAGACTGTAACTCTTCTATGTTGGGCCTCTAACCCAATCCCATTTTTTACCCTGGTAAAATGTACTCCACTAGTTACCCCAAGTTGGCTAATTGGTGCTGCAGTTTACTTCCTTTGGTTCAGTTTTCTCCTCAGTATAGTCCCTTTATAGTTTGCCAGAAAGCTGTTACTGAAAAGGGCTTTTAATCCAGACCCCAAGAAGTCAGGGTGAGCCCATGCAGTAAAATGAAAGCAAGTTTATTAGAGAAGTAAAGAAACAAAGAAACAAAAAAAATGGCTGCTCCATAGGCAGAGCAGCTAATGTAATTCTTGTTTCTTAAATTGGCTTTGACCATAGGAGGGATTGAGACAATTCTGGAAGCCCAGCACCTAGGTGATGTGACTTTCATCTTTTGTTTGGACCGTGTGCACAAAAGGAAGAGTGGCTTATCACTGGACCTCACACACAGGTGATGTAACGCTTCTGTCTAGGGTAATTGTGATACGTTCCTGTGCTCATCACCCAGATAATGTGACTCTTCTCTTTTCCTGAGACCTTCCTACAGTGGAGATTGTGACATATTACTTGGCCCAGTACCTATGTAATGTGACTCTTCTCTCATACCAGAGACTTGCACCTAGGGTAGTTGTGACATATAGCTGGGCTCAGCCCCTGGGTTATGTGGCTCTTTTGATTATCCCCAGCTCTACCTGCAAGGAGCACTGGGAAATATATCTTTGGGCCCCTCAATTAGGTGATGTGACTCCCCTTTCTGGACTCTTTCCTCAGGAGGTATTGTGACATATTCCTGGAGCAAGTACCCAGGTAATGTAACTCTTTTCTACTGCTTGGACTCTACCCAAGGAGAGATTCTAATGTATCACTGGACCCAGCACCTAGGTTACGTGACTTTCCTCTTGTGTCTGAGTCTTGCATAAATTGTGTATTGTGACAAATCTCTGGGTCTAAAACCTAGGTGATGAGACTCTTATGCATGAGCCCTGCTTACAGGGATATTATGACATATCTTTTTTTTTTAATCACCTATGTGATGTGCCTTTGTTTGTGTGTGTGTGTGTGTGTGCGTCCTGGCCCTGCCAAAAGTGGGGATTGTAACATATCATTAAACTTAGTACCAAGGTGTTATGACTCACCTTGTTTGCCTGGGCCCTGCATATATTTGGTAATGTGACGTATGGCTGAGACAAACACCTAGGGCATGAGAGCCTTGTGCCTGGGTCCTGCCCACAAGGAGCCTTTTGGCTTATCTCTGCATCCATGAACTAGGAGATGTGACTCTTCTTTTCTGTCTGGGTTCTGCAAAAACAAGTGATTGTGACATATCATCAAACCCAGCAACTAGACGATGTGATTTTTCTTCCCTGCTTGAGCCCTGGATATGCTGTGCATTGTGATATATGGCTGGGTCCAACATCAAGGTAATGTGACTCTCCTGAATGGACTCTGCCCACAGGAGTATTATGACATATCTTTACCTTTATCACCTTGGTTATGTGACTCTTTTTATTTCCCTGAGCCCTCTTGAATTAGGAATTGTGTCGTATCACTGAACCTAGCACCTAGGTGATGTGACTCTGTTTTATTGCCTGGGTTCTGCATTTTTTAAGTATTGTGACATGTCCCTGACCACAATACCTAAAGAATTGGGAGGTACCTGCTTGTACTCTCCCTATGAGGGGCGGGGGGACATTGTGACATATCTCTGGTTCCATCAGCTGCTTCATTTGACTCTCCTCTCCTACCCATGTTTTGTCAATAGGAGAGATTGTGACATATCTCTGGAACCAGAACCTTGGTGATGTGACTCTTCTCTCCTGCTGAAGCCATGCCCACACAAGGGAAAGTGACTTATCACTGGGCCCAGCACACAGGTGATGTAATTATTCTGCCTGGTTTTTGTACCCAGGAGCCATTGTAATCTATCTCTGGGCCCATCATTTAAATGATGTGACTATCCTTTTCTTCCTCAGCGCTATTCACAGGGAAAATAGTGACACATCTGTGGGGTTCTCACCGAAATGATGTGACTCTCTTGCCTGGGCTCACCTCTCAAGGGAATTTTGACATATTACTGGACCAAGCACCTAGGTGATGTGGCTCTGACAGAGGAGAAATTGTGATGTACCACTGTTTCCAGCACCTAAGAGATCTGACTCTCCTCTTTTGCATAGGCCCTGCATTTATTGTGTATTGTGACATATGGCTTGGTCCAACACCTAGGTGGTGTGACTCTCTACTTCTTCCTGTGCCATGCCAAAGAAGAGGATTGTGACATATCACTGGATCCAGCACCTAGGTGATGTAAATCTTTTCTTTTGCTGAGCCATGAATATTTTTGGTATTGTGACATGTCACTGGACCCAACACCTACAGGATTGGGTCAGAGGCTACTGAATAAGCCCTGTCCATAGGTGGCCTTGTGACATATGTCTGCCTCTATCACCAAAGTGATGTGACACTTTTTCTGCCTGCATCCTGCACATAGAGAAGATTGTGACATATCGCTGGGCCCAGTAACCAGGTGATGTGTCTTTTCTGGCAGGTCTTTTCCCACAGGGAGCATTGTGAAATATCACTGGGCTCAGCCCCCAGGTTATGTGACCTTTCTGCCTTGCCCTGCTCCCAGGAAATGTTGTGACATCCCTCATACAGCACCCAGGTGATGCGACTCTTCTGCTCATTTTCTACTTATACTTGGGATTGTGACAAATATCCTGGTCCAACTCATAGGTGCTATGATGATTCCCATACCTGGAATCAGCTAATAGGGGAGATAGTGTCTCTTGTATTGTAGCTTAGGGAAAAAAGTAACATCTTGGGCCTCCTCTTTGTATGAATGTCATAAAGAATTACCAATCTGACTGGGCAGTGTGGCTCATGCCTGTAATCCCAGCACTTTGGGAGGCCAAGGTGGGTGGATCACGAGGTCAGGAGTTGGAGACCAGCCTGGCCAACATAGTGAAACTCTGTCTCTACTGAAAATATAAAAATTAGCCATGTGTGGTAGCATGCACCTGTAGTCCTAGCTACTCAAGAGGCTGAGGCAGGAGAATCACTTAAACCTGGAGGCAGAGGTTGCAGTGAGCCAAGACCATGTCATTGCACTCCAGCCTGGGTGACAGAGTGAGATGAGACTTCCTCTCAAAAAAAAAAAAAAAAAAAAAAAGAATTACCAATCTTTGGTGTGTTTCATAAACCTTTTGAGTGGCACAAAGAGTGTCTTCACAGAGCTTAGCAGACAGGTGAGATTGTTTCTAAAGTGCAGAAACTGCCAACTGTTAGGATTGTCACCCTCACACATGGCAAAAGCCAACTGGTAAGCTCCTGAATCTCACAGGTGGACCCAGTTCAAAGTTCGATTTGTTACTGTCATATATTAACATTTGGCCACAATTAATAAATTGTCATTAATAAATGCAGTGCATAGGCAGGTGAAGATTCTCCAATCTAGACCCTGCCGACTAGAGAGTGAGGACTCTCTAATCTGGACCCTGACAACTATGCTTATACCTGAACTTAGGGTCAAAGATATAATCATGGGTCTATACTAGCAGAAAGGTCTCAGAGCAGACTGTGACTTTTATGCACACTCTACAAAGTCCTCAGGTGGTGCAGAAAGAGTTCCAACAGAGCCCAGCACACAGGTGAGACTGTGCCACTCATATGCACACCCAGTCAACAGTAAAGATTGTCATTCTGTCTCATGAAAACAGCCAATGATTGAGCTTCTGAATCTCAGACTTGGAGGCAGTCAAAAGTTAGAAAATTGACTATCATACCTGGATCTCATTCACAGGTGGGTTTGTGACTCTCAGATTCAACACAACTCTGAGGCTGTGACTTCATTAAGGAGATACAGTCCACACGAGGAATTAAGGGTCTCATGGACAGATTAGTCTACCATCTAGATTGTGACTCTTTACGTAGGCCCAACATACATGAGCTATTGAATCTTACACCTCGAACCTAGATACATATGGGATTGTTAATCTCATACCTGGACATTCCTGCAGGTGTGATTGTGACATAGATTCTGCCTGTCATGTGACTGATTTAACTCTACTCCCTGGGCCCAGCCCAGAGCTGAAATTATAAAATTTCATTGAAAGCAGCAATTAGGTGATGTAGCTGCATGCTCCTGCCTTAGCATTGCCAAAAGGGAGCATTGTGACATATTGCTTGGCCTTGCACCCAGGTGATGTGAGTCTCTTCTGCCTTCATGCTGCCCACAGGCAGCACTGTCACATATCACTTGGCACCACATTCAGGTTATGTGACTCTCCTGCCTGTGCCCTGCCCATATGGGCCATTTTGACATGTAGCTGAGTCTGATACCCAGGTGATGTAACTCTCTGGCCTGGCCCTGCCTACTAGGTTTTCTGTGACATATCTATGCACCAATCAACTTTGTGTTTTGATAATCCTCTTCTACCAATTTCTGCTCAAAAGAAGGATTTTGACAAATAATTGGGACCAGCACCTAGCTGAGGTTACTCTACTCTTCTTTCAAGGTTTGGTTTGCAGGGGATGTTGTGACATTGCTAGGCTAACAGACAGGTGATATTCTTCTGCCTTGGCTCTTCCAAAATAAAGCATTTTTACATAGTGCTGTGCCCAGGACTACAGTGACTGAGTCTCCTGCCTAGACTCTGCCCACAGAAAGATTGTAACATATCTCTAGACCCATCAACTATTTGATGTGAGTCTCTTCTTTTACCTTGTCTTTTCCCACAAAAGAGATTGTGATATATCTCTGGGCCCAGCACCTAGGTGATGTGACTTCTTCTGCCTGGGTCATGCCCATAGAAGGGAGAGTAACTTACTACCAAGCCCACCACAGACATGCTGAGATACTTCTGCCTGTTGCTTGCCCACAGGATGCATATGCCAGATTTCCAGGCCCATCACCTAGATGATGAGACTCTCCTCTTCTTTCTGGGACCAATACACAGTGGGAATTGTGATGCATCGTTTAGCTCAGCAGCTACATGATGTGACCCTCTTCTCATGAGATTCCTGCCCACTTGGGTAATTGCAACATATAATGTAGCCGAGTTTCTAGGATACCTGACTCTTCTCTTATTCCTGAGACTTACACAGAATCGGCAACATCTCTGATCTTCTCACCTAGGTGAGGTTACACTCCTCCCTGATCTCTCCCTTCAGGGAATATTTTGACATATAGCTAGACCCAACACCTGGGTAATAAGTGTGTGGGCTCCGTCCAAGAAGAAATTGGGATGTATTGCTAGGCTCAGCACCTAAGTTATGTGACTCTTCTCTTCTGCCTGGGCCCTGCATACATTGTGTATTTTGACATATCATGGGCTCCAACACCTAGGAAATTGGCGATTTCTACCTGTGGCCTGCCCACAGGAGGCCTTGTGATGTATCTCTGCATCATAACCTAAGAGATATTACCCTTGTTTTTAGCCTCCACTTTGCCCACAGGGAAAATTGTGACATATCACTGGGCCCAGCAACAAGGTGATGAGTTTGTTTTGCCTGCACCTTGCCCACAGAAAACAGTGGAACATAGCCCTTGGCCTAGCACTAAGGTGATGTTTCTTTTATCCCTGGTCCCTGGCCTCAAAAATGACTGTGACATAACCCTTTCCCAGCTCTCGGGTGATGTGATCATCCTGCTCATTCTCTACTGACAAATGGGATTGTTACATACATCTTGGCCTGGCTGACAGGTGCAATAGTGACTCTCATACCAGTCACCAGGAGAGATACTGTCTCTTGTAGCTAAGCTTAGAGAAATGGGTAAGATCCTGAGTCTCCTTTTTGTAGGAAGGTCATAGATTATTTTCACTCCCTCACATACTGTATAAAGCCCTCAGGTGATACAGAGAGTGTCATCACAGGCCCAACACACAGGTGAGACTGTTTACCTTGTGTGCACACCCCACCAATTATTAGGATTATTGCATTCACACAAGGACACAGAGTACTGGTGAGTTCTTGAACTTCATACATGGATGCAGCTTACAGTTGGAATTGTGACTGTCATATGTAAACATCTGACCACAACTGAGATGGTGACTCATTTCTAAAACCATCTCATAGGCAGCAGAGTAATCTCCTCTCTGGACCAAGTCAATTAAAGAGATGTTGACTCTCATACATGGGCTTAGGGCCATGAGTACAATCATGGGTTCATACCAGCATGGAGGTCTCAGAGCAAATTCTGACTCTTGTGAATAGCATATAAAGCCCTTGAATAGTAGAGAGACTGTCCTCATAGGGCCCAGCACACAGGTAATATTGTGACACTCTTATGCACAGGTAGCCAATAGTAAAGATTGTCATCCTTCCACATGAACACAACCCACTGTTGAGGCTCTGAATCTCCCACTCAGAGGCAGTGGGAAGTTGAAGAAATAACTCTTATATGTGGATCTGATCCATAGGCTGGTTGGTTACTCTCAGACCAAGATTCCCCACAGCTGTGAGGCTGTGGCTTCATTAAGGGGACACAGTCTTCAGGAGGGATTGGGTCTTTTGTGTACAAATCCAGCCCATTGTTGAAATTGTGACTCAGGTACTTAAACCAAACCTACAAAAGGTGTTGACTCCCAAACCTGAAACTGGGACATGTGTGAGATTGTTAATTTCATTTCAGGATCTTCCTGCTGGTGTGATTCTGACATATCTTTCTGCCCAGAATCTGAGCAATCTGACTTCCCAGCCTTGGTCCAGCCCCCAGGAGGGATTATGACGTATCACTTGGCCAAGCACTTAGCTGATGTGACCTATTCTCCTGCCTTGGCTCTGCCCATAGAGAACATTGTGATGCACTGTCAGGCCCTGCACCCAGGTTATGTGATTTCTGCCTGTGCCCTGACCACATTGGCTGTTTTGACATATTGCACTGTCCAATACTCAAGTGATGCTACACTTCTGCCTGTGCCCTTCCTACAGCGGACATTATGAAATATCTCTGTGCCCATCACCCATGTATGTTGACTCTCCTGAATGGATTCTGCTCACAGGGAGATTGAGACATATCTGGGCTCAGCACTCAGATGATGTGACGGTTCTCTCTTTTTTTTTTTTTTTTTTTGAGATGGAGTCTTGCTCCATCACCCAGGCTGGAGTGCAGTAGCACAATCTCCGGTCACTGCAACCTCTGCTCCTGGGTTCAAGTAATTCTTCTGTCTCAGCCTCCTGAATAGCTGGGACTACAGGTGCCTGCCACCACACTTGGAGTATTTTGTATTTTTAGTAGAGATGGGGCTTCACCTTGTTGGTCAGGCTGGTCTCAAACTCCTGATCTCAGGTGATCCACCCTCCTCAGCCTCCGAAAGTGCTGGGATTACAGGCATGAGACACCGCACCCAGCCAATGCTTATCATTTTCCTATGTTCTGCTCACACAAAAGATAGTGGCCCAGCACAAAGGTGATGTGAGCCTCCTGCCTGGACCCTGCTCACAGGGAGCATTGTGAAATATCTCTGGGCCCATCAACTGTTTGATGTGAGTCTCCTCTGTTACCTGGGCTTTGCCTATGGAAGACACTGTGACATATCACTGGGCCCAGCACCCAGGTGGTTTGATTTGCCTCTTCTGACTGGGCCATGCCAACAGATAAATAGTAACTTATCACAGGGTCCAGCACACAGGTGCTGTGGCTCTTCTGCCTGGTCCCTGCCCACAGGTGTCATTGATACATATCTTTGGTCCCAACAAGTAGATGATGTGACTCTTTACTTCATTCTGGGACATGTACACAGTGGGGATTGTGACATATCACTAAGCCCAGCATTTATGTGATGTGATTCGCATGCCTGGGCCCTGCCCACTGCAGTGATTATGACATATATCTGGGTGCAGCCCCTAGGTTATGTGACTCTCCTCTTTTCCATGATCCCTACTCATAGCATGAATTGTGACATATGTCAGGTTTTCTTACCTAGGTTATGTGACTTTCTTGTCTTTGCCCTTCCATCGGGGGCATTGTGACATATTGCTAGTTCCATTATCTGGGTGATGTGACTCTCCTCACCTGCCTGTGCACCACCCAAAGGGGACATTGTGACAAATCCCTGGACCAATTTTCTACACAATGTGCCTCTCCTCTGTTGCAGGAGACATGACCCAAAAAGGGATTATGACATATCTCTGAGCCCAACACCCAAATGTTGTGACTCTCCTGCCTGGGCTGTGCCTAGAGAAAATATAATATGTCACTGGGCCCTGCATGCAAGTGATCTGATTCTCCAGCCTGGGCCTTGCCCACAGGGGAGATTGAGACATATTCCAGGTGAAGAATTATGGTGATGTTACTCTCATTTATTAGCCTTTCCCACAGGTAAAATTGTGAAATATAACGTGGTCAAGCACACAGATGAGATTTTTATTCTTGTATGCAATCCCAGACAATAGTTACTATTGTCACTATAACACATGGACAAAGACTGCTGTTGAGGTCCTGAGTCTCATGAGTGAATGCAGTCAACAGCTGGAATTGTGACTGTCATATGTATACCTTGCCAGAAGTGGGATGGTGACTCATTTCTGGATTCAGCTCACAGGAATGGTGATGACTGTCAAACATGGGCCCAGCCAATAAGAGAGATGTTGACTCTGGTAGCTAGGCTTTGGGGTCTAAGTCTTTTACTTGTAGGCAGGTAGTAGAAGATTATGACACTCACACATATAGTATAAAGCTTTTGGGCAATACAGAGTGTCATTACAAGACTGAGTACACAGGTGACATTGAGACTCTCCTATACACACCTAGCCAACAGTTTGAATTGCCACCCTCACACATAGGCCGAGCTTACTGGTGAGGGCCTGAGTCTCACATATGAACCTATTACACCAGTTGGATGGTGGAAAATTTCTGAACCCAATTCACTTGCCCAATAAACCCACCAATAGAAGATATGTTGCTGCTTGTACCTAGGCTTAGGGCAACAGGTAAGGTTTTGGGTTTTCTACTTGTATAAATGTCACAGAGGATTACCACGCTCACTAATATTGTATAATGCCCTCGGGTTGTACAGAAAGTGTCATTACATAACTCAGCAAAATTTGAGATTGTGACTCTCAAATGCACACCCAGCAAAGAGTAAGAATTGTCACCCACACACATGGACAGAACCTGCAGGTTCACTTACAGATGCAGTCCACAGTTGGAATTTTTAATGTCATGTGTGGATCCAGCCACAGGTGGGAGGGTGACTCATAAAACCCAACTAAGAGGCACAGCAATTACTTTCATACCTGGACCCAGACAATAGGAGAGATGTTGACTCTCATACCCAAACTTAGGGCAACAGGCAAGATCATGAATTTATACCAGTGGTAATATCTCACAGGGGATTGTGACTCTCACCCAATCAATGTAAAGCCCTTGGGTGGTACAGAGAGTGTCATAAGAGGACCCAGAACAAGCTGAGATTTTAATTCTCATATGCACTTCCAGCGCCTAGTAAAAATTGTCACCCTCCTGCATGGATACAGAAAACTGTTGAGCTTCTGAATCTCACACCTGGACACAGTCGAAAGTTGGGATTGTAATTGTTTTATGTGGATTTTGTCTACAGGTGGATGGTGACTCTAAGACCAGGATTCAACACAACTAGAAGGCTTTGACTCTAATACGAGTCACAGAAGGCTCTGCGACTCTTCTATTTTCTCTAGGTTATGCAAATGGAGGTGGATTGTGACATATCATAGGGCCAACACAACACACAGTCTACAGGTGGAATTGGGACTCTCATGCATGGATCCAGTTCATCATTGATACTGTGACTCAGGTACTTGGATGCAACTCACAGGAGGTGTTGACGCTTTTACCTGAAGCTGGGACATGTGTGGAATTGTGAATCTTAGCCCTAGATCTTCCCACAAGTATGACTGTGACATATACTTTTGCCTAGCACCTGAGTGATTTTACTTCCCTGCCTGGGCCCAGCTCTCAGAAAAGATTGTGATGTGACTCTCTTGCTTGAGCCCTACCCACAGAGGCTATTGTGAAATTTCACTGGGCTCAGCACTTAGGTCTTATGACTCTTATTTTCAGCCTGGGCCCTGTCCACAAAGTCACTGTGAGATGTCACTGAGCCCAGCACCTCTGTGATGTGACTGTACTGCCTGGGCCCTGCCCACAGTAGGTATTGTGAAATACTTTGCCTGCATTCTGCCTACCCCCCAGCAAAAAAAAAAAAAAAAAAAAAGAACTGTGACATACCACAGGCCCAAGCACTTAGGTGATATAATTCTCCTCTTCTGCCTGGGCTCTGGCCTCAGGGGAGATTGAAACATTGTACTGAGCCCAGATTGCAGGTGATGTGACCCTCTATCTTAGGCTCTGCCCACAGGAGGTATTGTGATATACCTCTGTGGTCATAATTTAGGTGCTGTGACTCTTCTATTTTCTCTAAGTCACGCAAATGGAGGGGGATTGTGACATATCATAGGGCCAACACAAAAATAATGTAAAACTCCTGCCTGAGCCATGCCCATAGAAGGCATTGTGACATATCACCAGTCACATCACTCAGGTGATGTAACTCTCTTTCCTGAGCCTTGCCCACAAGGCATATTGTAACATATCTTTAGCCTAGAACTTAAAATATGTGACTCTCTTAGCTTGTTTCTTTTCCACAGGTGGGATTTTGACATATAACTGCACCCAGCACACAGGTGAGATTGTGACTCTTGTATGCTCATCCTGCCAAAAGTTGAGTGTCACCCTCACACATGGACAGAGACTTCTGGTAAGGTCTTGAATCTTGTACATGGACACAGTCCACAGCTGGAATGTCATATGTAGATCCAGCCACAGGTGTGATGTTGACCTATTTATAAAGTTAGCTCACAGGCACATTGATAACTCTCATACCTGGATCCAGCCAATAAAATATATGTTGACTATTATAGCTAGGCTTGAGTAAACTGGTAGGGTCCTGGGTCTTCTACCTGTATGAGAGTCACAGAAGATTATGACACTTATGGAAATTACATAAAGCCCTCTGGCAATGCAAAGTTTTATCACGGGGCCCCACACGCAGGTGAGATTGTGACTTCAATATGCAGACAAAGCTAACAGTTAGTATTGTTACCTTCACATATAAACAGAGCCCACTGGTGAGGTTCTAAATCTCACACACCAAAAAAATTCACAGTTGGAATTGTGACTGATATGTGAATCTGCCCACTGATGGAATGCTGACTCATTTCTGGATTCAGCTTAGAAAAATGGTGATGACTGTTTCACCTGGACTCAGCCAAATGGAGAGATGTTGACTCTCTTAACTAGGTGTGATGGTTAATACTGAGTGTCAACTAGGCTGGATTGAAGGATACAAAGTATTAAATCTGGGTGTCTCTGTGAGGGTGTTGCCAAAGGAGATTAACAACTGAGTCAGTTGGCTGGAAAAGGCAGACACACACTTAATCTGGATGGGCGCAATCTAATCAGATGCCAGAGTGGCTAGAATGTAAGCAGGCAGAAAAATGTGAAAAGAGTGACTGGTCTAGCCTCTCAGCCTACATCTTTCTCCTGTGCTGGATTCTTCCTGCCCTTGAACATCAGACTCCAAGTTCTTTAGTTTTGGAACTCGGAGTGGCTCTCCTTGATTCTCAGCCTGCAGAATGCCTATTGTGGGTCTAGTGATTCTGTGAGTTAATACTTAATAAACTCCCCTTTATATACTTTATATATATATATATATATATATATATATATATATATATATATGCACATACACATACATATCTCACACAGGGATATATATATTCCATTAGTTCTGTCCCTCTAGAGAACCCTGACTAATACAGATTTTTGTACCAGGAGTGGTTCTAGAGGAACAGAATATTAAGGATGAAGTTCCTTTTTTGATTCTGGGGTTTCTGGAATTGGCTGCTTAATATGATTAGACCCAAAAATGTTAAGGATCTACTTCTAATAGTATGGAAAACACTGATAGTCTTTGGGATGAACTGTTTAGAGAGTTATGTAAAATAAATGCATTTGACACTCCTGATTTATCATTCATGAGAGGCAAGGAGTTTAGTGACTCTATACATAATACCTTTGACCAGCTGGGCATAGTGGCTCACACCTGTAAACCCAGCACTTTGGGGGGGGCGAGGTGGGTGGATCACGAGGTCAGGAGTTCAAGACCAGCCTGGTCAAGATGGTGAAACCCCCTCTCTACTAAAAATACAAAAATTAGCCAGGTGTGGTGGTGGGTGCCTGTAATCCCAGCTACTCAGGAGTCTGAGGCAGAGAATTGCTTGAACTGGGAGGCGGAGGTTTGACCATATGTGGAGAACCAAGGAACATAATGAAGCTGGTTGTCATAAGTTCAGTGAACAAAGTGATGATAGAAAATGATGAACTCAGGGATTCTATCTTTTGGCTTCAGAAGCAGTTACTGAGCCTCAAATCTGCTAAGATTGCCCTGTGTGAGAGTCTCATCTCTGGTAGAGAAAGAGCTGAAATTGTGCAAAAACAGACACAAACTCTTATTATGCTAGTGGCTGACCTGCAACAAAAGGTGTATGCACAGCCTCGCCAGGTGTCTACTGTTAGAGTGAGCGCATTGATTGGAAAAGAATGGGACCCTGCCACTTGGAATGGGGACGTGTGGGAGGACCCTGATGAAGCTAGGGGCTCTGAGTTTGTAAACTCTGATGAGCCTTTTTTGTTAGAAGAAAGAGCTTCCCCATCCCCAGTAGTGGCAACATCCCCTTTCTGATCCGTGCTGCCATTAGCCTTTCCACCTTTGTCTGAGATAAACTCTGCACTGCCTGAGGCAACACTGATGGCCTCCCCTGAGGCAGTTGTCAGGCAAAATAATGTTGATTCTTTTCAGGAGCCACCCTCAACACCCCTGTTTGCTTCTAGGCATATAAGTAGACTAAAGTCCCAGCAGACCCCTAGAGGTGAGGTTGAGAGTGTGCCCCATGAGGAGGTACACTACACTCAAAAAGAACTGCTTGAGTTTTCTAATTTATATAAACAGAAATCTGGAGAACAGGCTTGGGGATGAATATTAAGGGTGTGGGATAATGGTGGAAGGAACATAGAGTTGAACAAGGCTGAATTTGTTTATTTGGGCCAACTAAGTAGGAACACTGCATTTAATGTTGCAGCTTGGGGAATTAAAAAAGGTTTTAATAGTTTATTTGCTCGGTTAGCTGAAATATAGATTAAAAGATGGCCCACTGTGAGGGACCTGGAAATGCCTGATATCCCTTGGTTTAATGTAGAGGGAGGAATCAAAAGGCTTAGGGAGATTGGGATACTGGAGTGGATTAGTCACTTTAGACCTACTAATTCTAGCAGGGAAGGTCCAGAAGATATACCCTTGACCATTGCCTTGCAAAATAGATTTGTGAAGGCAGCACCTGAATCTTTGAAGAACCTTATAATTGCTCTTCTCTGCATGTCGGATCTAACAGTGGGAACCCCGGTCACTCAACTACAAAATTTAAATACAGTGGGAATAATTGGATCCCATGGTGGCAGGGGCCAACCATCAAAGGCAAGGTGGGCATAGCTACTGTAATGGACAGCAGAGGCAAAATGGCAATCAGAATAGTCTGACTTGTGTAGAGTTCTGGCATTGGCTGATTCATCACGGTGTTCTTAGAAGTAAAATTGATAGGAAACCTACTGCATTCCTACTTAATTTATGCAAGCAGAAAAATTCTAGGTTGAATGGACAAAAGACTAATTTGAAACATAAAAACAGAGAATCATGGCCCCTCAATCAATTTCCAGACTTGAGCCAGTTTACAGACCCAGAACCCCTTGAATAAAGGGGAGGCCGGATTCCCTTGAGGAAAAACCCCACTACACTACTGACAATTTATGTAGTGAATCTTTCTCTCATCTTTCCCCAAGGATATCTCTGGCCTTTTATGAGGGTTATTGTGCACTGGGGAAAGGGAAATGATTGGACATTTTGGGGACTCCTAAACACTGGCTCTGAGCTGACATTGATTCCAGGGGACCCAAAACATCACTGTGGTCCTCCAGTTAAAGTAGAAGCTTATGGAGGTCAGGTACTTAATAGAAATTTAGCTCAGGTCCAACATGGTTGATCCAGTGGGTCCCAAGACTCATTCTGTGGTCATTTACCCAGTTCCAGAATGCAAAATTGGCATAGACATACTTAGCAGATGGCAGAACTCCTACATTGGCTCTCTGAGTAGTAGGGTGAGGGCTATTAGGGTGGGAAAAGCCAAATGGAAGCCATTAGAGCTGCCTCTACCTAGGAATATAGTAAATCAAAACCAATATTGCATCCGTGGAGGGGTTGCAGAGATTAGTGCCAGCATCAAGGACTTGAAAGACGCAGAGGCTGTGATTCCCACCCCATCCCGTTCAACTCATTTGGCAGGAGACAGATGGATTTTGGAGAATGACAGTGGATTATCATGAGGTTAATCAAGTGGTAACTCCAATTGCAGCTGCTGTACCAGATGTAGTTTCATTGCTTGAGCAAATTACCACATCTCCTGGTACCTGGTATGCAGACATTCACTTAGCAAATGCCCTTTTCTCAATTCCTGTCCATAAAGCCCACCAGAAGCAATTTGCTTTCAGCTGGCAAGGCCGGCAATATACCTTTACTATCCTATCGCTCTCTCTGGCTTTGTGTCATAATCTTATTCAAAGACACCTCTATCACTTTTTGCTTTTGCAAATACCACAGTGGTCCATTACATTGATGACATTATGCTGATTGAATCCAGTAAGCAAGAAATAGCAAACACACCAGACTTATTCATGAGACGTTTGC
Source organism: Homo sapiens (assembly GCF_000001405.40). Lineage (NCBI taxonomy): Eukaryota > Metazoa > Chordata > Mammalia > Primates > Hominidae > Homo > Homo sapiens. The sequence goes on along the minus strand of NC_000019.10, from coordinate 22,022,197 downwards.
ATGCCAGAGGATGGAAAATAAGTCTGACTAAAATTTAGAGACCTTCTAGCTCAGTAAAACTTCCAGGGGTCCAGTGGTCCAAGGCCTGTCAAGATAGTCCTTCTAAGGTAAAAGGTAAGTTGCTGCATTTGGCCCATCCTACAACCAAGAAAGAGGCACAATGTCTAGTGGGCCTATTTGGGTTTTGGAGGCAACCTATTCCTCATTTGGGTGTGTTACTCTGGCCCATTTATTGAGTGACCCAAAAAGCTGCCAGTTCTGAGTGTGGTCCAGAAAAGGAGAAGGCTCTGCAACAGGTCCAGGCTGCTGTGCAAGCTGCTCTGCCACTTGGGCCATATTACCCAGGAGATCCAATGGATCTTGAGTTGTCAGTGTAAAATAAGGATGCTATTTGTAGCCTTTGGCAGGCCCCCTTAGGTGAATCACAGCAGAGGCCTCTAGAATTTTGTTCTTTCTTTCTTTCTTTCTTTCTTTCTTTTTTTTTTTTTTTGATGGAGTCTTGCTCTTGTCATCTAGGCTGGAGTGCAATGGCATTATCTTGTCTCACTGCAACATCCACTTCCCAGGTTCAAGCAATTCTCCTGCCTCAGCCTCCTGAGTAGTTGGGATTACAGGCACCCACCACCATACCATGCCTGGCTAATTTTCATATTTTTAGTAAAGATGGGGTTTCTCCATGTTGGCCAGACTGGTCTCAAACTCCTGACCCCAGGTGATCTGCCTGCCTCGGCCTCCCAAAGTGCTGGGATTACAGGAATGAGACACTGTGCCTGGCCAGCCTGTAGGATTTTGTAACAAAGCCCTGCCATTTTCTGCAGATAACTACTCTCCTTTTGAGAGACAACTCTTGGCCTATTACTGGGCTTTGGTAAAAACTGAACTTTTGACTATGGGTTGTCAAGTCACCATGCGACCTGAACTGCCTATCATGAACTGGGTGCTTTCTGACCCATCTAACCATAAAGTAGGTCATGCAAAACAGCATTCCATCATCAAATGGAGGTAGTATATATGTGATTGGGCTTGAGCAGTTTCTGAAGGCACAAATGAGAAAGTGGCTCAAATGCCCATGGTCTCCACTTCTGCCATCCTGCCTTCTCTCCCCCAGCCTGCACTGATGACCTAAGGGGGAGTTCCCTGTGATCATTTGACAGAGGAAGAAAAGACTATGGCCTCGTTTACAGATGATTCTGTATAATAAGCAGGCACCACCTGAAAGTGGACACAGCTGCGGCACTACAGTTCCTTTCTAGGACATCCCTGAAAGACAGTGGTGAAGGGAAATCTTCCCAGTGGGCAGAACTTTGAGCAGTGCACCTGGTTGTGCACTTTGCATGGAAGGAGAAATGGCCAGATGTGTGATTACATACTGAATCATGGGCTTTAGCCAATTGTTTGGCTGGATTGCCAGGTACTTGGAAGAAGCATGATTGAAAAATTGGTGACAAAGAAATTTGGGGAAGAGGTATGTGAATGAACCTCCTGAGTGGTCAAAAACTGTGAAGATATTTGTATCCCATGTGAGTGCTCACCAATGGGTGACCTCAGCAGAGGAGATTTTTAATAATCAAGTGGATAGGATGACCTGTTTTGTTGACATCACTCAGCGTCTTTCCCCAGCCACCCCGTCATTGCCCAATAGGCCCATGAACAAAGTGGTCATGGTGGCAGAGATGGAGGTCACAAAGTGACAAAGTGCTGAATGAAATGGTGGTATACTTTGGAATGACAGTTCGGGTCTGCAGAGACCAGAGGTAAATGTAACAGCAGCAGAGAGGCTGCAGTGCCACAGACAGGGAACAGGTGTAGCAAGTGAAGACTATTAAGAAGAAAGACAAATAAACTTCTTTAACTAAAAAAAAAAACACCAAATTTCAGACAAGACACATACTAAGAACATGTTCGAAAGACTCCCAGAATCTCTAGCAAAGACAATTGTTTTCAGACTATACCAGGACAAAGCTACATGATAAAAGATCGTGACAGCTAGCTTTTTAAAAAATGTCCAAATATCAATTAAAGATTACAATGTATACAAAACAGGGCAATACATTCCCATCCAAAATATCATAAAATTTTCAGAAAAAAAACCTTAAAAAAAGAAAATAAATTGGGCCGGGTGAGGTGGCTCACACGTATAATCCCAGCAGTTTGGAAGGCAGCGATGGGTGGGTCACTTGAGCCTAGGAGACCAGCGTGGGCAACATGGCGAAACCTGGCCTCTACTAAAAATTTGTAACAATGCTGCAATTATTATGAGTATGTAAATAATTCTTCATATGACTATATATGTTAAATTTTATATATGTGCTGCATTGGTTTTTATTAGTCTACATTTTTACTTTTATACTCACACCAAATTGTTTTAATTTTGTAGATTTGTAATGAGTTTTAAAATCAGGAACTGTAATGCCTTTAACATTATTTCTTTTTTTGAAGATTATTGGGTATTTTATTGTCTCATTAGATTCCGTATACTTTTGGAGTTGCTGTTTCTGTTTCTTCAAAATGTAGTGTGAACTTTTAAAGAACATCCCATTGAATCTGTAGTTTACATTGAAGAGTATGGATATCTTCAAAATATTTATCTCAACCTTTGAACAGGAGCATGCTCCTAAGTGTGTTAATTTCTATACATTTATAACTTTTTCAGTTTTTTTCTATTATTGTTTCATGCTCTCATTTCATTTTGGTCATAGAAAGTAATCCATATAAATTTAGTTTTAAAAATTATGTTAAGACTTCTATTTTGGCCTAACAGATGGTCTATCAAGGACAATGTTTTATGAGCTGTTGGGAAGGCTGTGTATCCTGATGTTGTTGAGGAGTGTTCTCTGTACCTCTGTTAGGAATGATTGTTTTATACTTGTCTTCAAGTTCTCTGTTCTCTTACTATTATGCTGTCTTGTTTTGTTTTTATTATACAAATTGGGGTATGGAAATATGCTACTGTAGGCTGGGTGCAGTGGCTCATGCCTGTAATCCCAGCACTTTGGGAGGACAAGGCAGACAGATGATGAGGTCAAGAGATGGAGACCATCCTGGCCAACATGGTGAAACCCCGTCTCAACTAAAAATACAAAAATTAGCTGGCTGTGGTGGCATGCACCTGTAGTCCCAGCTACTTGGAAGGCTGAGGCAGGAGAATCTCTTGAACCTGGGAGGCAGAGGTTGCAGTGAGCCGAGATCACACCACTGCACTCCAGCCTGTCAACAGAGCAAGACTCCATCTCAAAATAAATAAATAGATAAATAAATAAATAAATAAATAAACAGCTAAAGTAACATTATTTTGACCTCTTCTGCTCTAATTTAATTAATATTTGCATGGAATATCTACATCCATCCTGCTATTATCAGTCTTTTTTATCATTAGATCTCTGATGACTCGATTATAGAAAGGCAAGTTGGATCTTGGTTTTTAAAATTATCTAATTCCTTTATTACAAGTATGTCTCTTAATTGGAAAGCTCATTTTATATACATGTTTAAATAATTTTCTGAAACAGAAAGACTTAGTAATGTTATTTTATTGTTTTATTTGATTGTTGTATCTTCGTCTCTAATTTTCTCTCTTTGTGTCTTCCTTTGTGTCATTTTGATTTTTGTACTGATATGCTTTTAATTTTTTCTTATTTTGTTTTGCATATCTATACAGATTACAGTTTTTTTGTGGTACCTTGTGGTACCTTGGAAATTACACAAAACCTCTAAAAGATATAACAATATATTTTAATCTGGTAGAAGATAAATTTCAGTTGCATACAAAGATTTTACTCTCAAAATTTTAATAATTTTCTAAATTTTTTTCAAATTACAGACAATACTTAAAAATGTTTTCTGCACCATTATGATTATGCTAAGAAATTTCATTTTTTTGTATGTGCATGTCTATCCAAGAAAGTAATCCTTTTTTTTCTTTTCTCTTTTGGCCAGATGCAGTGGCTCATGCCTGTAATCCCAGCACTTTCGGAGGCTGAGGTGGGCAGATCAGGAGGTTAGGAGTTCGAGACCAGCCTGGCCAACATGGTGAAATGCCATCTCTACTAAAATTTTAAAAAATTAGCTAGACGTGGTGGCAGGCACCTGTAATCTCAGCTACATGGGAGGTTGAGGCAGGAGAATTGCTTGAAACTGGAAGGCAGGGGTTGCAGTGAGCTGAGATCAGGCCACTGCATTCCAGCCTGGACAACAAGAGTAAAACTCCATCTCAAAAAAATTTGTTTATATATATGTTTATATGATTATGTGTCATTTTCTTGAGTCATTTTATTTTAAGTAAAAGAAACTGCCTTCAGCATTCTTTTTTTTTTCTTTTTTATTATTACACTTTAAGTTCTGAGACACATGTGCACAATGTGCAGGTTTGTTACACAGGTATACATGTACCATGATGGTTTGCTGAACGCATCCACCCATCATCTACATTAGGTATTTCTCCTGATACTATTCATCTCCTAGCCCCCCTCAATCTGACAGGTCCCAGTGTGTCATATTCCCCTCCTTGTGTCCATGCATTCTCATTGTTCAACTCCCACTTATGAGTGAGAACATACAATGTTTGGTTTTCTGTTCTTGTGTTAGTTTGCTGAGAATGATGGTTTCCAGCTTCATCCACGTCCGTGCAAAGGACATGAACTCGTCCTTGTTTATGGCTGCATAGTATTCCATGGTGTATATGTGCCACATTTTCTTTATCCAATCTATTACTGATGGGCACTTGGGTTGGTTCCAAGTCTTTGCTATTGTGAATAGTGCTGCAATAAACATACGTGTTCATGTGATTTATAATCTTTTGGGTATATACTCAGTAATGGGGTTGCTGGGTCAAATGCTATTTCTGATTCTAGATCCTTGAGGAATTCTCACACTGTCTTCCACTATGGTTGAACTAATTTACACTCCCACTAACAGTGTGAAAGTGTTCCTATTTCTCCACATCCTCCCCAGCATCTGTTGTTTTCTGACTTTTTAGTGATTGCATTCTAACTGTCATGAGATGGTATCTCATTGTGGTTTTGATTTGCATTTCTCTAATGACCAGTGATAATGAGCATATTTTCATATGTTTGTTGGCTGCGTAAATGTCTTCTTTTGAGAAGTGTCTGTTTATATCTTTTGCCCACTTTTTGATGGAGTTGTTTGTTTTTCTGCTGTAAATTTGTTTATGTTCTTTGTATATCCTGGATATTAGCCCTTTGTCAGATGGATAGATTGCAAAAATTTTCTCCCATTCCATAGGTTGCCTGTTCACTCCAACAATAGTTTCTTTTGCTGTGAAGAAGCTCTTTCGTTTAATTAGGTCCCATTTGTCAAATTTGGCTTTTGTTGCCATTGCTTTTGGTATTTTAGTTATGAAGCCTTTGCCCATGTCTATGTCCTGAATGGCATTACCTAGGTTTTCTTCTAGAGTTTTTATGGTTTGGGGTGTTACATTTAAGTCTTTAATCCATCTTGAGTTAATTTTTGTATAAGGTGTAAGGAAGGGGTCCAGTTTCAGTTTTCTGCATATGGCTAGCCAGTTTTCCCAACACCATTTATTAAATAGGGAATCCTTTCCTCATTGCTTGTTTTTGTCAGGTTTGTCAAAGATCAGATGGTTGTAGATGTGTGGTGTTATTTCTGAGGCCTCTGTTCTGTTCCATTGGTCTGTATATCTGTTTTGATACCAATACCATGCTGTTTTGGTTACTGTAGCCTTGTACAATAGTTTGAAGTCAGGTAGTATAATGTCTCCAGCTTCGCTCTTTTTGCTTAGGATTGTCTTGGCAATGCAGCCTCTTTTTTGGTTCTATATGAAATTTAAAGTAGTTTTTTCTAATTCTGTGAAGAAACTCAGTGGTAGCTTGATGGGGACAGCATTGAATCTATGATCCAAATATGCTCAATTAGAAATAAAAGATCATTCAAAGCTACCATGGAATACCTTTACATGCTCAAACTAGAAAACCTAGAGGAGTTCGATAAATTCCTGGAAATATACAAACCTCCTAGATTAAACCCGGAAGAAATAAAAGCTCTGAACAGACCAATAACAAGTACCAAGATTAAACTAGTAATAAAAAATTGCCAGCTGGGTGCAGTGGCTCATGCCTGTAATCCTAGCACTTTGGTAGGATGAGGTGGGTGGATCACTTGAGGTCAGGGGTTTGAAACCAGTCTGATCAACATGGCAAAACCCCATCTCTACTAAAAATACAAAAATTAACCAGGCATGGTGGTTTGTGCCTGTAATTCCAGCTACTCGGGAGGTTGAGGAAGGAGAATCACTTAAACCCAGGAGGCAGAGGTTGCAGTGAGTCAAGATTACACCACTGCACTCCCGCCTGGGTGACAGAGCAAGACTCAAGAAAAAAAAAAAAAAGCCAACAAAAAAAGTCCAGGACAAGATGGATTCGTAGCTCAATTCTATCTGACATTCAGATAATTGGTACCAGTCCTACTGCAACTATTCCAAAAGACAGAGAAAAAGGGAATCCTTCCTAAATCATTCTATGAAGCCAATATCACTCTAATACCAAGATCAGGAAAAGACATAATAAAAGAAAACTGCACACCAATGTTCCTCATGAGCATAAATGCAAAAATCTTCAATAAAATACTAGCTAACCAAACACAGCAGCATATTAATAAGATAGTACACCATAATCGAGAACATTTTATGCCAGGGATGCAGAGATGATTTAACATAGGTAAGTCAATACATGTTTTACACCAAATAAACAGAATTAAAACCAAAAACTACATGATTATATCAATATAAGCAGAAAAATCATTTGGCAAAATCCAGCATCCCTTTATGATTAAAATCCTCAGCAAAATCGGGATAGAAGGAACATATTGTAAGGTCATAAAAGCCATCTATGACAGGCCAGGCGTGGTGGCTCAAGCCTGTAATCCCAGCACTTTGGGAGGCCGAGGTGGGCAGATCACCTGAGGTCAGGAGTTTGAGATCAGCCTGGCCAACATGGTGAAATCTCGTCTGTTCAAAAATACAAAAATTAGCCAGGCATGATGGCGGGTGCCTAGTGGTCCCAGCTACTGGGGAGGCTGAGGCGGGAGAATCACTTGAGTCCAGGAGGCAAAGATTGCAGTGAGCGGAGATCCTGACATTGCACTCCAGCCTGGGCTGAGTGAGACTCTGTCTGGAAAAAAAAAAAAAAAAAAAAAAAAAAAGCTCTCTATTATAAACAGCCAACATTACACTGAACGGGAAAAAGTTGAAAGGATTTTTTCTGAGAACTGGAACAAGACAATAATGCCCACTCTCACCACTTCTATTTAACACACTAATGGATGTCTTAGCCAGAGCAATCAGAGTAAAGCAAAAAATAAACAGCATCAGCTGGGCGTGGTGGCTCACGTCTGTAATCCCAGCACTTTGGGAGGCCCAGGCGGGCAGATCATGAGGTCAGGAGTTCAAGAGCAGCCTGGCCAACATGGTAAAACCCCGTCTCTACTAAGAATACAAAAATTAGCCGGGCATGGTGTCGAGTGGCTATAATCCCAGCTACTAGGGAGGCTGAGACAGGAGAATCACTTGAACTCGGGTGGCAGAGGTTGCAGTGAGCCGAGATCATGCCACTGCACTCCAGCCTGGGAGACAGAGTAAAACCTTGTCTCAAAAAGAAAAAAAAAACAACTTTTCAATCTGATACATAAATTCAGTAAAATTTCAGGATACAAAATGAATGTGCACAAATTGGTGGCACTGGTGTACACTAACAGTGACCAAACTAATAATTAAATTAAGAACTCATCATTTAAAAATAGCTGCAAAAAAAAAAGTTAGGAATATGTCTAGCCAAAGTGGTGAAAGATCTTTACAAGAAAAACTACAAAACGTTGCTGAAAGAAATCATAGACAACAAAAACAAATGGAAATGTATTTCATGCTTATGGATGAGTAGCGATTTTACTCTGACAATGATCAACCTACCAAAAGCAATCTACAAATTCAATGTGATTTCCATCAAAATAACATTATTATTCTTCACAGAACTAAAAAAAAAACCTAAAATTTATATAAATTAAAAAGAGAGCCTCCATAGTCAAAGCAACACTAAGAAAAATAAAACAAAACAAAACAAAACCAAAAACACACACAAAAAAATCTGAAGGCATCACATTATCTGACTTCAAACTATACTACAAGGCTATAGTTACCAAAACAGCATTGTATGGGTATAAAAATAGACATGTAGCCCAATGAAACAGAATAGTGAAATCAGAAATAAACCCAAATACTTACAGCCAACTGATCTTTGACAAAGTAAACAAAGATATAAAGTGGGGAAAGAACACCCTATTCAATAAATGGTGCTGGGATAATTGGGAAGCCACATATTGAAAAATAAAACTAGATCTTCAGCTGGGCGCAGTGGCTCATACCTGTAATCCCAGCACTTTGGGAGGTCGAGGTGGTTGGATCATGAAGTCAGGAATTCAAGGCCAGCCTGGCCAAGATGGTGAAACTCTGTCTCTACTAAAAATACAAAAAAAAAAAAAAAAAAATTAGCCAAGTATGGTGGCGGGTGCCTGTAATCCTAGCTACTCGGGAGGCTGAGGCAGAGAATTGCTTGAACCCAGGAGCCAGAAGTTACAGTGAGCTGAGATCACGCCACTGTACTCCAGTCTGGGAACAGAGCGAGACTTGTCTCAAAAAAATAAAAAAAAATAAAAAAAAACGGATCTTCATCTCTCACCTTATACAAAAATCAACCCAAGATGGATCAAATACTTTAATCTAAGACCTGAAACAACCCGAATTCTAAAGCATTGAAAAAACTCTTCCAGGCATTGACTTAGGCAAAGAGTGCATGACCAAGAATCCCAAAGCAAATGCAACAAAAACAAAGACAGATGGGACTTAAAAAATTCTCAAAAGAAGATACACAAATGGCCAACAAACATAGAAAAAAAAAATACTGAACATCACTAATGATTAATGACCAGGGAAATGCAAATCAAAACCACAATGTGATACCACCTTACTCTTGCAAAAATGACCATGATTGGCCGGGCATGGTGGCTCATGCCTGTAATCCCAGCACTCTGGGAGACCGAGACAGGTGAATCACCTGAGGTCAGGAGTTCCAGACCAGCCTGGCCAACATGGCAAAACCACGCCTTTACTAAAAATACTAAAATTAGCAGGGCGCGATGGCGTGTGTCTGTAATGCCTGCTACTCGGGAGGCTGAGGCTGGAGAATCGCTTGAACCCGGGAGGCGGAAGTTGCGGTGAGCCGAGATCGCACCACTGCACTCCAGTCTGGGCGACAGAGCGAGACTCCATCTCAAAAACAAACAAACAGAAAAGACCATAATTAAAACATCAAAAAATAGGCCAGGCACAGTGGCTCATGCCTGTAATCACAGCAAACTCCATCACAAAAAAAAACTCCATCTCAAAAAAAAAAAAAAAAAAGAAATAGGGGATAAAAACCCAAATATTGTATGTCCTCACTTATAAGTGGGAGCTAAGCTATGAAGATGCAAAGGCATAAAAATTATATAATGGGTCTGAGTGCGGTGACTCACGCCTGTAATCCCAACACATTGGGAGGCAGAGGCGGGCGATTACTTGAGGTCGGGAGTTCAAGACCAGCCTGACCAACATAGAGAAACCCTGTCTCTACTAAAAATACAAAATTAGCCGGGCATGTTGGGGCATGCCTATAATCCTAGCTACTTGGGAGCGCTGAGGCAGGAGAATCGCTAGAACCTGGGAAGTGGAGGTTGTGGTGAGCCGAGATCACACCACTGAACTCCAGCCCAGGCAACAAGAATGAAACCCTGTCTCAGAAAATAAATAAATAAATAAATAAAAGAATTATATAATGGACTCTGGGCACTCAGTGGGAAGGGTGGGAGAGGGGGTGAGGGATGAAAGACTACACATTGGGTACAGTGCACACTGCTTGGGAGATTGGTGCACGTAAATCTCAGAAATCACCACAAAAGAACTTATCCATGTAACCAAATACTACGTATACCCCAAAACTATTGAAATATAATAATTTAAGACAAAAATAAAAAGCCCCAAACTCCCATAAGTTTAAGGTTATATGCTTTGTCTTTTTTTTAAGAAAGGGTCTCACTCTGTTACCCAGAATGGAGTGCAGTGGCTTGATCAGGGCTCACTGCAGCCACAACCTCCTGGGCTCAGGCAATACTCCTACTTCAGCCCCTGAATAGCTGGTAACTACAAGTTCAGGTCACCATGCTAAATTAGCTGGGTGTGGTGGACGGCGCCTGTAATCCCAGCTACTCGGGAGGCTGAGGCAGAAGAATTGCTTGAACCCAGGAGGCGGAGGTTGCAGTGAGCTGAGATCATGCCATTGCACTCTAACCTGGTGGACAGAGCAAGACTCTGTCTCAAAAAACAACAACAACCATAATAATAATAATAATAATAATTTAAGGTTGTTTCAAGTTAAAAAAATCTATTAAAATAAAATAGAAAAAGTTAAAAAAATGTGAGATTATAAAATATATATGAAAATGTAGAGTGTTGGAAAAGTGACAAATTTGATGGATTTATTTATAAGGTTTTACTAAAATAAGTTTAATTTTTTTGTTTTGTTTTTTGAGATGGCGTTTCACTCTTGTTGCGCAAGCTGGAGTGCAATGGCCCAACCTCGGCTCACTGCAACCTCCACCTCCTGGATTCAAATGATTCTCCTGCCTCAGCCTCCTGAGTAGCTGGGATTACAGGCGCCCACCACCACGCCCGACTAATTTTTGTATTTTTAGTAGAGAAGGGGTTTCACCCTATCGACCAGGCTGGTCTTGAACTTCTGACCTCCAGTGATCCGCCCTCCTCGGCCTCCCAAACTGTTGAGATTAAAGGCGTAAGCCATCGCGCCCGGCCTTTAGTATTGATAACACACTATGACTAAAGTAAAAATTAATTTACTCTGGAACAAAAGTTTTATGTATTATTAACATGGCAGTAAAATATATTCGTTCACATTTCGAATACATTTAAAAAGAGAGAGAGTAAAGAAGAGATAGAATATTCGCATGCTCTGGGGTGGGCCTGGCTCAGCTCAGGGAGGAAGCCCTGCCTGAAAGGTTGCAGCCTACGCTGGCTCTCTTTCTTCATTCAGCCCAGCATCTGATCACATCTTCTGTCACTCAGGGCCTGAAAGGGCGGGGCCTTAAACATTATCCAATCAGGGATGCTGGGCTGGGAACGTCCAATCAGGCAGGCAGCTGGAGGGGACAGGTCGGCTTCCGGGATGTGGTCGGTCCTTTGTCTCTCGCTGCAGCCGGAGGTCAAGGTCTCGTCCTTACTGCTGTGTGTCCTCTGCTCCTAGAGTCCCAGCCTCTGTGGCCCTATGACCTGCAGGTATTGGGAGATCCACAACTAAGTCGCCAGGACCCCCTGGAAGCCTAGAAATGGTGAGTGTGCCGGGTCCGACACACTGAGAGAGTGGCCCGGGCTGCTTGGAACCGGTGGGAAGTGGCTGTGGCGGGACTCAGGCCTCCCCGCAGTCAGCTCCACATCTGTGCCCCGAGTTCTTGCCTAGCTCGACCTCAGTCCGGTTCAGCCATAAGATGGAGGCTGCGCTGACACCCGGTCCCCGGGCGTCCTGTCTCTTCCCTGCGCTGTGATTGTGCCCTGGCCTGGAGCCCTCTTGGGGCCGCTCTGCACCCGCAGCGCGGAGTCTCTCCCAGATGTGCAGGGACCATGAGAGGGTCGTGAGAGGAGAATCCTGACTTGGGGTGTGGGTTCATGAATGGGAAGAGCTTTGGTCCGTGAGGCTCCCAGTTCCTGTTTTCTCCTATTAAAAATTTATGGAAGTCACCTCAAAAATATTAAAGAATTTAATCAAAGAGTGATTCCAAAATTGTAGAGCACCCAGCTATGGGTTGTAGTTAATGGTCTATTGAAGGGGTTTGACGGAAAGAGTTTTATAAGGTGCATAACGAGGAAAACCACATTCAATAATTGGTTAGGTACAGTTACGTAGTTTCTTGTTTTGTTTTATTTATTTATTTATTTTTGAGACGGAGTCTTCCCTCTGTCGCCCAGGCTGGAGTGCTGTGGCACGATCTTGTCTCACTGCAAGCTCCGCCTCCCGGGTTGACGCCATTCCACTGCCTCAGCCTTCCGAGTAGCTGGGACTACAGCCGCCCGCCACCACGCTCGGTTACTTTTTTGTATTTTTAGTTGAGAAAGGGTTTCACCATGTTAGCCAGGATGTTCTCGATCTCCTGACCTCGTGATCCGCCCGCCTCGGCATCCCAAAATGCTGGGATTATAGGCGTAAGCCACCGCGCCCGGCCTTGTGGTTTCTTAATTTGTAACATCAAGATGGAAGTTTCTTGGTTATGTAATCAGAGGTTAATTGGCAGTTTATAGTGTGTTAAGCCTGAAATTTTTTCCCCCAATGTAGTAATTTACAAAAAATGCATTTGAATTAGATTTTTTTTTTTTTTTTTTGAGACCAAGTCTCACTCTGTCGCCCAGGCTGGAGTGCAGTGGCGCCATCTGGGCTCACTGCAATCTCCGCCTCCCAGGTTCAAATGATTCTCCTGCCTCAGACTTCCAAGTAGCTGGGATTCCAGGCATGCACCACCATGCCCTCTAACTTTGCATTTTTAACAGGGACGGGGTTTCACCATGTTGGTCAGGCTGGTCTCGAACTCCTGATTTCAAGTGATTCACCTGCTTCGGCCTCCCAAAGTGCTGGGATTACAGGGTAAGCCACCGTGCCTGGCCGAATTAGATTTTTTAAAAGTAGAAATTAGAAACTAGAGCCTCCTCAGTCTAACTGCCAGCCACTTAATTATTTTCACACCCCACAAGGAATTGCTGTTTCCTTGCATTTTTCACATGTGTCCCAAGCAGGACCTCAAGTCTATCTGCCACCCCCTATTTCTCCAGCCTGACTCTGGCTTGCAGTAAAATACTTAATTTCCAGTTCCTTCTGACATTCCCAAACGCCAATTTCCCCTCCCTTATTCACATGATCAACTATTTGTCCTTTAGTTTACATTTTGATACCTATTGTAATCATTTTTTGACAAAGCATTTGATGGCACATTTAAAAAGATTTGTTTTCTGTTTGTAAATATTTTTTCTTCTGTTTTCCGTAGACATAGATATCAGAATGTTTTGGGTCAAGGTTTCCCTTTGGAAACTTTATAGGGAGATGTGTCCTCAGACACCCTTCAGTTTTTTCTTGGACCTGAGATTCAGTACTATCTGGGGAAAAACTAAGATACCCGCCATGGCTATGTCTGCGAGAGCGTCTAGTGAATATCAGCTCCTGGGTCATTTTCTCCCATAAGACAACCTGAGGTACACAGTGTAGCCTCTCTTCTCCCATAACACAACATGAGATATGGAGTGTAGCCTCTCAAGAGAGCAGGTGAATACCCTGGGGCTGAGAGGCATCTTCTGGTGTGCTGTTTTTTTGGAAAGCTAACCCCTTGAGATATTAGTGTTGTCTTTACCCAACGCAGCTTCCATTTCTTGGAGACATATTGCTGTTCAGACAATCAGATGCTGGTATTGAAGGGGAAACCAAAATAATTTTTGCCCCTGGATTCTCTTAGGGGACAGAAAAATAGTGAAATAAAAATGGTAAAAAGTTTGTGAAAAAAAATAGCACTCCAAAGACAAAAAAAAAAACTGACCCCAGTGAGATGGTGCAAGAACTTGCAAAGTAAAATGTACCTGGGGCACTCACTGGGGCATAGTTCAGAGTCTCCTGAGAGAATGGTTACTGAGCACTTAAGTGAACAGGATGGGGTGGGAGAATCTCTCAAGTAATTGGATGGCCTGACTTGACACATGAGTCAGACATATCTGTACCTTGAAATGATTAAATGCATTGTTCACTTATTTTGACCTCAGTTTTTTTTTTCTTTTTTTTTTTTTTGAGATAGAGTCTCATTCTGTCACCCAGGCTGGAGTGCAGTGGTATGATCTCTGCTCACTGCAACCTCTGCCTCCCGGGTTCAAGCAATTCTTCTGCCTCAGCCTCCTGAGTAGCTGGGACTACAGGTGTGCACCACCACACCCGGCTAATTTTTGTATTTGTGGTAGAGACGGAATTTCACCATATTGACCAGGCTGTTCTCGAACTCCTGACCTTGTGATCTGGCTGCCTCAGCCTCCCAAAGTGGTGGGATTACAGGTGTGAGCCACCGCGCCCGGCCCTTTTTTTTTTTTTTTTTTAAGACAGTGCTTTCCTCTGTCACCCAGGCTGGACTGCAGTGGTGCAATCTCGGCTCACTGAAACCTCTGCATCACGAGTTCAAGTGATTCTTATGCCTCAGCCTCCCAAGTAGCTGGGACTACAGGTGCCTGCCACCACACCTGGCTACTTTTTGTATTTTTAATAGAGATGGGGGTTTGCCATGTTTACCGTGCTGTTTGAGCTCAAAATTCTGACCTCAAGTAATCTGCCTGCCTTGGCCTCCCAAAGTGCTGGGATTGCAGGTGTGAGCCCCTGTGCCCGGCTGACCTCAGTTTTTTAACTGTAAATTGCATTTTATTAGTAGGGCTTGAAAGGTAAGAAAATATTTACAAAGGGCATAAAAAAAGGTGAATTTCAAAAAACAATATCTAATTATATATTTTATTTGTTGAAAATTCTCATTCATCTTTTATTTTCTCAGAGTGAATTTAGGAGTTTTTTCAGGTGTTACTTTTTTTTTTTTTTTTTTTTTTTTTGGAGACAGAGTCTTGCTCTGTCCCCAGGTTGGAGTGCAGTGGCGGGATCTCACTGCAAGCTCCTCCTCCCAGGTTTACGCCCTTCTCCTGCCTTAGCCTCCCAAATAGTGGGAGCCCGCCACCACGCCCAGCAAATTTTTTTGTATTTTTAGTAGAGACGGGGTTTCACCGTGTTAGCCAGGATGGTCTCAATCTCCTGACCTCATGATCCACCTGCCTCGGCCTCCTAAAGTGCTGGGATTACAGGCATGAGCCACCGTGCCCGGCCCTCAGGTGTGTTTTTTATGGCTGAGTGATTTCAAATAGAATTCCATCTAGCTTTTAGAATGTTAGCTACTGAGGAAAAAAATAAAAATTTTTCTTCCATTTTGGCTATAGAGAATTAATATATTTCCACAAGAAAATGCGGTAGGTAATTGGTGAGTTACACAGATTCGTGAAAACATCAGTTTCTTTTCTTGCAGGGTGAATTTGCAAAAATAAATATCTTTGTTCTATATCCTGTTTTTCGATTTCTGAGTTTAATGGTAAATTTTATGTCATGAAACTTGGTACCTCCTAGAAGTGTTCCCATATAACTGTTTACCACATGATTTTTAATACAAAAAATAAAATAATGCTTTATTGTCCAAAAGAAATAAATACATTTGCTTCTCTTACTGAGGTACAAAAGGTAAGCACCTTAAAATTTTCTTATATGAACACTGTTTTTGAATCATTTTGCTGGATTTTTCAAACACAATTTCAAAAACTAAGTGAATGACTCTGACATGGTAAATTAAAGCTTGAGCCTAATGACTGCAAGCTAAGGTTAATTTTGAGCCAGCAGACGGAGGTTATTAAAGGCCCAGTTAGTTCCTTCTGGAAAGCCTTTCCTGCAGATGTCCCAGCCTGCTTACCGCAGCCATGGAAGAAGCCTCTATAGTGAGAGAAGCTACAGAGCCCTGGAAAGCTGGGGCCCCACAGGCAGATGCAGTTAAGGTTAAGATAGAAGAGGTTTGGGGGTGTCTTACGGAACCCTAAACCTAACCCTAAACTGAACCCTAGCCCTAAATTGTTAAACAGTAAATTGTTACTGTTTTGAGGCAGATTCGAGAGGTTTTAAAATAAACCAGTTAGACGTACATTAAAAAAAAAATTGAATTCCAAAGGAGTATTACAACAGGAGGAAGTACCAACTATAAGATCTTTAAGGATTGCAAAGATTAGGTAGAAAAGGGCTTTTTTTCCTAGGGAAAAGCAAATAAGATTAGAAAGAAGGTGAGGGGAATGTTTAAATGAAGGGTGAAATAATCAGATTTTAGATCAGAGAATGTTTTACCCTGAAGTCAGTGTGTTCTTAGGAGTGTTCTTCAGACACTGAATCTGCAGTAGCATAAAATGAGGTTGTATGGTGGCTCGGACTGAGAGTAGCTCAGAGTTCAGGAGCCTGTGGGAAGAAAATAAACTTAAGTTTGATTAAAAGGTATTTTATGTTGACCACTGAAGGCAAATTCAGCTGATTTTTTTAATGAGAAGAAGAAGAAAATATGCAGAGTGTTTTCCTGGTTGTGTAGTAGGTAAGAAAAGAGCACCATCTAAGTCATGATGAGAAGGGTTTTTCTTTTCATAAGTGTTCCTGGAGAACACAGAGGATAGAGAATTTTACTAATCCCGGCTATTTATTATCTATATGCTTCATCTTTTCCCACCTCTTTTCTTGGTTCTATACTTTTCTTCCATTTGACTTTTTGGGGGTTGTATATTTTATTTGAAGCCAGTAAGTATAACTAGTGTTCTGCTGAGTTCTGTGAGTAGCTGTATCAGGTTATTGAATTTCAAAAAGGTTATGGGAGTCCCCAATTTTTAAACAGTAGGTCAGAAGCATAGATGAGCCCATGGGGTTTGTGACTGGCATCTGCAGTGAGGACAATGTTGTGGGACTGAGCCCTGAATCAGGGTCTGTGCTGACTCTGGGTGGTGTCAGAATTCAAGTGTTAGACAATGAGTTGCTGTTGGAGAATTGTTGGTGTTCATCAAACTCTGCAGATTTGGTGCCAGAAGAAAGATATCACAGACTCCTGGCCTGGAATGAAACTCTGGGTGTCTGGGAATGGGAAGCTCTGATCTCCTCTACACAGGCTGTCACACTGCCCCTTGTTCTTTGATTTCAGATCTCCTCCCAGGGTGACAGAGGACTGAAAACTTAAAAGAGATCTGATGACAAACCCCCTTTTGCCACAGCTGCCAGCAGAGGATTTCTACCCACTCACAAACACCCACTTGACATTGATGTGTCCACACTCCTCTCTGGACAAGGCACCACCCTCAGGAATTTTACCACAGCATTTTTGATCCTAGTGGTTTTTTTGGCCAAAAACCACAAAAGTGTCTACAAGTCTCCTGGCATATCTCTATTTTCAGACACTGAATCTGCAGTAGCAACCTGTTTTCTCCACCAGCCTAGGGTTCATAATCTTATCTGCCTGCATGGACCCAGAAATAAATCAGAGTACAGCCCCACCTGGGCCACTATCTATAGGACAAACCAGTCCTTCCACCTGCATTGCACTCTCTCCAACCCAGGGACTTTGTTTTCTTTTAACTTTTATTTTTGGTTGGTTCAGGGGTACACATGCAGCTTTGTTATACAGCTAAAATTATGTCATGGGAGTTTGGTGTGCAGATTATTTTGTCACTGCAGTACTAATCATAGCACCAAAAAGGTACTTTTTCTGACCCTTTTAGTCCTCCCACCCTCCACCCTCTACTAGGCCTCAGTGTCTTTTTTCCCCTCTGTGTTCATGTGTTCTTATTTAGCTCTTACTTATAAATAATAACATGCATTTGGTTTTCTGTTTCCGCATCAGTTTTCTAAGAATAATGATCTCCAGCTTCATCCATGTTGCTGCAAAGGACATAATCTTGTTTTTTTTGTTGTTGTTGTTTATGGCCACTCAGTATTTCATGAATTCATGGTGTTTATGTACCATATTTGTTTGTTTGTTTGGTTTGAGATGGAATCTTGCTGTGTCACTCAGGCTGGAGTGCAGTGGCTTGATCTCGGCGCATTGCAACCTCTACCTCCCAGGTTCAAGCAATTCTGCCACAGCCTCTGGAGTAGCTGGGATTACAGGCGTGTGCCACCATACTCAGCTAATTTTTGTATTTTTAGTATAGATGGGGTTTTGCCACGTTGGCCAGGCTAGTCTCGAACTCCTTACTTCAGGTGATCTGCCGCCTTGGCCTCCCAAAGTGCTGGGATTACAAGTGTGAGCCACCATACCCAGCCCATATTTTGTTTTTATTAAGTTTATTAATAAAGTTTTTAATTTTTTTGTTATTTTTGGAGACAGGGTCTCACCTTTTTCCCAGGCTGGAGTGCAGTGGTGTGATCTTGGCTCACTGAAACCTCAACCTCTCAGGCTCAAGCAATCCTCTTCTACCTAAGCTTCCCAAGTAGCTAAGACTAAAGTCTGTGCCACCATGCTTAGCTAATTTTTATTTTTGTACTTTTTTTTTTATAGATGGGATTTTGCCATGTTGTCCATGCCTGTCTCAAACCCCTGAGCTCAGGCAATCCACCTAGCTCATCCCCCGAAGTGCTGGATTACAGACGTGTGCCAACATGCCCAACCATACTATATTTTCTTTATCTAGTCTACCAGTGATAGGCATTTAGGTTGATTCCATGTCTTTGCTGTTGTGAATAGTGCTGCAATGAACGTGATTGTGCATGTGTCTTTAGGATAGAATAATTTATATATTTTTAGGTATATACCCAATTGTGAGGTTACTGGGTCAAATGGTAATTTGTTTTTAGTTTAGTGAGGAATCACCACACTGCTTTTCACAATGGTTGAATTATAATAATGGCCATTCTCACTGGTTTGAGATGATTTCTTGTTGTGGTTTTCTTTTGCATTTCTCTAATGATTAGTGATGAGCATTTTTTTACATGCTTGTTAGCCACATGTTTGTCTCCTTTTGAAGACAAACGTCTTTTTCATGTTTTTTTTTGGTCTTCTTTTTAGTTTTTTTTTCTTGTAAACTTGTTTTAGTTCCTTATGGATTCTAGATAGTAGACCTTTGTCAGAAGCATAGTTTGCAAATATTTTCTATTATTTTGTAGGATGTCTGTTTACTCTGTTGATAGTTTCCTTTGCTGTGAAAAAGTTTAATTAGGTCCCATTTGTCAGTTTTTGCTTTTGTTGCAATTGCTTTTCATATCTTCATCATGAAATCTTTGCCAGTTTCTATGTCTAGAATGGCACTTCTTACCTTCCAGGGTTTTTTAAAATATATCCTTTTTAAGATTAACATTTAAGTCTTTTATTTACCTTGAGTTGATTTTTTTATATGGTGTTATAAAAAATCTACTACATAGTGCTAGCTAGTTATTCTAGCACCATTTATTAAATAGGAAATTCTTCCCACATTCCTATTGTCACCTTTGTTGAAGATCAGATGGTTTTAGGTGTGTGGCATTATTTCTGGGCTCCCTATTCTGTTGCATTGACCTATGAGTTTGTTTTTGTACCAGTACCATGTTGCTTTGTTTACTGTAGCACTGTTGTGTAGTTTGAAGTCAGGTAATGTAATGCCTTCAGCTTTGTTGTTTTTGCTTATGATTGCCTTGGCTATTCAGGCTCTTTTTTGGTTCCATGTGAATTTTAAAATAGTTTGTTCTTTTAGTTCTGTTAAAAATATTTTGGTGGTTTGATTAAATTAGCATTACATCTGTAAATTTATTTAAGCAGTATGACCATTTTTATGATAGTGATCTTTTTTATTCATGAGCATAAAGTTGCTTTCCATTTGTTTGTGTCATCTCTGGCTTCTTTAAGCATTGTTTTGTAATTCTTGTCATAGAGATCTTTTACCTTTCTGGTTATCTGTATTTCTAGATATATTATTCTTTTCTGTGGCAGTTGTGAATGGGATTGTGTTTTCGATTCGGATTTGGCCTAGGTGTTCTTGATATATAGGGTTGCTACTAATTTTTGTACATTTCTTTTGTATCCTGAGACTTTACTGAAGTTGTTTGTCAGTTTAAAGAGCTTTTCTGCTGAGAGTATATGGGTTTCCAGATGTAGAATCATGTTGTTTGCAAATAAGGATAGTTTGACTTCCTCTCTTTATGTTTGGATGCCTTTTATTTTTATCTTTTGCCTGATTGCTCTGGCTAAGACTACCAATTTTATATTGAATATAGGAGTGTTGAGAGAAGGCATCCTTGTCTTGTGCCAGTTTTCAAGAAGGAATGCTTCCAGGTTTTGTCCATTCAGTATATTGGCTGTGGGTTTGTCATAGATAACTTACTATTTTGACGTATGCATCTTCAATGCCTAGTTTGTTGAGGGTTTTTAACATGAAAAATGTTAAATTTTATTGAAAGCTTTTTGTGCATCTATTGAGATAATCTTGTGCTTTCTGTCTTTAATTCTGTTTATGTGATGAATCACATTTATTGATTTCTGTATGTTGAGCAAACCTTAAATCCCCAAAATAAACCATAGTTGATCATAGTGGGTTAGCTTTTTGATATGCTGCTGGATTTGGTTTGCCAGTAGTTTGTTGAAGATTTCTTTTCTTTTCTTTTTTCTTTTTTTTTTTTTTTTTTTTTTTTTTTTTGGGATGGAGTCTCACTGTGTCATCCAGGCTGGAGTGTAGTGGTGCAATCTTGGCTCACTGCAACCTCTGCCTCCCAGGTTCAAGTGATTCTCCTGCCTCAGCCTCTTGAGTAGCTGGGATTACAGGTGTGTGCTACCATGCCCAGCTAATTTTTTGTGTGTTTTTAGAAGAGACAGGGTTTCATCATGTTGGCTAGGCTGGTCTTGAACTCCTGACCTCAGGAAATTGGCCCACCTTGGCCTCCCAAAGTTCTGGGATTACAGGCATGAGCCACCAGGCCCAGCCTTTTGTTGAAGATTTTTGCATCAATTTTCAAGGATATTGGCCTGAAGTTGCCTTTTTTTGTTTTATCTCTGTTAGGTTTTGGTATCAGAATGATGCTGTTCTTACATAATGAGTTGGAGAGGAGTTTCTTCTTTTTAATCTTTTGAAATTGTTCTAGTAAAAATAATATCAGCTTCTATTTGTACATCTGGTAGAATTCAGCTGTGAGTATGTCTGGTCCTGAGCTTCATTTAGTTGGTAGGCTATTTATTACTAATTCAATATTTTGAGCTTATCTATGTATTTAGGGCTTTGATTTTTTGTTTGTTTGTTTGTTTGTTTTGAGATGGAGTTTCGCTCTTGTTGCCTAGGCTGGAGTGCAATGGCTCGATCTCGGCTCACCGCAACCTCCGCCTCCCAGGTTCAAGCAATTCTCCTGCCTCAGCCTCCCGAGTAGCTGAGATTACAGGCATGCACCACTATGCCTGGGTAATTTTGTATTTTTAGTAGTGACGGGGTTTCCCCAGGTTGAGGCTGGTCTCGAACTCCTGACCTCAGGTGATCCACCCACCTCAGCCTCCCAAAGTGCTGGGATTACAGGTGTGAGCCACCGCACTCAGCCCAGGGCTTTGATTTTTGTGTGTGTGTGTTCAGTCTTGGGAGGATGTGTTTGTTCAAGAATTTTTTCATTTCTTCTAGATTTCGTTTGTTTGTTTGTTTATATGCATAGCAGACTTCAGTATATTTTTGTGGGGTCAGTGCTAATGTCTCTTTTTTTTATTTCTAATTGTGTTTATTTGTATCTTCTTCATTAATCTAGCTAGTAGTTTATTTACCTTTTTTAAAAAAATAGATTTTATACCTGGATCTCTTGATATTTTGTAATTTTTCATGTCTAAATCTCCTTCAGTTCAGATCTGATTTTGGTTATTTCTTGTCTTTTGCTAGCTTAGGGGCTGATTTGCTTTTGTTGCTCTCAGTCTTTTATTTATGATGTCAGGTTGTTAAACTGAGATCTTTTTAACTTTTTGATCTGGGGATTTAATGCTATAAATTTTTCTTTTAACATTGCTTTAGATGTATTGCAGGGATTCTGGTGTGTTGTATTTTTGTTCTTATTTGTTTCAAAACACTTCTTGGTTTCTGCCTTAATTTCATTATTTACCAAAAAGTTATTCAAGTGTAGGCCATTTAATTTTTATTTAATTGTATAGTTTCCAGTTGTTTTATTGGTATTGAATCATTTTTTTCTTAAGCTGTAATCTGTGTGTGTGGTTTGTATAATTTTCGGATTTTTGAATTTGCTGAGAATTGTTTTGTTTCTGATTGTGTGGTCAATTTTAGAGTATGTGCCACATGGTGATGAGAAGAACATATATTACGGTATTTTTCGATGAAGAGTTCTGTAGATGTCTATTAGGACTGTTTGGTCAAGTGTTGAGTTCAAGTCGTAATATTGTTGTTAATTTTCTTCTTCAATGATCTGTCCATTAGTGCTTGTCAGATGTAGTCTCCGATTATTACTGTGTCAGATTCTGAGTCTCTTCATAGGTCTCTAAGAACTTGCTTTATTCATGTGAACCCATGGAGTTTTTTTATAACACCTTCCTCTCTTCTGCTTTTCCCCCCATAAACATTCTTTCAAGTGCACACAGTGTGCAAAATTCAGATGTCCAAGAGTTCAAGAACTTGTCCAGAGACCTGGCTGTTGTAAGACAAAATATAAATTAGAAATAAGAAGCTTTATTCTCATATGTGAAAATAAGGGAGGATAACTTGCTGATTTTTATAAAAGGTTTAGATTATATGTATATATTTTTTCTGCTTTTTGAAATATATGTAAATCATATTAGCAATAACACAAACCATTTGTCATTCTTTTTGACTCAGAATTGTCTTTATCTGGGACCTGAGATTCATTGCTTTCTTTTTGTCTTGGCAAAATATTGGTTTTTTTTTTGTCTTTAGTCTTTAAAGTAGACACAAATTTGTTCAGAGTAAAGTTCATTTCAAGAGCATAAAGAAGTTGAGCACAAAGATTGGATTAAATTTAGCAATACAGAATAATAAAGACTAAAAGATCCTGAGTAAGTTCTTTGGCAGAAACCTGATTATCCAGGGTGATTATTTGCTGGCTGACATACTTACACTGCAAAAGCCAGAAGAGTTCAGTGTATAGACTGAACAGTGGAGTCTGTTGTACTTGGGTTACTTCAGTACAGTTAGTATAGTTATGTGTAGTGTTTGTAGACAACCTGCATTCATATAAACAGTATTTTCTACAATAGTATGAATTTAAGGCCACGTATTTACTTAGATTGAATTCCTTAGTTATTTTAATATTATTCATATTTTTGAAATATAGTGTTTCAACTGAAGTATAGTTCAGATAATTTTTTAAAATCTTACATACATTATGAGTAGTACATAAAATTATTCATACTTACATATTTGTATCTGATATCCAAAAAAATTTACCATTAAATCATTATAGTAGATATTAGTCTGACATGCATATTAATTTATCCAATGGGAATAAATTATAGGTATATAATTTATAAATTATAGCATAAAATTATGCTATAAAATTATAGCATAAAATTATGCTATAAAATTATAGCATAATTTTAGTGTCATATATTTTACCAAATTAGCTTGCTACTATTACAGGACAAAGACAAGTGATATGGCTACCCAAAAACCGTAATTGCTCTCCAGTTAGCTATGTTGCAAGCTCTAATATATTCTACTATATTAACACAGTCAGATTTCAATTTTTATAAAAAAGTGCTGGTGGAAGTTGTCAGATATATTCCAATATATCTCACATTCAATGGTTAGGAAATAAGAGAACAGCAGAGATGGAAGATAAATCTTTTAAAATTCTGCTGAGAGCTGGGCGCTGTGGCTCATGCCTGTAATCCCAGCATTTTGGGAGGCCAAGGGGGGTGGATCACCTGAGGTCAGGAGTTTGAGACCAGCCTGGACAATGTGGTGAAACCTCGTCTCTACCAAAAATAACAGAATTAGCCAGGTGTGGTGGTGTGTGTCTACAGTCCCAGTCATTTGGGAGGCTGAGACAGGAGAATTGCTTGAACCCGGGAGGCAGAGGTTGTAGTGAGCCTAGATCACACCATTGCACTCCAGCCAGGGCAACAAGAATGAAACTCCTTGGCCGGGCGTGGCAGCTCACGCCTGTAATCCCAGCACTTGGGAGGCCGAGGCAGGTGGATCACGAGGTCAGGAGATCGAGACCATCTTGGCTAACATGGTGAAACTCCATCTCTACTAAAAATACAAAAAAAAATTAGCCGGGTGTGGTGGCACACGCCGATAGTCCCAGCTACTCAGGAGGCTGAGGCAGGAGAATGGCGTGAACCCAGAAGGCAGAGCTTACAGTGAGCCGAGATCGCGCCACTGCACTCCAGCCTGGGCGACAGAGTGAGACTCTGTCCAAAAAAAAAAAAAAAAGAATGGAACTCTATCTCAAAAAAAAAAAATTTTTTTTTTTGCTGAGAATGTGCCCCCTTTATTCAATAATGCTCATGTTTCCCTTGCTGAGAGTAGCTATGCACTTTGGGTGTTTGGAGAGAAATTCTTCTTAGGGAAATATTTTCTGGCTGACTTGATCAATCTTATATCTAATCTCAGTTTTTTCTTAAGACACTTTTAACTTTTTTCTCTCAACATAATCTTTCTCAGAATGAGAGCAGTTTTTTCTCTCTAATGCATTGTGTGTCTGTTTGAGAAGCCCTATTAGTATCCCGTGGTGTCTGTGAAAGACGTGAGCTGTCACAGTGAGAACTCTCAGAGCTGTCTCTATCTGGACTCATGCTAAAACCCAGCAGTATTTTTTTCATGTCACCATTATAAATAAAAACTGAGGCTGAAACAGTGCTCCCTTTTCTATTATTGTGAAGGTGCAATTCTACCCAGGAGGCCTGCAGGCTCTCCTCCTGCTGCTCAGGCTTCACTGTCTGATGTGCCACTGGAGTGCTGCTGTGGCAAATGGGGTTCACCTAAGATGTGAGTTTCCAGCTGTGAGCCCTGTGCTGTGGGCTGTGCCTCAGTGGCAGATGGTGGGGTCAAGAGAGTACACTAGCCACCAAGAGAGGGAAAGCAGGAGTGCTCTAGCCCAGTGCTCAGGGAGTAGAGAGCTATTGCTTTAAAATGTAAATAGCCAAAAAGATAGCACCCGAATCAACACTTTTTGTAGAAGAGTCAAAGCCTACCTTCAGTAGGCACCGGGGTTCAAGTTGCAAAACTACCTCCAGTCATGAAGATGTGAAAAGTTTATTTTGTCATTGATTATAACCAATTAGCATACATGGATGGCCTTCCCAACTACCATGTGAATTTAGGATGAACTATGTATGACATGGTGCTGTAAATTCTACTTGTAGACAAATTATGGTCACTGTCTTTCTGTCTTTGCAATCTCTTGAGCAAATTGACTATAATGCATGTCATATTCACATGTAATTGTGTAATAAAACAATTTTCTTTCTGTTCTGTTATGTGGAGTTCCTCTGGGGCTGAAGAAAATTGTGCTTCTAATTATATTTCCCAAACCTTGTCTAGAATTACCAGACATAATACAAACACATAAGGTGCCAACTAAGCTTTACTCTAGATGGGCCTTTTCCACTCAGGCTTCCAGTCAATTCACAGTTGTGCTGTGAAGTGCATGCTGTACCCTAAATATGCAGGTGGAATTGTGTCTCTACGTACTTGGTATCTATCATCCTCTGCAGTCACTTTTAGAGAGGCTAGAACAGATTTCTACAAACTTCATAGGTCAGATATTAACCATTTTACCTCTTTCAATGACTTGTGTCTTCAGACCTGAAACTGATTCAGTGACCATGGGGCACAGAAACCCAATCAGAGTAAAATATGTGCACTGAGTAGACCTGTAGACGTGAGAATCCACTTCTCCCTCCCTCCTCATGCTAAAATGCCCACAAATGTTCAGGTAACACCTATTGCTACTTTACCCATGCAGGACCTGAATTTGCAGCTCCGTATTCTAAATCTAAGTCTTGAGAATTGAAAAGAAAAAAATAAGTTTTTATCTGAGGAATGCAAGTCCTTTTAGTTACTAAAGTCAGAGAAACATTAAAATGAGAGCACAATTACGTTTTTCTCCTTTTTTTCAGCTATATATTTATCTATTGAAACTGTTCACTATTGCCACAAGTAGCTATAAATTAAACTAATAATTCTACACTGGACACTATATTCCATATCCTTAACCTTAATGATGTATATCCAATCAATTATTAAAGTTATTTCTTTACATAAATAAGAATTTCTCACAACCAATTTTGTATCAGCTCACTCACTGTTCCTCTTTTTTGCCTTCACAAATCCACTTGTAAGTGCTGCTAATGAAAGTGTAGATTCCAGGCAACTTGAATATTTTGTCTCAAGTTAAAATACTTAAGCTTGACCCAAATAAACTGTCTGCTTATGTTCATGTTGTGTCAGCTTTTTTAAGGTAAAATATTATTTAGAATATCCTAGAGCAGCCTCTAGGAGGGAATCTCTCCTTTGATTTCACTCTACTTGCTGTAACACCCAAAAATGCAGAGTGAGGTTGATTTCACCTAGAATTTGCAAATAAGACCTGGCCTCTGCTGGGATTTACAAGGCAGGGCCAGACTTTGGATTGAGAATTTACAGAAAACCAACAGGAGGCATTTTCTGCATTGTGAGATATCAACATAGACATTTTAAATTCCTTTTTTGGGAGTGTGGCTTTTTGACCTTTTCACATCTTCTTCATTAACCTGCCACAGTTATATGAGAGGCTCCAGGAGTAAATAGAATCTGATGGCAGAATCTGTAAGTGTAAACAAGCATCTTAAGACCACAAAGTATCCAGAGCCATGACCACAACTATACCTACCTGTAAAATGTGATACTGGAGTAGAGTCTTCTTGTCCTTCTACTTACCCAACAGCTAGCAAATCAGGACGGACAACCCGGATTCTGGAGTTGAGCCAAAGTAGTTCCATTTTTTTATTTAGAATCATCCTGAGTCTTCTCTGCCTGTCTTATCATTGGACCATCAGCCCAGGTTCACAGGGAACCGTCTAACAATTACCTATGAATCTCTGAGACATTGGAGAATGTCCAGAACAGAATTGTGTCAGGCTGACAAGAGTGATTAATTCTGCTTCTGTCCCAGTGTGAGAGAAATGAGTCATCTCGTGTTTGTTTCACCCGTTATACAAGAAGTATCTCTGGTTGGTAGCCAGATGAGAGTTTTTCCAGTTCCCTGGTACTTGGGTAAAAAATCAGGAGGTCTGGAGGCTCAAACAGATAAACTAATTGCTTCCATTTCATATAGTCATAAAAAAATAGAAGAAACAGGCTGGGTGCAATGTCTCATACCTGTAATCCCAGCACTTTGGGAAGCCAAGATGGGTGGATCACCTGAGGTCAGGAGTTCGAGACCAGCCTGGCCAACATGGTGAAATCCCATCTCTACTAAAAATACCCAAATTAGCTGGGTGTGGTGGCTCATGCCTGTAGTCCTGGCTACTTGGGAGGCTGAGGCAGGAGAATCTCTTGAACCTGGGAGGAGGAGGCTGCAGTGAGCTGAGATCACACCATCGCACCACAGCCCGGGCAACAAAGTGAGACTCAGTCTCAAAAAAAAAAAAAAAGAAAAGAAAAACAGATAAGCAGTCATGATTGCTACCATCCTGGAAGTTGTAGTCTAGACTAGCAACTGGAAAAATGGTTGAATTATGGATCATATGGTGGGTACAATAAATAGATATGTACAAAAAACAACTTGGGCTTTATTTGAGCCACTTTCTTTATATTGTGGTTTCTGATGTCTACACCTGAACTTATAAACGGAAGAGTCATTATTATTATTTGTATTTCTTTTACCCTGCTAAGAATACTTATTTTTCTTCTAAAAAAATTATTCTAGAAAACCTTAAGGGATTTTTTTTTGAATTGCTTATTAGTATGTAATATAAAATTTACAGGGCAGTGGCTAAAAAAGATTAAAATTATACAAACTCGGATTTAAGTTTACTTAAGTAAGCTTAAAAAAAAGAACTGACAGTACCCCCCAGTGGCATAGAGAACAGAATTGTACATCGGCTCTACACTCTGCCCCAGCCCTGTTCATATTCACCCTTTTTTGGAGGCCTTATTTATGTCTGGCCCTACCCTGGAGTCTTGCCTGAAAGAACCGATTAGAAGAGATCAGAGTTTTGGGTCATGAATCCTGTTGCCTTTTTAGAGCTGGTGTTCAACATTTTCTGAAACTTAAAAGCAGATAAATGGGAAATATAAAGTATGTATTATAGGATCTTACTTTTCAAATTTTTTATTAAAACCAGTGCTTGAAGAGACTTTATTTAGCAGCTTGTTTTCTGTTCCTCCAGATCTAGTAGTTGATTCACAAGTCACAAGAAAGTAAATATAAACACAATAAAAATGTATCTAAATTGCATTAAACTCTTTCCATCTGTATCCCTTTCATCTGTCTATATTTAGCTTTTGTTCTATACATTTTTTGAAAAAATCAATGACAGTTAAACAGAAATAGAAATAAAAATGCTGGGTCCTTTAAAGCCTTGGAATTATTGAACACTTAGTATCAACTGAAAGGGTGTTATTAGGATTAAATCACATAATGTGCTATCACAGTGCTCTGTAACTTCCTATTGAGCACATAGTACCTGCTTAATAAACATTGTAGTAGTACATGTGCACATGTTGTTTTCCAAATGCAGACTTACTCAGAAATTGCTGCTTTTTTTTTTCCTCTGCAAACTTTAAAGAGTCAGCAAAGAATATAATACTTTAGGATGAAGAATGATTGTCTTCATTTGTACCAGAAGTATTTGTGTTTTGACAAGAGTGCTGCGTGTAAGGGACTCTGCATTGTGCCTCATTTCTCTGACTAATGCTAATAATAAGCCCAGTGGGAGCAACATCATTATTGACAGGGCATTTGTTTAAAAGACCCATTTATGGACCCTTTCCATACCTGCAGAATTACATTTCATAGAGTGGGGCCAAAATTACCAAGTGATTTTATAAGCTCATTAGAGCTTGAGAGGAAATGCTTACTTAAGGAGTTATCAGCCCAGGCTTCTAATTAGTATCACTTGGCCATTTTGCAGAACTCTTTTTACTTGTGCCCTGTCCATGGATTCTGTTTATTGTTCTTGGTGGAAGCATCCATGTTGTTTTAATTAAGTGGCTCATGTGACTCTAAGGTGAGGCCAGAATCAAGTATGAGGAATTCAAAATACATTCATGAGAGTTAAGTTCCATCTTTGCATTAAAGGGTGGTCCAAGAACCTAATTCTGTTTGGATTTGGTAGGGACAGTACAGCGTGGCCCATATTTCCATTACTGTGGCAGAAATTGCTGGTGCCTGTGTCAGGGGATGGCTCCTGAGGACAAAATAAAGAAAAGCATATTTTTATCTCTGTGGAGCTACTCTTTGTTAATCTCTTCGGCTATAAAGGACAGAAATGGATGGAGTTTTTCTGTCTTGGTCCTTCTGCCTGTGGATGTGGTGACAGCAGGTAGACCTGTGGTGCTGACACTTTTAAAGGCATATTCTCAAGATGCAGGTGTAATTTGTCTAGAAAATTTTATTTGAGAAAGAATCCTAGAGAAGGAGGAGAAGGAGAAAAAAATGGCCTTTTCTTTTTCAGCTAAACATGTCTCAGATCAAGATCTGTGTCCAGTCTGCTTCCTCCAGAAAACATGTGTTTAGTACTTGCAAACCTGTACTTCTGTATTTGTGTTTTTCCTCCCTAATGAGTTTGTCTTAACTATTTGAAAAAATTCTGACAATAATCAAAGTCTCTGAAAAATATATATTTTTTCTGTATACCAGAG
Source organism: Homo sapiens (assembly GCF_000001405.40). NCBI lineage: Eukaryota > Metazoa > Chordata > Mammalia > Primates > Hominidae > Homo > Homo sapiens. Next base: position 21,992,742 of record NC_000019.10, on the reverse strand, counting down.
CCTTCTCTATATTACGGCTTCTTCTATGCCATGCAGAAATCTCACTATGAATTTATAATCTGCAATATTAAAAATGTCCCTTTGTGGCTGTGGAACATGGGAAGATGTAGACACTCAAAATTCCTATTGGGGAAAACCTGGGGTTTTTAGTGAAGACAGAACATATAATGTTGTGGTTTCATCTGTGTTCTTTATTATGTCTCTGCAGTACAGGATAAGAAAACACTCATTGAAGCAGTATGGTATTTATTACCCAGAAAATTCTTTAAAAATTGTTAGGAGATACCCGCTTTCTACAGTGCTAAAGAAAGACTATTTAAAATCACTACTAAAAATTACAGAACATGGGAGATATCTGTATCTTGAACTTTCCATAAAACTAATGTTTCCTTATGGTTAAACTCAGACTATAATTTACCTTTCAGGGGGCAATATCTCAGCAGTAATGCTGCGTCCTTCTGGGTGCATCAGGACATTATAAAAATGTGTTCTAGTGTAGTTGATGTTAATAAATCACTTGGTTGATAAGCTTTCTGACACATTTTTTCACTATAGAATTAATTATTTTTCTCTTCATCATCAAGTATCTTTATGCAGCTGATGTGAATAAACCAACACATTTAATCTGGCTGCTGCCCTTCTTTCTTAGGTTTCCTTTCCATTTGTCTGTTTTTGGAAAATGAAACCTCTCATCTTTGTTTACAAACCAGAAAAACTGAGAAAAACACAGGCTCATTCAATTACTGGATATTTGACAAAATAGTCTTTTTGGGCCAAAAACTTTGGCATACTTATGAGCTTATTAGAAATTCAGTAACTCAGACTTTATCTCAGATCTTCTGGAAAAAAAAAATCTGCATTAACAGGATCTCTAGCTTGTTGTACACATTAAAATTTGAGTGATACCTTCTAACTCAACACATCTATTCCATCTGAATAATACACAAAACTATGTCTTTCCATTTGAAAAATGCAATTGATTCTTTTTTTTTTTTTTTTTTTGAGATGGAGTTTCACTCTTGTTGCCCAAGCTGGAGTGCAATGGCATGATCTCGGCTAACCGCAACCTCTGCCTCGCGGGTTCAAGCGATTCTCCTGCCTCAGCCTCCTGAGTAGCTAGGATTACAGGCATGCGCCACCATGCCTGGCTAATTTTGTGTTTTTAGTGGAGACAGGGTTTCTCCATGTTTGTCAGGCTGGTCTCGAACTCCCGACCTCAGGTGATCTGCCTGCCTCAGCCTCCCAAAGTGCTAGGATTACAGGCATAAGCCACCATGCCTGGCACACAATTAATTCTGTATGATGTAAATATAGCACTCAAAATTGTACATGTTAGTGTTTATGCCCTCAGTTTATACTTTATTATCTAGAAAAATATTACATATAAACTGATGTTATGGATCTTATACCACTTTCTTTTATCAGAGTTAGAGAATAAAACTCTCAATAAATTAGGTATTGATGGGATGCATCTCAAAATAATAAGAGCTATCTATGACAAACTCACAGCCAATATCATACTGAATCGGCAAAAACTGGAAGCATTCCCTTTGAAAACTGGCACAAGACAGGGATGCCCTCTCTCACCACTCCTATTCAACATAGTGTTGGAAGTTCTGACCAGGGCAATTAGGCAGGAGAAGGAAATAAAGGGTATTCAATTAGGAAAAGAGGAAGTCAAATTGTCCCTGTTTGCAGATGACATGATTGTATATCTAGAAAACTCCATTGTCTCAGCCCAAAATCTCCTTAAGCTGATAAGCAACTTCGACAAAGTCTCAGGATACAAAATCAATGTACAAAAATCACAAGCATTCTTATACACCAATAACAGACAAACAGAGAGCCAAATCATAGTGAACTCCCATTCACAATTGCTTCAAAGAGAATAAAATACTTAGGAATCCAACTTAGAAGGGACGTGAAGGACCTCTTCAAGGAGAACTACAAACCACTGCTCAATGAAATAAAAGAGGATACAAACAAATGGAAGAACATTCCATGCTCATGGGTAGGAAGAATCAATATCGTGAAAATGGCCATACTAGGTATTTTATAGATTCAAGGTAATTTATAGATTCAATGCCATCTCCATCAAGCTACCAATGACTTTCTTCACAGAATTGGAAAAAACTACTTTAAAATTCATATGGAACCAAAAAAGAGCCTGCATCACCAAGTCAATCCTAAGCCAAAAGAACAAAGCTGGAGGCATCACGCTACCTGACTTCAAACTATACTACAAGGCTACAGTAACCAAAACATCATGGTACTGGTACCAAAACAGAGATATCAGAGATATAGATCAATGGAATAGAACAGAGCCCTCAGAAATAATGCTGGATATCTACAACTATCTGATCTTTGACAAACCTGAGAAAAAGAAGTAATGGGGAAAGGATTCCTTATTTAATAAATGGTGCTGGGAAAACTGGCTAGCCATATGTAGAAAGCTGAAACTGGATCCCTTCCTCACATCTTATACAAAAATTAATTCAAGATGGATTAAAGACTTAAACTTTAGACCTAAAACCATAAAAACCCTAGAAGAAAACCTGGGCATTACCATTCAGGACATAGGCATGGGCAAGGACTTCATGTCTAAAACACCAATAGCAATGGCAACAAAAGCCAAAATTGACAAATGGGATCTAATTGAACTAAAGAGCTTCTGCACAGCAAAAGAAACTACCATCAGAGTGAACAGGCAACCTACAAAACAGGAGAAAATTTTCGCAAACTACTCATCTGACAAAGGGCTAATATCCAGAATCTACAGTGAACTCAAACTAATTTACAAGAAAAAAACAAACAACCCCATCAAAAAGTGGGCAAAGGATATGAACAGACACTTCTCCAAAGAAGATATTTATGCAGCCAAAAAACACATGAAAAAATGCTCATCATCACTGGCCATCAGAGTAATGCAAATCAAAACCACAATGAGATACCATCTCACACCAGTTAGAATGACAATCATTAAAAAGGCAGGAAACAACAGGTGCTGGAGAGGATGTGGAGAAATAGGAACACTTTTACACTGTTGGTGGGACTGTAAACTAGTTCAGCCATTGTGGAAGTCCATGTGGCAATTCCTCAGGGATCTAGAACTAGAAATAACATTTGACCCAGCCATCTCATTACTGGGTATATATCCAAAGGACTATAAATCATGCTGCTATAAAGACACATGCACACGTATGTTTATTGCGGCACTATTCACAATAGCAAAGACTTGGAACCAACCCAAATGACCAACAATGACAGACTGGATTAAGAAAATGTGGCACATATATACCATGGAATACTATGCAGCCATAAAAAATGATGAGTTCATGTCCTTTGTTGGGACATGGATGAAATTGGAACATTCTCAGTAAACTATCACAAGGACAAAAAACCAAACACCGCATGTTCTTGCTCATAGATGGGAATTGAACAATGAGAACACATGGACACCGGAAGGGGAACATCACAGTCTGGGGACTGTTGTGGGGTGGGGGGTGGGGGGAGGGATAGCATTAGGAGATATACCTAATGCTAAATGACGAGTTAATGGGTGCAGTACACCAGGATGGCACATGTATACATATGTAATTAACCTGCGCATTCTGCACATGTACCATAAAACTTGAAGTATAATAATAATTAAAAAAAGAAAAAAGAGAGAGAATATGTTAGAGAATATTTGTGTTAAAAATTATTTTATTGAATAATTTCAGTCATGCTTATAAGTCAGAACCAGCTCTCTTTACTCTCTGCATTTTACCTTGAGTCAAATTAAAAATTCTGCCCATGTCCAGTTGATAAATATGTGTGTTTGTGTTTTCCAGGGATCATTGACATTTAGGGATGTGGCCATAGAATTCTCTCTGGAGGAGTGGCAATGCCTGGACACTGCACAGCAGAATTTATATAGAAATGTGATGTTAGAGAACTACAGAAACCTGGTCTTCCTGGGTGAGAATAACTTTAATACGCAATTCCTAGTATACACTACAGGTTTCATTTTGCTGCAGACCTTATTGGACTGAACAACGGAGGATGAATGTGAGAATAAAGACAAAGACAAAAGAGTATATTTGGAAGAAGGGGTCAGGGGCCTCCTTGCTTCTAGTCAACAAGGGTCCTGAGCTTCTATAGCCCTTTGTATTTATTGAGTAAAGGAGATAGGGAGAAGGGGGAGGTTGTGGTCAGCTGCTTGACTTAATGAAGGCCTGCATGACTGTATTCTTTCAACAGCACTCTCCAGATGTTCCAGTAGATAACTTCAAGGAGCATGGCACCAGGGAGTGACTGTCCTCAGTGTACCTTCTGGTGGCAGGAGCAGAAGCAAGTTTGCCCACATTCTGCATTCATGATAAACTGTTTGCTGTTTATCATATAGCCTCCAGTGGAATGCTGAGTTGGTCATGACCCTCAGGCTTTCAGCTCCCAACACCATTTCTTTTTTGTATAATTTCTTTTTGGTAATTTATGCTTTCAGATTTCTATTTTCAAGAAAATCATAGGAGTTTTTCCATATAGAAAAAAAATTCAAGATGTTTCATCTTGACCTGAACTTACCACATTCTTGAGCTGATCTGTGTCCTTCACTTTAGATTAATGGTAATTTCAAAAGTTTACTGGCAACCACCAATTTTTAATTCAGTATTACTAGGTGATAAAATTAAGAACCTACAAAATTAGAGAATTTTCTAAATATTTAGAAATTTCTGTTATTGTTGGGGACCAGCTTCAATACCACCTGTAGGGTACAGAAAGTCCGGTGGCGACGAAGGAATGAGAAGAGACAGGTTAAGAGTGCACAAAGGGTGGGGTGCCAGGGGACCAGTTGCACTTTTGGAGGCTGCAAAAGGCATCAAGTTCTGGTCTCCACAGTATTTATTGAGTATAATCACTTAGATCTAAGAAGCAGATGTTCAGGGGTGAAATGGTGAAAGGGAGGTAGTGTGTCATACACCTAATCTATAGCAGTGGTGGTTTAGGCAAAGTTTCTTTGTGCTGAAGCAGAATAAACTTAACTACTGATTCATTCTTTAACTTACCGGAGAGCAGCTGTTGGGGGGTGGGCCTAACTAGGAGCCTGCATATCTGGCCACATTCCAGTGCTTCAAAGGAGTATCTTTCTCCTTGAGCACAGTGTTTATAAGTAAGAGAGCAGGTCACGCTCTGGTCATGGGAACGTGATGGCAGTAAGGAGGCTTTCCTCCTCGGAGGCCTCCTGTGGCTTTCCACAACATATTGTCCCATATTTTTATGGCCAGCTTATACAGGCACCCCATAAGCCTTTTTCCCAACTTATTATAATTTAGTATTTTGGGATAAATCTATTAGAATATTCTATTACATCCTCTTTACTGAGCACATTACTGAGTTGGTAATTGGAGAATATGAGCAAGAAGCATGTTGTTCATTTTTAATAAAACAGGTATTGCTGCCTTTAAGCCAGACCTGATCATTTTTCTGGAGGAAGGAAAAGAGTCCTGGAATATGAAGAGACATGAGATGGTGGAAGAATCCCCAGGTAGGTGAGAGTGAATACAGACAACATGGATGAGAGGTCGAAAGTCAAGGAGGAAGCCAGTCCTTAAAGTGATTCTGGAAGCTGTGTTCCAAAAGAAGTAGTTTCTGGAGAGACTAATTTTTATTTTTATTCTTTAATTTTCTCTCACACAGGGGCATCTTCGGTCTTACACTTTTAAAATTTCTAAGAATTCTTCTTTCCCTTCAGTAATCTTCCTTCAAGTTTACAGTGACAGCCAAAGTACTGTTCATGGCATACAAGAGAGTGCACAATCTTTTTGTTTGTTTGTTTTTGTGGACACACAGATATCTGCATGATTTTAAGATACTCCATGTTAAACTATCTTATAAGTTCTCTCTTTCCATCATCTCTGAAATGTGTGAGAGTAGTAGTTTCTGTATCTTTGGGGTTTTTTTGTTCATTTTTCTGTACATTTCATCCTGTTTTTATTACTGTAGTCTTGAAATATAGTTTGAAATTATAAAGTATGATGTCCTTCTGCTTTTTTCTTTTTCTTCAAGATTGCTTTGGCTATTCACAGTTTCTTGTAGTTTCATGTAAATTTTATGATTGTATTTTTCATTACTGTGAAAAAAACACTGGAATATTGATAGAGAGTTTATTGAATCTAGAGATCACTTTGGATAATATGGCATTTTACCATTTATTCTTTGAATTGATAGGCATAAAATGTATTTGAATTTATTTGTGTTCTCATTATTTTTCATTGATAAATCTTGCACTTGAAAACTTTTTCAACTCCTCAGTTAAATTTGTTCTCAGATATTTATTATTTTAGTGCTATTGTAAATAAGATTGTTTTATTACTCTATTTTATCAGATAGTTTAAGTGTATGGAAACATAACTTGTATGTTAATTTTATATTTTGCTAATTTACTGAGTGTATTTATTGGTTTGAAAAGGTTTTAATGTACTGTTTATGGTTTTTTATAGAGAACATTGCATGATTTACAAACAGCAATGTTTTACTTATTTGTCTTCAATTTCAATGACATTAAAATTTTTTTGACTAATTTTTCTTCCACATACTTCAAGTGCTGTGTTAAAATAGAAGCATTGACAATGAACACAATATACTTTTGCATTGGTGTATGAATTTGAAGGAGTAAACACCTCTTAAAGTTTTTATAAACTGGTTTCAGAGGGTTGTAGCTCGGTCACAGGGCTGCTGGCTCTGCAATAGAGTTGGCTTACTATAAGGGGCTTTGGTAGTTGTAATTCCCATTTTATTTTTGGACAGAGTAAATATCCCTCAGGACTTTGCTCAGTAGGGTATCAGATGCTAGGGCAGGTTTCTGCAGTCAGGTCTGCGTATGGTGGGCTTTATAATAGGATGTGGATTAGTATGGTTTCACTGAGTACCAGAGAGCATTTCTGAGGTCACTGTAGGTTTCTACATGGGCAGAAGTGGCCATGAACCGTGGCTTAGGAAACTGGAACTGAGTCATGAAACTGGTATTGGAACCACAGTAAGGACCAAGGTCTGCCGGCCTGCCGTCATGGCTCTAAATGGGTATCTCTCTCCAGGCTTCTGGAAGACAAAGACCTCTCACAGACTGTGGCTGGGAGGAGTTTGGGATGGTTACAGAGTAAGTTCAAAATTCTCCGTGGGACCAAGTTGGGTGGGACATTTTCTGGTCTGTAGTCAAGAGCAGGGGTCCTGTAGTTTGCCACTTGAATGAAAGCTTGCCTGCTGAAAAGGGTGCTCCTCAATCTTGGGCTTTAGCAAAGTTTCACAATTGCCTCCCTGGATCTCAAAGCTCTCTTAAAGGCACTTATTTTTGAGATGGGGTTTCACTACATAACCCAGGTTGGTCTTAAAATTTTGTCCTGAAGCAATTCTCCAACCTTACTGTACCATGTTGCTGTCATTACAGATGTTAACCATGATGCCTGGTTCCCTCATTAAGATATTTTTGTCACGGATGACTGACAAACTTTCTTGCTGTTGGGGGTTAAGCAAATAGGAGACCTTTTTGTTTTTATCTGTTTCTAAGAGTTTAAATGCTTTATATCTCTCTATCTCATACAATCTTTGTCTTTTTGTGGCTGACTCATTTCATTTTGCATAATGTTATCAAGATTTATCGTTATAATTGGTAGAATATTTTCTGCTTTTTTAAAACTGAGTGATATTCCAGTATATTTATATTTCAGATTATATTTACTGAATGATTTGGTGACAGAAATTTGCATTGCCTTTACCTACTAGCTTACAGTAATAATTATTGCTATGTAAATGACTCCTCATATGACTATACATGTTAAAGTATATGTGTCGCATTCTATTTCTTTAGTCTGATTTTTCATCCTTATACCAGATTGTTTTAATTCTGTGGCTTGGAATGTCTTTTGAAATCAGGAACTTTAATGCCTGCAACATTGCTTTATTATTATTATTTTAAGATTGTTGGGTACTTTATTGTCTTTTGAGATTCTATATACTTTTAGGGTTGCAGTTTCTATTTTTTCAAAAATGCAAGGAGAAATTTGAAAAACATTTCATTAAATTTATAGATTACATTGAATAGGATGAACATCTTTACAATATTAACATTACAACCTTTGCATAAGAGCATGCTCGAGTGTTTTGTTAAATTCATATATATTTTTTTTGTTTGTTTGTTTGTTTTTGTTTTTTTGAGACAGAGTCTTACTCTATCACCAGGCTGGAGTGCAATGGCATTATCTCGGCTCATTGCAACCTCCACCTCTTGGGTTCAAGCGATTCCCCTGCCTCAGCCTCCTGAGTAGCTGGGACTACAGGTGCGTGCCACCAAGCCTCACTAGTTTTTTGTATTTTAGTAGAGACAGGGTTTCACCATGTTGGCCAGAATGGTCTTGATCTCCTGACCTTGTGATTCACCAGCCTTGGCCTTCCAAGGTGCTGGGATTACAGGCATGAGCCACCGCACCTGGCATATTTGTTTTGTTTTCAGTTTTTTTCTATTTTTGTTGTATACTGGCATTCAAGTTTAGTCACAGAAAATAATTCATAAAATTTCAGTTTTAAAAAACTTGGTAAGACTTCTTTTTTGGCTTAAGAGGTGGTCTATCAAGAAATATATTGTATGAGCTATTCAGAAGGGTGTGTATCCTGATGTTAAGGAGTGCTCTCTATACCTCTGTCAGAAATAGTTGTTTTATACCATCTTTATGTAGCCTGTTTCCTTATTAATATTCTGTTTTTTTAAATTATGATTTAAATTCTGGGGTACATGTGCAGAACGTGCAGGTTTGTTTCATAGGTATACACGTGCCATGGGGGTTTGCTGCACCCATCAACTCGTTATCTACATTAGGTATTTCTCCTAATGTTATCCCTCCCCTAGCCCCCACCCCTTGACAGGCCCTGGTGTGTGATGTTCCCCTTCCTGTGTCCCTGTGTTCTCATTGTTAACTCCCACTTATGAGTGAGAACATGCTGTGTTTCGTTTTCTGTTCTTGTGTTAGTTTGCTGAGAATGATGATTTCCAGCTTCATCCATGTCCCTGGAAAGGACATGAACTCATTTTTTTTTATGGCTGCCTAGTATTCCATGGTATATATGTGCCACATTTTCTTTATCCTGTATATTACTGATGGGCATTTGGGTTGGTTCCAAGTCTTTGCTATTGTGAATAGTGCTGCAAAAAACATGTGTATTCATGTGCCTTTATAGTAGAATGATTTATAATCTTCTGAGTATATACCCAGTAATGGGATTGCTGGGTCAAATGGTATTTCTAGTTCTAGATCCTTGAGGAATCGCCACATTGTCTTCCACAATGGCTGAACTAATTTACACTCCAACCAGCAGTGTAAAAGCTTTTCTACTTCTCCACATCTCCAGCATCTGTTGTTTCCTGACTTCTCAATGATCGCCGTTCTAACTGGCATGAGATGGTATCTCATTTTGGTTTTGATTTGCATTTCTCTAATGACCAGTGATGATGTGCTTTTTTTCATATGTTTGTTTGCCACATAAATGTCTTTTTGAGAAATGTCTGTTCATATCCTTTGCCTACTTTTTGATGGTTTTTTTTTCTTGTAAATTTGTTTAAGTTCTTTGTAGATCCTGGATATTAGCCCTTTGTCAGATGGATAGATTGCAAAATTTTTCTCCCATTCTGTAGGTTGCCTGTTCACTCTGATGATAGTTTCTTTTGCTGTGCAGAAGCTCTTAGTTTAATTAGGTTTCATTTGTCAATTTTGGCTTTTGTTGCCATTGTTTTTGGTGTTTTAGTCATGAAGTCTTTGCCCATGCCTATGTCCTGAATAGTATTGTCTAGGTTTTCTTCTACGGTTTTTATGGTTTGCAGTGTTACATTTAAATCTTCAATCCATCTTGAGTTAATTTTTGTATAAGGTTTAAGGAAGGGGTCCAGTTTCAGTTTTCTGCATATGGCTAGCCAGTTTTTTCAACACCATTTATTAAATAGGGAATCCTTTTCCCATTGCTTGCTTTTGTCAGGTTTGTCAAAGATCAGATGGTTGTAGATGTGTGGTGTTATTTCTGAGGCCTTTGTTCTGTTCCATTGGTCTATATATCTGCTTTGATACCAGTACCATACTGTTTTGTTTACTGTAGCCTCATAGGGTAATTTGAAGTCAGGTAGCATGATGCCTCCAGCTTTGTTCTTTTTGCTTAGGATTGTCTTGGCTATATGAGCTTTTTTTTGGTTCTGTATGAAATTTAAAGCGGTTTTTTTTCTAATTCTGTGAAGAAAGTCAATGGTAGCTTGATGGGGATAGCATTGAATCTATAAATTACCTTGGGCAGTATGGCCATTTTCATGATATTGATTCTTTCTATGCACGAGCATGGAATGTTCTTCCTTTTTTTTTTTTTTTTTTGAGATGGAGTCTCGCTCTATCACCCAGGCTGAAGTGCAGTGGTGCGATCTCAGCTCACTGCAAGCTCCACCTCCCAGGTTCACGCCATTCTCCTGCCTCAGCCTCCCGAGTAGCTGGGACTACAGGCGCCTGCCACCATGCCCGGCTAATTTTTTTGTGTTTTTAGTAGAGATGGGGTTTCACAGTGTTAGCCAGGATGATCTCGATCTCCTGACCTCATGATCCACCCGTCTCGGCCTCCCAAAATGGTGGGATTACAGACGTTAGCCACTGCGCCCAGCCATGGAAAGTTTTTCCATTTTTTGTGTCCTCTCTTATTTTCTTGAGCAGTGGTTTGTAGTTCTCCTTGAAGAGGTCCTTCCCATCCCTTGTAAGTTGTATTCCTAGGTATTTTATTCTCTTTGTAGCAATTGTGAATGGGAGTTCACTCATGATTTGGCTATTATTGGTGTTTAGGAATGCTTGTGATTTTTGCTCATTGATTTTGTATTCTGAGACTTTGCTGAAGTTGCTTATCCATTTAGGGAGATCTTGGGCTGAGACAGTGGGGTTTTCTAAATATACAATCATGTCATCTGCAAATAGAGACAATTTGATTTCCTCTTTTCCTATTTGAATATCCTTTATTTCTTTTTCTTGCCTGATTGCCCTCACCAGAACTTCCAATACTATGTTGAATAGGAGTGGTGAGAGAGAGCATCCCTGTTTTGTGCCAGTTTTCAAAGGGAATGCTTCCAGTTTTTGACCATTCAGTATGATATTGTCTGTCAGTTTGTCATACATAGCTCTTATTATTTTGAGATACGTTCCATCTATACCTAGTTTATTGCAAGTTTTTAGCATGAAGGCTGTTCAATTTTGTTGAAGGCCTTTTATGCATCTATTGAGATAATCATGTGGTTTTTGTCATTGGTTGTGTTTATGTGAGCGATTATGTTTATTGATTTGTGTATGTTGAACCAGCCTTGCATCCCACAGATGAACCTGACTTGATCTTGGTGGATAAGCTTTTTGATGTGCTGCTGGATTCAGTTTGCCAGTATTTTATTGAGGATTTTTGCATCCATGTTAATCAGGGATATTGGCCTGAAATTTTCTTTTTTTGTTGTGTCTCTGCCAGGTTTTGGTATCAGGATGATGCTGGCCTCATAAAATGAGTTAGACAGGAGTCCCTCTTTTTCCATTGTTGGGAATAGTTTCAGAAATAATAGAATCAGCTCTTCTTTGTACCTCTGGTACAAAGGTTGTGAATCCATCGGGTCCTGGACATTTTTGGTTGTTAGGCTCATAATTACTGCCTCAGTTTCAGAATTCGTTATTGATCTCTTCAGGGATTTGACTTCTTCCTGATTTAGACTTGGGATGGTGTATGTGTCCAGGAATTTATTCATTTCTTTTAGATTTTCTAGTTTATTTGTATAGAGATGTTTATAGTATTGTCTGATGGTAGTTTGTATTTCTGTGGAATCAGTGGTGATGTCCCCTTTATTATTTTTGATTGTGTCTATTTGATTCTTCTCTCCTTTCTTCTTTATTAGACTGGCTAGCAGTCTATTTTGTTAATCTTTTCAAAAAACCAGCTCCTGGATTCATTGATTTTTTTGAAGGATTTTTTGTGTCTATCTCCTTCAGTTCTGCTCTTTTCTTAGTTATTTCTTGTCTTCTGCTAGGGTTTGAATTTGTTTATTCTTGCTTCTCTAGTTCTTTTCATTGTGATGTTAGGGTGTCAATTTTAGATCTGTCTTGCTTTCTTTTGTGGGCATTTAGTGCTATATATTTTCTAGACACTGCTTTGTCTGTGTCCCGGAGATTCTGGTGTGTTGTGTCTTTGTTCCTGTTGGTTTCAAAGAACTTTTTTATTTCTGCCTTCATTTTATTATTTACCCTATAATCATTCAGGAGCAGGTTGTTCAGTTTCCATGTAGTTGTACAGTTTTGAGTGAGTTTCTTAATCCTGAGTTCAAATTTGATTGCACTGTGCTCTGAGAGACTGTTTGTTATGATTTCCATTTTTTAAAATTTGCTGAGGAGTATTTTACTTCCAAGTATGTTGTCAATTTAAGAGTGATGTGGTGCCGAGAAGAATGTATATTCTGTTGATTTGTGGCAGAGTCCTGTAGATGTCTATTTGGTTTGCTTGGTCCAGAGCTGAGTTCAAGTCCTGAATATCCTTCTTAGTTTTTTGTGTCATTGATCTGGCTAATATTGACACTGGGATATTAAAGTCTCCCACTACTATAGTATGGGTATCTAAGTCTCTTTGTAGGTCTGTAAGAACTTGCTTTATGATTCTCGGTGCTCCTGTATTGGGTGCATATATATTTAGGATAGTTAGCTCATCTTGTTGCATTGATCCCTTTACCATTATGTAATGACCATCTTTGTCTCTTTTGATCTTTGTTGGTTTAAAGTCTGTTTTATCAGAGACTAGAATTGCAACCCCTGCTTTCTTTTGCTTTCCATTTGCTTGGTAAATATTCCTCCATAACTTTATTTTGAGCCTATATGTGTCTTTGCACGTGAGATGGATTTCCTGAATACAGCACTTTGATGGATCTTGACTGTTCAATTTGCCAGTCTGTGTCTTTTAATTGGGGCATTTAGCCTGTTTACATTTAAGGTTAATATTGTTGTGTGTGAATTTGATCCTGTCATTATGACGCTAGCTGGTTATTTTGCCCATTAGTTGATGCAGTTTCTTCATAGTGTCAATGATCTTTACAATTTGGTATGTTTTTGCAGTGGCTGGTTTACCAGTTGTTCCTTTTTATGTTTAGTGCTTCCTTCAGGAGCTCTTGTAAGGCAGGCCTGGTGGTGACAAAATCTCTCAGCATTTGCTTATCTGTAAAGGATTTTATTTCTCCTTCATTTATGAAGTTTAGTTTGGCTGGATGTGAAATTCTTGGTTGAAAATTCCTTTCTTTAAGAATGTTGAATATTGGCCCCCCAGTCTCTTCTGGCCTGTAGGGTTTCTGCAGAGAAATCCACTGTTAGTCTGATGGGCTTCCCTTTATGGGTAACCCGACCTTTCTCCCTGGCTGCCGTCAACATTTTTTCTTCATTTCAACCTTGGTGAATCTGACGATTCTGTGTCTTGGGGTTGCTCTTCTCGAGGAGCATCTTTGTGGTGTTCTCTGTATTTTCTGAATTTGAATGTTGGCCTGTCTTGCTATGTTGGGGACATTCTCCTGGATGATATCCTGAAGAGTGTTTTCCTACTTGGTTCCATTCTCCCTGTCACTTTCACGTACCCGAATTAAATGTAGATTTGGTCTTTTCACATAGTCCCATATTTCTTGGAGGCTTTGTTCATTTCTTTTTATTCTTTTTTGTCTAATCTTGTCTTCTTGCTTTATTTCATTAAGTTAATCTTCAGTCTCTGATATCCTTTCTTCCGCTTTATCGATTCAGCTGTTGACATTTGTGTATGCTTCATGAAGTTCTCGTGGTGTGTTTTTCATCTCCATCAGGCATTTATGTTCTCTAAACTGGTTATTCTCGTTAGCAATTCATCTAACCTTTTTTCAAGGTTCTTAGCTTCCTGGCATTGGGTTAGAACATGCTCCTTTAGTTTGGAGGAGTTTGTTATAACCCACCTCTGAAATTTGTCAAATTTGAGCTGTCAATTCGTCAAACTCATTCTCCATTCAGTTTTCTTTCTTTGCTGGCAATGAGTTGTGATCCTTTGGAGGAGAACAGGCATTCTGGGTTTTGGAATTTTCAGCCTTTTTGCACTGGCTTCTCCCCATCTTTATGGATTTATCTACCTTTGGTCTTTGATGTTGATGACTTTTGGACGGGGTTTCTGAGTAAACATCCTTTTGGAGATGTTACTTCTATTCCTTTCTGTTTGTTAGTTTTCCTTTTAACAGTCAGGCCTCTCTGCTGCAGATCTGCTGGAGCTTTCTGGAAGTCTACTCTAGACCCTGTTTGCCTGGGTATCACCAGCGGAGGCTGCAGAACAGCAAAGATTGCTGCCTGTTCCTTCCTCTGGAAGCTTCGTCCCAAGGCCACCTGCCATGTGCCAGCCAGAGCTCTCTTGTACGAGGTGTCTATCAGCTTCTACTGGGAGGTGTCTCTTAATCAGGAGACACGGGTGTCAGGGACCCACTTGAGGTGGCAGTCTGACCCTTAGCAGAGCTCAAATGCTGAGCTGGTACCTCCACTGCTCTCTTCAGAGTTGTCCAGCAGGGATGTTTAAGTCTGCTGAAGCTGCACTCACAGCTGTCCCTTCCCCAAGGTGCTCTGTCCCAGGGAGATGGGCGTTTTATCTATATGCCCCTGAATGTGGCTGCTGCATTTTTTTCAGAGATGCCCTGCCCAAAGAGGAGGCATCTTGAGATACAGTCTGGTCTTGCTGAGCTGCGATGGGCTCCATCCAGTTCAATCTTCCGGGTGGCTTTGTTTATACTCTGAGGGTAAAGCTGCCTACTCAAGCCTCAGCAATGGCGGACGCCCTTCCCCCACCAAGCTCGAGCTTCCCAGGTGGAGCTTGGACTGCTGTGCTTGCAGCCAGAATTTCAAGCCAGTGGATCTTAGCCGGCTGGGCTCCCTGGTTGTGGGAACTGCCAAGCCAGACCACTTTGCTCCCTGGCTTCAGCCCTCTTTCCAGGGGAGTGAACGGTTCTGTCTTACTGGACTTCTGGGCACTACTGGGGTATGGGGGAAAAAAAGCCTCCTGCAGCTAGTTTGGTGTCTGCTCAAATGGCCACCCAGTTTTGTGCTTGAAACCCAGGGCCCTGGTGTCATAGGCACCAGAGGGAATCTCCTGGTCTGCAGGCTGCGAAGACCATGGGAAAAGCACAGTATCTGGGCTGGAGAGCACGGTTCTTCATGGTACAGTCCCTAAACCCTTACCTTGGCTAGGAGAGGGAGTTCCCCAACCCGTTGCACTTCCCAGGGGAGACGACATCCCACCCTGCTTTGGCTTGCCCTCAGGGAGCCGCACCCACTGTTCAACCAGTTGGAATGAGATGAAACCAGTACCTCAGTTGGAAACGCAGAAATCACCCACCTTCTGTGTCGATCGCGCTGGGAGCTGTAGACCAGAGCTGTTCCTATTTGGCCATCTTGGCAGCCTCCTCTATTTTGATTTTTATTACAGAAAGTGTGGTGTAATAATATCCTACTATAATTGTATTGCTCTCCTTGTGTTTCTTCTATTCTGTCAGTATTTGCTTTCTGTATTTGTAATCCTAATGTGTGATACACACACACACGTATTCAACGTTTTCACAGGTTCTGAGTTAATCCATTATTTTTAATATCTTTCTTTGTCTCTTTGGAGTTTCACTGTAAAGTGCATTTTATAAAATATGAGTCTTTGACTTAAGATTTAGCTTGTGTAATATTATTTTGACCTCTTCTGCTCTCATTTGATTAATATTTGCATGAAATGTCTACTTCCATCTTGCCACTTTGAGTCTTTTTAACATTAGGTTTCAACTGACTCTTGTAGAAAGGCAAGTTGGATCTTGATATTTAAAATTTTTTAATAGCCTGGGCACGGTGGCTCATGCCTGTAATCCCAGCACTTTGTGAGGCTGAGGCAGGTAGATCACCTGAGGTCAGGAGCTCAAGACCAGCCTGGCCAACATGGTAAAACTCTGTCTCTACTACCAATGCAGAAATTAGCTGGGTGTGGTGGTGCATGCCTGTAATCCCAGCTACTTGGGAGTCTGAGGCAGGAGAATCACTTGAACCTGGGAGGCAGAGGTTCAAGTGAGCTGAGATAGGGTCTTTGCACTCCAGCCTGGGCAACAAAAGTAAAACTTTGTCTCAAAAGAATAAATGTTAATAAATCTATTAGATATCTGTTGATTTGAAAGTTAACTTTCCATATATTTAAATAATTTTCTGAAAGTGAAGGAGTTACTTTTATTACCTATTCTATTTGATTCTTGCATCTTGTCTCTCATTTTCTCTTTCTGTCTTCCTTTGTTTCTGTCTGATTTTTGTATGGATATGCTTTCACTATCTTAGTTTTCTTTTCTGTATGTATACAGATATTTTGTGTGTGTGGTACCTTGGGGATTGCATAGAACCTAAAAATACAACAATATATTTTAATCAGGTGAAAAATTAACTTTGGTTGCATAAAAAATTCTTCCCTATTATGTCTGCTCTTAAATTTGTCACCGATGTTGCTAAGTTTATTGATTTATGTCGTATATTCATTAACAGATGTTTATAATAATTCCTATGCTTTTATCTCTTAAATGTTAGAGAATAATTAAAAATGTTTTCTGCACCATTAGAATAATGCTAGAAATTCAATTTTTTGTCTGTGCATGTCTTTCCTAGAAAATAATGTATTTTTATATGATTAGGTGTTGTTTTCTTACATTATGTTATTTTCAGTGGTAAAAACTGCTTTCGGCATCTTTCTTATGGAAGACATATGCAGTGCTAATATACTTCTTAAGAATTTAGTTATTTTGAAAGTTGTTTTTTTTCCCCCATTAGGCAGGACAGAGTTGCTGATGGTATTATTCTCACTTGATAGCTTTTTTTTTTTTTTTTTTTTTTTTTTTTGGACTTTGACTATATCACACAGTTTTCTTCTGGACTGCAAATCTTTTGTTGACATTTCACTGGTCATTTTTGTTCTTATCCTCATTTTTCTGATTTTCTATACACTTTTGTGTTCCTATTTCACTCATTGAGTGTTATTCAGTTTTTAAAATTAGTATATCCATTGCTAATGGGTTCTTTCTGAAAATTGTATAATATTTTTGATGGAATTATATTGCCCTATATTGTATAGATTTTAATCTTTGAGATTTGGACATTTAAAAAGGCTACCTGTCACAAAATTTATAATGTAGCTTTGTCCTGGCATAGTCAGAAAACAATGGTCTGGGTTAAGATTATGTGGGCCTCTCAAACATCTTCAGATTTCTTGTCTGAAGTTTTGCATTTACTTTTAGTTGAGAGAGATTATTTATCTTTCTTCTGAAAAGTAATCACTTGGTACATCTGGTCTCTCTCTGCAGGACTGCAGTGCTCTGCTGCAGTGCATTTACCTTTGGTCTCAGCAGACTCAAACTGTCATTTCTAAGTATACCACCATATCTTTCAGCATTTTATGTCATGGGAGACAGAAACCAGTGTGTGGAAAGGGCTGTAGAAGACATAAATTAAATTTTTTGTGCCAATATTTTACTTTCCTTAAAAACAGAACAAAACAAAACAAAACAAAAAAACACAAACAGAAGTTGACAATTTAGTTCTGAAGGTACTAGGTAATATTGAGGAACAGAAAGAGTCGTACTGGGTAAATTTAACAAACTTTTCTTTTTTTCTGTGTGACTCTGCATTCAGCTTAATTCAGGCACTGCACACACTTAACTCATGTATAAATTATCCACATATGTATTTCGGTCTATATGTTTTTATTAGATTTATATGTCTATGAAGAATTAGGGCCTGTGTCATATTGCAGTGTCATCTTGCTTATGTAGTTTGAATAATTTTATAGTTTAGATTTAGAAACTGTATTTATCTGAGTCTAATAAGTAGGCTAATTTGTGATTTTTATTTCTTTTCAGTTATATGTTCTCATTTTGCTCAAGATCTTTGGCCAGAGCAGGGCATAGAAGATTCTTTCCAAAAAGTGATATTGAGAAGGTATGAAAAATGTGGACATGAGAATTTACACTTAAAAATTGGTTATACCAATGTGGATGAGTGTAAGGTGCACAAAGAAGGTTATAATAAACTTAACCAGAGTTTGACAACTACACAGAGCAAAGTATTTCAACGTGGCAAATATGCAAATGTCTTTCATAAATGTTCAAATTCAAACAGACATAAGATAAGGCATACTGGAAAGAAACATTTGCAATGTAAAGAATACGTCAGATCATTTTGCATGCTTTCACACCTATCTCAACATAAAAGAATTTATACTAGAGAGAATTCCTACAAATGTGAAGAAGGTGGCAAAGCTTTTAACTGGTCCTCAACCCTTACTTATTATAAGAGTGCTCATACTGGAGAGAAACCCTACAGATGTAAAGAATGTGGCAAAGCCTTTAGTAAGTTCTCAATCCTTACTAAACATAAGGTAATTCATACTGGAGAGAAATCCTACAAATGTGAAGAATGTGGCAAGGCTTTTAACCAATCTGCAATCCTTACTAAACATAAGATAATTCATACTGGAGAGAAACCCAACAAATGTGAAGAATGTGGCAAAGCCTTTAGTAAGGTCTCGACTCTTACTACACATAAGGCAATTCATGCTGGAGAGAAGCCCTACAAATGTAAAGAATGTGGCAAAGCCTTCAGTAAGGTCTCAACCCTTATTACACATAAGGCAATTCATGCTGGAGAGAAGCCCTACAAATGTAAAGAATGTGGCAAAGCCTTTAGTAAGTTCTCAATCCTTACTAAACATAAGGTAATTCATACTGGAGAGAAACCCTACAAATGTGAAGAATGCGGCAAAGCCTATAAGTGGCCCTCAACCCTTAGTTATCATAAGAAAATTCATACTGGAGAGAAACCCTACAAATGTGAAGAATGTGGCAAAGGTTTTAGTATGTTCTCAATCCTTACTAAACATGAGGTCATTCATACTGGAGAGAAACCCTACAAATGTGAAGAATGTGGCAAAGCTTTCAACTGGTCCTCAAACCTTATGGAACATAAGAAAATTCACACTGGAGAGACACCCTACAAATGTGAAGAATGTGGCAAAGGCTTTAGTATGTTCTCAATCCTTACTAAACATAAGGTAATTCATAATGGAGAGAAACCCTACAAATGTGAAGAATGTGATAAGGCAACTCATGCTGGAGAGAAACCCTACAAATGTGAAGAATGTGGCAAAGCTTTCAACTGGTCCTCAAACCTTATGGAACATAAGAGAATTCATACTGGAGAGAAACCCTACAAATGTGAAGAATGTGGCAAAAGCTTCAGTACATTCTCAATCCTTACTAAACATAAGGTAATTCATACTGGAGAGAAACCCTACAAATGTGAAGAATGTGGCAAAGCCTATAAGTGGTCCTCAACCCTTAGTTATCATAAGAAAATTCATACTGTAGAGAAACCCTACAAATGTGAAGAATGTGGCAAAGCTTTTAACCAATCTGCAATTCTTATTAAACATAAGAGAATTCATACTGGTGAGAAACCCTACAAATGTGAAGAATGTGGCAAAACCTTTAGTAAGGTCTCAACCCTTACTACACATAAGGCAATTCATGCTGGAGAGAAGCCCTACAAATGTAAAGAATGTGGCAAAACCTTTATTAAGGTCTCAACCCTTACTACACATAAGGCAATTCATGCTGGAGAGAAGCCCTACAAATGTAAAGAATGTGGCAAAGCCTTTAGTAAGTTCTCAATCCTTACTAAACATAAGGTAATTCATACTGGAGAGAAACCCTACAAATGTGAAGAATGTGGCAAAGCTTTCAACTGGTCCTCAAACCTTATGGAACATAAGAGAATTCATACTGGAGAGAAACCCTACAAATGTGAAGAATGTGGCAAAAGCTTTAGTACATTCTCAGTCCTTACTAAACATAAGGTAATTCATACTGGAGAGAAACCCTACAAATGTGAAGAATGTGGCAAAGCCTATAAGTGGTCCTCAACCCTTAGTTATCATAAGAAAATTCATACTGTAGAGAAACCCTACAAATGTGAAGAATGTGGCAAAGCTTTTAACCGATCTGCAATCCTTATTAAACATAAGAGAATTCATACTGATGAGAAACCCTACAAATGTGAAGAATGTGGCAAAACCTTTAGTAAGGTCTCAACCCTTACTACACATAAGGCAATTCATGCTGGAGAAAAGCCCTACAAATGTAAAGAATGTGGCAAAGCCTTTAGTAAGTTCTCAATCCTTACTAAACATAAGGTAATTCATACTGGAGAGAAACCCTACAAATGTGAAGAATGTGGCAAAGCCTATAAATGGCCCTCAACCCTTAGTTATCATAAGAAAATTCATACTGGAGAGAAACCCTACAAATGTGAAGAATGTGGCAAAGGTTTTAGTATGTTCTCCATCCTTACTAAACATGAGGTAATTCATACTGGAGAGAAACCCTACAAATGTGAAGAATGTGGCAAAGCCTTCAGCTGGTTGTCAGTCTTTAGTAAACATAAGAAAACTCATGCTGGAGAGAAATTCTACAAATGTGAAGCATGTGGCAAAGCCTATAAGTCATCCTCAACCCTTAGTTATCATAAGAAAATTCATACTGAAGAGAAACCTTACAAATATGAAGAATGTGGCAAAGGCTTTAGTACATTCTCAATCCTTACTAAACATAAGGTAATTCATACTGGAGAGAAACCCTACAAATGTGAAGAATGTGGCAAAGCTTTCAACTGGTCATCAAACCTTATGGAACATAAGAAAATTCACACTGGAGAGACACCCTACAAATGTGAAGAATGTGACAAAGCCTTCAGCTGGCCCTCAAGCCTTACTGAACATAAGGCAACTCATGCTGGAGAAAAACCCTACAAATGTGAAGAATGTGGCAAAGCCTTCAGCTGGCCCTCAAGACTTACTGAACATAAGGCAACTCATGCTGGAGAGGAACCCTACAAATGTGAAGAATGTGGCAAAGCTTTCAACTGGTCCTCAAACCTTATGGAACATAAGAGAATTCATACTGGAGAGAAACCCTACAAATGTGAAGAATGTGGCAAAAGCTTTAGTACGTTCTCAATCCTTACTAAACATAAGGTAATTCATACTGGAGAGAAACCCTACAAATGTGAAGAATGTGGCAAAGCCTATAAGTGGTCCTCAACCCTTAGTTATCATAAGAAAATTCATACTGTAGAGAAACCCTACAAATGTGAAGAATGTGGCAAAGGCTTTGTTATGTTCTCAATCCTTGCAAAACATAAGGTAATTCATACTGGAGAGAAACTCTACAAATGTGAAGAATGTGGCAAAGCCTATAAGTGGCCCTCAACCCTTAGATATCACAAGAAAATTCATACTGGAGAGAAACCCTACAAATGTGAAGAATGTGGCAAAGCCTTTAGTACGTTCTCAATCCTCACTAAACATAAGGTAATTCATACTGGAGAGAAACCCTACAAATGTGAAGAATGTGGCAAAGCCTTCAGCTGGTTATCAGTCTTCAGTAAACATAAGAAAATTCATACTGGAGAGAAACTCTAGAAATGTGAAGAATGTGGCAAAGCCTATAAGTGGCCCTCAACCCTTAGTTATCATAAGAAAATTCATACTGGAGAGAAACCCTACAAATGTGAAGAATGTGGTGAGGCTTTCAACTGGTCCTCAAACCTTATGGAACATAAGAGAATTCATACTGGAGAGACACCCTACAAATGTGAAGAATGTGGTAAAGGCTTTAGTATGTTCTCAATCCTTACTAAACATAAGGTAATTCATACTGGAGAGAAACCATACAAATGCAAAGAATGTGGCAAAGCCTATAAGTGGTCCTCAACCCTCAGTTATCATAGAAAATTCATACTGGAGAGAAACCCTACAAATGTGAAGAAAGTGGCAAAGCCTTCAGCTGGTTCTCAGTCTTTAGTAAACATAAGAAAATTCATGCTGGAGAGAAATTCTAAAAATGTGAAGAATTTGGCAAAGCTTTTAAACAGTTCCCAACCCTCCTACACATAAGAAAATTCATGCTGGAGAGAAACTCTACAAATGAGAAGAATGTGGCAAAGGCTTCAACCAGTCCTCAAACCTTATGGAACATAAGAGAATTCATACTGGTGAGAAGCCCTACAAATGTGAAGAATGTGATAAAGACTTCAACTGGTCCTCACACCTTACTACTCATAAAAGAATTCATACTGGAGGAAAAACCCTACAAATATGAAAAATGTGGCAAAACTATTAATTAATTCTCAACGCTTACTGAACATAAGGGAATTTGTACAGGAGGGAAACCCTACAAATCTGAAGAATGTGGCAAGCCTTTTAGCTATTCCTCAATCCTTACTAAACATTCATGTAATTCATACTGGAGGGAATTCCTACAATTGTGTGGAATGTTGCAATGCCCTTAACCAGTCCTTAAGGCTTACTACATATAAGACAACTCATACTGGAGAGAAACCATGCATGTGTGAAGAATGTGGGAAAGCCTCTAATAGATCCTCAATTCTTAAGAGACATAAGCTAATTCATACACAAGAGAGACTCTACAAACCTGAAAGATGTGACAATGCTTTTGGCAACACCTCAGACTTTTCTGAATATAAAAGAAATCGTACAGATGAGAAATCCTAGAAAAGTGAAGAATATGACAAAGCCTTTAAGTGGCTGTCACACTTGATTGTAGGTAAGATAACTCATACTGGAGAAAACTACTGTAATAAACAATGTGACAAACATTTAACCAGTGCTCATGCCTTATTGCAAAGGAAAGCATTTACACTAGCCTGGGCAACAGAGAGAGACTGTCTGGAAAAAAAAATTTTTGTTAATGCCAGTAATATCTTCTCACAGCTTATTAAACATCAGAGAGTTCATACTAAATAAAAGTATTAAAAGTGCAATCACTGTCACTAGATCTTTCAGAAAATAAAAGCTGTTAAAGTACAGAAGAATATTTATTTTGAGGAAACACATTATAAATATTAAGAGGGTTGTAGTACATGTACTTGTATCACAGATTTTATTGTACACATTTTGTACTACAGGAAAACCTGAGGTAGTTGTTCCAACTTTGCTCAACATCAGGGAATTTATATTGAAGAATAACCCTGCAAATTTAATAAATTTGGAAAAACATTTTTTCAAAAACTACAGATTATAAAACACAAATGCGTTTATACTAAAATATGTTTTTGCAGATACAGTAAATATAAAAAATATTTAATCCAAAATTAAGTTTATGTAAATATCAGCTAATTCACAGTAGAAATACCTGTCACTCAAACTTCAGATATTACACTAAATCAGACTGCTGAGTATAGGAAAAAATCCAAAACTAAAGTTGGCAAAAAGAAGAATTATTTGTATATAACTTTAAAAGAAGTAGATCTTTGAAGAGTTATAATTAAATTTAAAGTATACTTTTTTCTTCAAAACACAGATTTTTTTTTTTTCCAGACACATTGGCTTACTGTGGCCAATACTTTGTGATGCCAAGGTGGGCAGATCACCTGAGGTCAGGAGTTCAAGACCAGCCTTGCCAACATAGTGGAACTAAAAAGAAATGTTTACTAAACATGTTTACTAAAAAGAAATAAAGAAATTAGCCAAGGTCTAGCTTCCAGGTTCATGCCATTCTCCCACCTCAGCCTCCCAATTAGCTGGGACTACAGGCGCCCGCCGCCACTCCCAGCTAATTTTTTGTATTTTTAGTACAGATGGGGTTTCACCATATTAGCCAGGACGGTCTCTATCTCCTGACCTCATGATATGCCCACCTTGGCCACCCAAAGTCCTGGGATTGCAGGCATGAGCCACAGTGCCTGGCCTAATAACAGAAGTCTTTAGCAGAGCAAAAATGTATAAAATGTATAATGACATTGTATAAGTAATAATAAACCTACTAACCATAAAAAGCCCTGGATCATATGAAATCACAGCGAAGTTTTACCACATTGCAAAGAGTTTTACCTAAGCCTACTGAATGCATTCGAAAAAATCAAGGTGGGATTTCACCCTAACTTGTTATATTAAATCAGTGAAATATATGAAACTAAAATCTAGTGAAGGCACCACAAAAAAAGGAAAGTACAGGTCAATATTCTGGGTGAATATTGGAATAATAATCCTCCATGAAATACTAGCAAACTGAATTCAAAAGCAAATCAGAAAGTTATTTTGCTACATTAATGTGAGCTTTTCCATATATATGAAGGTGTTTCATGATATGGAAGTCAATAAGTGTGATTCACCATGTAAAGATAATTAAAAGAAAAAAAAATAACAGTAGGGGCAGAAAAAGCATTCAAGAAAACCCAATATTAACTCAAAAATGTTGTCAACACACTGGACATTGATGAAAATATCTTAATAAGAGTCATCTATGACAAATCCTTAGCCAACATCATACTAAAAGAGCAAAAACTGGAAGCATTCTCCATGAGAATAAAAATAAGAATATCCATTCTAAACAGTCCTATTGAAGTTATGAAATCCTAGCCAGAGAATAAAAGGAATCCAAACAGAAAACAAAGAAAGTCAAATTATCTTTACTGATGAAAGAATTGTCCACCTAGAATACTTTAAAGGTTTCACCAAAAGAGTTCTAAGCCTGGAAAAAGACTTCAAAAAAAATCTTAGAATACAAAATCAGCACAAATGCATAGCATTTCTGTACACCAATAATATTCAAACTGAGAACAAAATAAAAAACACAGCTCTATTTACAATAGCAACAAACACACAAAAAAATACCTAGAAATACATTAAATCAAGGGGGTAAAATATCTCTACAAAGAACAACAAAACATTGCTGAAAGAAACGAGAGACAATGCAAATAAATGGAAAAATATTGCTCATGGATTCAAATAATATAATTAAAATGGTCATTCTGCCTAAAGCAACCTACAGATTAAGTGCTATTTTTATCAGACTATCCATGACGATTTTTATTGAATTAGAAAAAGAAAACTATTCTAAAATACATTCAAAAGAATTAAAGAGCTCAAATAGCCAAGAAAACTTCAGACTAAAAGAATAAATCTGGGCCAAGCATGGTGGCTCATGCCTGTCATCTCAGCCCTTTGGGAGGCTGAGATGGATGGATCACCTGAGGTCAGAAGTTTGAGACCAGCCTGGCCAACATGGTGAAACCTGCATCTCTACTAAATGTAAAAAATTAGCCAGGTGTGGTGGTGCATGCCTGTAATCCCAGCTACTTGGGAGGCTGAGGAAAGAGAACCATTTGAGCCTGGGAGGTGGAGGTTGCAGTGAGCCAAGATTGCATCAGAATAACCAGTATAACATGGTTCTGGTACAAAAATAAACATCTAGACCAATGAAATGGAAGAGAGAGTACTGAATTAAGCTATACTTTGCAATCAGGTTATTTTTACAAAGCCAACAGAAATAAACAAAAGGGGAATTAACTCCCTATTTAGTAAGTAATACTGGGAAAACTGGTTAGTCATATGTGGAAGAAAACTGTACTACCTTTTTCTATAAAAAAAAAACAACTCAATATAGATTAAAGACTTGATCTGTGAGTCTCCAAGCTACAAAAATCTTAGAATAACACTTAGATAATACTGGCCTCTGTAAAGAATTTATGACTAACATCTAACATGAGTGCAACAAAAATAAAAATAAAAAATGGCATCTAAGCCAAAGAGCTTCTGCACAGTAAAAGAAACTATCAGCAAAGTAAACAGATGACCTACAGTATGAAATAAAATATTTGCAAACTGCAGACAATGAAGGATTAATGTACAGAATCTATAATACATTTAATAAAAAAGCAAACATGATATGAATAGCCAGCTTCTTCTCAAAGGAAGACATAAGAGCTGCCAATAAACATGTAAAAATTGCTCAACGTTCCTAATTATCAGAAAGATGTAAATCAAAGTGACAGTGTGATACTATTTCATACCAGTAAGAATGACTTATTAAAAGTAAGATAAATAAGATGTTGAAGTTGTAGAGATAAGGAAATCTTTCTACACTGTTGGTGGGAATGCAAATTAATTCAGAACCTGTGCAAAGCAGTTTGGGGACTTCTCAAAGAACTAGAAATAGAATTGCCATTTGACCAATCAAGCCGATTACTGGATATCTGCCCCCAAAAAGAATAAATAATTTTGCCAAAGAGACACCAGCACTCACATGTTCATTGCAGCACTATTCACAATAGCAAAAACAGAATTTAACCAGTTACCCATGAATCTTTTATTGGATAAGAAAAATGATGTACTTATACAACCTCCAATACTATGCAGCAACAGAAGAGAATGAAGTAACGTCTTTTGCAGCAACATGAATGCAGCTCTGCTTCAGGCCATTCTAAGCAAATTATTGCATCAGAAAAACAAATGCCACATGTTCTCACTCATACATGGATGCTAAAAATTGGGCGCACATGGAAACAAAGATGAAAACAATAAACACTGAGAATTCTAAAAAGAAGGAGGAAGGATGGGAGACAAGCATAGAAAATCTGCTTAGGTATGATGTACACTACTTGGGCAATGGAATTATTAAGTATCCAAACCTCAACATCATGTAGTCTACCTGTTTTACAAATCTGCACATGTACCTTAAATATAAAATAAAAATAATAAAATGTTTTTTGGTATAATGACATGTTCTATTTTTCCAGTGCTGGGTTAATAGTTGAAATTAGGGGTGAAAGACAAATTTTTCACCCCTTAAGGCATGGTGGTGAATGTTTCTATACCAGGTCTCCTCACATTTTATAAGCTAACCTGAAATTTCTTAGTCTATAGCCCAAAAAGTGTTTTATTTTCAAGTGTGCAAGTAAAACAAATTACACCTTTATTATTTATGTATTAACTGTACACTACACTATAGACTTAATTTGTTACTGTACTCTTTTGGGGGAAAATGTAATTGGATTAATCATTTTTTTTTTCAGAATGAACTATTTGTGAATGGGTGAGACTAAAAATTATGCTAAATTACTGAATTAGAAATATAAAACATTTTTTCTAAAAAAAAAAGCACAAAAGTCTTATGGTTGTATTCCAAAAATAATTCAACAGAAAGTGGGGGTTATTTAAGACCACAGTGCTGCAAATGCTCATTCCATCACAATCATTCTTGTGAAAAATAGAAATAATGGGTCAGAAGGTATTTTTAGAGTACTTTTCTTACGCTATTGCAGTGTGAAATTCTTTTCTTTATTAATTTCCATATGAAAGTCTGTAGTTGAACAAAAGATGCCATGAATTTCAAGTGAATATGCTCAGACATTTATTCTCCCTAGATGGGCACTGGCATGTTTTCAATCAAGGTGTGGCATTTCTTGCCTTCCTTGTGCTGCTGTGTTTGTGTGAAATGAAAAGGCAGCAAGTAAAGAAGAATGAACCATGACATTTCTAATTTCAACAGCCACAGCCTCTGTAATTGTTATTTCATCTAGAAATGACAGTATTTCAAAACTGACAAAACGAAAGTGATACTTTATTTTAGTGTATTATTTATAGTTTCTAAAAATTTATAGTTTCTGATTTATTATATGCTAAAAAACCTGAACATACAGACACCTAAAATTTCTACCAGATGATAGTATTAATATTTTAATAGCTTATAATTGACAGTCAAAATTGCCTCATTTGATTTACTGGAAAGCAGTTATTTATCTTCTAAGTGTAAATAGAGTATCCATAATCTTAAACATACAGATCTTTTAAGATTAGCATTATGTCTAGATTTAAATAAAATTTATAGGCTTGTAGTAACATAAATTTTCGTACTTATTTTCTAACAAAAGTGAAAAAGCAAAAGAAATGTTGTTAGAATGATTTTTAAAAGAAACTTTATATATCTTCATTAAATAACATTTAAAACCCCATTGTAAGTGAGTGATCAGTAATTCCAATCTTTTTTAGTCACTGAGAAAACTTAAATTATTCAATTGGAAGAAGTATTCTTATATTAGCATTTCTGAAACTCAGAAACTATAGACCACTCAATGGATGATGATGTACATGCAGACCACAAATTTTCTATGTAATAATAAGCTAATCCTAGATTTTAATATAAAAATTTAATATAATTCTAAGTTAAAACTAGTGGCTGTTTTAAGTCATGAGAGATATCATTGTTAGAATCCATTTACCAAAGTATTTGGTTAAATGCGGAGTGTCTGTCAGTTTTTTCATTAGAGAGAAGAAGGCATATTGTTTTTTGTTTACTTGTTTAATACTTTTATGTTAATTTGATAAATTTCAGTATAGTTTAAAAATATATATTAAAATTTTTTTCTAACAAGTGAAGGAAATCATTTATTTAAAAATTTAGAGAGAATTTTACTCTAAACAGTTGCTTTAGAGTCTGTCTTTCAAAGTATTATATTATTTTGAACATTAAAAATCAAGTCTATTTCTGAGTGCTGGGTTCTGACTGTTCATGATATTTAAAGTTTACTTACCTACATCTATAAATGAGCAAGCCATTTGAAATAAAATGTATATATGTGTATGTTTCCTAAAATTTTAAGATGAACAACCACATTTTTCTCTGGTGCAATATCTTAAATCTTACTTCACTCTCTCTTATAAAAAAAGTATTAGTAGTATTTTTGATTGGTAAATCACAGTTGCACATATTTATGGCATACAGTGTGATGTTTTAGTATATGTATAAAATATGGAATAATTAAGTTTTGTTTAGTAACATATCTATGAACTCACCTATCATTTTTGTGGTGGTACATTTGAAATTTACTCTTAGTTATTTTGAAATATGCAATACTTTATAGTTTACTATAGTTACCCTGCTGTGCAATAGGTCTCAAAACTTACTTAACCTATTTGAAATTTTTTACTCTTTGTCAGCTCCCTATCTTTTCATAAAGTTTATATCCATTCTGAATGTGAATTGAACATTTGCCAATAATACTATTAAAAACATTCAACTACTATTATAGCCCCAGACTGTAAATCTAGTCTCTCAATTTAGAGTAAATTAAGAGAAGACTTATTTTTTTCAGCCAAGCAAATAAGTGTATAAAACTAAAGGGTAACAAACATGGCATTAGTTGCTAAAAAATAGTATGACTAGATTCAATAAGTGTCTAGCTATGCAAATGACAGTTCAATTAAATTAAGACCCTAATAGGTGCATGTGAAAAGCATTGATGTGCAATGTGTTGCACCTCCACTCAGCACCTTTTTTTGCCCATTCGTAAAGATATCAATTTCCCCTGTGTGACTCAGAGCGAATACTAAAAATGGAAAATTCTATGTTCAGAGTAATTACTGGGAACATGGTTAAAACATTTCTTCAATGTTATGAAAAGTTTTTATAAATATCACTCCAACTTCAAAAAGTCTTTTAGTAAAAGATTGTTTATTTATAGTACTCAATTTAGATTCATAAAAATTTCAATATTCCAGGAAAGTCAGAGACACCTAAATGTAAACAAAATTCCATAAAGCTTGGATGAGATAAATTCCTCTTGGTTAAGAATTTTATTTTACTAATATAGAGAAAAATAGAAAACCAGTACTTCAGGCAAAATAACAGTTTTTGGCACAGGAGTATCACCAAAACAAGTGCTCTTCATCATCATTGTTAAAGTAAGAAGAGCATTGCCTGCTTTCCTGGAAGCAGCTGGCCTGCTTTCCACTGATATAAAGTGGGGAAGGCATTCAAATAGTGAAAGAGGATGATATAAATAGAATACTTATGTGAAATACAGTTTATAATAAAAAGTAGCATTTGATGTTTTATAACCGTAGATGAGACTATTATCATGAGGTCATAATATTATTGTTTCTATTGACAAATTAACTTTATTTACAATATCCTTATTTCAGATAATATTCCTTTTTCTGCTCTATGTTTGCTAGATTTTGGTCAAATCTTATCTGAACTCAATTGAAATCAACAAATCGATTCTACCACAAGCATTTTATTATTGATGCATCTGCTTATTTTGCTTAAAATACATTAGCTTTTGAAAAGATTTATAGTTTTGTTTCCGAGTGTTGTTTATTTCTGAGAAGTTGCTGTCATGCTAGAAAACTGCTTTTCTCAGCTCTACTCACAATGACTAATAGCAAGTGGAAGTGATGTGTGGATGAGAAGCAAATGTGTCTTCTTTGCATCTCTTTTTTAATCAATTAGCTGAAGAAAGAGAATGCAGATAGAAGGTGAAAGAAAATATAATCCCTGAAAGATCATGAAAAATTCCTTTTCATCAGAAAAAAAGGAAATGGTGATTTGAGCAGAATATATATTTAAAAAGACTTAATTTTTTAAAAATGTTCTTTTTTTGAAATATAAAAAAAGCTGACCAAATAAAGTCTAAATGAATTAAGTATAGCTCCTAGTATAACTCACAGTTAATATAAGTTGACTATCCTCTCTGTAGACATTTTTCATCAGCCCTTTTCACCATACAGCTAGACCTCAGCTAACACTTATTATGTGTCACAAAAATGAATCACTTTAGAAGCCATCTTAATAATGAGACAATTTGTTGTGGGAAGTCAAGGACCCCAAATGGAGGGACCGGCTGGAGCTGTGGCAGAGGAACATAAATTGTGAAGATTTCATTGTAATATGGACATTTATCGCTTCCCTAAAAACACTCTTATAATTTCTTATGCCTGTCTTTACTTCAATCTCTGAACATCAATTGTGAAGATTTCATGGACATTTATCAGATCCCAAATAATACTCATAATTTCTTTCACCTGTCTTACTTTAATCTCTTAATCCTGTTATCTTCCTAAGCTAAGGATGTATGTCACCTCAGGACCAGTATTGTACAAATTGATTGTAAAACGTGTGTTTGAACAATATGAAATCAGTGCACCTTGAAAAACAACAGAATAACAGTGATTTTAGGGAACGAATGAAGACAACCATAAGGTCTGCCTGACTGTGGGGTAGGGCAGAATAGAGCCATATTTTTCTTCTTGAGGAGAGCCTACAAATGGACATGCAAGTAGGGAAGATATCACTGAATTCTTTTCCTAGCAAGGATTATTAATAATTAAGACCCTGGGAAAGAAATGCATTCCTCAGGGGAGGTCTATAAACAGCCGCTCTGGGAGTGTCTGTCTTATGTGATTGAGATAAGGACTGAAATATGCCCTGGTCTCCTGCAGTACCCTCAGGCTTATTAGGGTGGGGAAAAAAACCCCACCCTGGTGAATTTGTGGTCAGACTGGTTCTCTGCTCTCGAACCCAATTTTCTGTTGTTTAGGATGTTTATCAAACCAATACGTGCACAGCTGAACATAGACCCTCATCAGTAATGCTAATTTTGCCTTTTGCCTTGTGATCTTTGCTTTTAGTCCTTGCCCTATTTCCTCAGAAGCATGTGATCTTTGTTCTCTTTTTGCCCTTTGAAGCATGTGATCTTTGTGATGTACTCCCTGTTCGTACACCCCCTCCCCTTTTGAAGTCCTTAATAAAAACTTGCTGGATTTGTGGCTCAGGTGGGCATCACAGTCCTACCGACATGTGATGTCACCCCTGGAGGCCCAGCTGCAAAATTCCTCTCTTTGTACTCTTTCTCTTTATTTCTCAGACCAGCTGACACTTACAGAAAATAGAAAGAACCTATGTTGAAATATTGGGGGTGGGTTCCCCCAATAACAATTGACTTCTGGTACACAATTCAGAACATCTACAAAAGGAGTGGTGAACAGATTTCAACTGTGATGCAAATTCTTATTCATTGGCATTGGTAGCTGAGTGCTGTGTCAAGGATTCAGGAATCACTATTTATTAAGTGGAAGTAGATCATCATAAAGGTCTTCATTCTCATCATCTTCACACTGAATAGGGTTGCTTTCTTTTCTGCATTTGTGTTTAAAACTGTCCATAGAGACTCTCCAAACGCTTGGCTTTCTGTCTGGAAATTTCAAATGAGGTTTTTGAGTGTGCATCTTTTTCTAGTTTCACACAGCTGCAGAGGCTTCAGGAAACTTACAATCATGGTGGAAGGCAAAGGGGAAGCAAAGACTTTCTGGTTGTGGCTGGAGAAAAAGCTACAATATACTGACTGGTCTCATTCAGGATGTTCTTGACATTCAGGATAGGTGGGGTGACCCTGCAATCATATGGACACTATCCATTCCAGTGACGCTCAAACTTCAGCACACATCAGAGTCCCTGCAAGGCTTGCTAAGACACAGAGTGCTGAGCCCACCTCTAAGACATTTTTCTTTTTAAGGAATAAAGAGCATTCCATTGTGTAAATATACCACTTTTTAAAATTCATGTACCTGTTGATGTACACTTAGGTTGATTTCATACCTTAGTTATTGTGAGTAATCCACTTTTTTTCCTTTTCTTACTTATGTATCTCTTTTTTTATTTCTAGAAACATTTTAATTTTATACTATAAATTATGACTTAGATACCTTTATTTCTATGCCTTCTTTTGGTTAATATTTTGGCTGATTGAAACAATAAAGTTTTTAAACATTTTTTGGATCAAGGCCATTACATTATTATTAACATAATTTGAGACAATATAGCAATAAAAATCAACATTGATTAGTGAAACAACAATTTTCTAGCCCCTGGTAATCATTTTCTCTCCCACCCAACATAAAAGTTGAATCTTTGTGTCATTTCTCACAGTTGTAAGAAAGAAGCTTCTGATTAAATTGGTCAGCATATAATTTTGTAGAATTTTACTTTTTTAATCTAAAAATTCAACTGCTGTATTACCAGAAAAGCTATTTTTAATGTGTATTTTACTCTATTTTATTTAAATTATTCATAAATACTAAGCTGACAAAATATGAGCTCAAATTTTTTTGAAAATTAAAAATGCTTAAGAAACATTTTTTACAGAATCTAAAACTAAACATATTTTTAGTTTCTTAGAGAACATCTCTCAAATACTTCAAGTTACCTTCTTCTGACAGTAGATATATATTTTTCTATATTGCTATAATACAGCTTTGCTGTCCTTTGTGGTCAACTGCATCATTTTTATTCTATTTTCTTGTGCAATAGTTATGCTATGCATTTTATATTTTAAAAGTTGTAGACCATGCAGTGTAATCTTCAAACAATTGACAAATATTTTTCCATGTATAGCTGTCTGCTTAATCCGCAGTCACTTTATTTTCCCCCCTCAAAGGCATTTTTACTGCCTGAAAAACAAAGGGATCATTCAAGTGAGTGTGCTGAGCTGGTCTTCTCCAGTGTCAGTCTATTCACATTCACAAAGGTATTCTTCTGGTGAAAGAGGGTTCACTTCAACACTATTATAACAGCGATATGGAAAAGATGTAATAGAATAAAATGTGAATCATGGCCTTCTAATAAAATAAGTTAATTTTTCTTTTTCTGTGTATGTGAGTATGTGGTAATTGTAAGGTTGGGAATTGAGACTAAAGTGAGAGAGAAGAACACTTCACATGGGTAGCACAAGAAGGTTCTGTGTAACATTCTTCTTTGTCAAACATACCCAGAATGATTTTGTGAAGTATTATGTTGCTGTATTCATCACTTATTAGTATCTGATGGTCATTTTTTACTTTATAAATTTAAATATGCACTTTTCATCATCCAGGGTCCTGTCCTTGATGCTTAAGTGCTCAGACATAAAACTATTAAAATATTGATGAAAGATTAGTTCCTTTTTTTTTTTAATCATGAGACTGAGTCTCTGTCACCCAGGGTGGAGTGCAATGGTGTGATCTCAGTTCACAGCAATCTCAGCCTCCGAAGTTCAAGCAATTCTCATGCCTCAGCCTCCTGAGTCACTGGGATTACAGGTGTGTGCCATTTTGCCTGGCTTGGTAGGTAAGTGGTTATGAGGCACTGACTCGTGGGTTAGGGGCTCTCTGGGGACCCTTCCCTTGCTGTCCACCTTAGGCTAACTAGCTAATCCCTCTCAGTCTCCTCTCAGGAGGGGAGACCCTAACTGCTGTTAGGGAGAATAGGCATTGATATTTTTGGCTATTCCTCACTGGAGAGGGGTACTGTTCTAGCAGCTAAGATTTCTTCCAGGGCTGGTTTAAGTATCTCAGAAGAAACATGTGTTTATGCATCATTCCATTTGCATTACCACTTGGAGCTTGATAGTTTTTAGGGAAAAAGAAACAATCTGGTTTAGTAGAGGACATGAATTGAAATGAAACAAGGAGGGCAGGAAACACCTAAAAAGGTTGAGGCTGCTGACACACCCTGATAACTGGTAGCTATAGTTATATTTGCTAAGATTTGGGTGCATGAGGCTTGGCTTTGGTTAGTTCCCTTGATCTTACTTTCTGATAAAAGAAAGCTCTGGGTTATTGGCACCTTATTTATTTCTATCACCCAGCCAGATTTGCAGAATAATTGCTTAGAACTAGAATATTGATTTAGATTTTTACATTACCCATCCCTATCTTTTTTTGATGAGCTGCAGGCAGAGATTGCTGGTTGGCTTACAGGAATAAGCCGGGTAGGTTTAAAATGTCATCAAAACGTTTGAAACAATGAATGAGACTAGAAGTTCATGAGAAATGTATGACAAGTTTTGAAACAATTACTTTCTTTTAGTTTTTTTTTTGTTAGAAACTACTCACAAAATTCCTTCTTTAAGGACATGGATGAAATTGGAAGTCATCATTCTCAGTAAACTATCACAAGAACAAAAAACCAAACTGCATATTCTCACTCATAGGTGGGAATTGAACAATAAGAACACATGGACACAGGAAGGGAAACATCACACTCCGGGGGCTGTTATGGGGTGGTGGGAAGGGGGAGGAATAGCTTTAGGAGATATACCTAATGCTAAATGATGAGTTAATGGGTGCAGCACACCAGCATGGCACATGTATACATATGTAACTAACCTGCACATTGTGCACAGGTACCCTAAAACTTAAAGTATAATAATAATAAAATAAAATAAAATAAAATTTAAAAAAAAGCTACTCACAATAGACTGAATTGTTTGCAAAATAGACTTTATTATTATACTTGGCCTAACTATTTGAACATAGTGCAGCAAGAGTAACTATCTCTCCACAGGCCTTTTTGATAGGCTTTGATGGAAATCTGTTCCAAAAGAAATCTTAGATAAGACTTTATAAAGTTGGGCCAAGCCATGGATTTGTACCCTTAAATACCTGTGAGTTGGTTAAACTCCTGTATTTTTGAGGTTCCAAGAGCATAGTGTTTCTAAGTCTGTTGGAAAGTGACATTTTTTTACTCACAACAGTCCAGGAATTTTGTATGAGGACTGTGTAGACAAGGTATGAGACCAGCTTTCCCAAGAGGCTGTTACTGGCTTTGCAACTTAAACTTGATTTCTTAAAGGAAAACAAACCCTCCCAATTAGAGCCTTGGTAAAAGAACTAGCGTTTTTCTGTTGTATTTCATTGCATAAGAAAATGGATTTTTCAGCTGGGCATGGTGCCTCAAGCCTGTAATTGCAGCACTTTGGAATGCTGAGGTGGGCAGATCACGAGGTCAAGAGTTCAAGATCATCCTAGCCAACATGGTGAAACTCCATCTCTACTAAAAATACAAAAATTAGCTGGCCATGGTGGTGCATGCCTGTAGTCCCAGCTACTCTGGAAGCTGAGGCAGGAGAATCACTTGAACCTGGGAGGCAGAGGTTGCAGTGAGCTGAGATTGTGCCACTGCATGCTGGCCACAGACAGAGTGAGACTATGTCTCAAAAGAAAACAAAAATAGAAAATGGATTTTTGTTTCACTGATGCAAACAGCTATATTGCTACAAGTTAAGAATATTTATAACTAGTTGATAGAAGTCCCAAGATGTCTGAATAGGGACAGCTCCAGTCTACATCTCCCAGTGTGAGTGACACAGATGATGGGTGATTTCTGCATTTTCAACTGAGGTACTGGGTTCATCTCACTGGGGCTTGTTGGACAGTGGGTGCAGCCTATGGAGTGTGAGCCGAAGCAGGGTGGGACATCACCACAGCTGGAAAGTGCAAGGGGTTGGGGTAATCCCTTTCCTAGCCAAGGGAAGCTGTGACAGACTGTACCTGGAAAATCGGGACACTCCCACCCTAACATTGTGCTTTTCCAATGGTCTTAGCAAATGGCACACCAGGAGATTATATCCAGTACCTGACTCACAGGGTCCCATGCCCAAGGAGCCTTACTCACTGCTAGCACAGCAGTCTGAGATTGAACTGCAAGGTGGCAGCAAGGCTAGGGGAGGGGCTTCTGCCATTGCTGAGGCTTCAGTAGGTAACCAAAATGACTGGGAACCTCAAACTGGGTGGAGCCCACCACTGCTCAAGGAGGCCTGCCTGCCTCTGTAGATTCCACCTCTAGGGGCAGGGCATAGCTGAACAAAAGGGAGCAGAAACTTCTGCAGACTTAAATGTCCCTGTCTGACAGCTTTGAAGAGAGTAGTGGTTCTCCCAGCACAGAGTTTTGAGATATGAGAATGGACAGACTGCCTCCTCAATTGGGTCTCTGAACCCCGAGTAGTCTAACTGGGAGACACCTCCCAGTAGGGGCCGACTGACACCTCATACAGCCGGGTGCCCCTCTGAGATGAAGCTTCCAGAGGAAGGATCAGGCAGCAATATTTGCCATTCTGCAATATTTGCTGTTCTGCAGCCTCCGCTGGTGATACCCAGGCAAACAGGGTCTGGAGTGGACCTCCAGCAAACTACAATAGACCTGCAGCTGAGGGTCCTGACTGTTAGAAGGAAAATTAACAAA
This sequence comes from Homo sapiens, assembly GCF_000001405.40. Taxonomy (NCBI): domain Eukaryota; kingdom Metazoa; phylum Chordata; class Mammalia; order Primates; family Hominidae; genus Homo; species Homo sapiens. The sequence goes on along the minus strand of NC_000019.10, from coordinate 21,956,033 downwards.
CAGAAGGGACATCCACACCAAAACCCCATCTGTACATCACCATCATCAAAGACCAAAGGTAGATAAAACCCCAAAGATGGGGAGAAACCAGAGCAGAAAAGCTGAAAATTCTAAAAATCAGAGTGCCTCTTCTCCTCCAAAGGAATGCAGTTCCTCACCAGCAAAGAAACAAAGCTGGATGGAGAATGACTTTGACGAGTTGAGAGAAGAAGGCTTCAGACGATTGGTAATAACAAACTTCTCCGAGCTAAAGGAGGATGTTCGAACCCATCTCAATGAAGCTGAAAACCTTGAAAAAAGATTAGACAAATGGCTAACTAGAATAAACAGCATAGAGAAGACCTTAAATGACCTAATGAAGCTGAAAACCTTGGCACAAGAACTACATGACACATGCATAAGTTTCAGTAGCCAATTCAATCAAGTGGAAGAAAGGGTATCAGTGATTGAAGATCAAATTAATGAAATGAAGTGAGAAGAAAAGTTTAGAGAAACAAGAGTAAAAAGAAATGAACAAAGCCTCCAAGAAATATGGAAATATGTGAAAAGACCAAATCTACGTCTGATTGGTGTACCTGAAAGTGACAGGGAGAATGGAACCAAGTTGGAAAACATTCTTCAGGATATTATCCAGGAGAACTATCCCAACCCAGCAAGGCAGGCCAACATTCAAATTCAGGAAATACAGAGAACGCCACAAAGATACTCCTCAAGAAGAGCAACTCCAAGACACATAATCGTCAGATTCATCAAAGTTGAAATGGAGGAAAAAATGTTGAGGGCAGCCAGAGAGAAAGGTCAGGTTACCCACAAATGGAAGCCCATCAGGCTAACAGCTGATCTCAGCAGAAACTACAAGCCAGAAGAGAATGGGGGCCAATATTCAACATTCTTAAAGAAAAGGGTTTTCAACCAAGAATTTCATATCCAGCCAAACTAAGCTTCATAAGTGAAGGAGAAATAAAATCCTTTACAGATAAGCAAATGCTGAGAGATTTTGTCACCACCAGGCCTGCCTTACAAGAGCTCCTGAAGGAAGCACTAAACATAAAAAGGAACAGCTGGTACCAGCTACTGCAAAAACATGCCAAATTGTAAAGACCATCGATGGTAGGAAGAAACTGCATCAACTAATGAGCAAAATCAACAGCTAACACCATGACAGGATCAAATTCACACAAAGCAATATTAACCTTCAATGTAAATGGGCTAAGTGCTCCAATTAAAAGACACAGACTGGCAAATTGGATAAAGAGTCAAGACCCATCAGTGTGTTGTATTCAGGAAACCCATCTCACCTGCAGAGACACACATAGGCTCAAAATAAAGGGATGGAGGAAAATCTACCAAGCAAATGGAAAACCAAAAAAAGCAGGGGTTGCAATCCTAGTCTCGGATAAAACAGACTTTAAACCAACAAAGATCAAAAGAGACAAAGAAGGCCATTACATAATGGTAAAGGGATCAATGCAACAAGAAAAGCTAATGATCCTAAACATATATGCACCCAATAAAGGAGCACCCAGATTCATAAAGCAAGTCCTTAGAGACCTACAAAGAGACTTAGACTCCCACACAATAATAATGGGAGACTTTACCACCACAGTCTCAACATTAGACAGATCAGTGAGACAGAAAGTTAACAAGGATATCCAGGAATTGAACTCACCTCTGCAACAAGTGGACCTAATAGACATCTACAGAACTCTCTACCCCAAATCAAGAGAATATAGATTCTTCTCAGCACCACATCACACTTCTTCCAAAATTGACCACATAGTTGGAAGTAAAGCACTCCTCAGCAAATGGAAAAGAACAGAAATCACAACAAACTATCTCTCAGACCACAGTGCAATCAAATTAGAACTCAGGATTAAGAAACTCACTCAAAACTGCTAACTACATGGAAACTGAACAAGCTGCTCCTGAATGACTACTGGGTAAATAATGAAATGAAGGCAGAAATAAAGATGTTCTTTGAAACCAATGAGAACAAAGACACAACATACCAGAATCTCTGGGACACATTTTAAGCAGTGTGTAGAGGGAAATTTATAGCACTAAATGCCCACAAGAGAAAGCAAGAAAGATCTAAAATTGACATGCTACAATCACAATTAAAAGAACTAGAGAAGCATGAGCAAACACATTCAAAAACTAGCAGAAGGCAAGAAATAACTAAGATCAGAGCAGAAATGAAAGAGATAGAGACACAAAAAACCCTTCAAAAAATCAATTAATCCAGGAGCTGTTTTATTGAAAAGATCAACAAAATTGCCTGATAATTGATGGTTTCTTCCTAGCATCAATGGTCTTTACAACTTGGCATGTTTTTGCAGTGGCTGGTACCAGTTGTTTCTTTCCTGTTTAGTGCTTCCTTCAGGAGCTCTTGTAAGGCAGGCCTGGTGGTGACAAAATCTGTCAGCATTTGCATGTCTGTAAAGGATTTTATTTTTCCTTCAGTTATGAAGTTTAGTTTGGCTGGACATGAAATTCTGGGTTGACATTCTTTCCTTTCAGAATGTTGAATATTGGCCCCCACTCTCTTCTGGTTTGTAGGATTTCTGCTGAGAGAGCCACTGTTAGTCTGATGGACTTCCTTTTGGGGGTAACCTGACCTTTCTGGCTACCCGTAACATTTTTTCTTTCATTTTTACCTTGGTAAGTCTGACAATTATGTGTCTTGGAGTTGCTCTTCTCGAGGAATATCTTTGTGGGATTCTCTGTATTTCCTGAATTTGAATGTTGGCCTGCCTTGCTAGGTTGGGGAAGTTCTCCTGGCTAATATCCTGAAGAGCATCTTCCTACTTGGTTCCATTCTCCCCATCACTTTCAGGTACACGTATCAAATGTAGATTTGGTCTTTTCACATAGTCCCACAGTTCTTGGAGGCTTTGTTCATTTCTTCTTTCTCTTTTTCTCTAAGCTTGTCTTCTCATTTTATTTCATTAATTTGATCTTCAATCACTGGTACCCTTTCTTCCGCTTAACTGAATTGGCTATTGAAGCTTGTGCATGCATCGTGTTCTCATGCCATGGTTTTCAGCTCCATCAGGTCATTTAAGGTCTTCTCTTCACTGTTTATTCTAGTTAGCCATTCATCTAACCTTTTTTCAAGGTCTTTAGCTTCCTTGTGTTTGTTTTGAACATGCTCCTTTAGCTCAGAAGTTTGTTACTACCGACCTTCTGAAGCCTACTTCTGTCAACTCAGCAAAGTCATTCTCCATCCAGCTTTGTTCCATTGCTGGTGAGGAGCTGTCATCCTTTGGAGGAGAAAAGGTGCCCTGGTTTTTAGAATTTTCAGCTTTTCTACTCTGGTTTCTCCCCATCTTTGTGGTTTTATCTACCTTTGGTCTTTAATGTTGGTGACATACAGATGGGGTTTTGGTGTATATCCTTTTTGCTGATGTTGCTTCTATTCCTTTCTGTTTGCTGGTTTTCTTTCTAACAGGTCTCTCAGCTTCAGGTTTGTTGGAATTTTCTGGAGGTCCACTCCATACCCTGAGTGCCTGGGTATCACCAGCAGAGGCTGCAGAATGGCAATTATTGCAGAACTGCAAATATTTCTGCCTGATCCTTCCTCTGGAAGGTTTGTCCCAGAGGGGCACCCACCTATATGAGGTATCTGTCGGCCTCTACTGGGAGGTGTCTCCCAGTTAGGCTACATGGGGGTCAGGGATTGACTTGAGGAGGTAGTCTGTCCATTCTCAGAGCTCAAATGCCATGCTGGGTGAACCACTGCTCTCTTCAGAGCTGTCAGACAGGAACATATAAATCTGCAGAAGCTATCTGCTGCCTTTTGTTCAGCTATGCCTTGCTCACAAAGTTGGAGTCTATAGAGGCAGTAGGCCTTGCTGAACTGCAGTGGGCTCCACCCAGTTCAAGCTTCCCGGCCACTTCGTTTAGCTACTCAAGCCTCAGCAATGGTGGATGCCCCTCCCCTAGCCAGGCTGCTGCGTTGCCATCTGATCTTAGACTGCTGTGCTAGCAGTGAGCAAGGCTCTGTGGGTTCACGACCTGCTGAGCCAGGTACGGGAGAGAATCTTCTTGTCTACTGGTTGCTAAGACCTTGGGAAAGGCACAGCATTTGGGTGGGAATATCCCATTTTTCCAAGTACAGTCTGTCCTGGCTTCTCCAGGCTAGGATAGGGAAATCCCCCAACCCCTTGTGCCTCCCAGGTGAGGTGACACCCTGTCCTGCTTTGGCTCACCCTCCATGGGCTGAACCCACTGTCCATCCAGTCCCAGTGAGATGAGCCATGTACCTCAGTTGAAAATGCAGAAATCACCCATCATCTTCTTCAATCACATTTGGAGCTGCAGACCAGAGCTCTTCCTATTTGGCCATCTTGGAATGGATCTCCGATTTTTACAAATCTTTTATAATCTTTTAGAAATTTTGATATGTACAGATGAGCATCTTAAGAAAGCTTTGTTGTGCTTTCATTAAATGCTTAATTTTAAGGAACACCATATGATATTCCTTTGAATTTAGTTAATATTTTTACACAGAGTATTCTTTTGCAAAATTAATTTTTTGGTATTTCAAAAATTTGCTTAAAACTTTCACTTTATTTAATTTAAGACAATCTTTTACTCCTAGGAAAAATGTAGATTTTTATGCCTTCTTATAATTTTTTATTATAAAATTTTACTGTTTTTACACACGTTGCATACACATTCATTTTCAGTAGCCTCAATTACATGTTATAATGGTAACTTTTTGTAATTTTAACTTTAATGTAAAACCTGGTAAGTGGTTTTAATTATGTGCTAGGAGCAGATAAAGTCTGACTTCTTCCAGTATAGTTAGGGGCATGGTTACTTTAATATGTCACTAGGCCTTACTAATTGTGAAGCTGGCAGGTTGACAGTACTCAAGGGCCAAAGAAGCAGTTTACATTAAAACATTTAGCAAACCTAATATTTGACCTGCATAATTTAGACCACCTATTTACATGTTTAAGATGTTTGTATTCTACAAGAATGTTTTTATTTCTTAAATATTGAAGTTGCATGAACCAAGAGGCACTACAGCCTTTAATTTTGACTTAACATTTTATCTAAGTGCTTATTTGTACACCAATTAATTAGAGGTTTTTTATAGACATCACACAAAACACGTATATAACCATCTAGACAAACAGAAGAAGATTCAGTAACTATAAGATTTTTTGTTTGCCAGTTTTCTAATTGGATTATTGGTCTCTGGTTGAGGCCTTTTATGAACAGGGCTAGGGGCCAGGCATGGTGACTCATGCCTGTAATCCCAGCACTTTGGGAGGCTGAGGCGGGTGGATCACCTGAGGTCAGGAGTTTGAGACCAGCCTGGCCAACATGGTGAAACCCCATCTCTACTAAAAATAAAAAAAATTAGCTGGGTGTGGTGGCAGATGCCTGTAATCCCAGCTACTTGGGAGGCTGAGGCAGGAGAATTGCTTGAACCCAGGAGGTGGAGGTTGCAGTGAGCCACGATTGTGCTGTTGCACTCCAGCCTAGGTGACAGAGTGAGACTCTGTCCTGCATAAAAAAAAAAAAAAAAGAACAGGGCTAGGCATATAGTTTCCAGGGCCTAATAAACAAGCATAGCTAGAAGAAAGAGACAGATTTGGAGAGGAACTTATTACTTTTAATTCTAGGGGTTTCATGAAAAAAAGCAGAGATCTTTTAAAATGCAATTTATGGTGGCTTTTTTGTTTTCTTGAGGAGTCCCAGGCCACCAGAGGTTATTTTAGGGCCTTCTATGCTTGCATCAACAGTGACAAGAAAGAGTGGATAAAAGTAATTTAGTTAAGTGAGAAAAAATCCTCTTCCAGGAAAACAAGTTTTATATAGATAAAAATAGAAAGGCTTTCTGAATATACTTATAGCTTGGATATTCGCTTTTCATTAAGTTGAGTACACTTTAAAAATGTTTATTTAATTAATTAAAACTTTACAGAGAATATAAGCAGTGATTCTTCTTATATCTTTTACCAGTTTACACAACTACCTGTTTACAATCCTGTTTAGGCTCTTTAGTTTCCTCTGGGAGAAAGTGGCTGAGTTCAGGCAAGGGCAGGTTTTTAACCAGACTGCAGATCACCTTAGCAGCAAAATTTGATATTTCAGGAAGTGGTTTTTAGTCAGAGGCTTCCATTAGAGGACAGCAGTCCTATGTGGGAATGCAGATAGTTATTTCCCATTGTTAACCTCGTGGCCTTTGATACCAGCAAGCCATCACCAAAACTGCTCAGAGGCAGGCTGGCCATCCTCTAGCCATCAAGTCAAGTTTCTTGCTTAGGTAACCCACTGGTTGTTGAGCTGGACCTTAAGCCTTAGTTAAAACTCCCAGGGTCATTAACTTCCTTTTTGATACATAGAGATTAAATGCCTTCCTTATGGGAAGACTGAGGGTTGGTGCTTTATGTAAGGCTTGCTTTAGTTGGTTAAAGGCTTTTTAGTTTTAGGTTCCCAAGTTAGCGAGTGAGTTTTTAGGTGCTTGAGTTTTTTTAATAAGGTGGTATAAAAGATTGGCTATTTTAACATTCCTAGGTACCCAGAGTTTGCAAAAACCAGTAATGTGTAAGGTCCCCCCAATGAGTTTGGGAAAGGAAAAGAAGAAAATGAGTTTAATTCTTTCTTTATCCGGTGTTCTTGTATCTTCTGACTAGACCTATCTACTGTACTGCAGTTTGACAGAGCTGAGCTTTAAATTTTGAGGCCCTATATTCCCTTTCAGCTAATAAATTGAGGAAAGTCTTAGTGCCTTCCTGAGACCTCTTCAGTTGGGGCACAGAGAACAGTGTTATTTAAATACTGCAAAGTTTCAACTTAAGGATGACAAAACCTAGAAATATGTTTGAACAGGGCCTGTTTTAGCAACTTCCTTCTGATATTAGAGCCTGCCTAAGTAATAAACCTTTTTTGTCATATCAGAACACAGGGAGGTTTGTTTTACTAAAGTTTTTCTCAGCCTTTTCAAAAAGGCCAGGGGATTTTTATCTGGTTTCTGATTTAACAGGGACAGATTAGAGTAATTAACATGCTTGATTGTGGTTCTTTGCAAGCTTTCTAATATGCACATCAGGAAGTGTTTTCTTTTCCACTTCTCCATAGGATCACAAGGACTCCAATTAGAATATTTAAGGGTCATTGTTTTTATTCTCATTGGGAATGGGGATTCTGTCTCTTTTTTCCCTTTCAACTGAGTTTCTTTTCTGACTGGCTCTAGGTAACCTACTGTTTGTTTTTTTGAGTTTTTTTGCTGCCTGTAAGGCTACTTGTTTCTTAACAGTTAGGGTTTGGCTTAAAAGCAGCATAGCATCTCTCCATGTAACATTAAACATTGGGTTAAATTTTGGAAAGACTCTATATATGTATCAGGGTCATTAGAGAACTTTCCTGGGGCTCACTTTATTTTCTTAAGGTCCTGCAATGAGAAGGGAACTTGAATCATAGTAACACCATGTTTATTGGGCATTTTCTGTAGGGGCAACAGCAATTATGTGGGTTTCTTCAGTGGCACAACCAGAGGAGCTGATGATATATGGGTATTGGGGGCCCAAAATATGGGAGGCTGGTGAGGCACCTGGAAGTTGCATTTAGGGTTCCCCAAGGGTTTGTATCTCAACTTTTGGTAATTATATTTTGTAGGGCTGCCAAGAGGGCAGATTTAATTTTACAATGCTTACAAAGATCTGGGTTGTCTCACAGGGCAAAGAAAGATCTATTTGTTGGGTAGTGTTGAAATTAATACTTCCCTTAGAAAGCCAGGCCTCCTGTCTCTAAGATGGCCATGGGTTTGTGCGACAGAATATAAGCCATTTTTTCTTTAGAGTTTCAGGGTTAAAGAGGTTCCAGTGTTTCAGAATGCACTAGAGGGGAATGCAAACTGTAGACGGTTTGTTACCTATCTAGAAAAAGGGGAGACAAGGCTTTCCTCAGTCCCCTTTCTCTTTTTGGTGTGGCGGAAAGAGAAAAAGGGCATACCACTTCTCGACCTTCCTTTTTTCCCTCTGGTTCCCAGCCACCATCATAGATGTTACCCATGGATGCGAGCATGACCTTCACCCATGGGTCCAGAGGAGCTCGTTGGCAGGACACGTTATGCTCACCTTCTCACCTAGCTTTCCATCCCGCTCGTTTTCTAGATCCACTCAGCCCAAAAGACTCTCAAGGTACTCCAGTGGCTGGGGAGAGATTATGCAGTAGTTGGATTTAGGCAAGATACTTTTATAGAGGGAATGCCCTAATACCATTTTTGGCTTCCCCTGCTATGGCCCCAGGAAAACATCAGAATCCCAGAGAATGGGATGAGTTTACCTTCAACATAAAATTCCTTTTTGTTCAAATTCCAGTGTAGTTTGATGAAGAACATGTGCCTTAAAAATGTGTAAAAATTGAAGATTTGTTTTGTCAGCATGGCTTCTTCCAGCTGTTGAAAGTTGAGTTTTTCTGTTTAGAAATAGGGCATGAGGCCTTATCAGTGATAAAGGGATGTAAAAGGGAAAATAATTGGGGGACTGTAAGTTTTGGAGGGAGCATTGACAAGGCTTCCTATGGAGAACAATCCCATTCCACTAGGGGTGCTGTAAAATTAGAAATCCTAGGTAAAAACTCCAACTTTATATTTTTAGGCAAAAGTTAGAAGGAGGTTTGGGTTTTGATAGGCTGTTCCTATAGCATATGCCCCAGAACAAACAAAAATGAACTTGTCTCATAAAGGAACTGTTTAGATTCATTGGATAGTGCTGAGCTTTCACATGGAGAGAAAAAAACAAATCAAATGCAAAGGAGGGTATTTACTCAGGGTGAAATATTCTCTCATACAGTGCCATGAATGTTTATTACTGTATTACTGTGGGAGAGAAAGGCCCTTACTGAGTAAAAATTTAGAGATATTTTGAATTCGCCCTGTTGCTAGGAAATTATAAAACAACAACTCTGAGTTACATATCTGATGACTAAGACACTGACTGACTTTACTCAGCATGATTATATCCATAGGCTGTAAAAACATTCACAACATTGCATACAAAGAATGAATAGGAGAAATTATAGGTACCAAAAAAAAGAAGAAGAAGAAAAAAAATGAAATGAAAAAAAAAAGACTGGAAGTTCTTGTGCCAACACCTTCATTGGCTGTTGGGGACTGGAGTTGGTCCAAGGGCTTTTAGGTAACACTGAGGTATAGACTCAACCAGAAACCTTCAGTTGCCATAGGACCTCCTTTCTGTTCCACACAATGGGTAGGCCCTTCGTGAAAGGAAACTGGATTAGAACAGAGCCAATGTTTTCAGGTTTGTCTCTAAGAGACAAAAACTTAGGACAAGAAGCCTCAGAAAGTAACTGAGGACAATGACCCTCACTCCTAATCACCCTTCTGATGAATTCCTTTCTCCCTGGCCAACACACCAAAATATGTTATAGTTTTATCAGTGCACCAAGATGTAACAACCTCTGTTGTTTGAGATAATACCCAGAATTCTTTGTGCTACATTCAAGAAGATTAAGGAGTGTGGACACAAGGGTGAGGTTTGGAACAAAAGTTTAATATGCAAAAAGAAAAAAGTCCTACTCCAGCAGAGAGGGAGGCCTGAATGGGTTGTCCACTATAAGGCTGTGATCCAGGGTTTTTACAAACTGGAATGGGAAAAAATTGTGCTTAGTTTGTGAGCTGTCTTAGAGAATGTGTGACTCAGCTTTGCCTGGGGCCTTGGCCTGAGACCAATCAGGGGCTGAAGTAATGATCCATAAAGGCTGCTCATGTTGGCCCAGAACCTATTAGAAGCTGATGCAAAAGCTTGGCCAAAGACCTTGGCCCACGACCAATCAAGGGCTAAAGTAATAATTTATAAATACCAGACTCACAGTTAAAAAAGAAAAGAAAGTGTCCACAGAACCCATCAAAGCCCACTGTGTTCATGCCCACAAAAAGAAAAAACTTTTTCCTGGGAGCCCACTGACTATGCAAAGAGCAGACATTTCTATGTCAGGCCTTGCTCCATTATCTAAGTAAGCCAGAGGTGTGTGCAAATTTTTATCTAAATGGGCTTTAGGTTCTCCTACTTGTGCATCCGAGGGCATGAGTCCAGGCACAACCCCCTGTGCTAGTTCCCTTAACAGTGTCTGGAGCTTTTTTTTTTCCAAGCTGCTTTTTCTGCTATGTGGGGATAAGGCACTAACCTGGGGGTTGGGGGCTCTCCATAAACCCTTGCCTTGCTATCTACCTAAGGCAAGCTAGCTAATGTCTCTCAATGCTAGTAAGGTTAAGTTCCTTAACACATTGAAAACATGCTTTAGTTTTACCTTAGCTTGGAAAGCCAAATTTGGTCAAAAGTAAATATAACAATATACTTCCATATAAATCATTTTGGAATTGAATTCAAATTATTAAATAAAATATTAAATTTGATATATGTATTTGACCATCAAATTTTTTTAAAAAGTTGAATAGATAGTGTGGTGAAGGTGAAACATGAGAGATATACATGCTTTTATGATAAATTATTTTGTGGTCATTTAAATTTTCAATTTAGCAGTGTTGACTGTGTTTAAAATGTGAATATTGACATGTAAGAGAAAAAATGTTGATAACAAAAAATACAAAACAAAGCATGATAGTGTGAATGGCTTTTCTGAAACCTCAGTTGTTGCCTTAGTTTCAAAAAAATTTAAACAAGAGACAAACACAAAGAAGATGCAGCATAAAGTAATTTATTGCAAAGGAGTAAGTCTATTTTAAAGGTTAGGTGCAGAATACCCAGTACATCTTGAGAGAGAAGGGATTCAGGGTGTGTTGCTTATGGAATGAGAAAGCAAAGACTGGAACTAGGGACTTTTTTATGGGAGTCTTATATAATTATTTATAAAGAGGTGGAAAGTGGTGTTATTAGTAAGCATGTTCTGGATGGCCCTCTTGATGCACGGACACAGTAGCTGTACATGCTTGTTCATTTTTCACATCTCACTAGCATCTTAAATCTCCACCCACAGGTGTGCTTTTTACTATTATAATGAGTAAAAGGTCAGTTTGAGGAAAGGTAAAATCAAAATGTGCATGCTGTTTACAGGGGAGTTTCTCTATTGGAGAGAGCTTTGCTTGAATAAGCTGGAATACAATGCGAATGCTGGGGCTTATTGTGTTGGCAATATGCAGCCACTGTACAATGGCCATGTTTGCTGCATCCCAAAGACATAGTCACTTTCTTGACTACCCATCCTTCCTCAATAGTACTTGTCTTGATTTATTCCAAACTACCAGCTCTGAGACTAAGATTTAGCTGTTATGTCAACATTGTCAACAGTGGGAAAATTAAAATTTTTAAATCAAACATATTTCAGCTTGATTTGGGTAATTAGCTGTGTGCCCGGGAAACAATACTTTACATCATTGGAGCTTCAATCTTCATTATTAACTAAAAATCCTATTTTCCCATAGCTGTTTTAATTCATACACGGTAGCTGTAAGTATTTTTTACTGAAAGTCTTGTCTAAATAATATAGTATATATTTAAGAATAAGAATAAAACCATGCATATTTCAAAATATTTTATTATAAGTGAGTGGGTATATTTTGTCATATGTAATATATTTATTTTTTCTAAAAATGCCAAAATAAGAATTTGATGATTTGTTGTGGAATAACAGGTTAAGGGTTTCTACATTGTGACTTTGCTAATTTTTGCATATGATTTTGACAACTACTGTTGAATTTAGGTTGAATTTTAAATCCACTGTTGTTTAGCTTGTGTGGTTTTTGGTTCATTTGGGGAGCCAAATATATTAGGCATGGACTGGTTGGGGTAACTTGGCTTCATTTCTGCTTTCTTTCTGTTATTACATATTGGGCTTCAGAAATGCCTAGGATTCAAATAAGGTTGGTTTGGAAACAAGGAGCAGAAAATCCCAGAAAAGACTGAGGGAAATATCTACTGAATAGTGCCTTTTAGTGAGATTTATACATGAAACAGCATTTAATGAAATTCATAAAATTATTGCAAGTTTTTTAAATTTAGAAACTAACTGCAAACAACATATTAGACACTAAGTCTTAGTTTGTCTATGGCATCTGTAGCTTGGGGAAGCTGACATTACAGACAAGAGTACTGCTACTGTAACAAGATATGGAACAAATACTTTTGTGTTTGTAAATATTCCCTTTAATAATCCTCAGATACATATCATTCTGGCTCAATACTTTTAGCACAACTGTGTATAATTCCAGAGACTCTATTCCACCAAATTAAAGTCATGATGTTCTCAGCTTTTTATGTTTATTTTTACCCAGTAAGACTCATAGTTGATATCATTATATTGAGGTCCCCCAGGCAATTGCTGAGCCTTAGAAATGACCATCCTATCTCATTTTTTTTGTTTCACATGTCCTGTTAATGAGTCTCTCTCACTCTATATTTAAGCCTTAGTCAGGCTTCAGTTTGGAAGAAACAGAGGAATGGGTTGCCACATATGTTTAGTTGAGGATCAGGATCCTCCTGTGTATAAAGACTTTTACATTTATTATTCTTAGTACAAAGCAGTATTTTTAAGATGTGGACATGTTAATTCAAATTAAAGATAAATCATTTTTATTAGTATGCCACTGTGGCAAAACATCTGTATAAAGTTCATGCAATGGTCTGTTTCATACTCTCCCAAAATAAGGACAAATATGTATGCACTGCTGGATCTTAGTTTTTTGTTGTTGTTGTTGTTCAGTGTATTTTTTTGTTTATTTACATTTTAAAGGATTTTTTCCTAATTTATGATAATGTTAATCTACAGAAAGCTTACCAAAAGCTCTATTTTACTACATTTTTTAAAACCAAAGTCCAAATACTCAAACATTGAAAGTGACATTCTCGATTACCATTTTTCATTTGATGTATCTACACTTATTACTACTGCATTGCAGTTTTTTTCTTACGTGGTGCAAGGTTATAAAAGTGCCTTCCAGTTGATTTTTTAGGTAACAGTAGAATCTGTTTTCTCAGACAATAACAGGAGAATTTTGGATATATTACGTTTCGAGTTACTACAAGCAACTTGATAAATGTGCAGAAATTTGTCTTTGTTAATAGACATTTTATTCAAAGACCAAAGTTGGTCAGGTGCGGTGGCTCACACCTGTAATCCTAGCACTTTGGGAGGCTGGCAGTGGTAGATCACAAGGTCAGGAGTTCCAGACCAGTCTGGCCAACATAGTGAAACCCCATCTCTACTAAAAATACAAAAAAATTAGCTGGCTGTGGTGGTGTGTACCTGTAATACCAGCTACTCAGGGGGTTGAGGCAGGAGAATTGTGTGAACCCAGGAGGCGGAGGTTGCAGTGAACCAAGATTGCACCATTGCATTCCAGCCCGGATGACAGTGCAAGACTCTGTCTGAAAAAAAGAAAGAAAAGAAAGAAAGAAAAGTCATACAAACACACTGAAAATAAATTGGAATCTGGCACCTACACTGATTAACAGGTTGAGCAGGTTAAACTAGACCTAAATCCCTGTAAACAACATTGAAGACAGAATTTTTAAATTAAAAATATCTTCAACAATTTAATAAACCTATGGGATTAGCAAGAAGAGATTTGTTTACCCATCATCAATCAATATTAGGTTAAACTAGAAAACTTTGAATACACTGTTTATAAAATAAAATTAGTAAACTATCCCCAGAGCTAATCTGATTAAAACAAGACTTCTGGGTATTTAGAAACACCAAATTACTGATAAACATATCTATTTTTAACAGATCTTTGATCTTATATATATACTACTATTAAGTAAAACCTAGTACTAATAGATATGATTTATAAAATATTTGTGAATATTTATTACTGTAGTAAAATATCAAGAAATTATTTAAGTCTATTGTCTAAAAACTTTTCATTAAAATATTTGGTATTTTAATTGAATGCCTGTATTCATATCATACGGCAAACCACTCATTTCTTTACTATTTTGTCATTTTATAACTGAAGCCTGAATTTGTAGACATTTTTTTAAAAAACAATCTTTTCTCAAGAAAGATTTACACATCAAAATGTAGAGGTATTAATGTCACATTATAAACATAGTTTGCTGAACCCTACAGCAATTTGTAAAGTTTGTGTATACCAATCTTAGATTTTCTAAAACATAATAAAGTTTTTTTTTTACGTTGTCTTTAACATACTAAAGTCCAAAATATATCCAGGCAGGCAGGAACTATGGCTGCCACTTTTAAAAAACAAATGTTTTAGCACGATACACTATTCTGTGTATGTACGGATAAATAATCAAACTTTGAACTTTTCAAATCATAAACAGATACATTATTTGTTACTTTGAGCCTTTAATATGTAAAACAAATACAATTGACTCTTCTTAGTTTAAAATATACTTACTTTGAACAATTCAACTAATGCAAGACTATCAAAAACTTCATAAGCCATACAAATGTCAACTTCATTTTCAAAATTATAAGAACTCAAAAAAAAAAAAGCTAAAGCATGACACTTTAGTTTAAAAAAAAACAAATAACTTTTTATTTGCACTTGTGTTGAGAATCACCTTTATTCATTTAGGAATAAACAGGAAATGGTGCAGTTGTAACTCACTGTGTGGTGACTGTGATGGTATTTACTGTCCTAGGGATGGTGGGATCCAGTGGACCAGAATCGTCAGCACCTTACCATGTTCACTGCTGTCCTTTCGTTCTGTCACTAAGATTAGTTTCCGAGACTCATCAACTCTTTCTATCATGATGTGAACTGTTTTGCACTGCGTTAGCGTCTGCCTTTGGTTTCTGCTAATTTTCTTTGACTTTCATTTTTCTTGTCCTTCTCTGGTGTTTGCTTTGCTGCTCCACTTTGAGGAGTTTGGGCAGCTTCACCCTCAGCCGCTCCAGCAGTTCCTCCATTTGGCTGAAGCTCTCCGTTCTTCTGTTCTTGGCGTCTGACATTTGTCAGCAAGGCCTGGTTTACAGGGACCACGGCTACCGCCTCCTCTGCGGGGCACCTCCTTCACTTCCGGAGGGCGCCAGTTCCAGTCGTGACCCAGCTGAGCACAGCAGGAACCGCCGCAGCAGCCGGAGCGCCCACGCCCACGGTCGCCCAGCCCGGGGATGCCTCGGCTCAAAGCCGGGGTCGCGGCTCAGCTTAGTGCGCAGAAATCCGAGGTCAACCAGAGCATTTCCCACAGCTGGCCGAGCCCTCCTCGACCTGCGGGGCCAGTTTCTCCCACTGGCTTTCTGCTGCCACCTCCCCTTCCATCAGAGGGACGCTCAGGATTGTGCAGGGGCCCGTAGACACCGTGAGGAGTCCAGGGAAGTGAGGAGGGGCTGGGCCGGGCAGGCTCAAGCCCAGCGCACGGCCGCACCCCTCACGCCTGAGCAGAGATCAGCCACTGCCACCGCGGGGAGGACAGAGGGACCCAGGATCCCCCAGCCAGCCTCCCTCTGCGTCAGGAGAGGAGGGAACTATTTCCAAAATATATATAGAGAGAGAGAGTAGAACTGGCATATCTGACCCAATCGAGTTTTCAGTTTTTCTTTTCTTTTTCGCCTTTTCCTCTCAAATTATGCTCGCCTAAAGTGAGAGTTCATTTTTCATTCTCACGTGGCAATTTAATTTTTTAATGGTCACAAACTTAGAGACTAAAATTTTTACTCTATTTTACCTAAGAATGATGAGGTAACATCAAACTTTTAATAGTGCTTTCTGAATTTTACAGTTTATTACCTTAGATTTGATTCTATCAACTAAACAATAATAACTAAAAAAGTCTTGGTTTGCATAGCTTGACCATTTACAAAGGGGATGTATTTATTCATTTAAATGATAAATGTGTGTTGAGCACACACGTTGTGCCATACTTCTTGCTAGCTTTAGGAGATAAAATGGAGAAAAAAAATATTGCTCTTTACTCTTATAAAACTTTCAGTCTTGCTACATAAAATTGGCCAGGTTGTTCTCGAACTCCCCACCTCGTGATCTGCCACCTCAGCCTCCCAAAGTGGTGGGATTACAGGTATGAGCCACCCCACCGAGCCTCTCCTAGAAGTTTTAAATCCTCGATATACATGAACAATTTTTGTGTTAGTTGCTTTGCAAGGATCCAATCTACCTAGGTAGAACCAATAGTTTAGCTATTAGTTTATTGACTAGTTCTGCTTTTCCAGTATAATTGTGTAACTGATTTCTCATTTTAACCTGTTGGCTGAAACCATGGATGCAATGTTTAATAAAAATCTTGAACACCAACATAATTATTATGTTTATGACATTAAAAGACAAACTTTCAGTAGTTATGTACATTTGCTGTACTTTATTTGAAATACCTTGTATATTTAGAAAATAAAATAAAATATTCTTTTATTTCTAGTTACCAAGCTCTTATTCTGTGCCTATTTTATGTAGACATGTAGATTATACAATGTTCAACTTATCCTGTACTCTTGAGATAAACTTATTGATGGTTTTATTCATTTTATACCGAGAAAGAGTCACTTTGTTTGTAATTGGTTTAAAAAATTTTTGTCTTGGCTGGGTGCGATGGTTCACACCTGTAATCCCAGCACTTTGGAAGACCAAGGCAGGTGGATCATGAGGTCAGGAGTTCAAGACCAGCCTGACCAACATGGTAAAACCTTGTCTCTACTAAAAATACAAAAATTAGCCAGGCATGCTGGCATGTGCCTGTAATCCCAGCTACTCAGGAGGCTGAGGCAGGAGAATTGCTTGAACCTGGGAGGCAGAGGTTTCAGTGAGTCGAGATTGGGCCACTGCACTCCAGCCAGGGCATCAGAGTGAGACACAGTCTCAAAAAAAAATTGTCTTTATGAATGAGATTGTCTATCATTGTCCTTGTTTTGTCTCCGTCAAGCTTTGATGTTAACTCAGGAATTGAGTTGTGCAGTATTTTTACCTATTCTAATTTTTAGAAAGGTTAAATAGTATCAACCTTATGCTTTTCAGTTTTAAATTTTGAATGCTTAGAATACTTACCAGATATTTTTCTGGCACTGATATTTGTTGCATATGTGTTAATTTCTACTGATCTAGCATCTAGTTTACTGGTTCTGTCTTGTACATGTAAGTTCAAATGTGGTTAGTTTTTATTTTAGTTATTGTATTATTCATTTTACAACTTATTTTTAGAATCTTTATATAGTTTCTTCTTTCCTGCATATACGTTCATTTGTCTTTTTTAGATATGGTAAGCATAGTTGTTTTTGATTTTTTGTGTCTGATAATTCTAATATTGGATGTCTTTGCAGATTTGTTTCTGTTATGTTTTTTTTTTCTGGTGTCTTTCACACGATCTTATTTATTGTGAACTTTGTCATATTTGCTTGCTTGCTTGCTAGTCATTGCACATAATGGAAAATTGTTTGCAAGGTTCATCAAGGTCTGGAATAGATGTAACTTTCTTTGGGAGTGTTTGCTTTTGCTTCTTTCTGTTTCCTGGGGATTCTACAATTTGAAGCAATTATTTGTACAACTTCAGGTAATATGGTTCATTCAGAATTAATATAATTGATGAAGAAATGTATGTAAGACCCATGTGTAGAAACAAGTTTGCAGATTTTTTTTTCTCTTTTTAAAAATTTTTCTTTATGACCTGTCCTCAACTTGAAGACAATCTTGTATGCCATTCCTTGGTGTTGGGAAGAAAACAACTGTTTGGGCCATACATATTCTTTGGAGTCCCAGGTTAATATTGAGAAGGTTTTTATAATATATCTCAAGTGCTAAACATCTAAAAGTACTTGATACATGTTAGAAAACATCATAATACTAGTAATTCTCAACACAAATTGTAAGGAATTAAGGTGCATTACTAGGTTCTATAAAAAGAATGTTTTTAGTTTGGAATATTTTTTGATAGATTGATTATGTTTTATGAACTGTGAATACATTTTTAATATGTATAAGGCAAAGAATGAGATGTTTGGATTCAAAGATGCATAAGATCAAACACTGAAGAAATTTTCTGTGTAGTCGGGGAGAAAAATAATGTTGAAAAAGCCAACGCACCCCATGGATTGCAAGTTTCTGCCTCCTGCCCTCACCTTACCTGGCTGCCAGACACCAAGATTTGTTTTTAATCTTTGAAGAAAAAGCTTCCCAAAGTGATGAGATTACAGGCGTGAGCCACCGTGCCCAGCTATTTTTTTCTATTTTTAGTTGAGATGAGGTCTCACTATGTTGCCCAGGCTTGTCTTAAATGCCTGAACTCAAGCAATCTTTTCCCCTTGGCCTCCCAAAATGTTGTGATTACAGGCATGAGCCAGCACACTTGACCCAATAAGTAATTTTAAAAATATGACAGAGAGCACATTGGGAGTCTGAAGCAGGAGGATTGCTTGAGCTGAGATTGAGAACAGCCTAGACAATATAGCAAGACCTTATCTCTACAAAAACAACAAAACAACAGTAAAAACAGAGAAGGCTTCTTCCATGTGACCTTCTACACCCTCAACCAGTGACTTTTCTGCAGGTAAACACTGTATAGGTTCATTTTATCTTTACACATATTTGCATGTGTATAATGTGATTTTATGTACCTTTAGAAATAGTATTGCATATGTGTTTCCTGGATGACACCATGTGTTCAGTGGTTAGAAGAGCAGGCTCAGAGTACCTGTGTAACCTTGGGCAAGTTTCTCGACTTCTCCGACTCATTTGTTACTCAGGGATAATAACATCTGAGTAAAATTAGTGCTGTTCTTTGAATGTAATAATAAAGTAGATAAACTATTTCAAGAGGAGAAAAATTTTACAAAAGACAAAAGAGGATATTTAGAGATACATTCAAGATTCAAACATAATATTTTTTAAAATGTCATGACATTAAACTTGAAAATTTAGATGAAATTATCTATTTTCCAGAAAAGTATGTGACAAAAATTGATTGTGGAAGAAACATGAGATAAATAGAAAAATCAAAAATTATGTTTTTAATTTTACACCCATAAAAAGCACATATATTATAAAATAACAGCTTTATAAATTTTTACAAAATGCATATATCATGAACCCAGCACCCAGTGACAGATGAGTGTGAACAATACAATTTGAACCGTGGACTGCATCCACATGCCATATGCAGGACCTCGTCAGTGGTCTCTGTTGATGTGTGAGAGTGACAATCCTCACTGTTGGCTGGGTATGCCTATGAGAATCACAATTTTAACTTTGTGCTGGGATCTGTTATGACACTCTCTGTACCACACAAGGGGGTCATAAAATTTGCATGAGTTTTGTAATCTTTTGTGACCTTCATACAAGTAGAAAGCCCAGGACCTTTCCCATTGTTTTAAGGCTACCTGTGAGAGTCAACATATCTCCTATGGCTAGGTCTGGGTATGCAAGTCCGTGCCTCTGAGCTAAGTCTGGAAATCAGTCACTATTCAACCTGTTCTCAGATCCACATATGACAATCAGAATTTTAACTGTGGACTGCACCTGCATGTGAGGTTCAGGACCTCACTAGTGTGCTACTGTCATGTTTGGAAGTGATGATCCTAATTGTTGGCTTGGTATGCCTATGAGAGTCACAATCTCACTATGTGCTGGGCCCTTATTATACTGTCTATATTACTCAAAGTATTTATAGAATATGCACACATTTTATCAACTTTTGTTACCCTTCTAAATGTAGGAGACTTCGGACTTTACCCACTGCTCAAAATCTAGCTAAGAGAGTCAAAATCACTCCTAGTGTCTGGTTTTCTATATGAGCATGGGCATAATGCCTGTGAGCTGGGAAACACGCATAGTTTGAAATTTAACCTGTGAGAATGGAATAGGCAAGATAATCAAATCACCTGAATGCTGGACCAAAAAGATGTCAATATCCACTCTCTGGGCAGGGCCATGGCAGTGAAGTCACATAACCTGGGAACTGGGCCTAACAGTATGTCACAATGCCTCTTGTGGGTAGGGTTCAGTTAGAAAAGTTACATTTCCTGTGTGCGGGACACAGTATTGTGACAGTAATATGTCACAATCCACCCTGTGTACAGGGCCCAAGCAGAAAAGGAGAGTCACATTACTTAAGTGATGTGTCCAGTTATATGCCACAACTCTTGGTGTTGGCAGGGCCCAGCCAAAGAAGATAATCATTTAACCTAGGTGATGGGCCCAGTGATATATCACAATCTCCCCTGAGGACCTATGCAGTAGAGTAAAATAACTTACATGGAGGGCTCAGGTATATGTCACAATTCCATTTGCAGGCTTTTCCCCAGCAGGAGGACCAAATATTTCAGGCATTGGACAAAGGTATATATTGCAAATACACCAGCAAAAGATCCAGAAATAAAATTTAAACTTTCACGCATTTTCTGGCTCCAGGTATGAGAGTCAAGACCTCCTGTGAGTTGGGTCTAAGTACATGAGTCACAGTCTTAATAGTGGACTGCATCCCTGCATGAGAGCCACAATTCTAAATGCAGGTTTCTCAGTATACGAGTCACAGCCTCACAGGCATGCTGAATCCTGGTCTTTGAGTCACTATCTTACCTGTGGACAAGATGTATTCACGAAAGTCACAATTCCAACTTTCGGCTACCTGCACATGTGAGGTTCACAGCCTCAACAGTGGATGGTTTCCATTTGGGAGGGTGACAATGTTTACTGTTGGCTGAGTGTGCATAAGAAAGTCACAATTTCACCTGTGTCCTGGGTCCTGTTATGACACTCTCTGTACCACCCAAGGGCTTTATGTGGTATGAGCGACAGTCACAATCTGCTTTGAGATCTTCATGCTGGTGTGAACCAATGATCGTACCCATTGTTCTATTACCAGGTATGTGTCAACATCTCTCTTATTGGTCAGATATATTTATGACAGTCATCACAGTGCTTGTAAGCTGGCTCCAAAAATAAGTCACCATATCAACTGTCCCAGTACACATACGAAAGTCACAATTCCAATTGTGGACTGTGCCTGTGAGATTCAGGACCTCACCAGTGGCTCTGTCAATGTGTGAGGGTGACAATCCTAATTGTCAGCTGGGTTTGTCTACAAGAGTAGTAATTTCACTTGGGTGCTGGATCCTGTAATCTCTAAATGTCACACAAGGGCTTTAGAGAATATGCTTGTCATAATCTTATGTGACCTTTCTTCACCCAGAACCTTATGCTTCTTCACCCAGAACCTTACCCATTGCCCTAAGCCTAGAAAATAGAGGCCAAATCTCCTGTATCAACTGGGTCCACGTATGAGGGCTATCATTACGCCTCTAAACTTGGCCTAGATATATGTCGCAATACCTCCTGTGAGCAGAAACCAAACGAGAGTCACATCACTTTGGTGCTTGGCCAAAGATTTGTTACAATCCCACTCATAAACAGGACCCAGGAAGAAGATGTGTCACAATGGCCACTGTAGGCAGGAGTCACATCACCTGGGTGCTTGGCCCAGCTATATGTCACAATCTATTCTGTTGGCAGAACACAGGCAGGAAATGAGAGTCACATCACCCAGGTGCTGGGCCTAGTTATATGTCACAATCCTCCTGCAAGCAGGGTCAAAGCAGAACACAAAAGTCACATCATGGAAATGATGGGCCCAGTGACATGTCACAATCCCCACTGAGGGCAGGGCCCAGGGGAAAAAAAGAGTCAAATCACATAGGTGATGGGTTCAGGCATGTCGCAATGCCTTTTTTGGGAACAGCCTAGGCAGGATTGGAGAGGCACATAACCTACATATATGTCCTGGAGATATGTCACAATCCCCCCTGAGGGCAGAGCCCAGGCAGGAGCATCACATATTCTAGATACTTCACCAAGGTGTATGTCAAAATCTCAACTATAGAAAGGGCTTCTGCAGGAGAGCAAAATTCATCAGTTCTCTGCCAAAGATATATGTAACGATCATCCCGCGGGAAGGTCCAGACGTAAGATTTACAATCTCACACTTGTCCCAGCTTCAGGTATGAGAGTCAACTACTCCTGTGAGTTATGTTCAAGAATGTGAATCACATTTTTAACCATGGACTGGATCAGTGCCTGAGAAAGCCAACACCAACTCTGGACAGTGTTTCAGTGGGGGCAGTCACTGCCTCATAGGTGTGATAAATTTTGGCCTGAAGATACAATCCTAACTATCCTACCTGTCACCATCCTACTTGTTAATCAAATCTACCTATGAGAATCACAATTCCAACTTTTGAATACCCCTGAATGTGAGATTCAGAACCTCAACAGTGGGCTGTGTCCATGTGAGAGGGTGACAGTTCTTACTTTTGGCTGCATGTGCACACAAGGGTCTCAATCCCACTCGTGCTGAGCCCTGTTATGACACAATCTATACCACCCCAGAGCTTTATGCAGGATGCATAAGAATTGAAATTTCCTATAAGATATAGTGCTGATATAAGCTCATGATCTTACCCATTGCCCTAAGCCTGAGAGTCAACATATCTCCTATTGGCTGAGTCCAGGTATGAGAGTCATCCCTGTGACTGTGAGCTGGGTTCAAAAATGTGTCAACATCTAACTTGTGGCCAGATCCACATATGACATTCATAATTCCAACTGTGGACCGTGTTTCCACTTTAGATTCTAGACCTCACCAGTAGGCTCTGTTCCTGTTTGAGGGTGACAATCCTAACTGCTGGCTGGGTGTGTTTAAGAGAGCCACAATCTCACCTGTGTGCTGGGTCCTGCTGTGACACTCTCTGTGCCACCCAAGGCCTTTATATTATAAACATGTTTGTAATCTTCTGTGACCCTCATACAAGTAGGGGAACCAGGACCTTACCATTTGCCCTAAGCCTAGCTATGTGAATTAATATATCTTTTTTTTTTTTTTTGCTGATTCCAGATACAAGATTCATCATCATGCCTGTGAGCTGGGTCCAATAATGAATCACCATCCTACTTGTGGCCAAATGCATATATGACAGTTACAACTCTAACTGCAGACTGCATCGGCATGTAAAATTTAGGTCACCAGTGGGCTCTCTCCATGTTTGAATGTGGTGATTCTAATGGTCAGCGAGGTGTGCATAGGAGAGTCACAATCTCATCTTCAGGTGGGCCTTGTATCAGCACTCTCTCTACTACCTTAAGACTGTATGACACATGGGTGAGCTAAAAATGTTCTGTGACCTTTGTACAAGTAAAAGACACAAGACCTTGTTTGTTGTCCTACCCCTCACTATGTGAGTAAAAAATTGCTTCTATCAGCTGGGTTTATGTATGAGAATCATCATCACGCTTTTGAGCAGGGCTCATGTATGTGACACAAAGCCCACTGTAAACAGGGCCTGTGAAAAAGAGTAGAGGCACATTACCTAGATGCTGGGCCCAGTGATATAATTTTATTTTGTGGGTAGGACCAAGACAGTAGAGAAATGTCACATCACTAGGTTCTGAACTTAGTGATAAGTAACAATTATCCCTGAGGGCAGGGCCCAAAAAAAAGTCACACTACCTAGGTGCTTGGCCCAGGTATATGTTAAGATCCTAACTGTATGCCAGGCTCAGACAAGAGAGTTAAATTACTCAGGTGCTGGGCAAAGCTATATATCACAATCACACCTGCAGAAAGGTTAAGTGATATGATTTACAATCCCACACATGTCCCAGCTCTATGTATCAGAGTGAACTCCTCCTGTGAACTGGGTCTCAGTAAGGGTGTCACAATGTCAAAGGTGGACTGGATTTGTGCATGACAGCCACAATCACACCTGCAGACTGCATCTCGGTAGAGGAGTCACAGCCTCCAGGTGTGCTGCCTCCTGGTCTGAGGTCATCATCTCAGCTGTGGACCACATCCACCTATGAGAGTCACAACTCCAACTTTTGACTGCTTCTGGTTGTGAGATTCAGAATCTCAACAGTGGGCTGTGTCCATGTAGGAGGTTGATAATCCTTACTCTGCCTGTGTGCATACCAGAGTCACAGTCTCACCTGTGTGCCAGACCCTGTTATGACCCTCTCAGGACCAATGGGGGACTTTGTACAATATGTATAGTGTCATAATCCTCTGCTACCTTTATGCAAGCAGGAGACCTAGAACCTTATGTGCTGCCCTAAGCCTAGTTAACAGAGTCAACGTCTCTCCATTTGGCTGAGTCCAGGTGAAAGAGCCTTCACTATTTTCTAAGCTGGATCCAGAAATGAGTCACCATCTCACCTGTGATCAGATTGAAATATCACAGTCACAATCCCAACTGTGAACTGTGTCAGGGCATGAAATTTAGGACCTCACCAGTGGGCTCTGTTTATATGTGAGGGTGATGGTACTGTCAGCGGTGTCTGCATAACAAAGTCACAATCTCACCTGTGTGCTGGGCCCTGTTAATTAATCTCTATACCACCAGAGGGCTTTATACAATATGCATGAGTGTCATAATCTTCTGTGACTTTCATACAGGTAGGAGACCCAGGACCCTATTAATTTCCTTAAGCCTAGCTATAAGAGTCAGCATCTCTTCTATTGACTGGGTCAAGATATGAGAGTTCTCACTGTGCCTGTGAGCTAACTCCATAAACAGGTCAACATCACACCTGTGGCTGGATCTACACATGACAGTCAAAATTCCAACTGTGGACTATGTCCGTGTACAAGATTCAGGACCTCACCAGAGTTCTCTGTCCATGTGCGATGATGACACTCATAACTGTTGGCTGGATGAACATCCAAGAGTCACAATTTCACCTGTGTGCTGGGTGCAGTTTTATGTAAAATTCTCACCTGTGGAAAAGAAACCAACTAGGAGGGTCGCATATTTTAAGTGCTGGGCTAAAGATATGCTACAATATCTCCTATGGGCAAGGCCCAGGAAGGAGAGTCAAATTACCTGTGTGCTGTGACCAGTGATATGTCACAATGCCTTCTATGGGAATGGCCTAGGCAGGAGTTTTCAATTTCCCTTGTGCTGGTCCAACGATATGTCACAATCCCCCTCAACTGGCATGGCCTGAAGAGAATAGAAGAGTCACAGCACCTAAATTATGGCCACAGAGATATATCACCATACCTCCTGTGGGCAGGGCCTAGGATAGAAGCTTACATTACCTGCAATCTCGGCTCAGTAAAATGAGTCAATCTCTCCTACGGCTAGGGCCCAGGCAGCAGAGGAGAATCATATCACCTAAGTGCTAAGACCTGTGGTATGTCACAGGCCATTTTGAGGGGGCAGAATGCAGGCAAAAGAGGAAAGTCACATCACCTAGGTAATGAGTTCAGAGGTAAGTCACAATACCTACTGTGGGCAGGGCCCAGGCCATACAGTCACATCACGGAGGTGCTGGGCTCAGTGATATCTCACAATGGCTCTGTGGGCAGGGCCCTGGCTGAAAATAAGATACACATGACCTAAGCACTGAGCCCAGTGATATTCTACAGCACCCTCTGTGGATAGGGCTCAAGCATGAGAGTCACATCACCTAGGTGTTTGACCCAGGTATCTGTCACAATCCCCTCTGAGGGCTGGGTCCAGGCAGGGAAGTAAAATCACTTAGGTGCTAGGCCAAAGTATATGTCACAACACTTGTGGGAAGGTCCAGGGCTAAGATTCACAATTCCACATGTGTCCCAGCTTCAGGTAAAAGAGTCAACACCTCCTGTGAGTTGCATCCAAGTACATGAGTCACAATCTCAATGATGGACTAGATTCATGCATGAGAGTCCCAATTCCACCTGCAGGCTGTGTCCTGATATCAGAGCCAAAGCCTCACCTGTGTGATGAACCCTGATCCTAGAGTCATCATCTACCTCTGGACAAAATGCACATACGAGAATCAGAATTCCAGCTTTCAACTGCATCCAGATGTACAATTCAGAAGCTCATCAGTGGTCTCTATTCATGTGGGAGGGTGACACTTTTTACTGTGGGCTGGAAGTGCATATAAGAATCACAATTTCAGCTGTGTTCTGGGTCCTCTTATCACACTCTCTTTACCTCCATAGGGCTTTGCATTGTTTGGGCAAGAGTCACAATCCCCTTTGAGACATTGGTGCTGGTATAAACTCATGATCTTACCTCTTTTCCTAAGTCCAGGTATGAGAGTCAACACCTCTCATATTGGCTGGGTCCAGGTATGAAAATCATGACTGTGCCTCTTAGTTGGGTTCAGATATGAGTCACTCTCCCACCTGTGGCTGGATCCAAACATGACATTAAAAATTCAAACTGTAGACTCATCTGAGAATGAGATTCAAGACCTCACCAGTGGGTTCTGTCTATGTGTGTCTATGACAATTTTTACTCTTGGCTTGGTGTGCGCTTGAGAGTCACAATCTCCACTTTGTGCTGAGTTATGTAATGACACTCTCCGTACAACCTGAGGGCATTATACAACATGAGTGAGTTTGAAAATTTTCTGTGACTTTCATACAAGTGAGAAACACAAAACCTTGCTTCTTGCCCTAAGCCTCAAAATCAACACATCTTCTGCTGGCTGGGTTCATTGTGCAAGTGGGTTGGGTTCAGAAATTTGTCATCATCCAACCTGTGGCTGAATCCACATATGACAGTAACAATTTCAATGGTGAAATAGGTTTATGTGTGAGATTCAGGACCTCAGCAATGGGCTCGGTCTATATGTGAAGGTGGCAATTCAAATTGTTGGCCAGATGTATATAGGAGGGTTACAATCTCACCTGTGGACTGGGCCCTGTAATGACACTCTGTATTCCCCAAGAGCTTTATACCATATGTGTAAGTTTCATAATCTTCTGTTGCCTTCCTACAAGTAAAAGACCCAGACCCCTAAGTCTAGGTTGACCCCAGAGTCAACATCTCTCTTACTGGCTTGGTCCAGGTATCAGAGTCATCACTATTCCTGTGAGCTGAGTCCAGAAATGAGTCACCATCCCACTTACGGCAAGATATACATATGACAGTCACGATTCCAACTGTTGATGTGTTCACATATAAGATTCAGGACCTCAACAGTGGTCTTTATTCATGTGTTATGGTGACAATAGCCCCTGTTGGCTGGGTTTGCATACAAGCGGAAAAATTTCATCTGTGTGCTGGGCTAAGTAATATGTCACAATCTTACCTGCAGGAAAGGCTGAGAAATGAGAATGATGTCACTTGAATTCTTCACCTGTAAAATGTCTCAATCCCCTCTATAAGCAAGGCCCAGGCAGGAGAGTAACATCATTTGTGTGCAGGGCCGAGTGACATATCATAATATTTCCTCTATGTCAAGGCAGGAGAGTCACAACATTCAGGTTCTGGGCCCAGAGACATGTCACAATCCTCTTTGGGGGCATTTCTCAGGCAGCAATGAAGAGGCATATTATGTAGGAAATTGGTTCAGAGATGTGTCACAATGTCCCTTTTGGGTGGTGCACAGGCAAGCAAAGAGAGTCACATCATCTAGATAATGGGCCTAGCAATATGTCACAATACCCTGTGATGGAAGGGCATAGACAAGAAAGTCACATAAACTAGGTGAGAAAACCAGAGATATGTCACAATGTATGCTATGAGTAGGGATCATGGAAAAGAGGATAGCCATAAAACCTAGGGGCTGCACCCAGATATATGTCACAATTACCCCAGTGGGTAGAGCCTAAGCATGAGAGGAGAGTCAAGTAACATAAATGCTGTGCCAAGCAATATGTCAAAATCCCCACTGTGGACATATCCCTTCCCGCCCTAAAAAAGAGTCACATTATCTGCATTTTTGGGACCACAGGTATGTATCAATGATGCCTGTGGGCAGAAAGCAGGCAGAAGAACCACATCACTTGTGTGCTGGGTCCTGATAAATCACTCTTATCTGTAGTCATGGCCCAGACAGAAGAGGCAAGTCAAATTAGCTGGGTGCACAGCCCAGAGATACATCATAGTGTCTACTATAGGCAAAGCCCAGGAAAGAGAGGAGACTCAGATCAAACAGTCAATGGACCCAGAGATATATCACAATGCCCCCTGCAAGGAGGGTCCAGGCAAAGGACTCAAATCTCTTTTGCTTTGGGCCCAGCAATATGTTGCCATGCCTTCTGAGGGTAGGGCCAAAGTGAAAGAGTAGTATCACCTTGGTGTTGGGCCCATCAATATGTCAGTATCTTTTGTGTTAGCAGAACATAGAAAAAAAAGGAAGAGTCACATCAACTGGGTGCTGAGCCCAGGGATATGTCCCATTTCCTCCTGTGATCAGAAACCATGCAGGAGAAGAAAGTCAAAACACATAGGTGATGGGCACAGAGATATTTTATAATGTCCCCTGTAGGAAGGGCCCAGGCAGAAAAGTAACATCACCTGGGTATCGGACAGTGCAATATGTCAATATAGCCAATGTGGTTAGGGCACAGGCAGAAATCACATAACCTGGGTGAAGGGCCTGGCAATACATCACAATGCCTTCTATGGGCAGAGCCAAGGCAAGAGAATAGGTTACATCAGCTAAGTGCTGCACCACGTGATATGTCATGATCTCTGCTGAAGGCTGGACCCAGGCAGGAGAGTCAAATCACTCAGATTCTGGACAGAGGCATACATCAGATTCACACCTATAGGAAGGTCCAGGGATAAGATTAATCCCACACATGTTCCAGTTCCAGGTATGAGAGTCAACACCTGTAGGTTTGGTCTAAGCACATGAGTCACAGTCTCAACAAGGGACTGAATTTGTACACAAGAGACTAAATCTCTCCTGAAACCTGTGTTCCCTTAGTGAAGTCACAGCCTGACAGCCGTGGGGAGTCTTTGAGAGTCACCAACTCACCTATGTATCAGATCCACGCATGAGAGTTAATTCTCCAACTTTCCACTGCCTCTGGGTGGGAGATTCAGGACCTCAACAGTGGGCTGTATTCATGTGGAAAAATGACAGTCTTTACTATTGACTACCTGTGCATAGGAGTATCACAATGTTACCTGTGTGCTGGGCCTCGTGGGCACACCATCTCTACCATTCAAAGTATTTGTATGGTACGCATGAAAGTCAAAATCTGCTCTGAGACCTTCATGCTAGCATGCACCCTTGATTGTACCTGTGACCCTAAGCTCATTCATGAGAGTCAACATCTCTTCAGTAGATTTGGTTCAGATAGATTTCTCAACTGTCTATGAGCTGGGTTTAGAGATGAGTCACCATCCCAATTGTGGCTGGATGTTCACATATGACAGTCACAATTCCAACTGAACTGCATCCACCCATGAGGTTGAAGACCTCATCAGTGCACTGTGTGCATGTGTGAATGCCTTTTAGTTCATGTGACATAAGTAATCTTTGGGAAATAAAAACAGCTTTACATGCAAGGTGTGTAAGAAAAGTAGAATGTGCTTTCAGCTTAAGATTTAAAAAAAGGCATAAGAATGTTAATTTTGGTTCCTAAGTCAGAGATCTAAAGGTTTGTTTAAAATTAGAATAAACCTGAAGGTTTGAACAAGTTCTGGAAGCTTTCTAAAAAATTAATCTCATAAAAAATTCTGTGTGTGAACATACTGGCTAAAGTTAAATAGATGTTACTCAGTTTTTCCATAAATTGAACATTAGAATAAGAGCACAGCAGGTTTTTCTTAGAGCACAGATTTGCTCTTCAACAAACATTTTAAAGGGTTTTAAAAGATTTCTGAGAATCTTACCTTATAGTCAAACTAATTAAGATTTCATATGTTTGTATATAAGGTTTTATTAAGAAATGGGTTTGGCATCATTAGTATACTAACACAAAGGTGAAATATAGACTTTCACTCTTGAACAAGATATTCATGTGATATGTAAAAAATGAAAGATTTTGGTTTGTCTTTTGAATAAACTACAGCAAAAAGACAAGAGACAGATTGTTTGGAAAGCTAAGTCTTTCTTCTGTTAATAAGTAAAGGTTTCTGGCTTTTAAAAATTTTTTTAAAAAGAAAAGTTACCATTTTGGCTAAATGAATGACATAGGGTGACCTGGGATTTGATTTTATAATGTAAAATGTTTTAAACCTTTGCTATTTGAAAAACTTTCCAAAATTAAATTATAAATTTTGTCTTTTCTGACCTAATTAATCTTTTAGATATTAGGTCACCTAAAGTCCAAAAATGACATATTCAATTTATTTGGTATAAAAGTTATATAGAATATATTGTCAAACATGAAATGGTATTTGGCTTTCTTGGGGTTGTATTTGTACAAATAAGTCATTGGTGAGTGTTCTAAAATTATGGAATACTCCTGTAAGTCTCATATGACTTAGTGTATAGTATGTTACTAATAGTTATAATTGTTATGTAAAATTTTTTATTCCACAAGAGTAACCAATATTTCTAGTCAATTGTGGTTTTTGTTTGTGTTGTTTTGTTTTGTTTTGTTTGAGATGGAGTTTCACTCTTGTTGCCCAGGCTGGAGTTCAATGGCACGATCTCAGCTCACTGAAACCTCTGCCTTCCGGGTTCAAGCAATTCTCCTGCCTCAGCCTCCTGAGTAGCTGGGATTACAGGCATGCACCATCATGCCTGGTTAATTTTGTATTTTTAGTAGAGACAGGGTTTTTCCATGTTGGTCAGGCTGGTCTTGAACTCCTGACCTCAGGTAATCCACCTGCCTCGACCTCCCAAAATACTGGGATTACAGGCATGAGCCATTGTACCCGGCCGTCAATTGTGGTTTTAATAATGGCTGTTCTAAGGCTTTTTTATCACCCACAGACAATTGTTGTCCTGTTTTAATCCTTTTCAAAAGATGACCTATAGTATGCTATGGAACATTGATGGGTGCTTTTAAATGTAAATTTCTGATAACTTTGAAGACTGCAAAATTAGAACAGGAGAAAAACTTTCAAGACTCTCATGGAAAGCTAATAAATATCAAGGAGAACAAGAGTTTACTGCATGAACTGTACTAATAAAAGATGGAAGTAATATTTTTTGGCTTTTTGCTTAAAATGTTGTGGATCCTTTGTTTTTCAGAGTCAAGAGCACTTTTGAGCTATTTACAGCTTTTAACGATGGAGGAAAATAGACTCCTGTAAACATAATTTGGAATATATTTGTTTCTCTCTCCCTGATTTCTCCAGAATGTGCAAAGATATTGGTGAGTATTCTTAATTTATGGCAATATAGTTATTTGCTTAAGTGCAATAAGCATGTTTTCATTTGCAACAGGACACAATGGGAGACACAGGTTATTTTACCAAGGCTTTGACTGGAATAATGGTCTTTTCTTCGAGAAATCATACTTGATTTTTAGAGCCAGTAAAAGCTCTAAAATTGGCCTTGGGAAAATTGGCCTTCTACATTGTCTACAAAGTCCCTGTGCAGGGTTCCTGACATGTGGTAAGTAAGGAATGTCACTTTCTGACAGGCCCAACAGTCCCAAGTTATCCTGAGACCTCAAAAAGAAAGGAATTAACACAATTCCTGACTTCCAGAACATCACACTTTCTATGTCACAGGATAAGACAAGAGGTCAGCACAAGGTACCATTCAGAAAGATCTTTCTGATGAAAGAGGATGCAGTACAAAAGACAGCAAAAAAACACCAAAAGAAAAATTGCAATGAAAGTGACCTCTGGTAGTCCTCACTACTCATTATATGCTAAAGGTAATGCATTAGTATGCTAAAAGACACTCCCAACAGCACCATGACACTTTACAAATGTCATGGCAATGTTAAGCAGGTATCCTATATGGTGTAAAAAGGGGAGGCACCCTGATTTCTGGAAGCTGCCCATCCCTTTCCTGGAAAACTCACAAATAATCCATCCCTTGTTTAGTATGTAATCAAGAAATAACCATAAAAAGAGCCAATGAGCAGCCCTCAGGGCCTCTCTATCTATGGAGTAGATATTCTTTTGTTTATTTACTTCTCAATAAACTTGCTTTCACTTTAAAAAAATAAGTCACATCAAATAGTTGACAGGTCTAAAGATATGTTACAACGCCTTTTGTGGGCAAAGTGCAAGCAGAAGACTCACATAACCTTGGTGCTGTTCCCAGGAATATGTCACAGTGCCTTCTGAGTTCAGTTCAAAAATGAAAGTGTAACATCACATTAGTTTGAGGCCCAGTGATATGTCACAATCTCCACTGTGGGCAAAAAGTAGAAAGGAGAATCACATCAGTTAGATGCTGAGTTCAGCAATATGTCATAATGCCCCCTGTGAGCAGGGACCATGCAAAAAAAGAGAGTCACATTACCTGGGTTATTGGCACACAGATTTGTCATAATGCCCCCTGTTGGCAGGGCCTAGGCATGAGAGTTACATCCCTGGGTGTTGGACCCAGTAATATTTCATAATTTGTGGACAGGACACAGGCAGGAGAGTCATGTAACCTGGGTACATATCCCAGAGATATGTCAAAATACCTTTTATGGACAGTGTCAAGGCAGAAAAATGGAGTCACATCACCTAGGTGCTGGGTAGAGCAACACATCACAATTCCATCTGTGGGCTAGACCATGGCAAGGGTCATATCACTCAGATGCCAAATAGAGGAACATGTCAGCATCACTCCTGCAGGAAAGTCTAAGGAAAAGATGAACAATCTTACACATGTCCCAATTCTAGGTATAAGAGTCAACACTTCCTATATGTTGGGTCTAAGTAAATGAGTCACAGTCTCAGTAGTGGGCTGAATTTGTGCATGGAAGCCTCAATTTGTTCTGCAAATTCTGTTTTCTTACTGGAGTGATGGCCTCATAAGTGTGCTGAATTTTGATCTGAGAGTAACCAATCCACCTGTGGATTGGGTCTACAAGCAAGAGACAATGTTTCAATTTTCCACTGCCTTTGGTTATGAGATTCAATGCCTCAACAGTGGGCTGTATTCAGTGGGCTGTATTCATGAGGAAAGATGTCAATTTTTACTGTCAGCTGGGTGTGGATATCACTGTCACAATCTTACCTGTGTGCTGAACCCTGTTAGGACATTCTCTATACTACCCAAGATCATTGTAGAATAGGAATGAGAGCCACAATTTGCCCTGAGACCTTTGTACTGCTCCCTAAGCCCAGGTAGAAAAGTCAATATTTCTCAAATTGACTGGACCCAGACAGGAGAGTCCTCACTTGTCTATGAGCTGGGTCTAGAAATGAGTCAGCATCCCAACTTTGGACAGGTGTTTACATATGACAGTCAGGAATCAAACTGTAGATTGCATCTGCATGTGAGACACAAGACCTCACCAATGGGTTGTATCCAGGTGTTAGGGTGACAATCCTAACAGCTGGCTGGATGTGCATACAAGAAACGCAATATCCTCTTTGTTTTGGGACATGTGATGACACTCTCTGTACCACTGAAGGGTTTTATTCCATATACAAGTTTGTGGTAGTTCTCTATGACCTTCATACAAAGAGACACAGGTATTTTACCAGTTTTTCTAAGCCTAGCAATGAGAAACAGTATCTCTTCTATTGGCTTGTTTGAGGTATGAGAATTGTCATCACACCTGTGAGCTGGCCCAGGATATATGTAATAGTTTCTCCTCTGAATAGGGAGCGAGTGGGGAAGTCACATGACCTGGGTTTGGGGCTGAAGATATATCACAATCTTCTCTGAGGACAGGGACAAGGCAGGAGAGTCAAATCACCTGAGTTCTTGGCCAGGGATATGTTACAATCCTCTCTTGAACGTTGGGAACAGGCAGCAGAGTCACATCACCTGGGTCCTGAGCCCAGTGATATGTCACAATTGTCTATGTGGGCAAACCCCTGTCAGAAGAGACACATCACTAGGTTGCCTAGTTCAGTAATATGCCACAATCTTCCCTGAGGGCAGGGTATAGGCAGAAGACAGTCACATTTTTCAAGTCACATATCTTTTAAAAAAGTGATGAGGGTCCCTTGGGCTGAGTCTGGGTGGAAGTTTTCCTACCCATAGGTGTTGGTCACAGAGGTATGTCACAATACCAATAATATGTGACACTTGAGCAAGAGAGGATAGTCACATCACCAAGGTGCTCAGTTCAGTGATATGTCACAATCTCTTCTTTTTGCAGGGCTCAGGAAAAGAGTAGAGTCACATCACCTAGGTGATGAACAAAATGAGATATCATCATATGCCTATGGACAGAGCTTATGCAGGAAAGTCACATCACCCAGGTGTTTAACATAGCGATATATTACAATACACATGTATGCAATGCCCAGGCAAAAGAGAAGAGTCATATCACAAGGTGCTGGGTCCAGCAATATTTCATAATACCCCTGGGGGGGGTGTCCCAGGGAGTAGATTCACATCACCAAGGTGAATGGGCCCAGAGATATGTCTTAATGCCTCTTGTGGGTAGGGCTCAGGAAAAAGAGGAGAGTCACATAACCTAGTGACTGGGCCCAGCTTTATGTCACAACCAACGCAGTGGATAAGACCTAGTCATGAGAAGAGAATCACACCATGTAGGTGCTAAGCCAAGTCATATTTCACAATCCACACTGTGCATAAGTTGCAGAAAAAAACGGAAGTGTCATATCTTCTATGTGATGGGACTAACGATATATTATAGTAACACTTGAAGAAGGAGACCTGGAAGAAGTATTATATCACCTGTGTTCTGGGCCTAGCAATAAGTCACTCTCCCTATCTCCCACTCTCCTGAAGGCATGGCCCAGGCAGGAGAGGAGAGTCACATCAACTGAATGATGAGCACAGAAATATGTAACAGTGCCCTCTGTAGATAGAACCCTGTCATAAGAGTTACTTCCTTTGGGTGTTGGACCCTGCAATATGTCACAATGGCCAACGTTGTCTGGACACAGGCAAAAGAGTCACATAACCTGTGTACAGAGCACCTTGATGTGTGAAAATGCTCTCTACGGGTGGAGCCACAGCAAAAGAATAAAGTCACATCACCTAGGTGCTGGGTCCATGGATGTGTCATATTTCTGTCTGTTGTCTGACCCCAAGCAAGGGAGTCAAATTACTAAGGTCCTGGGCAGAGGCTTATGTCACAATGACACCTAAGAAGGTCCAGGGATGTGATTGGCAATCTTGAACCCATCTAGGTTTTATTTATGAGAGTCAACACCTCCTGTGTGTTGGCTCTAAAAGCAGGAGTCACACAATCTTAATGAGAGAGTAGATCCATACATGACAGCCTCAATCCCTCCTGCAAACTCTGTCCTCTTTGTGGAGTCACAGCCTCACATGTGTGCTGAATGTTTGAGGTTAAACAACCCACCTGTGGATTGGATCCATGGATGATAGTCAGTTTTCCAACTTTCCACTGCCACAGGGTATGAAATTAAGAACTTCAAAAGAGGGCTGTGTTCATGTGGGAGGATGACAATTTTTTACTATCAGCTGGATGTGCATACAGGTGTTATAATCTCATCTGATTCCTCAGCCCTGTTAGGACACTCTCTGTACCACACAAGGGTTTTATGTGGTATGCACGAGAGTCACAATCTGTTCTGAAACCTTCATACTAGTATGGATTCATGATTTTACCTGTGGCTTTAAGCCCAGGCATGAGGGTCAACATCTCTTCGATTGGTGGATTCCAGATAGAAAAGTCTTTGCCTACTGAAATGAATCACTATCCTAACAGGTGCTGACTGTTCTGTCACAATTGCAACTGTAGATTGCATCTGCATTTGGGATTCAGGACCTCTCCAGTGGGCTCAGTCTATGTGTGAGGGTGATCATCTTAATGACTGCCACAGTGTAAATATATAAAACACAATCTCAATTCTGTGCTGTGCCCTGTGCTGACACTCTCAGTACCTACCTACAAAAGACAGTATTTCTCCTATTGGAAGGTTTGAGGAATGAGGGTGATCATCACATCTGTTACCTGAGTAAAGACATATGTCACAATTCCACCTTTGGATAGGGAGTGAGCAGCAGAGTCACACCATGTGGGTTTGAGTCTAGAGATATTTCTCAATATTCCCTAAGGACAGAGACCAGGCAGGAGAGTCACATCACCTGGGTGCTGCTCCTAGCTATATGTCACAATGTTTCCTATGGGTAGGGTGCAAGCAGAAGAAAGTCACATCTCCTAGGTAATGTATGAAGAGATACGTCACAAGGTTTTCTGCGAGTAGGGTTTAGGCAAGAGCTTCCCATACCCTAGGTGTTGGGCCTAGCAATATGTCACAATACTCAAAATATGAGAGGCCCAGGTAAAAGAGAAGACTCACATCACCTAGGTGGTGGGTCCAGTGATATGTCATGGTCTTCTTTTTTGGCAGGGCCCAGACAGAAAAAAGAGTCACATCGCTTAGAAGATAAATGAAAAGATATGTTACAATACTACAGTTGGAAGAACCTATCCTGAAAAGCAGCATTACCTAGGTGTTGGCTCAGCCGTGTGTCACAATACACAATATATGCAGTGCTCAGGCATGGAACAAGATTCACATCGTCTAGGTGCTGAGCCCAGATATATGTCACAGTCTCTCTAATAGGCATATCCCAAATAAGAGAGTAGAGTTTCATCAAATGATTGGTGCATCCAAAGACATGTTACAATGCCTCCTGTGGGAAGAGTCCAGGCAGGAGACTCACATTACTTTGATGCTGAGTCAAGCAATATGTCACAATGTCTTCTGAGGGCAGGGTCAAGACAAAAGAGTCATGTCACCATGCTGTTGGAACCAGTCATATGTCACAATCTCGTCTTTGGGCAGAACTCTGGCAGAAGAGAAAAGACACCTGCTAGGTGCTAGGCCCAGTGATATGTCAAAATATCCCTTGTAAGCAGGGACCAGGCAAGAACATAGAGTCCCATCACCTGAAAGATGGGTGAAGGGATATGTCCCAATGCTCTCTGTAGGCAGAGCTCAGGCAGGAGAGTTAAATCATCTGGATGTTGGACTGGCAATACGTTACAGTGTCTTATGTGGGCAGAGCACAAACATAAAAGTCACATAACCTGGGTGCAGGTCCCAGTCATATGTCATAATGTTCCCTGTGGGCAGTGCCAAAGCAGGTGAGGGGACTCACATCACCTGGATAACAGGATCAGCAGTATTTTACAATGGCCCCTGTGAGCTGTGACCAAGCAAGAGAGACAAATCACTCAGCTGTTGGGCACAGGTGTATGTCCCAATGACATCTGCAGAAAATTTCAGGGATGAGATTAACAATCTAGCATAAGTCCTGGTTCTAGTCATTAGAGTCAACACCTGCTGTATGTTGGGTCTAAGTGTCATGCACATCCCTGTGAAGAGAGTCCACCAAACAGGCTTTGTGTGAGCAACAAGGCTGTTTATTTCACCTGGGTGCAGGTGGGCTGAGTCCAAAAAAGGAGTCAGCAAAGCGTGGTGGGATTATCATTAGTTCTTATAGGTTTGGGATAGGTGTACAAAGTACATTCTCACGGGTGGGGAGAATATTACAAAGTACCTTTTTAAGGTGGGGGGAGACTATTACAAAGTACCTTCTTCAGGGCAGAGGGAGAATATATCGTATCAGTTAGGGTGGGGCAGGAACAAATCACAATGGTGGAATGTCATCAGTTACGGCTATTTTCACTTCCTTTGTGGATATTCGGTTGCTTCAGGCCATCTGGATGTATACGTGCAGGTCACAGGGGATATGATGGCTTAGCTTGGGCTCAGAGGCCTGACAATAAGTACATGAGTTAGAATCTCAATCACGGACTGGATTTGTTCATAGGAGCATCAGTTGCTCCTGTGAGCTGTGTCTTCTTAGAAGAGTTATAGCCTCACAAGTGTACTTAATTTTGATCTGAATGTCACCAACCTACCTGTAGACCAGATCTATATAAGAGAGTCAATTTTCCATCTTTCAACTTCTTTCAGGTGTGAGATGCAGAATCTCAACATTGGGCTATGATTATGTGGGAAAATGACATATTTTACTGTGACCTGGGTGTGCATAGGAGCATCAACATCTTTTCTGTGTTCTGGATCCTGTTAGGACACTGTCCCACCTGAGAGCTTTATACATTACACTGGAGAGTCGCAGTATGCTCTGAGATATTCATGCTGGTGAAGACCCATGCTTGTACCTGTGGCCCTGAGACCACGTGTGAGATTCAACATCCCTTTAAACGTGTGTATAGGTAGAAGAACCCTCACCTGCCTATAACCTGGGTTTAGAAATGTATCATCATCTTGACTGGGCATGGTGGCTCATGCCTGTAATCCCAAAAGTTTGGGAGGCAGAGGCGAGTTGATCACGAAGTCAGGAGTTCAATACCAGCCTAATCAACATGGTGAAACCCCATCTCTACTAAAAATACAAAAATTAGCTGAGTGTGGTGGCACTCACCTTTAATCCTAGCTATTCAGGGGCTGAGGCAGGAGAATAACTTGAACCCAGGAGGCAGAGGTTGCAGTGAGCCTAGATTATGCCACTGCACTCCAGCTTAGGCAACAGAGCAAGACTCCATCTCAAAAAACAAAACAAAACAACAACGGCCAAAAAAAAACAGGACCAAGGCATGAGAGGAGATTCACATCACATGAGGTCTGGGCCAAGCAATATGTCACAATCTTCTATATAGCTAACAGAAGAAAAAGAGAACTCACATAATCTAGGTGATGGGCTTAGAGAGATGTCATCATGACCCCTGTGGGCAGGGACCAGACAGAAGAATCACCTCACCTGTGTGCTGGGTTTAGCAATAAGGCATCTCTCTACTGTGGGCATGACCCTAAGAAGACAGTCACATCACCTAGGTTTTGGGCCCAGAGATAAGCCACAATGTTTTTTATGGGCAAGGCCCAGGTTAGAGAGGAGAGTCACATCAAATAGTTGATGAAGTCAAAAATATGTAACAATTCCCTCTGTGAGCAGGTCCAGGCAGAAGATTCACATCACCTTGGTGCTAGGCCCAGCGATATGTCACAATGTCTTCTGAAAGTAGAACAAAGGCAGCAGATTCAAGTCATCTTGGTGCTGGGCAAAGTAAAATGTCACCATATCCCCTGCAGGCAGTCCTTAGGAAGATGAGAAGAGACACATCAGCTACATGCTGGACCCAGCAATAGGTAACAATTGCCCGTTTTAAGCACAGATGAGACAGAAGAAAAGAGTTGAATCATCTAAGTGATGGGTGCAGAGATACATCACAATGCCCCAAGTGAGCAAAGCTGAGGCTGAAGTGTTATATCACATGGATGCCAAACTCAGCAGTATGTCACAATGGCCCATGTGGACAGAGAACAAATAGGAGAATGACATAAGCTGAGCTTGAGGCCCAGGGATATGTCATAGTGTCTCCTGTGGTCAGTATCAAGAAAGAAGAGACTTACATCACTTGGATACAAGGCCCAGTGATATGTCACAGTGCCCACTGTGGGCAGCACCAAGGCAGGAGTATGGAGACACATCTCCTATATGCTGGTTTCAGTGATATGTCACAATTACATCTTTGGACTGGGCCCAGGCAAAGGAGTCAAATCACTCAAGTACTGAACAGAGACTTGTGTCACAATCACACTTGCAGGATGGTTTAGAGATCAGATTAATAATCTCACACATGTTCTGGTTTTAAAATTGAGAGTCAACACATTCTGTATGTTGGGTCTGAGTACAAGAGTCGCAATCTCAATTGTGCACTTGATTTGTTGGTGAGAGCCTCAATTTCTCCTGCAGACTGTGGATGATTACTGGAGTCGCAGACTCACAGGTGTGCTGAATATTTGTCTGAGCATCACCAACCCATCTGTGAACCAAATCCACATATAAGAGTCAATTTTTCAACTTTGCACTGTTTTCACAAGGGAGACTCAGGACCTCAACAGTGGGCTGTGTTCATGTGGAAAGATGAAAAGTTTTATTGTTGGCTGGGTGTGCATATGAGTGTCACAATCTCACCTGTGTGCGGGGCTCTGCTAAGACCCTCTCAGTACCACCCAAGAGCCTTCTACAGTATTAATGAGAGTTGCAAACTGCTCTATGACCTTCATGATGTTATGGACCCATGATTGTACCTGTAGAACTAAGCTCAAATATGAGAGTCAACATCTTTATAATTGGCTGGTTCCAAATAAAACAGTCCTCACCTGCCTCAGAGCTAAGTTAGAAATGAGTCACCATCTCAACTGCAGCTGGATATTCACCTATGACAATCACAATTTCAACTGTAGACTGCATCCAGGTGTGAGATTCAAGACCTTACCAGTAGGCTCTTTCCATGTTTGAGGGTGAAAATCCTAATGGGTGGTGGGGCGTGCATACAAATAATGTATTCTCACCTGTGCGCTGGGCCCTGTGATGACACTCTCTGTACCACCTGAGAAGTTTATATTATATACAAGAGAGCAGTAATCTACTATAATGTTTATACAAAGAAAAGTCCCTGAATCTTGTGTATTTCTGTAAGCTTAGCTTTGACAGACAGCATCTCTCCTACTGTTTGGTTTGTGGTATGAGAGTTATCACCTCACCTATGAGCTGAATGAAGGTATAT
Organism: Homo sapiens; assembly: GCF_000001405.40. Classification (NCBI taxonomy): domain Eukaryota; kingdom Metazoa; phylum Chordata; class Mammalia; order Primates; family Hominidae; genus Homo; species Homo sapiens. Next base: position 21,915,774 of record NC_000019.10, on the reverse strand, counting down.
GTCACAATCCCACCTGTGCATAGAGGTAGCAGGAGAGCCACATCACTTTGGTGCTAGGCCAGGCATATGTCACAATTTTCCCTGAAGGCAGGCACCAGGCAGAAGAGTCACATCACCTGGGTGCTTGGTCAGTGATATGTTACAATCCTGTTCTAACAGCAGGACACAGAGTCACAGCCCTGGATGCTGGTTCCAGTGATATGTCACAATGCTCCCTGTGAGCAAGGCCCTGGGAAAAAACACATCACCGTGTTGCTGGGCCAAATGTTGTTATGGTCTTCCCTGTAGGCAGAGCGCAGGCAGCAGGGAGGAGTCACATCTCCTAGATGATGAATGCAGAGATATGTCACGAGGCTCTTGAGAGTGGTAGGGCTAAAGCCCTGTTTGCAGGGCATAGGCAGACACTTCCCATCTTCTAGGTGTTTGGCCCAGTGATATGTTACAGTTCTCAAAACGAGTGGGGCTGATGCAAAAGACAAGAGTCACATTCCCTAGGTGCTAGGTCCAGTGATATTTAACCATCCCGCACCTGACAGAAAGAGAAGAACACATCACCTAAATCATAAATGTAAAAGTATATTGTAGACAGCTGTGATGGCTCATGCCTGTAATTCCAATGCTTTGGGAGGCTGAGGCAGGTGGATTTTTTGTAATCAGAAGTTTGAGATCAGCCTGGAAAACATGGCAAAACTCAATCTCTACTAAAATACAAAAAAAGAAAGAAAGAAAGAAGAAAGAAAAAAAGAAGAAAGAAGAAAGAAAAAGAAAGAAAGAAAGAAGAAAGAAAGAAGAAAGAAAGAGAAGAAAAGGAAAGAAAGAAGAAAGAAAGAAAGAAAGAAAGAAAGAAAGAAAGAAAGAAAGAAAGAAAGAAAGAAAGAAAGAAAGAAAGATGGATGGATGCATGGTGGTGCACACCTGTAATCCCAGCTACACAGGAGGCTGGGGCATTAAAATCACTTGAACCTGGGAGGTAGAGTTAGCAATGACACAAGATTGTGCTGCTGCACTCCAGCCTGGGTGGCAGAATGAGACTGTCTCTCTCTGTATCTAGCTATCTATCCATCCATATATATATCCATATATGTCCATATATATCATATATATCCATATATAGATATATATATCTATATATATCTATATATAATCCATATATATATCTATATATATCTATATATAATCCATATATATATCCATATATATCCATATATAGATATATATATCCATATATATCCATATATAGATATATATATCCATATATATATCTATATATCTATATATAATCAATATATATATCCATATATAGATGTATATATCCATATATAGTTATATATATCCATATATATATCCATATATAGATATATATATCCATATATATATCCATATATAGATATATATATCCATATATATATCCATATATAGATATATATATCCATATATATATCCATATATAGATATATATATCCATATATATATCCATATATAGATATATATCCATATATATATCCATATATATCCATATATAGATATATATATCCATATATATATCCATATATAGATATATATATCCATATATAGATATATATATCGATATATATATCCATATATGGATATATATATCTATATATATATATATATATCCGTGTGTGTATATATATATATCCATGCAGGAGAGTCACAATGAAGCAGCTTTATTGTCTGGTGTGATACCCAGAGTTTCTTGTCTTACACCAAGAAAATCAAGGATGCAGACACACAAGACTGAGGTCAAGAGTGGAAGTTTAATAGGCAAAGAAAGAGAAGAGCTCTCTGCAGTAGAGAGGAGTCCCACAGAGATTGGTTACTGGTTCCATGGTGAAATGCAGGAGGTTTTATAGATAAGCTTGAGGAGGTGGTGTCCGATTTACATAGGGTGCAAAAGATTGGTTGGACCAGGTGTGCCATTTGCATAGAGAACAAAAAGCTGGCCACCACACCCTAATTCTTTATTATGCATATGGGTTCTTTGCCTGGTGGGTACCATGTTGCCGATTTCTTTACCGTATACATGGTCACAAAGAAGGAAAGATGGAGCCCCCATTTTGGATATGCCCAGCCCCCAGGTTGCCCTTTTCTATTAACACAACTGCTGGCATTCCCCCATAAAAACTTCCAGGTTGCTTATCTGTTTTTGCAGCTCAATTTTTCAGGCTGATGATTGAAAAAGAAAATTTCTTGGGCTGCTTTTTGTTAGAAGAAAAATTCTGGTGAGGACTCTTTTACCCTCACTATCTGCCTAAATAATTTCTTTCTAACTCCTTTACCAACATTACACAATGCTTGCAGTGTTAAAGTAGGTAGCCAGTGAGGTATGAGCAGGGCAAGAGAGGACTCCGCCCTCAACACACACACCAGGAGTGTCAGTCAGCCATTAGGTGATGGTCAGGCAGTTGTTAACTGTCTCTCTAAAGTAATAATTGGTGACAACCGGCACCAGGGAAAGACAGTCTCCTAAATAGAAAGCACGTGAAACTGGTGATCAGCAGCTTCCCAATAAGATCTCAGGAGTTGGGTGAGGTGGGAAAAGTAACACAAGACCCCAAAAGTATGCCAACATATAAAACCCAAAGTCAAAAAGTCAAACCGCTCACTTGCCTTTGAAGTCACCTGCTTGGCCCTCTTCCAAGTGTACTTTCCTTCCTTTTGTTCCTGTTCTAAAGCTTTTTAATAAACTTTCACTCCTGCTCTAAAACTTCCCCCAGTCTCTCTTTCTGCCTTAAGCCCCTCAGTCAATTTTTTCTTCTGAAGAGGCAAGAAATGAGGTTGCTACAGACCCGTACCCATGCGGATTCACTGCTGGTAACATGTTTTGGTGCTGTGTGACTTGGTACCTTTTGCTGCTAACATGCTTTGGTGTGCATGACTCAGATATGTCCCCTAGTGGTGAAAGACCTTTATGCCTCACCTTCATTGGCTAGAGGCAGCTAACCCCTCTATATGATTTTCTTTTCCCTTTCACTCTATGGCTTACTAACCAGCTCCCAGAATGATTCCTCTCAGCCACAAGTGGCTCTGTTTCCATGGGCTATCTCTCTGCTCACCCTGACAGATGGTTTGCAGGGGTGGGAAGAACCTTGGGGTCCATGCTGAGTAGAACTGATGCACTTATGGCCCTCCTGGACAGGAGACTCTCAAGAGTAATAGGGCTAAAGCTGAACACCATGAAATGTCTTAGGGTTCCTACTAAAATTGTCTCTTTCCCCAAAACCTGCACTGTCTATTCTCCTGTGTTCCCTGTGTGTGTTCAGAAATGGCCTTACTCACCTGCTGGACTATCTGCTTCCGGGGCACATCTGCCTCTTTGCTTTCACTTCACGTGCCATGTGACTTCTTAAACACAAACTCCCTGTTATTTAAGCATCCATGGCTTTTACTGCATTTGCATGGCAGCAAAGACACTGGCTCCCTTGTGGATATCCCCTGAGATTTATACTTGTTCTTACCCTACCTGCTCAGATGACCTCCAACCCTTCCGTGTCTGCTGGCACATTGTCAGGACAGGCACCAATTTGAACTCTGGCTCTGTCAGTTTCTTATGACTTACTGTATACTTTTTATTCCTATTATGTCCCAGAACTGAGTTTTCCAGTGACTTTTGAAACACTTTGCCCACCTGATTCAAATAAACATTGCTTCTTGATAAGGGCATGAAAAGTTAGGGGTACATGGTAAGACTGATTCATTCCAGAACCCCAAGGATGAAGAGGGACCCACTGTTAACTTCAGCATCTCTTCTCCTCTCAAGCAGACAATTAGTGGATTACCTAAAACTGGTAATCAGCAACTTCCCAATAAGATCTCAGGAGTTAGGCAATGGGGAGAATTAATGTGAGACCCCAGAAGTATGCCAACATAGAAAACCCCAGGTCAAATGTCAAACCGTGCACTTCCCTTTTTAGTCACCCACTTGGCCCTCTTCCAAGTGTACTTTCCTTCATTTTGTTTCTGTTCTACAGTTGTCACTCCTGTTCTAAAACTTTCCTCAGTCTCTCCTTCTGCCTTATGCCTCTAAGTTGAGTTTTTTCTTCTTAGGAGGTAAGAATTAAGGTTGCTGCAGATCCATGCCCATATGGATTTGCTGCCAGTAACAGGTAACAGGTAGGAGAGAAGTGTAACATCACCTAGGTGCTGGGTCCAGAAATACGTCACAGTACTCTCTTAGGGGAGAGCCCAGAAAAAAGTGTCATATTTCCTAGTTTAAGTGCTTAGAGATATGTCACAATGCCTCCTATGGGTAGGACCCAGGAGGAAGAGAAGAGTCACATAACCTAGAAGCTGTGCCCAGTTATATGTCACAATCAGCCCAGTGAGAAGGGCCAAGGCATCAGATGATGGTCACATCATATAGGTGCTGGGTCAAATGATATGTCACAATCCCCCCTGTGGACAGATCCCAGGAAGAAGAGGAGACTCACGTCTTCTAGTAGAAGAGCCCAAAACTATGTACAATGATTATTGTGGACAAGGATCAAGGCAGTAAAATAACATGACCTGTGTGCTGGCCCAGTGAGAAGTCACTCTTTCTTCTGTAGGTGTGGCCCAGGCAGGAGAGCAGAGTTACATCAACTAGGTGCTGGGCCAAGAGGTATGTTATAGTCTCTCCTATGGGCAAAGAGCAGGTATAAGAATATAATCACATCAAAGAGTTGAGCTTTCAGAAATATGTCATGATGGTTCCTGTGGTCAGGCTCCATGCAAGAGACTCACATCACCTTGGTTCTGGGCCCAACAATATGTCACAATGTGTCACAAGAGTAACATTACTTTGGTATTGAGCCCAGTGATATGCTACAATCTCCCCTGTGAGCAGAACTCAGAAGAAGGAAAGATACATCCACTAGGTACAGAGTCCAGCAATATGTTACTATCTCACATGTGAGCAAAGACAAGGCAAGATAAGAGAAATCTTCATCTTAGTTATGAACCCAGACATATGTCATAAAGCCCCAAGTAGGCAGTGCCAAGGCAGAAGAATAATGTCACCTCACCTAGGTGCTGAGTCTAGTAATATGCCACAGTCCCATCTGTCAGCTGGGCCCCAACAAGAGAGTCAAATCACTCAGGGGCTGGGAGAGGCATATGTCACAATAATAGTTGCAGAAAGATCCAGGGGTGAGATTAACAATTCTACACATGTTCCAGTTCTATGTCTAAGAGTCAACACCTCCTGAATGTTGAGTCGGTGTACATGAATCACAATCTCAACAGTGGACTGCAAGACAGCCTCGATTCCTCCTGTACCCTGTGTCTTCATAGTAAAGTCACTGACTCACTGCTGTGCTGAATCATAGTGTGAAAGTCAACAATGAACCTGTGGACCAGATCTATGTATACAAGTCAATTTTCTAACATTTGACTGCCTTCAGATGTAGGATTCAGAACCTCAACTGTGGGCAGTGTTTATGTGAGAGCATAAAAATATTTACTGTTGGCTGGGTGTGCATGTGAATGTCACAATTTCATTTGTGTTCTGGGCCTTGTTAGTACAATCTCTGTATCACCTGTGGTCTTTATATGATATGTATGACAGTCTCAATCTGCTTTGAGACCTTCATGTTGATATGAACCACAGATTGGATCTGTTTTACTAAGCACAGCTATGGGAGTCAATATCTCTCTAACTGGCTGGGACCAGATGGGAAAGCCATTACTTGCTTATGAACTGGGTTTAGAAATGAGTCACCCTTCCAACTGTGGCCAGATATTCATGTATAACAGTCACAAATTCAGCTGTAGACTTATTCCATGTGTGGAATTCAAATCACCACCACTGAATTCTGTCTATATATGAGAGTGACAATCCTAATGGTTGGAGAGTTGTACATACAGAAAACACAACCTCATGTTTGTGCTGTGCCCTGTAATGCTTCTCTCTGTGCTATCTTTTACAAAATGTGACAGAGTGGTAATTCTTTATGACACTCGTACAAAGAAAAGACTAAGTTTCTTACTCTTTTTCTTATGATTGGCTATGAGAGACAGTATCTCTTTTATTAGCTGTTCAAGGTATGAGATTCATTATTGTACCTGTTACCTGGGCCATAATACATACTACAATTTTATCTGTAAATAAGTAGGGAGCAGAAGAGTGATACCACTTGTTTGCTCAGCCAGAAATATGTCACAATATTTCCTGGAAATAGGGACCAAGCAGGAGAGACACAGCACCTGGGTGCTTGGCCAGTGATATGTTAAAATTTCCTCTTGAAAGCAGGGCACAGGAAACAGAGTAACATCACCGGTGTGCTGGTGTTTTCTGTATTTCACAATGCTTTCTGTTGGCAAGGCCCAGGCAAGAGAAGCAAGTCACCTGGGCCTAGTAATGTGTCACAAATTTTTCTGTTGGCTGGTGTAGGCAGAATAGGAGAGTAACATTTTTTAGGTTATGGATGTAGAGAATGTTACAAGGCCCCCTCCGGGCAGGGCTGAGGCAGGAGCCTTCTGTCCCATAAGTGTTGGGCCCAGTGACATATCACAATACCCAGTATATCTTATGATCAGGTAAAAAAGGAGTCACATCACCTAGATGCTGAGTCCAGTCATATATAGCAATTCCCACTTTTGGTGAGGCCGTGGCAGAAGAGGAATGTTACATCACCTAGGTGATTAGTGAAAATATGGCAAGGCCCATTCAGGAGAGTCACATCAACTAGGTGTTAGGCCCAGCAATATGTCACAATATGCAATGAATGCAGGGCATAGCCCAAAGAGAAGAGTCACATTACTGAGGTGTCTGGCCCAGCAAAACATCATCATCTGTCATTGGCAGCATAAAAGCAATTGAGGAGAGTAACATCACCTAAGTACTCGGTCCAGAAATGTGTCACAATGCCCACTGAAAGGATGACCCATGCATGAGGGCTACCTCACCTAGGTGGGGGTCCCAGAGATATATCACAATGCCCACTGCAGGTAGAACTCAGGAAAAAGAGGAAAGTCACAAAATCAAGGTCAGGGAGCAGCTATATGAAATGATCTCTTCAATGGGCAAAGCACAGACTCACATCCTGAGTCTGTGCTCATGAAAAGAGACTCACATCACTTATGTACTGTACCAATCTATATGTCACAATCGTCACTGCAGACAAGTACCAGGAAGAAGAGGAGAGTCACATTATCTAGAATACTGTCCTGAATATATGTCACCATGACCCCTGTTGACAGGGGTCATTGTGACACATCTGTTTGTGTGATGTGCCCATTGTGTGAGGGGTTCAGCAATAAGTCACCCTCCCTTCTGTGAGCATGAAACAAGCAGAAGAAGAGAGTCACATTACCTCACTGCTAGCCCAAAAAATATGTTAGAATATCTCCTAAAGAAGGAGTCATATAAGAGATAAGGGTCACATCAAATAGTTGATGGGCACAGAGATATTTTGCAATGCTTCCTGTGTGTAGGGTCAAGGCAGAGACTCACATCAGCTTGGTGCTAGACAAAGAAATATGCAACAATGTCTTCACAGGGCATGGCCTAGGAAAAAGAGTACCTTCATCTAGGTATCGCGTTCAGTAATTCACCACAATCTTCCCTGTGGGCAGAACCTAGGAAGCAGAGAAGAGTTACATCAGCTAAGTGCTGAACTCGGTGATAGGTAAAAATCTCCTCTGTGAGCAGACACCAGACAGGAAAAGAGTCCTGAGTGATAGACACAGAGATATGTGACAATACCCCTGTTCCCCTGGCCCAGGCAAGAGAGTCACATAACCTGGGTGTTGGACCCTGCAATATGTCACAATGACCCATGAGGGCAGACCACAAGCAGGAGAATCAAGTAACCCTTGTGGGGCAGTGCCAAGGCAGAAAAAGAGACTCACATCACCTGGATGTAAGGTCCAGTGATGTGGCACATTGCCCTCTGTGGGTAACTCCGAGACAGGAATATAGAGTCACATAACCAAATGCTGGGCCCAGCAGTATGTCACAATCTCCCCTGTGAGGGAAAACAAGAAAAACCAAAAGACCCACATTACCTGGATGAATGGCAAAGAGATATGTCACAATGTTCCCTGTAGGCAAGGACCAGACAGGAGAGTAGCATCGCCTGGGTGTAGGACTCGGTAATATGTCACAATTGTCCACATGGGCAGGGCACAGAAAGGCTCACATAACCTGGGTTCATGGCCAAGAAGTATGTCACAATGTCCCCTACGGGCAGCACCAAGACAGGAGAATAGAGCCACATAAGCTAGAGGCTGGGTCCAGCAAAAATGTCACAATTCTGTTTGTGAGCAGGAATCAGGCAGAGGAGAGTCACATCACTGGGGTAACAGACACAGAGATATGTCACAATGCTCCCTGTAAAGAGGGCTCAGGCAGAATAGTTACATCACCTGCATGTTTGACGCAGCCATATGTCACAGTAAGTGTGCCAGGCCACAAAAGATTCACAGAAAACTTAGTGTGGGGCCCAGCAATATGTTACAATGCCCTCTGTAAAAAATACCAAGATGGCCAGGTGTGGTGACTCACGCTTGTAATCCCAGCACTTTGGGAGGCCATGGTGAGCGGATCACCTGAGGTCAGGAGTTGGAGACCAGCCTGACCAACATGGATAAAACCCACTTCTACTAAAAATGCAAAATTAGCCAGGTGCAGTGGCACATGCCTCTAATCCCAGCTACTCAGGAGGCTGAGGGAGGAGAATTGCTTGAACTTGTGAGGCAGAGGTTGTGGTGAGCCGAGATCGTGCCATTGCACTGCAGCCTGGGCAACAAGAATGAAACTCCATCTCAAAATGTACCAAAATAGAAAAGGATTCTTACATAACCTGTGTTCAAGACCCAGCATTATGTCACAATGCCCCCTGTGTGCAGCTCAAGGCAGGAGAAAAGAGTCACATGGGTGCTGGTTCAGCTATATGAAACAATCCCATCTGAAGGCTGGGTCAAAGAACAAGAGTCAAATTACTTCAATGTTTTTCAAAGGCATATGTCCCAATCAAAAATACAGGGAGGTTCAGTAAAAGGATTAACAATTCTGCACATGTCCTGGTTCTAGGTATGAGAGTAAGCACTTTCAGTATGTTGGATATAAGTACACAAGTCATGTATTAATTCAGGACCTCAGAAGTGGGCTCTGTCTATGTGTGAAGGTGACATTCAAAGTGGTTGAAAAGTGTGCATGCAGAAAACACAATCTCACCTGGGTGCTGAAACACTCTGTGCCACTGAGGAGCTTTATTCCATATTTAAAAGAGTGGAATACCTCTATAACATTTGTGCAGAGGAGACCTAGCATTCTACTCATTTGCCAATACCTAATAACAAGAGACAGTATCTCTTCTATTTACTGGTTTGAAGTATGAGAGTCATCATTACACCTGTGAACTTGGCCAAGATATATGTCACAAACAAAACTGTGGGTAGTGAGTGAGCAAGAGAGTCATATTACCTGGATATTGGGTCAGGGGTCTATTACAGTCTTCCCTGAGAACAGGGACCAGGCAACAGTGTCATTAACCTGGGTACTCAGCCAGTGTTACATTGCAATCCACTCCTGAAAGCAGGGCACAGGCAGCAGAATAACATCATCTGTGTGCTTGGCTCGCGGGTATGTCACAATGCTCTCTGTTGATGAGGCCAAAGCAGGAGAGATATATCACATGGTTGCTGGACCCATCAATATATCATAACATTTCTTATTGGCAAACTGCAGGCAGAAGAGGTACATTTCTTAGGTACTGGGTTCCACAGCCAGGAGAAATATGTCACAGGCCCCCCTGTAGGCAGGGCCCTGGCAGAAACCTCCTATATTCTAGGTGTTGGGCCAAGTGATATGTTACACTACCAAAAATATGCAAGTGTCCAGACAAAAGAGAAGTGTTACATCACCTAGGTGCTAGGATTAAGTGAAATATCACAATGCCTTTATTTGGCAAGACTGAGGACCCATTATGTGACGGAAAGAGTCACGTAATATCAGTGATGAATGAAAAGATACTACTGGGTTGAATCACCTAGGTGTTGAACCCAGCAATATGTAACAATACATGATATATGTGGAGTCCAGGAAGGAGAAGAGAGTCACATGACATAGGGGCTGAATACAGTCTTATGTCCCAATATTCCCTGAGTTAAGGGCCAAAAAAATAGAGTCACGTCACCTAAGTGAGAGGCTGATATGGTTTGATTCTGTGCCTTTACTCAAATCTTATCTTGAAATGTAATCCCCATGTGTCAAGGAAGGGACCTGATGAGAGGTGATTGGATCATGAAGGTGGCTCCCCCCACGCTCTTCTCATGATAGTGAGTGAGTTTTTATGAGATCTGATAGCTTAAAAGTGTTTGGAAGGTCTCCCCTCACTGGCTTTCTCTCCTTCTGCCATGTAAGACGTGCCTTGCTTCCCCTTCACCTTCTGCCATGATTGTAAGTGTTCTGAGGCCTCCACAGCTGTGTGAAACTGTGAGTCAATTAAACCCTTTTCCTTTATAAATTACCCAGTCTCAGGTAGTATATTTATAGCAGTGTAAAATTGGTCTAATACAGATAATTGGTACCAGCAGAGTGGGGTCCTGCTATAAAGTTAACCTGAAAATGTGGAAGCAAATTTGGAACTAGGTAACAGGCAGAGGTTGGAAGTTTGGAGGGCTCACAAGAAGACAGGAAGATGTGAGAAAGTTTGGAAATTCCTAGAGAGGTTTTCAATGTTTTTTGACCAAAATGCTTATAGTGATATTGATGATGAAATCCTGGCTGAGGTGGTCTCAGATGGAGATGAGGAACTTGTTGAGAACTGAAGCAAAGGTCATTCTTGCTATGTTTTAGCTAAGAGACTGGCAGCATTTTGCCCCTTCCCTAGAGATCTGTGGAAGTTTGAACTTGAGAGAGATAATCTAAAATTGGAACTTATGTTTAAAAGGAAAGTAGAACATAAAATCTTGGAAAATTTGCAGCCTGACCATGCAGTAGAAATTAAAAACCCAGCCAGGCATGGTTGTTCATGCCTATAATCCCAGCATTTTGGGAGGCCAAGCGGATCACTTGAGGCAAGTAGTTTGAGACCAGCCTGGTCAACGTGGCAGAATCCTGTCTCTATTAAAATTACAAAATTTAGCTGTGTGTAGTGGTGCACACTTGTAATCCCAGCTACTTGGGAGACTGAGACACAACAATCGCTTGAACCCCGGAGGCAAAGGTTTCAGTGAGCTGAGATCGTGCCACTGCACTCCAGCCTGGGTGACAGGGTGAGACTCCATCTCAAGAAAAAAAAAAAAAGAAAAATTTAAAAAGCATATTTTCTGGAGGGAAATTCAAGCTGGCTGCAGAAATTTGCATAAGTAACAAGTAGCCAAATGTTAATAGCCAGGACAATGGGAAAAATGTCTCCAGGGCATTTCAGATATCTTTACAGCAGCTGCTCCTATCAAAGGCTTGGAGGGCTAGGAGTCAAAAATAGTTTCATGAGTGGGGCCCAGGCTTCTGCTCTGTGCAGCTTTAAGAATTGGTGCCCTGTGTCTCAGCTGCTCCAGCTCCAGCCATCGCTAAAAGGGGCCAACTTGCAGCTCAGACAATTGCTTCAGAGAGTGCAAGCCCCAAGCCTTGGTGGCTTCCATGTGGTCTTGGGCCTGTGGGTGCCCAGAAGACAAAAGTTGAGAATTGGTAACTTTTGCCTAGATTTTAGAGGATGTTTAAAACACCTGAATGTCCAGACATAAGTCTTTTGCAGGGGTGGAGCCATTATGAAGAACCACTACTAAGGCAATGCAGAGAGGAAATTTAGGATTAGAGCCCCAACACAGAGTCTGCACTGGGGCACTGCCTAGTGGAGCTGTTAGAACAGGGCCACCATCCTCCAGAACCCAGAATGGTAGACCCATCAACAGCTTGCATAGATCCTCCAACAGCTTTCACTGTGTGCTTAAAAACAGCACTGGCACTCAACACCAGGCCATGAAAGCAGCCACGGGAGCTGTAACCTGCAGAGTCACAGGAGTGGAGCTGCCCAAGGCCTTGGGAGCCCACTTATTTCATCAGTATTACATAGATGTGTAACATGGAGTCAAAGAAGACGATTTTGAAGCTTTAAGATTTAATGACTGCCCTGCTGGATTTTGAGATTCCATGGAACATGTCGCCACTGTTTTGACAAATTTCTCCCATTTGAAACAGGAACATTTCCTCAATGCCTGTACTCTCATTTTATCTTGAAAGTAACTAACTTGCTTTTTGATTTTACAGGCTCATAGGTGGAAGAGACTTGCTTTTTCTCAGATGAAACTTTGAGTTAATGCTGAAATAAGTTAAGACTTTGAGGACTGCTGGGGAGGCATGTTTATGTTTTAAAAATGTGAGAAGGTCATGAGATTTGGAAGGGGCAAGAGGCAGAATAATATGATTTGGCATTGTGTCCCCACCTAAATCTCATTTCTAATTGTAATCCCCACGTGTCAAGGGAGGAGCTCCTGGTGTGAGGTGATTGGATCATGGGTCAGTTTCTTTCACACCATTCTCATGGATAGTGAGTGAGTTCTCATGACAGCTAATGGTTTAAAAGTGTTTGACTTTTCCCCTCTGACTGGTTCTCTCTCTCTCTCCTGCCACCATGTAAGATGTGCCTTGCTTTCTCTTTGCCTTCCTCCATGATTGTAAGTTACCTGAGTCCTCCCCAGCCATGTGGAACTGTGAGTCAGTTAAACTTCTTTTCTTTATAAATTATCAGTCTCAGGTAGTATCTTTATAGCAGTGTGAAATTGGACTAAGACAGGGGCTCAGGAAAAAGAGGAGATTCACATAACCTAGGGGCTGAGCCCAGCTATATGTCACAATTACCTTAGTGGGCAAGGCCCAGGAATGAGAGAAGAGTCACCTTACCTGCTAGGCCAAGTGATATATCACAATGCCTACTGTGGAGAGGTCCCAGAACAAAGAAGACTGTCAAATCATATAGGTGATGGGGCCAGAGATATGTCACAGTGAAATCTGTGTGCAGAAATCAGGCAGGAAAATTACATCACTAGTGTGCTGGTCCAAGAAATAAGTCACTGTCTCATCTGTGGGAGTGACTCAGGCAGAAGACAGTTCCATCACCTAGGTGCTGGGCCCACAGATATGTCAAAATCTCTTTTATTTAAAAAAACTCAAGTAAAAGGAGAGTCATATCAAATAGTTGATGAGCTCAGAGATACGCAGCAATGCCCTCTGTGGACAGGCTCCAGGCAGGAGACTCACATCGCCTTGCTTCTGGGGCCTATCAATATGTCCCAATTCCATCTGAGAGCAGGGCCAAGGGAAAATAGCAATATTATTAATACCTTGGAATTAAACCCCATTATATATCACTATCTTTCTTGTTGGCAGAAAGCTGTAAAAAGACAAAAGACAAATTAGCTAGGTCCTGGGCCCAGGTATATGTCACAATCTCCTCTGTGAGCAGAGACCAGGCAGGAGAAGTGAGTCACATCAACCGGGTGATGGGCAGAGAAATATGTCACAATGTCCTCTGTAGGCAGGGACCAGGCAGGAGAGTTACATCACCAAAGTGTTAGACCCAACAATATGTTACAATGGTCTATGTGGACAGGGCACAGGCAGGAGCGTCACACAACCCTTTTGCAGGGCAGCAATATGTCACAATGCCGCCTTAAAAAAAAAACAAAGACAGAAGAGAAGATTCGTACCACCAGGTTGCAAGGCCCATGATATGTCAAAATGTCTCTTATGGCCAGCACCAAGTAAAGAGAATGAGTCACATCACCTAGGTGCTACCTTTAGTGATATGTCACAAACTCATATTTGGGCAGGCCCCAAGCAAAAGAGTCAAATCACTCAGGTGCTGGAAAGAGACACATGTCACTGTCACTCCTGCAGGAAGGTCCAGAGATTAAATTAAGAATCCAGCACATGTCCCAGTTCTAGGTAACAGAGCCAACATGCCCTTTGTGTTGTGTCTAAGTACATCAGTCACAATCTCAACACTGGACTGAATCTGTGTGAGAGCCTCAATCCCTCTTGTGAACTGTATTTCTGTAGTGGAGTCACATTCTCACACGTGTGCTGAATCTTGATCTTACAGTCACTCACCCTTCTGTGGAACAGAAAGTCAATTTCAAACTTTCCACTGCCTCCAGGTGTGAGACTCAAAACTTCGACAGTGGGCTTTGTTCATCTAAGAAGATGGCAATCTTTACTTCAGTTGGATGTGTATACAAGCTTCACAATCACACCTGTGTGCTGTACCCTGTTAAAATAGTCTCTGTACCACTGAGGGCTTTATAAGGTATGTGTGGGAGTTGCAATTTGCTCTGGGACTTTTATGCTAACATAAATCCATGATTATACTTGTGACCCTAAGCCCAAGCAGCAGAGTCAACATCCCTTCAATTGGCTGGGTCCAGTTCAAATAGTCCTCACTTGCCTATGACCTGGGTTTAGAGATGGGTTACCATCTCACCTCTGGCAGAATGTTCTCATATGATGATCACAATTCCAACTGTGGGCCTCATAGCTGTGTGATTAAGAAACTCATCAGTTGGCTCTTTCTATGTGTGAAGGTGACAATCTTAATGGTTGATGGGGTGTGCATACAATAAACACAATTTCACTTGTGCACTAGGCCCTGTGATGGCACTCTCCATACCACCAGAGAGCTTTGTAAGATAAATGAAAGTGTGGTAATCCTTTATGACCATCATACAAAGAGGAGACCCAGGATCTTACCCATTTCCCTAAGCCTAAAGAGAAAAAATACCTTCCTATTGGCTGGTTCAAGGTATGAGAGTCATCATTGCATCTGTGATCTGTGCCAAGATGTACATGACAATCTTTCCTGAGGGCAGGCACCAGGTAGGAGAGCCACATCACCTGGATGCTCAGCAATAATTACATTAAAATCTCCTTCAGAAAGAAGGGTACAGGCAGCATTGTTCAATCACAAAAAAAAAAAAAAAAATCTGGGCCTACTGATATGTCACAATGTCCCCTATGGGCAGCACCAAAGCAGGAGAATAGAGTCATATCACCTAGGTACTGAATCCAGTGATATGTCACAATTTCATTTGCAAGCTAAGCTCAGGCAGGAGAGTTAAATTACTCAGGTGCTTGGAAGAGGTGTTTGTTGCAATCACACCTGAAGGAAGGTTCTGGGATGAGATTATAAATTTCATACATTTCCTAGTTCTTGGTATGTGAGTCAACACCTACTGCAGGTTGAAAATAAGTGCATGAGTCACAATCTGAACTGTGGCATAGATACGTACATGACAGCCTCAATATCTCCTGCAGACTCTGTCCCCTCAGGGGAGTCACAGCCTTCCAGGTGTGCTGAATCTTGGTCTGAAACTCATCAAACTATCTCTGGAATGAGTCTATGTATGAGAGTCAATTTTCAAACTTTCAACTGCCTCTGGATGTGAGATTCAGAATCTCAACTGTCAGCTGTGTCTGTATGGAAAGATTCAATTTTTACTGATTCTGGGTGTGCATATGAGTGTCACAATGTCACCTGTGTGCTGATCTCTGTAAAAACACAGTGCTATTCAAGGGCTTTGTACAGTATGCATGAGAGTTACAATTCACTCTGTGACTTTTGTGGTGTTATGGACTCCCACTGTGGTCATGGCTAAAGAAAGAGAAGAGAGTCACATCACATAGGTGCTGGGCCCCAAAATATATCAAAATCTCTTCTATAGAAAAAGCTCTGGTAGATTCCATTCCAAGATGGCTGAATAGAAACAGGTCCAGTCTTCAGCTCCCAGTGTGATCGATGCAGAAGATGGGTGATTTCTGCATTTCCAACTGAGGTATCTGGTTCATCTCATTGGGACTGGTTGGACAGTGGGTGAGCCGAAGCAGGGTGGGGCATGGCCTCACCCAAGAAGCACAAGGGGTCAGGGGATTTTCCTTTCCTAGCCAAGGGAAGCCGTAACAGGCTGTACCTGGAAAAACGGGACACTCCTACCCAAATACTGCACTTTTCCCATGGTCTTAGCAACTGGCAGAACAGGAGACTTTCTCCTGTGCCCAGCTCAATGGGTCCCACGCCCACAGAGCCTTGCTCACTGCTAGTGCAGCAGTCTGAGATTGACCTGCAAGGTCACAGCCTGGTGTGGGGAGAGGCTTCCACCATTGCTGAGGCTTGAGTACATAAACAAAGTGGCCAGGAAGCTCGAACTGGGTGGAGTCCACCACAGCACAGCAAGGCCTACTGCCTCTATAGACTCCACCTCTGTGGGCAGGGCATAGCTGAACAAAAGCCAGCAGAAACTTCTGCAAACTTAAACGTCTCAGTCTGACAGCTCTGAAGAGAGCAGTGGTTCTCCCAGCATGGGTTTTGAACCCTGAGAATGGACAGACTGCCTCCTCAAGTGGGTCCCTGACCCCCTTGTAGCCTAACTGGGAGACACCTCCCAGTAGGGGCCAACTGACACCTCATACAGATGGATGCCCTCTGGGATGAAGCTTCCAGAGGAAGGATCAGGCAGCAATATTTGCTGTTCTGCAATATTTGCTGTTCTGCAGCCTCTGATGGTGATACCCAGGCAAACAGGGTCTGGAGTGGACCTCCAGCAAACTCCAGCAGACCTGCAGATGAGGGACCTGACTGTTAGAAGGAAAATTAACAAGCAGAAAGGAATAGCATCAACATCAACAAAAAGGACACCCACACCAAAACCTCACCTGTAGGTTACCAACATCAAAGACCAAAGGTAGATAAAACCACAAAGATGGGGAGAAACCAGAGCAGAAAACCTGAAAATTCTAAAAATCAGAGCACCTCTTGTTCTGCAAAGGATTGCAGCTCCTCAGCATTAATGGAACAAAGCTGGATGGAGAATGACTTTGACAAGTTGACAGAAGTAGGCTTCAGAAGGTCGGTAATAACAAACTTCTCCGAGCTAAAGGAGCATGTCCTAACCCATCGCAAGGAAGCTAAAAAAAACTTTAAAGAAGGTTAGATGAATGGCTAACTAGAATAAACAGTGTAGAGAAGACATTAAATGACCTGATGGAGCTGAAAACCATGGCACAAGAACTACATGACACATGCACAAGCTTCAATAGCCATTTCAATCAGGCGGAAGAAAGGATATTATTGATTGAAGAACAAATTAATGAAATAAAGTAAGAAGACAAGTTAAGAGAAAAAAGAGTAAAAAAACATACAAAGCCTCCAAGAAATATAAGACTATGTGAAAAGACCAAATCTACATTTGATTGGTGTACCTGAGAGTGATGGCGAGAATGGCACCAAGTTGGAAAACACTTTTCAGGGTATTATCCAGGAGAACTTCCCCAATCTAGCAAGGCAGGCCAACATTCTCATTCAGGAAATACAGAGAACACCACAAAGATACTCCTCAAGAAGAGCAACTCCAAGACACATAATTGGCAGATTCATCAAGGTTGAAATGAAGGAAAAAATGTTAAGGGCAGCCAGAGAAAAAGGTTGGATTACCCACAAAGGGAAGCCCATCAGACTAACAGCAGATTACTCAGCAGAAACCCTACAAGCCAGAAGAGAGTGGGGGCCAATATTCAAAATTCTTAAAGAAAAGAATTTTCAACCCAGAATCTCATATCCAGCCAAACTAAGCTTCATAAATGAAGGAGAAATAAAATCCTTTACAGACAAGCACATGCACAGAGATTTTTGTCACCACCGGGCCTGCCTTACAAGAGCTCCTGAAGGAAGCACTAAACATGGAAAAAAACAACCTGTACCAGCCACTGCAAAAACATGTCAAATTGTAAAGACCATCGATGCTATGAAGAAACTGCATCAATTAACAGGCAAAATAACCAGCTAACATTATAATGACAGGATCAAATTCACACATAACAATATTAACCTTAAATGTAAATGGGCAAAATGCCCCAATTAAATGACACAGACTTGCAAATTATATAGAGTCAAGATCTATCAGTGTGCTGTACTCAGGAGACCCATCTCACATGAATAGACACACAAAGGCTCAACATAAAGGGATGGAGGAATATCTACCAAGCAAATGGAAAGCAAAACAAAAAGCAGTGGTTGCAATTCTAGTCTCTGATAAAACAGACTTTAAACCAACAAAGATCAAAAGAGACAAAGAAGGCCATTACATAATGGTAAAGGGATCAATTCAACCAGAAGAGCTAATTATCCTAAATATATATGCACCCAGTACAGGAGAACCCAGATTCATAAAGCAAGTCCTTAGAGACCTACAAAGAGACTTAGACTCCCACATAATAATGGGAGACTTTAACACCCCACTGTTAGATCGATGTGACAGAAGGTTAACAAGGATATCCAGGACTTGAACTCAGCTCTGCACCAAGCAGACCCAATAGACATCTACAGAACTCTCTACCCCAAATCAACAAAATTTACATTCTTCTCAGCACCACATCGCACTATTCTAAAATTGGCCAATAATTGGAAGTAAAGCACTCCTCAGAAAATGCAAAAGAGCAGAAATTACTATAAACTGTCTCTTGGACCACAGTACAATCAAATTAGAACTCAGGATTAAGAAACTCAAAACTGCACAACTTACATGGAAACTGAACAACCTGCTCCTGAATGACTACTGGGTAAATAATGAAATGAAGGCAGAAATAACGTTTTTCTTTGAAACTAATGAGAACAAAGACACAAAGTACCAGAATCTCTGGGATACATTTAAAGCTATGTGTAGAGGGAAATTTATAGCACTAAATGCCCATAAGAGAAAGCAGGAAAGATCTAGAATACACAACCTAACATCACAATTAAAAGAACTAGAGAAGCAAGAGCAAATAAATTCAAAAGCCAACAGAAGGCAAGAAATAGAAATAACTAAGATCAGAGCAGAACTGAAAAAAGATAGACACCAAAAACACTTCAAAAAATCAATGAATCCAGGAGCTGTTTTTCTGAAAAGCTCAATAAAATTGATAGACCACTAGCAAGACTAATGAAGAAAAGAGAGAAGAATCAAATACATGCGATAAAAAATGATAAAGGGGTATCACCACCGATCCCACAGAAATACGAACTACCATCAGAGAATATTGTAAACACTTCTACACAAATAAACTAGAAAATCTAGAAGAAATTGATAAATTCCTGGAGACACGCACCCTCCCAAGACTAAACCAGGAAGAAGTTGAATCTCTGAATAGATCAATAACAGGCTCTGAAATTGAGGCAATAATTAATAGCTTACCAACCAAAAAAAAGTCCAGGACCAGATGGATTCACAGCTGAATTCTACCAGAGTTACAAAGAGGAGCTGGTACCGTTCCTTCTGAAACTATTCCAATCAATAGAAAAAGAGGGAATCCTCCCTAACTCATTTTATGAGGCCTGCATCATCCTGATACCAAAGCCTAGGAGAGACACAACAAAAAAAATAGAATTTTAGACCAATATCCCTGATGAACGTCGATGCAAACATCCTCAATAAAATACTGGCAAACCGAATCCAGCAGCACATCAAAAAGCTTATCCACCATGATCAAGTCTGCTTCATCCCTGGGATTCAAGGCTGGTTCAACATACGCAAATCAATAAACGTAAACCATTACATAAAAAGAACTAATAACAAAAACCACGATAGATAGATGCAGAAAAGGCCTTTGACAAAATTCAACAGCCCTTCATGCTAAAAACTCTCAATAAACTAGGTATTGATGGAACGTATCTCAAAATAATAAGAGCTATTTATGACAAACCCACAGCCAATATCATACTGAATGGGCAAAAACTGGAAGCATTCCCTCTGAAAACCTGCACAACACAAGGATGCCTTCTCTCACCACTCCTATTCAACACAGTATTGGAAGTTCTGGCCAGGGCAATCAGGCAAGAGAAAGAAATAAAAGGTATTCAATTAGGAAGAGAGGAAGTCAAATTGTCCCTATTTAAAGATAACGTGATTGTATATTTAGAAAACCCCATCATCTCAGCCCCAAATCTCCTTAAGCTGATAAGCAACTTCAGCAAAGTCTCAGGATACAAAATCAATGTGCAAAAATCACAAGCATTTCTCTACACCAATAACAGACAGAGAGCCAAATCATTTGTGAACTTTCATTCACAATTGCTACAAAGAGAATAAAATACCTAGAAATCCAACTCACAAGGGACATGAAGGACCTCTTCAAGGAGAACTATGAATCACTGCTCAAGGAAATAAGAGAGGACAGAAACAAATGGAATTACATTCCATGCTCATGGATAGGAAGAATCAATATGAAAATGGCCATACTGCCCAAGGTAATTTATGGATTCAATGCCATCCCCATCAAGCTACCAATGACTTTCTTCACAGAATTGGAAAAAACTACTTTAAACTTCCTATGGAATCAGAAAAGAGCCCGCATTGCCAAGAAAATCCTAAGCAAAAAGAACAAAGCTGGAGGGATCGTGCTACCTGACTTCAAACTATACTACAAGGCTACAGTAACCAAAACAGCATGGTACTGGTACCAAAACAGAGATATAGACCAATGGAACAGAACAGAGGCCTCAGAAATAACACTACACATCTACAACCATCTGATCTTTGACAAACCTGACAAAAACAAGAAATGGGGAAAGGAATCCCTATTTAATAAATGATGCTGGGAAAACGGCCTAGCCATATGTAGAAAGCTGAGACTGGATCCCTTCCTTACATATTATACAAAAATTAATTCATGATGGATTAAAGACTTAAATGTTAGACCTAAAACCATGAAAACCCTAGAAGAAAACCTAGGCAATACCATTCAGGACATAGGCATGGGCAAGGACTTCATGACTAAAACACCAAAAGCAATGGCAACAAATCTAATTAAACTAAAGAGCTTCTGCACAGCAAAGGAAACTATCATCAGAGTGAACAGGCAGCCTACAGAATGGGAGAAAATTTTTGCAATCTATCCATCTGACAAAGGGCTAATGTCCAGAATCTACAAACTTAAACAAATTTACAAGAAGAAAACAAACAACCCCATCAAAAAGTGGGTGAAGGATATGAACAGACACTTCTCAAAAGAAGACATTTATGCAGCCAACAGACACATGAAAAAAATACTCATCATCACCGGTCATCAGAGAAATGCAAATCAAAACCACAATGAGATGCCATCTCATGCCAGTTAGAATGGCAATCATTAAAAGGTAAGGAAACAGCCTGGCACAGTGGCTCATTCCTGTAATCCCAGGACTTTGAGAGGCTGAGACAGGTGGATCACGAGGTCAGGAGATCGAGACCATCCTGGCTGACATGGTGAAACTCCGTCTCTACTAAAAATACAAAAAATTAGCCAGACTTGTTGGTGGGCACCTGTAGTCCCAGCTACTCAGGAGGCTGAGGCAGGAGAATGGCGTAAACCCGGGAGGCAGAGCTTGCAGTGAGCTTAGATAGCACCACTGCACTCCAACCTGGGGGACAGAGCATGACTCCATCTCAAAAAAAAAAAAAAAAAAAAGGAAGGAAACAAGAGATGCTGGAGAGGATGTGGAGAAATAGGAACACTTTTACACTATTGGTGGGAGTGTAAATTAGTTCAACCATTGTGGAAGACAGTGTGGCAATTCCTCAAGGATCTAGGACTAGAATTACCATTTGACCCAGCAACGCCATTACTGGGTATGTTCCCAAAGGATTATAAATCATGCTACTATAAAGACACATGCACAAGCATGTTTATTGCGGCACTATTCACAATAGCAAAGACTTGGAACCAACCCAAATGCCCATCAATGACGGACTGGATTAAGAAAATGTGGCAAATATACACGATGGAATACTATGCAGCCATAAAAAAGGATGAGTTCCTGTCCTTTGCAGGGACATGGATGAAGCTGGAAACCATTATTCTCAGCAAACTATCACAAGGACGGAAAACCCAACACCACATGTTCTTACTCATAGGTGGGAATTGAACAATGAGAACACTTGGACACAGGACAGGGAACATCACACACCTGTCAGGGGGTGGGGGGCTGGCAGGGAGGATAGCATTAGGAGAAATACCTAATGTAAATGATTGATGAGTTGATGGGTGCAGCAAACCAACATGGCACATGTATATCTATATAACAAATCTGCACGTTGTGCATATGTACCATAGAACTTAATGTATAATTTTAAAAAAAGAAGAAAGAAAGGATAATAAAGAGAGGATAATAAAGAGTGGATAGAAAAACACAAATAGAATGAATAAAATGTAGTATTTCATAGCACAATAGGGTGACTATGTTTAACAATAATTTATTGTGTATTTTAAAATAACTAAAAGTCGAATTGGAATGTTCCTAATAGAAAGAAATGATAAATGCTTGAGGTGATGAATACCCCAGTGAGCATGATTTGATCATACATGTTGTACACCTGTATCAAAATATCACATGTACCCGATAAATATGTATAACCATTATGTATTTATAATAATTAAAAATAACAAAAAAAAAAAAAGAAAAAGCTCCGGTAAAAGAAAAGTCACATCAAACAATTGATGGGCTGAAAGATTTGTCATAATGCTCCCTGTGGGTGGATTTTAGGCAGAAAACTCACATCACCTTGGTTCTGGGCCCAATTGGCAGCACCAAGGCAGAAAAATGGAGTCACATCATTTAAATGCTGGCTCCAGCCGTATGTCACAATCCCATCTGTTGGCTGGTCCCAGGCAGAAGACTCAAATAGATGATGGGCAGAGGCATAGGTCACAATCACACTTGCAAAAAAGGTTCACAGGTGAGATTAACACTCCTGGACACATCCTGGTTTTCAATATGAGAGTAAATACCACCCGTATGTTGATTCTAAGTACATGAGTCAAAATCTCAATGGTGGTGTGCAGTTGCGCATTGGAGCCTAGGTTTTTTGTGCAGAGTGTGTTATTTTAGTGGAGACACAGGCTCACAGGTGTGTTGAATGTTGATCTGACAGGCATTAACACACCTGTGGATGACATCTACATATGAGAGTCAATTTTCTAACTTCGTACTCTGTCTGGATTTGAGATTCCAAACCTCAACAGGGGGCTGGGTTCATGTGTGAGGTTTTTGCCTGGGCTCTGTGTTTAATCTTTCCTGTTGGGTGGATGTGCATAAAAGTGGCACAATGTCACCTGTATGCTGGGTCCTGTTAGGACACTCTCTGTATCATCTGAGAACTTTATATGATAAGCATGAGAGATGCAAATTCTCTCTGAGACCTTTTTACTCGTATGGACTCATGTTTGAACCTGTGGCACTAAGCAAAGTTATAAGAGTCAACACCTTTCCCATTGGCTGGGTCAAGATAGGAGAGTCTTCACCTGCCTATGATCTGGGTTTAGAAATGAGTAACAATCCCAACTTTAGCTGGATAGTCAAATATGACAGTCACTATTCCAACTGTGGACTACACCCACGTGTGAGATTAAGGACAGCACCAGTGGATTCTTTCCATGTTTAAGAGTGACAATTATAACACTTGGTTAAGTATGCATATGAGAAACACAATCTCATATTTTTGATTGGCCCTGTGATGACACTGTCTGTAGTGGAGAGACACATCAGCTAGGTGCTTGTTCTGGCAATACGTCACAATAGCTCCTGAGGGAAGGGCCCAGGCAGCAAAGTCACATCACCTAGGTGAAAAGCCCAGAAATACATTGAAATGCCCCCCTGTGGGTTAGGCTCAGGAAAAAAAGGAGATTTACATAAACTAGAGGCTGGGCCACCTAAATGTTCCAATTACCCTAGCCAGCAGGATAAGAGGAAAGTCATATCATATAAACACTGGCCCAAGCAATGTGTTACAATCTTCACTGTGGATAAGTCCCAGGAAGAACAGGAGATCCACATTATTTGGTGATGGCCCTAAGATATGTCACAGTGACCCCTCGGGCAGGGACCAGATTGAATAATCACATCACCTGTGTCCTGGGCTCTGTGACAAGTCACTCTTTCTTTTGTGGACATAATTAAGAAAAAAGAGAACAGTGACATCACCGAGGTGCTGGGTTCAGAGACATGTCACAATTTCTCCTATGAGAAAAACCAAAGTAAGAGAGAAGACTCACATCAAATTGTTAATTAGCCCAGAGATATGTCACAATGCGTCCTTTTGGAAAGGAGCAAGCAGGAGGCTGACATAATCTTAATGCTGGCATCAGAAATATGTCACAATGCTTTCTGAGGGCAGGGCCAAGTTAAAAGTATAACATCATCTTGATGTTGGACTCAGCAATGTGTCACAATCTCTTTTGTGGTCAGAATCTAAAAGAGAGAGAGTGAAAGAGAGAGAGAGAGAGAGAGAAGAGCCACATCAGCTAGGCTGGGCTGAGCCCAGTGATATGTCATAATCACTGATGCTGGGCCCAATGATATGCCATAATTTTTCCTGTGAGCAGAAATAAGGCAAAAGAAGAGAGTCAGATCACATGGTTGATGGGTGCAGAGATGTGACCAAAAGTCTTATGTAAACAGGGCCCAGGCAAAAGAGTTACATTACCTGGGTGCTGGCCATTATGTCACAAATGGCTCATGTGTGTAGGGTGCGGGCAGGAGTCATATAACCTGGATGTGAGGCCAAGTGATATGTCACAATGCCCCCTGTGGAATGTGGAGAGGTGACTCACATCACCTGAATTCACAGCCCAGCAATATGTCAAACTACCCACTGTGTGCAGCTCCAAGAAAATAGAGTCACATCATCTAGGTGCTCAGTCCAGCAATATGTCAAAATTTTTTTCTGGGGACTAGGCTGAGGTAGGAGGATCCAATCACTCAGGTGCTGGGAAAAGGTGTATGTTACAATCACACCTGCAGGATGATTTAGAGATGAGATTGACAATCTCACGTGTGTCTTTGTTCCAGGTACGAGAGTCAACACTTTGTATGTTGGGTCAAAGTACATGAGTCCCAATCTCAATCATGTACTTAATCCATGCATGAAAGCCTCAATCCTTCCTGCTTACTGTGTCTTTTTAGTAAAGTCACAGTCTTAAAGGTGTGCTGAATATTGGCCTGAGAGTCACCAATACCTGTGACTGGATTCACATATGGGGGACAATTTTTTAACTTTTGACTGCCTCTGGGTTTTAGATTCAGAACCTCTACAGTGAGCGGTGTTCATGTACGAGAATGGCTATTAATACTGTAGGCTGCTTGTGCATACAAGTGTCACAATTTCCCTTGTGTGTTGGGCCCTTATAGGATACTCTCTATACCATGTGAGGGCTTCATAAAATATGCATGAGAATCTCTATTTTCTCTGAGATTTTCTTGCTGGTAGAAACCCATAATTGTATTTGTGGGTGGCAAGCCACCCAGGCACTGAGGCAAGAGACAGAGGACACGAGCTGTTCCAGTGTAATAAAATATAAAACAAGAATTGTTATACCAGATATAGATCTTAGATATGATTATATATGAGTATCATTAATCATTAGTTGGTAGCAATTACTTTTTATTCCAATATTATGATAATCCTCACTCAATAATCATAGCCTAGGAAAAACCAGGCTATACAGAGATAGGAGCTGAGGGGACATAGTGAGGTGTGACCAGAAGACAAGTGTGCGAGCCTTCTGTTATGCCCGGACAGGGCCACCAGAGGGCTCCTTGGTCTAGCGGTGACGCCAGCTTCTGGGAAGATGCCCGTTACCAAGCTGATCATGGTCCAGCGGTAGCAAAAGGTGTCAAGAAACAACACCCGCTACTTAGCAGACCGGGAAAGTGGTGGGGGGTGGGGGGGGGGGTCTCCCTTTCCCCAGGGGAGTTTAGAGAAGACTCTGCTCCTCCACCTCTTGTGGAGGGCCTGACATCAGTCCGGCTCACCCGCGGTTATCCAGAGGCCTGTCTCCCTGTGATGCTGTGCTTCAGTGGTCACACTCCTAGTCCACCTTCATGTTCCATCCTGTACACCTGGCTCTGCCTTCCAGATAGCAGTAGTCAATTAGTGAAAGTACTAATAGTCCCTGATATGCAGAAATAATGGCATAAGCTGTCTTTCTCTTTGTCTCCTCTCCCTCTCTGCCTCAGCTGCCAGGCAGGGAAGGGCCCCCTGTCCAGTGGACATGTGACCCACGTGACCTTACCTATCACTGGAGGTGACTCACATTCTTTACCCTGCCCCTTCTGCCTTGTATCCAATAAATAACAGCGCAGCCTGACATTCGGGGCCACTACTGGTCTCCGCGCATTGGTGGTAGTGGTCCCCCGGGCCCAGCTGCTTTTTCTCTTGTTTCTTTGTCTTGTGTCTTTATTTCTACACTCTCTCATCACCGCACACAGGGAGAGACCCACTGACCCTGTGGGGCTGGTCCCTACATCTGGCTCTCCGACGTGGGGCTCTCCCTCGCTGTGTGAAGTTGCACCCTGAGTGCAGGATCAGCGGAGGAGTTCAACGAGAGATTCCTGAAGATTGCAGTCAATAAACTTGGTGGTAAGCTTGAACACTCAGAGTTTTCCGGGGACCCCATGGGACAGGCCAGTACAAAGTATTCGGCTTATTTAAATTTTATAAAAACTCTTCTTAAAGAAGGAGGTGTTAAAGTTTCTACTGAAAAGTTAATTGAACTATTTGAGGTTGTAGATCTTCTTTGCCCTTGGTTTCCGACTGAGGGAACTTTAGAACTTAAAGATTGGGATGAGATTGGCAAACAATTCAAAATTGCTCATAAAGGGGGACATTTTATCCCACCCACCATTTGGTCAATCTGGGCTTCGGTTCGCTCTGTCTTAGACTCCTTACAGACTCAGGAGGACAATATGGAGACTGATCCCTCTTTCCTCTCCTCTGAGGAGGTCGAGGAAGCTCTCAGCTCTCTTTCCCCTGAGGATACCGCACAAGTTGAGAACGTAATTTCAAAGGAGGACTTCCACTCTGACATGCCTGCGACACCACCACCTACGCCAGAGGCTACTGCACCCCCATTGCCGCTTTATGATGATCTTTTAACTGACCTAAATGTACTTATCTCCCCCAATCAGCAAAACTCAGCTGAAACATATCAACAGCCATTGCGGCCAGACCCTCCTGTCTCTCCTCACTCTTTCAACACTGCCGCCGTGCAAATAGCAGATGAGACCAGGCAGCCTGTAAACGAGTCTACAAATTACGTTTCTATGCAGCCCGGTACAGAGGCTCTGCTATATGAACAGCTTGGAAAAGAGGCTTCCAATTCTCGGCCCGGTAATGAGGCCCTCAATCCTATTTCTCCTAATCTGACTCACTTAGAGTCACAGGCTCCCTTGAAGGCTGGTTCATTCCCTGCAAATCGGACTCAGTTAGAGTCACAGGCTCCCTTGAAGCCTGGTTCTTTTCCTCCTAATCGGACTCAGTTACAGTCACAGGCTCCCTTGAAGCCTGGTCCACTTCCTACAAATCGCACTCACTTAGAGTCACAGGCTCCCTTGAAGCCTGGTTCCTTTCCTACAAATCAGACTCGGGTAGAGTCACAGGCTCCCTTGAAGCCTGGTTCACACTTGCCGTGGCAGCCTGGTTTTCAGGCCCATGAAAGACCTGCTCAGCAGGTAGTCTGCTCTCACCCTGGCTTTCAGTTTTTCGACTCTCCTTCTATTCAAAATTCTACCTCTTTTTCTGCTCCTGGTCCAGTCGCAACTGCTGTTGCCAATACTACCATTGCCGCTCATAAGCAACAAATTACATACATCCCTGAAGATGACACTCCGCTTATGAGGGCTATAGTTCAGGCAAGGGAATATGGGGATCCTGAAGCTTGGCAATTTCCTGTAATTTTACAACCCCCAGTACCTGCCACCCCAGCAGTACAAAACCACCCACAGCCTGTTGTTGATCCTGCCCAGCAGGCGGCTGACCCCGCAGCTCAACAAGATCAAGAGGCTGATAATCAAGCCCCTCAGCCTGAGAATCAGGCTGCTCGGGTAAATAATCAGGCTCTGCAATTGCCGGCTCCTGGGGCACAGCCAATACCGGGCATTCCCGCTGTTCAGGTGGTAATTCAGCCTGACCCCATCCATCCAGGCCAGGTTCAGCTACGTCCTGCTACGTGGCAAAGTTTTTCTTTTAAATTCCTCAAAGATTTTAAGGAATCAGTGAAACAATATGGCACCAACTCTCCTTTTGTCCATTCCACATTAAAAGCCCTAGCAGAGGATAAACGTTTGGTACCCTATGATTGGGAAATTTTGGCAAAATCAGTCTTATCTAAATCCCAATATTTACAATTCAGGACTTGGTGGGTTGATGCTGTCCAGGAACGCATTCGTCTTAATCAGGGCTCTAATCCCCCTGTTAACGTTACGGCTGACCAGTTACTGGGAATGAGTCAATGGGCTGCAATCCGACACCAAACTATACTAAATGATGAGGTTATCGAACAACTGCGAAAATGTTACTTAGATGCTTGGGACAAAATTCAAGATGATGGTAAAGTATGCCCATCTTTCACAGCCGTCAGACAGGGACAACATGAGCCCTACCCAGACTTTATTGCTTGTCTTCAAGACGCAGCAGAAAAGGCTATTCCTGATAGCCATGGCCAAAGACTTGCTGTAGAACTTATGGCCTATGAACAAGCAAATCCAGATTGTCAGGCGGCTATTCGCCCCGTCAAAGGTAAAATTCCACCGGGTGGTGATATACTCACCTCCTACATTAAAGCCTGTGAAGGGGTGGGAGGAACTCTCCATACAGCAATGATTATGGCACAAGCTATGGCCTCTATTCAAATGCCTGGACAATCCTCTGGCCAATGCTTCATATGCGGCCAGAAGGGACATGCAAAAAGAAATTGCCCTCGGCATGCAGGTCGCTGTCCTTTACATCACCACCAACAACAACAAAAAACTTTTCAGCAACAAGATGCCCCACCTTCTACTGTATGCTCACGATGCCGAAAGGGTCTTCACTGGGCATCTCAATGCCATTCCAGATTTGATATTGATGGCAATCCTTTACGGCCTTTTAAAAATCGGGGAAACAGGATGAGGGGCTGGCCCCAGGCCCCTCTAAACAGTGGGGCATTCCTCAACTCTCAGCCCCTGGCGTCCAGCCAAACGGGAGCCTTCCCAGTTCAATCCATTCAACCTCCACCCCAATTCCCACTTCAGCAATTTGTGCCACAGGATCTAATGCCTCAGCCCCAACACCAATCTCAGTACAATGCTTGTCCCCCACCACCACAGGCTCAGCAGCAGTAGATCTCTGTTGTACCAGAGATATTTCTTTGTTGCCTGGAGAGCCACCTATTGCTGTTCCTACAGGTGTTTTTGGTCCCTTGCCGACTGGCAGTGTCGGTTTGCTAGTGGGACGTTCAAGTTTAAATTTAAAAGGTGTTCAAGTACATACTGGTGTAATTGATTCTGACTATTCAGGTGAAATTCGTATTGTCATTAGCTCTGCAGTCCCTTGGAATGCAGCAGCTGGGGACCACATTGCTCAACTCCTGATACTTCCTTACATTCCTTTGGGATCTAGTTCTAGTACAAGAAAGGGAGGTTCTGGTAGCACAGATTATCAAGGTAAAGCAGCCTACTGGGCCAGCAAAATTTCTGACACTCGTCCTGTGTGCTCCATGCATATTCAGGGAAAGAAGTTTGAGGGAATGATTGACACGGGCGCTGATGTTTCCATTATCGCTTTACATCAATGGCCCCGACACTGGCCAAAGGAGCATGCCTCCACAGCATTAGTGGGTGTTGGTCAGGCTTCACAGGTATATGAAAGCTCCATAATTTTACATTGCACAGGCCCTGAAGGACAGATTGGAACTATTCGCCCCCTCATTACACCCATTCCTGTCAATCTGTGAGGAAGAGATCTTTTTTATCAATGGGGGGCTCAGATTACTTTTCCTAAAGGCAATTACAGCCAGCAGAGTAAAGATATGATGACCAAAATGGGATTTGTTCAAGGTCTGGGTTTAGGAAAATCAGCACAAGGCATCACTGAGCCTATCATACCTACTCCTAAAGCAGACTCTACAGGACTTGGTTATTCTTTTTAGAAGCAGTCACTATCAAGCCTCCAGAACCCATCCCTTTGACCTGGAAAACTCAAAAACCTGTCTGGGTAGATCAGTGGCCACTCCCAAAAAATAAGCTGGAGGCACTTCATATTTTGGTTCTTGCACAGTTAAAATTGGGACACATTGAACCTTCTTTTTCTCCTTGGAATTCACCTGTTTTTGTTATCCAAAAGAAATCTGGTAAGTGGAGAATGCTTACTGATCTTAGGGCGGTAAATGCTGTCCTTCAGCCTATGGGGACATTACAACCCGGTTTGCCCTCCCCCACTATGATTCCTGAGTATTGGCCACTTATCATCATTGACCTTAAAGATTGCTTTTTTACCGTTCCTCTGGCTCCTCAGGACTTTGAAAAATTTGCTTTCACTGTTCCAACCCTTAACAACGTTGCTCCTGCAGCACGTTACCATTGGAAAGTCCTACCTCAAGGTATGCTCAATAGCCCCACTATTTGTCAATATTATGTGGGATGCATATTAAAGCCAGTTAGAGATAAATTTCCCCAATGTTATATTATTCATTACACAGATGATATTCTTTGTGCAGCACCTTCACGCTCTGTATTAATATCTTGTTTTTCTGCTTTACAACAAGCAGTCACAGCAGCTGGCTTGGTTATCGCCCCAGAAAAAATTCAGACTTCATCTCCTTATCACTATTTAGGGATGCAGCTAGAGGATAAGGTCATTAAGCCTCAAAAAGTTCAACTCAGACGAGACTCTTTAAAAACTCTAAATGATTTCCAAAAATTACTTGGAGATATTAATTGGATTCGTCCCTCCCTAGGCATTCCTACTTATGCTGTGTCTAATCTTTTTGCAACATTACGGGGCAATCCGGATTTACGCAGTAAAAGGTCTTTGACTCCTGAGGCGGATTCTGAATTACGACTTATAGAAAAATGCATTCAACAGTCTCAGGTTACCAGAGTGAATCCACATTTACCTTTTGAAATACTAATTTTTCCTACTGAACATTCACCAACAGGACTCATTATTCAGGGACATAATTTAATTGAATGGTGTTTTCTCCCACACAGCTCTTTACGTATGCTAACTATTTATCTAGATCAAATTTCTACCTTAATTGGTCAGGCTCGTTCTCATCTCCTTCGTCTTTCGGGAACAGAGCCCCAAAAAATCATTGTTCCCCTTACCCGATTACAAGTTCAACAGGCTTTTGCTACTTGCATCGCTTGGCAAGTGCATTTGGCAGGTTTCCCGGGTATAATTGATAATCACTGTCCTAATGTAAAATTATTTCAGTTCCTTAAACTCACGTCTTGGATTTTACCTAACGTTACTAGAAACACCCCATTACCTGAAGCTGTCACTGTTTTCACTGATGCTTCCTCTAACGGCCGAGCAGCATATACAGGACCCAGAGAACGTGTTCTTAACACAGGGGCTATTTCAGCACAACGAGCTGAGCTGCTTGCTGTTAGGGCTGTCCTTGAAGAATTTCCTGAACCAGTTAACATTGTCTCCGACTCAGCGTATGTAGTACATGTTGCTCACAACATTGAAACTGCCTTAATCCAATTTATGCCTGATGATAACCTTTCTTTTTCAAAAGTTTCAGTCTGTGCTCAGAGCAAGGTCTTCTCCTTTCTACATTACTCACATTCGGGCCCACACACCCCTCCCCGGACCCCTCTCGGCAGCAAATGCCAGAGCTGATACACTAGTTACTCCCATTTTTACAGATGCAGAAAATTTTCATGCTTTAACTCATGTCAATGCTGCGGGACTCCGAAACAAGTTCCCCCTTACATGGAAACAAGCTAAAATTATTGTGCGTCACTGTCCTACTTGTCAAGTGTTAATTTTACAGCCACTGTCTTCAGGAGTTAACCCTACAGGACTTTCACAGAATGCTCTTCGGCAAATGGATGTGACTCATTATCCTCCTTTTGGCAAGCTTTCTTTTATACATGTAACTATTGATACCTTTTCTCATTTTATTTGGGCCACTTGTCAAACGGGAGAAAGTACAGCTCATGGTAAACGACATATGCTTTCCTGTTTCTCGGTTATGGGCTGTCCTGAGAAACTAAAAACTGATAACGGCCCCGGCTACACTAGTGCTGCCTTTAAAAAGCTTCCTCAGACATGGGCAATTGCTCACACAACGGGCATCCCCTATAACTCTCGAGGACAGGCCTTGGTTGAACGAGCCAAGAAAACACTCAAAGATCAACTGCGTAAACAGGATACTAAATTAAAGGGAGATGCTGTTACTCCTCATGCCAAATTAAATCTGGCTCTTTTCACACTAAATTTCTTAAACTTAACAAGAAATCAACCTTTCACAGCCGCAGAACAACATTTCACTGTAAATAAATTTGATCCACAAAAAGGAATGCGGGTATGGTGGAAGGACGTAAAAACTAACACACGGGAATTAGGCACGGTCATAACTTGGGGTAGGGGTTTTGCTTGTGTTTCCCCAGGAAAAGGACTACAACCTGTGTGGGTCCCCTCCCGACAATTAAAACTGCACCATAACTCCAAAGATGAAACGCTCCCAGAAACAAAAGGCAAAGACCCATCGGAAACAAAAGAGCAACTTTCACCGCCTGACACATACCCTTCGTGACATCCACATTGAGACAAAATCTCGCCGTGTGACCTACAACACCTCTCGTTCAACTCCACCTACTTGGGGTCAAATAAAGATGTTATCTCATCAAACAGAAAAATTCTTAACAGAAAAAGAATCCCCCAAACGACCGGTAATATAATTGTGGCTGCCTTTATGGTAGTCAGTGCAGCGGTAAGTATACCACCGGTCGGGGCAACTCAAAATTATACTTATTGGGCATATGTTCCTTTTCCCCCTCTAATTCGGTCTGTCTCCTGGATGGACTCCCCAGTAGAAGTTTACACTAATAATAGTGCATTCATGCCGATCCCTAATGATGATCGGTTTCCAGCTCAACCGGAAGAAGAAGGTATGCACTTTAATCTGTCAATTGGCTATAAATATCCACCACTACGTATTGGGAAGTCGCCTGGCTGTTTAGCTTATTCTTACCAGAATTGGATGTGGACCGTACCGTCCTTTACAAATGATTCTTATCAAGTACATAATGTGTTCAGTACTAACTCTTTTCAACTTCTCACTGTCAAACGTACCCCACATGAGGCATGGAGAATTCCTCTCACTACCAAAACTAATAAAACAAAAGGACTGCCAGACTGTCCAAAGAAACCTACAAAGGGACCTTTTATAGTGACTTCAATTTTATGGGATGATTGTAATGCTCCCAAGGCTGTTGTGCTCAAAACTCTAGCCACGGGTATTGTTATTGATTAGGCTCCAAAAGGACATTATTGGCAAGATTGCTCCAGCAAAAAATACCTTATGTTCGGAGTTTATTCCTTAGATTATATACAGCATGGATGGCAGTCTTACACAATGAGACAATGGTGTCTCCTTACCCATTTAAATGGATGGACACAGGCATTGCTCCTCCTAGGCCAAAAATGATTCATCCCTTTGTTACCCCACAACATCCTGAACTATGGAAATTAGCTGCAGTTTTGTCAGGAATAAGGATATGGAACACTACCTATCAACTCCTTCGTACTAAAACCAAAACATCCACATTTCAACATCACCCTTATTTCTGAATGGGTGATACCTATTAGGAGCTGTGTCAAACCCTCTTACATGCTGTTGGTTGGAAATATAATTATTATGCCTGATGCACAAACTACAGAATGTCATAACTGTAAGCTGTTCACTTGCATTGATGCAACTTTTAATCCCACTACCAGTATTCTCTTGATAAGGGCTAGGGAGGGGGTATGGATACCAGTTTCTTTATGTCATCCATGGGAGTCTTCCCCCTCTATTCACATAGTCAATGAAGTTCTTAAAGGCATTCTTAAAAGAACAAAGAGATTTATTTTTACTCTTATTGCAGTCCTTGCAGGACTAATTGCGGTTACTGCAACAGCAGCAACTGCTGGAGTTGCCATCCACAACTCTGTTCAAACTGCTCACTATGTTGAAGCATGGCAGAAAAACCCCTCCAGACTTTGGAATTCTCAGGTGCAAATTGATCAAAAATTAGCTAATCAGATTAATGATCTCTGCCAAAGTGTAACCTGGCTGGGAGATAGAGTTATGAATTTGGAACACCGTATGCAATTACAGTGTGATTGGAATACTTCTGATTATTGCATAACGCCTTATGCTTATAATCAAGATCAACATAGCTGGAAAAGGTCTCAAGACATTTAAAAGCCTGGGATGACAACATAACCTTGGATATTTCACAACTTAAAGAGCAAATCTTTGAGGCTTCACAAGCCCATTTATCCACTGTTCCTGGCTCAGACATTTTTCAAGGCATAGCTAAATAATTATCTGATTTTAATCCCTTCAAATGGCTCAAACCTGTCAGAGGATCATTGTTGTTACTGGCATTATTAATATTGGTATGCTTATGTTGTCTCCTTTTAGTCTGCAGATGCCTCCAAGGAGTCCGAAACCAAGTCTGAAGTCAACGACAAGCAATGATGGCGATGGCGATTCTAGTTAATAAAAAGGGGGGAGATGTGGGTGGCAAGCCACCCAGGCACCGAGGCAAGAGACAGAGGACATGGGCTGTTCCAGTATAATAAAATATAAAACAAGAATTGTTATACCAGATATAGATCTTAGATATGATTATATATGAGTATCATTAATCATTAGTTGGTAGCAATTACTTTTTATTCCAATATTATGATAATCCTCACTCAATAATCATAGCCTAGGAAAAACCAGGCTATACAGAGATAGGAGCTGAGGGGACATAGTGAGGTGTGACCAGAAGACAAGTGTGCGAGCCTTCTGTTATGCCTGGACAGGGCCACCAGAGGGCTCCTTGGTCTAGCGGTGATGCCAGCGTCTGGGAAGACGCCCGTTACCAAGCGGATCATGATCCAGCGGTAGCAAAAGATGTCAAGAAACAACACCCGCTACTTAGCAGACTGGGAAAGGGTGGGGGGGGGGGGCGGTCTCCCTTTCCCCAGGGGAGTTTAGAGAAGACTCTGCTCCTCCACCTCTTGTGGAGGGCCTGACATCAGTCAGGCTCACCCGCAGTTATCCGGAGGCCTAACCATCTCCCTGTGATGCTGTGCTTCAGTGGTCACACTCCTAGTCTGCCTTCATGTTCCATCCTGTACACCTGGCTCTGCCTTCCAGATAGCAGTAGTCAATTAGTGAAAGTACTAATAGTCCCTGATATGCAGAAATAATGGCGTAAGCTGTCTTTCTCTTTGTCTCCTCTCCCTCTCTGCCTCAGCTGCCAGGCAGGGAAGGGCCCCCTGTCCAGTGGACACATGACCCACGTGACCTTACCTATCATTGGAGGTGACTCACATTCTTTACCCTGCCCCTTCTGCCTTGTATCCAATAAATAACAGCGCAGCCCGACATTCGGGGCCACTACCGGTCTCCGCGCATCGGTGGTAGTGGTCCCCCGGGCCCAGCTGCCTTTTCTCTTGTTTCTTTGTCTGGTGTCTTTATTTCTACACTCTCTCATCGCCACACACAGGGAGAGACCCACTGACCCTGTGGGGCTGGTCCCTACAGTATTTGTGGCCTTAAGTCCAGGAATGAAAGTCAACATGTCTCTAATTGGCTGTGTCCAGATAGGAGAGTTCTTACCTGCCTATGATGTGGGTTTAGAAATGATTCACCATCCTAATTGTTGCCGGATGTTCACATATCACAGTCACAATTCCAACTGTGACTTGCATCCACATGAGCAATTAAGAATCTTACCAGTTGGTTCTTTCCATGTATGAGAGTGATAATCCTAACAGTTGGCAGAATGTGCATACAAGAAACACAATCTCATCTGTGCACTGCACCTTGTGATGGCACCCTCTGTACCACCTGAAGGCTTTATATGGCATGTTAGAGAGTGGTTAATGCTTTATGACATTCATACATTAAGAAAGCACAGAACCCAAATTGTTTCTCTAATCCTAGCTATGGGAGACAATATCTCTGATATTGGCTGGTTCAAAATATGAGAGTCATCATCCCGTTTGTAAGCTAGGCCAAGATATATGTCACAATATCACCTGTGGGTAGGGAGCAAGCAGGAGAGTCACATCACCTGGGTAATAAGCCAAGGCTATGTTACAATCTTCCGGAGGGCAAGGACCAGGTAGAAGGGTCAAATCATCTTGGTTCTTGGCCAGTGGCATGTTATAATTCTATCTTGGAACCAAGTCACAGGCAGCAGAGTCATGTCACCTGAATGCTGGGCCAAACAATATGTCACAATGCTCTCTATGGGCAAGGTCCAGGCAGTAAGAACACATCATCTGGTTGCTGGGCCCCGCAATATGTCACAGTCTTTTTTGTGAGCAGGGTGCAGGACAAAAAGAAGACTCAAATGTTTTAGGTGATGAATGCAGAGATATGTCACAAGGTGCACTGTAGGCACGGCCTATGCAGCAGCCTCTCATCCCCCAGATGTCAGGCCCAGTGCTAAGTCACAATGCCCAAAATATGACAGGCTCAGGCAAAAAAGGAAAGTGACAGTGTCAAGATACTGGGTCCAGTGACATGTCACAATCCTGTCTACTGACAGGGCCCAAACAGAAGATGAGAGT
This sequence comes from Homo sapiens, assembly GCF_000001405.40. NCBI lineage: Eukaryota > Metazoa > Chordata > Mammalia > Primates > Hominidae > Homo > Homo sapiens. The sequence goes on along the minus strand of NC_000019.10, from coordinate 21,879,216 downwards.
CACATTACTTGGGTAATCAATGAAAATATATGTCACAATACCTTGTGGGCAGGACACATGCAGGAGAGTCACACCAAGTAGGTCTTAGACTCAGCCATATGCTACACTACACAAAGTATGCAGGGCCCAGGCAGAAAAGGAGAGAGACATCACCTCGATGCTGTACCAAGAGATACATCACATTCCCTTTTTAAGCAGAGCCGAAGCAGTGGAGGAGAGCACATCACATGGGAGCTGGGATCAGCAATCTGCCACAATCACCCCTGTGGGCAGGGCCTGTGCAGGAGAGTCACATTACCTGCATGCTGGGCCCAGTGATACATCACAATTCCTCCTGTGGGAAGAGGCCAAGCAGTAGGGAAGAGTCACATCACCTAGTACTGGGTCAAGCAAATTGTCACATTACCCCTTGGTGGCGGGGGAGTTCAGATAGAAGGCTCACATCACCTAGGTAGAAAAACTAAACGTGTGTCACAATGCCCCGTGAGCATAGGGCTCAAATAGAAGTGGAAAGTTGCATAACTTAGAGGCTGGTTTCAGCTATGTGTCACCATCACTTTAGTGAGCAGGGCCCAGGCATATGAAAAGAGTCACACATTTAGGTGCTCAGTCAAGTGATATGTCACAATATTCACTGTGTACAGGGCACAGGCAGAAAAGGAGAGTAACATCAACTAGGAGATGGGTCCAGGAGTATGTCTCCTATGGGGAAACCAGGCAGAAGGATCACATTACCTGTGTGCTGGGCCCAGTGATGTTACTCTCCTTCTTGTGGGCGTGGTTGAGGCAAGAGAGAAGAGTCACATCACCTAGGTTCTGGGCCCAGAGGTTTATCATACTCTGCCCTATGGGCAAAGCCAAGGTCAGAGAAGAAAGTCACATCAAACAGTTAATTAGCCCAGAGATATGTCACAAAGCCCTCTGTGAGAAGGCTCGAAGCAGGATACTCACATCACCTTCGAGCTTGGCCCACCAGTATATCACAATGCCTTTTGAGGGCAGGTCCCAGGCAAAAGAGCAACATTATGTTGGTGTTGTTTCCAGCAATATGTCACAATCTTCCCTGCAGGCAGAACCTGGAAAAAAAAGAAAAGTCAAATCAGCTAGGTGCTGGGATCAGTCATAAGTCATAATCCCACTTTGTTTTTTGTTTTGTTTTGTTTTTTGTTTTTCTGAGACAGAGTTTCACTCTTGTTACCCAGGCTAGAGTGCAATGGCATGATCTCAGCTCACTGCAACCTTTGCCTCCCAGGCTCAAGTGATTCTCCTGCCTCAGCCTCCCAAGCAGCTGGGATTACAGGCATGTGCCACCACACCCAGCTAATTTTTGTATTTGCAGTAGAGACAGAGTTTCACCATTTTGGCCAGGCTGGTCTTGAGCTCCTGACCTCAGGTGATCTACCTGACTCAGCCTCACAAAGTGCTGGGATTACAGGCATGAGCCACTGTGCTCAGCCATAATCCCATTTTGGAAGGGTCACATCACTCACAGAGTTGTGTCACAATGCCCTCTGCAGGTAGGAGCAAGGCAAAAGAGTAATTTCCCCTGGGTTTTAGAGCAAGAAATATGTCACAATGGCCACTATGCTCAGGGACCAGGCATGGAAGTTACATAACCTGGGTGTAGAGCCCAGTGATATGTCACAATGCCCCCTGTGCACAGTGCCAAGGCAGGAGAAGAGTCATCACCTGAGTGCGAAGACAAGTAATGTGTTATTTGCCTTCTTTGGACAATGCCAATGCAGGAGAATAGAGTCACATTACCTAGTTGTTGGGTCTAGCAATGTCACAATCCCATCTGTGGACTGGGCTCTCACAGAAAAGTAAAATAACTCAAATGCTGGAGAGGCATATTTCATATCACCTTTGAGCTGGGCCCACCAATATTTCACAATGCCTTTTGAGGGCACAATCACACCTGCATGAAAGGCCAGGGATGAGATTAACAATCCTGCACATTTCTCAATTACAGGTATGAGAGGAAACACTTCCTGTATGTTGAGTCTAAGTACGTGATTCACAGTCTCAACAGTGGACCGGAGCCACGCGTGAAAGCCTCAATCCGTCCCGCAGCCTGTCTCCTTAGCGGAGTCACAACCTCACGAGAGTGCTGAGTCTTGGTCTGAGAGTCACCAACCCACCTGTGGACCGGATTCACATATGAGAGTCAATTTTCCAACTTTCAACTGCTTCTGGGTGTGAGATTCAGGACCTCAGCAATGGGCTGTGTTAGTGTTAATGGATGACAATCTTTACTGTCATCTGGGCATGTGTACAGCAGACACGATCTCACTTGTGTGCTGAGTCACGTTAGGATACTCTCTGTACCAGTTGAGGGCTTTTTATGGTATGTGTGAGAGTCACGATCTGCTCTGATACCTTCAGGCTGGTATGGGCCCATGATCTTACCTGTGGCCATAAGCCCACATCAACATCTCTCCAATTGGCTGGGTCCAGATGTGAGGGTGCTCAATGAACCTATAAGCTTAGTTTAGAAATGAGTCACCATCCCAATTCTATCTGGATATTTGCATGCGACTGTCACAATTCTAACCGTGGACTGCATCTTTTCATGAGACTTAGGACCTCACGAGTGGCCTCTGTCCGCTTGTGACGATGACCATCCTAACTGTTGTCAAAGTTTGCATATGAGAGACACAATCTCAACTTTGTGCTGGGGCCCCTTTATGACACTCTGTACCACCCAAGGGCTTTATGTGATAGGCAAGAGCATGATAATCCCCTGTGATTTTTGTAAAACGAAATAACCCAGACTCTTACTGTTTTGCTAAGCCAAGCTACAAAAGACAGTATCTCTCCTACCAGCTGGTTCAAAGTATGAGAGTAATCATCACACCTGTAAACTTGGCCAAACTATATGTCACAACACCACCTGTGCATAGAGAGTGAGAAGGGACATCAAATCCCCTGAGTGTTGGTCCAGTGACATGTCACAATTTTCACTGTGGGCAGGGTGCAGACAGGAAAAAAAAGCCACAACACCTGGGTGCTTGGCCAAAGATATGTCACAATCTTCTCCTGAAAGCAGGGCACAAGCAGCAGAGTCATATCACCTGGGTGTTGGGCACAGTGATATGTCCCAATTTACTCTGTGAGCAGGACACAGGCAAAAAGAATCACATTACCTGGGTGCTGGGCCCAGCGATAGGTCACAATGACCCCTGTGGAAAAGGCCATGCAGGAGAGACACATTACCTAGTTGCTAAGCCCAGCGATATGTCACAATCCTTCCTGTTGGCAGGGTGCAGGTAGAAAAGAAGAGTCACAACATCTAGGTGATGCATGCAGAGATATGTCACAAGTCTCCCTGTGGGCAAGGCCCAGGCAGGAGTGTACTATCCCATGGATGTTGAGCCCAGCAATATGTTAAAATACTCAAAGTATATGGGGCCCGGGCAAAAGAACGGTCACATCGCCTAGGTGCTGGTACAGGGATGTGTCACAATCCCCGTTTTTAGCATGTCCCAGGCAGAAGAGGAAGGTCACATCACCAAGGTGATGAATCAAAGATATCCCATAATACTCCTGGTGTCAGGGCCCATGCAGGAGGGTCACATCACCTAACTGTTGGACCCAGTGATATGTCACAATACACAATGTATCCAGGGATCAGGCAGGATAGGAGAGTAACATCACCTAGGTGCTGCTCTGAGCTATACATTAAAATCTATATTGTGGGCAGAACCCAAGCAGTGTAGAAAAGTCAGATCACCTAGGTGCTGTGTTTAGTAATAGGTCACAACAGCCCCTGAGGAAAGGGTTCAGAAAGAAGCATCAAATCACCTAGGAGAGGGGCTTAGAGATGTTACAATACCTTTGTGGGTAGAGCTCAGGAAGAAGAGAGTGGCATAATATAGAGGCTGCGTCTAGCTATCTATTCAATCACTCACATAGGCAGGGCCCGGGCATGAGAGGAAGTTCCATCGCCTAGGTTCTGGGAGAAGCAATACGTCACAATCCCCACTAAGGAGAGGGCTCAGGCAAAAGAGGAGAGTGACATTGCCTAGGGCATGGGCCCAGAGTTATATCACAATGAACATGTGGACAGGGCCAACGCAGAAGTGTTAAATGACCTGTGTGCTGGGCCCAGAGATATGTCACAGTTACTTTAATGGGCAAAGCCCACATCAGATAAAAGAGGCATCTCAAATATGTTGTAAGTTGATGAGCCCTGAGATATGTCACAATGTCCCCCCCGAACAGATTCAAGGCAGGAGATTCACATCACCTCGGTGCTGAGCCCAATGAAATGGCACAGTGTCTCCTGAGTGCAGGGCCAAGGCAAAAGAGCAACACCAACTTGGTATTGAGGCCAACCATATGCCACAATCCACTCTGGGAGCAGTTGTCAGGCAGGAGAAAAGAGTCACAACACCTGGGTTATGGCCCAATACATATGTTACAATCTTGCCCATGGGCAAAGCCCAGGTGAGACAGGAGAGTCACATCAAACAGTCGATGGGCTCAAAGATATGCTACAATACTCCCTAATGGGAGTGCCCAGATGGAGAGTCACATCGCCCAGGTTCTTTTCCCCAACTGCTTCTTCCTAGGTTGAGTCCTGTGACTTGATTAGAATTAAGTGTGCTGAAATCCTGCAAGCCTCAGCTTCTCAGTAGCACCTGAGCTTTTAGAAAGCTATTCCATTCACTAAGTAATGCCATTTATAGCCTTCCATTAGACGTGAACAGAAGAAAACTGTTTAACTGGCAGAGAGATAGGTTTAACTAGCCCAGAGATATATAAACATTCCCCCTGTAGGTTGGGCTCAGGAAAAAGAAGAGAGTCACATAACATAGGAGCTGGGCTCAGCTTTATGTCATAATAACCCCTGCAGGCAGGGCCCAAGCACAATAGGAGAGTCTTATTACTTAGGTGCTGAGCCAAGCCATATGTTGAAATCTTCACTGTGGACAGGGTCCAGGCATAAGAGGACAGTCGCATCTCTGATGGGACCATAGATATGTCACAATGACTTCTGCAGGCAGGGCCCAGGCCAAAGAATCAGCCAATTAGTTCAGCAAACTTGGATTCAATCAAACAGTTATCTAAATAGCGACTGCAGATTCATCAAGTCAGGCCCAAAACAGTGGACGTGACAGCACATTCCTACACTGAGAAGGTAGGCAGGTTCCTGAAATGCTAATCTGGTCATAAAGCATTAAATTGCTATGCTGTCAGCTTACTTCAAAGACCTCACCTTTGAAAGTGAAGCTTTGTTTGTGTTTATGTAGACAACATTGTACGGCAATGTACAATCCTGGGTTTGTATTGTGGCATACAGTAGGGTAATAAGTCCGTATCTGCATCCTGATTATATACTAAGGTATTGAAAATGCCTTTTTGTGAACATCCAGTGTACACCTAAATATTTACATAGATGTACTTATCTATCTAAATATTTACATAGATGTACATCTACCTGTGTATATCTATATCCAGATATATTCATTTTTGTATTTTTATTCATAAAAAGTAAAGATGCAGAAGGTGAAAGGGTTGATAGGTATTGATACTGATACTGATATATAAAAATAATTCCATAGATGTATAAAGCGTTCTGACCAATAAACTCTATCTAGAGTAGTACACAAATGGAGGCATGCTATAACGTCCATCCATCTGCATTTAACTTATACAAAATAAGCATTGGTCCTTGTTGCTGACTTCTGGGAGATAAAAATTCACTAAGGCCATGAGAGTCATTCATGCCAAATCAAGGATAACCCTTTTTATTCTAGTGAACACAGAACCAAAATTAAATTAGCCTCTGCTGAAAAGCCCTAACCCAAATGTGCGAATGCTGAAAATGTTTATTTAAAGCTTCCACCAATTGAGGTAATTCTTTTTTTTGAACATGGGACAAAAAAATAAATTATTGTATTGCATTTTGTTGGCTGGAGAAGCAACTTTATTTGGTAGGAAATGAATAGTTGAGGTCTGTGACTTGAAGATACATTGCTGTACTGACAGTGAATTTTAGTTTTCTCTAGACACTTTCTTCTGTTTTATATATATATATATAACATGCAGGGTTATATAAATATGTTTATTCAATGACCATTTATGAGTATGTCTTGGAAAAAAAATAAAAGTATGTCAGAGGTCATTACCCTACCCTTGCTTCTCAACACACGTGAATACAATCAGCCAACCAGCTCAGCCCAGAAATATACTTCCAGAAATAATTATCTTTAAACTTCAGGGGCTCTTTTGTATGAATATATGACATAGCATGATAATTTGGGGATTTTTTTGTTTTGTTGGCTAAAGAAGTAACTTTTTAAGGTAGAGAAAAAAAAATTGGAGTCTATGACTCAAAGTTAGCCTGCTACACTGAAAGGAAATTAAGTTTTCTTTGGATAGATTTTTTTGTAGATTTAGATACAGATATAAAATACATAGATGAATTAACACATAGAAATCACAGGGTTATGCAAATATGTCTATGTAATTTCCATTTGTGAGTGTGTCTTGCAAAGAAGCCTCAAAATAAAAGATGTCATTTTACTACTCATTTCCCTCAAGACAGGTTAATTGATGCAGCTGATTAGGTCAGCCCCGGTGATTTCAATCATTCAATTAGCTCAGCCCAGGTTCTCCAATTAGCCAATTAGCTCAGCCCAGGTGAATAAAATCAGCCAATTAGCTCAGGCCAGGTGATTCCAATCAGCCAGTTAGCTCAAAGAAGTTAGACCCATCAGTCAATTATCAAAATATCAACAGTGAATTTCTCAAGGCAGAGTTACAATGGTTGATGGGAGTAGTGCATGCATAGATTGAAAATAAAAGCAGGGCCATAAAATGCTAATCTGAACATAAACTATTAGTTCGTGTACTGTGATCTTCCCAAATCTTTCTCATGCAGGAGAAGCTTTGTTTACATTTAAACAAACAACATCGTATGTCTATGTTTCATTCTGGAATACTATTGTGTTAGAGTAGAGAAGTAATTCTACATCTTTATCTATAATATATACTAGGGTATTGAAAATGTCTTTTGGCCAACATAATGTGTATACATTAATATTTACACATATGTAGTCATATAATCCTATATGTGTGTGTATGTTTATCTATGTATGTCTATATTCAGATGCATCCATCTTTGTATCTATATTTATAAAACATAATGATGTATAGCCAGGTGCGGTGGTTCACACCTGTAATTTTAGCACTTCAGGAGGTTGAGGTGGGTGGATTGCTTGAGCTCGAGTTTTAAAGAGCCAGGTGTAGTGGTATGTGCTTGTAGTCCCAGCTACTTGGGAGGCTGAGGTGGGAGGATTGCTTGAGCTCAGGGGACAGAGGTTGCAGTGAACCTACATGGCACCACTGCTCTCCAGCCTTGGTGACAGAGTGAGACCCTGTCTCAATAAAAAAATAAGAATAATGATGTATAAAGTGGAAATATTGATTGATATTGGTAATGATAGTGACATAAAAAGATGCTTTTATATATGTATAGACTTAACTTCCCCATAAACTATTCAAAAAATAGTACAAAAATGGAACTATGCTCCCACATACATCTTTCTGCTTTTAACAAGAAAGGATCATTTCTTGTTGCTCACTTCTGAACAATAAAAATATGCTAAGGTTATGAAAGACATTCATTGCCAGGTCAAGGGTGACCATTTTCTTTCTGGTAAACATAGGACCAGAAATAAAATAGCCTCAGCTTAAAGGCCCTCACCCAAATGTGAAAGTGCTGAATAATTGTCTTTAAAGCTTTCATAAATTTAAAGAATCTTTTTCAAACGTGTGACACAGGAATCAATCCTTGTATTTTTGTTTTCTTTGCTGAAGTAGTGACTTTTTGGGTAAGAGAATAAAAGCCAAGGGCTGTAACTTGAGCATTTACTTCAATACTGGAAAAAAAATGTTAGTTTTATTGGACACATTTCTCTGTAGATTTTGATCTAAATATGACATATATAGATAGATAAACATATACAAACACACAGGGTTATGTAAATATGTCTATATAATGTTGATCTGTGAGCACTTTTTTGTAAAACAGCCCCAAAATAAAATTAAATCAGAAGTCATTTTTCTACACATTCTATTTGGAAACAGTGAATCCATTCAGTCAATGAGCTCAGCTCTGGTGAATCCAGTCAGCCAATTAGCTCAGTCCAGGTGACTTTAATAAGCTAGTTAGCTCGACTCAGGTGGATCCAATTATGCAATTGTCTAAATAGGGACTGCAGATTCATCAAGTCAGGCCTAACATAGTGAATGTAAATAGCATGTTGATACAGTGAGAAACAAAGCAATAGCCTGAAATGCTAGCCTGGAAATATAGCATTACATAGCTGTACTGTCAGCTTACTTTCTAGACTTATTCCCTGAACCTGAAGCTTTGTTTACACTTATACAAACAACATTGCTTGGCTCTGTTTCATTATGAGATGTTATTGTGCCACAGAGTACCGAAGTTACTATACATTTGTGTTCTTAATATATACTAGAGCATTTAAAATGTCTTTTCAGAACATGCTTTGTATACATAAATGTTCACATAAACATACATAATTCTGTATGGGTTTTTGTTTACCTTTCTACCTATGTATATCTATATGCAAACATATTTAGCTTTGTATGTATATTCATACAGAAAAAAATGTGGAAAGTGGAAATATTGATAGGTATTGATTCTAATAATGGTATAAAAAAGACTTTTATACATGTATAATCTTAACTGCCTTATAAACTATATCCAGAATCACACATACGGGAGGTTGTTCTTAAATACAACCTGCTGCATTTAACATACATGAAGAAAGCATTGTTTCTAGTTTCTTTCTTCTAGGAAATAAAAATGCACTAAGGCCAAGGGAGTCATTCATTGTCATGCAAAGCTGGACCCTGGCCATATTTCAACCAAGTGATAGCGAACATGTGCTGAAGTGTTAGTGGTGGCTCTTATTCTCCAGGCTAAATCTTTGTGAGAAAGGCTAGAGTCCCTGGTGTCAGGCACTTCTGGCTTGTCCTAGCTGTGTGGTTAGGATTCCACTGAGCAAGTTTGATTAGACCCTGAATTAAAAACACTCGGGTGCCAGATAACAAGAACATTTACACATTTATAAGAATAATGTGATGTGATATGTAGCTTGGATTTGGTAAATCACGACTGAGCAATCAGCCTATTAGGCTGACTTGATTCACCTGGTCTGGAAAGAATGCAAATAAAAATGACCTCTGACCTAGCTTCATTTAGTTCTGTACATGTATTTATAGATATAAGATATGTGGATAGCGAAACATATACACCCAGAATGGTTCACATAGGTGTATCTAGGTAAAGTCCATTTGTGCTTATGCCAGGTAAAAAAGCCTCAGAAGGAAAGTAGATCAAAGTTCATTTTCCTTGCCTGCTCATCCAGACCAGGTGAATTCAATAAGCCAATTAGCTAAGCTCAGGTGATTTTAATCAGCCAAATTAGCTCAGCCCAGGTAAATATAATCAGCCAATTAGCTAGTTTGGGAAAGAAGAAGCATCAAGGAAGGCCCCCAGTGATGGATATAAATAACAGGCATGCAGTGAAAAGAAAAAAGCAGGGCCTTCAGATTCCAAGTTTTCCATAAAACCTTACATAACAGTACTGGAACTTACTTCTCAGGCTGTGTCCCTCAATGTTATTGTATAGCTAGCTGGGTTCCAGCCTGAGATGCTATACAACCATATATTTGAATGTAAGTCTATGCCTCAACATCAGTTTTGGCTGGAGGAGGATGTCTCTTGAACATATTTTGTATACATAAATATTTACATAGACAAACCCATATAATTTTATGCTTGCCTGTATCTACTTACAAACATCTATATCCAGATCTAATTATCATGCTCTTTATATTCAGAGTAGAGACATAAGAGGTAAATGTATTGATAGATATTTGTACTGTTAGTAACATAAAAAGAAACTTCCATATATGCAAAATTTTATTTGCCATTTAAACTATATCCTCAAGAGTACACTAATAGAAGCATGTTCTGACATACATAGTTATCATGTATTGCATATCAAGAAAAATTATTTTTTATGGCTCAAACCTGTGAGCAGAAAATAAACTAAAGCCATGATATCATTCATTGCTAAGTCAAGGAATACCTTTTTTATTCTGGTGAACTTGAGACCAGAAATAAAACAGGCTTAGCTTAAAGATCCTGACTTGTTGTAGGAGCACCATCCCACATACCTCTCCTTAGAAGCCTTTCCACCACTGTGATTCTGGCCTGAGGGGGGCATAGAAAGTGTGGGGTTGGGAAACAAAGCTAACTTGAACTGGCATTGATCACAGTGTATCTTCCAGGCTTCCCCCTGGCAGCAGCAGGCCTCCCATAGACTCCAGTGTTCCCAAATCGCTCCATCAGACAGATTCTGCCAGCCTCCCTTTTGCCTAGGAGGGGAGACAGATGACTGGTGCTTCCTGCTCTGCTACCTCCCCAGATTTCTCTCTGAATGTGTTGTCGCACACACTTCCTTTCCTCTCATTGGAAGTAATCTTCTAACAACTCATGGTCCTGCAGCTTTCTCAGGCTCATTTCCCTCCCGATAAGAAAAAGAAGAGAAAAAAATATGGACAAATTGCTCTCTGTAGGCAGCAAATGCAAATCAAGGCCCTCCCCTTCAAGAAAGAAGTAGAATGAGGAAAAAGGCTTATTGAGCCTCTTGTGATTGATTAAGAATCATACATCTAGATTTATCTGTATTCTAGAACTAGAAAAAATCTTTAGTGCACAAAATTAAATACTGTAATGCTTTCTACAATATTCAAAACCAACAGAGATTAGGAGCACTTCACTCAGTGGCGCTTGTGCCCCTAAAAACAACCAACCAACCAAAAAAAAAAACAGGTTCCTGAGATTGATCTGTTTCAACATTTTTGTTCTCAATCCCGGTACTATCACTACGCATCTGGACTGAAACACAAACTGAAAAAAATCAACACATAAATGATATGACTGGAGGCCAGGTGCAGTGGCTCACGCCTGTAATCCCAACACTTTGGGAAGCCAAGGCAGGTGGATCACGACGTCAGGAGATCGAGACCATCCTGGCCAACATGGTGATACCCCATCTCTACTAAAAATACAAAAATTAGCTGGGTGTGGTGGCATGTGCCTGTAATACCAGCTACTTGGGAGGCTGAGGCAGGAGAATCACTTGAACCCAGGGGGCAGAGGTTGCAGTGAGCCAAGATGACACCACTGAATTCCAGCCTGGTGACAGAACAAGACTCTGTCTCAAGGAAAAAAAAAAAAATGACCAGGATGGAGATGGTGGCTCATGCCTGTAATCCCACTACATTGGGAGGCCGAGATGAGTGGATCATTTGAGGTCAGGAGTTCCAGACCAGCTTGGCCAACATGGAGAAACCTCGTCTGTACTAAAAATGCAAAAATCATCTGGGGGGCGGGGGGTGCACCTGTAGTCCCAGCTACTTGGGAGGCTGAGGTGGGAGAATTGCTTAGAACAGGGAGGCAGAGGTTGCAGTGAGCTGAGATCCCACCACTGCACTCCAGCTTGGGTGATACAGTGAGACAAAATAACAATAATGTTAAAAAAGAAATATATATGAGCAGACCCTGGGCAACATAGTGAGACCACATCTCTGCTAAAAAGATGGTTAGATACATAGGTAGATAGATAGATAGATAGATGATAGATAGATAGATAGATAGATAGATAGATAGATAGATAGAACGAACAAGCCAGGCATGGTGGCTCACACCTGTAATTGCAGCACTTTGGGAGGCCAAGGTGGGCAGACTGCTTGAGCACAGAAAACATGGTGGAACCTGTCATGTGCGTCCATGTCAAGACAGTCCACCAACAGACTTTGTGTGAGCAACAAGGCTTTTTATTTCACTTGGGTGCAAGTGGGCTGAGTCCGAAAAGAGAGTCAGCAAAGGGAGATAGGGGTGGGGCAGTTTTATAGAATTTGGGTAGGTAGTGGAAAACTACAGTCAAAGGGGGTTTTTCTCTTGTGGGCAGGGGCGGGGGTTACAAGGTGCTTGGTGGGGGAGCTTCTGAGACTCATTGTCCAGGAGAAGGAAGGTCACAAGGTTAATTGATCAGTCAGAGTGGGGCAGGAACAAATCACAGTGGTGGAATGTCATCAATTAAGGCAGGAACTGGACATTTTCACTTCTTTTGTGGTTCTTCTGGAACAGGAATTAAAAGAAATTAAAGAATGTGTAAGCAGAAACTCAGTTGTACGTAAGAAAACCCAACTCCCCCTGAGAAAGAGAAAGAGCTGGAGTCCTTTAAAAACTAGCTCTCCCTCCCCCTCCCCCTCCCCCTCCCCCTCCCCCTCCCCCTCCCCCTCCCCCTCTCCCTCTCCCTCCGGTCTCCCTCTCATGCGGGGCCGAAGCTGGACTGTACTGCTGCCATCTCGGCTCACTGCAACCTCCCTGCCTGATTCTCCTGCCTCAGTCTGCCGAATGCCTGCGATTGCAGGCACGCGCCGCCACGCCTGACTGGTTTTGGTGGAGACGGGGTTTCGCTGTGTTGGCCGGGCCGGTCTCCAGCCCCTAACCGCGAGTGATCCGCCAACCTCGGCCTCCCGAGGTGCCGGGATTGCAGACGGAGTCTCGTTCACTCAGTGCTCAATGGTGCCCAGGCTGGAGTGCAGTGGCGTGATCTCGGCTCACTACAACCTACACCTCCCAGCCGCCTGCCTTGGCCTCCCAAAGTGCCGAGATTGCAGCCTCTGCCCGGCCACCACCCCGTCTGGGAAGTGAGGAGTGTCTCTGCCTGGCCGCCCATCGTCTGGGATGTGAGGAGCCCCTCTGCCTGGCTGCCCAGTCTGGAAAGTGAGGAGCGTCTCCGCCCGGCCGCCATCCCATCTAGGAAGTGAGGAGCGCCTCTTCCCAGCCGCCATCACATCTAGGAAGTGAGGAGCGTCTCTGCCCGGCCGCCCATCGTCTGAGATGTGGGGAGCGCCTCTGCCCTGCCGCCCCATCTGGGATGTGAGGAGCGCCTCTGCCCGGCCGAGACCCCATCTGGGAGGTGAGGAGCGTCTCTGCCTGGCCGCCCCGTCTGAGAAGTGAGGAGCCCCTCCGCCCGGCAGCTGCCCCGTCTGAGAGGTGAGGAGCCTCTCCGCCCGGCAGCCACCCCATCTGGGAAGTGAGGAGCGTCTCCGCCCGGCAGCCACCCCGTCCGGGAGGGAGGTGGGGGGGGGTCAGCCCCCCGCCCGGCCAGCCGCCCCGTCCGGGAGGTGAGGGGCGCCTCTGCCCGGCCGCCCCTACTGGGAAGTGAGGAGCCCCTCAGCCCGGCCAGCCACCCCGTCCGGGAGGGAGGTGGGGGGGTCAGCCCCCCGCCTGGCCAGCCGCCCCGTCCGGGAGGGAGGTGGGGGGGTCAGCCCCCCGCCTGGCCAGCCGCCCCGTCTGGGAGGGAGGTGAGGGGGTCAGCCCTCCGCCCGGCCAGCCGCCCCGTCGGGGAGGTGAGGGGCGCCTCTGCCCGGCCGCCCCTACTGGGAAGTGAGGAGCCCCTCTGCCCGGCCAGCCGCCCCATCCGGGAGGGAGGTGGGAGGGTCAGCCCTCCACCCGGCCAGCCGCCCCGTCTGGGAGGTGAGGGGCGCCTCTGCCCGGCCGCCCCTTCTGGGAAGTGAGGAGCCCCTCTGCCCGGCCAGCCGCCCCGTCCGGGAGGGAGGTGGGGGGGTCGGCCCCCCGCCCGGCCAGCCGCCCCATCCGGGAGGGAGGTGGGGGTGTCAGCCCCCCGCCCGGCCAGCCTCCCCGTCCGGGAGGGAGGTGGGGGGGTCAGCCCCCCGCCCGGCCAGCCGCCCCCTCCGGGAGGGAGGTGGGGGGGGATCAGCCCCCCTGCCCGGCCAGCCGCCCCGTCCGGGAGGTGAGGGGCGCCTCTGCCCGGCCGCCCCTACTGGGAAGTGAGGAGCCCCTCTGCCCGGCCACCACCCCGTCTGGGAGGTGTACCCAACAGCTCATTGAGAACGGGCCAGGATGACAATGGCGGCTTTGTGGAATAGAAAGGCGGGAAAGGTGGGGAAAAGATTGAGAAATCGGATGGTTGCCGTGTCTGTGTGGAAAGAAGTAGACATGGGAGACTTTTCATTTTGTTCTACACTAAGAAAAATTCCTCTGCCTTGGGATCCTGTTGATCTGTGACCTTACCCCCAACCCTGTGCTCTCTGAAACATGTGCTGTGTCCACTCAGGGTTAAATGGATTAAGGGCGGTGCAAGATGTGCTTTGTTAAACAGATGCTTGAAGGCAGCATGCTCGTTAAGAGTCATCACCAATCCCTAATCTCAAGTAATCAGGGACACAAACACTGCGGAAGGCCGCAGGGTCCTCTGCCTAGGAAAACCAGAGACCTTTGTTCACTTGTTTATCTGCTGACCTTCCCTCCACTATTGTCCCATGACCCTGCCAAATACCCCTCTGTGAGAAACACCCAAGAATTATCAATAAAAAAATAAATTTAAAAAAAAAATAATAATTCTGTGTACTTGAGTGACTTATGTATGAAATGTAGGAAAACCGTTTTAAAATCAGAATGTATGATGGACATAGAGAGTAGAAAAATGGTTATCAGAGGCAGGGAAGGGTAGTGGGGGTGGGAGGGAGGTGGGAATGGTTAATGGGTACAGAAAAAAATAGCTAGAAAGAATGTATAAAACATACTATTTTATAGCACAACAGGGTGACTATAGTCAATAATAACTTAATTGTACATTTTTAAAATAACTAAAAGTGTGTAACTGGATTGTTTATAACACAAAGGATAAATGCTTGAGGGGGTGGATACCCCATTCTCCATAATGTGATTATTACTCATTGCATGCCTGTATCAAAACATCTCATGGACCCCATAAATATATATACTACTATGTACCCACAACAATAAATAAATAAATAAATAAATAAGATCAGAACATAAAAAAAAAAAAAAAAAAAAACTAACTGCCTGTTTTTCCATCGCTAGTGAGCTTTATCTTTCCTCACTTCCCAGGCATTGTGAAGACCCTGATTCCATAGCTGTGAAGCTGCAAGGTCACTAGACAGATAAACTCAAGTCGCAAAACATGGTTTTCCTTGAAAAGTAAGAAATGATGTAATGCATGTCTCAACAAAATAACTGTCTTTGTTTCTCACTTCTGTAGTATGATTCCTCCTGCACAGATCTCCCCCCACCCACAAAATGCCTAAAAGCTAACTTAACTCTTTGTTGAGGGCTCAGTCCTTTGGATGTTAATCCGTCTGGGCTGATGAACCAAAGTAATTAATAAATATCCTCCTGAACCTCATCAGTCTCTCTGATTCCCTAAAATCTGGCTATACTTCAGTTGCCTCAGGCCATCTAGATGTATACAAGCAAGCTTGGGCTCAGAGGTCTGACGTTCCTGTCTTCTTATATTAATAAGAAAAAACAAAACAAAATAGTGGTGAAGTGTTGGGGTGGCAAAAATGTTTGGAGGTCGTATGGAGAGATGATGGGCAATGTTTCTCAGGGCTGCTTCAAGCAGGATTAGGGGCAGTGTGGAAACCTAGAGTGGGAGAGATTAAACTGAAGAAAGATTTTGTGGTAAGGGGTGATATTGTGGGGTTGTCAGAAGGAGCATTTATCATATAGAATGATTGGTAATGGCCTGGATGTGGTTTTGTATGAATTGAGAAACTAAATGGAAGACACAAGGTCAGAATAAGAGAAGGAGAAAAACAGGTATTAAGTGACTAAGAATTAGGAGGAGCCAGGACATCCAATTAGAGAGTGCCCAAGGGGGTTCAGCATAATTATTTGCCTCGTTGGCAAGTTTTGGGCTCTATCCTTGAGTTTTTGTATGTTGTCATATACCAGGCCAGATTGATTTAGGTAAAAACAACATTCTTCATTTGGAAATATGCAGAGTCCTCCTTTTTCAGCAGTAAGTAAGCCGAGGCCTACTCCTGTCTTCTCATATTAATCAGAAAAATAAAAGAAAATTGTGGTGAAGTGTTGATGTCATGAGAGGAACAGAAAGTTGTTCGGTCCTGTTTGCAAATTGATTTTTTTGGGATAAGGAAAACTAACGTACATGTGCCTGTCCAATTAATAGGTAGACACATGTAGGCGGAGGAGCCACAGAGGAAGAAGAGACCGTTGTGAGGCAAAATTGGAGCACCAAAAGAGGTATCTTGCACCCAGACTTTTAGGGATCTAGTGAGGGCAGCAGCCATTAAAGGTTGTAATGGGGACTGATAAGGCAACTGGGTAGTGGGGGAGGTTCAATTTTTATGGTGTATGAGAAAGTGCATACTGTTTACAAGAAACCTTTCATTGCTATTCATAGGGTTGGGTATAAGCAAACAAGAAAGGGGGCTGGGAGGAGAGTCGGAAGAAAAAGGGGAAGGTAGTCAATGATGGAGTGAAATGCAGGGCAAATGTCTTAAAGGAAATGAGGGGTTCTAAGAGGTGGGCTAGTGGCTTGTAACCCACATAGAAAAGGTTTTGAAAGGACAATAGAATGAAATGAGCCTGTCATGATGGAAAGAAGAATTTTCCTTGGTCCAAGAATCATTTGCCTTGTGTGGGAAGAGATTGATAGGTGGAAATTTCCATGGGAGAGTAGGTGGGAGTGACCGATGAGAAAGAGAAAAACTGGCCATGAGGGACAGAAGTTGGAATGCTAGTTGCTTCTTTAGCTACCTTATCAGCATAAGCATTGCCCTGAGCAATGGCATCTGATATCTTTTGATGGCCCTTGCAGTGAATGACTCCAGCTTCTTTGGAAGTAGAGCAGCTTTAAGAAAAGTTTTTATTAAGGAGGCATTAATGATTGAAGACCTTTGTGTAGTGAGGAAACCTCTTTCTGGCCATGTAATAGCATGGAGGTGAAGGATGTGGAAGGCATACTTGGAATCAGTATCAATATTGACATGTAGTCCCTTTGTAAGAATGAGGGCTCAAGTTAAGGCAATGAGTTTAGCTTGTTGAGAGGTAGTGGAAGGGGACAGGGAAATAGCCTCAATGATAGATGGAAGACACTATAGCATAGCCTGCCTTTGCTGGTGATTGGCGATTGGGTCTGGAAGAACTACTGTCAATAAACCAAGCGCAGTCTGGGTGGGGAACAGGAAAGAGGGAAATATGGGGAAATGGGGAGAATGCCATGTGGATTAGAGAGACATAGTCATGGGGTTCAGGTGTAGTATCAGGAATAAGATGAGAGGCCAGACTGAAGTCTGGGCCAGGAACAATGGTAATTGTGGGAGACTTAACAAATAGTGAGTACAGTTAAAGGAGCCAGAGGGCAGAAAATATATGCATCAAGTGCAAGGAGGAAAATAGATTTTGACAGTTATGGGAACTGTAGAGAGTAAGTGGAGCATAGCTTGTGATTTTGAGGTCCTCTAAAGGTACTAAAGCGGCAGCAGCTGCTGCACAGAGACATGAGGGCTAGCCTAAAACAGTAAGGTCAAGTTGTTTGGACAGAAAGGCTGCAGGGTGCAGTCCTGGCTCTCATGTAAGAATTTCGACTGCACAGCCCTGTACTTTGGCTGTGTTAATGAAAAGGGTTGGGATGAGTTAGGGAGAGCTAGTGTGGGAGCAGATTCTAGGGCTGTTTTTAAGGAATGGAAAGAGGAGTGGGGAAAGGATCCAGGATCTATGAGGTCAGCTAGGTTTCCATTTGTGAGTTTACATGGTTTAGTCAGGATGGCAAAAGCAGCTATCCAAAAGCAAAAGTATCTAACCATGCCTAGGAAGGAAAGGAGTTGTTTCTTTGTGGAAGGGGTTGGGGTTTGGGAAATTAACCAGACACAATCAGCAAGAAGAGCATGTGTGTTTTTATGAGGAATTATGCCAAGATAGGTAACAGAAGATAAAGAAATTTGGGCTTTGGAGGAGGATATCCTTTTGAGAATAGATGTTGGAGGAGCAGGAGGGTCTCCTGTTGGGAAGAATCATAGGAGGGGATGTAAAGTAGAAGGTCGGCAAAATATTGAATAAGGTGAGAAGCAGATGGATAGAAAGAAAGTAATCATGAGAAAGGGCTTGACTGAAGTAATGAGGGCTGTCCCTGAAGCCTTGTGGCAGTACAGCCTAGGTAAGCTGCTGAGGCTGATGGGTGTCAGGGTCAGTCCAAGTGAAAGCAAAGAGAGGCTAGGATGGAGGGTGTAAAGGAATAGTAAAGAAAGCATGTTTGAGATACAGAACAGAATAATGGGTTGTGGAGAGAGGTATTGAGGATAGGAGAGTATATGGGTTTGGCATCACAGGATGGGTAGGCAAGACAATTTGGTTGATAAGGCAACGATCCTGGACCAGCCTGTAAGACTCGTCCAGTTTTTGGACAGGTAGAATAGGAGAGTTGTAAGGAGAGTTTGTAGGCTTTAAGAGGCCATGTTGTAACAGGTTGGTGATAACAGGCTTTAACACTTTTAAAGCCTGCTGTGGGATGGGATATTGGTGTTGAGTCGGGTAAGGGTGATTAGATTTTAATGGGATGGTAAGGCGTGCATGGTCAGTCACCAAGGTAGGAGTAGAGGTATCCCATACTTGTGGATTAAGGTAGGGAGACACAAGGGGAGGATGTGAAGGAGGTTTTGAACTGGGGAAAAGGGTGACAATGAGGTGTGGCTGTAGCCCGGGAATAGTCAGGGAAGCAGATAATTTAGTTAAAATGTCTTGACCTAATAAGGGAGCTGGGCAGATAGGGATAACTAAAAGGGAGTGCATAAAAGAATGTTGTCCAAGTTGGCACCAGAGTTGGGGAGTTTTAAGAGGTTTAGAAGCCTGGCCATCAATACCCACAACAGTTATGGATGCAAGGGAAACAGGCCCTTGAAAAGAAGGTAATGTGGAGTGGGTAGTTTCTGTATTGATTAAGAAAGGGATGGACTTACCCTCCACTGTAGGAGTTACCCAAAGTGTCTGTGATGGTCTAGGAGGCTTCCAAGGCAGTTGGGCGGCATCAGTCTTCAGCTGCTAAGCTGAGAAGATCTGGGAAGGAGTCAGTCAGAGAGTCTTGGGCCAGAGTTCCAGAGGCTCTGGGAGTGGCTGCTGGGTGAGTTGGACAGTCCAATTTATAGTGGGGTCCCACACAGATGAGACAGGGCTTAGGAGGAATCCTGGACTGCAGGCATTCCTTAGCCCAGTGGCCAGATTTCTGGCACTTGAAGCAAGATGCTGGGGAAGGAGATCCTGGGGAAGGAGGTCCTGGAGGAATGCCTGGCTGCTGCGGTTTAGGTGTTTCGAAGGTCTTGTGTGCTGGAGATGTGGCTGTGGTTTTTCTCTCACAGCAGAGGCAAGTAATTGCAACTCAGAAATATGTTGCCATTTGGCTGCCTCTTCTTTATTATTGTACACCTCAAAGGTGAGGTTAATTAAGTCCTATTGTGGGGTTTGAGGGCTGGAATCTAATTTTTGGAGCTTTTTCTAATATTGGGAGTGGATTGGATAATAAAATGTACATTGAGAATAAGATGGCCTTCTGACCCCTCTGGGTCTAGGGGGGTAAAGTGTCTAAGGGTTATTGCCAAATGGGCCATGAACTGGGTTGGGTTTTTACATTTGATGAAAAAGAGCCTAAACACTAACTGATTTGGGAGAGGTCAGATAAAGAAAAAGGGGCATTAATCTTGACTATGCCTTTAGCTCCAGCCACCTCTTTAAGAGGAAATTGTTGAGCAGCTGGGGGAGGGCTAGTCATGGAATGAAACTGTAAGTCAGACTGGGTGTGAGGAGGGGAGGTGACAGAAGGATTATAGGGTTGGGGAGTGGAAGCTGAGGAAGAATTGGGACCTGGCTCAGCCTGGTGAGGAGCGGCCTGGGGTGGAGGGGAGATGTCAGATGGGTCCATAGAAAAGGAAGATTCCAAGGACTCAGAGCTCGGGGTGGAGATCGAAGGAACAGACAGGAGAGAAAGAAGAAAGATTTCGGATGAGTCGCATTGGGAGCAGAGACTAGGGAGGGACTGATGTGTAAAAGAATGCCTGGAAGTCAGGCACTTCAGACCATTTGCACATTTTATGACAAAAATTGTCTAGGTCTTGCAGGATAGGCAAATTGAAAGTGCCATTCTCTGCCCACTTGGAACTATTATCGAGTTTCTGTTGGGGCCAAGCAGTATTACAAAAGAAAATAAGATGTTTAGGTTTTAGGTCAGGTGTTAGTCGAAGGAGTTTTAGGTTTTTAAGAACACAGGCTAAGGGAGAAGAAGGGGGAATGGAGAATGGAATGTTGCCCATAGTGAAAGAGGCAAGCCCAGAGAAAAGAGAGGGTAGAGACATGGAGAGAGGGGGCGTGGTACTCGCCATCTAGGGGAGGTGGTACTTGCCACCAAGGGGAGGTGGTACCTGCCACCAAGGTGAAGGATCAAGGCAGGCATCCCTGCAGTGATCAGACGTCCCTGAAATGTGGGTGAATAATCAGGCAGGTGTCCCTGCAGTGACTTAGACACCAAGGGAAGACTGTCTTCCTCAGTCTGTGACCAATGCCAGGGTTTTGAGTTCACGAATAAAATGCCTCTCCTCTGTTTCTACCAGGAAGGGAAAGGAGGGATAGTGAGAAAGGCTGGAGAAGAGAAAAAAAAGAGGCCGCTTACCAGACTTAAAATTGGTGAGATGTTCCTTGGGCTGGTCTGAGGACCAAAGGTCATGGGTGGATCTCCTCATGGAGTGAGGGTGAGTACAGGGGACCAGTCTCCCAAAGGATTCCCCCTGTCCCAGGTCTTCAGCACCAAATGACACACACATCTGTGTGAAGAGAGTCCACCAACAGGCTTTGTGTGAGGAACAAGGTTGTTTATTTCACTTGGGTGCAAGTGGGCTGAGTCTGAAAACAGAGCCAGCAAAGGGAGATAGGGGTGGGGCAGTTTTATAGGATTGGGGTAGGTAGTGGAAAATTACAGTCAAAGGGAATTTTTCTCTTGCAGGCAGCGGGGTGGGGGGGATTACAAGGTGCTCGGTAAGGGAGCTTCTGAGACTCATTGTCCAGGAGAAGGAATGTCACAAGGTTAATTGATCAGTCAGGGTGGGGTAGGAACAAATCACAATGGTGGATTGTCATCAGTTAAGGCAGGAACTGGCCATTTTCACTTCTTTCATTGTTCTTCAGTTGCCTCAGGCCATCTGGATGTATATGTGCAGGCTTGGGCTCAGAGGCCTGACAGAACCCCATCTCTACAAAAATAAAATGTACAAATCACAAAGTAAGGTTAGCCAGTGGCGGGTGGTGTGTGCCTGTACTCTCAGCTACTGGGGAGTGTGGGGGCTGAAATGAGAGGATTGCTTGAACCTGGGAGGTTGAGGCTGCTGTGAGTTAAGATCACACCACTGTATTGCAGCCTGGGTGACAAAGTGAGAACCTGTCTAAAAATAAAAATAAATAATAATAATAATAAAAACAAACAGTAACAAGTGACAAAGAAAGAACAAACAATATTAAAATTTTTTTAACGGAGTGAACAAAGGTAAATAAGATCCTAATTAACTGTACCCCCCATCTCCCTCTGGCAGGGTTTTCTTCTGTCACCCAGGCTGTAGGGCAGTGGCGTGATCAAGCTATCCCTGTAGTTTCAGCCACTTGGGAGGCTGAGACAGGAGCAACCCCTGAGACCAGGGAGGTCGAGGCTGCAGGGAGCTATGGTTGCCCAACTGCACTCTAGCCTGCATGACAGTGAGAAGACTTCACTCAGAAAAAAGAAAGAAAAAGAAGAAGAAAGAAAGAAATTAAAACAACAACTTTAGTGTGCAGGAAGGAGCATAAAGAGACAGAGAACAAAGGAAAACAACAACTAAAGTGATGCAAAAAGAAAATGGAAGTGGAACTAGAAAAAAAAATCACAGGAAGATCACTGGGGCCCCAGCTCCTCAGAAGAGGGAAATGGGAGGCCCACGTGGGCGAGCCCTAGGGCAGGGGAGTGGGTTCGAGGCCTCAGCGAGCCATGATCACAGCCCTCTGCTGGACCTAGGAGACACTACTGCGTGTAAATATTTAAATGTTTGATATTAAATATTAAGGTCGACCTTCAATATTTGGAGCTGGTGGCCAAGTGTAACACCTGCAGCTCACAGCCCATATGTGATCAAACTGGTGGCTCAACTGAGAAGCCAGCCAGTGGCTGTGGGCAGTGGTGCACTGGGTCCACCCTACAGCCAAGTGTTATAATGCCCAACCTTGTTTTTACTAACCCTGTTTTTAGACTCTCTCTTTTGCTCCCTTAATCACCTAGACTTGTTTCCACATGAATAAACTCTCCCTTAGCTGAGAAAAGCTGGACGAACTCCATCTGGCCCCCGTGATTTACAAGACATTAAGGACTCCTTACCCACCCCCTTCTTCAAGGAGTTAACTTGTGTAAACAGATTCTCAACATATCAAAAGAATTCAATTAACTGATAAGGTACCGAAACAAACCATGTATGAAGTTCCCAGGATTTTGCTCAAAAGATAACACCATAAAGCCTTGAGTTTGTGTCCGGAGTAGTGCCCATATCTAACTCTTATGAAGGATTTAGATCCCCGCACCTGGTACCTTTGCTTTTTTTGTAACCATTTGTCTTTTAAGTTGTTTGTTTCTCTGTAACCATTTGTCCTTTTAATTTCTTGCATGTTTTTACTTCTGAAGAGTTGTTGCATTTAAGCTCCCCTCCCTTTCCTAAACCAAAGTATAAAAGTTAATCAAGCCCCTTCCTCGGGGCCGAGAGAATTTTGAGCTTTAGCAGTCTCTTTGGCCGCCGGCTGAATAAAGGACTCTTAATTCGTCTCAAAGTGTGGCGTTTTGCTAACTCGCTCAGGTACGACAATCTCGGCTCGCTGCAACCTCCACCTTCCCCGGTTCAAGTGATGCTCCTGCCTCAGCCTCTGAAGTAGCTGGGATTACAGGCACCCGCCACCATACCTGGCTAATTTTTGTATTTTTCTAGAGAAGGGTTTCACTATGTTGTTGATCAGGCTGGTCTTGAACCCCTGACCTCACGTGATCCGCCTGCCTCGGCCTCCTAAAGTGCTATGATTACAGGCATGAGCCACCGTGCCTGGCCAAAGTAGTTTTCTTCTAAGTTTTCAGTCTTCTCTCATACTGGTAGTAGACCTGGAATCACAGGACAATGGGCAGTGTGACAGCCTGTGTACAGGAGAGCAGAGCTTTCCATTTCCAGACACCCAGAGTTTTATTCCAGGCCAGGTCTCTATTATATTGTTTTTCTGGCAAACCTATAGAGTTTGCTGAACACCAAGCAATTCTCCAACACCAACCTATTGTCTAACATTTGAATTCTGATACCACCCAGAATCAACACAGACCCTGATTCAGGGTTCGGTTCCATAAGTTTTTCCTTAGTGCAGATGCCACTCACAAACCCCACGGGCTTATCTATGCTTCTGAGGTACTTTTGAAAAAGTGAGGACCTCCATAACCTCCCTCAAGTTAAATAATTTGATAGAGCTACTCACAGAACTCAGCAAAACACTGCAGTTATGGTGACCAGTTAATTATATAAGATACAACTCAGGAAAACTGAAATGGAAAAAATGTACAGAATAAAAAAAAGGTGGGGAAAGACGAAGAACATAAATTCCTTTCCAATTATGAATTACAGGGTGCTACCACATAGCCAGAAATAGGCTCTGCACATTTTCTCCTTGTTCTCATTAAAAAATCAGCTAAATTTGTCTTCAGCAGTCAAAATAAACTACTTCTAAATCAAACCTCACTTAAGTTTATTTCTTTCCCACAGACTCCTGAACTTTAAGCTACCCTACCCTCAGTCTGAGCCAAAATACAATCCCATTTTATGTCCCTCCTAAGATTCTCCTGAACCAGAATCTGATTTTTTTCACTCTCCATTTGCCATTCTCCTCCTACCTTATCTTTAAATCTTGTTTGCTCCTCCCTATGAAAGAAAGCCCTGGTCTGCCTATCCTTTGCAATCCTTAATGCTCTTATAATTAGTACTTCTTCCTGTTTCAATACTTCTTTGGATTTTAAATTATTCTACATAAATCTGTTTTATTTTACAACTTTTAGAAACGGCCTCAAAACAAGAACAATATTATCTTCAGGAAGAATCTTTCAGGGGGCCAGGTGCGGTGGCTCACACCTGTAATCCCGGCACTTTGGGAGGCTGAGGCGGGTGGATCACAAGGTCAAGAGATCGAGACCATCCTGGCTAACACTGTGAAACTCCGTCTCTACTAAAAATACAAAGAATTAGCTGGGCGTGGTGGCACGCGCCTGTAGTCCCAGCTACTCAGGAGGCTGAGGCAGGAGAATCACTTGAACCCGGGAGGTGGAGGTTGCAGTGAGCCGAGAGTGTGCCACTGCACTCCAGCCTGGGTGACAGAGCGAGACTCTGTCTCAAAAAAAAAAAAAAAAAAAGAATCTTTCAGGCCGGGCGCGGTGGCTCATGCCTGTAATCTCAGCACTTTGGGAGGCCGAGGCACGTGGATCGTGAGGTCAGAAGTTTGAGACCAGCCTGACCCACATGGAGAAACTCCGTCTCTACTAAAAATAGAAAATTAGCTGGGCGTGGTGGTGCATGCCTGTAATCCCAGCTATTCAGGAGGCAGGAAAATCACTTGAACCCAGGAGGCAGAGGTTGCAGTGAGCCGAGATGGCGCCATTGCACTCCAGCCTAGGCAACAAGAGCAAAACTCTGTCTCACAAAAAAAAAAAAAAAAAAAAAAGAGTATGTCAGTCCCCTTCCATCTTAACCTTAAATGCATCTGCCTGTGGGTCCCCAGCTTTCCAGGGCTCTGTAGCTTCTCTCAGTATATAGTCTTCTTTCAGGACTTGGACATCTGCCCAGGAAGCTCCCAAGGAAGAACAAACTGGGCCTTTAATAACCTCCTATTGCAGGATCAATATTAGCTTTAGCTTGGAGTCACTGGGTGCAAGCTTTAATTTCCATGTCAGAGTTATTCACTTGGTTTTTGGAAGTTTAAGTGTTTGAAAAATCCAGCGAAATTACCCAAACAGTGTTTATATAAAAAAAGGAGACCAGGTGCGGTGGCTCATGCCTGTAATCCCAGCACTTTGGGAGGCCAAGGAGGGTGGATCACCTGAGGTCAGGAGTTCGAGACCAGCCTGAACAACATGGCGAAACCCCATCTCTACTAAAAATACAAAAATTAGCCAGGCATGGTGGCAGGCACCTGTAATCTCAGCTACTCAGGAGAATTGCCTGAACCCGGGAGGCAAAGGTTGCAGTGAGCCGAGATTGTGCCACTGCACTCCAGCCTGGGCGACAGAGCGAGACTCTGCCACAAAAAAAAAGAGGAAATTTTAAGGTGCTTACATTTCATACCTCAGTAAGAAAAGCAAAAGTATCTATTCCTTTCAGACAATAAGTGTGTTATTATATTATTTCCATTAAAAATCATGTAGTAATTAGTCATATGGGAACACTTTTAGTAGGTTCCAAGTTTCATCTTACAAAATTTGACATTAAACCCAGAAATCAAGATAACAGGATGTAGAACAGGTATAGTCAATGTCACAAATTTACCCTGCACAAAGAGGAACTGATGTTTTTGCGAATCTTGTAACTTGCCCATTATCTACCACTTTTTTTTTAATGTATGCATTTTTTACAGCCAAAACGGAAAATATATTTTACCTATTCTTTTCTTTGGTAGCATTTTAAAAGATAAGCCTTGGAATTCTGTTTGAAATTCACTCAGCCATAAAAAACACACCTTACAGGAAAAAAAAAAAAAGGGTAAATGAGAATTTTAAACAAATGGAATGCGTGATTAGATTTATTTTCTGAAACCCACCTCTTTTATGACCTCTCAGGAGACACTGCACTATGTCCCAGGGAGTTTCCAAGTGCATTTTACTTTGCAAGTTCTTGCACCATCTCACCGGGGTCAGGTTTTTGTGTCTTGCTTTGTTTTTTAGGGATACCATTTTTCCCACGAATCTCAGAGAATCCAGAGGCAGAAATCGTTTCTGTTTTCACCTCAATACCAGCATCTGATTGGCTGACCAGCAATGTGTGTCCAAGAAATGGAAACTGGCTTGGATGAAGACAATCTTTTTTTTTTTTTTGAGACGGAGTCTCGCTCTGTCGCTAGGCTAGAGTGCTGTGGCGCGATCTCGGCTCACTGCAACCTCCAACTCCCTGATTCAAGGGATTCTCCTGGCTCTGCCTCCCGAGTAGCTGGGATTACAGGCATGCTCCACCACGCCCGGCTAATTTTTTTGTACTTTTAGTAGAGACGGGGTTTCACCATGTTGGCTAGGATGGTCTCCATCTCCTGACCTCGTGATCCGCCCGCCTCGGCCTCCCAAAGTGCTGGGATTACAGGCGTGAGCCACCACGCCGGCAACAAAAGTGAACTTCTAAGGTTGTGTCATCTGTTTCACCTCTCAGCCCTCCAAGCTATCACTGTTAAATATAATGGGTATTGAGAAAACTGTTAGATATTATTAAGGAATTTCTATATATCCTCCAGTTGAGTTAGGTGTTCTGATGTAGCTCAAGTATT
This sequence comes from Homo sapiens, assembly GCF_000001405.40. NCBI lineage: Eukaryota > Metazoa > Chordata > Mammalia > Primates > Hominidae > Homo > Homo sapiens. Next base: position 21,852,758 of record NC_000019.10, on the reverse strand, counting down.
TTCTTATCCCTACCTCCAGGGTCTAAACTAGCAAATTACATCAGGACACCTACAGAGGACAATTGGCGATTTTCCAATAGAAAGTGAAATAACCCCGTTAATGAGAGTAATGCAGTTATTTTAAAAAAAGAGAAGTCAGATTGAGATGTAGCACAGTCAGGGCACAATTACCCTGATAATAGCCACTTCACAGAGATTGGTTTAGATGTTTTTCTAAAATGAGCAAATTTAGGCAACATAATTCATGTTTATCTATCCCTAGCCCCAGCTGCTTCCCCGTTCCTAATGGTCATCCCAAGATGTGTACAGCAGTGTGGTACAGCACGGTGAGAGAGACCCTCAGGGATGGGACGAGGGTCTTTGCTGCATTGTCAACATAATTAAAAAGTTGTTAAAAGGGTATCCAAATGTTCTGTTTCTTCCCCTTCAGTAGCTACTAAGATGCACTATACAAGCTGACCCAGGGAAGGAAAAAAGCAAGTGCATTTCAAGGCTCAGCTCACTTGATTAGCTGTAATTCCCTGGGCATGTGCCCCGCCTACTTGAGCCTGTTTCCCTGTCCATAAAATGCGCAAACGCTAGGGAGGGTGGGTCCTGGAGCTTTATCCAATCAGTGGCGCTGGCGTGGGAACCACCCAATCAGACGCGCAGTTGGAGAGGGGGCCGTGGCTTCCGGCTTTTGGCGGGGCCTTTGTCTCCAGCTCCCGCTAGACCTTGGGACCCGCCTCTGCTTTTCCGCGTTCTCCAACTCGGGAATCCCCGGTGACTTTGTCGCAGCCTCCGTTACCCTGTGATCTGCAAGTCCTGGGAGACGCACAGCTAAGATGCCCGGACATCCTGGAAGCTGGGAAATGGTGAGTGTGCGGGGTTAGGCATCCCGAGAGGGGAGAGCAGGCTGTGAAAGTGGCGGGACCGGCCTCCTCACAGTCCGCTCCTGAGTCCTGGTCGCTGGCGCAGCTCCGCCCCAGGCCCCTCTGGCCGCAAGATGGCGGCTGGGCCCGCAGCCGAGCCTCCCGCGTCCCGCCCCATTCCTGCGCGGTACCCTGTCTGGAGCTCTCTGGTCAGCTCTGCACCAGCAGCCCCGAGTATTTCCCAGATTGTTCAGGGATGCCCGGCGGATGATCGGGGCAGAATCCCGACTCGGTGTGTGCGCAGGAGGAGCTGCGGCCCTGGGGTCTTCAGTTTCTGTTGTTAATTTTTTTTTTTTTTTTTTTTTTTTGAGAGGGAATCTTGCTATGTCGCCCAGGCTGAAATGTAGTGGCGCGATCTCGGCTCACTGCAACCTCGCCTCCAGGTTCAAGCGATTCTCCTGCCTCAGCCTTCCGATTAGCTGGGATTACAGGTGCGCACCACCAGGCCCGGCTAATTTTTATTTATTTATTTTTTTATTTTTACTAGAGATGGGGTTTCACCATGTTGGCCAGGCTGATCTCGAACTCCAGACCTCAGGTCATACGCCCGCCTCAGCCTCCCAAAAGTCCTGGGATTACAGGCGTGAGCCACCGCGCCCGGCCTCTTAGGAACATTTCTGAATCTCACACTCGGAGGCTGTCAAAAGTTGGATAATTGACTTTCATATGCGGGCCTGGTCCACAGGTGGGTTGGTTACTCTCAGACCAAGATTCAGTACACATGTGAGGCTGTGACTGCACTGAAAAGCACAGTCCGCAGACAAAATTGTGGCTCTCTTGCAATACCGTCAACCATTGAGATTGTGACTCACGTACTTAGACAGACCCAACATACAGGAGGTGTTGACCCTCATACCTGGAACCTGGACATGTGTGGAATTTCTAATCTCATTCCTGGACTTTCCTGCAGGTAAGATTGCATGCATCTACTAAGCACCTTAGTGATTTGACTCCTGCCTTGGCCCAGCCCACAGATGGAGATTGTGACATATCGCTTGACTTTGCACCTTGAAGATGTGACTTTTTTCCAGCTTTGGTGCTGCCCACAGATGGCATTGTGACACATAGCTGGGCCTTTCACTGAGGTGATGGGAGTCTTTTTTCTTGCCTTGGCACTGTCCACAAGGTGCATTGTTACATATTGCTAAGCCCTGCTCTCAGGTTATGTGACTCTCCTTTTTTCCTTAGTCCCTGAATATTTTGGACGTTAGGACATGTTACTAGGTCTAACACCTATACAATAAGAGGCTCCTGCCCAGGCCCTTTCTTTTTCTTTTTTTGTTTGTTTGAGACAGAGAATCGCCTTGTCTCCCAGGCTGGAGTGCAGTGGTGCGATCTCGGCTCACTGCAACTTCCGCTTCCCAGGTTCAAATGATTCTCCTGCCTCAGTCTCCTGAAGTGCTGGGATTACAGGTGCCTGCCACCATGCCCGGCTAATTTTTGTATTTTTAGTGGAGATGGGGTTTCACCATGTTGGCCAGGCTGGTCTGAACTCCTGACCTCGTGATCCACCTGCTTCGGCCTCCCGAAGTGCTGGGATTACAGGTGTGACCCACCGTGTCTGGCCCTGCCCAGGCCCTTTCTACAGAGGGCCTTGTGACATATCTCTGCATCAATCACCTAGGAGAGTGACTCTCCATTTTTGCCTGCACTCTGCCTACAGGAAAAATTTTGACTTATCACTAGACTCAGGTAATGTGTCTCTCCTGCCTGGGCCTGGACCACAGAGAGCATTGTTATCCATTGCTGGGCTCAGCACCCAGGTGATGTGACTCTGCTGCCTGTGTCCTGCTTTCAGAGGAAGTTTGTTACATATTCCTGGCTAAATATTCAGGTGATGTGATACTCCTGTCTGGTCTCTGCCCTCAGAAAAGACTGTGACATATTCCTGACCCAAAACGCACGTGATGCGACTCCTCTCTCCCTATTCACAGGTGGGATTGTGAAATATAGCTTGGCCCAGTTTGCAGGTGCAATTATGACTCTTCTACCCTCAACCAGCCAGTAAGAGAGATGCTGCCTCTTATAGCTAGGCTTAGGGTTATGAGTATTATCCTGGGTCTCTTTCTTGTACAAATGTCATAGAGAATTACTTTTTTTTTTTTGAGATGGAGTTTCGTTTATGTTGCCCAGGCTGGAGTGTAGTGGTGCAATCTCAGCTCACTGCAACCTCCGCCTCCTGGGCAATTTTTATATTTTTAGTAGAGATAGGATTTTGCCATGTTGGCCAGGCTGCTCTTGAACTCCTGACCTTAGGTGATCCACCCACCTCGGCCTCCCCAGGTGTTGGGATTACAGGCATGAGCTACCATGCCCAACTGAGAATTACCACTTTTTTTTTTTTTTTTTTTTTTTTTTTGAGGCAGGGTTTTGCCCTTGTTGTCCAGGCTGGAGTACAATGGCGAGATCTTGGCTCACTGCAACCTCCGCCTCCTGGGTTCAAGCGATTCTCCTGCCTCAGTCTCCTGAGTAGCTGGGATTACAGGCATGTGCCACTACGCCTGGCTAATTTTGTATTTTGAGTAGAGACGGGGTTTCTCAGTGTTGGTCAGGCTAGTCTAGAACTCCCGACCTCAGGTTATCCACCCGCCTCGGCCTCCCAAAGTGCTGGGGTTACAGGCGCCAGCCACCGTGCCCAGCCAAATTACCACTGTTTTGAATACTATATAAATCTCTCGTGGTACAGAGAGTGTCATTATAGAGTTCAGCAAGCAGGTGAGATTGTGTTTCTTCTTTGCCCACCCCACCAACCGTTAGAATTGTCACCCTCACACAGTGATGGAGCCCACTGGTGAGGTCCTGAATCTCATGCACAGACACAGTCCACCGTTAAAATTGTGGCTGTTATATGTGAACATTCCGCAGGAGTTTGAAAAATGACTCATTTCTAAATCTAGTTCATAGGTGAGAATTTTTCAATCTGAACCAATGAGAAGTCTACCTTCCTGAGGACATGTTGACTCATACCTGGGCTGAGGGCCAGAGCGAACACAGCTCACAAGAGAGATGGAGGCTCTTATGCACAGGTTCAATTCATTGGTGAAATTGTCACTAGCGTACTTAGACCCAACATAGAGAATGTGGTGACTCTCATACCTAGAACTGGGACCTGTACGGGATTAATTGATCACTGGACCTTTCTGCAGGTGTGGTTGTGACATTGGCCAGCACCTGAGTGATTTCAGTTTCCTGTCTGGTCCCAGCCCAAAGGTAAAATTGTAACATATCACTGGTCCCAGCACCTAGGTGATATGACTCTCCTCTTTTTATGGGACCTCACAAATTTTGGGTATTGTAAAATAGTACTGAATCCTGCACCCATGTTATGTGACTCTCTCACCTGTGCCCTACATGTTGTGCCATATTATGGCACAATATGTCACATTAGAAATTGTCACATATGGCCGGGCATGGTGGCTCATGCCTGTAATCCCAGCACTCTGGGAGGCTGAGATGAGTGGATCAGTTAAGGTCAGGAGTTCAAGACCAGCCTGGCCAACATGGTGAAACCCCATCTCTACTAAAACAATACAAAAATTAGCCACGTGTGGTGGCGCATGCCTGTAATCCCAGCTACTTGGGAGGCTGAGGCAAGAGAATCACTTGAATCTGGGAGGCAGTGGTTGCAGTGAGCCGACATGACACCACTGCACTCCAGCCTGGGCAACAGAGCAAGACTCTGTCTCAAAAAACAACAACAACAACAACAACAAATTGTTACATATAAGGCCGGGCACAGTGGCCTCACGCCTGTAATGCCATCAGTTTGGAAGGCTGAGGCGGGTGCATCACCTGAGGTCAGGAGTTCAAGACCAGTCTGATCAATATGGTGAAACGTCTCTACTAAAAATACAAAAATTAGCCGGGCATGGTGGTGTGTGCCTGTAGTCCCAGTGACTTGGGAGGCTGAGACAGGAGAATTGCGGGACATGGAGGTTGCAGAGCCAAGATGCGCCACTACACTCCAGCCTGGGTGACAGAGCGAGACTCTGTCTCAAAAAATAAAAATAAAAAAGAAATTGTTACATATTGTTGGGTCCAATACCCAGGGGATGTAACACCTTTTCTCTGGACCCTGCCTACATGGAGCTTTGTGATGTAACTCAATGATGCCCGTCACCATGGTGATGTTACTTTCTTTTTTTTTTTCGGAGACGGAGTCTCACTCTGTTGCACAGGCTGGAGTGCAATGTTGTGATCTTGGCTTACTGCAACCTCCGCCTCCCAGGTTCAAGTGATTCTTCTGCGTTGGCCTCCTGAGTAGCTGGGACTACAGGCATGTGCCACCACACCCAGCTAATTTTTGTATTTTTAGTAGAGATGGGGTTTCAGCATGTTGGCCAGGCTGGTCTCGAACTCCTGGCCTCAAGTGATCCACCCTCCTCAGCCTCCCAAAGTATTGGGATTATAGGTGTGAGCCACCGCGCCTGACCAGTAATGTTACTTTCTTCTCCTGCCTGGTCTCTGCTCACAGAGACCTAACATCAAGGTGATGTGACTCTTATTTTTCTTAGGCCCTTCATATTTGTGTATCGTGACATAATGCTCAGCTGAACACCTAAAGGTCGGAAGTCTCCTACCTGGGCCCTTCCCACAGGGAGCATTGTGACATGTCCCTGCATTCATCAACTAGGAGATGTGACTCTCCTCTTCTGCCTGCACCCTGCCTACAGGGAAAATTGAGGCACATTGCTGTGGCCAGCAACCAGATGCTGTGTTTTTTCTGCATGGGTCTTTATTACAGAAATGATGGTTGACATATCTCTGGGCCCAGCATCCAGGTGATGTGACAGTCTTCTTCTGTCTGGTCCCTGCTTACAGGAACATTGTAGCATATTGCTACGCCCAGCACCTACCTGATGGGATTTTTCCCTGGTTTTAGGTTTTGCCTGCAGCAGACATTATGAAATATTGCTAGGCCCTGCACTGACATGTGAGTCTTCTGCCTACGATTTGGCCACTTGGGCCATTGTGACATATTGCTGGGTCCAACAGCCAGGTGATATAACTTTTATGCCTGGACCCTGCCTAGGGGTGGCATTTTGAAATGTCTTTGCACCAGTCACACAGGTGATTTGACTCTCTTGTCTTACCTGGTTTCTGCTTACAGGAAGTTCTGTGACATTTTGCAGCACATAGCTGATTTGATTTTTTTTTCTTAGTTTTTCCTCCAGGGAAGATTGTGAAATATTGGTGAACCCAGCATCAAAGTGATGTTACTCTATTTTTTTCTTGGCCCTGCTCACATAAGACATTGTGACATGTTGCTGGGTTTTACACCCAAGTGATGTGAGTTTCCTGCCTGGACCATGCTTACAGAAAACATTTTAACACATATCTAAGCTCATCAACTATTTTATTTGACTCTCCTCTTTTATCTGGGCTTTGTCCATAGGTCAGATTGTAATATATCTTTGAGCCTGGGTTGTGCTAACAGAAAAGAGAGTGACTTATTGTTTGGCCCAGCACACAGGTGATGTGATTCTTATGCTTGGTCCCTGTTCAGGTGGTCATTGTGACATAACTCTGGGCCAATCACCTAAATAATAGGTCTCCTTTTTATTTCTGAATCTGTCCACAGTAAGAAATGTGAGATATCGCTTGGCCCAGCACCCATGCGATGTGACTCTCCTCTCATAGCTAGACCCTGCCCACTGTAGTGATTGTGCTACCAGCTCCTACGTTATCTGACTCTTGTCTTCTTCCTGAGCTCTGCAAACAAGTAGCACTAGGAAATACCCCTGGGCCTTTCACCTAGGTGATGTGACTTTTCTGCCTGGGCTCTCCTTATCCGGGTATTGTGACATGTTGCTGGATGCAGCATTTAGGTAATGTGACTTCTTCTCTACTGCTTGGACTCTGAACAAAAAAAGATTTAGATGTATCACTGGGCCCAGCACCTACATGATGGGACTCTTCTCTTGTCTGGGCCCTGCATCCTTTTTTTTTTTTTTGAGACAGAGTTTCGCTCTTGTTGCCCAGGCTGGAGTGCAATGGCATAATCTCGGCTCATGACAACCTCTGCCTCCTGGGTTCAAGCGACTCTCCTGCCTCAGCCTCCTAAGTAGCTGGGATCACAGGCATGCACCACCACACCTGGCTAATTTTGTATTTTTAGTAGAGACAGGGTTTCTCCATGTTGGGCAGGCTGGTCACAAACTCCCGACCTTAGGTGATCTGCCCGCCTCGGCCTCCCAAAGTGCTAAGATTACAGGCGTGAGCCACTGCGCCTGGCCCCTGCATACATATTGTGACATGTACCTGGGTCTATCACCAAGGAGTCTCCTACATAAGCCCTGGTCACGAGAGTATTATGACATATCTTTTCATTCATCACCTAGGTGATGTGACTCTTCTTCAGCCTGCACCCTGCCAAAAGAGGATTGTGATGTATCACTGGACCCAGCACCTAGATGACGTAACTCTCATCTTTTGCCTGGACCTTGCATATTTTGGGTATTGTTACATATTACTGAGTCTGACATTAGGGGATGGGAGGTCCCTGCCTGGGCCTGCCCACAGGGGGCCTTGTGACATATTTTGACATCCATCAATTATAATATGTGACTTTTCTCACCTACATGCACCATGCCCCCCAAAAACATTGTAACATACCACTGGGATCAGCAACCAGATAATGTGTCTCACCTCTCAGGGTATTGCTCATAGAGAGCACTGTAACATATTGTTGGGCCCTGCACCCAGGTGGTGTAACTTGCTGCCCGTGCCCATCTTACAAGAAGAGATGTTAAGGCATCCCTGCCCAAGCACCTAGGTGATGTGACTCTCCTGTCTCGTCCTTGCACTCAAAAAAGATTGTGACATATCTCTAGACCAGCCCCAGGTGATGTGACTCTCCTGCTCACTCTTTACCCATAGGTGTAATTGTAACATTGTAACATATATATATATATATATATATATATTTTTTTTTTTTTTTTTTTTTTTTTTGAGACGGAATCTTGCTCTGTCGCCCAGGCTGGAGTGCAGTGGAGCAATCTCGGCTCACTGCAAGCTCCACCTGCTGGGTTCATGCCATTCTCCTGCCTCAGCCTCCCAAGTAGCTGGGACTACAGGTGTCTGCCACCATGCCTGGCTAGTTTTTTGTATTTTTAGTAGAGACGGGGTTTCACCGTGTTAGCCAGGATGGTCTCGATCTCCTGACCTCATGGTCCGCCTGCCTCGGTCTCCCAAAGTGCTGGGATTACAGGTGTAAGCCACCTTCCCGGCCCTTGTCACATATATTTTGCCTGAGCTTACAAATTACTATGATGATTCTCATACCTTGAACCAGGCAATAAAAGAGATACACCTTGCCTAGCTAGGCTTGAGAAAACAAACATGATTCTAAGTTTCCTTTTTTTTTGCAAAGGTCATGGAGAATTACCACTCTCTCAGATATTATAAAAAGCTCTCAGGTGGCACAGAGTGTCATCACAAGCCAAAAACACAGATGAAATTGTGTTTTGTGTATCTTTTTTTTTTTTTTTTTTTTTTTTTGAGACAGAGTCTCCCTTATCACTCAGGCTGGAGTACAGTGGCACGAGCTCACCTTACTGCAACCTCCACCTCCCAGGTTCAAGTGATTCTCCTGCCTCAGCCTTCTGAGCAGCTGGGATATGCCCGGCTTTTTTGTATTTTTAGTAGAGATAAGGTTTTACCATGTTGGTCAGGCTGGTCTTGAACTACTGACCTCATGATCCACCTGCCCCAGTCTGGGCCTAGGGCCGCAGGTACGATCATGGTTTTATACAATCACAAAGATCTCAGAGTGGATTTGACTCTCCTGTATATTGTATAAAGCCCTCGGGTAATACACTGAGTGCCCTTACATGGCCCAGCACACAGGTGACATTGTTATACTCATATGCGCAACCAGCCAACAGTAAATATTGTCATCCCTTAACATAAACATAACCTACTTCTGAAGCTCTGAATGTCACACCTGGAGGCAGTGGAAAATTGCAAAATTGACTCTTATAGGTGAATCTGGTCCACAGATGGATTGGTGACTCTCAGGTCAAGATTCAGCACACCTGTGAGGCTGTTTTATTTTTTTATTTTTAAGACCGAGTTTCGCTCTTGTTGCCCAGGCCGGAGTGCAATGGCATGATCTTGGCTCACTCCACCTCCCATGTTCAAGTGATTCTCCTGCCTCAGCCTCCCTAGTAGCTGGGATTACAGGCGCCCGCCACCATATCCAGCTAATTTTTGTATTTTGAGTAGAGATGAGATTTTGCCATGTTGGCCAGGCTGGTCTCTACTCCTGACCTCAGGTGATCCACCTGCCTTGGCCTCCCAAAGTGCTGGGGTTACAGGTGTGAGGCACCACGCCTGGCCAAGGCTATGATTTTACTAAGAGACACAGTCCGCAGAAGAGATTGAGGTTGTTATGCATGGATTCATCTACATTGAGATGGTGACTTGTGTACTTAGACCCAATATCCAAATGGTATTGACTCATACCTAGAATGAAGACACGTGAAGAACTGTTTTATCTGATTTCTGGGTCTTTCTGCAGGTGTGATTGTGACACATACCTCTGCTCAGAATGTGAGCGATTTGACTCTCCTGCCTGGGCCCAGTACACAGATGGGATTGTGACATATCGCTGGACCCAGCATGTAGATCATGTGACCCTATACTCTTGCCTTGGTGCTGTCGCAGAGGGCATTGTGACATATCACTGGTCCCTGCACCCAGGTAATGTGTTTCTCCTTTCTGTGCCCTGCCCAAATGGGCTATTGTAACATATTACTGGATCTAACACCCAGATGATATGAATCTCCTACCTAGACCCTGGCTTCAGGGGACATTTTGCCATATTTCTGGACCCATCTATTTAATGTTACTCTTCACCTTTACATGGGCTTTTCCCTAGGAGACGTTGTAACATATCTGTGCCAAGCACCTACATGATCTCACTCTTCTCTCCTGCCTGGGCCCTGACCACAGAAGAGGGGGTGACGTATCACTAGGCCCTGACCACAGGTTATGTGATTTTTCTGCCTGGTCCCTGTCCAGAGAGGACATTATGACATTTGCCTGGGCCCATAAACTAGATTATATGACTCTCCTTTTGTCTCTGAAACTTGTCCACAGTGGAGATTTTGACATACCACTTTTCTCAGGATCTACATAATCTGAATTTTGTTCCATGCCTCAGTCTTGCCCACTGGGGTGATTGTGCCATATAACTAGTCTCAATTCCTAGGTTATGTGACTCTTCTTTATGAGCCTTACCCACATAGGGCATTTTGACATATCTCTGGAGCCCTCTCTTAGATGAGGTGACTGTGCTGCACGGTCCCCTTTTTTTCAGAAAATATTGTGCCATATTTTTTGACCTAGTAACAAGGTGATGTGACCCTCGTCTACTGCTTGGTTTCTGCCCAAGGCGGGATTGTGATTTTTTTATTTTATTGTTTTTTTTTTTTTTTGAGATGGAGTCTCACTTTGTTGCCAGGCTGGAGTGCAGTGGCACGATCTCAGCTCACTGCAACCTCTGCCTCCCGGGTTCAAGCTATTCTTCTGCCTCAGCCTCCCAAGTAGCTGGGGCTACAGGCATGCACCACCATACCTAGCTAATTTTTGTATTTTTATTAGAGACAGGATTTCACCACGTTGTCCAGGATGCTCTCGTTCTCTTGACCTGGTGAACCACCAGCCTCTGCCTCCCAAAGTGCTGAGATTACAGGTGTGAGCCACCATGCCTGGCCAGGGATTGTGATTTTTCACTGGGCCTAGCACCTTGGTGATGTGACTCTCCTCTCCTACTACAGGTTTCAGTTAGAAAAGGAGAGTCACGTCACTTAGGTGATAAACAGAAAGATAATGTCATAATTCTCCTATTAGCAGGGCCCATGCAGGAGAGTCACATCACCTAGTTGTTGGACCCTGCCATATTTCAATATACACAATTTGTTTCACCTAGGTATTGGTGAATTGTGTATTGTATATATTAAAATATGGCTAGTCCAACACCTAGGTGATGGGACTCTCTTCACCTGCTAATAGAGGAATTATGACATGTCATTTGTTTATCACCTAAGTGATGTAACTTCTACCTGAACCCTGTAAAAGGGGAGGATTGTGACATATCACTGGACTCTGTATCTAGGTGATATCACTCTCTTTAACCTGGGCCCCTTGTATTGTGGGTATTATGACACATCAGTGGCTCAAACCAAATGGGTAAAGAGCTCTTGCCTGGGCCCTGTCTGTGGGAAGCACCTTGTGACATATCTGTGCATCCATTACTTTGGAGGTGTGACTCTCCTCTTCCATCTGCACCATGCCCAGAGAAAGATTGTGTTGCATCTCTGGGTTCAGCAACCAGGTGCTGTGTTTCTTGTGCCCAGGCCTTGCCTGCAGAGAGAATTGTGACATAGCTGGGTCCAGTACCAAGTAACGTGACTTTGTTGTCTGTGCCTTGCTTTCGAGAAGGAATTGTAACATAACCCTGGACAGGCAACCAGGTAATATGACTCTCCTGCCTGGTCCTTGTCCTGAAAAATTGTGACATATTTCCGACTCAGCATGCAGGTGATGTTACTCTCCCATTTACTTTCTACTCACAGGTTAGATTGTGACATACACTTTAGCCCAGTTCACAGTTGCGATGATGATACTCATACCACAAACCAGTCCATAGCAGAGATACTGGTGCTGGTAGCTAGACTTAGAGAAACAGGTAAAGTCCTGGATTACCATTCTTTCACATTTTGTATAAAGTCTTTGGACGGTACAGAGAGTGTTATCATAGGGCCAAGCACACAGGTGAGACTGTTTCTCAAATGCACAACCTACCAAATGTTAGCATTGTCACCCTCACACGAATTTCACACGTGAATGGAGTCCACAGTAAAAATTGTGACTGTCATATGTAATCATGTGACAACAGTTAAGATGGTGACTCATTTCTAAACCTAGCTCATAGGCAGGTGAGAACTCTTTTCTCTAGACCCAGCCAATTGGAGAGATGTTGACTCTAATGCATGAGCCTAGGTCCACAGGTATGATTATGAGTTTGTATTAGAAAAAAAAGTCTCAGAGCAAATTGTGACCATCATGGATATTGTATAAAGCCCTCAGGTAGTATAGAGAGTTCTATAACAGGGCCTAGCACCCAGGTGACATTGTGACACTCGTATGCAAACCCAGCCAACAGTGAAAATTGACAACTTTCCACATGAACACAGCTCACTGTTGAAGTTCTGAATCTCACACCTGGAGGTGGTTGGAAAATTGACTCTCAAACGTGGATTCGGTTCACACGTGGGCTGGTGACTCTCAAACCAAGATTCAGCATACCTGTGAGGCTGTGACTCCACTAAGGGGACACAGTCCACGGCAAAGATTGAGGCTCTCATGGATGTATCCAGTCCACCGTTGAGATTGTGACTTGTGTACTTGGACTCAACATACAACATGTGTTGACTCTAATACTAAGAAATGGGATGTGTGGGATTGTTCATTCCTACATTTTTTTGTGACTGTGATTGTAACATACACCTTTGCCCAGCACCTGAGTGATTTGACTCTCCTGCCTGGTGCCTAGTGCACAGATCGGATTGTGACACATTGCTGAATCCAACATCTAGGTGGTGTGACTCTGTACTTTTGCCTCAGCACTGCCCACAGGGGGGCATTGTGACATATCACTGGACCCCACACCCTGGTTATGTGACTCTTCTGCCTGTGCCCTATCTTCATGGGCCATTGTGACATTGCTATGTGCAACATCCAGGTGATGTAACTTTCCTTGCTGGATCCTGCTTGCAGGAAGCATTATAATCTATCTGCATCCATCACCCAAGTAATGTGACTCTCTTTCTACCAGGTTGCTGCTTACAGAAAGAATTGTTACCTATCACTGGGCCAGCACCTAGCTGTTGTGATGCTTCTTTTTCTACCTACATTCAGCTCACAATGTAGATTTTGACATACTGCTGGGCTAAACACCAAAAATGAAGTTACGTTTTTCCTCAGCACTTTCCTCATCAGGCATTGTGACATATTGTTTGGCCCAGAACTAAGGTAATGTGAGCCTCCTGCCTGAACCCTGCCCATAGTGGGCATAGTGACATATTTGTGAACCCATCATCCATATAATGTGACTTTCTTACTTGGCTTTTCCCTATAGGAGAGATTGTGACATATATTTGAGCCCAGAAACCAAATAATTTGACCCTTCTTTCCTGCTATGGCCATGCTCCCATAAAAGAGAGTGACTTATTGCTGCGATTAGCACACAGGCTATGTGATTCTTCTGCCTGGTTCCTCTCCACAGGAGTTACTTTGACATATCTCTGGGCCCATTACTTAGATGATGTGACTCCTCTTATTCCTGGGATGTGTTCACAGTTTGGACTGTAACATATCGCTTAGTCAAGCACTTATGTGATGTGACTCTTCTCTCATGTTTTGGCCTTGTCCACTGGGGTGCTTGTGATATGTAGCTGGGCCCAGCTCTTAGGTTATGTGATCTCTTTTTTTTTTTTTTTTTTTTTTTTTGCCTGATCTCTGCATACATTTTGTATTGTGATATATATGGCTGGGTCCAACACCTAGGTATTATGAGTCTCCTGAATGGGCTCTGTTCAGAAAGGTATTATGACATATTCTTTTTTCTTCATCACTTAAATGTTGTGACTCTCCTTTTTTGACTAGAACCTGCTACAAAGGATAATTGTGAAATATCACTGGACCCAGCACCTAGGTGATGTGACTCTCCTTTTTGCCTGGGTCTCACATAATTTGGGTATTGTGATATATTGCTGAGACCAACATCTAGGGGGTGGGAAGCTCCTTTCTTGACCCTAACCACAGGAGCTTTGTGACATATCTCTGCATCCATGATCTAAATATGTGATTCTGTGTTTCTGCCTGCACCCTGCTAACAGAGAAGATTACGACAAATTTCTAAGTGCAGTGTATCTTGTTTATCTTGTGCTGACCTCCTATCTCATCCTGTGACTAAGAATGCCTAACCTGGGGAGGCAGCCAAGTAGGTTTCAGCATATTTCACACAGCTGCTATTCAAGATTGAGTTGCTCTGGTTTGAATGCCTCCAACATTAAGATCCACTATAAAATTATGAAAAAAGTCTAGAGTAAATGAGAATTAAATTAGGATGGGCTATTCTACCCTGGGTGCGGTGGCTTACTCCTGTAATCCCAGCACGTTGGGAGGCCAAGGCGGGCGAATCACCTGAGGTCAGGAGTTTGAGACCAGCCTGGCCAACATGGGGAAACCCCGTCTCTACTAAAAATACAAAAATTAGCCAGGTGTGGTAGCGCACATCTGTAATCCCAGCTACTCGGGAGGCTGAGGCAGGGGAATTGCTTGAACCCAGGAGGCGGAGGTTGCAGTGAGCTGAGATTGCACCACTGCACTCCAGCCTGGGTAATAGAGCGAGACTGTATCTCCAAAAAAAAAAAAAAAAATTTAGAATGGGCTATTCTGAAAGATGTAGCAATAATTATATTTGTGTTTATGAGTTTTTTTTATTAACCTCTACACTTGATAATGAAAGAGGTTTCCACTGCTAAAGGAAAATAAATCTCTTGATGCCAAAATTACTAAGCCACTAGAAAAGTCAAGTTGAGAACTATGTCAGGCAAATCTGCCTCCCATTTTATTTCTAAATAAGATAGCTACAAAGATAAAAAAGCTACATACTTTCTTTACAATTAGCCAACAAGGAAATTCCTTGAGAACCAAAGACAGACAGAACTCAGAGTCATTTCTCTGAGCCTCGCCTGAGACAAATGCACATCTGATTGCTTCCTCTGCACTGCTGTTAATTTAGATATGCAGGTTCACTGAGCCAGACTAAATTGTATTCAGTTGAATGCTTATCAAGGACTCAAGAATCCAGACTTTTATCTCTTATTTACTTATGACCTGGAAGCCCTCACCTCAAGTTGTCCTGCATTACTGGATCAAACCAAGAAAGAGAGAGAGGAAGGAGGAGGTGGAGAAGGAAAAAGGTAGGGAAGGAAGATCTTATACATATTGATTGATGTCTCATGCTTTCCTAAAATGTTTAAAAGCTGCTGGGCATGGTGGCTCACACCTGTAATCCCAGCACTTTGGGAGGCTAAGGCGAGCAGTTCACCAGGTCAGGAGACATCCTGGCTAACAGGGTGAAACCCTGTCTCTACTAAAAATACAAAAAATTAGCTGGTATTCATAGAAAATATAATTTTTAATTATCGAGTAATCTGAATAAATGAATATATCATAAAAAAATTAGCTGGGCATGGGGTCATGCACCTGTATCCCCAGCTACTTGGTAGGCTGAGTCAGGAGAATCGCTTGAACCTGGGAGGCGGAGGTTGCAGTGAGCCGAGATTGTGCCACTGCACTCCAGCCTGGTCGACAGAGCAAGACTCCGTCTCAAAAAAAAAAAAAAAAAAAAAAAAAAAGTAAGTGTAGGCAAATGTAGATGCAAATACACATCTGTTTACACAAATTCCTACTTTCAAAATCACAGAGAATGGTCACTTTTTAGCCTTTTTATGAATAAAATCCTGGATTCCATTTATTATTCCATTAGAACTTCTGTACCTATTTTGAAATTTGAGATTAAATTGTCTTTTGCTGAGTTTGCCCAGTTTATATTTCAAGTAATACTATATCATGGGAACACATTAGAGATTTTCTATATTTTTATGTTTTACATCAGTTTCTAAAACCTGGAAATTATCTTGTTTTGAATTTCTTATGAAAATGGAATACTATCCACTAAGAATATTCCATTAGCATACTGCAACTTAAAGTCAGGAGATCTAAACTTTTTCTGGTAACATTACCTATATTTAGTTTTTTAAAAAATGTTCTCTTTTTGTATATGCTTTTTAATTTGCTTTTAAAACATGTGCATAACATTTCCTTGAATTCTATTAATGGACCTCAATGCTTTAAAAAAATTTTTTGATAAAATAATTCAGTCTGAATGTGATGGTTCATGCCTATAATCCCAGTACTTTGGGAGGCTGACTTTGTAGGATTCATTGAGCCCAAGAGTTTGAGACCATTCTGGGCTATCTAGTGAGGCTTCATCTCTACAAATAAAAATATGATAACAAATTAGCTGAGCATGGGGCCACATGCCAGTGGTCCCAGCTACTCAGAAGGCTGAGACAGGTAAATTGCTCAAGCCTAGATTGCTGAGGCTGCAGTGAGCTGCAGTCATGACCCTGCACTCCAGCCTGGGTAACAGAGACTCCCTCTCAAGAATAAGAAAAACCCCACAGAGGATAAATAATAAAATATTCAATGTTTGTAATACTTCCTACTCAAAGGGCCAGAAGCCAGGAAGGTCATAAAAGCTGAAATTCAAAAACAATTGTTTTCATTTTTTAGTATCCATATAGTATATTACTTATAAGTGAAGATGACCTTATACACAAGGTTAAAGGCAAATACCCTCTGGGTTGGGCCTGCTCTGCTCAGGGAGGAAGCCCTGCCTGAAAAGGCGGCAGCCTAGGCTGTCATTCTTTCTTCTTTCAGCCCAGCGTCTGATCACATCTTTCATTCAGGGTTTGCGGGGGCAGGACCTTAGAAGTTATCCAATCAGGGACGCTGGGCTGGAAACCGTCCAATCAGGCACGGGGCAGGAGAGGACAGGGCGGCTTCCGGGATGTGGCGGGGCCTTTGTCTCTGGCTGCAGTTGGAGCTCTGCGTCTCGTCTTCGTTCTTCTGTGTCCTCTGCTGCTAGAGGTCCAGCCTCTGTGGCTCTGTGACCTGCGGGTATTGGGGGATCCACAGCTAAGACGCCAGGACCCCCCGGAAGCCTAGAAATGGTGAGAGTGCCGGTCCGACATCCCGAGAGGGGGAAGGGGCTGTGGCGTGACTCAGGCCTTCCCGCAGTCAGCTCCACAATCTGCGCGTGCCGGAGTTCTTGCCCAGCTCGGCCTCAATCCCCTTCAGCCATAAGATGGCGGCTGCTCTGGGAGGCAGCCCCGGGCGTCCTGTCTCTTCTCTGCGCAGTGACTGTGTCCCGGCCTGCAGCCCTCTGTGGGCAGCTCTGCAGCCGCAACGCGGCGTCTCTCCCAAATTGTGCAGGGGCCACAGGAGGGTCGTCAGGAGAGAATCCTGACTCGTGATGCAGTTTCATGAATAGGAAGAGCTTTGGTCCGTGGCATTTCTAGTCCCTCTTTTGGTCTATTAGAAACAGGAGAGTCGGCCGGGCGCGGTGGGTCACGCCTTTAATCCCAGCACTTTGGGAGGTCGAGGTGGGTGGATGACGAGGTGAGGAGTTCGAGAGCAGCCTGGCTAATATGGTGAACCCCGTCTATACTAAAAATACAAAAATTAGCTGGGCGTGGTGGCGCGCGCCTGTAATCGCAGCTACTAGGGAGGCTGAGACAGGAAAATCGCTTGAACCCAGGAGGCGGAGGATGCAGTGAGCCGAGATCGCGCCATTGCACTCCAGCCTGGGCCACAGAGTGAAACTCCCTCTGGAAAAAAAAAAAAAAAAAAACTAAACTAGATTTTCCTTTATTTCTGACATTCCCAAATGCCACCTTCTTCTCCGCAATTCACGTTATCAACTATTTTTTCTTTTTTTTCTTTTTTTTTTTTTTTTTGAGATGGACTTTCGCTTTTGCTGCCCAGGCTGGAGTGCAATGGTGCTATCTCGGCTCCCTGCAACCTCCGTCTCCCGGATTCAAGCGATTTTCTTGCCTCAGCCTCCTTAGTAGCTGGGATTACAGGTGCCTGCCACCACACCCAGCTAATTTTTTTTGTATTTTTAGTAAAGACGGGATTTCACTATATTGGCCAGGTGGTCTCGAACTCCTGAGCTCAGATGATCCACCCGCCTCAGCCTCCCAAAGTGCTAGGATTACAGCACTTAAAAATAGCCACCGAGCCGGGCTATTTTTTTTTTTTTTTTAGTGTACATTTTAGATACAGAGATACGTTTTAGATAAAGATATTTTAGATATCTGTATATTTTTGATACAGATATTTTAATTATTTTTTGAAAAATCATTGGATGGACTTAAATAAATTTTCCTTTCTTCTTTCCTTCTTCTTTCTTTCCTTCCTTCCTTCCTTCCTTCCATCTTTCCATCCTTGCTTCCATCCTTCCTCTCGCTTTGTTTCCCAGGCTGGAGTGCAATGGTGCAATCTCAGCTCATTGCAACCTCCCGGGTTCAACCGATTCTCCTGCCTCAGCCTCCCGAGTAGCTGGAATTACAGGCACCTGCCACCGTGCCTGGTTAATTTTTTTGTATTTTTAGTTGAGACAGGGTTTCACCTTGTTGGCCAAGCTGGTTTCGAACTCCTGACCTTGTGATCCACCCGCCTTGGCCTCCCAAAGTGCAAGGATTACAGGCGTGAGCCACCGAGTCCGGCCTAAATTTTGTTTTCTATTTGAAAATATTTTCCATATTGAAAAGAAAGCAAAAAATAATCCCCTTACACTGTTTGTAAAAAATAAAAATCTCTGTGCCTCTTTTCCTTTTCTTTTTTTCTTTACTTTTTTTTTTTTTTTTTTGAGACAGTGTTGCTTTGCTGCCCAGTCTGGAGTGCAGTGATGTGATCTCTGCTCACTGCAACCTCTGCCTCCCTGATTCAAGTGATTCTTTTGCTTCAGCCACTCCAGTAGCTGGAACTACCGGCACCTACCACCATTCCCAGCTAATTTTTGTATTTTTGTTAGAGACAAGGTTTTTCCATGTTGACCAGGCTGGTCTCGAACTCCTAACCTCAGATGATCCACCCGCCTCCGCCACCATGCCTGGCCTCTTTTTTCTTTTTGTTTTCCCTAGGCACAGGACTCTTTTTTTTCCCCCGCCCCGCCTTAAGATGGAGTTTAGCTCTTGTTGCCTAGGCTTGACTGCAGTGGAGCCATCTCAGCTCACTGCAACCTCTGCCTCCTGGGTTCAAGCGATTCTGCTGACTCAGCCTCCCGAGTAGCTAGGACTACAGGGATGCACTACCACGCCTGGCTAATTTTGCATTTTTAGTAGAGACAGGGTTTCCCCATGTTGGTCACGCTGTTCTCAAACTGCCGACCTCAGGAGATCCACCTGCCTCGGCCTCCCAAAGTGCTGAGATTATAGGCATGAGCCACCACACCCAGCCAGAGACTTTTTCAGAATGTTTTTAGGTCAAGTTTTTCCTTTCGAAAAATGTGGGTGATTTTTCCTCAGCCACACTTCATTTTGTTGTTTTTGTTTTTTTTTTCTGATCCTGGGTTTCAGTACTGTCTAGGGATAAACCAAGATAACCACCATGGCTATGTGTGCTACAGTGTCACAGCCTGGGTGTAGTGGCTCATGCCTATAATCCCAACACTTTGGGAGGCCGAGGTGGGTGAATCACCTGAGGTCAGGAGTTCAAGACCAGCCTGGCCAACATGGTGAAATCCCGTCTCAACTAAAAATACAAAAAAATTAGCTGGGTGCAGGGGCAGGCGCCTGTAATCCCAGCTACTTCGGGAGGCAGAGGCAGGAGAATCGCTTGAACCTGGGAGGCCGAGGTTGCAGTGAGCTGAGGTCGCGCCATTGTACTCAGCCTGGGCGACAAGAGGGAAACTCTGTTTAAAAAATAAATAAATAAAATAAAATAAAAATTATCATTTACCTTTCTCTTTCCCAGAGTGAGTTTAGGAATCTTCTCAGGTGTCTTTTATTTTATGGCTGGGTGATTTTCAACAGAATTCCAAGGCTTAGCTTTTAGAATGCTACCAAGGAAAAGAATAGGGAAAATCTATTTTATTTGGCTGTACAAAATTAATACATTTTTATAAGAAAACGTGGTATATAAGTGGTGAGTTACACAGATTCATAAAAACATCAGTTACTCTCTTTGCAGGGTAAATTTGTAGAGGTGATTATCTGTATTCTATATCCTATCATCTTGATTTCTGAGTTTAATGCTAAATTTTATGAGATGAAACTTGGTACCTCCTAGAAGTGTTTTCATATGACTAATTGTTTACCACATAATTTTTTTTTTTCAATTGACATGGAGTCTCACTCTGTTGCCCCACTAGAGTGCAGTGGCACAATCTCGGCTCACTGCACCCTCCATCTCCCAGGTTGAAGCAATTCTTCTCCCTCAGCCTCCTGAGTAGCTGGGATTACAGGCGTGTGCCACCACGCCCAGCTAATTTTTGTATTTTTGGTAGAGATGGGGTTTCACCATATTGGCCCGGCTGGTCTCGAACTCCTGACCTTGTTATCTGCCTGCCTTGGCCTCCTAAAGTGAGCCACTGCGCCTGGCTGGTTGTCTTGTTTAGTTAGTCTGTTCATAGTTTTCTTTGCTGTGCAGAAGCTCTGTAGTTTAATTAGGTCCCATTTGTCAATTTTTCCTTTTGTTGCAATTGCTTTTGGTATCTCCATCATGAAATCTTCTGGTTCTTATGTCTAGAATGATTTCCTAGGTACCTTCCAAAGTTTTTTTAAAAATAATTTTACATTTTAAGTTTAAGACTTTAATTCACTTTGAGTTGATTTTTGTATATGGTGTAAGAAAAGCATCCAGTTTCAGTTTTCTACGTAGTATTAGCTAGTTATTTTAGCAAATTTATTAAATAGAAATTTTTTTTTACATTTCTCTTGTAAGCTTTGTTGAAGATCAGATGGTTGTAGGTGTGTGGCATTATTTCTGGGCTCTCTATTCTGTTGCATTTGTCTATGAGTTTGTTTCTATAACAGTACCATGCTGCTTTGGTTACTGTAGCCCTGTGGTATAGTTTGAAGTCAGGTAATGTACTGCTTCCAGTTTTGTTCTTTTTGTTTAGGAATGCCTTGGGTATTTAGGCTCTCTTTTAGTTCCACATTTATTTTAAAATAGTTATTTTTAGTCCCGTTAAGAATGTTTTTGGTAGTTTGGCAGAAACAGAATTAAGTCTGTACATTTCTTTGGGCAGTTTGGCCATTTTAATGATACCTTTTCTATTCATGAGCATAAACGGGTTTTCCATTTGTTTGTATCATCTCTTACT
Organism: Homo sapiens; assembly: GCF_000001405.40. Lineage (NCBI taxonomy): Eukaryota > Metazoa > Chordata > Mammalia > Primates > Hominidae > Homo > Homo sapiens. Next base: position 21,831,878 of record NC_000019.10, on the reverse strand, counting down.
TTTTGAAGCAGTTTTAAAATTCTTGTCATAGAGATCTTTCACCTCCCTGGTTAGCTATATTTCTGGATATTTGATTCTTTTTGTGGCAAATAGGATTGTTTTTGATTTGGCTTTTGGCTTCAATATTGTTGATGTACAGAGATGTTACTGATTTTTGTGCATTTATTTTGTATTCTAAAACTTTGCTGAAGTTGTTTGTCAGTTTAAAAGCTTTTCTGGAGCCGGGCGTGGTGGTTCATGCCTGTAATCCCAGCAATTTTGGGAGGCCGAGGTGGGCGGATCACAAGGTCAGGAGTTCGAGGTCAGCCTGGCCAACATGATGAAACCCTGTCTCTACTAAAATTACAAAAATTAGCTAGGCGTTGTTGTGTGGCTTGTAATCCCAGCTACTCAGGAGGCTGAGGCTGGAGAATTGCTTGAAACCAGGAGGTGGAGGTTTCAGTGAGCTGAGATTGTGCCACTGCACTCCAGCTTGGGTGACAGAGCAAGACACCGTCTCAAAAAAATAAAATAAAAATTAAAAAAAAAAAATTTTCTGCTGAGGCTATAGGGTTTTCTAGGTGTAGAATCATGCTACCTGCAAACAAGAGTAGTCTGACTTTCTTTCTCTTTATCTTGCCTGATTGCTCTGTCCAGTATTTCCAATGCTATGTTGAATAGGAGTGATGAGAGAAGGCATCTTTGTCTTGTGCCAGTTTTCAAAGAGAAATGCTTCCAACTTCTGTGTGTCCATTCAGTGTATTGGCTTTGAGTTTGTGACAGATAACTCATTATTTTGAAGTATGTACCTTTAATGCCTAGTTCGTTGAGGGTTTTAACATGAAGAATGTTAAATTTTCTTGAAAGATTTTTCTGCATCTATTGAGATAATCTTGTGGTTTTGGTCTTTAGTTCTGTTTATGTGATTAATCACATTTATTGATTTGTGTATGTTGAAATAACCTTGCATCCCAGGGATATAGGCTACTTGATCATAGTAGATTAGCTTTTTGATGTGCTGCTGGATTCAGTTTGCCAGTATTTTGTTGAGAATTTTTCCATCATTTTTTATTAAGATCATTGGCATGAAGTTTTCTTTTTTTGTTTTATACCAGGTTTTGGTATCAGAATAATGCTATTATGTAATGAGTTGGGGAAGAGTTCCTTCTCAATTTTTTGGAATGGCTCTAGTAAGAATGGTATCAGCTTTTTTTTTTTTGTACATCTGGTAGAATTCTTTTGTGAATATGTCTGATTCTGGTTTTTTATTGGTTTCTAGGCTATTTATTATACTTCAATTTTGAATCTTGTTGGTCTCTTCAGGGATACTTTTTTTTTTTTTTTCAGTCTTTGGAGGATGTACGTGTCTAGGAATTGATCTATTCTAGATTTTCCGGTTTGTTTACATAGAGGTGTTCGTTACAGACTTGAATAATTATTTTGTTGTTGTTGGGTCAGTGTTAATGGCCATTTTGTCATTTCTAATCGTGTTTATTTGGATCTTCTCTTTCTTCATTAATCTCTCTAGAGTGCTATTTATCTTATTAATTCTTTCAAAGATTTTACTCCTGGATTTCTTTTTTTGTTTGTTTGTTTGTTTTTTGTTTTGTTTTTTTTTTTCATTTTGTTTTTGAAACAGAATCTCTCTCTATTGCCCAGGCTGGAGTGCAGTGGCACAACCTTGCCTCACTGCAACCTCCGCCTCACTGCAACCTCCGCCTCCCTGGTTCAAGCAATTCTCCTGCCTCAGCCTCCTGAGTAGCTGGGATTACAGGTGCCCACCAATACACATGGCCAATTTTTGTATTTTTAGTAGAGACCGGGTTTCACTATTTTGCCAGGCTGGTCTCGAACTCCAGACCTCAAGTGATCTGCCCACCTCGGCCTCCCAAAATGCTGCGATTACAGGGGTGAGCCACTGCACCCAGCCTTCTCCATATTTTTATCATTTTTTTGTCTAACTCTCCAGTTCAGATCTGATTTTCATTTCTTGTCCTCTGTTAGCTTAGAGGTCAGTTTGCTTTTTCTTCTCTTGTTCTTTTATGATGTCAGGTTTTGTGTTTTTTTGTTTTTTGAGACGGAGCTCAATGAATCCAATGTCTACTGAAATTCAGATGTTCAAGAGTTCAATATGTCCAGAGACCTGGCTGTTGTAAAAGAAAATATAAATCAGAGGCTTTATTATCCTACCTGAAAATAAGAGAGACTATCTTGTTCAACTCTTTTATCTTAAAGCATTTAGATTATATGGAGATATTTTTATTGCTTTTTTGAAATATATTTAAATCATATTAACAGCCAAATCTTTTGGCATTCTTTTGACTCAAGATTGTCTTTATTTAAGACCTCAGATTCATTGCTTATCCTTGATTTGGGAAAATTTAATTTTTTTTTTAGTCTTTTAAAGTAGACACAGATTTGTTTAGATTAAAGCTCATTTTAAGAGCACACAGAAGTTTAGTACGAAGAACGAATTAAATTTAGAAATACAGAATGGTAAAAACTAAAAAATACTGAATAAATTTCTTTGACAGAAAACTGATAATCCAAGGTAATCTAATATTTGCAGGCTGAAGTACTTACACTGCAAAAGCAAGAACAGTTCAGTGTGTAAACTCAACCTTGGAGTCTGTGTAGTTTTTTTTGTGTGTGGTGTTTTTTGTTTTTTTTTCCTTTGTGATGGAGTCTCACTCTGTCACCCAGGCTCGAGTGCAGTGGCACGATCTCGGTTCACTGTGACCTCTGCCTCATGGGTTCAAGCGATTCTCCTGCCTTAGCCTCCTGAGTAGCTGGAGTAGCTGGGACTACAGGCACGTGCCACCACGTCCGGCTAATTTTTTTTTTTTTTTTTTTTTTTTTTTTTTTTTGAGACAGAGTCTCTCTCTTTCGCCCAGGCTGGAGTGCAGTGGCGCCATTTTGGCTCACTGCGATCTCCGCCTCCCTGGTTCACGCCATTCTCCTGGCTCAGCCTCCCAAGTAGCTGGGAGTATAGGCGCCCGCCAGGGCACCCGGCTATTTTTTTGTATTTTTAGTAGAGACGGGGTTTCACCGTGTTAGCCAGGATGGTCTCGATCTCCTGACCTCGTGATCTGCTCGCTGCGGCCTCCCAAAGTGCTGGGATTACAGGCGTGAGCCACCGCGTCCGGCTGTATTTTTTTTTTTTCCTTAAATTTACTTTTTTTGAGACGGAGTTTCACTCCTGTTGCCCAGGCTGGAGTACAATGGCATGATCTCAGCTTACTGCAACCTCCGCCTACTGGGTTCAAGTGATTCTCCTGCCTCAGCCTCCTGAGTAGCTGGGGTTACAGGCATGTGCCACCATGCCTGGCTAAATTTTGTACTTTTAGAGTAGAGACAGGGTTTCTCCATGTTGGTCAGGCTGGTCTCGAACTCCTGACCTCAGGTGATCCACCCGCCTCAGCTTCCCAAAGTATTGGGATTACAGGCATGAGCCACCGCGCCTGGCCTAATTTTTTGTATTTTTATGAGAGATGGGGTTTCACCGTGTTAGCCAGGATGGTCTCAATCTCCTGACCTTGTGGTATGCCCGCCTTGGCCTCCCAAAGTGCTGGGATTACAGGCATGAATCACCATGCCTAGCCTAAATAGTTATTTTAATATTCTTACTCATACTTTGAAATATAAAGTAGTTTTAACTGAAATATGGTTACAAACAATTTTTTAGAATACTACATACATTATGACTAGTACATTAAAGTTGGTTATACTTAGATATTTATATCTAATATCCAAAGAAAAGTCACTACCAAATTGTTACAATAGATATTAGTCTGACATGCTTATTAATTTATCCAATATGGATAATTACAGGGAAGCTTAATTTTAGTGTCTTTCATTTAACTAAATTGGAATGCTGCTATTACAGGACAGATAAAAACAGGTCAGGTGGCCACTCAAAAAATATAGTAGCTCTTCAGAGGCTGGGTACGGTGCCTTACGCCTGTAATCCCAGCACTTTGGAAGGCTGAGGCGGGTGGATCACCTGAGGTTGGGATTTCAAGGCCAGTCTGACCAACATGGAGAAACTCCAACTTTACTAAAAATACAAAATTAGCCATACATTGTGGTGCATGCCTGTAATCCTAGCTACTTGGGAGGCTGAGACAGGAGAATTGCTTGAACCTGGGAGGCGGAGGTTGCAGTGAGCCGAGATTGTGCCATTGCACTCCAGCCTGGGAAACAAAAGCTCAACTCCATCTCAAAAAAAAAAAAAAAATGGCCAGGCGCAGTAGCTCACACCTGTAATCCCAGCACTTTGGGAGGCCAAGGTGGGTGGATCACTTGAGGTTGGGAATTCAAGACCTGCTTGACCAACATGGAGAAACCCTGTCTCTGCCAAAAATAGAAAAATTAGCCAGGTATGGTGGTGCATGCCTGTAATCCCAGCTACTTGGGAGGCTGAGGCAGGAGAATCACTTAAACCTGGGAGGCGGAGGTTGCAGTGAGCCAAGATCGCACCATTGAACTCCAGCCTGGGCAACAAGAGGGAAACTTCATTTCAAAAAAAAAAAAACCACATAGTAGCTCTTCAGTTAGCAGTGTTGCAAGCTTGAATATATTACACTATATGAATAAACTCAAGATTTCAATTCTTCATCAAAAGGTGCATGTGGAAATTGTGAGATGTATTCCAATATGGAACTCCCATCCAATGGCTAGGAGATGAGACAGCAGCAGACATGGAAGAGAAACCTTAGAAAATTCTGCTGAGAATATATATTTTTTTCATAATGCTCATGTTTCTTGTGCTGAGAGTAGCTGTGCACTTCGTTTAGAGAGAAATTTGTTTAAGGGGAGTATTTTTGGTTGACTTGATCAATCTTTCATCTAATCTAAGTTTTTTCTTAAGATGCTTTGAACTTCTTTTTTTTTTTCTCAATACAGTGTTACTCAAATGGAGAGCTGTTTTTCTTTCTAATGCTTTGGGTGTCTGTTTCAGAAGCTCTGTTAGTGTCCCATGGTGCCTGTGAATGCACGATGAAAACTCTCGGAGTTATCATCATCTGAACTCATGCTGAAAACCCAACAGTTTTTTTTTTTTGGAGACAAAGAGTCTCACTCTGTCGCCAGGCTGGAGTGCAGTGGCGCGATCTCGGCTCACTGCAACCTCCGCCTCCTGGTTTCAAGTGATTCCCCTGCCTCAGCCTCCTTAGTAGCTTGGAGTACAGGTATGCACCACCACACCCAGCTAATTTACCTATTTTTAGTATAGATGGGGTTTCACCATGTTGGCCAGGATGGTCTCGATCTCTTGACCTGGTGATCTGCCTGCCTCCTTCCCAAAGTGCTGGGATTACAGGTGTGAGCCACTGCACTCAGCCAAACCCAGCAGTATTTTTTCCATGTCACCATTGTAAGTAGAAACTGAGCCTGAATCACTGCTCAGGCTTAGTGAGCCTGCTGAACTCTCTTTCTGTCTTTGCAATCTCTTAAGCAGATTTACTGTCATGCTGCTCACATTCTGGTTTAATTGTGTAATAAACAATTTTATTTCTGTTCTATCATTTTGGAGTTTCTCTGGGGCTGCAGAAATTTTTTTTAAATTCCATTTCCAAACACTGTCTTGAATTACCAGACATAATATAAACACATAAGGTGCCAACTAACCTTTAATCTAGAGGAAACTTTTTCTTTCAGGCTTCCCATCTATTCACAATTGTGCTGCAAAGTGTATGATGTCCCCTAAATATGCAGGTGGAATTGTTTTTTTGCCTATTTGGTATATGTAATTAACTGTAGTCGCTTCTAGAAAGGATAGACAAAATTTCTACAAACTTCACAGAGAAGGAACCAACCATTTACCTCTTCATTTATTATTTTTTATTTTTTTGAGATGGAGTCTTGCTCTGTTGCCCAGGCTGGAGTGCAGTGGCACCATCTCGGCCTACTGCAACCTCTGCCTCTCGGGTTTAAGCGATTCTTCTGCCTCAGCCTCCCAAGTAGCTGGGACTACAGGTGAGTTCCACCATGCCCAGCTAATTTTTGTATTTTTAGTAGACGAAGTTTCACCATATTGGCTGGATTGGTCTTGATCTCTTGACCTCCTGATCCACCTGCCTTGGCCTCCCACAGTGCTGGGATTACAGGCGTGAGCCACTGACCCAGGCTATTTTACCTTTTTCAATGACTCTTGTATCCTCAGACCTGAAAGTGATTCACAGACCATGGGGCCCAGAAACCCGATCAAAGTAACGTGTGCATTGAGTAGACATGAGGACATGAGGATCTCCACTTTCTTCCTCTTGCTAAAAATGCCCTAAACTGTGTAGGTGAAACCTGCTGCCACACCACCAGATTTAGCTCCACTAAATCTGCAGCCCCAAATTCTGATTCTGGGTTTTGAGATTTGAGAAATAAAAAAAAACTTTAATCTGAGAAATGCAAGTCCTTTTTTCAAACTCAGAGACATTAAAATGAGAACACAATTATTTCTTTCTCCTCCCTTTGAACTATGTATTTATCTCTTGAAACTATTTGCTATTGCCACAAGTAGCTATAAACTAAACTAATAATGTCACACTGGACACTATAACCCATACCTTAAACCTTAACAATGTATATCCAATCAATAATCAGTGTTATTTCTGTAAATAAATAAGACTTCCTGACAACTTTTTTTTTTGGTTGGTTGGGTTGTTTGATTTTTGAGACAGTTTCACTCTTGTTGCCCAGGCTGGAGTACAATGGTGCAATCTAGGCTCACTGCAACCCCCACTTCCCAAGTTCAAGCAGTTCTCCTGCCTTAGCCTCCCGAGTAGCTGGGATTACAAGCATATGCCAACATGCCCGGCTAATTTTTTGTATTAGTAGAAACAGGGTTTTACTGTGTTGGCCAGGCTGGTCTCAAACTCCTGTCCTCAGGTGATCCAGCTGCCTTGGCCTCCCAGAGTTCTAGGATTACAGGCATGAGCCACCGTGCCCAGCCTAAGTGGCTGACAAACAACTTTGTACCAGTCCACTCTCTGCCCCTCTTTTTTGCCTTTACAAATCTACTTGTAACTGCTGCTAAAGTTTACATTCCAGACAACTTGAATCATTGCTCCCAGGTTATAATCCTCAAGCTTGGCCCAAATAAATGATTTACTTATATTCATGTTGCCTCAGATTTCTTTTTTCTTTCTTTTTTCTTTTTTTTTTTTTTTTTTTAGGTAAACATATTATTTTAAATGTGCTACAGCAGCCTCTATGAGGGGATCTCTTTTGATTGTACCCTGCTTGCTTTAACACCCAAGAATGCAGAGCCAGGTTGATCCAACATAGAATCTGTACATATAGTTTGGCCTCTGCCTGGGATTCACAAGACAGGGCCAGGTTTTGGATTGAGAATGTACAGAAAATTAGCAAGAGACATTTTCTGCATTGTGAGAAATCAACATAGACACCTTAAAGACCCCTTTGAGAGTGTGGCTTTTTGAACTTTTCAGATTTTGCTCAGTGACCTGCTAACACTTACGTGAGAGGCTCCAGGTGTAAATAGAATCTAATGGCAGAATCTGTAAGTGTAAACAAGCATCTTAGGAGTGAGAGATCAAGACCACAAAATGTCCAGAGCTATGACCACAGCTATACCTACCCATAAAATACGATACTGGAGTAGGGTATTTTTGTCTTTTTTTCTTACCTAAGAGCTAGCTAATCAGGACAGGTGATGCAGGTTCTGGAGCTCTACCAGGGCAGTTCTATTTTCTTTTTTTGAGACAGAGTCTCACTGTCGCCCTGGGCTGGAGCGCAGTGGCACGATCTTGGTGCACTGCAAGCTCCGCCTCCCGGGTTCATGTCATTCTCCCTCAGCCTCCAGAGTAGCTGGGACTACAGGCACCCATCACCACGCCCGGCTAATTTTTTTTTGTTTTGTGTTTTTAGTAGAGACAGGGTTTCACCGTGTTAGCCAGGATGGTCTTGATCTGACCTCGTGATCCACCCACCTCAGCCTCCCCAAATGCTGGGATTACATTCGTGAGCCACTGCGCCTGGCCAGGCAGTTCTATTTTCTATTTAGAATCAGCCTGAGGCTGGATGTGGTGGCTCACACCTGTAATCTCAGCACTTTGGGAGGCCGAGATGGATGGATCACCTGAGGTTAGAAGTTTGAGATCAGCCTGACCAACATGGTGTAACCCCATCTCTACTAAATACAAAAAAAATTAGCCAGGTGTGGTTGCACATGCCTGTAATCCCAGCTACTTGGGAGGCTGAGGCAGGAGAATCGCTTGGAGGTTGCAGTGAGCTGAGATTGTGCCATTGCACTCCAGCCTGGGCAACAAGAGCGAAACTCCATCTCACGAAAAAAAAAAAAAAAAAAAAAAAGGCCTGATTCTTTCTTGCCCGGCTTATCATTGGGCAGTCAGCTCTGGGTCACTGGAATCCTCTCACAATCAACTAGACATCTTTGCGACATTTGAAAATGTCCAGAACAGAATTGTGTCATGCTGACAAGAATGGTTAATTCTGCTCTGTCTCAGTCTAGGATAAATTAGTCATGCTGTTCTTGTTTCTCATCTTGTGTAAGATGGTACCCAGATGAGAGTTTTTGCAGTTTTCTTGTAGTTGGGTGAAAAACAGGAGATCTGGAGACTCAAACAGATAAACTAATTTCTACCATTTCTTATGGCCATTAAAAAAATAGATGAAGCAGTCATCCCTATCATCCAGGAATTTTTAGTCTAGGCTAGCAACTGGATACATGGTTGAATTTAGCATTATATTGTTGGTACAATGAGTAGATGTGTGCAAAAAAAACTTTGGCTTTATTTGTCCACTTTCTTTGTATTGTTCTGACTTCTGATATCATCACTTGAAGGAATGTTTATTGAAAAAATAGTACTGTTTCTATTCATCTTACCTTGCTAAGAATACATATTTATCTTACAATAATAAATTCTCCTAGAAAACCTTAAGGGATTTGTTTAAATTGCTTATTGGTATATGTTATGAAATTGACAGGGCAGCGGCTAAAAAAGATTAAAATTACACAAACTCTGGAATTTAATTTTGTCTTAGGTAAGCTTAGGAAAAACCGAACAGGAAATAACCCAGTGGCATAGGGAACACAATTCTTTATTTTTTTTTTTTCTGAGACGGAGTCTTGCTCTGTCACCCAGGCTGGAGTGCAGTGGCGCGATCTCGGCTCACTGTAAGCTCCGCCTCCTGGGTTCACGTCATTCTCCCCCCTCAGCCTCCCCAGTAGCTGGGACTACAGGTGCCCGCCACCGTGCCCGGCTAATTTTTTGTATTTTTAGTAGAGACAGGGTTTCACTGTGTTAGCCAGGATGGTCTCGATCTCCTGACCTTGTGATCCACCCGCCTCGGCCTCCCAAAGTGCTGGGATTACAGGCGTGAGCCACCGCGCCCGGCCACGGAACAGAATTCTACATAGGTTCATCTCTCTGCTTTTTTTCTGTTCAGATTCACCCCTTTTGGAGGCCTTATTTAGGTCAGGCCTGCTTATTGTTCTGTTTATAATTTGGTTCAGATTCTGCGTGGAAGCATCCATGTTGTTTTAATTAAGTGCCTCATGTGACTCCAAAATGAGGCTAGAATCAAGTATAAAAGGTTCAAGATACATACACAAGAGTTAAGTTTTACTTTGCACTAAAGGGTGGTTACAGGGCCTGTTCTGTTTGGGTTTGGTAGGGACAGGACAGTGTGGCCCATATTTCCATTACTGTAGCAAAAATTGCTGGTGTCCATGGCAGAGGAGGGCACCTGAGGATAGAAAAGGTGAAACTCATATTAGCATCTCCGTGGAGCAGTTCATTCTTGCTGAATCTCTTCGGTTATAAAGGACAAAAATAGGTGAACTTTTTCTGCAGGTCTTGGTCCTTCTGCCTGTGGGTGTGGTGGTAGTAGGCAAATAGGTGGTGCTGACAGCTTTAAAGGCATATTCTCAAGATGCAGGTGTAATTTGTCCAGAGAATCTCATCTGGAAAGGATTCCCAGAGACAGAGAAAAAAATGGCTTTTTTTCAGCTAAACATGTCTCAGATCAAGAGCTGTGTCCACTCTGCTTCCTGGAATGCCATGTGTTTAGTACTTGTAAACCTGTACTTTGCTACTTGTGTTTTTCCTCCCTAATGAGTTTGTTTTAACTGCTTTTTAAATTTTTATGATAGGCAAGGGTCTCTGCAAAATATTTCTTTTCTATATAACAGAGCCTTCTCTACATTCTCTACATCATGGCTTCTAATATGCCATGCAGAATTCTCACCATGACTTTATGAACTGCAATATTAAAAATGATCCTTTCATGGTTGTTGAACATGGGAAGGTGTGGATACTCAAGATTTCTATTGGGGAAAACTGGGGTCCTTACTAAAAATGGAGAACATGTAATGTTGAGTTTCAGTCTGTTTTTTATTAGCTCTATGCAGAATAGGATTCAGAAAATGCTTGTTTAAACAAGAAGACATTTATAAAGCAGAAAGTTCTGAAAAATACTATCAGGATATACTTGCTTTATGGGTGCTAAAGATAGACTACTAAAAATTACTATTAAAAATTACAGCCTGGTTGGCCAGGCGCGGTAACACGGTGAAACCCCGTCTCTACGAAAAAAAATACAAAAAAAATAGCAGGGCGTAGTGCTGGGCTCCTGTAGTCCCAGCTACTCTGGAGGCTGAGGCGGGAGAATGACATGAACCCAGGAGGAGGAGCTTGCAGTGAGCGGAGATTCGCGCCACCGCACTCTAGCCTGGGCGACTGAGCGAGACTCCATCTTAAAAAAAAAAAAAAAAAAAAAAAATTACAGCCGGGTGTGGTGGCTCATGCCTGTAATCCCACCACTTTGAGAGGCCGAGGTGGGTGGATCACTGGAGTTCAGGAGTTTGAGACCAGCCTGACCAACATAATGAAACCCATCTCTACTAAAAACACAAGAAAATTAGTCAGGTGTGGTGGCACATGCCTGTAATCCTAGCTACTCAGGAGGCTGAGGCAGGAGAATTGCTTGAACCTGGGAGGCAGAGGTTACAGTGAGCCGAGATCGCACCATTGCACTTCAGCCTGGGCAACAAGAGAAACTTCACCTCAAAAAAAAAAAAAAAAAAAAAATTACAGAACATGGGAGACATCTGTATCTTGAACTTTGCATAAAACTGATATTTCTTTATGGTTAAATTTAGATTATAATTTACTTTTTGGGGGCAATATCACAGCAGTGATGCTGTGTCTTTTTGCGTGCATCAGCACATCTTAAAATTTGTTCTAGTACATTTTATGTTAATTATTCACTTGATTATCAAGGGCTCTCTGACAGACTCTTTCCCTAAATAATTATTTTCCTTTTTTCTTTCTTTTTTTTTTTGAGACAGAGTCTTTCTCTGTCACCCAGGCTATAGTGCAGTGGTGCCATCTTGGCTCACTGCAACCTCTGCCTCCTGGGTTCAAGCAAATCTCCTGCCTCAACCACCTGAGTAGCTGGGATTACAGGCACCCGCCACCGCACCCAGCTAATTTTTGTATTTTTAGTACAGACGGGGTTTCACCATCTTGGCCAGGCTTGTCTCGAACTCCTAATCTCGTGATCCACCCACCTTGACCTCCCAAAGTGCTGGGATTATAGGTGTGATCCACCATGCCCAGCCATTTGTCTTTTTTTTAAATGTATATGTGTGTGTATATATATAAAATATATTAATATATATGTATATATTATATATATATATTATTATTATTATTATTTTGAGATGGAGTCTTGCTCTTTGACCCAGGCTGGAATGCAATGATGTGATCTCAGCTCACTGCAACCTCCACCTCTCGGGTTCAAGCGATTCTCTTGCCTCAGCCCCTTGAGTAACTGGGACTACAGGCATGTGCTACCACGCTTGGCTAATTTTTGTATTTTTAGTAGAGATGGGTTTTCTCCACGTTGGCCAGGCTGGTCTCAAACTCCTGACCTCAGGTGATCCACCTGCCTCAGCCTCCCAAAGTGCTAGGATTACAGGTGTGAGCCACCATGCCCGGCCATATTATTAAGAATCTTTATGCAACTGATGTACGTAAACCATCACATTTAATCTGGCAGCTGCTCTTCTTTCTTAGGTTTTCTTTGCATTTATCTGTCTTTTGAAAATGAAAGCTCTTATCTTTGTTTACTTGCCAGAAAAACTAGAAAAAAAACACAGACTTTTCCATTTACTGGATGTTTGACAAAATAGTCTTTCTGGGCCAAAATCATTGGCATTACTGGTAAGCTTGTTAGAAACTTAGAAACTCAGACTTTATTCCAGATCTTCTGAAAAAATAATCTTCATTAACAGGATCCTCAGTTTATTGTACACCTTAATATTTTAAAGGTCCCTTCTAACTCAACATGTCTTTATCTGAAAAATATTCGCAACTGATTCTGTATGATGCAAATAGAGAACTCAAAAATTTACTTTTGTGTTCATGCCCTTAATTTTACAGTTTATCATCCAGAAAAGTATTATATATACACTGATGTTGTGGATCTTACATCACTTTCTTTTCTCAGGGGTAGAAAATACATTGGAGAATAATTCCATGAAAAGAATTATTTTATTGGATAATTTCAGTCTCTTCTATAAGTCAGTACCTGTTCTCTTTACTCTCTCATTTTACCTTGAGTCAAATTATAAATTCTGCCTGTGGCCACTTGGTAAATGTGTGTGTTTGTGTGTGTATGTGTTGTTTTTTTTAGGGACCATTGACATTTATGGATGTGGCCATAGAATTCTGTCTGGAGGAGTGGCAATGCCTGGACATTGCACAGCAGAATTTATATAGGAATGTGATGTTAGAGAACTACAGAAACCTGGTCTTCCTGGGTGAGCATAACTTCAATACTCAATTCCTAATATACCCTAAAGATTTCATTTTTGTTTTCTGTAGACTGTTTTTTTGGTAATTTATACTTTGCATTCATGAGTTTCAGATTCCTGTTTTCAAAAAAATTGGGATTTGTTGGCGCACTAAAGAATTTTTTTCAAGATGTTTCATCTTGACCTGAACTTTCCACATTTCTGAGCTGATCTTTCACTCCAGATTAGTAGTAATTCCAGAAATTAAGTGGCATAAAATACTGTTGCCCACAACTTAAAATCTAATTGCCAACATTAATTTTTGATTCAGTATTACCAGGTAGTGAAATTAAGAACCTACAAAATAAGATACTTTCTAAATATTTACAAATTTTTGTTAAAGGCCAGGCATGGTGGCTTACTCCTGTAATCCCGGTACTCTGGGAGGCCGAGGCAGGCAGATACCTGAGGTCAGGAGTTTGAGACCAGCCTGACCAACATGGCAAAACCGCATCTCTACTAAAAATGCAAAAATTAGCCAGGTGTGGTGTTTCATGCCAGTAATCCCAGCTACTCAGGAGCCTGAGGCAGGAGAATGGCTTGAACCCAGGAGGTGGAGGTTGCAGTGAGCCGAGATCGTGCCACTGCACTCCAGACTGGGCAACAGAGTGAGACTCTGTCTCAAACAAGAAGAAATTTTTGTTAAAAATTAGTATTTTGGGGCCAGGTACGGTGGCTCATGCCTGTAATCCCAGCACTTTGGGATGCCAAGGCAGGCGGATCACCCGGTCAGGAGTTTGAGACCAGCCTGACCAACATGGCAAAACCCTGTCTCTACTAAAAATACAAAAATTAATCAGGCATGGTGGCACACGCTTGTAATCCCAACTACTTGGGAGACTGAGGCATTGGAATTGCTTGAATCCCGGAGGTGGAGATTGCAGGGGGCCAAGATCGCACCACTGTACTCCAGCCTTGGTGACAGATTGAGACTCCATCTCCAAAAAAAAAAAAATTAGTATTTTGGGATTAATGATTAGGATATTCTATCACACCCTTCATACTGGACACATTACTAGGTTAATAATGGGAGAATATGAGCAAGATTCACGTAATTTATTTTTTATTGAAACAGGTATTGCTGTCTCTAAGCCAGACCTGATCACCTGTCTGGAGCAAGAAAAAGAGCCTTGGGAGCCTATGAGGAGACATGAAATGGTAGCCAAACCCCCAGGTAGGTGAGAGTGAAAGTGAATACAACAAACACAGATGAGAAGTCCAAAGGTTAAGGGGAAAGCCAGTCCTTAAAATGTGACTTGGGAAGCTGTGTTCCAAAGGAAAGAGTTTCTGGAAAGCCTGAGTTTTTTCATTTTGCTTTCACACAAGGGTATCTTCTGTCTTATGCTTTTACATTCTCTCAGGATTCTTATTTCCCTTCGGTGATCTTCCTTCAAGTTTACCATGACAGCCAAAGTCCTCTTCATGACATTTAAGAGACTGAACAATCTGACTGCTTTTCCATTCTTTTGGGGGACACACAAATATCTGCATACTTTTGAGAAACTGTATATTAAACTATTTTTTAAGTTCTTTCTTTACATCATGTCTGAAATGTGTGAGTAGTGCTTTCTGTTCCATTGGATTTCTTTGTATATTTTCTGCACAGTTCATCCTGTTTTTATTACTGTAGCCTTTAAATAATATGAAATTATGAATTATGATGTTTCTTTGCTTTGTTCTTTTTCCTCAAGATTGCTTTGTTCAAAGTTTATTCTAGTTTCATGTATATTTTAGAATTGCATTGTCCATTACTGTGAAAAAAATCCCACTGGAATTTTGATAGAAAGTTTATTAAATTTATAGATCACTTTGGATACCGTGGCTTTTTTTTTTTTTTTAAAGACAGAGGCTTGCTCTGTCACCCAGGCTGGAGTACAGTGGCACAATCTCGGCTCACTGCAACCTCTGCCTTCTCTCTCAGCCTCCCGAGTAGATGGGATTACAGGCCCATGCCACCATGCCTGGCTAATTTTTGTATTTTTAGTAGAGACAGGGTTTCGCCATGTTTGGCCAGGTTGGTCTCAGACTCCTGACCTCAGGTGATCTGTCTGCCTCGGCCTTCCAAATTGCTGGGATTACAGGCATGAGCCACCACCCCTGGCCTGTAGTGAAGAGGGGTCGTTGCTTGGTCACAAGGCTGCTGAGTCTGCACTAGGGTCCGCCTTTAGTTGGCTTGTTACAAGGGGCTTGGGTAGTTGTAATTTCCATTTTATTTTTGGACTTTCCTCTGTAGGGCAGAACACTAGGGCAGTTTTTTGCAGTCGGGTCTGCATATGGTGGGCTTTATATCAGGTTGTGGATGAGTGCGGTTTTCACTGAGTACCAGAGAGGATTTCCCCAGGTAACTGTGTGGGTTTCTAGTTAGGCAGAACTGGCCATAAACCATGGCTCAGGGAGCTGGAACAGTCATTGAACTGCTTCAGGGTCCACAGTAAAGGCCTGCATCACTATAAACCAGTATCTTCCTCCAGGCCTTTTGAAGAACAGGACCTCTCCCAAACTGTGGCTGGAAGCAGTTTGGGATGCTTACAGAGTAAGTTCAGAATTTTCTGTGGGACCAAGTTGGGTGGGCCATTTTCTGGTCTGTAGTTAAGAACAGGGGTCCCGTAGTTTGCCACCTGAATGAGAGCCTGCCTTCTGAAAAAGAAAACTCCTTAATCTTGGGCTTTATGTGAGTTTTACAACTGCCTGCCTGGATCTCAAAGCTCTTTTAAAGGAACTTATTTTTCAGATGGGGTCTTGCTACATAACCCAGCCTGATCTTAAATTCCTGACCTGAAGCAATTCTCCTACCTCAATGTACCGTGTAGCTGTCATTGCAAGTGTGAGCCATGATGCCTCCTGGCTCTCATAAAGGCATTTTTGTCTAGGATGGCTGAGAAACGTTCTTGCTCTGTGGGGATAAGCAAGTAGGGCACCTTTTATTTTTCCATCTTACTGTTGTCACTCTCCCTAT
Source organism: Homo sapiens (assembly GCF_000001405.40). NCBI lineage: Eukaryota > Metazoa > Chordata > Mammalia > Primates > Hominidae > Homo > Homo sapiens. Next base: position 21,816,105 of record NC_000019.10, on the reverse strand, counting down.
ACATTTTTAGTTTTTAGTTTTTCTTTTCTTTTCTTTTTTTTTTTTGCGTCAGAGTCTCGCTCTGTTGCCCAGGCTGGAGTGCAATGGCACAGTCTCAGCTCATTGCAACCTCCACTTCCCAGTTTCAACTGATTCTGCTGCCTCAGCCTCCCAAGTACCTGAGGTTACAGGTGTCCCCCATCACACCTGGCTAATTTTTTTGTATTTTAAGTAGAGATGGGATTTCACCATGTTAGTCAGGTTGGTCTATAACTTCTGACCTCAAATGATCCACCCATCTCAGCCTCTCAAAGTGCTGGGATTACAGGCATGAGCCACCATGCCTGACCCAGTTTCTATTTTTTATTTCCAAATTTGTCTGTAATTTTGGATTCAGACATTTAGGACAATTATACTAGAATTTACATATTATGTCTGAAGTAAATTAGATAATCAGTAAGCACTCCATATTTACTAATATAGTTATAAATTTAAGTTTGCTGTAGGTAAAAGAGAATGATAGGATTTGTACCTACTTTTGTACCCTAATTATAAATAATATAATTTATTCCCAAATATTTGTTTTATATATCAGAGGCTGTAACCGTATTCTGCAAAATATATATATATATATATATATGTAATTTAGTTGTAAGGCTATTCTTTGCCTCTAAAGTTGGATTACAGCAGTTTCATTTTTTGTAAGTATAGCATCTACTTAAAATATAAAAATTATCTATAGTTTCTTTTAAATGTTTATTAAAAGTTTCTCATTACAATCTTGTATTTATGATTATACTGCATTTTCTCTAAAATTTTACTGCTGTACAGTTCATGCCAATGATGCAGAAGTACAAAGTTACAAATATTGTAGTTATCTAAACAAATTCTTCTTTAATGGTGCATCAATGTTGCATACCAGATTTTTTTTTTTTTTGAAATGGAGTTTTGCTCTCGTTGCCCAGGCTGGAGTGCAATGGCATGATCTCGGCTCACTGCAACCTCCGCCCCTCCAGGTTCCAGCGATTCTCCTGTCTCAGCCTCCTGAGTAGCTGGGATTATAGGCATTTGCCATCATGCCCAGCTAATTTTTGTATTTTTAGTAGAGACAGGGTTTCATCATATTGGTCAGGCTGGTCTTGAATTTCTGACCTCAGGTGATCCGCCTGCCTCGGCCTCCCAAAGTGCTGGGATTACAGGCATGAGCCACTGTGCCTGGCCTTGCATACCAGATTTTATGAGTAAACATTTCTCTTATTATTGTTTTCCAGTTTCATATTAGTGTATTTCTTCAGTGTAGGTTTCTTAACATCAGTTTATTGTGTTTTTTGGTTTTACCTATGTATTATAATTTCAGACAATTTTCAATTCTGTATGCTTTAATTAAGAGATAATTAAATCCCATATTGGGCTTTAATTGGCCGGGCACGGTGGCTCACGCCTGCAATCCCAGCACTTTGAGAGGCTGAGGCAGATGGATCACAAGGTCAGGAGATGAGACCATCCTGGCTAACACGGTGAAACCCCGTCTCTACTAAAAATACAAAAAATTAGCCGGGCATAGTGGTACGCACCTGTAGTCCCAGCTACTCAGGAGGCTGAAGCAGGAGAATCGCTCAAACCCGGGAAGTGGAGATTGCAGTGAGCCAGATCGTGCCGTTGCACTCCAGCCTGGGCGACAGAGCAAGACTCCATCTCAGAAAAAAAAAAAAAAAGAGATCAATCACCAAATGTCTATCACAATCATATTATATATGTGTGTGTGTGTTTATAAATATATGACCCCAATTTTGGTTAAAGCTTATCTTGTATATATTATTTTTTAGCTAATTTTTAATGGTTGTTTTGTCTTCTCTAAGTTAGTAGTCATGGAAATAGTCTATTTTCACCATGTGTTTAATGATGAATGTATATTTTCTTTGTATGAGAGAAACACTTTTGTAATTTGAGGGTAATTTTTTAAAAAGTTTATAATGCTGTATTTTTTTGTTTTTTTTTAATGTTAGTGTTGTAAAAACATGTAACATGAAATTTACCATCTTAAATCTATTGAAGTGTACATTTCAGGCATGATGGTGACTCACATCTGTAATCCCAGGATTTTGGGAGGCCAAGACAGGTGGATTGCTTCAGGCCAAAGTTTGAGACTAGTCTGGGCAATATATGGAGATTCCCTCTCTACAAATAATTTTTGAAAATAGCCAGGCATGGTGGTATGCACCCATGGTACAAGCTTTTTGGGAGATTGAGGGGGAGGGATTACATGAGCTTTGAAGTTAGAGTCTACAGTGAGCCATAATTGTGCCACTGTACTTAAGCTTGGGTGACAAAGTGAGAACCTGTCTTAAAAAAAAAAAAGTACTTTTCACTCATGATAAAAATATTTACATTGTTATTCAAAAAACTTCTAGAAATTTTACACCTGTGAAACTAAATACACATTAAGTAACAAGTGCTCATTTTGCCCTCTTTTCAGCGCTTGACAAACAGCGTTTTACTTGCTGATTTTATGAGTGTGACTACTTAAGATATCTCAAATAAGTTGAGTCATATGGTATCCATAATTTCATTACTTGCTAATTTCAGGTGACATAATATTCTCAAAATTTATCTTAAAATGAGGCAAGATTTTCTATTTGAAGGCTGAATAATATTACATTGTAGATCTATATTAATTTTTTGATGTATTTATAAATCAAGGGACATCTAAGTTTCTTCAGCCTTTTGGCTTTTGTGCATACTGATACAAAAAATATGGATGTTCATATGTCATTCAGGTCCTGCATTTTCTGTTATGAATATAGATTCATAAATGAGATTTTTGTATTTGATGATTTCATTTTTAAGTATCTGAGAAACATTTATAATTTTTTTTTTTTTTTGGAGACAGAGTTTCACTCTTGTCGCCTAGGCTGGAGTCCAATGGCGTGCTCTCAGTTCACTGCAACCTCTGCCCCACTGGGTTCAAGTGAGTCTTCTGCCTCAGCTTCCTGAGTAGCTGGGATTACAGGCATGTGCCACCATGCCTGGTTAATTTTGTATTTTTAGTAGAGATGGAGTTATTCCATGTTGATCAGGCTGGTCTCGAACTTATGACCTCAGGCGATCTGCCCACCTCGGCCTCCTTGTTTTCCATCAACAGTCAACATAGGTTTTTTTTTTTAATTTGTAATTTTTTATTATTATTTTTTTTTGAGATGGAGTCACACTCTGTCACCCAGACTGAAGTGCAGTGATTTGTTCTCATGTCCCAGGTTCAAACAATTCTCCTGCCTCAGCCTCAGGGTAGCCGAGATTACAGGCACCCACCACTATGCCCGGCTAATTTTTGTGTTTTTAGTAGAGATGGGGTTTTGCCATGTTGGCCGGGCTGATCTCGAACTTCTGACCTATGGTGATTCACCTGTCTCAGCCTCCCAAAGCACTGGGTTTAAAGATGTGAGCCACTGTACCTACCTGGATGGTTTTATTTTTATTGCATCATCAACAGATTTTGTATTTTTAAAAAATTTATAGTAGCCATTCTAAATGGGTGATAGGTGATTTTGTTTTTCATTGTGATTTTTATGCATTTCTCTACAAATTGTAATTTTGTGTCTTTTTAAATGCTTCTTCCCATTTGTGTATATTTTTGGTAAAAATTTAGTTCAATTATTTGTCCATTTCCAAATCAGATTATTCAACTTTATTGTTAGTTTTAAGAGTTGTTTATAGGCCAGGAGCAGTGGCTTACGCCTATAATCCCAGCACTTTGGGAGGCTGAGGCGGGCGGATCACGAGGTCAGGAGATCGAGACCATGGTTAAACCCTGTCTCTACTAAAAATATAAAAAATTAGCCGGGCGTGGTGGTGCGCGCCTGTAATCCCAGCTACTCGGGAGGCCGAGACAGGAGAATGGTGTGAACCCGGGAGATGGAGTGTGCAGTGAGCTGAGAACGCCCCGCTGCACTCCAGCATGGGTGACAGAGTGAGACTCCGTCTCAAAAAAAAAGAAAAAAAAAGTTGTTTGTATATTATGAATATTAAGGAATATCACATGTGATTTACAAATACTTTCACTCATTTTCTAGGAGGCATTGTCTCTCTATTGAATGTTTTCTTTGATGTACAGTAATTTCGAGGTATAGTGTAGTTAAATTTTTCTGTTCTTTTCTTTGCTGTTCATGCATTTAAGGTTGTGTCTAAGAAAATGGTGCCAAGACCAATGTCATGTCTTTTTTCCATATTTCTTTTTAAAAGATTTGTTAGTTCCTTTTTTCTATGTGTTTTATTTAAAATATTTGTATATATAATTCAAGAAAATTATCCAACTTTATTTTATTAGTGTTGGTATCCACGTTTCAGCATCATTTTTTGAAGAGATTTTTTTCTATTGCTTCCTCATGGCAACTTTGTAGAAGTTCATTTGATCATACACAGAAGGGTTCATTTTAGGACTCTTTATTCTGTTCTTTCATCTACTTATCTGTCTTTGTGTCAGTACCACATTGTTATTGTAGCTTTTAATATGTTTTGAAATCAGAAAGTATAATGCCTCTTTATTGTTTTCATAGTTGCTTGGCTATAGTTTTTTTTTTTTGTTTTTTTTTTTAGAGACAGAGTCTCGCTCTGTTGCCCAGGCTGGAGTGCAGTGGCATGATCTTGGCTCACTGAAAGCTCTGCCTCTTGGGTTCTAGCAATTCTCCTGCCTCAGCCTCCCAAGTAGCTGGGATTACAGGCACATATAGCCATGCCCAGCTAATTTTTTGTATTTTAGTAGAGACAGGGTTTCACCATGTTGCCCAGGCTGGTCTCGAACTCCTGAGCTCAGCAGGAAATCCACCTGCCTTGGCCTCCCAAAGTGCTAGGATTACAAGTGTGAGCCACCATGCCTGGCTTGGCTATAGTTTTTAATCAAATTTTAAAATTGTGAAGAATATTTCTGTGAAAAATTGTACCATTGAATTTTATGTAGAGATTATATTGAATTAGTTCACCACTGTAGCTTGTATTGACAACTTTGGAAAAGTTAAATTCTTCGGTCCTTGAGCAAGAATATGTTGAAGAGTGTGTTTTATTTTGATATATTTTTGGATTTGCCAGTTTTGCTTTTAATTCCTAGTTTTATGCAATTTTGGTCGAAAAACACAGTGTATAATTTTGGTCTTCTTAAATTTATTTGTCGTCGTCGTTGTTGTTGTTGTTTTGAGACAGGATCTTACTCTTGCCCAGGCTGGAGTGCAGTGACATGATTTTGGCTCACTGCAGCCTCAACCTCCTGGGCTCAAGTCAACCTTAGCCCCTTAAGTAGCTGGGTGTACAGACATGCACTACCATCCCTGGCTAATTTTTTATTATTATTTGTAGAGACAGAGTCTCACTATGTTGCCCTGGCTGGTCTCAAACTTGTGGCCCCAAGTGATCCTCCTACTTTTGTTTCCAAAATTTTAGGATTATAAGCATAAGCGACTGCACCCAGCTGGTATTCTTAAATTTAATAAGACTTGGTATTTATCCTAGCAGAATACACAAGATGCAAAGAAGAATATTGTATATTGTCTTGCTTTTTACTGGAAAGGTTTGTATGAGTCTGTTAAGTCTCCTTTGTCTGTGATATGGTTTGGATGTCCATGTTTCCAAACCTCATGCTGCAGTATAATCTTCAGTGTTGGATGTGGGATCTGGAAAAAGGTATTTTTGTCATGGAGGTGAATTCCTCATGAATGACTTGGCACCATAGTCTTGGTAATAAGAAAGTTTACACTCTGTTAATTCAAAAGAGAGCTGGTTCATTAAAAGAACCTGGCTCCTTCACCTCACACTTTCCCTATTACCATGTGACATTTCCAGTTACTCTTTGCCTTCTACCATAACAGTAAGCTTCCTGAGACCCTCACCAGAAACAGATGCTGACACACACTTCTTGTACAGTCTGCCAAATTGTGAGCAAAATAAGCCTTTTTTCTTTATAAATTATCCACTCTCAGGTATTCCGCTATATGCAAAATAATTGGAGTTGGCAATTTACTTCTAAAGGCACTATGTTATGTTGGAGAGCAGAAAAAGCTGTGTTGGGTAAATGTAACCAATTTATATTTTCCTTCTATGTGGCTCTTTGCATTGGACTCACCTGGGGCACTGCACACACTTATTTGTAAATTTTTCACTGATTTGATCAGTATGTTTTTGTTACATTTATATGTCTATAAATAAATTAGGGCCTGTGGTATTTTTCTATGACATCTTGCTTATGTAGCTTGTGTGATTTTATATGTTACATAAAGTATATTTATCTCTGAGTCTAGCAAGTGGAATAATTTGTTATTTTTATTTTTTTCAGTTATGTGTTCTCATTTTACCCAAGACTTTTGGCCAGAGCAGCATATAAAAGATCCTTTCCAAAAAGCGACACTGAGAAGATATAAAAACTGTGAACATAAAAATGTACATTTAAAAAAAGACCATAAAAGTGTGGATGAGTGTAAGGTGCACAGAGGAGGTTATAATGGATTTAACCAATGTTTGCCAGCTACCCAGAGCAAAATATTTCTATTTGATAAATGTGTGAAAGCCTTTCATAAATTTTCAAATTCAAACAGACATAAGATAAGCCATACTGAAAAAAAACTTTTCAAATGCAAAGAATGTGGCAAATCATTTTGCATGCTTCCACATCTAGCTCAACATAAAATAATTCATACCAGAGTGAATTTCTGCAAATGTGAAAAATGTGGAAAAGCTTTTAACTGCCCTTCAATCATCACTAAACATAAGAGAATTAATACTGGAGAGAAACCCTACACATGTGAAGAATGTGGCAAAGTCTTTAATTGGTCCTCACGCCTTACTACACATAAAAAAAATTATACTAGATACAAACTCTACAAATGTGAAGAATGTGGCAAAGCTTTTAACAAGTCCTCAATCCTTACTACCCATAAGATAATTCGCACTGGAGAGAAATTCTACAAATGTAAAGAATGTGCCAAAGCTTTTAACCAATCCTCAAACCTTACTGAACATAAGAAAATTCATCCTGGAGAGAAACCTTACAAATGTGAAGAATGTGGCAAAGCCTTTAACTGGCCCTCAACTCTTACTAAACATAAGAGAATTCATACTGGAGAGAAACCCTACACATGTGAAGAATGTGGCAAAGCCTTTAACCAGTTCTCAAACCTTACTACACATAAGAGAATCCATACTGCAGAGAAATTCTATAAATGTACAGAATGTGGTGAAGCTTTTAGCCGGTCCTCAAACCTTACTAAACATAAGAAAATTCATACTGAAAAGAAACCCTACAAATGTGAAGAATGTGGCAAAGCTTTTAAGTGGTCCTCAAAGCTTACTGAACATAAGTTAACTCATACTGGAGAGAAACCCTACAAATGTGAAGAATGTGGCAAAGCCTTTAACTGGCCCTCAACCCTTACTAAACATAACAGAATTCATACTGGAGAGAAACCCTACAAATGTGAAGTATGTGGCAAAGCCTTTAACCAGTTCTCAAACCTTACTACACATAAGAGAATTCATACTGCAGAAAAACCGTACAAATGTGAAGAATGTGGCAAAGCTTTTAGCCGGTCCTCAAACCTTACTAAACATAAGAAAATTCACATTGAAAAGAAACCCTACAAATGTGAAGAATGTGGCAAAGCTTTTAAGTGGTCCTCAAAGCTTACTGAACATAAGATAACTCATACTGGAGAGAAACCCTACAAATGTGAAGAATGTGGCAAAGCTTTTAACCATTTCTCAATCCTTACCAAACATAAGAGGATTCATACTGGAGAGAAACCCTACAAGTGTGAAGAATGTGGCAAAGCTTTTACCCAATCCTCAAACCTTACTACACATAAGAAAATTCATACTGGAGAGAAATTCTACAAATGTGAAGAATGTGGCAAAGCTTTTACCCAATCTTCAAACCTTACTACACATAAAAAAATTCATACTGGAGGAAAACCCTACAAATGTGAAGAATGTGGCAAAGCTTTTAACCAGTTCTCAACTCTTACTAAACATAAGATAATTCACACTGAGGAGAAACCCTACAAATGTGAAGAATGTGGCAAAGCCTTTAAGTGGTCCTCAACCCTTACTAAACATAAGATAATTCATACTGGAGAGAAACCCTACAAATGTGAAGAATGTGGCAAAGCTTTTAAACTGTCCTCAACCCTTTCTACACATAAGATTATTCATACTGGAGAGAAACCCTACAAATGTGAAAAATGTGGCAAAGCTTTTAACCGATCCTCAAACCTTATTGAACATAAGAAAATTCATACTGGAGAGCAACCCTACAAATGTGAAGAATGTGGCAAAGCATTTAACTATTCCTCACACCTTAATACACATAAGAGAATTCATACTAAAGAGCAACCCTACAAATGTAAAGAATGTGGCAAAGCTTTCAACCAATATTCAAACCTTACTACACATAACAAAATTCATACTGGAGAGAAACTCTACAAACCTGAAGATGTGACAGTGATTTTGACAACACCTCAAACTTTTTCAAACATAAAATAAATTATACTGGTGAGAAATTCTAGAAATGTAAAGAATGTGATAAAGGCTTTACATGGTTGTCACACTTGATTGTAGGTAAGATAATTTACATTGGAGTAAACTTCTACAAGTGTGAAGAATGTGGCAAAACTTTTAATTAATGCTCGTACCTTATTGCACAGGAAAGAATTTTTACTTGGAAAAAGGTATATACACAAAGAATGTGGAAAAGCCATTAATATGTGCTCATATCTTACTCAACATCAGAGAGTCTGTACTTAATAAAACCATTATAGATGCAACTAGTGTCAAAAGATCTTTCAGAAAATAAAAGCCTTTAAAGTGAAGAAGATAATTCATTCTGAAGACAAACATTACAAATATTAAGAGGGTTGTAGTACCATTACTTGCATCACAGATCTTATTGTACACATTTTGTACTAAAGAAAACCCTGAAGCAGTTGCTCAAATACTGTTCAACATCAGAAAATTTATATTGGAAAAAACCCCTGGAAAATGTAATAAATTTGTAAAAACAGTTTTGAAAAACTACAGCTTATAAAACATGAGGGTCTATAATGCTTGGTTGATAGTACAAAGTTTATTCAACATCAGGGAATTTATATTGGAGAAAAACCCTACAAATGTAATCAGTTTGGAAAAACATTTTTAAAAAAACCACAGCATAGAAAACACCACAGGGTTCATACTAAAATATGTTTTTGCAGATGCAGTAAAAATGAAAAAAATTTAATCCGAAATTAAGTTTATGTAAATATCTGAGAATTCACAGTAGAAATATCTAAGGCGCGGACACTTCAGACATTACACTAAATCAGTGCTAAGTACAGAAAACAACACAAAATAAAACTTGGTGGATAAATTATTTGTATATAACATTAAAAGAAGTAGAAGATTTTCAGTTATAATTACAATTAAAGTATACTTTTATCTTGAAAAAATTACTGATTTTTAAATTAGTGAATAATGATGTAATTAAACTCTCAAATAACTTTATGCTCTTTTTTCATTCCTGCTATATTCACATGTGAAAGCATGTGACCAATTGTTGCTGCACCAAAGATATGAGAGATTCTTTTATTAGGTGGGCATTATTTAAAACATTTTTTATGGAACAGTAAGGATATTAAAGTGTAAGATGCAGCCAGGCATGGTGGCTCATGCCTATAATCCCAGCACTTTGGGAGGCTGAGGCCGGTGGATCACCTGAGGTCAGGAGTTTGAGACCAGCCTGACCAACATGGTGAAACCCTGTCTTTACTAAAAATACAAAAATTTACCAGGCACCTATAATCCCAGCTACTTCAAAGGCTGAAGCAGGAGAATCACTTGAACCTGGAAAGTGGAGGTCTCAGTGAGCCGAAATCATACCATTGCACTCCAACCTGGGCAACAAAAGTCAAACTCCATCTCAAAAAGAAAAAAAAAAAAAAAAAAGATGCGTGATGAAAATGTAACTGGAGAGGCTCTTTGTGGTTAACTTATAAAGGAGTGATGCAGGAGATAGGTTTTCAGAGTAATATTCTTCTGCATTATAGTGACAAAAGTTTTTTATTTTAGTTAAAATTGGTTAAATTAGTAAGTCATTTTACTTATTGTAATTTTATGTAATTAAATGTACATTTTTAAATTTTTAGATTACATGTAAATATAACTTTTAAAAAAATGTGTTAAGACCATTGTACATTCAATGAAGCATTATTATGCTTCTAACTTTAACCTATTTCACCTTACTCAAGAGTGTATGTAAAAGATGGTAACAATATACTATTTGGTAACATAATGGACTAACATTTCTATTAATCTATTTCACCAGTGGCTTTCAACTGCAAATAAGTTAAAGAATATTTTTCTATAGGTTAAATATTCTTTTTTGTCTTATTTAAACTTACTGTTCTTAATTTCTGTGGGTACATAGTATGATTTTAATTACCTTATTTTATTCTTTGTGCTATTCATAATTTTTTTTGTTTGTTTGGTTTTTTTTTTTGAGACAGAGTCTTGCTCTCGCCCAGGCTGGAGTGCAGTGGCGCGATCTTGGCTCACTGCAAGCTCCGCCTCCCAGGTTCACTCCATTCTCCTGCCTCAGCCTCCCAAGTAGCTGGGACCACAGGCGCCCACTACTTGTTTGGGTTTTTTTTTGGAGATGGAGTCTCGCTCTGTCACCCAGGCTGGAGTACAGTGGCATGATCTTGGCTCACTGCAACCCCCACCTCCCCGGTTCAAGTGATTCTCCTGCCTCAGCCTCCCGAATAGCTGGGATTACAGGCGTCCACCATCACACCAGGCTAATTTTTGTATTTTTAGTAGAGATGGAGTTTCACCATGTTGGCCAGGATGGTCTCGATCTTCTGACCTCATGATCTGCCTGCCTCGGCCTCCCAGAGTTCTGGGACCACAGGCATGAGCCACTGCACCTGGCCAAATGTGTATATATTTATGCAATATATAACATGTTTTGATACAGGCATATAATATGTATTAGTCACATCAGGATAAAGTATCTATTACCTTCAGCATTTATCCTTTGTATTACAAGCCAATTCTACACTTCATTATTTTAATGTACAATTAAATTGTTATTGACTACAGGGTCATTTTAATTATAAAAATTATATAGAAGTATAAATAAAGTCCATACATTCCTGAGTCATGAATAAACATTGGTATATATTTTTCTTTGACTATGTGGCCGCTCTGCCTGAAACACATACAGAGTTTTAGTTTTGACTTACATAGGGTTAAATATACACATACATTACTCTAAAGATAAACCTTAGGTGTAAGAAAATTATGGAGTAAGTAACTGTTCTTGTATGAGTGTCTACCTATTTTAGGAAGAAAAAATCAATATTGAAGCAAAACAAGTAATTTTAATAAGGTGACTAATTTACTAGAAAACTAAAAACCTCAAAAATGCTGAAAGGAAATCTATACTGTCTGCTTTCTATTGAATTCATTACTGTAAGATCTTATGGTTTATGGTTCAGAATCTCCCCATGCAAACTTTTTTTTTACTTGCTTGGTACTCATGCTAGACCCATAATTTTCTTTTTTATTATTTTTTCTTTTATAGTTTATGAGGTATTATGTAAGCTCACTGGGGATTATAAGAATGATTTTTATGAAATTTAGTTGTGCACACAAAATAATTTTTAGGTGCAATTCCACAATTAGTGTTTTAAGTTATATTGAGTTAGGATATTCGATTTTGTTTATTTAATTGGAGACTTCTATATAAACCTACTTTAGCTATTGTTCATTTCACTTTCTATAATTGACATATGTAAATTTATTGAGCTAATTAGTTCAGGTAAATACTAGGGAGGCTTCATAAGTTCTGAAGTTTTTTTGTTCTGTTTTGTTTTGAGACAGAGTCTTGCTCTGTCACCCAGACTGGAGTGCAGTGGCATGATCTCGGCTCACTGCAACCTCTGCCTCCCAGGTTCAAGCAATTCTCCTGCCTCAGCCTCCTGAGTAGCTACAGGCACACACTACCATGCCCAGCTAATTTTCTGTTTTGTATTTTTAGTAGAGACAAGGTTTCACCATGTTAGCCAGGATGGTCTCCATCTCCTGACCTTGTGATGTGCTCACCTCAGCCTCTCAAAGTGCTAGGATTACAGGCATGAGCCACTGCGCCTGGCCTTATGAGGATGTTTCTATACATAAATATAGTGAACAAGCATGATGGTGCTTGCTGTGTAACAGATTGTCCATAATAAGCCAAAAACATTTCTGCTGGAGTTAGTTGGTAGCTTCAAGTCAGAGACGGAAAATATCAGTGATGAAATAATATTGATTCTTACTGTGGAGAGAACATTTTTCTTATCTTTAGTAAAAATACAAAAATTAGCTGGCCGTGGTGGCATGCACCTGTAATCCCAGCTACTCAGGAGGCTGAGGCAGGAGAATCACTTGAACCCCAGAGGGAGAGGTTGCAGTGAGCCGAGATCACGCCATTGCACTCCAGCCTGGGCGACAGTGAGGCTTCATCTCAAAAAAAACAACTGTAGTTTTGTAAGCATCCTCAAAGAAATCTACACCTGTTTCCCAAACACTTGCAATGCAAAGTTAAATTTCACAGAATCTTTTCACAAGAGTGGGTAGACAGCTGTTTTCTTCAAACTGAGACCTGGACTATAAGGTCTTGATTCTAGCAGATCTGACAGGACTACCTACAAACCTGCATGCAGGGCTGTGTGAGTGGCTGCTGGAGCACATTGGTGGGCTGAGAAGGGCCATGGAGACATTTATGATCACCAGACGCCTTCACAGCTGCATTATGCAAATGCTGGGCTTCACTTCCTAATGAGTTCTAGCAGACTAGTGTTTCCACCAGTCCCTGACCCATGCCTTCTGAATCTCCCTTGCCCAGGGTCCTCACAGCTGTCCACTATGTATGTCTCAGTCTCTGCTGATAGAGGCCACCTAAAATGAGAGCAGAATAGGCCTCAGAAAAAGCACCTAACAACCCTACTATAAGTATTTCAAAGAAAACCATTCAGATTTTCTCCAAGGCTTGTCTGTTGCTGCTTACTGTTCGTGAGAATGCTTTCTAAGCAGCAATAGATTTGAGAATGTCATTAGCCACTACTGTTTGTTTTCCTTCTCATGTCCCGCATTAACCAAAACCAAAATGAAACCAACAAAAAGCCTTCCAGGATATAGCTTTTGTATATAGGCCTAGCTGGCTAGCAGTAACATTTGGACTTTAAATTGAGTCTTGAATGATCTTCAGCGGTTACCCAGATAGCTCTTGGCATCAAACCCCTTGGCATCTCTTCCATTCCTTTTCCTATTCAAAATATTGAGGTTAAAATACATCAAAGTACAGAGGGAAAAAAATCTTAGGTCTTCTAAAAATAATTGTTTCATTTAGAAATCTGAATGATGGAGTGTTGGCAGAGGGCCACCAGAATTCAAAAGAGGTTGAGTTTAATCCTCCAGCCCAACTGTCCACATTTAGAAATGACAACATTCACGAACTAAGTCAATATAATTTGCACAGATCTTACCCAACAAACCCTAAGCTGCAAAAACAAACACTTGCATTTACACTTTTTTTTTTTTTTTTTTTTTGAGATGGAGTCTCACTCTGTTACCAGGTTGGAGTGCAATGGCACTATCTCGGCTCACTGCAACCTCTGCCTCCCGGGTTCAAGCAATTCTCCTGCCTCAGCCTCCTGGGCAGCTGGGACTACAGGTGCATGCCACCACACCCAGCTAATTTTTTGTATTTTTAGTAGAGACGGGGTTTCACCATGTTGGCCAGGATGGTCTCGATTTCTTGACCTCGTGATCCGCCCACCTCAGCCTCCCAAAGTGCTGAGATTACAGGCATGAGCCACCGCGCCCGGCCTGCATTTAAACTTTTCTAAAATGTCAAATTAGCATATTCTTTCCTCAGTGTAAAGTTTTAAGAAGCTTTAATCTGCCTTTATGAATTACCCTTTCAAAAATATATTTAAATGCTAGGAAAAGTTAACTTTATTCTCTACTCACAAATTTCTCTTACTTTACAGACAAATGTGGTTATATACATTGTTTAAAAACGCTTTTCTACTAATGACACTTCATGTGTAGATCTACACAAATGCTGTTTTTATTCTTCTGGGAATAAAAAGAGCTGTCCCAAGAACTAATAAAAGGATAAAAATATCTTTGCGGCTGGGTGCGGTGGCTCACGCCTGTAATCCCAGCACTTTGGGAAGGTGAGGCTGGCGGACCACGAGGTCAAGAGATGGAGATCATCCTGGCCAACATGGTGAAATGCCGTCTCTACTAAAAATACAAAAATTAGCTGGGTGTGGTGGTGCGCACCTGTAGTCCCAGCTGCTCAGGAGGTTCAGGGAGGAGAATCGCTTGAACCCTGGAGGCTGAGGTTGCAGTGAGCCGAGATTGCCCCACTGCACTCCAGCCTGGTGACAGAGTGAGACTCAGTCTCAAAAAAAAAAAAAAAAATCTTTACTATTTGCCCCTACTTGCTCAGCCATTTTTTTTTTGTTTGGGGTCTGGTGTTTGTTCTTTTCCCTCCATTTTGTTTTTTTGAGACAGTGCACTGGTAGAAATTGGCACTGATGGGCCAGGTGTGGTGGCTCATGCCTGTAACGGCACTTTGGGAGGCCAAGGCAGGCAGTTCACTTGAAGTCAGGAGTTTGAGACCAACCTGACCAGCATCGTGAAACCCTGCCTCTACTAAAAATACAAAAATTAGCTGGGCGTGGTGACATATGCCTGTCATCCCAGTTACTCAGGAGGCTGAGGCAGGAGAATCCCTTGAGCCCAGAAGGTGGAGGTAGCAGTGGCCAAGATCGCGCCATTGCACTCCAGCCTGGGTGACAGAGTGAGACTCCGTCTCAAAAAAAAAAAAAAGAAAAAAGAAACTGGCACTTATGGTTGGCTAACCTTTACGCTTCTTTGGAGCAGTGGAGAATTTTTAGCCCCCTGTTGAGGCAAATGTTGAAAAGTCTGACCTTGTTCTCAGGTGCTCCAGCTTCTTATTTACAGTAGAGCTGCCATGCCTGTAAAAGCCCATGGGCCAGGTCATAAGGTGGACTTTACTGTGAAGCACAGGGAGCACCTCATTCCTCACCCTTATCCTTGTGCAGAATGTGCTTGCAGGACCTGGAGAACAGGATGGTCCACACGATCCAGAAGAAGTGCTGAACACCAGATGCAGTGCTTTGAAGGTTATGTCCAGGGTCAGAAACTAGAATCAGTAGGCCAAGCAGCTGGCACTGACCAAAAGAAGGGCCTAGGCTAGGCTGCTGGCCACTGAGGCTGGGTTGCAATGCTGGGACAGGTTGGAGATGTCAAGTCCAAGAACATCCAAAACCTCTTACTAGACTCTCCACAATGTCTGTAGAAACATATGTACTCCCAACACAAACTTCTTGGTGAGCCAGGTCAAGATCTTTTGAGCAGCAGATATTGCCTTTTCACAACAGGCTATGGATGCTCCAGCAAAAGGTGTCGACTATGCCAGTGTGGCTGTTCTCAGTTCCCCAGTGACCCCATGTTTCCTGCACTCCTGAGGCCAGCAGCTCAAGCAGCAGCAGTAGCAACAGCAGGAGAGGCCAGCTCAGGCCCCGCACCTGCGGTCTGCCTGAGGCTCATGTGCCCATGCCAGCAGGGGGGATGTGATGACATAGTGCAGGATGAGGGCTACACACAGGGCTGGGTTGCCATGGGCTCAACAGGAGCAGCATTGAAATGATCAAGGGCTGCATACCACACCTTTGTCTGCTACTGCTGCCACCACCTATAATTTATAGGTAAACACCTTTTAGGAGGCACATATAATCATTTAGAAAGATAAAAACTCCCTCCTGCTACTTTTTTTTCTCCTTCTTTTCCCGTGCCAGACTTTTGGCTAACATCTACAAACATATTAGATGGCAGCCATATAAATTTTATTTTAATTATAATGCTTTCAAAATTAATAAATGAGTAAGTATAAAATAAAATCTTAACTACTGTATCAGCAAAAGAAAATGAAACTCATATTACAATTAAAGTGAAGAAAGTTGATGGGCTGTATATATTGACTGGTAAAAGTTTTAGATACCAAAAGTTTCACAGGCAATAGAATATCCAATTACCCAGTTAGAGCAGGTAGTCAGATAGTGATGAGTTGGGTAAGGTAGAGGCCCTGGGAATGTGCCCCAGGAATGTCAAGTGATTATCAGGTGGTCACCTCAGGATTGATAAGTGGTCTCAGCTGGTGACAAGTAGGGGCACCCTTCTAACAAATAGAAAACATTTTGAGTGCTTGGGCAACAACTTAATAAAATCTCAAAAATTTGGCAAGACCATCCAAGCATGGACAGTGAGAGGCAAAATAGTGGAGTTTAACCAATATATGCCTTTCTCTGGAGGTGCTCAACTGGTAAAAATAATATCTCCAATAGAGCAAGCATAGAACCTCAGAACACTCATGAAGCATGCAGACGACTTCCCTACTGCTGGCAAGTACCGCACAAGCAACAGTGAGGCATTAATCATGCCAAAGGGACCAGGGGAGGAGTCCATAATACTAGAAAATAAGTGAATGTGTAAGAAACTGGAGCCAAGGGCCAGGTAGGGCACTTGATCTCTAAGTCACCCATTTGGTCCCTTTCCAAAGCTACTTTGCTTTCTTTCAATAAAGTCCAACTTTTGCTTCAAATTTGCTTTTTGTCTCTTGGCTAGATACTTTCTTTTGAGAAGACAAAAACCAAAATCACTGCAAACCTGTGCGGACTGGCCATTGGTAACACAGTGAGAAATGATTTATATTTTATTGCTGGTAACATATTAGTTATTAACTTCTCCATAATAAATAGAATTTCACATGTAAGGTTCTAATTATTATATGAAGCTTTTCATGTTTTCAGAAATAACTGTCAATTTTTCTCCAAGAATTAACAATTAATAGGTAGTCATTAACATTGCTGTGTTTATATCTCCTAAAATTATTAGATGGGAATAAGTTTTTATAAACAAAATCTTCTGGTGTGGAATGTTTTATCTTTTGCAGCTCATGCATCAACATATCCCAAAAGAACTGTGAATTTGGGAACTGCAAGAACTGAGGCCAGATTTGTTTACCATGGAAAATTTGGAGTGTTTTCCATTGCAGCTGACTCCATCATCATTTAACCTTCTGTTGAAGGACCAGTGAGAAGCTGTTAATTTCTTTTTTCTCTCCTTTTCTTTTCTTTTCTTTTCTTTTTTTTTTTTTTTTGAGACAGTCTCGCTCTGTTGCCCAGGCTGGAGTGCAGTTGCATGATCTCTGCTCACTGCAACCTCCATTTCCCAGGTTCAAGCAATTCTCCTGCCTCAGCCTCCCGAGCAGCTGGGAACAGGTGCATGTCACCATGCCCAGCTAATTTTTGTGTTTTTAGTAGAGACGGGGTTTCACCATATTAGCCAGGCTGGCCTCGAACTCCTGACCTTGTGATCCACCTTCCACTCCCTCCCAAAATGCTAGGATTACAGATGTTAGCCACCCTGCCTGGCCAGAATCTGTTAATTTCAAGCTGCAAAAGCCTTATTGTTTTAGGGTTAGCATTAAAAATGAGAAATGGGCAATTTTCTTGTATTCTTTGTATGTACTTAAGTGATAGTAAATAGATACTGAAACAAAGTGAAATGTTAATGGTGACTATTCAGAGCACCTGCTCTATTTTCTCTGGATACCCTGAGATTTCTGAATTTTTTTTAAGGTAGTTTTGATCAGTGATTAGTACCACCTTGCCAGAAATGTGCTCAGTTCAGAGATAAGTAAATAAGTTGGCTAAAAGCACAATTACTAAGTAGTGAGGTCACAGCTGGATCATTGCTGATTCCATTTTCTCTCTTCAGATATTTTCAAGGCTTCATACTGTGTTACAGTGTAACTAAGAACATATAATTTGAAAACAACTTGTTTTTCATTTGTTTCTAGAAGTTATACTTCAATATTGGAGCATGGTACAACAATTTGAAAGACATTATTAGCCAATTTAATCTGAATTTGGCTAGAAACACCTAGAAAGCTCTAAGTACTGGATTTGAACCCCCTTTTTTTTTTGAGACAGAGTCTCGCTCTGTCGCCAGGCTGGAGTGCAATGGCGCAATCTCTGCTCACTGCAACCTCCGACTCCATGGTTCAAGCTATTCTCCTGCCTCAGCCTCCTGAGTAGCTGGGATTATAAGCACCTGCCACCACGCCCAGCTAATTTTTGTATTTTTAGTAGAAACGGGGTTTCACCATGTTGGCCAGGATGGTCTCGATCTCCTGACCTCATGATCTGCCCGTCTCAGCCTCCCAAAGTGCTGGAATTACAGGCATGAGCCACCACACCTGGCAAAGGCCTTTCTATGATATAAAAACTTGAGAATATACAGATGACTTTTTGCAGAATTCTGACAATGCTCTGTTAATTCCAATATTACAGTTTGAAGTTTGACTAAGCTAACAATAACTTAAATAAACAAGATTTCTAGCCGAAGTAATAAAATGTAGGGGAAGTAATCTTAAAAATTATTAGCTACAAAAACTAAAGCCAAGGTAATTATTCTATAGACAGTATCATGTATCCTATTTAATAGAATATTTCTATTTGTATATTTCTTCAATTTGAAAACTTTCAAAGATGTCTACACTAAAAAAGCCAGAATAATCTCCAGATTTTCTATCCAAAGCTTTTTTGAAGATTTCAGAAATGGTTTGTGTGTTACTTTTCATTTATGTAGCAAAGAAGGAATCAAAAAACAAATTACAAAAAGTAGAACATTTAAAATAATATAAAAATGTTAAAAAGAATTAGAAAACTTTTCAAAAATAATTTGAGCTTTGCCTGCCTGAGGCCACACCTTACCTATTGAAATCAATATTTTCTGTATGTATGACTAAGTTCTTATAGCCTTAGGAAATTTTTGAAATTGCATCAAGAAAAATTTAAAATTATAGGCTTGGAGACTTTAATTCAGCTCAACAAATATTTGCTACATCTGCATAATGTTCCTAGCAATATATTCCAGGATTATATTTTCATCAAAATCTAAAAAAAATTTTAAGTTGATTTTTTATAGATTGGATTTTGGTTTAGAAATATTAGGTTTAATACTCTAGGTAAAGATACCTGAAATACTGTAACACTCAGTGAATAAACATTTTCATTGTCTTCTACTGTGTTCATAGACTTTATAATAAGAGATACCCCAAATAATATTTGTGGAAATAGGCCTAAATATATTATATAGTAAATATTGGTATTATGCTAAGCAGATATAATCAAGATAAATGAATTATATATATATATTTTTTGAGATGGAGTCTTGCTCTGCTGCACAGGCTGGCATGCAGTGGTGCAATCTCAACTCACTACAGCCTCTGCCTCCCGGGTTCAAGCAATACTCCTGCCTCAGCCTCCTGGGTAGCTGAGATTGCAGGCATATGCCCCCATGACCAGCTAATTTTTGTATTTTTAGTAGATATGGGGTTTCATGATGTTGGCCAGGCTGGTCTCGAACTCCTGACCTCAGGTGATCTGCCCACCTTGGCCTCCCAAAGTGTTGGGATTACAGGCATGAGCCACCACTCCAAGCCCAGGTCTTTTAAAATTAGCACTGTTTAGATTTGTACAAAATTCATAGGTTTGCAGTAACAAAAGTTTTAATATTTTTTTCTCCCAAAGTACTGGGATTGCAGACGTGAGCCACCGCACCCAGCCGAATTACAAATTTTTGTAAACAATATGATGAAATTAATCCCTAATCTCTACTTTTTAGGTACATAAACTAGCAGACATATAAAGTAGTTTTTCTTTGTTCCCCTCCTTATTAGTCCTTTCAGTTGATGGTAAAAAGCTGTATTTTCTTTTTTTCTAGTTGGCTTGCATGTGAATCAAGTTTTTCGTTGAGAAGCTTATTTTCCTGAGATTTTGTTATACTTGGTTTTAGAGCATCCAGTTCCACAGCATCTGTTACTTTTGGGACCCTGAATTTGCTAATTCTTGAGATTTATCCTTGAGAAAATTATTATTTTAATGAAGATAATAAATATGAAGAGTTTTTTTTGTAAAGTTTAGTTTTTCTCCTTCTTTCAGTTAATTTTTTCCTCATCTATTTGACCTTAAACCATATAAACTCTAAAAACTGCCCTTTAATACTGAGAGATACTTGGAAACCACTTTTCTGTTAACTGCCCTTCCCCACCATTCTAGCAATTCAGAATACTAATAACATTATTTTTACCTAAACTTGTAGTCAGCGAATGCTGTAAGGTGATTAATCAAATATTATTTACTAAACACCCAAGCAGTATACTATGATTTTATTACCTTTTTTTTTCTTTTTCTTCTTTTTGAGACGGAGTTTCACTTTGTCACCCAGGCTAGAGTACAGAGGCATGATCTGGGCTCACTGCAACCTCTGCTTGCCAAGTTCAAGCAATTCTCCTACCTCGGCTTCCCAAGTAGCTGGGATTACGGGTGTGGGCCACCACGCCTGGCTAATTCTTTTGTATTTTTAGTAGAGATGGGGTTTCACGATGTTGGTCAGGCTGGTCTCAAACTCCTGACCTCAAATGATCTGCCTACCTCAGCCTCCCAAAGTGCTGGGGTTATAGGCATGAGCCAGCACACCCGCCCTTTTATTACCTTTTTAATACAAATTTATTTCTTGAATTAAATAGTTATTTCACTTTATATTAGTTTGATTTTCTTTTTGCCTATTGCTAAGTTTTGCTAAAATACTACCACTTAGCTTACACTTGCCCCAAAATTGTTTTTCATTTGTTTATAGCACTTTAAATTATCTCTGGGTTACATTTTTTCTTTCCCTGCAGATGTCTCTCCTGCAGCCTGCCTTCTTCCTCCTCTGATTTGGTTTCTCTCTGAAGAGTGTAAAGCTGTGACCTAAGCCTCCCCTCCTTACTCCCTCAAATGGCTTCCCTGTCTCTGAGTCTCCTTCTGTTTGGTTCTGCTCTTGTTTTGCTTGCTGATTCCACAGACAGTTTGCATCCTGGTATCCAGAGAGTGTGCATGTTAGGTACATTTTTAAAGACCTTGGATATCTAAAAGTAAATGTATTCTACCTTTTATATTTGATGGTAATATGGTTTGGATATGTGTCCCTGCCAAAATCTCTTGCCAAATTGTAATCCCCAATGTTTAAGGTGGGGCCTGCTAGGAGGTAAATGAACCATGGAGGCGAATTTCTCCTTCTGGTGCGGTTCTCAAGATAGAGTTATCTCAAGATCTAGTTGTTGGAAAGTGTGTGGCACCTCCCTCCCCCTACTCTCTTCCTCTTGCTCTGGCCAAGTGAAGTATGCCTGCTGCCTCTTCACCTTCTGTAATGATTATGATAATTTTATTCAAAACTGGATTTTTTCGTCTATTGAGCTCCTACTGTGTACCATGCGTTATTTTGGGAGCTGAGGATTTCAGAATAGGTAGAACAAAATTAAAATACACTTAGGTTTCTATGTAAAAAGAATTTTTATTTTGGGGTGACAAGAATGTAAATAAATAACCACAGCAAATTGATATGTGTGTGTGTATATATAGATATTTATATATAAATTTATATACACACAATAAATATCTATATATACACCACCCACCCATATGATTATATAAGAAAAGCAAAAAGCAAAGTAAAAGACTTGGAGAGTGATAGTGGTGTGTCATTTTCTAAATGAAAGTCTCAGGCTCAGAAAATCTGAACAGTGACCCAAAATAAATAAAAGAGCCATGTCTGTATTTCAGATAAGAGCATTCCAGACAGAGTGAAGAACACATCACTTCTGCTGCTCTGACATTAGACTAAAGATCTGAATTTCTGTTATAGCTCAACTGAATTTGCTTGGTTTGCCACTGCAGAGATTAATGCACCAGGTCAATCTCTAGGGGCTCTGGTCTGCAGATTGTCAAGACAGCCTATTCAACATGTAAGAAAAGCTCATGGAACTGAAATCACCTATTTCTGCAAAAGGGGCACAACCATTGTTAATCTCTTTATATTTTGGAGACAAAATATGCCACATTTGAGAATGCTGCTTCAACACATGTACAGAGTGACCCAGAAAGCTGCCTATCTTTACTGAAGCCCAGAGCAAGAGGCAGTTCTGCAGCTGGTGTGGCTGGAGGGAAGGCAGCTCTGCAGTAGAGGACACAGGATGGAGCTGAAGCATCTGCAGCAGGTCACGGTGCTGTGACCTACTGCAGAACTGACAGTTGGCAAGCCCAACTGACAACCACAGTACAGAATTCCAGGGATGTAAAAAAAAATCTAGTTTTGACAAATGTATTGGAAATAGGTCTTGGCTTGCCACTGCACTTCTTTAGAGATTGAACAACTGATCATGGGATATGATGTAACAAGACCTGAAATATCCATTATGAATTGCATGTTATGAGATCTACTGGAAAATAGCATGGTATACACAGTTGCTGTAGACAAGTAAGGAACACTGGTCTATAGGCCATCAAGCTGAAGCACGTGCTATGGGCACAAAAAGGTTGCATGTAGAGGTGACTCAGACCTCCATGGCACCTACCTCCATGCATTGCCACCTTTCAACCCACAACTGAGGCCCTATTGGTGTTTCTTATTAACAGGTAACCAATGGGGGAAATAATTTACCTATCCACAGATGATTCTGTACAATATGCTATTTCCAGTATAATTTAAGCTGGTAGTTATTTGGCCCTGAAAAAAAAAAAAAAACCTGGGGAAAAGATAGCTTTCCAAATGGCAGAAATTTGAACAACATATAGTTTTTGTTTACATCATTTAGAGATAGGCATCTGCATGTATTTATTGCTAATGGCCATAAGTCTGGAACTGTAGACTTTGATATAAACAAAAGATTCAGCAATAATGAGTCTGCAATGAGGTATATGATTGACCAGTTGGAATGAACATGGGAATATTTGTTTCCTATGTGAATGCTTTTTGTGAGTATGAGAAGCTACCAATAATAGGGCTAATAGGGCCAGGTGCAGTTGTTCACGCCTGTAATCCCAGCACTTTGGGAGGCTGAGGCAGGTGGATCATGAGTTCAGGAGATAGAGACAATCCTGGCCAACATGTTGAGACTCTGTCTCTAATAAAAATACAAAATTTAGCTGGTCGTGGTGGTGCGTGCCTGTAATCTTAGCTACTTTGGAGGCTGAGGCAGGAGAATTGCTTGAATCAGGGAGTCGGAGGTTGTAGTGAGCCAAGATGGCGCCACTGCACTCCAGCCTGGTGACAGAGCAAGACTCCATCTCAAAACAAACAAACAAACAAAAAATATGTGTGTATATATATATATGGCCAAATGGATGACTGGGCTTTGGATATTAGACTTTTTCCATACCTTTCACAATGTTTGCTTAATGGGTCCATGGAAGACAATGTGGACATGGTAGGAGGGAGAAGATTTTCCATGAGTTCAAGAACTCATGGACTTTCCTTCACTGATACTGGCCACTGATGCAAATGAGCACCAAGACTGCCAATAATTACCAATGCTGAAATCCTGGAAAGGTGAGCTACCTTGATTAGACCCATCAAATTCCTGGTAGAATTGTAGTAATATTCTTTCCATTTTTTCCTAGAGGTTGTAAAAAAAATTTTATCACTAGAATTGACACACATTTGAATACTGATGTTCCTCTATTATGCTTCTCCTTGCATCAAATTAGTTGCATTTGCTGAGTCTTTATTCTCTGTCCTGATTTTGTACATATTATTGCCACTGATGACAGAGTTTATTTTCCAAAAGAGAAGTGTCACAATAGGCTGCAGCCTGTAAGATTTCTTGGTCTTGTGATTGCCCGCATCATCCAAAACATACCCTTAAAAGAATCAGTTATGTTGCCAACTGTGAGACCATACCCTAAGAGCTTAGGTTTCTATCACACAAGATGTTCCCGGAGGCACATTGATTCCCTCACCCCAGGAACACCAGGAAGTGCAGGATTAGATCTCATGGCCAGAGAAAGGGTTACATTAGTTGGGGAAGACAAACCCACCAAGAATCCCACTGGCATTTGGAGACCTTCACCAGCAGGATACATGGGACTAATTTTAGGCAAAAGCCGTCTTAACTTACAGGGCATTAGTGTAGTCCCAGGAGTTGTTGACTCTGATTATGAAGGAGAAATTCAAGTAGTTTTAATGTCACAAGATCTTTGGGCTTTTGAACCAGGAGAACATATTGCTCAATTATTGCTTATTCCCTATAAATTACACCCTTCTCCATGAAAGGAGAAATGAGGAAATAAAGGTTTTGGGAAGCACAATCACCTGGGAAATCTATCTAAGCCAACCCTAGCCTCTAATAGACTCACCTGTGTAGTATAAATTAAAGGAAATAAATTTTATGCGCTTATGGATACAGGAGCTGATGTGTCAGTAATATCTAAAGACAAATGGCTCCCATCCTGGCCCTTGCAATTAACTTCTACATCCCTAGTGGGAGTAGAAACAGCTCAAAGTGTTCAACACAGTGCTGAGATTTTACCTTGTCTTGGTCTGGATGGACAGTCATGTACTTTTCAGCCCTATGTTGCAAATATAGCTATCAATTTATGGGGTTGAGACTTACAGCATGGGATATGAGACTTACAAATGAAAACTTTGATGACCCAGGATTTAAAATGTTGAAGAACATGGGATATCAGAAAGGAAAAGGTTTGGGGAGGTTCCTACAAGGAAACCCTAACCCGATATCAATAACTGGAAAAACAGATAGAAAAGGGCTAGAATGTCAGGATTTCTGATGGGGGTCATTGATATTTCTCCTCCACCCTCTGCTTTACCATTAGAATGGCTTAGTGACAAACCCATATGGGTGGATCAATGGCCCCTATCTCAGGAGAAGCTGATGCAACATCAGCAGCTAGTAAAAGAACAATTGGATACAGGACCTTATTCCAAAAAGGTCCGGAAGATGGCGACTGCTGTAAGATTTGAGAACTATTAATGCAAAAATTAAACCGATGGGCACCTTACAGAAAGGTGTACCATCTCCAGAGGCTATTAATGTATCTTAAGGATTGTTTCTTTACCATACACTTACACGAGAAGGATAAGCCTCGATTTGCCTTCTCCGTGCCTTCTATTAATCAAAGAGAACCTGTTTCTCATTATCAATGGAGAGTTTTACCCCAAGGCATGCTTAACAGTCCTGTGCTATGTCAGCATTTTGTAGGACAGGCATTAAAGGAGCCTCGGAATATGTTTCCTACTGCTTACATCATTCATTTTATGGATGATATTCTTTTGGCCACTCCTACAGATCAAGTATTGCATCAATTATTCAGAGAAGTAAAGTGAGCTCTTGTTAATTGGAATCTCAAAATTGCTCCAGAGAAGGTACGAACAACTTCTCCATACCAATACTTAGGAACTATTGTTACAGAGAGGAGTGTATGGCCTCAGAAAGTAGTTCTTTGTAAAGACAGGTTATAGACTTTAAATGATTTTCAACAATTATTAGGAGATATTAATTGGCTATGCCCAATGTTAGGTATTGGTACCTATCAACTTACACATCTTTACCAAACCCTGCAAGGAGATTCTTCTTTAAATTCCCCAAGGCAATTAACTAAAGAGGCAAGACGCTGAGTTATGGCTTGTAGAGCAAATGTTACAGCAGAGACATGCCTCACAGCTACAACTGCAAAAACCTTTGCTTTTGTTTATTCTTCCTACCCCCCACTCTCTAGTAGGACTTTTGGGCCAGTTCATAGACAAGTCTGTAACAGTAATAGAATGGCTCTTTCTACCTAATCAAACCATCAGTACCTTGCAAGTTTATCTTTCTTTAATTACACAAATGGTGACTAGGGGCAGGCATAGGTCAAAAATGCTTACGGGATATCACCCTGACAAAATTATTGTTCCTTTAGACTCCCAGCAACAGGCCACAGCTTGGGAAATGTCAATTGCATGGCAAATTGCTTTTGCAGACTTTGTGGGAATAATAGAAAAATCATTATCCCTCAGACAAAATTTTGCAGTTTTATAAAATGCATTCTTTCATTCTTCCTGTGATTACTCATCACAAGCCTATTCCAGGTGGCCAGAATTATTTTACTGATGGCTGTTCCAAAGGCTGTGCCACTGTCTATGGACCTAAACATACTGAACCATTAATGACCTCTGGGGTTTCAGCTCAATGCTCAGAGTTAATTGCAGTCATTCAGGTTTTACAGCTCACAGCTTCAGATCCTATCAACATTTTCTGTGATTCAGCTTATGTTGTAAATGTAGCCAGTTGCATAGAAACTGCTACAATTAAAAGTACACTAGACCTGGAACTGCTTAATTTATTTTTAAGATTTCAACATGATATTTATTCTTGTGCAGCTCCTTTTCATATTTCTCATGTTTGTTCTCACACACAACTTCCTGGACCATTATCCTTAGGAAATGATAAAGCAGATAAATTGATTGGTTCTGTGTTTCAGCAAGCGCTACTGCACGAAAATACTTCCGCCCTTACTCACATGTTCCATTTATCTCGCAGCCAAGCTAGGGCTATAATACAAGCCTGTCCTATTTGCCAGCATGTCCCCGGAGCCACACCTGTAGAAGGCTGTAACCCATGATGTTTGGCTCCAAATGAAATTTGGCAAATGGATGTTACACACATAGCAAACTTTGGTAAGCTTAGCTATATTTCTGTGACTATAGACACTTATTCTCATATGCTGCATGATACATGCCAAACAGGTGAGACAATTGGTCATGTACAGTGACATTGTCATCCTTTGTTCATATGGGGATACATAAACAATTAAAAACTGACAATGGACCTGCTTATACTAGTCATGCTTTTCAAAATTTCTTACAGCTTTGAGCTATAACCCATAAAACAAGAATTCCTTATAATCCTAGAGGACAAGGCATTATAAAGTGGGCACATCAAACATTACAACACATGTTGAAAACACAAAAAGGGGGTATAGGAGGCCAACTACCACCTCAGTCAAAACTACATTTAGCCTTATTTACTTTAAATTTTTTGACTTCTGGTACAGATGGTAAGGCTCCAGCAGAAAGACATTGGCAAGTGTTAGAGGAAAAGAGGAAAGTTTATCCAAAAGTTTTATGGAAATCCCCAGAAGAAGGACAATGGAAAGATCCAGTGGATTTACTGATGAGAAGACAAGGTTATACTCGTGTTTTTACAGGAGATGGACAAACCGTGTGGATGCCCTCAAGGTGCATGAGACCATGGAATGGGAGACTGGAGGAACCCAGGGTGGCCAACCATGGGCTTCGCCCCTTGGTATGAGCCATGAGCCAGCTGAGCCTGAGTGTGAAGACAGGGAGAAGGCTGACTAGAGTCACGACGACATCAACCCAATAACTTGGGGGCAACTCAAGAAAACCATGCAGGAAGCTGAGAAACAAGTGGAGCATCAAAACCAGACAAAAACCCCTAATTACATGTTCATGGCCATGTTAGCCATAATGTCCTGTGCGGTATGTTTTCCATGTGCAGAGGCAAAAACATATCGTGCATATCTTCCCAATTCCCCAGCAGTACAACCTATACTTTGGAGTGACACTCCTCCTGAGATTTATCATGATCAAGGAGCATGGGCTTCAGGACCCCTAACTCCCCCTGACATAGAACAGTTAGACTCTCAGAATAATGTCATTAATTATATCGCTCCACTGGAAGGACTTCTCATGTGTATCACCACAAAGATGTCACTCAGCCATAGGTGTCTTACAATTCAAGCTCAAATATGGTTGAGTCACTATAGAAAAATCATGTCCTTATTAAGTCTTAGTTCTATTAATGTAACTGGTGTGCTAACCAACCATTCCCAGCCCAATTGTCCTAATTGTGCTGCTCTACAGAATGGATTCCCTTCAATAGTTCCTACCCCCCTCCTTGGACCCAGTGTCTTGGCCCAGTGCCTAGAAAACAATCTATGTTAACTGGAGACATTATGGATTGGGGACCTAAAGTTCAGTTAGATGGAAAAGATGAAAATCGGAAATCATGGCACAAACTTTGCTGGCATTGATGGCAAGCTTTTAATGCTTCTTCTTTATACAACACTGGAATCCAATCCATCTGCCACCCAGATTGCTTGGCATGGAGCAGGCTTTAGCCCATCTCTTCCTCAGCGGCATTATCTAGGGAGGAAAGGACCAATTCGAGAGACGATATGGAAGGCAGCACTCCCATTTATGAATGGCAACATCTGGGTTGGTATATTATCCAATAATAGCAATAGTAAATGACACAGTCTTAATGTTGCATTTGTAAAGAATATCACCACTCAATTTACAGTTTTTTTTTTTGTTTTTTTGTTAGTTTTCATTTTTTTTGAGACAGAGTCTCACTCTGTCACCCAGGCTGGAGTGCAATGGCATGGTTTCAGCTCACTGCAACCTCTGCCTCCTGGGTTCAAGTGGTTCTCCCACCTCAGCCTCCCGAGTAGCCAGGACTACAGGCATGTGCCACCACACCCAGCTAATTTTTGTATTTTTAGTAGAGATTGGATTTCACTATGTTGGCCAGGCTGGTCTTGAACTCCTGACCTTGTGATCCACCTGCCTCGGCCTCCCAAAGTGCTGGGATTACAAGTGTGAGCCATTGTGCCTGGTCTACAGTTTGTGTTTTTAATCTTCACGTTTTTTTGGCAGCTAAGAAGGACCAGCTCCAGGTAAACAATACCCAACTGACCTGTAAATCTTGCCAATTATATCACTGCATTAATCATAGCACATTGCAAACACACAGTGTCTCTACTTTGATGATTTTAGATCGCATCCCTGGGCTATGGATTCCTGTCAGTCTGTCCAAGCCTTGTATTCTCACACCTCCTTTGCATTTTGTGAAGCTTCTTCTAACTCAGCTTACTCATCATGTCCATAGAGCCTTAGGCATGATAATTTTCACTATTGTTTCCTTGGTCACACTAATAACTTCTGTTGTGATGTCCTCTGTAGCTTTGCATAGTTCTATTCAAACTGCTCAGTATGTGGAGAACTGGACGCGCACAGCTGACCAAGCATGGCTACTTCAGAATAAAATTAACACTGAGTTTCAAACTGAAGTGGCAATGTTAAAATTCATGGTTCTATGGTTAGGAGAACAAGTACAAAGCTTACAATTGCAGGAGCAATTGCGTTGTCATTTTAGTCACACTCATGTTTGTGTAACCAACTTAGAATATAACCAAAGTGAGTATCCATGGGGCCTTGTGAAAGCCCATTTGCAGGGAGCTTTCACATCCAACATCACCTTTGATATTGGTGAATTACAAAACAAAATTCTTATTTAAATAGGCAAACTCAAGAGTTTCAGCCTTCTTTAGAAGACTGGACTGAATTCCAGCAAGGCCTGGAGAGCCTCAACCCTTGGAACTATCTAAAGCACCACGTTAACTAACATCTTGTATGTAGTTCTTGGAATAATGTTGTTTTGTCTCTGTCTTCTGTTCACAGTCTGTAAAATCAGATGGAACGCCAATTGGAAAATGAGAGCTGCCCACCCTGGCCTTACATTGTTTTAATTAATACATAAACACAAAGTGGGAGAGGTTGAGAGCCAAAAAGGCCAAAGGGATTGTGACCAACTCAGCATTCCACTAGAGGCCATATGATCAAACAGCAAGCTGTTTGTCATGAATGGAGGATGTGAGCAAACTCACAACTGCGCCTGCCACCAGAAGGTTTGCTGAGGGTGGTCACTCCCTGGCACTGGGCTCCTTGAGGTTATCTACTGGGACATCTAGAGCCTATTGTTCAAGGAATGCAGTCTTGCAGGCCTACTCTGGACTGAGCAAATGACCTCTTCTTCCATCCCCCTTCTCACTATCTCTTTTACCAATAAATACGAAGGGCTGTGGAAAATCTGGGCCCTTGTCTACTAGAGACAAGGTGCCCCCGACCCCTTCTTTCAAACATACTCTTTTGTCTTTGTCTTTCTTTCCACATTCACCCTCCTTTCTTCAGTCCACCAGGGATCGAGTTCAGTAACAGACTCAGAACTTTGGGAGGTCGAGGCAGGGGTATCATGAGGTCAGGAGTTTGAGAACACCCTGACCAACATGGTGAAACCCTGTTTCTACTAAAAATACAAAAATTAGCTGGGTGTGGTGGTACGTGCCTGTAACCTCAGCTACTCAGGTGGTTGAGGCAGGAGAATCCCTTGAACCTGGGAGGCAGAGATTGCAGTTTGCCAAGATCACGCCACTGCACTCCAGCCTGGGCGACAGAGCAAGACTCCATGTGAAAAAAAAAAATAGAATAAAGAGTTTATTAAGAATTTTATGGCTGGGCATGGTGGCTCCCGCCTGTAATCCCATCACTTTGGGAAGCTGAGGCAGGTGGATCATGAGGTCAGGAGATCGAGACCATCCTGGCTAACATGGTGAAACCTTGCCTCTATTAATAATACAAAAAAAAAATTAGCTGGGCATGGTGGTGGGCGCCTGTAGTCCCAGCTACTGGGGAGGCTGAGACAGGAGAATAGCGTGAACCAGGGAGGCGGAGCTTGCAGTGAGCGGAGATCACGCCACTGCACTCCAGCCTGGGCGACAGAGTGAGACTCCGTCTAAAAAAAAAAAAAAGAATTTTATAAGGTTGTTTGAGTATTAAATTTAAAAATGCATTTGAATTTTGTGCTTTGTAAATAGTAACAAGCTGCAGAAATTTTTGTTCCTTGTTCTTTGTCTTAAGCTTTGCACCCATCAACATTAAATACCATTCATTGCACAAAATAGTTATTTAGTTGTCAGGAACTAAGTAAATTAATATTAGAAAATAATATAAGATTTTGGTAAAATAAAAACAACCTTCCATTTACTGACTCTCTTTATCTGTGTTGTGTTTTACACCAGATGAATAACGTAAAAATCCCTTAATGATTCAAAGCAGGAATTCTTTACACTTAAAGCTCAAAACAGCATTCTATGCAAGTGCTGTTTTCCACATTCTCAATCATTCTACTTCTGTCTTGCATTTCCACCTGGAAATATGCCTTTCAGTATCAGTTTTGAATTGTCAATGTTTCTGCCATTTTGCTAAGATCATTCCCTTCCTTAATCACAAAACTGTGCGAAACCATAAGAAACCTCTGGTAGGGTCATTGTTCCCATAGACCTTTTTTTCAAGATATGCTCAGATTCCCTAAGACAAAAATGGGAAGTAAAGCATTTGAGGAGAAGAATATAAATGATTTACAACAATATTCACTTTGAAAACAGAGCCAGACTTACAAAGAAATGGTATCTTTTTTTTCTTTTTTTTTTTTTTTTGAGACGGAGTTTTGCTCTTGTTGCCCAGGCTGGAATGCAATGGCGTGATCTCAGCTCACCACCATCTCCGCCTCCCAGGTTCAAGTGATTCTCCTGCCTCAGCCTCCCAAGTAGCTGGGATTACAGTCATGCATCACCAAGCCTGGCTAATTTTTTGTATTTTTAGTAGAAACAAGGTTTCTCCATGTTGGTCAGGCTGGTCTCCAACTCCCGACCTCAGGTGATGCACCTACCTCAGCCCCCCCAAGTGCCGGGATTACAGGTGTGAGCCACCATACTTGGCTGAAATGTTTTTAATAATTTAAAGACACTAGAAATCAAGGTGTTATCCAGGAATATAAATTGTTTAAATTATTTAACCTTTTTGATATATTAACTTAGATGTCAGGGGTTTCTGGAATTCAATTCTAGTAATTTCAGATATTTAACAACTTTATCTGCATCATTAATTTAATTTTACAACTTTATCTGCACCATTAATTTAATTTTTGCAAGTTTGTGACTTGTGATTCTTTTTTGCCAAATAAGTTAATGTCTTCTATATTCTATAATAGAAATAAATTTTAGAGTCATAAAATATGTCTAGAAAAAGGGTCTGTTTCAAATTCTTTCTCACTAGTAGTTTATCAGAAAGTTGTAATTAAGATATCAGTGGGACATCTAGGAAATACTGATGTTACATTTACAGAGAAAGTAAACAAGCAATTGCTCTGGTGGGTTCAGATAATCCCTAAATTATCTAGTTTAATCTGGTGTACTTAAAGATATCCTGGCTGCAGAAAATCTGGTTGAATTTGCATGAGTGTAAGAATGTGAGGATGTGTGTGTGCCTGTTTGTATATACATGTTTGCATAGTGGGAAAGTTTAGAATGAAAATCAAGTTCTGATGCAAAAGAATTAATGTCACAGATATTCATTAAAAAGTAATCTCTCTGTCATTCTGCTATTAGTGAGTATGCATTCTGTCCACACAAGCCTGTTTTTTGCTTTCTGAGGTTGCCGCAGGCCATTTCAGCTTTTCTGATTCAGTTGCTTCTAGTGATTGCAGATATCTTCCACTGCAGAAAATTGCAATTTATTAGTTCCTATTCTGTTTCCTAGACTCATCTACATAGAGAGAGTACTAAAAGATTCAGTTTTAAAAAGTTTTTATGCACATCAAAAATATTATTCCTCTTTTGTAACTCGTTCATGTCTATGTCTATTATTTGCATCAGGTAATGACTCAAACATTTCTCAAAATCTAGGAAGTTTACTATATTTCTCTTAAAGTTGGCTTATTTAGGGACTATAAGGTAATAAAATTCAGTAAGAATAGAGCTAGAACTACTAAAATTAGTCAGGACTATTAGATAATCTATTAAATTCTACGTTAATCTCGAGATAATTATGTATTTCAAATTTTACTCTAAAAAAGTACTGTAGATGGGGCGCGGTGGCTCACACTTGTAATCCCAGCACTTTGGGAGGCCGAGGCAGGCAGATCACGAGGTCAAGAAATCGAGACCATCCTGGCCAACATGGTGAAACCCCATCTCTACTAAAAATACAAAAATTAGCCTGGCACAGTGGTGCATGCCTGTAATCCCAGCTACTGAGGAGGCTGAGGCAGAAGAATCGCTTGAACCCGGCAGACGGAGGTTGCAATGAGCTGAGACCGCACCATTGCACTTCAGCCTGGGCGACAGAGCGAGACTTCGTCTCAAAAATAAATAAATAAATAAAAGCTCAGCAATTATAGGAAATGTATTTCGTATAGACTTAGAAAATTCCCATTTTTGTATGGTCTTGGGTGCCTTATTTTTTTAATTTTTTCCTTTTTTTTTTTTTTTTTTTTTTTTGAGATGGAGTCTCGCTTTGTCGCCCAGGCTGGAGTGCAGTGGTGCGATCTCGGCTCACTACGAGCTCCACCTCCCAGGTTCACAGCATTCTCCTGCCTCAGCCTCCTCAGTAGCTGGGACTACAGGTGCCCACCACCACGCCCGGCTAATTTTTTGTATTTTTAGTAGAGACGGGGTTTCACTGTGTTAGTCAGGATGGTCTCGATCTCCTGACCTCGTGATCCGCCCGCCTCGGCCTCCCAAAGTTCTGCGATTACAGGCGTGAGCCACTGCGCCCGCCCTCTAGTTTTTTTTTTTTTTTTTTTTAATATATATGACTGAAGACTGTGTGTACTTATCTGCCCTTACTGACAGAAAATCAAGAGTGCACATGAAAGCATTCTCTTGAATAAGGAAGGAAGCCTTATTTCTAATCTTCTATAGACTGAATTATGGAAGGTAAGATTAGTGAAACACTCTATGTCCAGAGCACTGAATGTCTTTCTGTCCACTGGCCACAGTAAGTTTGAATAGGTGGAGGTCAATGGTCAACACTAGGAATCAACAGGAATAATGCCAAAAATAAGGGGTCAGCTTATGAGAGATTAGATGACAAAATATGGCTTGAACTGACTCAGCAAGTATTACAAACTTTAGCAACTGATGCCCACTGACACTTAACAATAACACGGACTGGTGGCTGGGCATGGTGGGTCACGCCTGTATCGAACACCTGAGTTCAGGAGTTTGAGACCAGCCTGACCAACACGGAGAAACCCCTAATATACAAAATACTAAAAACACAAAATTAGCCAGGCATGGTGGTGGGCGCCTGTAGTCCCAGCTACTCAGGAGGCTGAGGCAGGAGAATTGCTTGAACCCAGGAGGTGGAGGTTTCGGTGATCCGAGATCAAGCCATTGCACTCCAGCCTGGGCAACAAGAGCAAAACTCCATCTCAAAAAAAAAAAAAGAAAGAAAGAAAGGCCAGGCGCAGTGGCTCACGCCTGTAATCTTAGTACTTTGGGAGGCCGAGGCGGGCAGATCGCCTGAGGTCAGTTCAAGACCAGCCTGACCAATATGGTGAAACTCCGTCTCTACTAAAAATACAAAAATTAGCCATGCATGGTGGCAGGCACCTGTAATCCTAGCTACTCAGGAGGTTGAGGCGGGAGAATCGCTTCAACCCTTGAGGCGGAGATTGCAGTGAGCCAAGGTCGCACCACTGCACTCCAGCCTGGGCGACAGAGCGAAACTCCGTCTCAAAAACAAAAAAAAAAAAAAGAGAAAAAAAAGAAAAGAAAAAAAGAAGGCCTAGTGACTATAAGAATCTTTATATTAGTATTTATTTATTATGTTGTTTATATATTTATTAATTATGTGTATTATGTTGTTTATATTAATTATGTAGTTTATGTTTTTAGCAAGAACATTGAGTCTGCACATGTGTGCACAAGTTCACATTTTAAAACAACAGAGAACATTAAAACAAAAAATCTTTCATTAAAGTGAACCATTCCAACCTCAAAAAAGATTAAGTTAAAACATGAAACCACTCTTTATATCTTGCTTCAAATACCTCATAATTATCACAGAGATTGTAGAGAGCACCTGTTTTGTTTAATAAAATATAAGCATATAAGTTTAAGATAGTCTGGGGCAAAGGTAGCAGACAGTGGGAAAGTCTTCTGGATTTGTTTTTGTTTTCCACATTCTGAAAAAGTCCTATGAAATAGCAAAAAGAAAAAAAAAAAAAAAAAAAGACTTCTTAAGCTATTGCATGCAAACCCAAACCCAACAAGATATTAAAGTCAAGTGATTCCCTATGGATTCACTGAGCGGGGAGAATTTCAGTACCAGTTGTCTAGGTTTCAGATTAAGTCATGGGCTCAGTGAGTGAATTCATGGTATTAGCTCTGTGTGTGTACACAGGATGCTGTCATTGCATCACTGTGAGGACACAGATGGCAGCATCAGTCATATATATATTGGGGCTCTTATAATACTGTTATAACCATGGGTGTGCAAATATTACTTCTAGTTCCTGCTTTGCATACATAGGCTTTTTCTGTATAATGTTCAGAGAAAGAGAGCTTTTTTTTTTTTTTTTTAATTTAAATATTGAGTTTTCTGAACCATTTGTTGGAGAGTCAGTTTTTCTCCCCATTGTTTGGTCATGATAATGGCCATGCAATGCCAAGCTGGAGCTACTGCTTTGTCCATTTCTGGAGCACCCAGTCCGTGAGTGCCTTCAGATTTGCCCCAGTGCCCCTGCCTGAGGTGTGAAATGGTGGCAACTTCTGGCACCTGTTATTGCCTGACCCATGGAGCTCCCAGCCCTGCTGTCCCCTCTGTCCTGGGTATCCTGTGCCTGGAGGTCTGGTCACTCCTGCTTCCACAGCACGCCTCCTATTCTGGCTCCTTCAACTCCCTTCCTCCTAGTTCTCATGGTCGGGCACCTGGCTTCTTAGAGATGCAGAAGCAGCATGGCACCTTGGGTTCTGAACAGGGTGAGCAGATGCAGAAAATGGGGGCAAATAATATTTTGTAATATGTTAGAGAATATTTATTAAATATTAAGCCAACACTTATTTTGTGAAAAAATATTACTTGATTATGGTATGTAATTTTTTTTTTTTTTTGAGACAGAGTCTCACTCTGTTGCCCAGGCTGGAGTGCAATGGCGTGATCTAGGCTCACTGCAACCTCCCCCTCCCGGGTACAAGCCATTCTCTTTCACCAGCCTCCCAAGTTGCTGAGATTACAGGTGCACACCTCCACATTCAGCTAATTTTTGTATTATTATTATTATTATTTTTTAGTAGAGACAGGGTTTCACCATGTTGGCTAGGCTGATCTCGAACTCCTGGCCTCAAGTGATCCACCTGCCTCGGCCTCCCAAAGTGCTGGGATTACAGGCCTGAGCCCCAACGCCCGGCCTGCAATCTTTTTTTTTTTTTTTTTTTTTTTTTTTTTTTTTTTTGAGACAGAGTATCTCAGGTGGCTCATGCCTGTAATCCCAGCACTCTGGGAGGCTGAGGTGGGCAGATCACCTGAGGTCAGGAGTTCGAGGACCAGCCTGGCCAATATGGCAAAACCCCGTCTCTACTAAAAATACAAAAATTAGCTGGGCGTGGTCGCGGGCCTCTGTAATCCCAGCTACTTGGGAGGCTGAGGTATGAGACTCACTTGAACCCGGGAGGCAGAGGTTGCAGTGAGCCAAGATCTCACCACAGCACTGCAGCCTGGGTGACAGAGGGAGATTCTGTCACAAACAAACAAACAAATATACAAACAAAAAACAAGAAAAAAAATTACATGGGATAGAAAAGTACATCAACAACTAATAGCTGAAAACTTTAGCAATTGGTAAAACCTTATTATGTTGATCTAAGAAGATTAACAACCTGACAAGGAAAATACAAATTAAAGCACATCTTAGGCATATCATAATCAAACCACTAAAAATCTAAAGATAAAACAATATAAGAAAAAATTATACAAACCTAATATTCTTTTTTTTTTTTTTTTGAGATGGAGTTTTGCTCTTATTGCCCAAGCTGGAGTGCAATGGCACAATCTCGGCTCACCACAACCTCCCTCTCCCGGGTTCAAGCGATTCTCCTGCCTCAGCCTCCAGAGTAGCTGGGATTACAGGCACCCACCACCATGCCTGGCTAATTTTTGTATTTTTCTAGAGACGGAGTTTCACCATGTTGTTGGCCAGGCTGGTCTTGAACTCCCGACCTCAGGTGATCCGGCCGCCTCGGCCTCCCAAAGTGCTGGGATTACAGGCGTGAGCCACTGCGCCCAGGCTCAAGCCCAATATTCTTAAATGTCTGTAAGTTACTCTAAAATATCTTTGCTTTACCAGAAACATTTGTACATATATAAAAATTCTGGTTGAACTACCCCTGAATTCATTACTTAGATAGGCTTCTATTTTATTAGATTCACTAAGCAAGTCACACCAAAATACCTTAAAAGTAAGCCTTTTGCTGTTTGCCATGTTGACAATGTGTATTTAGCTAAAATATGGCTGTTTTTTCTCTGACAAAATTTGCCTGCTTGTAAATGCCCAGAGTAAAAGGACTAAAGTTCGTAAAATATAGATACAAAGTCTGGCACTGAAAAGATTCAAGAGTTTAAATTTCAATGAGCCTAAAATTACGGTATTTACCCAAAATGTGAGGATTCTAAATAACCAGCTGTGGGAGAGTTAAAGAACCACTTAGGGTTGCATTCCCGTGGAGGCTCCCTTGATCAGAAACACTGCCATAGTCACGAGGGATGTCTACAAACCAAGATTCAAAGTATATGTTTTTATAGCTTAAGATACCCCATTTTAAGGCAGGAAAAAATCTCTGTCAGATGGTCTAGTTTGATGCTAATTTTAATGAGTGACATATTCTAGTTGAACTAATTTGATATTTGTTACAGAAAAAAAGGCAGCAGGTGGATTCCCATTTCCAGGGCATTAATAATTGGATGCTTGGTGTCTCAGGGTTTATTCTAACCAAGATGACTGAGAGTAATGGACACAGTTTTACCTTTACCCAAAAAAGTTTATTTCAAGTGAAACATTTTTTAAAAATTTACTTTATTAAATATAACTCTAAGAATATAGAGGGTTTTTTTTTAATGACTTCTCAAGAACAGGTATTGGCAAACTTTTTATAAGAAAGCAGAGAGTAAATAATGTATACTGTACCACGTAGCATTTGCCACATCCACTTTCTTCAGCCCTGAAGCTCTAAGAGGCTGGAATAAATGAAGGCAGTGAAGGGGTAGCCAGTGGGGCCTCAGCCAGCAGGCCCATGGCTGCTGCTGGTCCCTGATATGGGGGGAGCCACAAGGGAACACAGCAGGTTATGCAGGACACAGACCCTTGAGTTTGCTGAAGTTTCCCATGGGGCCAGGCTCTGCCCCAGAAATGCCACTAACAGTACCCACTCATCGTGAGGGCTGTACGCACATCTTTTGCCTGCTCCCACCCTTTGCCCAGCCTGGAGCCTGCTGCTGCCACTGCCAGGGGAACATGGCCACCTGCAATGAGATCAGGCAGAGGAAATAGTGTAAGGGTCAGGATTTCAGCAGCTCCCCATGTTTCTACAGGCAGCTTCTTTTTCCAGGAACAGGGTCCTGTTTCCAAGCTAGCATCTGGGATTGTGGGGGTTCTTATGTGCTCCCTGGAAGGCGCTCTTGGCTGCAATTTTGGGCAAGGGTTTTGGGAGGTCTTCAAAGGCACAGGACTAAACTTCCAAACATAGCAGCTGTGCCCTGGGGTCTTCATGCCACCATTCTGACTGTGGATTTATTCATAATGATAAGATTTCACATTTTTATAACTTTAAAATAAAGAATTTTTATTTTTAATTAAAATTTCCATGCCTTCTGTAATATTTTCAGATACTATATTTGAGGCTATCCTGTAAATGTCTTATACTTGTATCTTTTGTGGTTGTTTGCATGTTTCAATAGTGATGTTATTATTACTGTAAAAGTTTTAAGTTTGTGTTTTAGGAGACTTTGACCTATTTGTGGCCTCTTTTTGAGACTCATGTTTATTGTAGAAAGAGGAACCACAGAGGTCCATGTTTGAGTCAGATCAATCTCCTTTTGCCATCAAGGATTTAACATCAGAGGCTCCAAAAATGTAAAAGCTGATTTAATCCTGAACAAAAAGTGTATGTATTATTAATATGACACAGGAAAATATTTTTGTTCATCTTCTGAATAAATTGAAAAGGAAAAACAGAAAAAATAGGACTTTTCTCATGCTGGCTTTTTCAGGTCTTTTGATTGAAAAACTGAATCTCCTGTATCAAACAATAAAAGATTATTTATTTTATTTTTTTCTGAGGCGGGAGTCTCACTCTGTCACCCACGCTGGAGTGCAGTGGTGCAATCTCCACCTCCCAGGTTCAAGCGATTTTCCTGCCTCAGCCTCCCAAGTAGCTGGGATTACAGGCACCCACCACCACTCCTGGCTAATTGTGGTATTTTTAGTAGAGATGGGGTTTCACCATATTGGCCAGGCTGGTCTCAAACTCCTGACCTTGTGGTCCACCTGCCTTGGCCTCCCAAAGTGCTGGGATTACAGGCACCCACCACCACTCCTGGCTAATTGTGGTATTTTTAGTAGAGATGGGGTTTCACCATATTGGCCAGGCTGGTCTCAAACTCCTGACCTTGTGGTCCACCTGCCTTGGCCTCCCAAAGTGCTGGGATTACAGGCATGAACCACTGCACCCAGCCCAAGATTTTGGTGGTTTTTTTTTTTAATCTTTTAATTATCACTTTGGCTAAATAAGTGACTATTATTTTATGAGAACTTGTGGTTCTATTTTGGTCAAGTGTTTTTTTTTTTTTTCTTTTTTTTTTTTCTTTATTGATCATTCTTGGGTGTTTCTCGCAGAGGGGGATTTGGCAGGGTCATAGGACAATAGTGGAGGGAAGGTCAGCAGATAAACAAGTGAACAAAGGTCTCTGGTTTTCCTAGGCAGAGGACCCTGCGGCCTTCCGCAGTGTTTGTGTCCCTGGGTACTTGAGACTAGGGAGTGGTGATGACTCTTAACGAGCCTGCTGCCTTCAAGCATCTGTTTAACAAAGCACATCTTGCACCGCCCTTAATCCATTTAACCCTGAGTGGACACAGCACATGTTTCAGAGAGCACAGGGTTGGGGGTAAGGTCATAGATCAACAGGATCCCAAGGCAGAAGAATTTTTCTTAGTACAGAACAAAATGAAAAGTCTCCCATGTCTACCTCTTTCTACACAGACACGGCAACCATCCGATTTCTCAATCTTTTCCCCACCTTTCCCCCTTTTCTATTCCACAAAACCGCCATTGTCATCATGGCCCGTTCTCAATGAGCTGTTGGGTACACCTCCCAGACGGGGTGGTGGCCGGGCAGAGGGGCTCCTCACTTCCCAGTAGGGGCGGCCGGGCAGAGGTGCCCCTCACCTCCTGGATGGCACGGCTGGCCGGGCAGGGAGCTGACCCCCCCCACCTCCCTCCCGGACGGGGTGGCTGCTGGGCGGAGACGCTCCTCACTTCCCAGATGGGGCGGCTGCCGGGCGGAGGGTCTCTTCACTTCTCAGACGGGGCGGCCGGGCAGAGACGCTCCTCACCTCCCAGACGGGGTCGCGGCCGGGCAGAGGCACTCCTCACATCCCAGACGGGGCGGCGGGGCAGAGGCGCTCCCCACATCTCAGACGATGGGCAGCCGGGCAGAGACGCTTCTCACTTCATCCCAGACGATGGGCGGCCGGGCAGAGACGTTCCTCACTTCCTAGACAGGATGGCGGCCGGGCAGAGATGCTCCTCACTTTCCAGACTGGGCAGCCAGGCAGAGGGGCTCCTCACATCCCAGACGATGGGCGGCCAGGCAGAGACGCTCCTCACTTCCCAGACGGGGTGGTGGCCGGGTAGAGGCTGCAATCTCGGCACTTTGGGAGGCCAAGGCAGGCGGCTGGGAGGTGGAGGTTGTAGCGAGCCGAGATCATGCCACTGCACCCCAGCCTGGGCACCATTGAGCACTGAGTGAACGAGACTCCGTCTGCAATCCCGGCACCTCGGGAGGCCGAGGCTGGCGGATCACTCACGGTTAGGAGCTGGAGACCAGCCCGGCCAACACAGCGAAACCCCGTCTCCACCAAAAAAATATGAAAAACAGTCAGGTGTGGCGGCGCGCGCCTGCAATCGCAGGCACTCGGCAGGCTGAGGCAGGAGAATCAGGCAGGGAGGTTGCAGTGAGCCGAGATGGCAGCAGTACAGTCCAGCTTTGGCTCGGCATCAGAGGGAGACCGTGGAAAGAGAGGGAGAGGGAGACCGTGGGGAGAGGGACAGGGTGATGGAGAGGGAGAGGGAGAGGGAGAGGGAGAGGGAGAGCCAATTTTTATATATCTGGTCAAGTGTTTTAACCCTTTGACATATTTGACAGGTTTTCCAGAATGAAATTTCCGCTTAATAATTGTCTTTTCTTTGACCCTTAACTTTTAGATGCTGCAGAGGGCTAATGCAACATCCAGAAGAGTAATCATCAGAATTATTTGATATGTTAAGTTACATGGAAGGCATCATAACATTAAAAATGATGTCTGACCTTCAACTTATATTTTAATAAGTGCTATTAGCATTTATTTGAAAATTGTATGAAATTTCTGAGTATATGCTATTAGTCATAATTATGGTTATTATGATAGGTTATTGTAGGACACAGATAAAATCAATTTTTTCATTTGTTTCTTTATAACTATTTTAAGTTATTTCCACAGTTAATGAATTAATTTTAGCATAGTTTTATGAAAAGATGGAAAGGACCCAGACAAGTTGAGTACAAGTTTCTGATAATTTTACAATCAAACTGTTTAGACTGGGTAAGAATTGTGAGAATTCTAATGAAGAGAATGACTCTTATGAAACTACTAATCCAGGCAAAACAAAAATTAATTGAACATCATGAAAATACTCTACCACATTTTTATACTAAATTAGCCAGTACTAAAATTGTTTTAGATATGCCGTTTGAATAAACTCTGTGGTACAAGTCAAATTATGTATGATAACTTCTCAGTTATCAGTGCTATGCACCTGAATTGAAGAAACAAACCAGATATTGAAGAGGACATAAATTTAATGTTGTGTGTGGACTCATGGAGAACCTAGACAGCCAACAGCCACTTGTTTATTTCTGAGTTCTTAAAGTTTCCTCTATCAAAATCACTGCATTTAATTACTCATCACAGAAGAGATAAAAAATAAATTAAGCTAAATATAAATTGAGTGTGTGTGTGTGTATGTGTGTGTGTGTGTTTGGTGATTATTCTAATTACTAAAATAGGTTAGGACCAATTTTTTTTTTTTGTCAAACAGAATCCCGAGAAGACAATCAAAACTTCATGTACATTTCTGCTACCCAATGGGCTATTTAAACATTTGTAAAGAAATTTTAGGCCGGGTGCAGTGGCTCACTCCTGTAATCCCAGCACTTTGGGAGGCAGAGGTGAGTAGATCTCTTGAGGTCAGGAGTTCGAGACCAGCCTGGCCAACATGGTGAAACTCTGTCTCTACTAAAAATACAAAATAGCTGGACATGGTGGCACCCACCTGTAATCCCAGCTACTCAGGAGGCTGAGGCAGGAGAATCGCTTGAACCCAGGAGGCAGAGGTTGCAGTGAGCTGAGATTATGCCACTGCACTGCAGCCTGGGTGACAGAGCGAGGTTCTGCTTTAAAAAAAAAAAAAAAGGAAAGAAATTTTATTTAATTGTCATTTTTAATTCATGTCTGTAGAATAAAAGTTTTCTCAGGCCGGGCATGGTGGCTCACGCCTGTAATCCCAGTACTTTGGGAGGCCGAGGTGGGTGGATCACCTGAGGTCGGGAGTTCAAGACCAGCCTGACCAACATGGAGAAACCCTGTCTCTACTAAAAATACAAAATTAGCAGGGCATGGTGGCACATACCTGCAATCCCAGTTACTTGGGAGACTGAGGCAGGAGAATCGCTTGAACCCAGGAGGCAGAGGTTGTGGTGAGCCGAGATCGTGCCATTGCACTCTAGCCTGGGCAACATGAGCAAAACTCCATCTCAAAAAAAAAAAAAAGTTTTCTCATGCAAAAAGTTTGATGTTATAACAGTAGCCAAAATAATATTAGGAAATATGTTTTGCTCGTGAAACATTTCTTAAAAAGTCTCCAATAATAGGGATACTTATTTTACTAGACATGTTATAAAACTGTTAAATAAGGTATTACAGAAACAGTAATATTGAGCAAAGTTAACTAAATTGACAGAATTGCTTTTGTAGTTGCAGATTGATGACAATCAGGTTAACTGAGAGTGAAAAAATGTGTTGACGATTGTAAAATAGTCATTGGAAGGCTTATGCACCTGATAAAAGAACCTCATGTATCTTCTGCTACTGAAGTCTAATATGACTAAATGCAGCAAAGCTTTAATGCATTACGGCAAAGCATATTTTCACTAGGTAAAGAATGCTTTTAATGGTTTACTGATGGAATACTATAAAACCCTTTATAATTTAGAAACCAGAGAGATTGAGTCTGCCTGCCATCTACACTGCAGCAAGACTTCAGGACTTTAAACCTTGGTTTGATAATCTCATGACTCAGAAGGGCCCCTCCAAACTTGCAATTGTATACCCATTGGAGATCTTAAAGTAAAGCTAAGCAGGGAAGCTTCTCCTCAAAAGCAGATGGTAACATTAACATAGATAGCTTTTTTTTTAACAAGATAAAAAAATCAAGAAAGACATCTCTGCTATTACGACACTCTTAGTCCACTGTTTTTTTCTTATGGCTCTCCAAATGACAGAAATAAAAAAGGGGTCACTTGTGTGCCTTCATGAGCTACACTTTTACATGAAAATGATTTTGCAGCCAACCTTCTATATGGGCAAACTTATGCCTTGATAGGTAAAAGACGAAGGGCCAATATGGGAGAGATTTTTTTTTTTTTTTGAGATGGAGTCTCACTCTGTTGCCCAGGCTGGAGTGCAGTGGTGTGATCTCAGCTCACTGCAACCTCCGACTCCATGGTTCAAATGATTCTCCTGCCTCAGCCTGCTGAATAGCTGGGATTACAGGCACATGCCATCACACCCAGCTAAGTTTTGTATTTTTAGTAGAGACAGGGTTTCACCATGTTGGCCGTGATGGTCTCGATCTCCTGACCTCGTGATCTGCCCGCCTCAGCCTCCCAAAGTGCTGAGATTACAGGCGTGAGCCACTGCACCCGGCCTGGTGAGAATTTTTAATAGGACATCTGTTGCCTCATAATATCAAAAATGGAATATTTGTCCACTGCTCTTAACCTACCTTATAAGTTAAAGAGAACTTATTCAGAATAGATTACAGAGTGTTGCCAGGAGGCCAGTACTCTTCTTAATGGGTATCACTTGTTAGGTCTTTTTTTCCCCCATGGTTTAGAGTAAATGAGGCAATGGTTAAAAATTTATTCCCTATGCTGGCGCAGTGTCTCATGCCTGTAATCTCAGCACTTTGGGAGGCCGAGGCAGGCAGATCACC
The DNA here is from genome assembly GCF_000001405.40 of Homo sapiens. NCBI lineage: Eukaryota > Metazoa > Chordata > Mammalia > Primates > Hominidae > Homo > Homo sapiens. The sequence goes on along the minus strand of NC_000019.10, from coordinate 21,771,982 downwards.
AGGTCAGGAGTTTGAGACCAGCCTGGCCGACATGGTGAAACCCCATCTCTACTAAAAATACAAAAATTAGTAGGGCGTGGTGGCGTGTGCCTGTAATGCCAGCTACTGGGGAGGCTGAGGCAGAAGAATCGCTTGAACCTGGAGGCAGAGGTTGCAGTGAGCTGAGATCATGCCACTGCACTCCAGCCTGGGCAACAGAGTGAGACTCTGTCTCGGAAAAAAAAAAGAAAAAAAGAAAAAAAGAAATTTATTCCCCATAATAGGGCTCTATAGCAAATTCTATTGTAAAGGCTATGGTTACACAATAGACTTTAATTTTTCTTAGTAAAATTGTGGTAAATAATAGAATTTCTCTAGATTATTTACTGGATAAACAGAGAAGTATCTGTGAAGTTGCTAATACTTATAGTTGCACATAGAGAAATTCACCAGGTATTACAGAGATTCAGTTGTAGGAGATTAGTGAATAGGCTGCTTGTTTGAAATGAGGAGAACATTTATGTAGCTAATTATTTGATCTATTTAATTTTAGTTGGTGGGTTCATGGGACCCTGACTAAAAAGCATACTTGAAACTTTTGGTTATTACCCCCAGATAGTCAAAATAGTAGTCTCCCTACTGCACTGTATTCTCTCAAAAGTTATTGAAGTTTGCATGCAGTTATCTCTAGAATGTGAAATAGTCTCTCTTTAACTGGAACCACAAAAAGTCAAATACATACGTGACCATGAGGACACCATAACCTATGAATGAACTGATAAAAACAAAAACCAAAAATAATAGAAACTGAGAGTGACACTAAGACCCTGAGTTTTAGTCACACTCTGACCTATTTGAGAACTTAACCAAAAGGTGGAAAATTTTTAAACAAAATTATTGGAGGCCATTATTCTGGACTGACCTTGTGCACTAGGCCCAAACAGACCAAATCAAAGTAAATGGAGTCACTCATGCTAAATGTGAAATAATCAAATTAAAAATTTAAGTAAATAGGTAGATCTTAAAACAGGGTAGGTTTTATTTTTATTTTGGAAACAGCAGATTTCGATACAAGATGGTCCCCTCTACTGCAACCCTAAAAAACAAATAACGTGAAGTCCTTGTTTCCACTTTTAAAACCCACAGTTCTGCTATTTCATAGTGGGATTTGAGACTAAATAAGTACACTTTTGATGGTGACAGAGTAATATCAATGTCTAAAGTTTTGGTCTATCTCTCAAAATTGAGAACGTGACCAAAAGGGAGAAATTGTTAAATTAATTATCTCTAAAGCTGCACCCTTTCCTGTTTAACTTTGGTCACTAGGTTTTTTTGTACATAGTAAACTGAAACCTAACTGGATATATAAATAGACTGTAACCCATTATTGTACCAACCACTGTGCTTCTGCCAATAAAAGAACATCAAGTGTTCAAATCATGATTAAATAAGGCAAATCCCAACCTGTAATCAATCTGGCTGTTTCTGTACCTCACTTTCATTTTCTGTATGTCACTTTGCTTTTGCTGTCTATCAATCTGTTTTCATCATGTGGCTGTGCTAGAGTCTCTCTGCGCCTACTCTGGATCCACAGGCTACCCAATCTGCAAATCATTCCATGCTCAATTGGACTCTGCTGCTCACGCCTGTAATCCCAGCACTTTGGGAGGACAAGGTGGGCAGATCACGAGGTCAGGAATTCGAGAGCAGCCTGACCAACATGGTAAAACCCCGTCTCTACTAAAAATACAAAAATTAGCTGGTCGTGGTGGCGGATGCCTATAATCCAGGTACTCAGAAGGCTGAGGCAGGAGAATCGCTTGAACTGGGGAGGCCGAGGTTGCAGTGAGCCAAGATCGCACTGCTGTGCTCCAGCCTGGGTGACAGAGCGAGACTCCATCTCAAAAATAAAAAATAAATTTAAAAAATTTATTAATTTCTCTAAAGATTTTTCCTTTTAATGGATTTCAACTATTTTCTATGATGAAAAATAAATAATGTGTTGTTGGTCTTTGATTTTCTAAACTCATCCTTCAGTTATTTCCCCAAATTATTTTATATCTTTTCAAAATGCTTCTCCAATTTTTTTCTTTCTTTTTTTTTTTTTGAGACAGGGACTCACTCTGTCACCCAGTCTTGATTGCAGTGGTGTAACTACTCATAGCTCACTGCAGCCTTGACTTTCCAGGCTTAAGCAATCCTCCTGCCTCGGCCACCTAAGTATCTGGGACTATAGGCATGCACCACCATGGGTGGCTAATTTCTTCATTTTTGTCATGGAAACAGAATCTTATTATGTTGATCAGGCTGCATTGGAACTCCTAAGCTCACATAAATCTCCCATATCAGCCTCCCAAAGTACTAAAAATACAGGTGAGAGCCACCGTGTGCTTCTGCAATTTTTGTGAGGATTATTCCCAAATGAGCACAAATCTAAAAGGAATCTGACTTCTACTATGGAAGTGTCACTCTCCAGGATTTCAATAGTCTAGGGCAGGGCAGCTACTTTAGTAGTGTCATCTATGGAGGTGCATGGGCTTTGGAGTCAGATAAAGTTGATCCTGAGTCTCAGCCCAGCCACTTAGTAGCCGTAGGACTTTGCACAAGTTTCCTGATGTGGAAGAGTTCTATATACCACATATGCAAAAAAGGTAGAATGATACTGATTGCAAAATGACATTTTTTCATCCCTCTTGTATCTTTGCCCATAACCAGGTGCTTTTACAGCTGTTTCCATCAAGATCTGGAATCTGTTTTCAAAGCCCTATATCTGGCTGACCTTATTTGCTCAGGTCAACAGAAACCTGTGAACATGACAGTGGGCCAGTTTGGGGCCCAGGCTCAAATGGTATTGACTGCTTCTCTTTTTCTTTTAGAATGCTGCCATCTCCATGAATAATGCCCATGTTAGCCAGCTGGAAAATAAGATACCATGAAGAGGAGAAGCAAGGTGCCCCTGTTGACAGACCCAGGAGCAGAAGCTCACCCCCAGATGCACAGCTGTCTAGTCAAAAAGCAGGTGATGATACATGTCTGAAGGAGCTCAGCTGAGACCAGAAGAATGGCCCCACTCAGCTCGGCCTAAATGGCCAACCATTTCAATTATAAACTAATAAGTTTTGGATGATTTGTTATGCCTCAATAGCTAACTAATACATGCACCCAGTACAGATAAGTTGCCAGGATTCAGTGACAGGTTGACTAAGAGTTGGCTTCTAACAGTGGACACCCTCTAGGTACTGATTTCTTCCCCTGATTTAAAGTTCGATGTTTTGTAAGAGAATTTTGGGTAATGCAGAAATACCTGTAGACATGTATGCGTGTGATTGGTGCTTAGACTCACATAGTCCCCCACACCACAGGAGAAAACAGATAAACACAGCCTGATTGTTAGGGCCAAGACCATATAGCAAACTATGTTTGTTTTTAATCTATTTTCTCCATCTCTAAATACTGGAGTTCAAGTGTGTGGACAGAACTGAAGACATAGTTGTTTTTTCTCCTGTGGCCCCATCATCCTTTGTTCACTATCTGGTCTCTAAAAGAAAGGTGGGCAACAGGTGGCCAGCAGTTGTTTATTACCTGTGGCTATTTTATTCCTACTGCCCTCAGCTCTTTCTATGGGAACTATCTGGTCCACCCTAGGAACCAAAGAGAGATGTTTGTAGGGAGAGTCTCTTCTTTCACTCTCGCAGGAAAGAGATGTTCAGGCCCTTCACACCGCTGACATCAGAGCTGCACTTCAATGTGACAGCTATTGTCCATGTGTGGCTACTGGGTTCCCACAATGTGCCTGGTCTGAAATGCGATATGCTAGAAAGGTAAAATACAAAGTCAGCTTCAAAGATTTAGTTCCAAATATTTATATATTTTATCAATAATTACATATTTCTCACACATTAAAATGATAATATTTTGAATATAATGGGTGAATTACATTGTTAACAATCAGTTCAACTTGTTTCTTTTTAAAGTTTGGCTACTAGAAAATTTCAAATCCACATGTGGCTGACATTCATTTTAGATGATTTTCTCTTTTCTAAAATCTCAGGCTGCCTGCTCAAAGGGCCAGAAGCCAGGAAGGTCATAAAAGCTGAAATTTTAAAATAATTGTTATATTCTTTTCACTTGTGTATAGCTATATAATGTATTATTTATTTATACATATGACCTTATACACAAATTTAAAGGCAAATACTCTCTGGGATGGGCCTAGCTCAGCTGAGGGAGGAAGCCCTGTCAGAAGAGGGGGCAGTCTAGGCTGTCACTCTTTCTTCATTGAACCCGCATCTGATCACATCTTCTGTCACTCAAAGCCTGACAGGGCGGGGATTTAAGCATTATCCAACCAGGGACGCTGGGCTGGAAACCGTCCAATCAGGCATGCAGCTGGAGCGGACTGGACGGCTTCCGGGTTTGGCGGGGTCTTTGTCTCTCGCTGTAGCCGGAGCTCCAGGTTTTGCTCTCACTTCTCTGTGTCTTCTGCTCCTAGGGGCCTAGCCTGTGTGGCCCTCTGACCTGCAGATATTGGGAGATCCACAGCTAAGACGCCAGGACCCCCTAGAAGCCTAGAAATGGTGAGAGTGCCCGGTCCGACATCCCGAGAGACGGCGAAAGGGCTGGTTGGAACTGGTGGGAAGTAGCTGTGGCGGGACTCAGGCCTCTCCGCAGTCAGCTTCACAATCTGCGCCTTGCCCAGCTCGGCCTCCGTCCCCTTCGGCCATAAGATGGCGGCTGCGCTGACAGCCAGGACCCCAGGCGTCCTTTCTCTTCCCTGCGTAGTGACTGTGCCTTGGCCTGGAGCCCTCTCTTGGCAGCTCTGCACCCGCAGCGCCGCGTCTCTCTCAGATTGTGCAGGGACCACGGGAGGGTCGTCAGGGGAAAATCCTGACTCGGGGTGCGGGTTCATGAATGGGAAGATCTTTGGTCCGTGGCTTTCCCAGTTCCTCTTTTCTCCTATTAAAAATGTATGGGAGTCACTGCACAAATATTAACGATTTTTTTGTTTGTTTGAGACGGAGTCGCTCTGTCGCCCAGGCTAGGGTTTAGTGGCGCGATCTCCCCTCACTGCAACCTCCGCCTCCCGGGTTCTGGAGATTCTCCTGGCTCAGCCTCCCGAGTAACTGGGATTACAGGCGCCTGTCACTGGGCCGGCCTTATTTTTTTGTATTTTTAGTTGGGACGGGGTTTCACCTCGTTGGCCAGGCTGGTCTTGAACTCCTGACCTCGTGATCCGCCCGCCTTGGCCTCCTAAAGTGCTGGGATTACAGGCGTGAGCCACCGCGCCTGGCCTAAAGAATTTAATCAAACAGTGATTCAAGAATCATAGAGTATCCAGCTATGGTTTGTAGTTTGTTGTCTATGGGAGAGGCTTGAAGGAAAGTCATTTATAAAATGTATGATGAAGAAAACTAAATTTAGTAATTGGTTACAGTAACGTAGTTTCTTGATTTGTACAATACAGGTGAAGATTTCCTGGTTGTGTAATCAGAGGTTAATTAACAGTTTATAGTTGTTTAAGCCTACATTTTCTCTGAATGTAGTAATTAAAAAAAAAATGCACCTGAGTTAGATTTTTTTTTTTTTTAAGTAGGAACCCAGGGACTAGAGACACCTCAGTGGAATTGCCTGTCTCTTAATTATTTTCACACTCCACGGGGAACTGATTTTCTGCTGCATTTTTCACCTGTGTCCCAAGCAGGTTGTTAAGTCTAACCCCCGTCCCCCATTTCTCCAGCCTCACTCTGGCTTGCAGTAAGATACTAAATTTCCAATTTCTTCTGGCGTTCCCAAATGTCAACTTTTCCTTCCTAATTCACATTATCACCTATTTGTCCTTTAGTGTACTTGTTTATACCATATTTTAATTAATTGTTTTTGACAAAGCATTAAATGGCGCTTTTAAGAAGATGTGTTATCCGCTTGTAAATATTTCCCACGAAAAGGAAACAAAGACTAATCCTCTGACACTGTATTGTAGAAAATCTCTGTGTCTCTTTTCCTTTTACCTTCTCTAGGCACAGAGATTTATCAGAATGTTTTTGGGTCAAGGTTTTGATTTGGAAAAATCTATGGGGTGATGTGTCCTCAGCCACCCTTTAGTTTTTTCCTGGTCCTGGGTTTCAGTACTATCTGTGGATAAACCGAGATATCCGCCATGGTTCTGTCAGCTAAAGTGCCTAGTGAATGTCAGCTTCTGGTTTATTTTCTCCCGTAGGATGACCCGAGGTATGGAATGTGTCCTCTCAAGGGAGCAAGTGGATGCCCTGGGGCTGAGAGGAGTCTTCTGGTGCAGTCTTATTTTGAAAAGGTAACCCCTTGAGACATTAAAATTGTCTTCACCCAACCCAGCTTTCATTTCTTGGAGACACGTTGCTGGTCAGCCAATCAGATGCTGGTATTGAGGGGAAACACAAAAATAATTTCTGCTCCCTGGATCATCTAAGGGGGGCAGAAAAATAGTGAAATAAATATAAAGAAAAATATTGGAAAAAAAAGTGAAAATTTTGTTACCAAAAAGTATTCCAAAAGACAAACAACAACAGAACTGACCCCAGTGAGATGGTGTAAGAGCTTGCAAAGTAAAATGCACCTGGGGCAGTCACTGGGGCATAATGCAGTGTCTTCTGAGTGGGTGGTTCTTGAGCACATAAGTGAGCAGGAGTGGGTGGAAGAATCTCTCCAGTGATTGAATGACCTGACTTGAAACATGAGTCAGACACATCTGTTATTTAATCAGCACTGCCACTACCTGGGTTTGTCACCTTGAAGATATTTGTCACTTATTTTGACCTCAGTTTTTTAGCTGTAAATTGCATTATATTAGTAGGGCTTGAAAGGTAGAAAAATATTTACAAAGGTCATGAAAGAGGTGGGTTTCAGAAAAAAATGTCTGATCATGTATTTCATTTGTCAAAAATTTGTTAAAAATTCTCATTTACTGTTTTTCCCAGAGTGAGTTAGGAATTTTCTCAGGTGTGTTTTTTTTATGGCTGAGTGATTTCAAACAGAATTTCAAGGCTTAGCTTTTAGAATGCTCCCAGGCAAAATCTCTCAATTTTAGTTTTGGAAAATGAATACATTTCCACAAGAAAATGTGGTGGATAATTGGTGAGTTACATAGATTCATTAAAACATCAGTTTCTTTTTTTTCAGGGTAAATTTGTGACAGTGAATATCTGTGTTCAGATCCTGTTACATTGATTTTTGAGTTTTATGCTAAATTTTATGAGATGAAACTCGGTACTGTTTAGAAGTGCTCCCATATGACTCATTGTTTACAAAATAATTTTAAATGGAATTAATAAAGTAATACGTTTATTGTCTGAAAGAAATAGATACTTTTGCTTTTTTTTTTTTTTCCCCACACGGAGTCTGGTTCTGTCACCCAGGCTGGAGGGCAATGGCACCATCTTGGCTCACTGCAACCTCCGCCTCCCGGGTTCAAGTGATTCTCCTGCCTCAGCCTCCTGAGTAGCTGCGATTAGAGGCGCACCACTATGCCCGGCTAATTTTTGTACTTTTAGTAGAGGCGGGGTTTCACTATGTTGGTCAGGCTGGTCTCAAACTCCTAACCTCGCGATCTGCCCGCCTTGGCCTCCCGAAGTGCTGGAATTACAAGCATGAGCCACCATGCCCGGCCTGATACTTTTGCTTTTCTTATTGAGGTATAAAATGTAAGCACCTTAAAATTCCCTTCCCTTATATGAACACTGCATTTTGCTGGATTTTTCAGACACTTAATTTCAACAACCAAGTGAATAACTCTTAACATGGAAATTAGAGCTTGGTCCCAGTGACTCAGAGCTAAGGCTAATATTGAGCCTGCAGAAGAAATTTAATAACGGCCTTGTTAGTTTTTTCTGGGGAGTCTCTCCTGCAGATGTCCCAGCCTTCTCACTGCAGCCATGGAAGAAGCCTATCTGCTGAGAGAAGCTACAGAGTCCTGGAAAGCTGGGGGCTCACAGGCAGATGCAGTTAAGGTTAACATAAAAGGGGATTGGGAGGGTCTTGCTGATGATGAAGTTGTTATTGTTTTAAGGCAGTTTCTAGACTTTGTAATGTATAACCAAGTTCAATTTATTTAAAAAATTTGAATTCCAAAAAAGTATTAGAACAGGAGGAATACCAACTATAAAAACTTTAAGAATTGCCAAGTTTAGGCAGACGAGGGCTTTCTTTCATACAGTGGAGCAAAAAAGATTAGAGAGAAGGTGGGAAGGGAATGGCAGTTGGAGATTGAAAAGGTTAGATTTTAGATTAGAGAATGTTTTACCCTGAAGTCAGCATGTTCTTAGGAGGGGCACAGAATGAAGTTTTAAGTTAGCTCAGATTGAGGGTAGCTCAAAGTTCAGGAGCCCACGTAAAATTTTACTTAGACCACTGAAGACAAATTTAGCTGATTTTTTTCCCCCCGGGATGGAGTCTTACTCTGTCGCCAGGCTGAAGTGCAGTGGTGCAATCTCGGCTCACTGCAACCTCTGCCTCCCAGGTTCAAGCGATTCCTTTGCCTCAGCCTCCCAAGTAGCTGGGAATACAGGTGCGTGCCACCATGCCCAGCTAATTTTTGTGTTTTTAGTAGAGACGGGGTTTCACCATGTTAGCCAGGATGGTCTCAATCTCCTTGTGATCTGCCCACCTCGGTCTCCCAAAGTGCTGGGATTACAGGCATGAGCCACCACGCCAGCCTTAGCCAATTTTTTTTCATGAGAAAAAGAAAAAATATGTGCAGAGATTTTACCGAAAAGGGTCCCAATCCAAACCCCAAGAGAGGGTCCTTGGATTTCACTCAAGAATCAAGGTGAGTCCATAAAGTGAAAGTAAGTTTATTAATAAGAAATAAAAGAATGGTTTACTCTACAGGCAGAGCAGCCCCAAGGACTGCTGGTTGCCCATTTTTATGGTTATTTTTTGATTATTTGCTAAACAAGGGGTGGAGTATTTATGCCTCCCCATTTTGGACCCTAAAGGGTAACTGCCTGATGTTTCCATGGCATATGTAAACTCTCATAGCACTGATGGGAGTGTAGCAGTGAGGATGACCAGAGGTCACACTCATCACCATCTTGGTTTTGGAGGGTTTTATCTCACTTCTTTACTGCAAGTTGTTTTATCAGCCAGGTCTTTATGGCCTGTATTTTGTGCTGATCTCCTGTCTCATCCTGTGACTTAGAATGGTTAACTATCTGGGAATGCAGGCCAGTAGATCTCAGCCCTGTTTTACCCAGGCCCTATTCAAAATGGATTTGCTTTGGTTCAATATGCCTCTGACATTTTCCCCCTCTATTATTATTGTTATTTTTTTAAACAAGGAAACCCTTAATCCTAAGGGTTGTAGTGGGACGAAGATCAATCTTCTGTTACTACTTCATGCTGAATAGAGGTGATGATATTCTTGCCTATTAGCGTCTTTTGTATTTGAGGTAGAGAGGAGCTCAATCAGAAAGCATCAGTTTGATGACGGCCATTCCTAACTCCCAGTTCCAACAATAGGTGATATCTGGAAGATTAATAAGTGTTCACTTTAAGAAAACACCCAGTAAGTTTATTCTGCATTTCTACACAAGGAGTAGAATGGCAATATATTCTACAACAGTAAAGCAAAATAAGCAAAATTCTTCCAAGGAAACTTAAGAAAGCTTTTCATGAACTGGGCATTTGTTGGAACCAAGCTGATAGGAAGTCGTGGCTGATTGTCATGTCTTCATAATTCAAACAGTAATCCAGATTTTTACATAATCCATCTTATGACACTGTTAGTAGTAGAAAGAGAAAGCTAAGCTTTGTGACTGTTTTGTTTAGGAGTGCTATTTTTTTTTCTTTTTTTGAGGCATAGTCTTGCTTTGTTCCCCAGGCTGGAGTGCAGTGGCATGATCTTGGCTTACTGCAACCTCTGCCTCCCAAGTTCAAGTGATTCTCCTGCCTCAGCCTCCTGAGTAGCTGAGATTACAAGTGCACACCACCATGCCCAGCTGATTTTGTATTTTCACTAACTCTTAACCTCAAGTGATCTGCCTGCCTTGGTCTCCCAAGTGCTGGTGAGCCACTGTGCTTGGCCTACTAGTGCTATTTTAAAAATATCTTTCAGATTCATGCTTTCTGACCGGCTCTAGCCACAGACTCAACTCTGTGAACTCTATTGTCTCCAAGATGTGAGCAAAGCAAGATCAGCAGGATGTAGGTTGGGAGTGGGTGGTGGATATTACCTGTTGTGTTAGCCACCAAATTAACATGAAGAAGTGAACTGCTATGGCTGGAAGATATGCCATCTTCAAGTTCAAAAATAACTGCAAATAAACATAAGACAATGTGAAGTGTGAACATAAAAAAAAAAAGTTTTAGTCTTATACTTGGCCCGATTATTTCTATAAAGTGTAGCAAGAATAATTATTTTTCACATAGGCCTTTTAAATTGGGTTTGATGGAACCTTGTTTCATAAAAGGAATCTCAGATAAGAAATTTTTTTATTTACCGCTAGCCAGGAACCCTGTACAGGGGCTGTGTAGACAAGGTATAATACCAGTTTTCCCATGGAGCTTTATTGGTTCTACAAGTCAAGTTTAGTTCATTAAAGCAAAGTATGTCATTCTAGTCAGAAGCCTTGGTAAAATAACAAGTTTCTCTAATTGTGTCCTGTTGTAAAAGAAAACAGTTTCTTATTGCACTTATATAAATAACTAAATTGTTTTAAGTTCAGAATACTCACAAATATTTTCCAAATTTTTTTCACAGGTGTATACTTTACTCAATTGTTAAAAGGTGTGAATAGTTCAAAAGAATAGTTTTTTTGACTCTGAAAAACAAAACAAAGGATCAGTGATGTTTTAGGCGAAGTCAAAAAATATTACTTCAGTCTTCTATTAGTTCAGTCCACTCAGTTAATTCCTGTTCTGTTTGATAGTCATGACCATTTTAGTTCTCCATTAGTATTGAAAGTTCTTCCTCAGGCCGGGCACGGTTGCTCACCCCTGTAATGCCAGCACTTTGGGAGGCTGAAGCGGGCAGATCACGAAGTCAGGAGATCAAGACTATCCTGGCTAACATGGTGAAACCCTGTCTGTACTAAAAATACAAAAAAAAATAGTGGGACATGGTTGCGGGCACCTGTAGTCCCAGCTACTCGGGAGGCTGAGGAAGGAGAGTGGCATGAAACTGCAAAGTGGAACTTCCAGTGAGCCGAGATCGCACCACTGCACTCCAGCCTGGGCGACAGAGTGAGACTCCATCTCAAAAAAAAAAAAAAAAAAAACAAGAAAGTTCTTCCTCTATTCTAATGTCACAATTTCTAATGTTATCAGAAACTTGCATTTAAGAACACCTATCATTGTCTTATAGTGGACTACAAATCATCTTTTGAAGAGGATCAACACAAGATGATTGTCTGGATGGCAAAGTCTTAGGGCAGTTACAGTAAAAAAAAAATTGACAAGGAAATTTGGTTAGCTCTGTGGCATACAATGATTTTAGGTAACAATGTAATTATTATTATTATTTTATTTTATTTTTTTTTAGATGGAGTCTTGCTTTGTCCCCTAGGCTGGAGTGTAGTGGTGCAATCTTGGCTCACTGCAACCTCCGCCTCTCAGGTTCAAGCGATTCTCCCGCCTCAGCCTCCCAACTAGCTAGGATTACAGGCACCTGCCATCACATGCAGGGCTAAGTTTTGTATTTTTAATAGAGACGGGGTTTCACCATGTTGGACAGGCTGGTCTTGAACTCCTGACCTCAGGTGACTCGCTAGCCTCAGCCTCCCAAAGTGTAATTATTAATAACATACACTTAGTCATATTAGAATAATAGCAATTTCCTTTTTTTTTTTTTTGAGACGGAGTCTCACTATTTTGCTCAGGCTAGAGTACAATGGCTCGATCTTGGCTCAGTGCAACCTCTGCCTCCCAGGTTCAAGCAATTCTCCTGCCTCAGCCTCCCGAGTTGCTGGGATTACAGGTATGTGCCACCACGCCCAGCTAATTTTATATTTTTAGTAGAGATGGGGTTTCTCCATGTTGGTCAGGCTGGTCTCGAACTCCCAACCTCAGGTGATCCACCCATCTCGGCCTCCGAAAGTGCTGAGATTACAGGCGTGAGCCACTGCACCTGGCCTGTACATTTATTAAGAAAGTGGAGATATAAGAGAATGGCTTTCTCCATAGGCTGGTTGCCCATTTTTATGGTTATTTCTTAATTTTATGGTAAACAAGAAGTGGAATATTTATGCCTCTCCTGTTTAGACCATTATGGTGTAACTTCCTGATGTTTCCATGGCATTTGTAAACCGTCATGGCACCGGTGGGGGTGTAGCAGTGAGGATGACCACAGGACACTCTCATCACCATCTTGGTTTTGGTGGGTTTTATCCCACTTCTTTACTGCAAACTGTTTTATCAGCCAGCTCTTTATGACCTGTATCTTGTGCTGACCTCCAGTCTCATCTTGTGACTTAGAATGCCTAACCATCTGGGAATGTAGCCCAGTGGTTGCAGCCTTATTTTACTCAGCCATATTCAAAATCGAGTTGCTCTAGTTCAATAGTCTGTGGCTATGTGATAAAAAAGAAAAGAGAGCACTGTGTAATTCATAATGGAAGAGTGTTTCTTTCCATAAACTGTTCCTGGAGAACACAGAGGATGAAAAATTTTATTAATCACAGCTATTTACCAGGGTTATCTATATGTTTCATCTTTCCCCACCTCTTCTTTTTGTTCTATACATTTCTTCTATTTGATTTTTCCTGGGTTGTATCTTTTATAATCTGTAAACATAGCTGCAGTGTTTTGCTGAGTTCTGTGAGTAGCTCCATCAAATTATTGAACTTGAGGAAGGTCGCAGGAGTCCTCAGTTTTTAAACAGTAGCCCAGAAACATAGATGGGCCTATGGGGTTTGTGACTGGCAACTGCAAAGAGGGCAATGTTATGAGACTAAACCTTGAATCAGGGTCTTTGCTGACTCTGCATGGTGTCAGAATTCGAATGTTAGACATTGAGTTGGTGCTAGAGAATTGCTTGGTATTCAGCAAACTCTGCAGTTTTGGTGGTAGAAGAAAGATATCATGGAGACCTGGCCTGGAATGGAACTCTTGGTGTCTTGGAGTGGGAGGCTCTGTTCTCGTCTAAAGGAGAACAAAGCCTTTCATTGTCGTGTGATTCCAGATCTTCTAGGGTAAGAGAGGATGAAAACTTAGAGGAAAGGAACTCTGATGACAGACCCCCTTGTTCCACAGCTATCACCACAGGATTCTGATCCACTCACAAACATACCCACTAGACATTGACGTGTCCACACCCCTCCCAGGACTAGTCACCACACTTGGGAATTTCACTACAGCGTTGTGGATCCTAGTATTTCTTGCCAAAAAGCCACAAAAGTGTCCACAAGTCTCCTGGCATATCCCAACCCCCAGACAATGAATCTGCAGCAGCAACCTGTTTTCTCCACCAGCCTAGGGTCCTGGACTACCTGTTCATAATCTTCTCTGCCTGCATGGACCCAGAAATAAATCAGAGTACAGCGCCACCTGGGCCACTGTCTGTAGAACAAACAATCCACTTACACTGCATTCTTCCCCACCCATGGATTTTCTTTTTCTACACGTGTACATGTGCAGGGTTGTTATATGGGTAAAATTGTGTCATGGGGGTTTGGTGTAGATTATTTTGTCACTGAGGTACTAAGCATAGCACCAAAGAGGTATTTTTTTCTGATCCTCTTTGTCCTTTCATCCTCCATTCTCAGCTAGGCCCCGTGACTGTTCCTCGTGTCCATGTGTTCTTATTATTTAGCTCTTACAAATGATAACATGCATTTGGTTTTGTGTTCTGCATGAGTTTTCTAAGGCTAATGGTCTCCAGCGCCATCCGTGTTGCTGCAGAGATCTTTATCTTGGTGGTGTTTGTTTTATGGCCACATAGTCTTCCATGTTGCTTATGTACCATATTTTGTTTCTATTAAATCTTTTCTTTATTTTTTTTTAAGACAGTGTCTCACTCTGTCACACAGGCTGAAGTGCAGTACAGTTGTGGCTCACTTCAGCCTCAACCTCCAAGGCTCAAGGGGTCCTCCTACCTCAGCCCATTAAGTAACTGGGACTACAGGCACACACTACCATGTCTGCCTAATTATTTTTATTTTTTGTAGAGATGGGGTTTTGCCATGCTGCCCAGACTCGTCTTGAACTCTTGAGCTAAGGCAATCCACCTGCCTTGGCCTCCCAAAGTGCTGGGATTACAAGAATGAGCTCTGTCATCTGACCATACCATATTTTTTTCAATCTAGGCTACCACTGATAGGCATTTAGGTTTATTCCATGTCTTTGTTATTGTAAACAGTGCTGAAATGAACATGCATGTGCATGTGACTTTATGGTAGAATAATTTATATTTCTTTGAATATATACCCAGTTAAGAGGTTGCTGGGTCCGATGGTAATTCTGTTTTTAGTTCTGTGAAGAATCGCCACACTGCTTTTCACAATGGTTGAACTAATTTACACTCGCACCAACAGTGTATAAAAGCATTCCCTTTTCTCTGCAACCTTGCCAGTATCTGTTAGTGACTATTTTTTTCCTTTGAGACAGGGTCTCACTCTGTGACCAAGGCTGGAGTTCAGTGGCATATCTTGGCTCAGTGCAACCTCTGCTTCATGGGTTGAAGCATTTCTCATGCCTCAGCCTCTTGAGTAGCTGGAACTACAGACATGCACCACCATGCCCTGATAATTCTTGTATTTTTAGTAGAGATGAAGTTTTGCAGTATTGGCCAGGCTGGCCTGAAACTCCTGATCTCAAGTGATCTACCTGCCTTGGGCTCCCAAAGTGCTAGAATTATAGGCATGTGCCACCTTGCCCAGCTAATTTTTGTATTTTTAGTGGAGACAGGGTTTCACCACGTTGGCCAGGCTGGTATCGCACTCCTTACCTCAACTGATCCACACCCACCTTGGCCTCCCAAAGTGCTGGAATTACAGGTGTGAGCCACCTCTCCCAGCTTGTTCCAGCACCATTTATTAAATAGGGAATTATTTCCTCATTCCTCTTGTCAGCTTTGTCAAAGATCAGATAGTTGGAGGTGTGTGGCATTATTTCTGGCCTCTCTATTGTGTTGCATTTTTCTATGCATCTCTTTTTGCATCAGTATTATGCTGCTTTGGTTATCGTAGCCCTGTAGTGTAGTTTGAAGAGGGTTAATGTAATACCTCCAGCTTTGTTCTTTTTGCTTAAAATTGCCTTGGCTATTCAGGCTTATTTTAGTTCCATATAAATTTTAAAATAGTTAAGTTTTAGTTCTGTTAACAATGTTTTTGGTAGTTTGATAGGAATAGCATTAAGTCAGTAAATTTCTTTGGGTAGTTTTGACATTTTAGTGATGCTAATCTTTTCTATCCATGGCATAAAATGGTTTTCCATTTGTTTATGTCATCTCTCACTTCTTTAAGCAGTGTTTGATCATCTTGTCATAGAGATCTTTCACATTCCTGGGTAGCTGTATTCCTCGATATTTGTGTGTGTGTGTGTGTGGCAATTGTGAATGGCATTATGTTTTTGATTTGGCTTTTGGCTTGGATGTTGTTGATGTACAGAGATGCTACTGATTTAGTATCCTGAAACTTTGCAGAACTTGCTTTTCAGTTTAAAGAGCTTTTCTGCTGAGACTGTACCAATTCTATGTCGAACAGGAGTTTTGAGGGAAGGCATCCTTGTCTTGTGCCAGTTTTCAAGGAGGAATGCTTCTCACTTGTGTCCATTTAGTATGTTGGCTGTAAGTTTGTGAAAGATGACTCATTATTTTGAAGTATGTACCTTCAATGCCTAGTTTGTTGAGGGTTTTAAACATGAAGGATAGTAAATTATATTGAAGGCTTTTTTAGCATCTATTGAAATAATCATGTGGTTTTTGTCTTTAGTTTTGGTTTATGTGATAAGTAACATTTTTTTCCTCTTTTAAAAAATTTCTTCTAAAAAAGCAGGGAGATACACTTGCAGAACATGCAGGTTTGTTACATAGGTATGTGTGCCATGGTGGTTTGGTGCGCCTATTCACCCGTCCTCTATGTTCTGTCTCCTCACCATTCACCCCTCAACAGGCCCTGTGGGTGTAGTTTCCCTCTCTGTGTCCATGTGTTCTCATTGTTCAGCTCCCACTTATGAGTGAGAACATGCAATGTTTTGTTTTCTGTTCCTGTGTTAGTTTGCTGAGGATGCTGGCTTCCAGCTTCATTCATGTTCCTGCAGAGGACATGATCTCATTCCTTTTGATGGCTGCATAGTATTCCATGGCTTATATGTACCACATTTTCTTTATCCAGTCTGTCATTGATGGGCATTTGGGTTGGCTCCATGTCTTTGTTATTGTAAATAGTGCTGCAGTAAACATACATGTGCATGTGTCTTTATAGTAGAATGGTTTATATTCCTTTGGGTATATACCCAGTAATGGGATTGCTGGATCAAATGGTAATTCTGGTCTAGATCCTTGAGGAATGACCATACTGTCTTCCACAATGGTTAGACTAATTTGCCTTCCCACCAAGAGTGTAAAAGTGTTACTATTTCTCCACAGCCTCACCGGCATCTGTTTCTTGACTTTTTAATCATTACCATTCTGACTGGTGTGAGATGTATCTCACTGTGGTTTTGATTTGCATTTCCCTGATGATCAGTGATGTTGAGCTTTTTTTTTTTTCTTTTTTTCTTTTTTCTTGAGACGGACTTTCACTCTCATTGGCCAGGCTGGAGTGCAATGGTGCGATCTTGGCTCACTGCAACCTCTGCCTCCTGGGTTCAAGCGAATCTCCTGCCTTAGCCTCCCGAGTAGCTGGGATTACATGCCCCACCATGCCTGGCTAAGTTTGTATTTTTAGTAGAGACGGGTTTCTCCATGTTGGCCAGGCTGGTCTTGAACTCCCGACCTCAGGTGATCCAGCCGCCTCGGCCTCCCAAAGTGCTGGGATTACAGGCGTGAGCTCGGCTGAGTGTATTTTCATGTTTGTTGGCCACATAAATGTCTTCTTTTGAGAAGTATCTGTTCATGTTTTGCCCACTTTTTGATGGGGTTGTCTTTCTTTTAAATTTGTATAAGTTCCTTATAAATTCTGGATATTAGACCTTTGTCAGATGGGTAGGTTGCAAAAATTTTCTCCTGTTCTGTAGGTTGTCTGTTCATTCTGATGATGGTTTTCTTTTGCTGTGCAGAAGCTCTTTAATTAGATCCCATTTGTCAAATTTTGGCTTTTGTTGCGATTCCTTTTGGTGTTTTTGTCATGAAGTCTTTCCCATGCCTTTGTCCTGAATGGTATTGCCTAGGTTTTCATTTAGGGTTTTTATGGTTAAACATTTAAGTGTTTAACCCATCTTGAGTTACTTTTTGTATAAGTTAATTTTTGTATAATTTTGTAAGGAAGGGGTCCAGTTTCAGTTTTCTGCATATGGCTAGCCAGTTTCCCCAGCACCATTTACTTAACAGAAGATCATTTCCCCATTGCTTTTGTCAGGTTTGTCAAAGGTCAGATGGTTGTAAATGTGTGGTGGTATTTCTGAGGTCTCTGTTCTGTTCCATTGGTTTTTAACATGAAGGGATGCTGAATTTTATCAAAGGCTTTTTTCTATTGAAATAATGATATGTTTTTAATTAAAAGAGTTTATTAACTTTTAATATAAACATGAGAAATAAAAACCACATAAATTGTAACATTCTTTTTAAAATAAAACAGCTATCAATACTTGACTCTCCAAGCTCTGAACTCCATAAACAATGTTTTGTTGTTTTTTTTTTGAGGTGGTAGATTGTAATATTTTTATACCATTATTTATCATTTATTTCTCTGCCCTTTAAAAATGATGGAAATTGCAGCACAATATGATGTGAAATATTGCTATAGTAGAGGAAGTATTCCTGGCCCAGGAATGCTTTGTTTATAAGCAAGATTCCTAGGATTAGATTTGAGTAAGTAGGAGAAATAGATTTCACATAATTGAGAACACTAATCTCCTTTTAGTTTTTCAAATTTAGATGGCATTATCAGTCTCCTAAAATTATTTGTTCCTTGCCTTTTAAAGCCTGAAGTAAGTGTTCCTAAGGGTTATGTAAGTTATTTCTTAAATAGCAGGACTTAATGGGACACCTACAGGTTGGTAGCATGTAGGATGATAAAACAGCTGTTCATATCACCTTCTATCATTAGGGCCCAGTTCCTTTTATTACATGTTAATTAACAGTGCTCTTCAAAATCTTCCTTTAAATTAAAGAAACTTCGGTGATCAATGCATATAGAGCACAGCTCTGCAAGTAATTCATTTTAAAAAGAGAAGGGCATTTTATGGAGATACAAGATATTCCAAAGGTTTAATGTAATTTTAAGCTTTGATACTTGTAGAAGTGCTACAAACCTTCATAAAACCTTGCCTGAATGTTTTTCTTTTCCTTCTTTTGAGATAGGGTCTGGATGTCGCCCAGACTGGAGTGCAGTAGCATGATCATGGCCCACTGCAGCCTTGACCCCGCAGGCTCAAGTGATCCTCCCACCTCAGCCTCCAGAGTAGCTGGGACTACAGACATACGCCACCATATCCAGCTAATTATTTTTATTTATTATTATTTTTTACAGACAGGGGCTCACTGTGTTGACTAGACTGGTCTTGAACTGCTGCGCTCAAGTAATCCTCCCACCTCAGCCTCCCAAAGTACTGAGATTATAGGCATGAATCACTATGCCCGGTGCATTTCTTTTGCATTTAATTTTGCATTTTTCTAAGAGATGGGGTCCCGATATGTTGTCCAGGTTGAAGTGCAGTAGCTATTTCTATAGGCACCATCACGATACACTGCAGCCTCCAATACCTGACCCCAAGCAATCCTCCAGCCACCCAAGTAGCTGGAACCTCAGGTGTGCACCACCACACCCAGCTTCATTTTGAGAATTTTGAATATAAAGCTTTTAATTTTTTGCTTCAGTCAAGAGTGACTTCAAGAGTGACTGAAACAAAAAATCAAAAGCCTAACATTCAGGAGACAAATGCAGGGTGCGCCTGCAGTCCCAGCCACTCGTGTGGCCGAGGCTAGAGGATGGCGCGAAGCCAGGAAGTTCTAGGCTGCAGTGCACCATGACTGCACTGGTGAACAGCCACCATACTCCAGCCTGGACAACACAGCAAGACCCCCATCTCTTAAAGAAAAAAAACAAAACTCTCAAATGATGTTTTTCAAAGGTTTATAGCATTTATACTCCTGCTGCAGTACCTTGGAGGGCCCAAACTATATTAAAGCTTAAAACTGCTTTACTTTTTTTTCACTGTCACTGAACCACCATGTTCATTGGCATTATGAAAATATCTTTTAATACATTTATTTAATAAGATAAAAATTATCAGAAAATGAGAAGTACCATTTATAGTTCACAAGAAATGCAACATGGACCCCAATAGAAGTAGATATCATAACTGATACTTCCTTTGTTTATGACCGCAGACATGCTAAAATGCTAAAGTAATGCTTGCAAAGAATATGAATGACAAATGTTATCCATCAGCTTTTTGGTTTAAAATGATTGCCAATGACTAGCAGCTTTAATGGTAACAGTAGGGAGGAAGAACCCTTCAATACCTAACAATGCTGCAGTCTGCTCCTAAGTGGCTTTAGTTAGAGTCCCTTGTTTTAAGGGCAATACTGCATTGATTCTAAAGGCATATGCAGCAAAATGAGCAGGGGGAGAAAAACTGGAAGAAACATAAAAGTTATATGGTTAATGTCTTTAAAGTCTAAAAATTTAAACTATTGTTTAAAAAACCTAACATAGTTCAGTTACTGGCCCACATTGTAAGCAAATATCTGTGTGTGGGATGGGAGCCTTCACTTTGGAGTGGTTTTGGTGACTCTGTTTACATTAAAAAGGACAGAAGAGTGTTTTGTTGCATTGACAAGGTCCCATTCTTTTCTATGGAGTATGATCCTTGTTGTCCGTGCGTCTCTTGAATTTGAGATCTTTCCTTTTGATGAAAACACTAATTTTGCTGGTTTTTGAGCAGGAAAGGTGGTATTTCTCCAGTCTTTGTAGATGAAGGTCCCGTGACATTATAACCCCTCATTTCTCCCTTTAAGAGAGGATGGCTTTAGAGTGCTGAATACCAATGAAGTTGATCAGCGCTGAAAGACCTTCTTACAGCTGCTCCACACAAGTCTTTGTCTTCACATAATCTAGAAATAGCCTCTAGGTTCTGTGCTCTTTCTTTGCTAAGAGGAGCAAATAGAAAATTCAGGTGGTCATCTGCTAAGGAGCGATGGTCAAGGTAGTGTTTGGCATAAACACTAGCAGGAACATTAATATTAAACTGAAGAAGCTCCGAAAAATGCCTTTCCATTTCATTCATGTCCTCAACTGTAATGTCCTTGAGGATCTGGCAGTAGTCCACATTCCATACAGCCTGATCATCCCAAACCTTGGAGGCAAGAAGAGTGGCTCCCAGAACAATCCTTTTCTAGTTAGTGGGGCAAATGTCGATTTCAGCATAAGTTAAAAGCCTTTCTAAGTAAACCAGAGTTACTGTTGCACATTCAGCTGTTAGCTGTGCAGCACTAAAAAGAGTATGAACAAATCTGTAAATAAATTTGTGCTCAGGATCATGCTTAAACTATTCCTGTGGAACTTTTTCTCGTGTGAGGGGATGTGATCTCTCATCAAAAATATCCAGGGATCTGTTTGCATCTCTGTTCTTTATGTGGTAATATATTTCTAAGGTCACATTTTACTGTGGTTCTAAGGTTAGGCTGGCTGACTGTTCTGTCACCTAGAAATATTGTTGAGCATGAGCTATACTTTTTAGTAAGCTGCCCTGGAGATAGATGATTTAAGTGGTTGCTCTTCCTCTTGTCTCGCACATCGGTTTGAGATTTGCTCAGGAAACTTGTGCTTGCCCTTGGATGGTCAGAAGGGTTTGACTCCAAAGCTAAATCTTAGGGCATCTCGTGGTCGCTGATGTGCTGCAGGTGGTGGCCCTCGCCCGCTGCGAAATCCAACTGGTAGGCTCCACAGAAGCGGGCGCTACCGCCACCGCATCCCCGGGTGCCGCCTCGTAGATGTCGGTTGCGCAGTACAGCTCTGGCACCACGCACCGGCCCAGCTTGAGGCTGGTACTGGGGGGACACGCAATAGGTCAGCGTGTTCCCCATGGGGCGTCTCTGCTCCTCTGGGCCGGGGCTGGCGCCTTCTCTAGCCCCCTACTCGCCGCCCTCAGCAGCCGCCCCTCCCCCAACAATGGCGCAGCCCAGGCTGCACCCGCGCAAGCAGGTGCCTCCTCGCTGGCAGTTCACCCGCCCACCCCGCGACCCGCCCCGGGCAGGGCTCCGGCCTCCCTGCACGCTCGCCGCGCTGCCGCTGCCTCCGCCTCCCCAAGCTGACTCATCTGGAGATAATTATGTGTTTTTCTCTTTCGTTCTCTTTATGTGATGGATTACATTTATTGATTTACATATGTTGAACCAGCCTTGCATCCCAGGTATGAAGCCGACTTGATAGAGGTGGATAAGTTTTTTGATGTGCTCCTGGATTCGGTTCTCCAGTGTTTTATTGAGGTTTTTCACATCAGTGCTCCTCAGGGATATTGGTCTGAAGTTTTCTTTTTTTATTGTGTCTCTTCCCAGTTTTGGTATCAGAATGATGCTGTTTTTATATAATGAGCTGAAAAAGAAGTCCCTTTTTCTCAATATTTTGAAATAATATTAGAAGTGGTACCAGCTCTTCTTTGTACATCTGGTAGAATTAATCTGTAAATTTGTCTGGTTCTTTGCTATTTGTGATTGGTGGCCATTTAAGACCAATTCAGTTTTGGCACTTGTTATTGGTCTATTCAGGGATTCAATTTCTTATTTGTTCAGTCTTTGGAAGATGTATTTTTGCTCCAAGGTTACAGTCCTCAAGCTTGGCCCAGATGAACTCTCTACTTATATTCATGTTGCCTCAGTTTTTTCTTTTAGTTAGACATATTATTTAGAATGTGCCAGAGCAGCCTCTATGAGGGGAGCTCTCCTTTGATTGTAGTCTGTTTGCTGTAACACCCAAGGATGCAGAGTCAGATTGATCCCACCTAGAATCTGCACATAAGGTCTGGCCTCTGCCTAGGATTTACAAGACAGGGCCAGAAGACTTTGGATTGAGAATGTACTGAAAACCAACAGAAGGCATTTTCTGTATTGTGAGATGTCAGTGTAGAAATCTTGAAGCCCCCATTTGAGAGTGTGGCTCTTCAAGCTTTTCAGATCTTGTTTAGTGAGTGACCTGCTACAGTTATGTGAGAGACTCCAGGTATAAATAGAATTTGATGACAGAATCTGTAAGTGTAAACGAGCATCTTAAGAGTGAGAGATCAAGGCCACAAAGTATCCAGAGCCATGACCACAACTATACCTACCTGTAAAATATGATACTGGAGTAGAGTATTCTTGTCCTTCTTCTTACCCAAAAGCTAGCAAGTCAGGATAGGTGATGCAGGTTCTGGAGCTCCACCAAGGCAGTTCCATTTTCTATTTAGAATCAGCATGAATCTCTCTCAGCCTGGCTTATCACTGGGCCATCAGCCCAGGGTCAGTAAGAACCTTCTCACAATCACCTAGATGTCTTTGAGACATTTGAGGATGTCCAGTGCAGAATTGTTTCAGGCTGACGAGTGGTTAATTCTGCTTCTGTCTCGGTGTAAGAGAAATGAGTCATTCTGTTTTTTTTTTTTCTCCCTTCATACTCATACAAGAGATAACTTTGGTTGGTACCCAGATGAGAGTTTCTCTAGTTTGCTGTTACTTTGGTGAAACACAAAGAGGAGGTCCGGTGACTCAAAAGATAAACTAATTGCTTCCATTTCATAAGGTCATTCAAAAAATAGATGAAGCAGTCACGGTCCCTACCATCCAGAAACTTTTGCTCTAGACTAGCAACTGGATACACGGTTGAATTAAACATCATATGGTTGGTACGGTGAATAGATGTGTGCAAAGCAAAACAAAACTTTGGCCTCTTCAGTCGGGAGCAGTGGCTCACGCCTGTAATCCCAGCACTTTGGGAGGCCGAGGCAGGCGGATCACCTGAGGTTGGGAGTTCGAGATCAGCCTGAACAACATGGAGAAACCCTGTCTCTGCTAAAAATACAAAAAATTAACTAGGCGAGGTGGTGCATGCCTGTAATTCCAGCTACTTGGGAGGCTGAGGCAGGAGAATCACTTGAACCCAGGAGGTAGAGTTTGCGTTGAGCCAAGATTGTGCCATTGCACTCCAGCCTGGGTGACAAGAATGAAACTCCATCTCAAAAACAAAACAAAACAAAAAAACTTTGCCCACTTCTTTTTATATTGTTGTGTCTTCTGAGGTTATCACCTGAAGGGATATTTATGGACTGAAGAGTTGTTAGTATTATTTGTGTATCTTTTACTTTGTTAGAATACATACTTATCTTCTAATGAAATTATTCCAGAAAACTTTAAAAGAGTCATTTAAATTGCCTGTTAGTATAGTTATAAAATTGACAGAGCAGTGGCAAAAATAGATTAAAGTTACATAAACTCTAGGATTTAAGTTTTTCTTAGGTAAGCTTAGGAAAAACAGAACTGGAAATACTCCAGTGGCAGAGAACAGAATTCTCCATAGGGTCCTTTCCCTGCCCCAGTTCTGTTCAGATTCACCCTTTTTGAAGGCCTTCTTTAGGTCTGGCCCACTTTGGAGTCTTGCCTTACAGAACTGATTTATAAAGGTCAGAGTTTTGGCCGGTAAATCCTTCTGCCTTTCTAGAGCTGGTGCTTACAATTTCCTGCAACCCAAAAGCAGATAAATAAGAAAAATAAACTATACATTTTAACATCTTATTTTTTTAAATTTTGTATTAAAACCAGTGCTTACAGAAACATTCCATTTAGCAGCTTGTTTTCTATTCTTGCAGATCCAGTAGTTGCTCCACAAGTCACAGACAAGTAAATATAAATAGAAAAAAATTTCTTAAACTCTTTCTATGCCCCCTCCTCTGTCTATATTTAGCCTTATTCTGTACATTTTTTTAAAAAATCAATAACAGAGAAACAGAGGAAGAAGTAATAATGCTGGGCCCTTTATCTAAATCCTGAGAATTACTGAACACTTAGTATCAACTTCCAATGTGTTATGGGGATTAAATCACATAATATGTTATGCCCAGCACAGTGCTCTATATTGTACTCTTGAGCACATAGTACCTGCTTAATAATTATTGCATTAGTACATGTGTACATGTTGTTTTCCAAATGCAGACTTATTCCAACATTGCTGCCTTTTGTTTCCTCTGTAAACTTTAAAGAGCCAGCAAATAATATAAAACTTCAGGATGGAGTGTGGTTGTCTTCATTTGTACCAGAAGTATTTGTGTTGTGACAAGAGTGCTGAATGTCAGGGACTCTGTGCGGTGCCTGCTTTCTCTCACTAATGCTAATGATGAGCCTGGGGGAGCAACATCAGCATTGGCAGGGGACTTGTTTGAAACACCCATTCATGAACCCTTTCCAAACATGCAGAATCACATTACATAAAGTGGGACCAACATTACCAAGTGATTTTTGAGCTCATTAAAGCTTGAGAGGCAATGCTTAGCTAAGTGGTTATCAGCCCAGGCTTCTCATTAAGATCACATGACCAGTTGGCAAAAATCTCTTGTGCCTTCCCCACAGCTTCTGTTTATTGTTGTGGGTGGAAGCATCCATGTTATTTTAATGAAGTGCCTCATGTGACTCTAAGGTGAGGCCAGAATGAAGTATGAGGGCTTCAAGATACATTCATGAGAGTTAAGTGCCACCTTTGCACTAAAGGGTGGTTACGATACCTGTTCTGTTTGGGTTTGGTAGGGACAGGGCAGTGTGGCCCATATGTTCATTACTGTAGCAGAAATTGCTGGTGTTTGTGGCAGGGGAGGGCACCTGAGACAGGAAAGGAGAAACTTACATTTTTACATCCATGGAGCAGCACATTTTTCCTGAATCTCCTCTGTTATAAGGGAGAGGTATGGGTGGACTTTTTGGTCTTGGTCCTTCTGTCTGTGGGCGTGGTGCTAGCAGGTAAGAAGGTGGTGCTGACACATTTAAGGCAGTTTTCTCAAGATGTAGATGTTACTTCTTTAGAGAATTTCATCTGAAAAGGATTCCAAGAGAAGAAGGAGAAAGAGGAAAAATGATGTTTTTTTTTCTTCAGCTAAGTAAGTCTCACATCAAGAGCTTTGTCCACTCTTTTCTAGAGTCTCATGCATTTAGTATTTGCAAACCTTTACTTCTCTACTTGTGTTTTTCCTTACTAATGAGTTTAACTACTTTTTAAAATTCTAATGATAGTCAAGGGTCTATGCAAAATATTTCTTTCCTATGTACTAGAGCCTTCTCTACATTCTCAATATCATGGCTTCTTATATGCCATGCAGAATTCCTACCATGAATTTATGATCTGCACTATTAAAAATGTTCCCATTGTGGCTGTTGAACATGGAAGGATGTGGATACTCAAGATTCCTATTGGGGAAAGCTGGGGTTTACGTGGAGAATATGTAATGTTGAGGTTCCATCTGTGTTCTCCATTAGCTCTATGCAGAACAGGATTAAGAAAATACTTACTTAAATAGGATGGCATTTATTACCCAGAAAGTTCTGAAAAAAGATTGAGAGATACCTGCTATATAGGGTGCTGAAGAAAGACTACTTAAAATCATTATTGAAAATTACAGAACATTGGAGATACCTGTATCTTGAACTTTGCATAAAACTGATGTTTCTGTATGATTGAATTCAGAATATAATTTACTTTTGGAGGGGCAATATCTAGGCAATGATGCTATGTTCTTCTATGTGCATAAGCACAACATAAAAATTCGTCCTACTATGGTTGATATTAATAATTTACTTGGTTAAAAAGCTCTCTGATATTTCTTTCACTACAGAGTTAACTATTTTTCTTGTCATTATTAGGCATCTTTATGCAGTTAATGTGCATAAGCCATCACATTTAATCTGGCAGCTGCCCTTTTTTCTTATGTTTTCTTTGCATGTAGCTGTCTTTGGAAAATGAAGGCTCTTTGTTTTACAGGCCAGAAAAATCTGGTAAAACACAGGCTCTTCCACTTACTGGATGTTTCACAGAATTTTCTTTTGGGGCCAAAAACTTTGGCATTACTAGTGAGCTCGTTAGAAATTCAGAAACTCGGCCGGGCGTGGTGGCTCACGCCTGTAATCCCAGCACTTTGGGAGGCCGAGGCGGGTGGATCATGAGGTCAGGAGATCGAGACCATCCTGGCTAACAAGGTGAAACCCCGTCTCTACTAAAAATACAAAAAATTAGCCGGGCGCGGTGGCGGGCGCCTGTAGTCCCAGCTACTCGGGAGGCTGAGGCAGGAGAATGGCGTGAACCCAGGAAGCGGAGCTTGCAGTGAGCCGAGATTGCGCCACTGCAGTCCGCAGTCCGGCCTGGGCGACAGAGCGAGACTCCGTCTCAGAAAAAAAAAAAAAAGAAAGAAATTCAGAAACTCAGACTTCATTCCAGATCTTCTGAAAAAAAATCTGCACAAGATTTCCAGTTTATTGTAAACATTAAAATTCAGGAGGTGCCTTCTAACTCAACATCTCTTTTTTGTCTGAAAAATATACACAACTCATTCTTTATGATATAAATAATAACACTCAAAAATGTATATGTTTGTGTTTATGCTCTTAATTTTATACTTTATCTAGAAAAGTGTCATATATACACTGGTGTTGTGGATCTTATGCCATTCTCTTCTCTCAGAATTAGAGAATATTTTAGAGAATATTTCTGTGTTAAAAATTATTGGAAAATTTGTCATTTCTATTAATCAGAACCAATTCTCTTTGCTCTGTCATTTCATTTTAATTCAAATAATAAATTCTGCCCATGGCCACTTGGTAAATATATGTGTGTCTCTGTGCTTGTGCTTTTCAGGGGCCATTGACGTTTAGGGATGTGGCCATAGAATTCTCTCTGGAGGAGTGGCAATGCCTGGACAGTGCTCAGCAGGGTTTGTATAGGAAAGTGATGTTAGAGAACTACAGAAACCTGGTCTTCTTGGGTGAGAATAACTTTAATACACAATTTCTAATATACCGTAAAGGTTTCTCTTTTTTTGTGGAATGATTTTTGGTAATTCATGCTTTGCATAAATGAGTTTCTGATCCGTTTTTTCAAGAAAATCTTGAGGCTGTGTGTGGAAAAGAATGTATTCAAGATGTTTCATCTTGACCTGAACTTTCCATATTCCTGAGCTGATCTGTATCCTTCACTCTAGATTAGTGGTAATTCCAGAAATTTAGTGTCATAAAATATTGTTGCCCATGTTTTTAGGCCGGGCATGGTGGCTCACTCCTGTAATACCAGCACTTTGGGAGGCTGAGGCAGGCGGGTCACGAGGTCAGGAGTTTGAGACCAGCCTTGCCAACAAAGTGAAACCCCATTTCTACTAAAAATACAGAAATAGCCGGGCATGGTGGCAGGCGCCTGTAGTCCCAGCTACTCAGGAGGCTGAGGCAGGAGAATTGCTTGAACCCAGGAGGTGGAGGTTGTAGTGAGCCGAGATCATGCCACTTCACTCCAGCCTGGACAATAGAGCGAGACTCCGTCTCAAAAATAAATAAATGTATATATATGTACATATATATTTGCCCATATTTTAAAATCCATTCATCACCACCAATTTTTTGATTCATGAGTACCGGGTAGTGAAATTAAGAACCTACAAATTTAAAATATTTTCTAAATATTTAGAAATTTCTCTCATTAATTAGTACGTTAGGATTAATTTTCTAGAATATTCTATCACCTCCTCTTTACTAAGCATAGTACTAGGTTGGTAATTGGAGAATATGAGAAAGATTCATGTTATTTATTTCTAATAAAGCAGGTATTGCTCTCACTAAGCCAGACCTGATCACCTGTCTGGAGCAAGGAAAAGAGCCCTGGAATATAAAGAGACATGAGATGGTAGCCAAACCCCCAGGTAGGTGAGAGTGAACACAACAGATGACACAGATGTGAGGTCCAAAGGTCAAAAAGAAAGCTGGTCATTAAAATGTGGTTTGGGAAGCTATGTTCCAAAGGAAATAGTTTCTGGGATGCCTGAGTGTTTTTGTTTTTTGGGCTTTTTTTTTTTTTTTTTTTTTGGCTGTCACGTAGGGGCATCTTCTGTCTTATGCTTTTAAATTCTTTAAAGATTCTACTTTCCTTTTGGTGATCTTCCTTCAGGTTTACAGTGAGAGCCAGAGTCCTTTTCAAGGCATATAAAAGACTGCACAATCTCCCTACTTTTCCATTATTTGGGGGGACACACAGATATCTGCATAATTTTGGGAAACTCTATGTTAAACTATTTTTTAGTTCTCTTTTTTCATCATGTCTGAAATGTGTGAAAGTAGTGTTTTCTGTTCCGTTGTTTTGTTTGTTAATCTTTTTGCACATTCCATCCTGTTTTTATTACTATATTCTTGAAATATAGTTAGAACTTATAAAGTATAATACCCCTCTGCTTTGTTCTTTTGCCTCAAGATTGCTTTGGCTATTTGAAGTTTATTGCAGTTTCTTATAAATTTTAGAATTGTATTTTTTATTACTGTGGAAAAAAATGCCACTGGAATTTTAATAGGAAGTTTATTGGAGCTATAGATTACTTTAGATAATATGACACTTTAACAATATTTATTCTTTCAATCCATGGACATGAAATATTTTAAAATTTGTGTCTTCAATAATTTATTTCATTGATATATCTTTTTTGTTTTGTTTTGTTTTTTGAGACGGAGTCTCGCTCTGTCATCAAGTTGGAGTGCAGTGGCGCGATCTTGGTTCACTGCAACCTCCACCTCCTGGGTTCAAGCAATCTTCCTGCCTCAGCCTCCTGAGTAGCTGCGACTACAGGCACATGCCACCACGCCAAGCTAATTTTTTTAATTTTTAGTAGAGATGGGGTTTCACCATGTTGGCCAGATGATCGTGATCTGTTGACCTCTTGATCTGCCTGCCCCGGCCTCCCAAAGTGTTGGGATTACAGTCGTGAGCCACTGTGCCTGGTCTATCTTATATCTTTTATTGTAAAGATTTTTTTTACCTTCTTGGTTAAATTTCCTCTCAGAAATTTATTATTTTAATGCTATTGTAAATAAGATTGTTTTCTTTATTGTATCAGATGGTTAAAATGTATGGAACAGTAGTTTATACTTGTATGTTAATTTTATATTTTGCTAATTTACTGAGTGTATTTATTACTTTAGACAAATTTCAATGTAGTGTTTATGGTTTTTTTATATATAAGATCATATGATCCACAAAAAGTAACTTATTTTTCTTCAATTTCAGTGGCTTTTTAAAAATGTTTTTGACTCATCATTCTGCCACTTACTTCCAGTCCTACGTTAAAATAGAAGCATTGACAATGGGCACAATATAGTTTTGCATTGGTGTCTGTGAATTTGATGGAGGAAATACCTCTTCAACTTTTGTTTTTTGTTTTTTGTTTTTTGTTTTTTGAGACGGCGTTTCACTGTTGTTGCCCAGGCTGGAGTGCAATAGCGCGATCTCAGCTCACTGCAACCTCTGCCTCCCGGGTTCAAGCAATTCTCTGTCTCAAAAAAAAAAAAAAAAAAAGAAAAAGAAAAATTAATGGTTGTAAAAACACGTAACATAAAATTTACCATCTTAAATCTTTTTTTTTTTTTTTTGGGTGGGGGACAGAGTCTTGCTCTGTCGCCGAGGCTGGAGTGCAATAGCGCAATCTCGGCTCACTGCAACCCCCACCTCCTGGGTTCAAGCAATTCTCCTGCCTCAGCGTCCCGAGTAGCTGGGAATGTAGGTGCCCGCCACCACGCCTGGGTAATTTTTTCTATTGTTAGAAGAGACAGAGTTTCACCATGTTCTCCAGGTTAGTCTTGAATTCCTGACCTCAAGTGATCGCTCTGCCTCAGCCTCCCAGAGTGCTGGGATTACAGCATGGGCCACCGCGCCCAGCCTACCATCTTAAATTTCTTTAAGTGTACATTTCAAGGCCAGACATGGTGGTGCCTCACAGCTGTAATCCCAGGATTTTGGGAGGTCAAGAAAGGAGGATCACTTGAGCCCAAAAGTTTGAGACCAGCCAGGGCAACACAGGGAGATTCCCTTTCCACAAAATTATTTAAAAAATTGCCAGGCATGGTGGTATGCACAAGTGGTTTCAGCTACTTGGGAAATTTGAGAGAAGAGAATTACTTGAGCCTGGAAGTTTGAGGCTGAAGTGAGCCATAATTGTGCCACTGCACTCCAGCTTGGGTGACAGAGTGAGACTGTCTCAAAAAAAAAAAAAGTTTTACATGCCAGGCGTGGTGGCTCATGCCTGTAATCCTAGCACTTTGAGATGCTGAGGTGGGCAGACCACCTGAGGTCAGGAGTTCAAGAGCAGCCTGACCAACATGGTGAAACCCCATCTCTACTAAAAATACAAAAATTAGCGGGGCCTTGTGACAGGTGCCTGTAATCCCAGCTACTCGGGAGGCTGAGGCAGAAGAATTCCTTGAACCTGGGAGCCAGAGGTTGCAGTGAGCCAAGATTGCCCCTTGCACTTCAGCCTGGGCAACAAGAGCAAAACACCGTCTCAAAAAAAATAATAATAATAATAATTGCATTTTAGCCATGTTAAGTATATTCACATTGTTATGCAAAAGACTTACAGAAATTTTACATCTTGTGAAATTAAAACTAAATACCCATTAAGTAACAACAACCCATTTTACCCTCTCCCCAGCCCTTGACAAACACCCTTCCACTTTCTGTTTTTATGAGTGTGACTATTTAAGATATCTCATATAAGTGGAATCATACAGTGTCCATCATTTTGTTTCTGGATTATTTCAGATGACATAATATTCTCAAAGTTTGTCTTAAAATTGACAAGATTTTCTTCTTTAAGTCTGTATAATATTCCATTTTATGTATATGTTACATTTTTGATGTGTTCATAAATCAAGAGACACCCGGGTTGCCTCAGCCTTTTGACTTTTGTGAGTACTGGTACAATAATCATAGATGTTCAAATATGTCTTCTAGGTCTTTTGTTGCATATTTTGAATATAGATTCATTAATGGAGTTGCTGTATTTGATAATAATTCCACTTTTAATTATTTGAGAAATGTAACATTTTAAAATAATGACTGCAACTTTGTTTTCTACCAACAATCAACAGAGGTTTCATTTTCATTGCATCATCAACAGAGTTGGCGTCTTTAAAAAATTTATAGTGGCCATTGTAATGGATGTGAGGTGATTTCATTTTTCATTTTTATTTTTACGTGTTTCTCTACAAATTATTAATTTGTAATTTGGTCAGGCTGGTCTTCAACTCCTGACCTCAGGTGATCCGCCCACCTCAGCCTCCAAAGTGCTGGGATTACAGGTGTGAACCACTGCACCTGGCCCGAATATTAACTCTTATCACATGTGACTTGCAAATATTTTCACCCATTTCTTATGAGGCATTTTTACACAGTTGAATGTTTTTTTTTTCTAATGTGGATAAATTTTGAAGTAGCGTGTAGTTAAATTTTTCTGTTTTTCTGTTGTTGCTCATGCATTTAATGTTGTATCTAAGAAAATGGTGCCAAGACCCATGTCATGACTTTTTTCTATTTTGTTCTAAGAGATTCGTTAGTTTTTTTATGTAAGTATTTTATTGAAAACATTTTTTATATACGGTTCAAGGAAATGATCCAACTTTATCAGTGTTGACATTTAGTTCTTAACATTTTTTGAAATGATTATCTTTTCTCTATGGTGTGTTCATGGCAGCTTTGTGGAAGATCATTTAATCATATACACAAGGGTTCATTTCTGAACTCTCTATTCTGCTCTTTCATCTGTTTATCTGTCTTTGTATCAGTACCATACTGTTTTTGTTATTGTAGCTTTTAATGTTTTAAAATCGGGAAGTATAATGCCTGTTTGTTCTTTTCATGGGTGTTTGGTTAGTTATAGTTCACAATCACATTTAAAAATTTTAAAGAATATTTCTGTAATAACTGTGCTATTGAGATTTTTATAGAGATTGTACTGAATTTGTTCACCTCTGTAGGTTGTATTGGCATCTTAACAAAATTAAAATTTTTGACCCTCGAGCAGGAATATGTTGAAGAATGTGTTTTAATTTAATTTTATTTTATTTTATTTATTAGAGACAGTTTATTTATTAGAGACTAGCCTATGTTGCCTAGGCTAGTTTCCAACACCTGTGCTCAAGCAGGTCTCTTGCCTCAGCCTCCCAAAATGGTAGTATTACAGGTGTGAGCCATTGCACTCAGCCCATGTGTTTTATTTTTAGATATTGTTGGAGTTGCCAGTTTTACTTTTGCTTTTAATTCCTAGTTTTATTCAGTTTTGGTCAGATACCATGCAGTGCATGATTTTGGTCTTCTTAAATTTATTTGTTGTTGTCATTTTCAGACATGATCATACTCCGTCACCCAGGCTGGAGTATAGTGTCATAATTTTGGCTCACTGCAACCTCAGCCTGCTTGACTCAAGTGATCTTTACACCTCAGCCTCCTGAGTAGCTGAGACTATGGACATGCACTACCATGCCTGGCTAATTTTTTGATTATTTCTAGGGACAGGCTCTCACTATGTTACTGACACTGGTCTTATACTTGTGGTCCCAAGTGATCCTCTCACTTTTGTCTTCCAAATTGTTGAAATTATGCGTATCAGCCACTACGTATTCTTCAATAAGACTTGTTATGTGTTCTAACAGAATACATCAGGTGCAAATAAGAATATTGTGTATTATTTTGCTTTTAACTGAAAAATTTTGTACATGTCTGTTAAGCCTAGTTTGTCTGTGATATGGTTTGGATGAACATGTTCTGCAAACCTCATGCTGCGATGTAATCCCCAATGTTGGATGTGGAACCTGGTAGGGAGGTGTTTAGGTCATGGGGACGAATTTCTCATAAATGCCTTGGCACCAGCCTTTTGATAATCAGAAAGTTTACACTTCATTAATTCAAATGAGAGCTGGTTCATTAAAAGAACCTGGCCTTTTTTATTTTTTTGAGATGGAGTTTCACTCTGTAGTCTAGGCTGGAGTGCAATGGTACCATCACGGCTCACTGCAACTTCCACCTCCCTGATTCATGCAATTTTCTTGCCTCAGCCTCCCAAGTAGCTGGGATATAGGCACCCGCCACCATGCCCAGCTAATTTTTGTAGTTTTTTAGTAGAGATGGGATTTCACCATGTTGGTCAGGCTGGTTTCGAACTCCTGACCTCATCGACCTCCCAAAGTGCTTGGATTACAGGCGTGAGTCTCTGCGCCTGGCCTGAACCTGGCTTTTTCACCTTACACTTGCTCTTTTTCTTACCACATCCAGTTTCCATTCTCTGTATATGACTAGTCAGTTCTCCCAGAACCATTTATTAAATAGGGAGTTCTTTCCTTATTGCTTGTTTTTGTCAGGTTTTTCAAAGATCAGGCAGTTGTAGATTTGCAGTCTTATTTCTGAGTTCTCTATTCTGTTTCATGGGTCTATGTGTCTGTTTTTATACCAGTGCCAGGCTGTTTTGGTTACTACAGCCTTGTAGTATAGTTTGAAGTTGGATAGCATGATGCCTCCAGCTTTGTTCTTTTTGCCTAAGATTGTCTTGGCTATATGGGGCCTTTTTGGGTTCCACATTAATTTTAAAATAGTTTTCTCATTCTCCATCAGTTTTTTTTTTTTTTTTTTTTTTTTTTTTTTTTTTTTTTTTTTGACATAGTGTCACTCTATCGCCCAGGCTGGACTGCAGTGGCACCATCTCGGCTCATTGCAACCTCCACCTCCTGGGTTCAAGCAGTTCCCCTGACTCAGTTTCCTGAGTAGCTGGGATCACAGGCGTGCGCTACCACACCCAGATAATTTTTGTATTTTTAATAGAGATGGGGTTTCACCATGTTGGCCAGGCTGGTCTTGAACTCCTAACCTCAGCTGATCTGCCCGCCTCAGCCTCTCAAAGTGCTGGGATTACAGGCAAGAACCACTGTGCCCGGCCTGCATCGATATTTATCAGGGATATTGGTTTTAAGTTTTTGTTGTTGTTGTTTTTATATCTCTGCCAGGTTGGATATCAGAATGATGCTGATCTTATAAAATGAGGGAGGAGTTCCTACTTTTCTTTCATTTAAAATGGTTTCAGAAGAAATGGTGCCAGCTCTTCTTTGTACCTCTGGTAGAATTCAGCTGTAAATCCATCTGGTCCTGGGCTTCTTTTGGTTGGCAGCCTACTTATTACTGTCTCAATTTCAGAACTTGTTGTTGGTCTATTCAGGGATTCAACTTCTTCCTGGTTCAGTCTTGGGAGGGTGTAGATGTCCAGTAATTTATCCATTTCTTCTAGATTTTCCAGTTTATGTGCATAGTGGTGTTTATAGTATTTTCTGATGATTGTATTTCCTTTTTTTTTTTTCTTCTTTTTTTTTATTTTTGGAATGAAGTCTCACTCTTGTCCCCCAGGCTGGAGTGTGATGGTGCAATCTCGGTTCACTGCAACATCCGCCTCCTGGGTTCAAGTAATTCTCCTGCCTCGGCCGCCTGAGTAGATGGGATTATAAGCACCAGCCACCATGCCCAACTAATTTTTTTTATTTTTTTATTTTTAGTAGAGACAGGGTTTCACTTTGTTGGCCAGGCTGCTCTAGAAGTCCTGACCTCAGGTGATCCACCCACTTCACCCTCCCAAAGTGCTGGGATTACAGGCATGATCTACCACGCCAAGCCCTGATGATTGTATTAATGTAGGGTCAGTGCTGATATCTGCTTTATCATTTTTTATTGTGTCTATTTCATTCTTCTCTCTTTTCTTTATTAATCTAGCTAGTGGTCTATCTCTTTTATTTTATTTTTTTTAAACAGCTCCTGGATATATTGATTTTTTTGAAGGGTTTTTTTTGTGTCTCTATCTCCTATGGTTCCACTCTGATCCTGGTTATTTTTTGTCTTCTGCTGGCTTTGGGGTTTGTTTGCTCTTGGTTCTCTTTTCCTTTTAGTTGTGATGTTAGGAAGTCAATTTGAGATCTTTCTAGCTTTTTGATGTGGGTATTTAGTGCTATATTTTCCCCCTTAACACTACTTTAGCTGCATTCCAGAGATTCTGGTATATTGTCTCTTTGTTCTCATTGGTTTCAAAGAATTTTTTTATTTCTGACTTAATTTTATTATTTACTCAGAAGTCATTCAGGAGTATGTTGTTAAATTTCCATGCAGTTGTGTGGTTTTGAGTGAGATTCTTACTCTTGAGTTCTAATTTGATTGCACTGTGGTCTGAGAAACTGTTATGATTTTGGTTCTTTTGAATTTGCTAAGGAATGTTTTACTTCCAATTATGTAATCAATTTTAGAGTAAGTGCCATGTGGCAATTAGAAGAATGTGTATTGTGTTTTTGGCTGGTGAGTTCTGTAAATATCTATCAGGTCCACTTGACCTAGAGCTGAGTCCAAGTCCTGAATATCCTTGTTATTTTTCTCTCTCAGAGATCTGTCTAGTATTGGCAGTGGGGTGTTAAAGTCTCCCACTGTCATTGTTTGGGAGTCTAAGTCTCTTTGTAGGTATCTAAGTATGTTTTATAAATCTGAGTGCTGGCTGGATGTGTGGCTCATGCCTGTAATGCCAGCATTTTGGGAGGCCAAGGCAGGCAGATCCCCTGAGGTCAGGAGTTTGAGACCAGCCTAGACATGGTGAAACTCTGTCTCTATTAAAAATACAAAAATTAGCTGGGCATAGTGGTTGGTGCCTGTAATCCCACCTACTCAGGAAGCTGAGGCAGGAGAATCACTTGAACCTGCGAAGTGAAGGTTGCAGTGAGCCAAGATCGCGCCATTGCACTCTAGCATGGGCAACAGAGTGAGATTCCATCTCAAAAAAATAAATCAATAAGGCCGGGCATGGTGGCTCACGCCTGTAATGCCAGCACTTTTGGAGGCTGAGGCTGACAGATCATGAGGTCGGGAGATCGAGACCATCCTGGCTAACAAGGTGAAACCCCGTCTCTACTAAAAATACAAAATACTAGCCGAATGTGGTGGCGGGCACCTGTAGTCCCAGCTGCTCAGGAGGCTGAGGCAGGAGAATGGTGTGAACCCGGGAGGCAGAGCTTGCAGTGAGCCAAGATCATGCCACTGTACTCCAGCCTGGGTGACAGAGTAAGACTCCGTCTCAAAAAAAATCAATCAAGCGAGCAATAAAAACAAATCTGGGTGTTCCTTGAATTGATCCCTTTAGCATTATGTAGTGTCCTTCCTTGTCTTTTTTGATCTTTGTTGGTTTAAAGTCTGTTTTATCAGAAACTATGATTGCAACCTCTGCTTTTTTTCTGATTTTATTTGCTTGGTAAATTCTTCTCCCTTTATTTTGAGGCTATGTGTGTCGTTGCATGTGAGATGGGTCTCTTGAATACAGCACACCAGTGAGTTGACTCTTTAACCAGCTTGCCATTCTGTGCCTTTTTTTTTTTTTTTTTTTTTGAGACAGAGTCTTACACGGTCGCCCAGGCTGGAGTCTGGAGTGCAGTGGCACAATCTTGGCTCACTTCCAGCTCCGCCTCCGGGGTTCATGCCATTCTCCTGCCTCAGCCTCCCGAGTAGCTGGGACTACAGGCACCCACCACCACGCCCTGCTAATTTTTTGTATTTTTAGTAGAGACGGGGTTTCACCGTGTTAGCTAAGATGGTCTCGATCTCCTGACCTCATGATCCACCCACCTCGGCCTCCAAAAGTTCTGGTATTAATTGGAGCATTCAGTCCATTTAAATTTAAGGTTAATATTGTTATGTGTGAATTTGATCCTGTTCTCATGGTGCTAGCTGGTTATTTTGCAGACCTGTTGACGTAGTTGTTTTGTAGTGTCATTGGTCTTTGTACTTCAATGTGTTTTGCATTTGCTGGTAGTGGTTTCTTCTTTTCATATTTAGTGCTTCTTTCAGGAGCTCTTGCAAAGCAGGCCTAGTGGTGATGAATTCCCTCAGCATTTGTTTGTCTGAAAATGATTTCATTTCTCCTTCACTATGAAGCTTAGTTGCAGGATATTCTGGGTTAGAAATTCATTTTTTTTAAGAATGCTGAATATTGGCCCCCAATGTCTTCTGGCTTGTAGGGTATCTTTTTAGAGGTCCACTTTTACTCTGATGGGCTTCCCTTTCTGGGTGACCTGGCCTTCCGGTTGGCTGTCCTTATCATTTTTTCCTGAAGTTTAAACTTGAATAATCTGATAATTATGTGTCTTGAGGTTGATCTTCTCATGGAGTATCTTACTGGGGTCCTCTGGATTTTCTGAATTTGAATGATGGCCTGTCTTGTTAGGTTGGAAAAGTTTTTCTCGATGATATCCTGAAGTATGTTTTCCAACTTGGTTCCATTCTTTCCCTCTCTTTAGTGTACTGCAATCAGTTGTAAGTTTGGTCTGTTTACATAATCCAATAGTTCTTGAAGATTTTTTTCATTCCTTTTTATTTTTATTTTTTCAATCTTATCTGCCTTATTTTAGCAAGATAGTCTTCAAGCTCTGAAATTCTTTTTCCTGCTTGGTCTACTCAGTTACTGATACTTGTGGTTGCATTGTGAGGTTCTCATGTTGTTTTTCAGTTGCATCAGGTCGTTTATGTTCCTCTCTAAACTGGTTATTCGGGTTAACAGCTCCTGTAATGTTTTTCATGGTTCCTGGCTTTTTTGCATTGGGTTAGAACATGCTTCATTAGCTCACTGAAGTTCATTATTACCCACCTTCTGAAGCCTACTTCTGTCAGTTTATCCATCTCAGGCTTCTCCCGGTTCTGTGCTCTTGCTGGAAATATGTTTTGATTATTTGGAGGAGTAGAGACACTCTGGGTTTTTGAGTTTTCAGCATTTTTTGGTTGATTCTTCTGATCGTCATGAGTTTATCTAGCTTTGGTCTTTGAGGCTGCTGACCTTTGGATGGGGTTTTTGTGGGGACATTTTTGTTGATGCTGCTGTGGTTGCTTTCTGTTTTTCCTTTAACAGTCAGGCCCGTCTTCTGTAGGGCCGCTGTGATTTGCTTGGGATCCACTTCAGATCCTATTTGCCTGGGTTTCTCCCACACCTGGAGGTGTCACCAGTGGAGTGTGTAGAACAGCAGAGAGAACTGCCTGCTCCTTCATCTGTAAGCTTTATCCCAGATGGGCACTGAGCTGATGACAGTGGGAATACTTCTTTATAAGTTGTCTTACAATGCCTGTTGGTGGGGTGGTCCTCACTCAGTCAGGATGCACAGGATTCAGGAACCATTTAACAAGGCACTCTGGCTGCTTCTTGGTGAAGGGGGTGTGCTTCACTGGGAGAAATTCCATACATCTGGACTGCCCAGATTCCTCAGCCAGCAGGGGGAAAGACTAAGTCTGCTGATCTGCAGAAATCACCTCATTGTTACTATTTTATGTGTTTCTTGTAGATATGTCTTTTCTCATTTCCTGTGTTACTACCTTAATTTTTGTTTGTTTTAATTTTGTTGTGACTTGCTTTGATTATTTTTTATTTTGTTTTGCATACTTTCCAGAAGTATAATGTAATCATCTTGAAATATAATGTAACCATATTGAAAAACAGATTACATAAAACATCTTAAAGTTAAAACAATGTATTTTAATCTCATCACACCTTCAATTAAGTACAAAACCTCTGTTGTTATATTTTCCAATTTGTTATTAATATTAAAAACCATATTATCTTACATTGTGTATCTATTAACAGATTTATGCAGATTTATATCTTGTTTTTTATATCTAAAGAACTGTAAGGGTTTTATGTGCATCATTATGATAGTAAAAAAATTCTATATGTGTCTGTATTTACATTTAATAGAGAGTTTTATATTTATACATTTTTTTGATACTTCTGGCATCATTTTGTTCTTCAACATAATGGACTCATTTTAGCATTTCTTTTTGTTTATATGCAGAGTTTCACTATGTTTCTCTGGCTGATCTTGAACTACTGGTCTCAAGTGATCTATCTGCCTTGGCTTCCTAAAGCTGTAGAATTACAGGCCTGAGCCACTGTGCCTGGCCACCATGTAACATTTTATGTAGGACTGTGGTAGTTGTAATAAATGCCCTGAATTTTTATTTTGGAAAGTCCTTATTTTTATCTTGTTTTTGAAGTAAAATAATTTTGAATTAAATATTGGTTAGAAATTTTTTTGTTACATAAAAATTTGGGAAGTTCTCAGCCTTTTTTGTCTTCAAGTTACCTCTGTATTACTTTTTCCCTATATTCTTCTAAGATTCATTTGATGAATATATTGATCTACTTGATGGCATCCAATACGTTTTACATTCCATATTTTAATTTTGTGTTATATATTTTACATATATTATATATATATATATTTTATATTGTGTTATGTATTTTAAGGTATGACACCTAACACCAGTTGCTTGTGTTTTGGTGTTTTATTTTATATTGCCATTGTGTATGACAGTGTTTAACTCTGTACAATTTAAGACTGTGTCTAGCCAAATCAAATATAAATCAGCCATATGTCTACTGCCAATATAATTACCTCTGTGTTTGTTTGCCTCTACAAATATCATCTCTGTTTATTTTATGACTTGTATATTTGTTGTGTAGGTTTGTTGTAAATGGTCGTTCAATCTTGGCTAGGTGACCAGTTATAAAAATTCTCCTAATTTCAATATCTGTTGTGAATCTACATTACTTCTATGTGGGAGAAACACTTTGGGATTTGAAGATAATATTGAAACTATTGTAACTGTATCTTTCTTGGTATTAATTGTTCATTTTTACTTGAACACATAAAATATTAGCAATTTTTTTTTTTTGAGACGGAGTCTCGCTCTGTCGCCAAGACTGGGGTGTAGTGGCGGGATCTTGGCTCGCTGCAACCTCCGCCTCCTGGGTTCAAGTGATTCTTTTGCCTCACTGTGTTGGCCAGGCTGGTCTCGAACTCCTGACCTTGTGATCCGCCCACCTTGGCCTCCCAAAGTGCTGGGATTACAGATGTGAGTCCCGGCACCAGGCCCATTATCAAATATTTTTTAATATTCTGTTTATTCCTCTTAATTATATTGATAATGTTATGCAGCATACCCCTAGAATGTTTTATCTTGCAAAGCTAAATCTCAATGTACAACAACCAATTTGTCTGATGTTCTGGCACTTTGCAAACACCACTTTGTTTTCTATTTCTAAGAATGTGACTGCTTCATGTGTCTCATACAATCTCTGTCTCATTGTGGCTAGCTCATTTTATTTTGCATAATGTCATCAAGCTTTATTTTTAGAGTTATTAGAATATTTCCTGCTTTTTAAATCCTGGATGATATTCCAGTATTTTTATATTGCAAATTATATCTATTGGATAATTTGGTGACAGAAAGTTGCATTGCCGGGCACGGTGGCTCATGCCTGTAATCCCAGCACTTTGAGAGGCTGAGGCAGGCGGATATCAAGGTCAAGAGATCGAGACCATCCTGGCCAACATGGTGAAATGCTGTCTCTGCTAAAAATACAAAAATTAGCCAGGCATGGTGGCACACACCTGTAGTCCCAGCTACTCAGGAGGCTGAGGCAGGAGAATCACTTGAACCCAGGAGGCGGAGGTTGCAGTGAGCCAAGATCATGCCACTGCACTCCAGCCTGGGCAACAGTGCAAGACTCCATCTCAAAAAATAAAAAATAAAAAAAAAAGGAAAGAAAAAGGAAAGAAACTTGCATTGCTATTGGTAAAAAATGCTGCAATAATTATGGATATGAAAATAACTCTTCATATAAACATATATGTGAAAGTTTCTATAGATGTGGCATTCTATTTTATTAGTCTACTTTTTAACCATTATACTCATACCAACTTGTTTTAATTATGTAGCTTTGCAATGTGCTTTTAAATCAGGAACTATAATGCCTTCAACATTTTCTTTTTTTTGAAGACTCTTGGGTACTTTATTGTCTCTTGACATTTTATATACTTTTGGGGTTGTTGTTTCTAGTTTCTCAAAAATGCAATGAGAAATTTTTAACAACATTGCACTAAATCTGTAGATTACTTTGAAAAGTATGGACATTTTCAAAATATCTATTATTTCTATCTTTGAACAGGAGCATGCTCAAGAGTGTGTTAATTTCCATATATTTGTAAATGTTTAATTGTTTTTCTATTATTGTTTTATACTCCCATTTTGTTCATGTAATATAATCCATACAATCTCAGTCTTAACAAATGTGTTAAGACTTCTTTTTTGGCCTAACATGTGGTCTATTAAGGAGAATGTTGTATGAGCAATTGAGAAGCATGTGTATCCCGATATTGTTGAGGAATCTTCT
Organism: Homo sapiens; assembly: GCF_000001405.40. Lineage (NCBI taxonomy): Eukaryota > Metazoa > Chordata > Mammalia > Primates > Hominidae > Homo > Homo sapiens. The sequence goes on along the minus strand of NC_000019.10, from coordinate 21,730,669 downwards.
CTATACCTCTGTTAGAAATAATTGTTTTATACTGCCTTCACGTCCTCTCTTCACTTACAAATATTCTGTTTTGATTTATTTTTATTACAGAAAGTAAGTTATTGAAATGTCCTACTATAGTATTGCTGTCTAGATGTTTCTTCAGTTCTATCAATATTTGCTTTATGTATTTGGAACCTTAATGTGAGATACACACACACACACACACACACACACACACACACTTAGGTTATCAGTAAATGAATCTATTATTGTTTAATGCCCTTCTTTGTCTCTTTGCAGTTTTGACTTGCAGTACATTTTATAAAATATGAAAGTTTTTCACGTAAGATGTAGCTTATGTAATATTATTTTGACCTCTTCTCTCATTTGGTTAATATTTACATGCAATATCTACATCCATCTTGCCACTTTCAGTTTTTTTTTAATCAATAGATCTCAGCTTACTGTCGTAGAAAGGCAAGTTGGATCTCAGTTTTTAAAATATTTAAATAAGTCTCTATTGAAAGTATGTCTCTTGATTGGAAAGTTAAACATATATATTTAAATAATTTTCTGAAACAGAAAGACATACTAATGTTATTTTATTAATTGTTTTATTTGATTCTTATATCTTGGTCACTCATTTTCTCTCTGTCTTTGTATCTTTTTATTTTTATATTGATATGCTTTTACTTCTTTCTTGTTTTGTGTATCTATACACACATGTTCTTTTTTGGACCTTGGGGATTACGTAAACCTCTAAAAGATATAACAGTATATTTCAATCTGGTAAAAAAGAACTTCAGTTGCATGCACATTTTTTTTCTCATTACTTCTCCCCTCAAATTTGTCATTGATTTTGCTAATTATATCTTTTTATGTTGTATATTTATTAACAGATGTTTATAATGATTTCTCTGATTTTCACTTTCAAATTTTAGAGAATAATTAAAAATGTTTTCTGCACCATTATGATAATGCTAAGGAATTCCATTTTGGTGTATGTGCATATACTTAGAAGTAAAAGTATATATGTGCATATAATCTTTCCCAGAAAGTAATGTATTTTTTTGTTGTTTTTTGTTTTTGTTTTGTTTTGTTTTTATTTTTTCTTTCATTATTATACTTTAAGTTCTAGGGTACATGTGCACAATGTACAGGTTTGTTACATATGTATACATGTGCCATGTTGGTGTGCTGCACCCATTAACTCGTCGTTTACATTAGGTATTTCTCCTAATGCTATCCCTCCCCCCTCCCGAAAGTAATGTATTTTTATTTGACTGTGTTGTTTTTGTTGAATCATGTTATTTTCAATAGAAGCAACTGCTTTCAGTACATTTTGTATGTAGGGTTTATGGAGTTCCAATATACTTTTCAGAATTTTGTTACTTTTGAAAGTTATTTTCTTTTTATTTGGCAGGACAGATTTGCTGATAGTATTATGCTTACTTGATTGCTGTATTTTACAGGAGTTTGACTTTATTACACACTTCCCTTCTGGCCTGCAAAATTTTTATTGACAATTCACTGGCTGTCTCATAAGACTATGCTGGCAAATGACGCATCACTTTTATCTTGCAGCTCCCAAGGTTCTCTTGTCTGTGACTTTTGAAATTGTGCTTATATATGTGTTTGTTATAAATATCTTTGTGTGTTTCCTAGTTTGTTTGTTGAGCTTCTTCATCTTTACATCGTTTCTTTCAATATTTTTCAGCTATTCTTTTTTATATTTATTACCTCCACAATTTGTTTTTTTGATATTCTAAATATTTATGTTCTTATCTTCATTTTTCTGATTTTCTATAGTTCTCTGTCTTCCTGTTTCACTCACTGAGTATTATTCAATTTATTTTCAATTTTTAAAATCGGTGTGTATACATCTTTTTTATAGTTTCTTTTTTAAAATTTTATATTTTTATGGAACCATATTGCCTTATTTTGTATACATTGTAATCCTTGATTGAAATTTGGACATTAAAAAAGGCTACCTGTCACAATCTTTATAATGTAGCTTTGTCCTGGCATAGTCTGAACAATCGTCTTGGTTAGAGATTCTGGGAGTCTCTCAAACATGTTCTTAGAATGTGTCTTGTCTGAGATTTTGTCTTTCTCTTTTAGTTAAAGGAGTTTATTCATGTTTCTTCTTAATAATAATCACGTGCTACACCTGTTTTCTGTCTGTGGTACAGCAGTCTCTCTGTTGCTGAAACATTTACCTTTGGTCTCAGCAAAGTTAAGACTGTCACTCCAAAGTATACCACCGTTTCTTTCAGCATTATATTTCAAGAGAGACACAAACCAGTGTCTGGAAAGGCTCCTAGAAGCAAGTAATAAAGATAAATGTGCCAGTATTTTACTTGTCATTAAAAACAAGTTGGCAATTTACTTCTAAAGACAGTATGTTATATTGGGGAGCAGAAAGAGCTCTGTTGGGTAAATGTACAGACTTTTACTTCTAAGTGGCTCTTTGCATTGTTCTCACCAGGGGCACTTCACACACTTAACTCATTTATAATTTTTTTCAGATGTAATTTGGTTGGTTTTTTTTTTTTTACATTTATATGTCTATAAAGGAATGAGGGCCTTTGGTATTTTCCTATGCCATCTTATTTATGTAGTTTGTATATTAGAGGTTAGATTTGTAAACTATCTGTGTCTAGTAAGTAAAGTAATTTGTTATTTTTATTTCTTTCAGTTATATGTTCTCATTTTCCCCAAGACCTTTGGGCAGAGCAGGACATTAAAGATTCTTTTCAAGAAGCGATTCTGAAAAAATATGGAAAATATGGACATGACAATTTACAGTTACAAAAAGGCTGTAAAAGTGTGGATGAGTGTAAAGTGCACAAAGAACATGATAACAAATTAAACCAGTGTTTGATAACTACCCAGAGCAACATATTTCAATGTGATCCATCTGCAAAAGTCTTTCATACATTTTCAAATTCAAACAGACATAAGATAAGACATACTAGAAAGAAACCTTTCAAATGTAAAAAATGTGAAAAATCATTTTGCATGCTTTTACACCTAACTCAACATAAAAGATTTCATATTACAGAGAATTCCTACCAATGTAAAGATTGTGGCAAAGCCTTCAACTGGTTCTCAACCCTTACTACACACAGGAGAATTCATACTGGAGAGAAACCCTACAAATGTGAAGAATGTGGGAAAGCATTTAACCGGTCCTCACACCTTACTACACATAAGATAATTCATACTGGAGAGAAACCATACAGATGTGAAGAATGTGGGAAAGCTTTTAACCGGTCTTCACACCTTACTACACATAAAAGAATTCATACTGGAGTGAAACCCTACAAATGTACAGAATGTGGCAAAGCTTTTAACCGGTCCTCACACCTTACTACACACAGGATAATTCATACTGGAGAGAAACCCTACAAATGTGAAGAATGTGGCAAAGCCTTTAACCAGTCCTCAACCCTTACTACACATAAGATAACTCATGCTGGAGAGAAACCTTACAAATGTGAAGAATGTGGCAAAGCTTTTTACCGATTCTCATACCTTACTAAACATAAGACAAGTCATACTGGAGAGAAATTCTACAAATGTGAAGAATGCGGCAAAGGCTTTAACTGGTCCTCAGCCCTCACTAAACATAAGAGAATTCATACTGGAGAGAAACCCTACAAATGTGAAGAATGTGGCAAAGCTTTTAATGAGTCCTCAAACCTTACTACCCATAAGATGATTCATACTGGAGAGAAACCCTACAAATGTGACGAATGTGGCAAAGCCTTTAACCGGTCCTCACAACTAACTGCACATAAGATGATTCATACTGGAGAGAAACCCTACAAATGTGAGGAATGTGGCAAAGCTTTTAACCGATCCTCAACCCTTACTAAACATAAGATAACTCATACTGGAGAGAAATCTTACAAATGGGAAGAATGTGGTAAAGACTTTAACCAGTCCCTAAGCCTTATTAAACAAAATAACTCATACTGGAGAGAAACCCTACAAATGTGAAAAATGTGGCAAAGCCTTTTACCAGTCCTCAACTCTTACTAAACATAAAAAAATTCATACTGGAGGGAACTCCTGTGACTGTGAAGAATATGGCAAAGCCTTTAATAAATTCTCAATTCCTAACAGACATAAGATAATTCATACTAGAGAGAAATTCTACAAACCAGAAAGATGTGACAGTGCTTTGAAAACACCTCAAACTTTTCAAAACATAAATCATAGTGTTGAGAAATCCTAGAAATGTGAAGAATGTGATAAAGTTTTAAATGGTTGTCACACTTGATTGTAGGTAAGGTAAGTTATACTGGAGAAAACTTCTACATGTGTGAACAGTGTGACAAAACTTTTAACTAATGCTCACACCTTCACAGGAAAGCATTTATACTTGAGAAATATTGTACAAATATAAAGACTGTGAAAAAGCCATTAATACATGCTCACATCTTACTCAACATCAGAGAGTTCATACTCAATAAAAACATAAGTGCAACTACTGTCAAAATATCTTTAAGAAAATATAAGCTTTTAAAGTGAAGAGTATTTTGAAGAAGAACATTGTAGTAGAATTGTAATATGTTTACTTGTATCACAGATCTTACTGTACACGTTTTGTATTAGAGGAAACCTCTGAAGCAGTTGCTCAAACTTTGTTCAATATCAGGGAATTTATATTGAAAAAAACTGTGCGAATGTAATAAAGTTGGAAAAATACTTTTTCAAAAACTACAGCTTAGAAAACACCAGAGAGTTCATACTAAAACATATTTTTGCAGATACAGGAAAAATTTTTTAAAAATTTTAATCATTAAGTCTGTAAATATCAGAGAATTTACAGTAGAAATATGTAAGGCACTGATGCTTCAGGTATTTTACTAAATCAGAGTGCTGAGTATAGAAAATAATCTAAAACTAAAATTGGTAAAATATTTGTATATAACTTTAAAAGTAGAAATTTTTTGCAGTTATTGCATTCAAAGTATGCTTAACTTTTTGAAAAAATTAGATTTTTTGAAAAGTGAGTAATAATGTAATTCAACTCTTAAATTATTTCCTGCCTTTTCTTCACTCCTATTTACATGTGAAAGCATGTGATCAATTGTTGCTGCATCAGATATGAGAGATTCTTTTTTATTAGGTGAGCATTATTTATAAACTTTGCTATGAAAAAGACATTAAAATATGAGATGTATGATGAAAATCTAAGTGAAGAGACTTTTATGGTTAACTTATAATATTAAGCAATGTGTGCGTTAGGCATTCAGAGTAATATTCTGCATTATGAGAAAACTTAATTTCATTTATAAGTAAATTAAAATTAGTATATTTTACTAATACTTTTATATAAAATGCAGTATATTTTTTAAATTTCAGATTATATGTGATGTTAATATATTCAACCTTTTTAACATGTTAAATACTATTGTGCATTCAGTGAAGTGTTATTATGCCACAGACATTAACCTATTCCACCTTACTCAAGGGTGTACGTAAAACATGGTAACAGTATACTATTTGGTAACATAATGGATTAACATCTCTAGTAATCTCTTTTGCTAGTGGCTTTGACTGCAAATAAGTTAAAGAATATTATTTCTGTAGGTTAAATTTTTGTTTTTATTTTATTTTATTTTTGAGAGGTAGTCTTGCTCTGTCACCCAGGCTGGAGTGCAGTGGCACGATCTCGGCTCACTGTAACCTCCACCTCCTGGGTTCACGCAATTCTCCTGCCTCAGCCTCCTAAGTAGCTGGGATTACAGGCACCCACCACCATGCCCAGCTAATTTTTGTATTTTAGTAGAGACAGGGTTTCATAATGTAAGTCAAGCTGGTCTCGAACTCCTGACCTTAAATGATTTGCCTGCCTCGGCTTCCCAAAGTTCTGGGATTACAGGCATGAGCCACCGTGCCCAGCCAAATGTTTATTTTATTTAAATTTATTTTTCTTAATTATTTGGGGTACATAATATGAGTATATATTCATGCAATATATGGCATATTTTGATACAAGAATACAGTATATAATAATCACATCAGGGTAAATGAGGTATCCATCACCTCTAGTATTTATCCTTTGTATTACAAGCAACCCAGTTTTATACTTTTAGTTATTTTAAAATGTAAAATTAAATTGTTATTGATTACAGTGTTATTTTTATGGTCATAATAAAAGTTATGTAGAAGTATAATAAAATCCCTACATTTCTGAGGCCTGAATAAGTATTTTTAAAGTTTTCTAATATTTATTTTTTGAGCATGTTTCCTGTCTGCCTGCAAACACATGCAGACATTTAGTTTTGATTTACATATAGTTAAATATATGTTAGTCTAAAGATAAACCTTAAGTGTAAGAAAATTATAGAGTGAGTTTGTGTGTATGAATTTGTACCTGTTTTCCGAAGAAAAAAGCAATACTGAACAAAACAAATCATTTTAACAAGATGACTACTAGAAAACTAAAAGCCTCAAAAATGCTAAAAGAAAATGTATTCTCTGCTTTGTATTGAATTTATTACTGTACATTCTGTGGCTTATAGTTCTGAATCTCCCCATGAAAATTCTGTTTATACTTGCCTGGTACTCATGATAGACCCCTAATTATTTTGTATCTTTTTTCATATAAATATTTTACAGATTATGAAGTATTCATTATGTGAGCTGGTCTGTGATTATAAGAATAATTTTTACAAAATTTAGTGCATACAAAATTTTTAAATGTAATTCCACAATTAGTGTATTAAGTTACATTTTATTTAGTTAGAACACTTCATTTTGTTTTTAGTTGGAGAACTCTATAGCCCTTTAGTTATTTTTCTTTTCACTTTTTATAGTTGACATAAGTAAATTTATTTATTGAGTCAATTTGTTCAGGTAAGTACTAGGGAAGCTTTATAAGTCGTGAGGATGTTTTTATATTTAAATGTAGCAAACATACATGACAGTTCTTGCTGTGTAACAGATGCTCCATAGTAAGCCATAAGTATTCCTGCTAAAGTTAGCTTGTAACTTCAGTTCAGAGATGGAAAACATCAGTGGTGAAGAAATAAAATTGATTCTTCATGTGGAGAGGACATAGTTTCCAGGCTGCAATGCTGAATCTTGCTGAATTTAAAGAGAAGTTCTGCATCTTTTATTTCTTAATTATCTTCAGATTTCTCTGTATTTATTATGTGTATCCCCAGCTATGTATGCAGCACAGCCCATCTCCTTTTTCTGTGTTATGGCTTCAGTTTTCTCACTGTTGTCTTAATGCCATTTCATTTCACATGGTACTTTGTAAATTTTGACGAGAAAGTTGGTTGTTTTTTTTTTTTTTTTTTTTTTTGAGACAGAGTCTCACTCTTGTTGCCCAAGCTGGAGTGCAGTGGTGCAATGTGGGCTCACTGCAACCTCTGCCTTCCAGGTTCAAGCAATTATCCTGCCTCAGCCTCCCAAGTAGCTGGGATTACAGGCACCTGCCACCACATCTGGCTGAATTTTTTTTTTTTTAATTTTTTGTAGAGACGAAGTTTCACCATGTTGGCCAGGCTGGTTTCAAACTCCTGACCTCATATGATCCACCTGCCTCAGCCTCCCAAAGTGCTTGGATTACAGGCATAAGCCACTGCACCCAGCTGAAAGTTGGTATTTTTTAATGCACTGAATAATTGTTTTTAACTGGAGAGTTTGGTTATCAATATAACTTTCGGATTAGTTAAGATAAAAGCATACATTGTCCACAGGTGAGAAGATTAAATCAGAATAGTTGTTCTTTGTTAAAAAAAAAATTAGATTCTTAAAGTGTGGCAAACATAAAATTTGCAAGAAAATGTAGAAATTAAATTTTTAAGAGTTAATGGTAAGTGAACAATTTTAAATTTATTTTTTATTATGTAACATACTTTTATTAAAATATATACTTATATAATAAAAGTATAACATAATTTTTTTTTTTCTCACATTTAATAATAATTTTTTTTTTTTTTTTTTTTTTTTATTTTTATTGATCATTCTTGGGTGTTTCTCGCAGAGGGGGATTTGGCAGGGTCATAGGACAATAGTGGAGGGAAGGTCAGCAGATAAACAAGTGAACAAAGGTCTCTGGTTTTCCTAGGCAGAGGACCCTGCGGCCTTCCGCAGTGTTTGTGTCCCTGGGTACTTAAGATTAGGGAGTGGTGATGACTCTTAACGAGCATGCTGCCTTCAAGCATCTGTTTAACAAAGCACATCTTGCACCGCCCTTAATCCATTTAACCCTGAGTGGACACAGCACATGTTTCAGAGAGCACAGGGTTGGGGATAAGGTCACAGATCAACAGGATCCCAAGGCAGAAGAATTTTTCTTAGTACAGAACAAAATGTCTCCCATGTCTACTTCTATCCACACAGACCCGGCAACCATCCGATTTCTCAATTTTTTCCCCACCCTTCCCGCCTTTCTATTCCACAAAACCGCCATTGTCATCATGGCCCATCCCCAATGAGCCGCTGGGCACACCTCCCAGACGGGGTCGTGGCCGGGCAGAGGGGCTCCTCACTTCCCAGTAGGGGCGGCCCGGCAGAAGTGCCCCTCACCTCCCAGATGGGGCGGCTGGCCGGGCGGGGGGCTGACCCCCCCACCGCCCTCCCGGACGGGGCGGCTGGCCAGGCAGAGGGGCTCCTCACTTCCCAGTAGGGGCGGCCAGGCAGAGGCGCCCCTCACCTCCTGGATAGGGCGGCTGGCCGGGGGGGGGGCTGTTCCCCCCACCTCCCTCCCGGACGGGGCGGCTGGCCGGGCAGAGGGGTCCTCACTTCCCAGTAGGGGCGGCCGGGCAGAGGCGCCCCTCACCTCCCGGACGGGGCGGCTGGCCAGGCAGGGGGCTGATCCCCCCACCTCCCTCCCGGACGGGGCGGCTGGCCGGGCGGGGGGCTGACCCCCCCCACCTCCCTCCCGGACGGGGCGGCTGGCCGGGCGGGGGGCTGACCCCCCCTCCCCCCTCCTGGACGGGGCGGCTGGCCGGGTGGGGGGCTGACCCCCCCACCTCCCTCCCGGATGGGGCGGCTGGCCAGGCGGGGGGCTGACCCCCCCACCTCCCTCCTGGGCGGGGCGGCTGGCCGGGCAGAGGGGCTCCTCACTTCCCAGTAGGGGCGGCCGGGCAGAGGCGCCCCTCACCTCCCGGACGGGGCGGCTGGCCAGGCGGGGGGCTGACCCTCCACCTCCCTCCCGGACTGGGCGGCTGGCCGGGCGGGGGGTTGACCCCCCCACCTCCCTCCTGGACGGGGCGACTGGCCGGGCAGAGGGGCTCCTCACTTCCCAGTAGGGGCGGCCGGGCAGAGGAGCCCCTCACCTCCCGGCCGGGGCGGCTGGCCGACCCCCCCCCCCCCGCCTCCCTCCCGGACGGGGCGACTGGCCGGGCAGAGGGGCTCCTCACTTCCCAGTAGGGGCGGCCGGGCAGAGGAGCCCCTCACCTCCCGGACGGGGCGGCTGGCCGGGCGGGGGGCTGACCCCCCCCACCTCCCTCCCGGACGGGGTGGCTGCCGGGCGGAGACGCTCCTCACTTCCCAGACGGGGTGGTTGCCAGACGGAGGGGCTCCTCACTTCTCAGACGGGGCGGTTGCCAGGCAGAGGGTTTCCTCACTTCTCAGACGGAGCGGCCGGGCAGAGACACTCCTCACCTCCCAGACAGGGTTGCGGCCCAGCAGAGGCGCTCCTCACATCCCAGACAGGGCGGTGGGGCAGAGGTGCTCCCCACATCTCAGACGATGGGCGGCCGGGCAGAGACGCTCCTCACTTCCTAGATGGGATGGCGGCGGGGAAGAGGCGCTTCTCGCTTCCTAGATGGGATGGCGGCCGGGCAGAGACGCTCCTCACTTTCCACACTGGGCAGCCAGGCAGAGGGGCTCCTCATATCCCAGACGATGGGTGGCCAAGCAGAGACGCTCCTCACTTCCCAGACGGGGTGGCGGCCGGGCAGAGGCTGCAATCTCGGCTCTTTGGGAGGCCAAGGCAGGCGGCTGGGAGGTGGTTGTAGCGAGCCGAGATCACGCCACTGCACTCCAGCCTGGGCACCATTGAGCACTGAGTGAACGAGACTCCATCTGCAATCCCGGCACCTCGGGAGGCCGAGGCTGGCGGATCACTCGCGGTTAGGAGCTGGAGACCAGCCCGGCCAACACAGCGAAACCCCATCTCCACCAAAAAAAAACGAAAACCAGTCAGGCGTGGCGGCGCGCGCCTGCAATCGCAGGCACTCGGCAGGCTGAGGCAGGAGAATCAGGCAGGGAGGTTGCAGTGAGCCGAGATGGCAGCAGTACCGTCCAGCTTTGGCTCGGCATGAGAGGGAGAGGGAGACGGGAGAGGGAGAGGGAGACGGGAGAGGGAGAGGGAGACGGGAGAGGGAGAGGGAGACGGGAGAGGGAGAGGGAGACGGGAGAGGGAGAGGGAGACGGGAGAGGGAGAGGGAGACGGGAGGATAACACATATAATTTTTAAGTGAATGCTAAAGGCTACAAAATAATGAGCTCTGTGAATTTGAAACTTAAAAGAATATTGCTTTTCCATATTGATATTACAATTTGGAGGAATTTCTCATATAATTTTTTAAGTGGGTGAAGTTTAGTCTACAGTTTTTATTTTCTGTCCCTGAAATGCAGGCAACTCCTTAGTCATTTTTTCTGGATAAATTTTGGGCATCATGACAGCATTTGGATTAAAACATTTTCTGTTACTTTGCATGCAAACTAGTTTACTGTGTTCACAGAGTGGCCAGTCATGGGACCATAAGCAACACCTGCTCTTTGAGTGTCTTTCATACCATTACCATCAGCACCAGAAACTCCAGGTGCCCGGAGCTTAAAGTAAAAATCCTAAAGGACATAAGCTTCTTCCATGCAATGTGCTGGGTCCAGAACATACTGTTAAATATCGGAGTTCCTACGGTTATGACTGACAAATTAAATGATAAAAACACAAAAACTATATATCTTGATACTATTCAACCAAAAACAAAAACTATATATTTTGATACTATTCAACCAAGATTATGACAAAAACATGGACAGTATTTGACACATTGTTATCCTTCTATAAAGCTTTAAAAACTTAACTTGACAGATAAAATGTGTACTTTTTCTGTAGAACATAATATTTTGAAGTGTATATACATTGTCAGGTGATTAGTTCTAGGTAACTAATACTTCACATAGTTAACGTTTTTGTGGTGAGACCACATGACATTGTCTTACCACTTTTCAAAAATACAAAAACATGAGCTATAGTCACCATGCTGTACAAAAAAATCTCTTGAACTTATTTCTTCTATTCAACTCTATGTATTATTTGACAGATATCATTCCAACCCTCTTTTTTCTTTTTCTTTTTTGAGACAGTCTCACTCTGTCACCAGCTGGAGTGTAGTGACACAATCTTGGCTCACTGCAATCTCTGCCTCCCCAGTTCAAGTGATTCTCCTGCCTCAGCCTCCCAAGTAGCTGGGATTACAGGCATGTGCCACCACACTCAGCTAATTTTTGTGTTTTTAGTAAAGACGGGATTTCACTATATTGGCCAGGATGGTCTCCTCCTGACCTCGTGATGAGCCTCCCAAAGTGCTGGGGGATTACAGGCGTGAGCCACCGTGCCCAGCCCATTCTAAATACATTGGCCTCTGATGGTCACCATTTTACATCAATGAGGTTATGTTTTTTGGAATCCATGTGTAAGTGAAATCATGAACTATTAACCTTATCTCAATTAATGTTCTCCAGCTTAATCCATGTGATTAAAAATAATGAATTTTTTTTTAAAGGCCAGGTGTGGTGGCTCACACCTGTAATCCCAGCATTCTGGAAGGCCAAGGTGCATTGCATGAGCCCAGGAGTTTGAAACCAGCCTGGGCAACATGAAGAAACCCCATCTTTACTAAAAATACAACAAAAAATTAACTGGGCATGGTGGTGCACACCTGTAATCTCAGCTACTCTGGATGCTGAGGCATGAGAATCCCTTGAACCAGGGATGTGGAGGTTGCAGTGAGCCGAGATTGTATAGACAGAGACTTGGTCTCAAAAAAATTCTTTTTTAAATAGTATTCCACTGTATATATCTACCACATTGTCTTTCTTTACTCATTAGATGCTGAACTGTTGATTTTTTTTTTTTTTTTTTTTATGAAGTCTCACTCTTGTCACCCTGGCTGGAGTGCAGTGGAGCAATCCTGGCTCACTGCAACCTCCACCTCCTGGGTTTAAGTGATTCTCCCAACTCAGCCTCCAGAGTGGCTGGGATTACAGGTGCCCGTCACCATGCCTGGCTAATTTTTATATTTTTAGTAGAGACAGGGTTTCGCCATGTTGGCCAGTCTGGTCTCGAACTTATGACCCCAAGTGATCCGCCTGCCTTGTCCTCCCAAAGTGCTGGAATTACAGGTGTGAGCCACCACACCCAGCCTGAACTGTTGATTCTATATTTTGGCTATTGTGAAGAGTGCTGCAAACAACATAGAAGTGTAAGTGTTTCTTCATTCTGATTTCATTTGTTTTGGAAATATACCCAATAGTGCAACAGCTGTATTACATGGTAGTTTGATTTTAAGTTTTTTGAGAAATCTCTATTTTGTTTTCCTAACGGCCGTCTTCATTTACATTCAAACCAACAGTGTCCACGCAATGCCTTCTCATCTTTCATAACATTTTTTTCTTTTTCATTTTAATAAGAGTCATTCTAACAGGAGTGAATTGATATCTCATAGTTGTTTTTGGCTTGCCTTTCCCTGATCGTACTTAACACTGGGCATATTTAAATATATCTGTTGGCCATAAGTATGTCTTTTCTTGAAAATTATTTAAGCCTTTTGCTCATTTTAAGAGTTACTTGTTTTTGTTGTATAGTTAATTGAGTTTCATATATATTATACATATATTTATTTATATATATATATATACATATATATGTAGTTTTTTTTCTTTGAGACTGACTCTTGCTCTGTCGCCCCAGCTGGAGTGCAGTGGTATGATCACAGCTCACTACAACCTCCACCTCCTGGGTTCAAGCAATTCTCTTGCCTCAGGCTCCCTAGTATCTGGGATTACAGTCACGTGCCACCACGCCTGGCTAATTTTTGTATTTTTAGTAGAGACGGGGTTTCACCATGTTGGCCAGGCTGGTCTGGAACTCCTGACCTCAGGTGATCTGCCCACCTCAGCCTCCCCAAATGCTGGGATTACAAGTGTGAGCCACCGCACCCAGCAAAGTTTCTTACATACTTTTGGTATTAACTCCTTGTCACATGTAATTTGCGAATATTTTCTTTCATTTTTTTAGTTGTCTCATCCTGTTGATTGTATCAGATTCTGTGCAGCAGCTTTTTAATATGAAGTCATCTGACTCATCTATTTTTCCTTTTATTTCCTAAGATTTTGAGGTTAAATAAAAAAAAAAAAAAAAACTGACCAGACACGGTGGTTCACGTCTGTAATCCCAGCACTTTGAGAGGCTGAGGTGGGTGGATCACCTGAGGTCAGGAGTTCAAGACCAGCCTGGCCAACATGGTGAAACCCCATCTCTACTAAAAATACAAAAATTAGCCGGGTGTGGTGGTGGGTGCCTGTAATCCCAGCTACTTGGGATGCTGAGGCAGAAGAATCACTTGAACTCGGGAGGCAGAGGTTGCAATGAGCCGAGATCATGCCACTGCACTCCAGGCTGGGTGACCGAGTGAGACTCCGTCTCAAAAAAAAAAATAAACAAAAAACCAACTTACTGCCCAGAACAGTCTAAGGGGCTTTCATTCTATTTTTCTGTAGCAGTTTCAGAGTTTCAGGCCTTACATTTATTTGTTATTATTACTTTTGAGATGGAGTGTCACTCTTGCTGCCCAGGCTGGAGTGCAATGGTGCACGATCTCAGCTCACTGCAACCTTCACCTCCCGGGTTCAAGTGATTCTTCTGCCTCAGCCTCCCGAATAGCTGGGATTACAGGCGCCTGCAACCACACCGAGCTAATTTTGTATATTTAGTAGAAATGGGGTTCCACTACCTTGGCCAGGCTGGTCTGGAACAACTGACCTCAGGTAATCTGCCTGCCTCCACCTCCCAAAGTGGTAGGATTACAGGTGTGAGCCACCAGGCTCATCTCAAGCCTTACATTTAAGCGTCTAATTTATTTTGAAATGGTTTTTATATACGGTGTGAGATGAGGGTCTCATTTTATTTCTCTGCCTGTGGACATAAAGTTTTCTCAACATCATTTATTGAAGTTACTGTTCTTTTGGCTCATGCCTGTAATCCCAGCCCTTTGGAAGGCTAAGGAGGGTGGATCATGAGGTCAGGAGATCGAGACCATCTTGGCCAACATGGTGAAGCCCCATCTCTAATAAAATACAAAAAAGTAGCCAGGTGTGGTGGCACGCGCCTGTAGTCCCAGCTACTCAGGAGGCTGAGGCAGGGGAATCACCTGAACCCAGATGGCAGAGGTTGCAGTGAGCCGAGATCGTGCCACTGCACTCCAGCCTAGCAACAGAACAAGAGTCCATCTCAAAAATAAAAAAAGAAATTGTCAGCTTTATTCCAAATCACTTAGCTGTAAATACATGGATATATTTCTGGTCTCTTTTTTTCTACTGCATTGGCCTATGTGTCTGTTTTTATTCAAGTACCATACTGTTTTAGTTACTATTGCCTTGTAGAATATTTTGAAGGTATGGTAATACCTTTACTTTTTTTTCTTGATTGCTTTGGCTATTCAGGGTCTTTTGTGGTACCATATAAATTAAATTTTCTATGCAGTATGCCACTGGTATTTTGATAGGGGTTGCATTATATCTGTAGATCAATTTGTGTGATATAGAAATTTATTAATGCAATTCATAAATGAGTAGTATTTCATTTGCGCATTACTCAATTTATGTAATGCTGTTTACAGTATAATATAAGGTGTTTCAACTTTTTGGTTAAGTTTTTTTCAAAATATAGTTACTACAGTTTTTGTAGATGGAATTATTTTTTAATTTCATTTTGAGATATTTGTTAGTGTACATAAATGCTACTGACTTTTGGATGTTGCTTTTGTATTCTGAAAGTTTAATAAATGTGTTTATTTTAATATTTTTCAGTAAAATCTTCGGCTGTTCTATACTTCAGATTATGTACAGAGATAAAAGATAATTATATAGGGATAATGTAATTTCTTCTTAACCTGGATGTCTTTGATTTTATTCTCTAATTTCTTTGTCATGGGCATTTAGTACTATGTTTAGTAAGACTGATTAGAGTGGGCATCCTTGTCTTGTTTTAGCTTTTAGAGTAAAAGTTTACAATATATCCCCGTTTAGTATGTTGTTAGCTGTGCATTTTTTTGGTTATATGTGGCATTTATTGGCTGAGGTGCATTTGTTCTATACCTAAATTTTTCAGAGATTTATCATAAGGGAATGTCAACTTTTGTCAAACTTTTATTCTGCATCTGTTTTTTTTTTCTGTTGTTCTCTGCATCTATTTAAATATTAGAGATGTGAAATCACAACTAATCCTACATAAATGCAAAAAATTGTCAGAGACTACTATGAACACCTCTATGCATGCAAACTAGAAAATTTGGAAAAAATATGCTGGGCATGGTGGCTCACGCCTATAATCCCAACACTTTGGGAGGCTGAGATGGGCGGATCACTTGAGGTCAGGAGTTCAAGACCAGCCTGGCCAACATGGTGGAAACTCATCTCTACTGAAAATACAAAAAATAAAATTAAAAAAAATTAGCTAGTCATGGTGTCACACACCTGCCACGCACCCAGCCTCCCGAATAGCTGGGATTACAGGTGCCCACCACCACACCCAGCTAAATTTTATATTTTTAGTAGAGACAGGGTTTTGCCATGTTGGCCAGGCTGGTCTTCAACTCCTGACCTTAGGTGATGTGCCTGCCTCGACCTCTCAAAGTGCTGGGATTACAAGCATAAGCCACTGCACCCAGCCGCAATGTAATTTTCAAACAATTGACCAGCCTTTTTCCATGTCAAATTCTCTGCTTAATCTATCCTTTATTTTCACTCTTCAAAGGCATTTTAACTGTTTTTTTTTTTTTAGATGGACTTTCGCTCTTATTGCCCAGGCTGGAGTGCAATGGCACAATCTAGGCTCGCCACAAGCTCCGCCTCTTGGGTTCAAACAATTCTCCTGCCTCAGCCTCCTGAGTAGCTGGGATTACAGGCATACGCCACTACACCTGGCTAATTTTGTATTTTTAGTAGAGATGGGGTTTCTCCATGTTGGTCAGGCTGGTCTCAAACTCCTGACCTCAGGTGATCTGCCCGCCTTGGCCTCCCAAAGTGCTGGGATTACAGGCGTGAGCCACCGCACCCAGCCATATACATGCTTTTATGACAAATCATTTTGTGATTATTTAAATTTTTAATTTAGCAGCGTTGTCTGGGTTTAAAATATGAATGGTGACATATCAGAGAAAGAAATAATAAAGAATACAAAACAAAGCATGATAGTGTTGATGGCTGTGTGAGACCTCGATTCTTCTCACTTTCAAAAAATTTAAACAAGAGACACAAAACAATGAAGATGCAGCATAGAGTGATTTATTGCAAAGTAGAAATACTATTTTAAAAGTTAGGTAAAGAATAGCCAGTACTCGCTGAGAGAGGAGGAATTCAGGGCAGGCTGCTGTAAGAATGAGACAGCAAAGACTGGAACTAGGGAGACTCAGTTATGGGAGTCTTACGTAATTATTTACAAGGAGACGGGAAGAGGTGTTAGTAAGCATGTTCTGGGTGGTCCTTTTGGTGCACAGACACAGTGGCTGTACATGCTTATATGTCACATATCTCATTAACATCTTAAATCTTCACACACGTGTTTATTTTTTACTATTATAATGAGTAAAAGGTCAGTTAGAGGACAAGTAAAATCAAAATGTGCATGTTCTCTACAGGGGAATTTCCCTACTGAAGAGAGCTTTGCTTGAATGGCTGAAATACAGTGTAAATGCTGGGGCTTATCGTGTTGACAATATGCAGTCAGCATGCAATTGCTGTGGTTGCTGCATCCCGAGGACATCGTCACTTTCTTGACTACCTAGCCTGCCTCAATAGTACTTGTCTTGATTTATTCTAAATTATCAACCCTGAGACTCAGATTTAGCTGTTATGTCAACAATGTCAACAGTGGAAAAGTCAAAATTTTTAAATCAAACATATTTGAGCTTGTTGGGTCACTAGCTGTGTATCCAAGAGAAATTATTTGACATCCCTGGAGCTTCAATCTTCATTATTAATATAAAACACTATTTCCCCTAAGGCTACTTTAATTCATGAATGATAGCTATAATACTTGTCTAAGTATTAAATATTAAAAGAAAAAATCATTCATATTTCAAAGATATGAGCGGGTATATTTTGTCATATTTATTCTTTTCTAAAAAAGTCATAATTGTATTAATTTTTTCTAGAATAACGGACTATGGGTATCTAAGTTATGACTTTGCTAATTTTTACATATGGTAAAACTGCTACTGTTAAATTTGGGTTAAATTTTAAACCCACTGTTTTTTAGCTTGTGTGATTTTTTGTTCATTTGGGGAACAAAATATGTTAGATGTTGACTGTTTGGGGTAACTTGGGTTCATTTCTGCTGTCTTTCTGTTATTCCATCTGGGGATTTAGAAATGACTAGGATTAAATTAAGGTTGGTTTGGAATCAAGCAACAGAAAATCCCAGAAAGGACTAAGGAAAATAGCTACTGGATACTGCCTTTCAGTGAGATTTATACATGAAACAGAGTTTAATGAAATTCATAAAATTATTGCAAGTTTTTTAAATTTAGAAACTAATTGCCTACAACATATTAGGCACTTGTCTTAGTTTGTCTATGGCAACCGTACGTTGGGGAAGCTGATATTACAGAAAAGGATATTGCTACTGTAATAAGATTTGGAACAAATGTTTATGTGCTTATGAACAGTCCCCCCTAATAATCCTTAGAGACGTGTCATTCTGGCTCAATCCTTTTGGCATGACTCTAATTCCAGAGACTCCTTCCCACCAAAGCAAGCCATGGAGTTTTCAGCTGCTTATGCTTATTTTCAGTTAGTAAGCTTCATAGTTGATGTCATTATATTGGGGTCCCCAGGAATCCCTGAGCCTTAGGGCTGATCATCCTACCCCATCCTTCTTGCTTCTCATGCTCTGTTGTTGAGTCCCTCTCATTCTATATTTGAGCCTTCACAAGACTTCAGTTTGGATAAACCAGAGAAATGGGTTGCCATATGTATTGAGTTGACAATCAGAATCCGTTTGAGGATAAAGACTTTACATTTATTGTTCATACTAAGTACAAAGCAGTATTTTTAAGATGTGAAAATGTTTTATTCAAACTGAATATAAATAATTTTTTTTTAAGATGGAGTCTCGCTCTGCCACCCAGGCTGGAGTGCAGTGGCAGGATCTTGGCTCACTGCAACCTCCACCTCCTGGGTTCAAGGGATTCTCCTGCCTCACCCTCACTCCTGAGTAGCTGGGATTACAGGTGTGCACCACCACACCCAACTAATCTTTGTATTTTTAGTAGAGACGGTGTTTCACTATGTTGGTCAGGCTGGTCTCAAACTCCTGACCTCATGATCCGCCCAACCTTGGCCTCCCAAAGTGCTGGGATCACAGGTGTGAGCCACCGCACCTGACCCAATATAAGTGATTTTATTGGTATGCCAATGTGATCAAAATAATTGTATCAAGTTCACCAAATGTTCTGCTTTAGACTCTACCAACACAAAGATCAATATGTACACACTGGTCAAGTTAGTTTTTTTGGTGTATGGTTTTGTTTGTTTACATTTTTAAAGATTTTTTTCTACTTAATGCTGATGTTCAACTACACAAAGCTTACCAAAAGCACTATTTCACCACATTTTCAACTAAAAATTTAAATACTTAAATATTGAAAGTGACATTCTGGATTACCCTTTTCCTTATGATGGAGTCTGCGTTAATTAGTCCTCCATTGCAGTTTTTCTTTACCTGGTGCAAGGTTATAGAAACGCCATCCAGTTGATTTTGATTTATTAGGTAACAGTAGAATCTGTTTTCTCAGGCAGTAGCATGAGAATTCTTGATGTACTACCTTTACATGTACTGAAAGCAACTGGATAAATTTGCTGAAATTTGTCTTTATTCTTAAGGTCATTAGAGCCTTAGTCATAGCAACACATGTTATAGTTCAGTCCAATACTTTTTGTCTAAAATTTTGTTGAGCTGCATGCATCTGTATATGTAACTCGGTAACAGCTTCTTTATTCTAAGCCAGAACTCATTTTACCTGCTGGTTTTGTTTTAAATATATGAGCTTTATTATATAACATTTAAATAAGTAATAGAAATGAATTCAGAGGTTATGGAAAGAAAAGTACAGGCACACTAAAAACGAATTGGAATCTGGCAGCTGACACTGATTAACAGGTTGAGCAGATTGGACTAGACCTACATTCCTGTAAACAATATTGAAAGGGAGAATTTTAATTGAAAACATCTTCAATAACATAATATACCTATGAGATTTGAAAAAAATTGATTTGTTTACCCATCATCAATCAACACTAGGTTAAACTAGAACATTTTGAACACATTATTCCAAAAATGAAATTAGTAAATTATTCTCAGACTTAATATGATTAAAACAAGACTTCTGGGTATTTGAAAGCACCAAATTATTGATGAAAGATATCCATTTTAAATAGATTCTTGATCTTATATATATATTACTACTAAGTAAAACCTAACACTGATAGCTTTAATATATGAAATATTTGTGAATGTCTATCACTGTAGTGAAAAAATCAAATTATTTAAACTTACTAAATTTTGATTAAAATATTTGGATATTTGGTATTTTATCCAAATATCCAATGTGGGCATTGGACATTGAGTGCCAGTGTCCACATAGTATGGCAAAGCACCCATTTCTTTAGTATTCTGTTATTTTATAAAATAAGCCAGAATTTGTGGAGACATTTGTAAAACAAAAATAAAAACAAAACAATCTTTTCTAAAAAAAATCTAGACATTAGAAAATAGAGATACTAATGTTAGATTATATAAACAGTTTGCTGAACCCTACAGTAATCTGTGAAGTTTTTTGGGGGGGGGGGTACAACAATCTTAGGTTACCTAAAACAAAATGAAGTCTCTTATGTTAAGCTTAACACACAAAAGTTTAAAATATATCCAGACAGACAGGAACTGTGGCTGCCACTTTAAAAAAACAAATGTTTCAGCACGCTACACTGTTTTATGTATGAATAGATGGAAAACCAGACTTTGAAGTTTTCAAATTTGTGACTGTAAGCCTTAAATATATAAAACAAATACAGTTTATTCTTCTTAATTTAAAATATACTGTTCTTGGAACATCAAGTGACATTAGACTATCAAAAACTTCATAAGTCATGCAAGTGTCAACTGTATTTTCAAAATTATAAGAACATAGAACAAGTAAACTAAACCGCTACAGTTTAGTTAAAAATAATAATAATAAACTACTCTGTATTTGCCCTTGTGATGAGAATCACTTTTATTCATTTTGGAACAAACAGGAAATGCTGCGGTGGTAACTTGCTGAGTGGTGACTGTGATGAGATTTACTGCCCTAGGGATGATGGGATCCAGTGGACCAGAATCGTCAGCACCTTACCATGGTCACTGCTGTCCTTTCTTTCTGTCATTCATTTCTCAAACTTCTTCATCAATTCCGTCTCTATCGTTGTGTGAACGGTTTTGCACTGCTTTAGCATCTGCCTTTGATTTCTGCTAATTTTTCATCTTTCTAGTCCATCTCTGGTGGCTGCTTTGCTGTTCCACTTTGAGGAGTTCGCACAACTTCACCCTCAGGTGTTCCAACGGTCCGTCCATTTTTGTGGTTCTTCTGTTCCTGGCGTCTGAGATTTGTCAGCAGGGCCTGGTTTTCAGCGACCATGCCCTCTTTCTGCCGGCAGGGCGGCTCCTGCACTTCTGGCGGGCGCCGGTTCCAGCCACGGCTTAGCCAAGCACAGCAGGAACCGCAGGAGCAGATGGAGCGCCCACGTCCGGGGTGGCCCAGCCGGTGGACGCCTCGGCTCTAACCCTTGGTCATGGCGCAGCTTGGTGCGCAGAAACCCGATGTCAACCAGAGCA
The DNA here is from genome assembly GCF_000001405.40 of Homo sapiens. Lineage (NCBI taxonomy): Eukaryota > Metazoa > Chordata > Mammalia > Primates > Hominidae > Homo > Homo sapiens. Next base: position 21,709,554 of record NC_000019.10, on the reverse strand, counting down.
TTTTGTGCAGCTGGGCGAGCTTTCCTTGGCATGCGGGGCAGTTCCCCCATCATCTTCATGCTGCCACCTCGCCTTTCATCAGAGAGTTACACAGGATGGTGCAGGGGCCTGGAGACACCGTGGAAGAGTCCAAAGGAGTGAGGAGGGGCTGGGCTGGGCAGCCTCAGGCCCAGGACATGGCGGCGCCCCTCATGCCTGAGCAGAAATCGGCCACTGCCACCTCCGGGAGGACAGTGGGGCCCAGGCTCCCCCAGCTAGCCTCACTCTGCACCAGCAGAGGAAAGAATTATTTTCTAAAAAAACAAAAAGTATGGAGGAGAACTTGCGGATCTGACCGAATCAAATTTTCATTTTTCTTTTTCTTTCTTTTTTTTTTTTTTTTTTTGCCATTTCCCCTTAAATTGTGCTCTCCTGAAGTCAGGTTTCATGTTCCATCCTCATGTGGCAATTTAAATGTAATTATAATGGTCCCAAATTTAGAAACTAAAAATTTTAATGGCCGGGCCAGGTGGCTCACGCCTATAATCCCAGCACTTTGGGAGGCCGAGGCAGGTGGATCACCTGAGGTCAGGAGTTCGAGACCAGCCTGACCAACATGGGGCAACACCGTTTCTACTAAAACTACAAAATTAGCTGGGCATGGTGGCGCATGCCTGTAATCCCAGCTACTCAGGAGGCTGAGGCAGGAAAAATCGCTTGAACCCGGGAGGTGAGGTTGCGGTGAGCCCACATCGCACCATTGCACTCCAGCCAAGGCAACAAGAGTGAAACTCCGTCTGAAAAAAAAAAAAAATGTATTTTACCCATGTGTGCTGGGTTAACATTAAACTTTCTTTTTTTTTAAATTTTTATTTATTTAGTTTTTTTATTGATCATTCTTGGGTGTTTCTCAGAGAGGAGGATTTGGCAGGGTCATAGGACAATAGTGGAGGGAAGGTCAGCAGATAAACATGTGAACAAAGGTCTCTGGTTTTCCTAGGCAGAGGGCCCTGGGGCCTTCCGCAGTGTTTGTGTCCCTGGGTACTTGAGATTAGGGAGTGGTGATGACTCTTAACGAGCATGCTGCCTTCAAGCATCTGTTTAACAAAGCACATCTTGCACCGCCCTTAATCCATTTAACCCTGAGTGGACACAGCACATGTTTCAGAGAGCACAGGGTTGGGGGTAAGGTCATAGATCAACAGGATCCCAAGGCAGAAGAATTTTTCTTAGTACAGAACAAAATGGAGTCTCCTATGTCTACTTCTTTCCACACAGACACAGCAACAATCTGATTTCTCAATCTTTTCCCCACATTTCCCCCTTTTCTATTCGACAAAACCGCCATCGTCATCATGGCCCGTTCTCAATGAGCTGTTGGGTACACCTCCCAGATGGGGTGGCGGCCGGGCAGAGGGGCACCTCACTTCCCAGAAGGGGCGGCCAGGCAGAGGCGCCCCCCCACCTCCCGGACGGGGCGGCTGGCCGGCCAGGGGCTGGCCCCCCCAACCTCCCTCCCGGACGGGGCGGCTGGCAGGGCAGGGGCTGACCCCCCACCTCCCGGACGGGGCGGCTGCCAGGCGGAGACGCTCCTCACTTCCCAGACGGGGCGGCTGCCGGGCGGAGGGGCTCCTCACTTCTCAGACGGGGCGGCCGGGCAGAGACGCTCCTCACTTCCTAGACGGGATGGCGGCCGGGAAGAGGCGCTCCTCACTTCCCAGACTGGGCAGCTGGGCAGAGGGGCTCCTCACATCCCAGACGATGGGCGGCCAGGCAGAGACGCTCCTCACTTCCCAGATGGGGTGGCGGCTGGGCAGAGGCTGCAATCTCGGCACTTTGGGAGGCCAAGGCAGGCGGCTGGGAGGTGGAGGTTGTAGCGAGCCGAGATCACGCCACTGCACTCCAGCCTGGGCACCATTGAGCACTGAGTGAATGAGACTCCGACTGCAATCCCGGCACCTCGGGAGGCCGAGGCTGGCAGATCACTCCCAGTTAGGAGCTGGAGACCAGCCCGGACAACACAGCGAAACCCCGTCTCCACCAAAAAAATATGAAAACCAGTCAGGCGTGGCAGCGCACGCCTGCAATCGCAGGCACTCGGCAGGTTGAGGCAGGAGAATCAGGCAGGGAGGTTGCAGTGAGCAGAAATGGCAGCAGTACAGTCCAGCTTCGGCTCGGCATCAGAGGGAGACCGTGGAGAGGGATAGGGATAGGGATAGGGATAGGGATAGGGATAGGGATAGGGATAGGAATAGGAATAGGGAGAGCAACATTAAACTTTCGATAGTGCTTTCTGCATTCTACACTTCATTATTTTCTATTTGATTTTATTAACTAAACTATAGAAAATAAAAATAATAAAGGCTTGATTTGCATAGTTTCACAGTTTACAAAGAATATGTATTCATTCTTTTAACCAATAAATGTATGTGGAGCACACATGATATGCCATCCTTTTGGTAGCCTTAGAAAATAAAATAGAGAAAGGAAAGTTTTGGTCTCTACTCTCATGAAACTTGAAGTCTAACTACATAAACGCCTTACACACTCCTGATAAGTGGATACTTCTGAAGTTTCCTATAAACCTCCTATCCCAATCTGACTTCAGGAGAGCACAATCTAAGAGGAAAAAGCAAAACAAAAAGAAAAAGAGAATGAAAATGTGATTGGGTCAGATATGCAAGTTCTACTCCATACTTTTGTTTAAGAAATAGTTTTCCGGTGAAACCCCGTCTCTACTAAAAATACAAAAAATTAGCCGGGCGTAGTGGCGGGCGCCTGTAGTCCCAGCTACTTGGGAGGCTGAGGCAGGAGAATGGCGTGAACCCGGGAGGCGGAGCTTGCAGTGAGCCGAGATCCCGCCACTGCACTCCAGCCTGGGCGACAGAGCGAGACTCCGTCTCAAAAAAAAAAAAAAAAAAAAAAAAAAAAAAAAAAAAAAAATAGTTTTCATCTCTACTGGTGCAGAGGGAGGCTGGCTGGGAAGCCTGGGCTTCTCTGTCCTCCCTGCAGTGGCAGTGGCTGATCTGATTTGTGCTCAGGTATGAGGGGCACCACCATGCACTTGGCCTGAGGCTGCCTGTCCCAGCTCATCCTCACTCCCCTGGACTCTTCCATGGTGACTCCGTGCTCCTTCCTCATCCTGTGCATCCCTCTGATGGTAGAGGAGGAGGCAGCAGGAAGCTGGTGGGAGGGCCTGGCTCCACAAACTGAGGAGGGTTCACCCAGCTATGGGAAATGCTCTGGATGACCTTAGATTTCTATGCAGTTAGCTGGACCTCATCCCAGGGTTACAGCCAGGGTGTCCCTGAGCTGGGTGACACCAGATGTGGATGCTCTGGCTGCTGCTGTTGTTTCTGTAGAATCAGCACCCACCAGAAGTGCAAGAGCCACCCTGCAGGTGGAACGAGGTGGTAGCCATGGTTCCTGAAAACCACGCCCTGCTGACAAATCTCAGATGCCACAAACAGAAGAACGGGGAGAAACTGTCCAAGAGCTTGAGCCAAATGAATGGACTGCTGGAGCAGCTGAGGGTGAAACCACCTGAACTTCTCAAACTGGTACAGCAAAGCAACCACCAGAGATGGACAAGAATAATAAAAAGTCAAAGAAAATTAGCAGAAGTTAAAGGAAGATGCTAAAGCAGTCCAAAATTATTCATGCCACAATAGAAATGAAGTTGAAGAGGAGTTAATACAGGATTTATTAAGAAACTGTTTTAGGCAGTTTAAGTGGGTAAAAGAGTTCTCACTGGAATTTTCCTTTAATAAAAAGCAGCCCCCAAACCATTTTATTCCTAACAGAAAGTAGCCTAAAAAGTCAAACTGCAAGCTTATAAGCAAGCTAGAGGGTTGCATATGTAAATAGAGGCAGCTGTACCAAAAGCCAGTTATATTTCAACATGGAAACTTCCCCCTCTTTTCCTTTTCACCCTGTGTGTAGGTGTCATGGTCACAGCCAGGTAGAAGCTGCATTTGCATAATAAAAGGCTAGGGTGGGGAGCCAGTGTTTTCACTGGCTATGTAAATGGCACTCCTGGTCAACCAAACCCCTGGGCCCTATGTAAATCAATCACTGCCTCCACAAGCCTCTCTACAAAATCAATCGTGTTCTACCCCAAACCCAGAAACTCTTCTGGGTGACCTGCTTTCTCAGCATGAGGAAGCTTTCTCTCTTCTTTTTTGTCTATTAAACTTTCTGCTCCTAAACCCACTCCTCCTGTGTGTTTATGTCATACATTTTCCTGGCATTAGACAATGGACCCCAGGTATTTACCCCAGACAGTGCAGCCATTTCATCTGGGAGCTTGTCCAGGATCAGAACAAAATACAGAATCATCGGAGTGGTGAGTATGGAGTGACCATCAAATCTGACCTTTAATCTCAAGGCTCTCAACCTCCATTTTAAAATACTTCAGGCTGGGCACAGTGGCTCACGCCTGTAATCCCAGCACTTTGGGAGGCTGAGGTGGGAAGATCACCTGAGGTCAGGAGTTTGAGACCAGCCTGGCCAACGTAGTAAAACACTGTCTCTACTAAAAATACAAAAAATTAGCTGGTGTTGTGGCAGGCACCTGTAATCCCAGCTACTCGGGAGGCTGAGGCAGGAGAATCGCTTGAATCCAGGTGGCGGAGGTTGTGGTGAGCCAAGATTGCACCATTGCACTCCAGCCTGGGCAACAAGATCGAAACTCCATCTCAAATTAAAAAAAAAAAAAAAAAAAGAATGATACAGCAAAGGCTGGAACTAAGGAGATTCCATTTATGAGAGTCTTACATAATTATTTATAAGGAGGTGGAAAGAGATGTTACTAGTAACCATGTTCTGGGTGGTTCTCTTCGTACACACACTCAGTACCTGTACATGTTTCTTTATATGTCACATATCTCATTAGCATCTTAAATCTCCACACACGTGAGTGTTTTTTACTATTACAATGAGTAAAAGGTCAGTTAGAGGACAGGTAAAATCAAACTGTGCTCTCTACAGGGGAATTTCCCTGCTGGAGAGAGCTTTTCTTGAATGAGCTGAAATCCAATGTAAATGTTGGTGCTTATTGTGTTGGCAGTCTGCAGTTGTCATGCAATCACCATGGTTGCCGCATCCCCAGGACATAGCCACTTTCTTGATTACCTAGCCCGCCTCAATAGTACTTGATTTATTCCCCAACTATCAACTCTAAGGCTCAGATTTAGCTGTTATGTCAACATTGTCAACAGTGGCAAAATTAAAATTTTTAAATCAAACATATTTGAGCTTCATTTGGGTCACTAGCTGTGTATCCAAGATAAATCATTTTACATTTCTGGAGCCTCAATATTCATTATTAATAAAAATTATTTCCCCCAAGGCTATTTTAGTTCATGCATGGTAGCTATAATACATGAAAGTCTTGTCTAAATATTATATTAAATACTTAGGAGAAAGAAAATCATATTTCAAAGATATAAGTGAGTTGGTATATTTTGTCATATTTAGTGTATTTTTTCTTTTTTAAAAATGCCAAAATAAGAATTTTATTATTTTTTCTGGAATAACAGAATGTTTCTAAGTTATGACTTTGCTGATTTTTACATATGGTTTTCTGCTACTGTTGAATGTAGGTTAAATTTCAAACCCACTGTTTTTTAGCTTGTGTGGTTTTTGGGGTCATTTTGGGGAACAAAATATATTAGACATTGACTGTTTGGGGAAACTTGGTTTCATTCCTGCCCTCTTTCTTTTATTACATCTAGGGCTTCAAAAATGACTAGGATTCTAATAAGGTTGATTTGAAATCAAGCAACAGAAATTCCCAGAAAAGTCTCAGGGAAATAGCTACTGGATAGTGTCTTTTTGTGAGATTTATACATGAAACAGAGTTCAATAAAATTTATAAAATTATTGCAAGTTTTTGGGCCAGGTGTGGTGGCTCACCCCGGTAATCCCAGCCCTTTGGGAGCCCGAGGTGGGTGGATCACCTGAGGTCAGGAGTTCGAGACCGGCCTGGCCAACGTGGTGAAACTCTGTCGCTACTAAAAATGCAAAAAATAGCTGGGCATGGTGGCAGGCACCTGTAATCCCAGGTATTTGGAGGGCTGAGGCAGGAGACTTGCTTGAACCTGGGATACAGAGGTTGCAGTGAGCCGAGATTGTGCCACCACACTCCAGCCTGGGTGACAGAGCGAGACTCTATCTCAAAAAAAAAAATTGCAAGTTTTTTAAATTTAGAAACTAATTGCCTTCAACATATTAGTGCCTTGTCTTAGTTTGTCTACAGCAACCCTACCTTGGGGAAGCTAAAATTACAGAAAAGGATATTGCTACTGTAATAAGTTTTGGAACAAATACTTATGTGCTTATGAACATTCCTCCTTAATAATCCTTAGATACATGTCATTCTGGCTCAATCCTTTTGGCAGGACTGTTTGTAATTCCAGAGACTTTTTCTCACCAAAGAGAAGCCATGGAGTTTTCAACTTTTTTTTTTTTTTTTTTTTTTGAGATGGAGTCTCACTCTGTCACCAGGCTGGAATGCAGTGGTGTGATCTCGGCTCACTGCAACCTTCACCTCCCGGGTTCAAGCCATTCTCGTGCCTCAGCCTCCTGAGTAGCTGGGATTAGAGGTGTGCGCCACCATGCCCAGCTAATTTTTGTATTTTTAGTAGAGACGGGGTTTCACCACGTTGGCCAGGATGGTCTTGATCTCTTGACCTTGTGATCCGCTTGCCTAGGCCTCCCAAAGTGCTGGGATTACAGGCATGAGCCACCATGCCCAGCCTCAGCTTTTTATGTTTATGTTTACTAGTGAGCTTCATAGTTGACATCATTATATTGGGGTCCCCCAGGAACCTCTGAGCCTTAGAGCTGACCATCCTACCTCATCCTTCTTGCTTCTCATGCTCTGTTGTTGACTCCCTCTCACTTCATGTTTGAGCCTTCATGAAACTTCAGTTTGGAGAAACCAGAGACACGGGTTGCCATATATCTTGAGAATCAGGATCCTCTTGAGGATAAAGACTTTACATTTATCATTCATGTTACAAAACAGTATTTTTAAGATGTGAACATGTTTCAGTGAAATTAAATAAAATGATTTTATCAGTATGCCAATGTGATCAAAATAACTGTATCAAGTTCACCAAATGTTTTGCTTTAGACTCTCCCAAAACAAAGATCAATATGTATGCACTGGTAGATGTTAGTTTTTTTGGTGTAGCTTTTTGTTTGCATTTTTAAAGATTTTTTTTCTACTCTATGCTGATGTTAAGCTACACAAAGCTTACCAAAAACTTAATTTTATCACATTTTTCAAGTGAAAGGTTAAATACTTTTTTTTTTTTTTTTTTTTTGAGGCAGAATCTCACTCTGTAACTCAGGCTAGAATGCGGTGCTTCAATCTCAGTTCACTGCAATCTCTGTCTCCTGAGTTCAAGCTATTCTCTTGCCTCAGCCTCCTGAGTAGCTGGGATTACAGGTGCTTCCCACCATGCTTGATTTTTGTATTTTTAGTAGTGATGGGTTTTACCATGTTGGCCAGGCTGGCCTTGAACTCCAGACCTAAAGTGATCCACATGACTCAGCCTCCCAAGTGCTGGGATTACAGGCATGAGTCCCCATGCCCAACCTAAATACTTACATATTGAAATTGACATTCTAGATTATTCTTTTCCACATTATATCGTCTGTAATTATTAGTACTGCATTGCAGTTTTTTCTTGCACAAGCTTATAAAAATATATCCAGTTGATTTCTTAGATAAGAGAAGAATCTGTTTTTTCAGACAGTAGCATGAGAATTCTTGACATACTATCTTTAGAGATACTGAAAGCAACTGGATAAATTTGCTGAAATTTGTCTTTGTTCATAAGCCCACTAGAGGCTAAGTCATAGCAACACACGTTGCCATAGTTCAATTCAAATTTTTTTGTCTAAAATCTTGTTGAGCCACATCCATCTATGTATGTAACACTAACTTGGTGACAGCTTCTTTATACTAAACCAGAACTCATTTTACCTGGTGGTTTTGTTTTAAATGTATGAGCTGTGCTATATGATATTCCAATAACTAATCAAAATGTAATTCAGAGACTATGGAGAAAAAGTCACATAGGCACACTAAAAATGAGTTGGAATCTGGCAGCTGACACTGATTAACAGGTTGAGCAGATTAGACTAGACCTAAATCCCTGTAAACAATATTAAAAGAAAGAATTTTTATTAATAACATCCTTGACAATGTAATAGGCCTATGAGATTTGAAAAGAAATTGATTAGTTTACCCATCATCAATCCATATTAAACTATCAAATTTTGAACACACCATAAAAAATAAAATTAGTAAACTATTCTTAGAGTTAATCTGATTAAAACAAGACTTCTGGGTATTTGAAAACACCAAATTATTGATGAAAAATACCCATTTTGAACAAATTCTTGATCATATATTATACATCATACATATATGATAATGTATGATTGCATATATGATATGTATGTATGATGTATGATATATATGATCAATAATTTGTTCAAAATGGACATTTTCATCAATAATTTGGTGTTTTCAAATACCCAGAATATATATATATTTTTTAAATACCCAGAATATATATATATATTACTACTAAGTAAAACCTAATACTAATAGCTTTGATTTATAAAATATTTGTGAATTTCTATCCTGTAGTGAAAAATCAAGAAATTATTTAAATCTGCTATCTAAATTTTGATTATAATATTTGGTATTTTAATTAAGTGCATGTATTCATATACTATGGCAAACCACCTATTTCTTTACTATCCTGCCATTTTATAAAATAAACCTGAATTTGTGGAGATATTTGTAAAAAAAAAATTATTTCTAAAAAAAGTTTTGATTTAGACATCAAAATAGATATTAATGTCACATTATAAACATAGTTTGCTGAACCCTACAGTAATCTGTAGTTTGTGTACAACAGTCTTAGATTACCTAAAACAAAAAGTCTCTTTCTTATGTTTAACATGCAAAAGTCCAAAATATATCCAGACAGATGGAAACTGTGACTGCCATCTTAAGATACAAATGTTTCAGCACGATAACACTGTTCTGTGTATGTACAGATGGAAAAACCAAACTTTGAAGTTTTCAAATCATAAACAGGAGTGTAATTTGTGATTCTAAACCTTAAATATAGGAAACAAACACATACAGTTTACTCTTCTTAATTTAAAATATACTGTTCTTTGAACAATTCAAGTAATGTTAGACTATCAAAAATTTCATAAGCCATACAAGTGTCAACTGCATTTTCAAAATTATAAGAACTTAAGAGTAAACTAAACTGATACAGTTCAGTTTAAAAAGTAAACTACTTTTTATTTGCCTTTGTGATAAGAATCACCTGTATTTATTTTGGAACAAACAAGAAATTATATGGTGGTAACTTGCTGGGTGCTGACTGTGATGGTATTTACTTTCCTAGGGATAGGAAGATCCAGTGGACCAGAATCATAAGCACCTTGCCATGTTCATTGCTGTTCTTTTTTTCTGTGACTAAGATTCATTTCCCAGACTCTGAAATGGCTGCATTGTCTGGGGTAAATACCTGGGGTTTGTTGTCTCACACGAGGAAAATTTAGAACACGAACACACACGAGGATTGATTTTGGGGTGGAAAGTTTAATAGACAACACGCCTGTAATCCCAGCACTTTGGGAGGCCGAGGCAGGTGGATCACGAGGTCAGGAGATCGAGACTATCCTGGCTAACACGGTGAAACCCCGTCTCTACTAAAAATACAAAAAATTAGCCGGGCGTGGTGACGGGCGTCTGTAGTCCCAGCTACTCGGGAGGCTGAGGCAGGAGAATGGCGTGAACCCGGGAGGCAGAGCTGGCAGTGGGCCGAGATGGCGCCACTGCACTCCAGCCTGGGCGACAGAGTGAGACTCCGTCTCAAAAAAAAAAAAAAAAAAAAAAAAAGAAAGTTTAATAGGCAAAAATAACAGAGAGAGAGAAAGCTCCTCATGCTGAGAAACAGGGTCACCTAAAAAATTTCCTGGTTGCGGGTAGAACACAATTGATTTTGTAGAGAAGCTTGAGGAGTCAGTGATTGATTTACATAGGGCACAGGAGATTGGTTGACCAGGTGTGCCATTTACATAACCCATGCAAAGGCTGGCCCTCCCACCCTAGTCTTTTATTATGCAAATGTAGCTTCTACCTGTCACCATGATACCTGCTCACGTGGCTTTACCTGGCTGGTGCCATGACACCCACACAAGTGGTGTCAAAGAAAAAAGAGGAGGAATTCACCTCTGTTGAAATGTACTTGCCTTTTAATACAGCCGCCTGCATTTACAAATGAAAGTCTCCAGCCTGCTTATCAGCTTGCAGCTTGACTTTTCAGGCTGTTTTCTGTTAGAAAAGAATTGGCTTTGGGGCTGCTTTTTATTAAAGAAAAATTCTAGTGAGAGAACTCTTTTACCCTCTCTAAATGCCTAAAATAATTTCTTAATAACTCCTATATTATTCTCCCCTCAGGAGACGTATTCCTAACTGCTGTTAGGGGGTGTCAGATGACGAATCTTTCAAGATACTTCCTGCTGAAAAGGGCCATCATGTTGGGGAACAGCAGTTAGGGCTCCTCCTGAGGTTGATCTAAGAGTTCTTGAAAAAAAATGGTGTGTCCAGGCCAGGTGCAGTGGCTTATGCCTGTAATCCCAGCACTTTGGGAGGCCGAGGCAGGTGAATCACCTGAGGTCAGGAATTCAAGACCAGCCTGGCCAACATGGTGAAACCGCATCTCTAATAAAAACACAAAAATTATCCAGACTTGGTGTTGCGTGCCTGTAATCCCATCTACTAGGGAGGCTGAGGCAGGAGAATTGCTTCAACCTGGGAGGCGGAGGTTGCAGTGAGCCGATATCTCACCACTGCACTCCAGCTTGGGTGACAGAGCGAGACTTCGTCTTAAATCAAACAAACAAACAATAAAAAAAAAGAATGGTGTGTCCTCGTGTGGCTCTGTTTGCAGCACCTAGGCAAAAAAGAGATAATTTTTACCAGAAGGTTTTGAAGACAGGATTAGAATATTCATATTAAGATGACCGCTGCTAGTGGGGTAATACAACCTTATGGTATAATAGCAGAGTTCTACACCTGTTAGTTGTCCCAATGGATTGTAATACTGGTTTGCCTCCACTAGATGTTGCTGTACATTACCAGAAACGTTAATATAAAAGTAACATTTTCTTTGAGAAAAACATACATTTTCCCCTTGACTTGCCATTAGGGAATACTTTTAGGTTTAGGCCATTTTTATAACTTTCAATATGATTGGGAGAAATACATCATCCGGTGGCTAAAGTAACTTTAGTGTTAATCTTGGCAATGCCTTTCCTTTAATTATTCAACTCTTTATTTCCACAGACCATCTTATAACAAACTTTCTGACTTGTCCTAAACATCCATTCTTTAAACAACCAGTCATCTCCTTTTAGAACAAGAATTTAACATACAAGATTCTTCCTTATATAAAATCTTTCTTTATAACTGTCTTTCTGTAGCTTACAGTGCACCATATTACCAATTTTTTTTTTTTTTGAGACAAAGTCTTGCTCTTGTCCCCCAGGCTGAAGTACAATGGCATGATCTCTTGATACCCTACCTTGTTTTAACCTGATTATCTCTCTTAGCTGAGAGAGCCGGACAGACTCCATTTTATTTCCTTCACTTACAGCCCCTTTACCTCCCTCCCTTAAGGGCATAACTAGTGCAAGCTGACTCCAAGCACGTCCAGGAATGCACTTACTGATAAGATATTGAGGCAAGCTGAACCAGCAGCTCCTGGGGACGCACCTAAAACCCCTGCATTTACCTCTTTGTGATAGTTTAAACCCCTGCACCTGGAACTGTTTATTTTTCTGTAACTGCTTCTGTAACCAATTAATTTTTTTAACTTTCTGCCTGTTCTACTTCTGTAAAAATTGCTTTAGCTAAACTCCGCCTCCCCTATTTAGACCACGATATAAAAAAAATCTAGCCCCTTCTTCGGGGCCGAGAGAATTTTGAGCACTAGCTGTCTCTCGGTCACCGGCAATAAAAGGACTCCTGAAATTAGTCTCAGAGTGTGGCGTTTCTCTACAACTCGCTCGGTTACAACATTTGGAAGCCCCAGCAAGATAATTGCCACCTGGTGAGTGCCGGACTCGCTCCAGGCTCTCCTGGCTGGACAGCGGGCTTATAGGGGAGGCACCTCCTGAAGCTGTTCCAGAGACCCGTAGGCCACTGTCTTCCGGAGGGGAACGGATCGACTGCCGGTGTGTGCCCTCCAAAATCAACTCCTGAGTCCTGCATTTCTGGTCCTGGGAAGGTAAGTCAGATCTGACTCTGTTTCTCTGGGAGGGAAGCGGCCCTGACGAGGGCGTCCTTCTGACTCTGCCCATATTCCAGGATGCTGGAGGACGGAGTCCTGGTTTCTGTCAGCCTTCTCTGTTAAGACTAGCCTCTCTCTCTCTCTCTCTCTCTCTCTCTCTCTCTCTCTCTCTCTGTCTTTCTCTCTGTCTTTCTCTCTCTCTCTTTTTATCTCTTCTCCTTCTCTCATTCAGGTTTCTAGGAGACCTCTGTTTTAGAATGGGAATAAAGAATTGTGATAAACTCTGTGTAAGTGTGTGTGTGAATGTGGGGTTCAAGGGCTTGTCCTTGAATTTCCAGTTTGCAGCTCCACGGTGAAAGCTACGGAGTTGGAGTGGGCCCTCACCTGTGGTTCCGTGGCGACCTCATAAGGCTTAAGGCAGCATCGGGCATAGCTTGATCTGAGCCGGTGGGTTTATACCGGTCTGCCAATGCCAAGAGGAGCCTAAGTCCCCTCCGGCGGAGCAGCCAGGTGGGCATCTGGCTGATCCCATCACGGGACCCCCTCCCCTTGTCTGTCTATAAAAATTGTCATAATTGTTTGTATACCCCGGTGTCTCTTGTCCTGTCTGGTGTCTGTCTAAGTTTCACATGTCAGGTCATCGATATTTCCGAAGATGACTGGGCAAGAACTTCTTTAAAGTCCTGAATGCAGATTTTCTAACACAGGAGGTCAAATTTCTCATCAGTCATTTGGGCTGGTCTTCCCAGTCCTGCCTTTTCTGTCAGAAACAAATCAGGTGTTGTTACGGGGAGGCGTGTGGGGAACATTTGCCCGTTTGGGATTTCTGGCACCATAAAGATTGCTAGCATTTGGATTGCCACACCCCATGCCCCAGTGACTGGACCACCTCTGCCTTAGACCAGTGGTGGATTCAAAATAGCCACCCTGCAGTCCTCCTTGCTCACCTTTTCTGTCATCCCATAACTTTTCCCATGCCCTTAGATAAGGCACTGTGCAGAGAAACCTGTGCCCATACTGCTTTACTCCACCTGGATTCTTATTCTATCCCTCTGGCTACTCTCCTACCTTAGAAAAGATCAGAGTGGCCCCTTTCCTCCTCATCCCCATCCCTTACCCCACCCATCTTGTTTTCCTGTGTCACAGCAAGTCCAACGTCCAATGACTCTACTCTCCCTCCTAAAATCCTTAAAAGAAAGGGCCAACTTTAAACTTTTTGCCTTTGAGTCGTGGAGATACCAAAGATATTTGGGCTATAAGTCAGAAAGGAGGGGAGGATCACATAGGTCCCACTGGCCTCAGACCCACCTCTTGTCCTCCCCCTAGATCTCAAAGCTTAAAGAAACAGAACTTATGTGACAAGAAGTGTTGGCTATAGTTGTTTTCCTACTTCTTCTGGTTATAATACTTCTGTTCTTCCTATACTACAGCCCCCCAGATTGTGAATTTCTCTGTCCATGCTGAGTTTAATATTTCGCCTAGACCTTGTTAATTGCCTCCAGAATGGGGAACTCTTCTTCCTGGCCCCATAAAGATTGGAGCCCTTCCAATATACGTTACAAAATTCCTCTCTGGGCTTCTCAGAGGATTATGGAGTCTGCCTTAAGAAAGCAAACTCTGGACACTTTATGAAGTGGAATGGCCACAGTTTGGAACCAGGTGGCCCCTAGAAGGGTCACTGAATCTCACAACTGTGCAGACTGTGTGGCAGGTCATTGCTGGAACTCCCGGACACCCCAATCAGTTTCCTTACATTGATCAATGGCTAGATTTGGTCCAGAGCCCTCCTCCATGGCTCTGCTCATGCACCATTCATGATCCCACCTCCCAGGTCCTTTTGAGCCCGACTGCACTTTTGCCCCAACCCTCAGCTCCCTCGGCTCCTCCTGTACTGCCTCCTTCTAAAGAAGAGGAAAGTTTTCCTCACCCATGTTTGCCACCCTACAACCCTCCTGCTCTCCCAGAATCTTCCCATGTCTCCTTGACTACATGCTCTGTGGCTTCTCCACCTATAGCCACCCAATTACGGCCTCAGCCAGAGGAGGTGGCCCCTCTCCTCCTGCTGAGAGAGGCCCAAATCCCTCCAGGCAGTGAGCGCTCTGCTCCATTTTTAGTTTATGTCCCCTTCTCTACTTCTGACCTGTACAATTGAAAGGTTCATAATCCCCCCTACTCTGAAAAGCCCCAGGTCTTGACCTCACTGATGGAATCCATGCTCCGGACTCACTGGCCCACCTGGGATGCCTGTCAGGAACTCCTTTTAACACTTTTCACCTCTGAAGAGAGGGACTGTATCTGAAGGGAGGCTAGGAAGTATTTCCTTACATCAGCCGGTAGACCAGAGGGGGAAGCCCAAGACCTCCTAGTGGAGGTTTTTCCCTCTACCCGGCCCAGTTGGGATCCAAACTCCTCATGGGGAAAGACAGCTTTGGATGATTTTCACTGGTATCTCCTTGTGGGTATCAAAGGAGCAACTCAAAAACCCATAAATTTATCTAAGACAACTGAAGTTTTCTAGGGGCCTGATGAGTCACTGGGAGCATTTTTGGAACACCTCCAGGAGGCCTATTGGACTTACACCCCTTTTGAGCCAGCGGCTCCTAAGAATAGCCGTGCTATTAATTTGGCATTTGTGGCTCAGGAGGCCCCTGATATTAAAAAGAAATTACAAAAATTAAAGGGATTTGCTGGAATGAATATCATTCAGCTTTTAGAAATAGCACAGAAAGTTTTTGACAATCAAGAGTTTGAAAAACAAAAAGAGGCATCTCAGGCAGCTGAAAAGGCTGCTGACAAAGCATCAAAAAGACAGGCAAAAATCTTAGTGGCTGCCATCCAAGAAGCCAGGAGGGAAGGGCCCCCAGCACAGAGCGCTGGCCAGGAGATCTCGGGTCCCTGCCAAAAAGGCCAAAAAGGTGAGCAGGCTCCTGTACTAAAAAACCAATGTGCTTATTGCAAGCAGATTTGACACTGGAAGAAGGAACGCCCATTAAAACCAGAAGAAAAACCAGAGAATAAAAAGGTCCTCATCCTCCCTGCTGTGGAGGAATATGCTGATTGATGGGGCTGGGTCTCCCTCTCCCTTGGCCCCCGGGAACCCATGGTGTCCGCCACAGTGGGGGGCCGGCCTGTACGTTTCCTAATTGACACCAGGGCAGAACACTCAGTACTGCAAATGCCCTTGGGCAGTGTCTCTAATAAAAAGGTGGCTGTGCAAGGGGATACTGGAGCTATTCAGGAATATCCTGTCACCCACTCATGAGAGGTGAGTTTGGGACAGAAAAGAGCAACCCACTCATTTCTCATAGTCCGAGAGTGCCCCTTTCCCCTCCTTGGATGAGACCTACTTCATAAGCTGAAGGCGTCTATCTCCTTCTTGGCCCAACAAGCTCACCTTGCTTTAGGGGACACAATGCCCACTGCTGTTCAGCTCCTGCTAACCACCCCTCCATCAAAAAAAATCTCTTAGTTTCACCCTCACAAGCACTGGATAATAAAATTAATCCTCTCCTACTGGATTTACAGACTCTCTTTCCTTGAGTCTGGGCTGAGTCAAACCCCCAGGACTGGCAAAGCACTATCTGCCAGTAGTTGTACAACTCCTGGCCACTGCCTTGCTAGTCCAGGTAAAACAATATCCTATGAGTCAGCAGGCTAGAGGGGAAATCTATCCCCATATTCAGCAACTGTTACAAGCTGGTATATTCACACCATGTGAGTCTGCCTGGAATACTCCATCTTTGCCAGTCCAGAAACCCAGAACAAATGATTACCAGCCTGTACAGGACTTGAGAGAGGTTAACAAGTGGACAGTTACCATCCATCCAACTGTCCGTAACTCTTATACTTTACTCAGACTGCTCCCACCAGAACATACAGTATACACTGTCACTGACTTAAAGGATGCCTTCTTGGCTATTCCTCTGGCCCCCAAAAAGCCAACCTATCTTTGCTTTTGAATGGACAGATCCTGGCTCAGGAAACACCACCCAATTAACCTGGACCCAGTTACCCCAGGGTTTTAAAAATTCCCCCACACTTTTTGGAGAAGCTCTCCAACAAGATCTCATACCGTTCTGAGCCAGTCACCCTAACTGTACTCTTCTCCAGTACATGGATGATCTTTTATTAGCTACTGAAATTACTGACAGCTGCCTGCAACATACTAGGGACCTGCTTGGCCTTCTGCAGGAACTCGGGTACCAGGTCTCACCAAGAAGGCCCAGCTTTGTCTTCCCAGAGTTTCCTACCTAGGGTAAAAGATAAACAAAGGAAAAACGGCACTCACCAGTGCTCAAAAGGAAGCCATCCTGCGAATCCCCACTCCCACCACCAAGAGACAGGTATGTGAATTCCTGGGGACCATGGGATAATGTCATTTATGCATACTGGGGTTCACAGAAATCGCTAAGCCCCTGTACACTGCTACCGGAGGGAATGGCCCACTAGTTTGGACTGACAAAGAAGAACAGGCTTTTCAAAATCTAAAAAAGACATTAACTGAGGCCCCTGCTCTTGCCCTCCCAAATATCTCAAAACCATTTCACCTTTTTGTTCATGAGAGCCAGGGAGTTGCTAAAGGTGTACTTACTCAGACTTTGGGACCATGGTGACCCCCAGTGGCCTATTTGTCTAAAAAGCTAGACCCTGTGGTCTCCAGGTGGCCACGTTGTCTGCGAGCCACAGCAGCAAAAACAAGCCTGGTCCAGGAGGCTGATAAACTGACTCTAGGCCAGAATTTAACCCTTACAGCTCCTCATGCCATAGAAACTTTGCTATGAAGTGCTTCTGGCAAATGGATGTCAAATGCTCGCATCCTGCAGTATCAGAGTTTACTGTTAGATCAGCCTTGTTTAGCTTTCTCTCCCACAAGGTGTTTAAATCCAGCTACCTTGCTCCCTGATCCAGACCTTACCACACCTGTCCATGACTGCCAAGAACTGTTAGAGACTATGGAAACTGGCCGACCTGATCTCTGAGATGTGCCCCCAAAGGAGTTGGATGCCACCGTGGTTACAGATGGCAGTAGCTTCCTTGAACAGGGAGTATGAAAGGCTGGTGCAGCCATTCCAACAGAGACAGATATACTGTGGGCCTAGGCACGGCCGGCAGGTACCTCAGCACAGAAGGCTGAATTGGTCGCCCTCACTCAGGCTCTCTGATGGGGTAAGGACAAATGTATTAACATTTACACTGACAGCAGGTATACTTTTGCTACTGTACATGTACATGGAGTCATCTATCAAGAGTGAGGGCTACTCACCACAGCAGGAAAGACTATTAAAAACAAAGAAGAAATTTTGGCCCTGCTTGAAGCTGTTTGGCTTCCTCAGCAGATGGCTGTAATTCACTGCAAAGGACATCAAAGACAGAGCACAGCCGTTGCCTGTGGTAACCAAAGAGCAGACTCTGCAGCTCAAGAGGCAGCTCTGCTCCCAGTCACCCCTTTAACCCTGCTGTCCACAGTGTCCTTTCCACAAACTGACTTGCCAGACCAACCAGAATACTCCCCAGTGGAAGAAAAACTAGCTTCAGATCTTCAGGCCAGTAAAAATCAGGAAGGTTGGTGGATTCTTCCTGATTCCAGAATCTTTATGCCCCCAAGCCTTTGGGGAAACTTTAATCAATCATCTGCATTCTACCACCTGTTTGGGAAGAATAAAACTGGCCCAGCTTCTAAAGAGCCATTTCAAGATCCCCCACCTTCAGGACTTAACTAACCAAGCAGCTCTCTGGTGTATGGCTTGTGCTCAGGTAAATGCCAGATGAGGTCCCAAGCCTAGCCCAGGCCACGGCCTCCAGGGAAGCTCACCAGGAGAAAAGTAGAAAATTGACTTTACAGAAATAAAACCACACCGGACAGGGTATAAATACCTCCTGGTGCTAGTAGACATTTTTTCTGGATGGACTGAGGCATTTGCCACAGAAATGAAACTGCCACCATGGTAGTTAGGCTTTTACTCAATAGAATCATCCCTCGACATGGGCTGCCTGTTGCCATGGGGTCTGATAATGGACCAGCCTTCACCTCGTCCATAGCTTATCGGTCAGCAAGCCATTAAACATTCAATGGAAACTCCATTTCGCCTATCGACCCCAGAGCTCTGGACAGGTAGAATGCATAAACCACACCCTAAAAAACACTCTTACTAAATTAATCCTAGAGACAGGTGAAAATTGGGTAAGGCTCCTTCTTTTAGCCCTTCTTAGAGTAAGATGCACCCCTTACCGGGCTGGGTTTTCACCTTTTGAAATCATGTATAAAAGGGGTGCACTAGCTTGCCTAAGCTAAGAGATAACCATTTAGCAGAAATCTCACAAGCTAATTTGTTACAGTACTTGCAGTCTCTCCAACAGGTATGAGACATCATCCAGCCACTTTTCTGGTGAGCACATTCCAATCCGGTTCCTGCCAGACTGGACCCTGCCACTCTTTCCAACCGGGTTACTTGGTGTATGTTAAAAAGTTCCAGAAAGAAGGACTCACTCCTGCCTGGAAGGGACCTCATACTGTCATTCTCACCACGCCAACGGCTCTAAAGGTGGATGGTATCCATGCTTGGATTCATCACTCTGACATCAAGAAAGCCAACAAAGCCCAGCAGGAAACATGGGTCCCCAAGCCTGGGCCAGTCCCCTTAAAACTGCACCTAAGTTGAGTAAAGCCATCAAATTAATCCTTTTTATTTACCTCTTTTGTTTGTTTCTGCCTATTATGCCGTCTGCTCCATCCTACTCTTTTCTCCTCACGTCTTTCACAACAGGATGTGAGTTTTCAAACACTACTTGGAAGGCAGGAACCTCCAAGGAAGTCTCTTTTGCAGTCGATTTATGTGCTTTGTTCCCAGAGCCTGCCTGTACCCATGAAGAACAGTGCAATCTGCCAGTCGCAGGAGTGGGGAACATCAACCTTGCTGCAGGATTCAGACACACAGGAAGCTAGACCGGAGGTGGGAGCTCTAAAGGTGCAAAAAAAGGACTCCAAGGCGTTGACTTTTACCTCTGTCTTGAAAATCACCCTGACTCTAGTTGTTGAGATTCTTTTCAGTTTTTCTGCCCTCACTGGTCGTGTGTAACCCTAGCCACTTACCCTGGAGGATCAACCTGGTCCTCAACCCTTTCCATAACTCACAATTCCCGTCCTAGACCGTGTACTATAAAAAATTGTAGCCCTCTCACTATAACTGTCTGTAACCCTAATTCAGCTCAATGGTATTATGGCATGTCATGGGGATTAAGGCTTTGTATCTCAGGATTTGATGTTGGAACTATGTTCACCATCCAAAAAAAGGTCCTGGTCCCATAGAGCCCTCCTAAGTCAACCAGGCCTTTAACTGATTTAGGTGACCCTATGTTCCAAAGACACCCAGACAGGGTCAATTTAACTATCCCACCACCACTCCTTGTTCCCAGATCTCAGTTACAACAACAACATCTCCAATCCAGCCTGATATCCATTCTGGATGGGGTACATCACCTCCTAAATATCATCCAGCCTAAACTAGCCCAAGATTGCTGGTTGTGCCTGAAGGCCAAACCCCCATGGTATGTTGGGTTAGGAATAAAGCCATGTTCAAAGTTAACTCTCTTTCTTGTCATACACAGCCCCATGCCCTTACACTAGGAGAAGTGTCAAAGAACACCTCCTGTCTAATTAGCTCTGGGTATAACTTGTCTGCTTCTGCCTTTCAGGCTACCTGTAATCATTCTCTACTTACTACCTTAAACACCTCAGTCTCCTACCAGGCACCCAACAATACCTGGCTGGCCTGCACTTCTGACCTCACTTGCTGCATCAGTGGGACTTAACCGGGGCCTCTCCTGTGAGTGTTGGTTCATGTGCTCCCCCAGGTCTATGTGTACAGTGGGCCAGAGGGACAACTTCTCATTGCTCCCCCTGAATTACATTCCAGGTTTTGCTGAGCTGCCCCACTCCTTGTGCCCCTTCTGGCCAGCCTTAGCATAGCTGGATCAGCAGCCATCAGCACAGCTGCCCTTATTCAAGGGGAAACTGGACTAATGTCCCTGTCCCAACAAGTAGATGCAGATTTAAGCAATCTCCAATCAGCCAGAAATATACTGCATACCCAGGTAGAGTCTCTAGCTGAAGCAGCCCTTCAAAACTGCTGAGGCTTAGATCTACTATTTCTCTCCCAAGGAGGGTTATGCGCAGCTCTGGGAGAGAGTTGTTTCTATGCCAATCAGTCTAGAGTCGTAAAAGATACACCCCCAAAAGTTCAAAAAAATCTAGATAGATGCCAACAGGAATGAGAAAGTAACACCCCCTGGTACAAAAGCACCTTTAACTGGAATCCATGGCTAACTATCCTAATTACTGGATTGGCAGGACCCCTTCTCCTCTTCCTGTTAGGTTTAGTCTTCGGGCCTCATATATTAAACTGGTTTCTTAACTTTATAAAGCAGCACATAACTTCTACCAAACTTATGTATCATAGAACCCAACATACCCCCTTGTTATAACCAAGGAATCAATTATTTGATTCCCCAAAACACGAGTGGGGAATGTGATACCCTACCTTGTTTTAACCTAATTGTCTCTCTTAACTGAGAGAGCCAGACAGACTCCATTTTAGTTCCTTCACTTACAGCCCCTTTGCCTCCCTCCCGTAAGGGCATAACTAGTGCAAGCTGACTCCAAGCACATCCAGGAATGCACTTACTAATAAGGTATTGAGGCAAGCTGAACCAGCAGCTCCTGGGGACATGCTCAGTGGATGGCCCCTAAAACCCCTGCATTTATCTCTTTGTGATAGTTTAAGCCCCTGCACCTGGAACTGTTTATTTTTCTGTAACTGCTTCTGTAACCAATTAATTTTTTAACTTTTTGCCTGTTCTACTTCTGTAAAAATTGCTTCAGCTAAACTCCCCCTCCCCTATTTAGACCACAATATAAAACAAAATCTAGCCCCTTCTTCAGGGCCAAGAGAACTTTGAGCACTAGCCATCTCTTGGTCGCCGGCAATAAAAGGACTCCTCAATTAGTCTCAAAGTGTGGCATTTCTCTACAACTCACTCAGTACAATCTCAGCTCACTGCAACCTCCACCTCCTGGGTTCAAGTGATTCTCCTGCCTCAGACTCCCAAGTAGCTTGGATTACAGGTGCCTGCCACAATGGGTTTCACCATGTTAGCCAGGCTTGTCTCAAACTCCTGACCTCAGGTGATCCGCCCGCCTCAGCCTCCCAAAGTGCTGGGATTACAGGCATGAGCCACTGCACCCAGCCCATATTACCAATATTTAATGAAAAGTCCTATCAAGCTCAGTGAAGTAAAACTTTCATGCTTACTTTTGTCTGTAGCTATTACCTCTGATACAAGGATAATAATTAAGCAAAACAACCTTCACTAAATCCTGCAATTATTAATACTGTTATAAGTATGATAACTCGGCCAAGTATTATAGCAATTAGAATTTTGCAATCAGAATTACACATTACGGGTGCCAAAGTGTATAGTTCTGCAAATAGTGGAGTGAGTATAACAATTCGTGCAAGAGTTGCATAATAGATAATTTTTTTTTTTTGAGACAGAGTTTCGCTCTTATTGCCCAGGCTGGAATGCAATGGTGTGATCTCAGCTCACCACAACCTCCACCTCCTGGGTTCAAGTGATTCTCCTGCCTCAGCCTCCCGAGTAGCTGAGATTACAGGCATGCGACACCACGCCTAGCTAATTTTGTATTTTTAGTAGAGACAGGGTTTCTTCATGTTGGTTAGGCTGGTCTCGAACTCCCAACCTCAGGTGATCTACCCAACTCAGCCTCCCAAAGTGCTGGGATTACAAATCTGAGCCACCATGCCCAGCAATAATTTTTGTTTAAAATTTTACTTGCCAAGAAATAACATTTTCCTTTGGGGTTCTATGAAATTACAAATGCAAACCCATGTATAATTAAAATCTCCCTGCATGTATGCATTTTTAAATGTTCTAATATTTTAAGATATTAAAGTAAATTTTGAGAGAAAAGGGCAAAAATTTAAAAAATTATTTAGTGAGGAGTAAATGAGACTGAGTAAGATGAGTAGACCTCACTTATCTTTTATGGTTTTCAGCTTAAGTTCTTCTATTTTTTCACATTGATATTGAGGACGTTCCTCTGGGCCATCAGGGGTTGCTCCCTCAGCTCTTCAGGCTTTGATTTGAGTGTCATGTATTCAGAACTTGATACCTGTAACTTTTACTGCTGAGGGAGAAGAACAGTGCAGGGCCCTTCCTAGCTTGGCTTAGGGAAGCAGAGAAGGGAGAGTTTTCACTAATACCAAATCTGGGTTAAATAGAGATGGTTCTATTTCCTGAGGTTGGACTTTTTCTAGTTGTGTTAATTACTGTTGGAAGTTCCTAAGTGAAAATCTTGGTGCAGGATTTTAATGACTTTCCATTGGCTGGAGGCTGGCAAATGGAGTTTGCCATCCCCTGACTGTAGCCATCCTGAGGGATGGAAAGTATGCCCTCAAGAAATGGCTTATTTTGGCTGGGCACAGAGGTTCATGCCTGTAATCCCAGCACTTTTGGAGGCCGAGGAGGGTGGATCACCTGAGGTAAGGAGTTTGAGACCAGCCTGGCCAACATGGTGAAACCCTATCTCTAATAAAAATACAAATATCAGCCAGGCATGGTCGCGGGCACCTGTAATTCCAGCTACTTGGGAGGCTGAGTAACGAGAATCTCTTGAACCTGGGAGGTGGACGTTGCAGTGAGCCGAGATCATGCCACTGCACTCCTGCCCGGATGAAAAGAGTGAGACTCCATCTCAAAGAAAAAAAAAAGTGGCCTATTTTATTTCTGCGAAAAATACTGAGGTTTAATTTCTCTTATAGGGCCTTCCTAGATTAAAAGGACTTGAAGTATATTGATGCCTTGGGGCTTCCTTGCCACTGACTTAGTTGCCTGCTTAGCTAACCTATTTCCTTTGGCTATTTATTTGTTCATTTTGATGTCCCTTATAATGCATCACTGCCATTTCTCATGGAAGGAAAACTGAGGATAATAACCTGTTAATTTCCTGGTGATATTTTATAGAAGATCCATTAGTGGTAAGAAAATGTCTTTCCTTTTAAATGGCAGCATGAGCATGGAGAACTAAGAAAACATGCTTGGAGTCAGTGGAAATGTTAGCTACCTTTCCCTTGCTTAATTCAAGTGCTCTTGTAAGAGCTGTTAGTCCAGCTAATTGAGCACTTGTGTCTGGAGAGAGACATTATTTACAGTGACTACTGCTTATCCTGGCCTATGTATTTATTGCTATACTGGTTGGTTGTTAGCTAAGGGCTCCACCTAGAAGACAGTAATTCTGCCACATTACGTGGGTTGTAAACAGTTAAGTTATTTCCTAGGGTTAGAGGCTTTTCTGACTAGTACAGCTACCGTGACAATGGCTTGGAGGCATACGTAAATAACAAGTGCTCCTAACTGCAACTAAGAGATTGAGAAAAATATTACAGTTTTTCCTGAGATGCCCCTTTACAGTCATGCTATGGGAAGAGGGGAGGCCTGGATTCGAGAGGTAATTTAGTTGTAAACCCAGTGACCTCTGTCTCTGGAGGCAGTTTGATTTCCAGTGGCCTTCATCACATGCTGGACAGGGTCGAGATGGCTTCTTCTTGCTGTTTGGGCATTCCTTCTTAAAATGCCCTGACTTACCACACCAATGGCAACTAGCAGATGCACCTCAGGGATCCTGGACTTTGCAAGCTTCCAAAGCAGCTACTAGAGCTTTATCCTCCTGACTTTTCTCTCTTTCTCTTGAGCCTCCTCCTGGTCCCTATTATAAAAGAACAAAGTGGTCACCTTCAGGAGGTTCTCTAAGGTGCTATCTGGTCCTATAGCTTGTTTCTGTTGTTTCCTTCTGTATCAATAGCTGTCTGTGTAATAAACTTGTTCTTTAGAATAAGCTGTCTGACGACTGAATCAGGGAATAAGGAGGTGTGCTTTGTTAGTGCTTCTCTCAGCCTTTCCATAAAGGCTGCAGGATTCTCATCTGGCTTTTGGTCAATCATAGACAGTTTAGAATAATTGAGAGGTTTGGCCTTGAGAGTTATTTGTAGGCCCTCTTATATGCATATTAAAAAGTGTTTCTGCCAGGCGCAGTGGTTCATACCTGTAACCCCAGCACTTTGGGAGGCCGAGGTGGGTGGATCACCTGAGGTCAGGAGTTCGAGACCAGCCTGGCCAACATGATGAAACTCCATCTCTACTGAAAGGACAAAAATCAGCTGGGTGTCCTCCCACACACCTGTAATCCCAGCTACCTGGGAGGCTGAGGCAGGAGAATTGGCTTGAACCCAGGAGGTGGAGGTTGCAGTGAACCAAGATTGGGCCACTGCACTCCAGCAAGTGGGCAACAGAGCAAGACTCTATCTTAAAAAAAAAAAAAGTATTTCCTTTTCCATTCATCTGCAGAGCTATTGGGGTTCCAAGGGTTGTCAAGAGGAACTGCTTCACTTCCTATTGGAAATGGTGTTTCTGCTATTTCTTCACTTTCCCTATCTCCCTTTTTTCCTTTTTGGCGTATTATAGGAGATTTGTTGCTCATCTCCAAAATCCTCTGCTGCCTGCAGAACTGCCTGCTTTTCAGCTGTGGTTGGGGTTTGTTTTAGAAGCAGCATAACATCCTTTCATGTGAGGTGAAACACCTGAGTTAAATTCAGAAATGCTTCTATATACCTATTGGGGTTGTCAGAAAATCAGCCTGTCTTCCTTTACTTGCCTAAGGTCTTGTTATGAGAAGGAAAGTTGAGGTGGCCCCAAATAAGGGACACTCTTAGATGGTTCCACCAGAAGTTGCTTTCTAATTTGGGGGAGTTATTCTCTATGAGCCTGCCTGATATGACTATTAAAAAAACATGGGTTGAGCCAGGCACGGTGCCTCATGCCTGTAATCCCAGCACTTTGGAAGGCCAAGGTGGGTAGATCTCCTGAGGTCAGGAGTTCAAGACCAGCCTGGTCAACATGGTGAAACCCCATCTCTACTAAAAATACAAAAATTAGCTGGGTGTGGATGTGGGTTCCTGTAATCCCAGCTACTCAGGAGGCCAAGGAAGAGAATCACTTGAACCTGGGAGGCAGAGGTTGCAGTCAGGCGAGATCACACCATTGCACTCCAGCCTGGGCAACAAAAGTGAAACTCAATGTCAAAACAAACAAACAAAAAAAACCTGGGTCAATCTTATGACACTTGCAAAAGTTTAGTATAAATACCATGCCCCATGCAAAAAATAAAAAATAAATAAATAAAATAAAGTCACTTTTCTCTTCAAAGTCCTGAGGTTAAAGGAGTTCTGGTGTTTCAGAGTACACTCCAGAGAGTTGCTGAAGTTGGTCTGTTACCCATCTAGAAAAAGAATTGAGAATAGGCTGGGCATGGTGGCTCATGCCTGTAATCCCAGCAATTTGGGAGGCCAAGGCAGGCAGATCACTTGAGGTCAGGAGATTGAGACCAGCCTGGCCAACATGGTGAAACCCCATCTCTACTAAAAATACAAAAATTAGCTGGGCATGGTGGCACGTGCCTGTAATCCCAGTTACTTGAGAGGCTGAAGCAGGAGAATCGCTTGAACCCAGGAGGCAGAGGCTGCAGTGAGTCAAGATCAAGCCACTGCACTCCAGCCTGGCCAACAGAGTGAGACTGTATCTCAAGGAAAAAAAAAAGTAAAATAAGTGAGAATAAAAGCATTCTTTTAGTCTCCCTCCTTTTGATGTGACCCAGGGTGGAGGAAAAAACAGTTGAAGCATCTCCCTGACTGTTTTTTCTCCTTTGTTCCTGGGTCCCAGCACCATGTTAAATGTGCCACCCATGGTTATAGGTATGGCCCTCCAAGCCATGGAACTGGATGAATGAAGTGATGGGATTTAACAACAATTACCCACACAGCCTTAGTTATCCACTATGACTACCCTTTGACTTTCTAAACTTGTGTGATCTGCCTGGCACCCCAAAGAAAGGATCTCTGGAGAAACTGTGTAATGGTAGCATGTAGGCAATGGTTACACCTTCCTCCTTAATGGAGGAAGTATGCTGGTTTGAGCTCTATATCCTGCTATTACGGCCCATGCTAAAACATTTTCCCTTAGAAAACAGTTCCAATTAACTTCTGGACTTAAAATTGCCTTACTAATTAAGTACTCTTCTAATTGGAGACAGAATAACGGCTTTTATTTATTGATTTATTTATTTGCTAATGGGATAGCATTGGAACAAAATTTGGTTATGGAGGATATTTTTCTTTTTCTTTTTCTTTTTTTTTTTTGACATGGATTCTTTTTTTTATTTTTTATTTTATTATTATTATACTTTAAGTTTTAGGGTACATGTGCACAATGTGCTAGTTACATATGTATACATGTGCCATCCTGGTGTACTGCACCCATTAACTCATCATTTAGCATTAGGTATATCTCCTAATGCTATCCCTCCCCCCTCCCCCCACCCCACAGCAGTCCCCAGAATGTGATGTTCCCCTTCCTGTGTCCATGTGTTCTCATTGTTCAATTCCCACCTATGAGTGAGAACATGCGGTGTTTGGTTTTTTGTCCTTGCGATGGTTTACTGAGAATGATGATTTCCAATTTCATCCATGTCCCTACAAAGGACATGAACTCATCATTTTTTATGGCTGCATAGTATTCCATGGTGCATATGTGCCACATTTTCTTAATCCAGGCTATCATTGTTGGACATTTGGGTTGGTTCCAAGTCTTTGCTATCGTGAATAATGCCGCAATAAACATATGTGTGCATGTGTCCTTATAGCAGCATGATTTATAGTCCTTTGGGTATATACCCAGTAATGGGATGGCTGGGTCAAATGGCATTTCTAGTTCTAGATCCCTGAGGAATTGCTGCACTGACTTCCACAAGGGTTGAACTAGTTTACAGTCCCACCAACAGTGTAAAAGTGTTCCTATTTCTCCACATCCTCTCCAGCACCTGTTGTTTCCTGACTTTTTAATGATTGCCATTCTAACTGGTGTGAGATGGTATCTCATTGTGGTTTTGATTTGCATTTCTCTGATGGCCAGTGATGATGAGCATTTCTTCATGTGTCTTTTGGCTGCATAAATGTCTTCTTTTGAGAAGCATCTGTTCATATCCTTCGCCCACTTTTTGATGGGGTTGTTTGTTTTTTCTTGTAAATTTGTTTGAGTTCATTATAGATTCTGGATATTAGCCCTTTTTCAGATGAGTAGGTTGCGAAAATTTTCTCCCATTTTGTAGATTGCCTGTTCACTCTGATGGTAGTTTCTTTTGCTGTGCAGAAGCTCTTGAGTTTAATTAGATCCCATTTGTCAATTTTGGCTTTTGTTGCCATTGCTTTTGGTGTTTTAGACATGAAGTCCTTGCCCATGCCTATGTCCTGAATGGTAATGCCTAGGTTTTCTTCTAGGGTTTTTATGGTTTTAGGTCTAACATTTAAGTCTTTAATCCATCTTGAATTAATTTTTGTATAAGGTGTAAGGAAGGGATCCAGTTTCAGCTTTCTACATATGGCTAGCCAGTTTTCCCAGCACCATTTATTAAATAGGGAATCCTTTCCCCATTGCTTGTTTTTCTCAGGTTTGTCAAAGATCAGATAGTTGTAGATATGCAGCATTATTTCTGAGGTCTCTGTTCTGTTCCATTGATCTATATCTCTGTTTTGGTACCAGTACCATGCTGTTTTGGTTACTGTAGCCTTGTAGTATAGTTTGAGGTCAGGTAGCGTGATGCCTCCAGCTTTGTTCTTTTGGCTTAGGATTGACTTGGTGATGCGGGCTCCATTTTGGTTCCATATGAACTTTAAAGTAGTTTTTTCCAATTCTGTGAAGAAAGTCATTGGTAGCTTGATGGGGATGGCTTGACATGGATTCTTGCTCTGTCACCCAGGCTAGAGTGCAGTGGCATGATCTCAGCTCACTGCAACCTCCGTCTCTAGGGTTCAAATGATTCTCCTGCCTCAGTCTTCCAAGTGCCTGGGAATACAGGCACCCACCACTGCGACTGGCTAATTTTTGTATTTTTAGTAGAGATGGGGTTTCAACATCTGGGCCAGGCTGGTCTTGAAATCCTGACCTCATGACCCACCGGGCACAGCATCCCAAAGTACTGGGATTACAGGCATGAACCACCGTGCCTGGCTGACATTTTTCTTTTAATTGTTGAAGGCAGACCTTTCCCATTCACAGAAGAGGCATAGAGCCTGATTTTTAGCAGTGCAAAAAGGGAGGAGAGTTGGGAAACTACAGTGCATGGCAAAGGACTGACAATGTGCCTCATGAAGAGGATTTCTATTGCCACTTCGTTGCACTGTTGGCTTGGAAATACCACGTGCTCCCCAGTACTGCAGGATTTACCAAGACTTCCTGCACATTGCATACACAGATAGGATAGAAGACACAGTAACCACAGACAGGAAAGAAGAAAAATTTTGTGACAAGATAGTTGGAGATCCTTTACCAACACGTAGATGAGCTGTCAAAGGCTGGATTCAGTCCAGAAGCCTTGAATAACACCAGGATGTGCCCTGGCCAGAAAACCTCAGTTGTTCCAGGACTTCTCCCAGCCTCATACAATGGTTAGATTCTCTGTGAAAGGAAACTGGTCCAAAGCATTTTAACATGGAGACTGAGAGCCTTGAAATTAAAGGACAGATTTGATGATCACTCCATACTCACCATTCCAATGATTCTATATTTTGTTCTGATCCTGGACAAGCCTCCAAATGAAATGGCTGCATTGTCTGGGGTAAATACCTGGGGTTTGTTTTCTCATGCCAGGAAAATTTATGACACAAACACACAAGAGGAATGGGTTGAGGAGCAGAAAGTTTAATAGACAAAAAGAAGAGAGAGAGAAAGCTACATCATCCTGAGAAAGCAGGTTGCCCAGTAGAGTTTCTGGGTTTGGGGCAGAACACGATTGATTTTGTAGAGAGGCTTGAGGAGGCAGTGATTGATTTACATAGGGCCCAGGGTATTGGTTGAACAGGCATGCCATTTACATAGCCAGTGAAAAGACTGGCTCCCCGACCGTAGCCTTTTATTATGCAAACGTGGCTACTACCTGGCTGTCACCATGACATCTGCACTCATGGTGAAAAAGAAAAGAGGGGAAAGTTGCCATGTTGAAATATACCTGGCTTTTAGTACAGGCATTTCCATTTACATATGCAACCCTCTAGCTTGCTTATAAGCTTGCGGATTGAGTTTTTAGGCTGCTTTCTGTTAGGAATAAAATGGTTTGGGGGCTGCTTTTTATAAAAGGAAAATTCCAGTAAGAACTCTTTTACCCTCTTTAACTGCCTAAAATAATTTCTTAAGAACTCCTGTATTAACTCCTCATGAACTTCATTTCTATTGTGGCATGAATGATTTTGCAGTGCTTTAGCATCTGCCTTTAACTTCTGCTAATTTTCTTTGACTTTTTATTATTCTTGTCCATCTCTGATGGTTGCTTTGCTGTACCAGATTGAGAAGTGCAGGTGGCCTCACCCTGAGCTGCTCCAGCAGTCCGTTCATTTGGCTCAAGCTCTTGGGCAGTTTCTCTCCGTTCTTCTGTTTGTGGCATCTGAGATTTGTCAGCAGGGTGTGGTTTTCAGGAACCATGGCTACCACCTCGTTCCACCTGCAGGGTGGCTCTTGCACTTCTGGTGGGTGCTGATTCTACAGAAACAATAGCAGCAGCCAGAGCATCCACATCTGGTGTCACCCAGCTCAGGGATGCCCTGGCTGTAACCCTGGGATGAGGTCCAGCTAACTGCATAGAAATCCAAGGTCATCCAGAGCATTTCCCATAGCTGGGTGAACCCTCCTCAGTTTATGGAGCCAGGCCCTCCCACCAGCTTCCTGCTACCACCTCCTCTACCATCAGAAGGATGCACAGGATGACACAGGGGCACGGAGTGACCACGGAAGAGTCCGGGGGAGTGAGGATGAGCTGGGCCAGGCAGCCTCAGGCCCAGTGCATGGTGGTGCCCCTCACACCTGAGCAGAGATCAGATCAACCACTACCACTGCAGGGAGGACAGAGAAGCCCAGGCTTCCCAGCCAGCCTCCCTCTGCTCTAGTAGAGATGAAAACTATTTCCTAACAAAATTATGGAATAGAACTTGCATATCTTACTCAATCACATTTTCATCTTTTTTTCTTTTTGTTTTGCTTTTTCCTCTTAGATTGTGCTCTCCTGAAGTCAGATTGGGGTAGGAGGTTTATAGGAAACTTCAGAGGTATCCACTTCTCAGGAATGCATGAGGATTTTATGAAGTTAGACTGAAAGTTTCATGAGAGTAGAGATCAAAACTTTCCTTTCTCTATTTTATTTTCTAAGGCTACCAAAATGATGGCATATCATGTGTGCTCAACACACATTTATTGGTTAAAGGAATGAATACATATTCTTTGTAAACTGTGAAACTATGCAAATCAAACCTTTATTATTTTTATTTTCTATAGTTTAGTTAACAGGATCAAATAGAAAATAATGAAGTGTAGAATTGAGAAAGCACTATTGAAAATTTAATGTTAACCTAGCACTCATGGGTAAAATACATTAACATTTTTAGTTTCTAAATTTGGGACCATTATAATTACATTTAAATTGCCACGTGAGGATGGAACATGAAATCTGACTTCAGGAGAGCACAATTTAAGAGAAAACGGCCAAAAAAAAAATGAAAGAAAAAGAATGAAAATTTGATTGGGTCAGAACTGCAAGTTCTTCTCCATACTTACTTATTTATTTGTTTATTTATTTATTTATTTATTTTTAGAAAATAATTTTTTCCTCTGCTGGTGCAGAGCGAGGCTGGCTGGGGAAGCCTGGGCCCCTCTGTCCTCTCCGAGGTGGCAGTGGCTGATTTCTGCTCAGGCGTGAGGGGGCGCCATCATGCGCTGGGCCTGAGGCTGCCCGGCCCAGCCCCTCCTCACTCCCCTGGACTCTTCCACGGTGTCTCCGGGCCCCTGCACCATCCTGTGTAACTCTCTGATGAAAGCGGAGGTGGCAGCATAAAGATGATGGGGGAACTGCCCCGCATGCCGAGGAAAGCTCGCCCAGCTGCGCAAAATGCTCTGATTGACGTCGGGTTTCTGCGCACCAAGCTGAGCCATGACCAAGGGTTAGAGCCGAGGCGACCCCGGACGTGGGCGCTCCATCTGCTGCTGCGGTTCCCCCTGTTCTCGGCTAAACCGTGGCTGGAACCGGTGCCCGCCAGAGGTGCAGGAGCCGCCCCGCGGGCAGAAGGAGGCGGTAGCCGTGGTCCCTGAAAACCAGGCCCTGCTGACAAATCTCAGACGCCAGGAACAGAAGAACCAGGAAAAATGCCCGACAGCTTGAGCCAGATGGACGGACTGTTGGAACACCTGAGGGTGAAGCTGCGCGAACTCCTCAAAGAGGAACAGCAAAGCAGCCACCAAGATGGACCAGAAAGATGAACAAAGAAAATTAGCAGCAATCAAAGGCAGATGCTAAAGCAGTACAAAACCGTTCACACAACGATAGAGACGGAATTGATGAAGAAGTCTGATAAATGAATGACAGAGTGAAAGGACAGCAGTGACCATGGTAAGGTGCTGACGATTCTGGTCCACTGGATCCCATCATCCCTAGGACAGTAAATCTCATCGCAGTCGCCACTCAGCAAGTTACCACTGCAGCATTTCCTGTTTGTTCCAAAATGAATAAAGGTGATTCTCATCACAAGGGCAAATACAGAGTAGTTTATTATTATTATTTTTAACTAAACTGTAGCTGTAGCTGTTTAGTTTACTTGTTCTAAGTTCTTATAATTTTGAAAATACAGTTGACACTTGTATGACTTATGAGGTTTTTGATAGTCTAATGTCGTTTGATGTTCAAAGAACAGTATATTTTAAATTAAGAAGAATAAACTGTGTGTATTTGTTTTATATATTTAAGGCTTAGAGGCACAATGCTTCTGCTTATGATTTGAAAACTTCAAAGGTTGGTTTTCCATCTGTTCATACACAAAACAGTGTATCGTGGTGAAATGTTTGTTTTTTTTAAAGTGGCAGCCACAGTTCCTGTCTGTCCGGATATATTTTGGACTTTTGTATGTTAAGCAGAAGAAAGAAACTTCGTTTTGTTTTAGGTAATCTAAGATTGTTGTACGCACACAAAAAAACTTCACAGATTACTGTAGGGTTCAGCAAACTGTTTATATAGTGTAACATTAGTATCTCTATTTTCTGATGTCTAGATTTTTTTTAGAAAAGATTGTTTTCGTTTTTGTTTTTTTAACAAATGTCTCCACAAATTCTGGCTTATTTTATAAAATTGCAGAATACTAAAGAACTGGGTGCTTTGCCATACTATATGAATACTGGCACTCAATTAAAATATCAAATATTTTAATCAAAATTTAGATTTAAATAATGTCTTGATTTTTCACTACAGTGATAGACATTCACAAATATTTCATATATTAAAGCTATCAGTATTAG
Organism: Homo sapiens; assembly: GCF_000001405.40. Lineage (NCBI taxonomy): Eukaryota > Metazoa > Chordata > Mammalia > Primates > Hominidae > Homo > Homo sapiens. The sequence continues at coordinate 21,676,783 of NC_000019.10, read as the reverse complement.
GTTTTACTTAGTAGTAATATATATATAAGATCAAGAATCTGTTCAAAATGGATATCTTTCATCAATAATTTGGTGCTTTCAAATACCCAGAAGTCTTGTTTTAATCATATTAAGTCTGAGAATAATTTACTAATTTCATTTTTGGAATAATGTGTTCAAAATTTTCCAGTTTAACCTAGTATTGACTGAAGATGGGTAAACAAATCGATTTACTTTTCAAATCTCATAGGCCTATCGTGTTGCTGAAGATGTTTTCAATTCTCCCTTTCAATATTGTTTACAGGAATGCAGGTCTAGTCCAATCTGCTCAACCTGTTAATCAGTGTCAGCTGCCAGATTCAAATTCATTTTTAGTGTGCCTGTACTTTTCTTTCCATAACCTCTGAATTCATTTCATTTACTGATTTAAATGTGATATAATACAGCTCATACATTTAAAACAAAACCAGCAGGTAAAATGAGTTCTGGCTTAGTATAAAGAAGCTGTTACTGAGTTACATCATACAGGTGGATGCAGCTCCACAAAATTTTAGACAAAAAAAGTTGGACTGAACTATATTGTGTGTTGCTATGACTTAGCCTCTAGTGCCCTTAAGAATAAAGACAAATTTCAGCAAATTTATCCAGTTGCTTTCAGTACGTCTAAAGGTAACATATCAAGAATTCTCATGCTACTGCCTGAGAAAACAGATTCTACTGTTACCTAATAAATCAAAATCAACTGGATGGCATTTTTGTAGCCTTGCACCACATAAAGAGAAACTGCAATGTAGGACTAATAAACGCAGACTCCATCACAAGGAAAAGGGTAATCCAGAACGTCACTTTCAAAATTTAAGTATTTAAACTTTTAGTAGAAAAATGTGGTAAAAGAGTGCTTTTGGTAAGCTTTGTGTAGTTTAACATCAGCATGAAGTAGAAAAAATCTTTAAAAATGTAAACAAACAAAACCATACACCAAAAAAACTAATATTCACCAGTGCATACATATTGATCTTTGTGTTGGGAGAGTCTAAAGCAGAACATTTGGTGAACTTGATAAAATTATTTTAATCACATTGGCATACTGATAAAATTATTTATATTTGGCCAGGTGCCGGGGCTCACACCTGTAATCCCAGCACTTTGGGAGGCTGAGGTGGGTGGATCACGAGGTCAGGAGTTCGAGACCAACCTGAACAAATGGTGAAACACCATCTCTACTAAAAATACAAAAATTAGCTGGGCATGGTGGCTCATGCCTGTAATCCCAGCTACTCAGGAGGCTGAGGCAGGAGAATCCCTTGAACTCAGGAGTCAGAGGGTGCAGTGAGCTGAGATCGCGCCACTGCCCTCCAGCCTGGGTGGCAGAGTGAGACTATGTCATAACAAAAAAAATTTATTTATATTTAATTTGACTAAAACATGTTCACATCTTAAAAATACTGCTTTGTACCATGAATAATAAATGTAAAGTCTTTATCCTCAAACGGATTCTGATTGTCAACTCAATACATATGGCAACCCATTTCTCTGGTTTCTCCAAACTGAAGTCTCATGAAGGCTCAAATATGGAGTGAGAGGGACTCAACAACAGACCATGAGAAGCAAGAAGGATGAGGTAGGATGGTCAGCTCTAAGGCTCAGGGATTCCTGGGGACCCCAATATAATGACGTCAGCTATGAAGCTTACTAACTGAAAATAAGCATAAGCAGCTGAAAACTCCATGGCTTCGCTTCGGTGGGAAGGAGTCTCTGGAATTACAGTCATGCCAAAAGGATTGAGCCAGAATGACATGTATCTAAAGATTATTAGAGGGGACTGTTCATAAGCACATAAACATTTGTTCCAAATATTATTACAGTAGCAATATCCTTTTCTGTAATATCAGCTTCCCCAAGATAGGGTTGCCATAGACAAATTAAGACAAGTGCCTAATATGTTGTAGGTAATTGGTTTCTAAATTTAAAAAACTTGCAATAATTTCATGAATCTCATTAAACTCTGTTTGTGTATAAATCTCACTGAAAGGCAGTATCCATTAGCTATTTTCCTTAGTCCTTTTGGGATTTTCTGTTGCTTGATTCCAAACCAAACTTATTTTAATCCTAGTTGTTTCTAAATCCCCAGATGTAATAACAGACAGCAGAAATGAACCCAAGTTACCCCAAACAGTCAACGTCTAATATATTTTGTTCCCCAAATGAGCCAAAAACCACACAAGCTAAAAAACAGTGGGTTTAAAATTTAACCTAAATTTAACAGTAGCAGTTTTACCATATGTAAAAATTGGCAAAGTCATAACTTAAATATCCATAGTCTGTTATTCTGGAAAAAATACAATTATTATGGCATTTTTTAGAAAAGAAAAATACATTAAATATGACAAAATACACCCACTCACTTATCATATCTTTGAAATAAAAATGATTTTATTCTTACTCTTAAATATTTAATATTTAGATGAGACTTTCAAGTGTTATAGCTACCATTCATGAATTAAAGTAGCCTTAGGGGAAATAGTGTTTTATATTAATAATTAAGATTGAAGCTCCTGGGATGTAAAATAATTTCTCTTGGATACACAGCTAGTGACCCAACAAGCTCATATATGTTTGATTTAAAAATTTTAATTTTCCCACTGTTGACAATGTTGACATAACAGCTAAATCTGAGTCTTAGAGTTGATAATTTGGAATAAATCAAGCCAAGTACTATTGAGGCAAGCTAGGTAGTCAAGAAAGTGACGATGTCCTCGGGATGTGGCAGCCATGGTGATTGCACGGTGACTGCATATTGTCAACACAATAAACCCCAGCATTTACACTGTATTTCAGCCATTCAAGCAAAGCTCTCTTCAGTAGGGAAATTGCACTGTAGAGAGCATGCACATTTTGATTTTACTTATCCTCTAACTGACCTTTTACTCATTATAATAGTAAAAAACACACACGTGTGTGAAGATTTAAGATGTTAAGGAGATATGTGACATATAAGCATGTACAGCCACTGTGTCTGTGCACCAAAAGGACCACCCAGAACATGCTTACTACTAACACCTCTTCCCACCTCCTTATAATTAATTATGTAAGACTCCCATAAATGGAGTCTCCCTAGTTCCAGTCTTTGCTGTCTCATTCTTTTGGCAGCCTGCCCTGAATTCCTTCTTTCTCAGCAAATGCTGGCTATTCTTCACCTAACTTTTAAAATAGTATTTCTACTTTGCAATAAATCACTCTATGCTGCATCTTCATTGTTTTGTGTCTCTTGTTTAAATTTTTTGAAAGTGAGAAGAATCGAGGTCTCACACAGCCATCAACACTATCATGCTTTGTTTTGTATTCTTTATTATTTCTTCTCTGATATGTCACCATTCACATTTAAAACCCAGACAACACTGCTGTTGGGAGCAAGCCCCCCAAAATCTGGCCATAAACTGGCCCCAAGGCTGGCCATAAATAAAAGCTCTGCAGCACTGTAACATGTTCATAATGGCCCTAACACACACCCTGGAAGGTTGTGGGCTTACGGGAATGAGGGCAAGGAACACCTGGCCTGCTCAGGGCAGAAAACCACTTAAAGGCATTCTTAAGCCATAAACAATAGCATGAGCGATTTAGGCCTTAAGGACATGCTCCTGCTCCAGTTAACTCGCCCAACATATTCCTTTAATTCAGCCCAGCCCTTAGTTTGCCATAAGGAATACTTTTAGTTAATTTAATGTCTATAGAAACAATGCTAATGACTGGCTTGCTGTTAATAAATACGTGGGTGAATCTCTGTTCAGGGCTTTCAGCTCTGAAGGCTGTGAGACCCCTGATTTCCCACTTCACACCTCTATATTTCTGTGTGTGTCTTTAATTCCTCTAGTGGCACTGGGTTAGGGTCTCCCTGACCAAGCTGGTCTCGGCAAGTGGCGTCCATTTGTGGGGGCTTCAATCCAGGTCAAAGGGTCACCGGAGCAATGGTTGGAATGGAAAACTAGCTGGAGGACACCCGAGTACTCTTAAAGCAATCCCCATGGTGAGTAAGAAGGGGAGCTCAGAAGTGTCAGGGTAACAATGGGACAGGTATGGGGTCTGGTTCATTTTACCTTGGAACTTTTTCACAATGATGAGGAGGAGGAATGAGAGTATAGCAAAGTAACAGTAGAGGTTACAGACCAGGTTTATTTGCCAGCTAAAGCTAAAGTGGCAAAGGAAGGAGAGGTTCATCCCTACCCTTCTGCACCCCCTCATTATTATTTTGAAGAAAAAGAACCTTCAGATCTTTCTTTTCCAGAGGACACTGGGTGAAAACTAGTTGCCCCAGTGACTGTTCGAGCAGCACCTCGAGCGACCGCTCTTAGTTCTATTCAGGCAGGAATTCAGCAAGCTAGACGAGAGGGTGATTTAGAGCCTTGGCAGTTCCCCATTAGAACACAACCCCCAGATCAACAGGGAAATATTACAGCTACATTTGAGCCTTTTCCTTTGAAATTACTCAAAGAATTAAAACAAGTTATAAATCAGTATGGACCAAGTTCTCCTTTTGTAATGGGACTATTAAAGAATGTTACTGTTTCCAGTCAGATGATTCTTACTGACTGGGATGCTCTTACTCGAGCTTGTCTAACTCCTGCTCACTTCTTACAATTGAAAACTTGGTGGGCAGATGAAGCTTCCATTCAGGCTGCTCACAGTGCCCAGGCCCAACTTCAAATTAATATAACTCAGACCAACTTTTGGGGGTTGGCGGTTGGGCTAGTTTAGATGCACAACTGGTCATGCAGGATGATGTCATAGAACAGCTTAGAGGAGTGTGCATTAGAGCTTGGGAAAAGACCACTTCAGGTGGGGAACAATACCCTTCCTTTAGTGCTATAAAACAGGGACCAAAAGAACCATACATTGATTTTATAGCTCAGTTACAGGAGTCTCTTATAAAGATGATTGCAGATTCAGCTGGTCAGGTTATAGTGTTGCAATTATTAGCATTTGACAATGCTAATCCCGATTGCCAGGCTGCTCTGTGAACCTATCTGAGGGAAAGCACATTTAGTTGATTATGTCAAGGCCTGTGATGGTATAGGGGGTAATCTGCATAAAGCTACCTTGTTGGCACAGGCAATGGCAGGGCTGAGAGTGGATAAAGGAAATACTCCATTTCCTGGAGCTTGTTTTAACTGTGGGAAGCATGGTCATACTAAAAAAGAATTTAGAAAAAATCACCGAGTCGGGCCACCAGATAGGGGAAAAAAGAAAACTGCTGATCCTGAAATAAGTCCAAAAGGAAAACATTGGGCTAATCAATGTCATTCTAAGTTTGATAAAGATGGGAACCCAATTTCTGGAAACGCCATGAGGGTCCCGTCCCAGGCCCTGTTCTAAACCGGGGCATTTCCAGCTCAGGCCATTCCCTCACCCCTGTACAATGGCTGTCCCCCACCACAGCCAGTAGTGCTGCAGTAGATTTATGCTGCAGAAAAGCTGTGAGCCTTCTGCCTGGGGAACCCCTGCAAAGGGTCCCAACAGGAGTCTGTGGACCCTTGCCAGCAGGGACAATAGGATTACTTTTAGGAAGGTCTAGTTTAAGTTTAAAAGTACAAATACATACAGGAGTCATGGATTCAGATTACAATGGGGAAATTCAAATTGTTATATCTACCTCTGTTTTCTGGAAAGCAGAGCCAAGAGAGTGCATAGCACAGCTCCTGATTGTGCCATATGTGGGAATGGGAAAAAGTGAAATTAAACAAACAGGAGGATTTGGAAGCAGAAATAAACAAGGCAAAGCAGCTTTTTGGGTAAATCAAATTACTGATAAACATCCTACCTGTGAAATAACTATTCAAGGAAAGAAATTTAAAGGTTTGGCAGATACAGGAGCAGACATTTCAATCATTTCTCTACAGCACTGGCTGTCCACGTGGCCAATTCAACCTGCTCAATTTAACATAGTTGGAGTTGGTAAAGCCACTGAAGTATATCAAAGTAGTTAAATTTTGCATTGTGAGGGGCCCGATGGACAATCTGGGACTATTCAACCAATTATAACTTCTGTACTTATAAATTTATGGGGAAGAGATTTATTACAACAATGGGGAGCACAATTTCTAATTCCAGAACAATTATATAGCCCTCAAAGTCAACATACAGTGCATGAAATGGGGTATGTCCCTGGTATGGGACTAGAAAAAAATTTGCAAGGTTTGAAAGAACCACTTCAAGTGGAAAAACAAAGTTCCCAACAAAGATTAGGAAATAATATTTGATGGTGGCCATTGTTAAGCCTCCAGAGCCTATACCTTTAAAATGGTTAACAGATAAGCCAATTTGGATAGAATGATGGCTGCTAAATAAAGAAAAACTGGAGGCTTTAGAGATTTTAATTACTAAACAATTAGAAAATGTGCACATAGCTCCAATATTTTCCCCTTGGAATTCTCCAGTTTTTGTAATTAAGAAAAAATCAGGTAAATGGAGAATGTTAACTGACTTAAGAGCCATCAATTCAGTTATGCAACCTATGGGAACATTACAGCCAGGATTGCCTTCTCCTGCTATAATTCCAAAAAATTGGCCTTTAGTAGTCATAGATTTAAAAGACTGTATCTTTACTATCCCTTTAGCTGAACAAGACTGTGAAGGGTTTGCATTTGCAATTCCTGCAGTAAACAACCTGCAGCCTGCTGAGCGTTATCATGGGAAAGTGTTGCCAAAGGGCATGTTAAACAGTGCAACAATTTGCCAGATGTATGTTGGGCAAGCAATTGAACATACTCATAAAAAATTTCCACAGTGTTACATTATTCACTATGTGGATGGTATATTTTGTGCTGCCCCTACTTGAGAAATATTACTCCAATGTTATAATCACTTGCAAAATTCAATTTCTCCCACTTGTTTAATTAAAGCTCCTGACAAAATTCAGACTGCTACTCCTTACTCCTACTTGGGGACCTTAGTAAATGACACTACCATTGTGGCACAGAAAGTAACCATACATAGGGATCAACTAAAAACGTTAAATGACTTACAAAAATTATTAGGGGATATTAATTGGATAGACCTGCTCTAAGCATTCCTACCTATGCCATGAGTAATCTGTTTTCTATCCTTAGAGGAAATCCTAGTCTCACTAGCCCACAGCATTTAACAAAGGAGACTGAGGGAGAGTTACAACTGATTGAGAAGCAAGTCCGTAAAGCTCAGATAAATAGAATAGATCCAGAGAAGACTCTGGATTTGCTAATTTTTTCAACTCAGCATTCACATACTGGTGTTATTGTCCAAGAACAGGACTTAGTAGAGTGACTTTTCCTTCCACATACTAATTCACGGACTCTAACTCCTTATTTAGATCAAATTGCTATTATGATAGGGATTGGGAGAACTCAGATTGTTAAATTACATGGATATGATCCTGGAAAAAGTATTGTCCCTCTCACAAAGGCACAAATATAGCAAGCTTTTATAAATAGTCTTACTTGGCAAACCCATTTAGCTGACTTTGTGGGTATTCTTGATAATCATTTTCCTAAAATGAAGCTGTTTCAGTTTTTGAAATTAACTAATTGGATTGTTCCTAAAATAACTAAATGTAAACCAATTGAAGGTGCTGATAATGTTTTTACAGATGGGTCTAGTAATAGCAAAGCTTCTTATTCTGGCTCAAAAAGCAGAGCTTGTAGCTATAATTGAGGTATTGACTACTTTTGATATGCCTATTAATGTGATTTCTGATTCTTCATACATGGTTCCTTCCACACAGTTAATTGAAAATGGTCAGCTACTGTTTCATACAGATGAACAACTGATGACTTTATTTACCCAATTGCAAACAGCAGTTAGGAGTAGAATGCACCCTTTTTACATCACTCACATTAGAGCTCATACACCTCTTCCAGGACCTTTGACTGAAGGGAATCAAATGGCTGATTGCCTAGTTGCTACTGCAATATCTAATGCTAGACACTTTCACAATTTAACCCATTTTAATGCCTCTGGTCTCAAATGCAGATACAGCATCACCTGGAAAGAAGCTAAAGCTATTATCCAGCAGTGCCCAACTTGCCAAATGGTATATTCCTCATCTTTTACAGGAGGAGTTAATCCTCGAGGACTGGAACCTAACTCTATTTGGCAAATGGATGTGACACATGTTCCCTCGTTTGGGAGACTAGCTTATGTACATGTATGTGTGGACACATTTTCTCACTTTGTCTGGGCTACATGCCAAACAGGAGAGTTTTCTGCTTGTGTTAAATGTCATCTTTTGCAGTGTTTCACAGTGATGGGCATTCCAGCTTCTATTAAAACAGATAATGCCCCAGGCTATACTAGCCAAACTCTAGCTACATTTTTCTCTATGTGGAATATTAATCACATTACTGTCATCCCATACAATTCTCAAGGACAAGCCATAGTGGAAAGAATGAATCTTTCCCTAAAACAGCAGTCACAAAAGTAGAAAGGGAAAAATAGAGAATATGGAACACTGCAGATACAACTGAATCTAGCATTATTAACTTTAAATTTTTTGAACCTTCCCAAAGGCCAGATGTTATCAGCAGCTGACCAGCATCTACAGAAACCAGCTGCAAAGACAGGAACAGAACATCTGATTTGGTGGAGAGATCCGACTACAAAAAGTTGGGAAATAGGTAAAATAATAACTTGGGGTAGAGGTTATACTTGTATTTCTCCAGGCCAAAATCAACAACTGATTTGGATACCATCAAGACACCTGAAACCTTATCATGAGCCAGATGCTGAGGAAGAGATTCTGGGAGGATCCTGAGGACCCGCCAGTTGCAGCCATGTCCAGGCTGACACTGAGGAGGACCCCAACTGTCACAAGCAACACCCGTCAAACACAGCCACCCACCTGGGGACAGATCAAGAAGCTGTCACAGATGGTGGAAGAAAACCTGAGGAAAGCAGGACAATCAGTCACAATGAATAACTTAATGGTAGCTATGATAGTGGTTATCACCATTGCTGTGAGTATTCCTTCAATAAGGGCTGGTAATAATGCCTGGATGCAATCACTCTATGACACAGTTACACATGCTTTCTGATCTCCGTATTTACCATAATAAATCTGCTCCTATAATTGAGGCATACTGCCCTCAAAAACCTATTTGTAAACAGGATTGGACCCAGTAGAAAAAATGAACGTACTTATTTAGGAAGATTGCTTTGCAGAACAGGCAGAGGTGCTGCAGAATGTTTCCTATGGAATCATTATTAATTGATCCCCTAAGGGGATGTTTAGCTTGAATTGCACCTCTCAGTCTGCATGCCACGGTCACACTATGTTCAGGTGATCTGAACAAAATGGTCAGATGGTAGATATAATAATAAGTATGGCAAAAGTTCCTATTATCTGGAACCATGACGGTATAGTGGCACCTCAACCTCAAATGATATGGCCTGCTCTAGGAGCTTAACATAAGGATTTAAAATTAAAAGAACAAATATTTAAAGCATCCCAGGCACACCTGACCTTAATGCCAGGAACTGGAGTGTTTAAAGGAGGTGCAGACAAATTAGCAGCTAGTAACCCATTAAAATGGATAAAAACACTTGGAAGCTCTCTGATTTCAATGATGGCTGTAGTTTTAATCTGTGTTGTTTGCCTTTGTATAGTCTGCAGATGTAGATCCCGACTCCTGTGAGAAGTAGCTCACTGTGAGAAAGCTGCCCTTGTTTTTATTGATTTGCAAATCAGAGAAGGGGGCATGTTGGGAGCAAGCCCCCTAAAATCTGGCTATAAACTGGCCCCAAGACTGGCCATAAACAAAATCTCTGCAGCACTGTAACATGTTCATAATGGCCCTAACGCCCGCGCTGGAAGGTTGTGGGCTTATGGGAATGAGGGCAAGGAACACCTGGCCTGCTCAGGGCAGAAAACCACTTAAGGGCATTCTTAAGCCATAAACAATAGCATGAGCGATTTAGGCCTTAAGGACATGCTCCTGCTGCAGTTAACTAGCCCAACATATTCCTTTAATTCAGCCCATCCCTTCATTTCCCATAAGGGATACTTTTAGTTAATTTAATGTCTATAGAAACAATGCTAATGACTGGTTTGCTGTTAATAAATATCTGGGTAAATCTCTGTTCAGGGCTCTCAGCTCTGAAGGCTGTGAGACCCCTGATTTCCCACTTCACACCTCTATATTTCTGTGAGTGTCTTTAATTCCTCTAGTGCCACTGGGTTAGGGTCTCCCCAGCTGAGCTGGTCTTGGCAACTGCTAAATTAAAACTTTAAATGATCACAAAATGATTTGTCATAAAAGCATGTATATGGCCAGGCACGGTAGCTCATGCCTGTAATCCCCGCACTTTGGGAGGCCAAGGTGGGCAGATCATCTGAGGTTGGGAGTTCGAGACCAGCCTGACCAACATGGAGAAACCCCATCTCTACTAAAAATACAAAACTAGCCAGATGTGGTGGCACCTGCCTGCAGTCCCAGCTACTTAGGAGGCTGAGGCAGGAAAATTGCTTGAACTCAGGAAGCAGCAGTCGTGGTGAGCTGAGATCATGCCATTGCACTTCAGCCTGGGCAATAAGAATGAAAGTCCATCAAAAACAAAACAAAACAAAAAAACACAGTTAAAATGCCTTTGAAGAGTGAAAATAAAGGACTGATTAAGCAGAGAGTTTGACATGGAAAAAGGCTGGTCAATTGTTTGAAAATTACATTGCTGCTGGGTGTGGCGGCTCAAGCTTGTAATCCCAGCACTTTGTGAGGTCAAGGCAGGCACATCACCTAAGGTCAAGAGTTCAAGACCAGCCTGGCTAACATGGCAAAACCCTGTCTCTACTAAAAATACAAAAATTAGCTGGGTGTGGTGGTGGGAACCTGTAATCCCAGCTACTCAGGAGGCTGAGGCAGGAGAATCACTTGAACCCGAGTGGCAGAAGCTGCCATGAGCTGAGATTGCATCACTGCACCCCAGCCTGGGAAACAGATCAAGACTTCATCTCAAAAACAAAACAGGTGGGGCGTGGGGGCTCACACCTGAAATCTCAGCACTTTGGGAGGCAGAAGCAGGCAGATCATGAGATCAGGAGTTCGAGACCAGCCTGACCAACATAGTGAAACCCCGTCTCTACTAAAAGTACAAAAATTAGGCATGATGGCATGCACATGTAATCCCAGCTACTCAGGAGGCTGAGGCAGGAGAATCACTTGAACCTGGGAGGCAGAGGTTGCCGTGAGCCAAGATTGCACCACCGCGGTCTATCTTGGGTGACAGAGCAGGACTCCATCTCAAAAAAAAAAAAAAAAATTATTACATTGCCTGCATGGACTACAACTTTTACAATGTAAGATGCATAACATAAACACCACACAACAAAATAGAATAAAAATGACAGAGTCGGCCACAAAGGACAGTCAAAGCTCTATTACAGCAATAGAGAAAAATATATATCTACTGTCAGAGAAAGATAACTTGAAGTACTTGAGAAATGTTCTCCAAAAATGTAAAATTATTTTGTTTTAGTTTCTATAAAAAAAGTTTCTTAAGCATTTTTAACTTACAAAAAAAGTTAAATGCAAGCTGTGTCAGTTTCACTTTTCTGAAGAATTTAAATAGAATAAAATATTACATATCAAAAGATAAACTTTGCTGATAATAAATTTTTAGACTAAAAGTTAAACTTTACAAATTTGTATGCTGATCAATTTGATCAGAAGCCTCTTTCTTAGAACTGGGAGAGATGACACAAAGATAGTGCTTTCACATTGGGTGGGAGAGAAAATGATTACCAGGGGCTAGATAATATTTGTTTCATTAATCAATGCTGATTTTCATTGCTATTATGTCTCAAATTATGTTAATAATTAACTAATGGCCTTAATTCAAGAAATTTTCTAACAACTTATATTTTCAATCAACCTTAATATTAGCCAAAAGAGGTATAGAAATGAAGATATTTAACAGCCATAATTTATATTTTAAAATTATATACTTCCAGAAATCTGTAAAGTTTTCTAGGTAGAGCATTATATCATCAGTGTAAGATAATTTAACTTCCTTTTTTTCTGTTTAGATGCTTTTTATTTCTTTAGTTTGTTGGATTGCTCTGACTAAGACTTCTAGAATTATGTTGAATAGGAGTGTTAGAGTGGGTATTCTTGTCTTATTTTTATTCTAATGGAGAATGCATGCAGCTATTGCCTTTTCAGTATAATGTTGGCTGAGGATTTGTCATAGATGGCTCTTATCACTTTGAGGTATGTTTCATCAATGCCTTGTTTGTTGAGAATATTTTCATGAATGAATATTGGATTTTCTTCAATGCTTTTTCTGCATCTATTGTGTTAATCTTATAATTTTTGGCTTTTAATTATTTTTACATGGTGAATCGCACTTATAACTTGCATATGATGAAACATCCTTGCATATGTGGAATAAAAATCACACGGTTGTGGCAAAATAACTTTCTCATTTGCTTATGAACTCAGCTTGCCAGTATTTCATGCAGGATTTTTGTTTTAATGTTTATGAAAAATATCGGCCTGGAGTTTTCTTTTTTAGTTGTGCCTTCACTAGATTTTGTTCACTAGATAGTACTGATTTTATATAGTGAGTTAGGGTGGAATCTTACCTTGATTTTTTGGAGTACATTCAGCAGAATGTCTTTGTATGTGGGGTAAAATTTGGATGTGATTTCATATGATCCAGGGCTTTTATGGTTGGTAGTTTATTACTAATTCAGTTTCATTATATATTTTATACACTTTTGCTCTGTTCGAGATCTGTTTATTTCTGGTTCAGTCTTGGAAAGCTGTTTGTATCGAGGAGTTTATTTATTTTCTCCAATTTTTTTTTATTTTTTTGAGACAGAGTCTCACCCTGTCACCCAGGCTGGAGTGCAGTGGTGCGATCTAAGCTCACTCTCACTGCAATTTCTGCCTCCTGAGTTCAAGTGATTCTCCTGCCTCAGTCTCCTGAGTAGCTGGGATTACAGGTGTGTGACAACATTTCTGGTTAATTTTTTTTATTTTTATTTTTTGTACTTTTAGTAGAGATGAGTTTTCACCATATTGGCCAGGCTGGTCTCGAACTCCTGACCTCAGGTGATCTGCCCATCTCAGCCTCCCAAAGTGCTTGGATTACAGGTGTGAGCCACCTTGCCCAGCATATTTTTTCCAAATTTTCTAGTTTGCCGGCATAGAGGGGTTCATAGTAGTCTCTCATGATTTTTTGTATTTATGTAGGATTAGTTGTGATTTCACATCCCTAATATTTAAATAGATGCAGAGAACAAAAAGAAAAGAACAGAAGCAGAATAAAAGTTTGACAAAAGTTGACATTCCCTTATGATAAATCTCTGAAAAAATTAGGTATAGAACAAATGCACCTCAGTCAATAAATGCCACATATAACAAAAAAATGCACAGCTAACAACATACTAAACAGTGAAATATTATAAGCTTTTACTCTAAAAGCTAAAACAAGACAAAGATGTCCATTCTAATCAGTCTTACTAAACATAGTTCTGAAAGTCCATGACAAAGAAATTAGAGAATAAAATCAAAGGCATCTAGGTTAGGAAGAAATTACATTATCCCTGTATAATTATCTTTTATTGCTGTACATAACCTGAAATACAGAAAAGCCTAAGAATTTACTATAAAATATTAGAATAAACACATTTATTAAGCTTTCAGAATACAAAAGCAACATCCAAAAGTCAGTAGCATTTATGTACACTAACAACTATCTCAAAATGAAATTAAAAAATAATTCCATCTCAATAACTGTAGTATACTTTGAAATAAACTTAACCAAAAAGTTGAAACACCTTACATTACACTGTAAATAACATTGAATAAATTAAGTAATGCACAAATGAAATATTACTCATTTATTGAATTCCATTAATAAATTTCTGTATTACACAAAATGATCTACAGGTATAATGCAACCTCTATCAAAATACCAGTGGCATACATCATAGAAAATGTATATGGTACCACGAAAGACCCTGAATAGCCAAAGCAATCAAGAAAAAAACATGAAGGTATTACCATACCTTTCAAATATTCTACAGTGCTATAGTAACTAAAGCAGTACGGTACTTGAATAAAAACAGACACATAGGCCAATGGAGCAGTAAAAAAGAGACCAGAAATATATCCATGTATTTAAAGCTAACTGATTTGGAATAAAGATGACAATTTCTTTTCTTTTCTTTTTTTTTTTTCTTTTTTTAAGATGGAGTCTTGTTCTGTCGCCAGGCTGGAGTGCAGTGGCACAATCTTGCCACTGCAACCCCCACCTCCCAGGTTCAAGTGATTCCCCTGCCTCAGCCTCCTTAGTAGCTAGGACTACAGGCGCCCACACCTGGATAATTTTTTGTATTTTAGTAGAGACAGGTTTCACCATGTTGGCCAGGATGGTCTTGATCTCCTGACCTCCTGATCCACCCGCCTTGTCCTGCCAAAGTGCTGGGATTACAGGCGTGAGCCAAAAGAACAGTATCTTCAATAAATGGTGTTGAGATAACTTTATATCCACAGGCAGAGAAATAAAATGAGACCCTCATCTCACACCATATATAAAAATCAACTAAAAGTAAATTAGACACTTAAATGTAAGGCTTAGGATGAACCTGGTGGCTCACGCCTGTAATCCCAGCATTTTGGGAGGTGGAGGCGGGCAGATTACCTGAGGTCAGTTGTTTGCGACCAGCCTGGCCAAGGTAGTGAAACCCTGTTTCTACTAAAAATACAAAACTAGCTGGTGTAGAAAAATACAAAATTTCCTACTAAAAATACAAAATGGTTGCATGTGCCTGTAATACCACCTACTTGGGAGAGAGGCTGAGGCAGAAGAATCACTTGAACCCAGGAGGCTAAGGTTGCAGTGAGTTGAGATCGCGTGCCATTGCACTCCAGCCTGGGCAACAAGAGTGAGACTCCATCTCAAAATAGTAATAATAATAAATAAATGTAAGACCTGAAACTCTGAAACTACTACAGAAAAATAGAATGAAAACCCCATAAAATTGTTCAGGGATACTGGGTATGTACCCAAAGAACTATAAATCATGCTGATATAAAGACACATGCACACGTATGTTTATTGCGGCATTATTCACGATAGCAAAGACTTGGAACCAACCCAAATGTCCAACAATGATAGACTGGATTAAGAAAATGTGGCACATATACACCATGGAATACTATGCAGCCATAAAAAATATGAGTTCATGTCCTTTGTAGGGACATGGATGAAATTGGAAATCATCATTCTCAGTAAACTATCGCAAGAACAAAAAACCAAACACCGCATATTCTCACTCATAGATGGGAATTGAACAATGAGATCATATGGACACAGGAAGGGGAATATCACACTCTGGGGACTGTTGTGGGGTGGGGGGAGGGGGGAGGGATAGCATTGGGAGATATACCTAATGCTAGATGACGAGTTAGTGGGTGCAGCGCACCAGCATGGCACATGTATACATATGTAACTAACCTGCACAATGTGCACATGTACCCTAAAACTTAAAGTATAATAAAAAAAAAAGGAGCCATCTAAAAAAAAATTTGTTCAGGGCATTAGTAAGTTGGTTTTTTGTTTTGTTTTGAGACGGAGTCTCACTGTCGACCAGGCTGGGGTGCAGTGGCATGATCTCGGCTCACTGCAACCTCCGCCTCCCGAGTTCAAGTGATTCTTCTGCCTCAGCCTCCCGAGTAGCTGGGATTACAGGCACCCGCCACAGCGCCTGGCTAATTTTTGTATTTTTAGTAGAGACGAGGTTTCACCATGTTGGCCAGGCTGGTCTCAAACTCCTGACATTAGGTGATCCGCCTGCCTCAGCCTCTCAAAGTGCTGGAATTACAGACGTGAACCACCGTGCCTGGCCAGTTTTTTAAAATTTAACCTCAAAATCTTAGGAAATAAAAGGAAAAATAGATGAGTCAGATGACTTCAAATTAAAAAGCTGCTGCACAGAATATGATACAATCAACAGGACGAGACAACTAAAAAATGAGAGAAAATATTTGCAAATTATACATGTGACAAGGAGTTAATATCAAAAATATGTAAGAAACTCTGCCAGGTGCGGTGGCTCCCACCTATAATCCTATCAATTGGGGAGGCTGAGGTGGGCAGATCACCTGAGGTCAGGAGTTCAAGACCAGCCTGGCCAACATGGTGAAAACTCGTCTCTACTAAAAAAAAAATAAAAAATTAGCTGAGCATGGTGGCGCAGGTGCCACCATGTTCACTTACCATAACTCTTTTTAAAATTTCTATGTTTTGAAGCAAATTTTATATTTGCCACAGTTTGTGTAAGAATCCAATTTTTTTTTTTTTTTGGTTTTACAAAGAAAAACCATGCTGATTTAATCCTCTCACCCGTGGACAGTGTATGTTTTTATTTATCTTAACTGATCTGAAAGTTATATTGATAACCAAACTCTTCAGTTAAAACCAATTTTTCAGTGCATTAAAAAATACCAACTTTCAGCCGGGTGCAGGGGCTCACGCCTGTAATTCCAGCACTTTGGGAGGCCGAGGCAGGTGGATCACATCAGGTGATCCTGATGTGTAAAACCAGCCTGGCCAACATGGTGAAACCCAGTCTCTACTAAAACTACAAAAAAAAAAAAAAAAAAAAATCAGCCAGGTGTGGTGGCAGGCGCCTGTAATCCCAGCTACTTGGGAGGCTGAGGCAGGATAATTGCTTGAACCTAGAAAGCGGAGGTTGCAGTGAGCCGACATTATGCCACTGCACTCCAGCCTTGGCGACAGAGCGAGACTCTGACGCAAAAAAAAAAAAAAAAAAAAAGGCGAACTTTCTCATCAAAATTTACAAAGTACCATGTGAAATGAAACGGCATTAAGACAACACTGAGAAAACTGAAGCCGTAACACAGAAAAAGGAGAAGGGCTGTGCTGCATACATAGCTGGGATACACATAATAAATACAGACAAATCTGAAGATAATTAAGAAATAAAAGATGCAGAACTTCTCTTTAAATTCAGCAAGATTCAGCATTGCAGCCTGGAAAATATGTCCTCTCCACATGAAGAATCAATCTGAATTCTTCACCACTGATGTTTTCCATCTCTAACTTGAAGTTACAAACTAACTTTAGCAGGAATACTTATGGCTTACTTCGGAGCATCTGTTACAAGGCAAGAACTGTCATGTATGTTTGCTACATTTATTTTTATTTTTTATTTTTTTTTGAGCCGGACTCTCGCTCTGTCGTCCAGGCTGGAGTGCAGTGGCGCGACCTCACCTCACTGCAAGCTCCGCCTCCTGGGTTCACGCCATTCTCTTGCCTCAGCCTCCCCAGTAGCTGGGACTACAGGCGTCCGCCACCACGCCCTGCAAAGTTTTTCTATTTTTTAGCAGAGACGGGGTTTCACCGTGTTAGCCAGGATGGTCTCGATCTCCTGACCTCATGATCCGCCAGCCTCGGCCTCCCAAAGTGCTGGGATTACCGGTGTGAGCCACTGCGCCCGGCCTGCTACATTTAAATATAAAAACATCCTCATGACTTATAAAGCTTCCCTAGTACTTATCTGAACAAATTAACTCAATAAATAAATTTACTTATGCCAATTATAAAAAGTGAAAAGAAAAATAACTAAAGGGCTATAGAGTTCTCCAATTAAAAACAAAATGGAGTGTTCTAACTAAATAAAATGTAACTTAATACACTAATTATGGAATTACATTTAAAATTTTTGTATGCACTACTAAATTTTATAAAATTATTCTTATAAACACAGACAAGCTCACATAATGAATACTTCATAAACTATAAAATATATATATCGAAAAGATACAAAGTAATTAGGGGTCTATCATGAGTACCAGACAAGTATAAACAAAATTTGCATGGGGAGATTCAGAACCAAAAGCCATCGATTGTACAGTAATAAATTCAATACAAAGCAGAGAATATACTTGCTTTCAGCATTTTTAAGGTTTTTAGTTTTCTAGTAGTCATCTTGTTGAAATGATTTGCCTTGTTCAATATTGTCTTCTTCTGAAAATAGTTACAAATTCATACTTACACAAACTCACTTACTCTATAATTTTCTTACACCTAAGGTTTATCTTTAGACTAACATATATTGAACTCTATGTAAATCAAAACTAAACGTCTGCATGTGTTTGTGGGCAGACAGGAAACATGTTCAAAAAATAAATATCAGAAAACTTTAAAAATATTTATTCAGGACTCAGAAATGTATGGATTTTATTCATATTTCTACATAACTTTTATTTTGACCATAAAAATTACACTGTAATCAATAACAATTTAAATGTACATCTTTAAATAACTAAAAGCATACAATTGGATTGTTTGTTATACAAAGGATAAATGCTAAGCCGGGCACGGTGGCTCACACCTGTAATCCCAGCACTTTGGGAGGCCAAGGCAGGCAGATCATGAGTTCAGGAGTTTGAGACCAGCCTGACCAACAAGGTGAAACCCTGTCTCTACTAAAAACACAAAAATTAGCTGGGCATGGTGGTGCATGCCTGTAAACCCAGCTACTCAGGAGGCTGAGGCAGAAGAATCATTTGAACCCAGGAGGTGGAGGTTGCAGTGAGCCAAGCTTGCACCACTACCCTCTAGCCTGGGCAGCACAGCAAGACTCTGTCTCAACAACAAAAAAAAGATAAATACTAGAGGTGATGGATACCTCATTTACCCTGGTGTGATTATTATATAGTGTATTCTTGTATCAAAATATGCCATATATTGCATGAATATATACTCATATTATGTACCCCAAATAATTAAGAAAAATAAATTTAAATAAAATAAAAATTTGGCTGGGCATGGTGACTCACACCTGTAATCCCAGCACTTTGGGAGGCCGAGACGTGTGGATCATTTGAGGTCAGGAGTTTGAGACCAGCTTGACCTGCATAGTGAAACCCTGTCTCTACTAAAATACAAAAATTAGCTGGGTGTGGTGGCGGGTGCCTGTAATCCCAGCTACTTGGGAGATCGAGGCAGAAGAATTGCTTGAACCCAGGAGGCAAGGTTGCAGTGAGCTGAGATTGTGCCACTGCACTCCAGACTGGGTGACAGAGCAAGACTCCCTCTCAAAAAAAATTAAATAAAATAGAAACAAAAATTTAATTTAAAGAAATAATATTGTTTAACTTATTTGCAGTCAAAGCCACTGGCAAAAGTACTAGAGAAGTTAATCCATTATGTTAACAAATAGTATATTATTACCATATTTTATGTACAACCTTGAGTAAGGGGGAATTAATGTTTGTTACATAACACTTCACTGAATGCACAACAGTATTTAAAATGTTAAAGATGTTGAATATATTAACATCACATATAATCTGAAATTTTCAAAATATACTGCATTTTATATAAAAGTATAATTAGTACAATATACTAAATTTTAATTTACTTATGAAATTAAAAATGTTTTCTTCTCATAATACAGAAGAATATGACTGAACACTTAACTCACACATTACTCAATATTATAAGTTAACCACAAAGGTCTCTTCACTTAGATTTTCATCATGCATCTTACATTTTAATGTCCTTACATTTTCATAACAAAGTTTATAAATAATGCTCACCTAATAAAAAAGAATCTCTCATATCTTGGATGCAGCAACAATTCATCACATGCTCTCACATGTAAATAGGAATGAAGAAACAGCAGGAAATAATTTGAGAATTGAATTACATCATTATTCACTTTTCAAAAAATCTATGTTTTCCAAAAGTTAAGCATACTTTGAATGTAATTATAATTCTGCAAAAAATTCTTTTAAACTTATATATGAATAATTTTTCTATCAACTTTAGTTTTAGATTATTTTCTATCATGAGCACTGTGATTTAGTATAATATCTGAAGTGTCAGTGCCTTATATATTTCTACTGTAAATTCTCTGATATTTACATAGACTTAATTTTGTATTAAAATTTCTTTAAATTTTTACTGCATCTGCAAAAATATGTTTTAGTATGAACTCTGTGGTGTTTTCTAAGCTGTAGTTTTTGAAAAAGTATTTTTCCAAATTTATTACATTTGCAGGGTTTTTTTTTCAATATAAATTCCCTGATATTAAACAAAGTTTGAGCAATTGCTTCTGAGGTTTCCTCTAATACAAAATGTGTACAATAAGATCTGTGACACAAGTAAACATATTACAACCCTACTACAATGTTCTTCTTCAAAATAATCTTCTTTACTTTAGAGGCTTCCATTTTCTTAAAGATATTTTGACAGTAGTTGCACTTATAATGTTTTTATTAAGTATGAACTCTCTGATGTTGAGTAAGATGTGAGCATGTATTAATGGCTTTTTCACAGTCTTTATATTTATACAATATTTCTCAAGTATAAATGCTTTCCTGTGAAGTAAGGTGTGAGCACTGGTTAAAAGTTTTGTCACACTGTTCACACATGTAGAAGTTTTCTCCAGTATAACTTATCTTACCTACAATCAAGTGTGACAACCACTTAAAACTTTATCACATTCTTCACATTTCTAGGATTTCTCAACACTATGATTTCTTTTATGTTTAGAAAAGTTTGAGGTGTTTTCAAAAGCACTGTCACATCTTTCTGGTTTATAGAATTTATCTCTAGTATGAATTATCTTATATCTGTTAAGAATTGAGAACTTATTAAAGGCTTTGCCATATTCTTCACACTAACAGGGGTTCTCTCTAGCATGAATTTTTTTATGTTTAGTAAGAGTTGAGGACTAGTTAAAGGCTTTGCCACATTTTTCACATTTGTATGGTTTCTCTCCAGTATGAATTCTCTTATGTGTAGTAGGAGTTGAGGAGTGGTTAAAGACTTTGCCACATTCTTCACATTTGTAGAATTTATCTCCAGTATGACTTATCTTATGGTTCTTAAGGTATGAGAATCTTGCAAAAGCTTTGCCACATTCTTCACATTTGTAGGGCTCCTCTCCAGCATGAGTTATCTTATGGGCAGTTAGGGTTGAGGATTGGTGAAAAGCTTTGCCACATTCTTCACATTTGTAGGGTTTCTCTCCAATATGAATTCTTCTATGTGTAGTGAGGTGTGAACACCGGTTAAAGGCTTTCCCACATTCTTCACATCTGTACGGTTTCTCTCCAGTATGAATTATCTTATGTGTAGTAAGGTGTGAGGACCGTTTAAATTCTTTCTCACATTCTTCACATTTGTAGGATTTCTCTCCAGTATGAATTCTCCTGTGTTCAGTAAGAATTGAGAAGCAGTTGAAGGTTTTGCCACAATCTTCACATTGGTAGGAATTCTCTGTAATATGAAATCTTTTATGTTGAGTTAGGTGTAAAAGCATGCAAAATGATTTTTCACATTTTTTACATTTGAAAGGTTTCTTTCTAGTATGTCTTATCTTATGTCTATTTCAATTTGAAAATGTATGAAAGACTTTTTCATATGGATCACATTGAAATATATTGCTCTTGGTAGTTATCAAACACAGGTTTAGTTTGTTATCTTCTTTGTGTACCTTACACTCATCCACACTTTTATAGCCTTTTTGTAACTGTAAATTGTCATGTCCACATTTTCCATATTTTTTCAGAATCGCTTCTTGAAAAGAATCTTTCATGTCCTGCTCTGCCCAAAGGTCTTGGGCAAAATGAGAACATATAACTGAAAGAAATAAAAATAACAAATTACTTGCTAGACACAGACAAAGTTTTCAAATCTAACTTATTATACAAACTACATAAACAAGATGGCATAGGAAAATACCAAAGGCCCTCATTCCTTTAGACATGTAAATGTAACAAAAACATACCAACCAAATTACATCTGAAAAAAATTTACAAATGAGCTAAGTGTATGAAGTGCCCATGGTGAGAACAACGCAAAGAGCCACCTGGAAGTGAAAGTCTGCTATATTTACCCAACACAGCTCTTTCTGCTCCCCAATATAACATAGTGTCTTTAGAAGTAAATTGCCAACGTTTTAACGACAAGTAAAATACTGGCACATTCATCTTTGTTACTTGCTTCTAGGAGCTTTCCAAAACTGGTTTGTGTCTCTCTTGAAATATAATGCTGAAAGAAATGGTGGTATACTTTGGAGTGACAGTTTAAGTTTGCTGAGACCAAAGGTAAATGTTACAGCACCAGAGAGACTACTGTACCACACAGAGAAAACAGGTGTAGCACGTGACTACTATTAAGAAGAAACATGAATAAATTCCTTTAACTAAAAAATAAAGAACATTTCAGACAAGACACATTCTAAGAACATGTTTGAGAGACTCCCAGAATCTCTAACCAAGACGATTGTTCAGACTATGCCAGGACAAAGCTACATTATAAAGATTGTGACAGGTAGCCTTTTTTAATGTCCAAATTTCAATCAAGGGTTACAATGTATACAAAATAAGGCAATATGTTGAAGCTCAACAAACAAACTAGGAAACACACAAAGATATTTATAACAAACACATATATAAGCACAATTTCAAAAGTCACAGACAAGAAGAGAACCTTGGGAGCTGCAAGATAAAAGTGATGCGTCATTTGCAAGCATAGTCTTATGAGACAGCCAGTGAATTGTCAACAAAAATTTTGCAGACCAGAAGGGAAATGTGTGATAAAGTCAAACTCCTGAAAAATACAGCGATCAAGACAGCATAATACCATCAGCAAATCTGTCCTGCCAAATAAAAAGAAAAAAACTTTCAAAAATAACAAAATTCTGAAAAGTATATTGGAACTCCATAAACCCTACATATAAAAAGTGCTGAAAGCAGTTGCTTCTTCTGAAAATAACATAATTCAACAAAAGCAACACATAATCATATAAAACTACATTTATTTTCTGGGAAAGATTATATGCACATATATATTTTTACTTCTAAGTATATGCACATACACCAAAATGGAATTTCTTTGCATTATAATAATGGTGCAGAAAACATTTTTAATTATTATCTGAAAGTTGAAAGAGAAAATCACAGAAATCATTATAAACATCTGTTAATAAATATACAACATAAAAAGATATAATTAGCAAAATCAATGACAAATTTGAGGGAAGATGTAATGAGAAAAAAATTGTGCATGCAAATGAAGTTCCTTTTTACCAGATTGAAATATACTGTTTTATCTTTTAGAGGTTTATGTAATCCCCAAGGTACCTCAAAGAACATATGTGTATAGATGCACAAAACAAATTAAGAAATAAGTAAAAGAAACATATCAATATAAAACTAAAAAGACACAAAGACAAAGAGAAAATGAGTGACCAAGATATAAGAATCAAATAAAACAATAAAATAACATTAGTATGTCTTCCTGTTTCAGAAAATTATTTAAATATATATCTTTAACTTTGCAATCAAGAAACATACTTTTAATAAAGAGATTTATTTAAATATTTTAAAAACTGAGATCCAATTTGCCTTTCTACAAGAGTAAGCTGAGATCTACTGATAAAAAAAACTGAAAGTGGCAAGATGGATATACATATTGCAAGTAAATATTAACCAAATGAGAGAAGAGGTCAAAATAATATGACATAAGCTATATCTTAAGTGAAAAACTTTCATATTTTATAAAATGTACTAAAAGTCAAAATTGCAAAGAGACAAAAGACATTAAAAAATAATAGATTCATTTACTGATAACCTAAGTCAAATGTATGTGTGTGTGTGTGTGTGTGTGTATCTCACATTAAGTTTCCAAATATATAAAGCAAACATTGACAGAATGGAAGAAACACCTAGACAGCAATATAATTATAGTAGGACATTTCCATACCCTACTTTCCATAATAAAAATAAAACAAAACAGAATATTTGTTAGTGAAGAGAGGACTTGAAGGCAGTATAAAACAATTATTTCTAACAGATATATAGAGAAGACTCCTCAACAATATCAGGATACACATGCTTCTCAATTGCTCATACAACATTCTCCTTGGTAGACCATATGTTAGGCCAAAAAGGAAGTCTTAATGCATTTGCTAAGACTGAAATTGTATGGATTATATGAACAAAATGGAATGAGTATAAAACAATAATAGAAAAAGAACTAAAAATTCACAAATACATGGAAATTAAACAACACACTCTTGAGCATGCTCCTGTTTAAAGGTAGAAATAATTGATATTTTGAAAACATCCATACTTCTCAATGTAATCTACAGATTTAATGCAATGTTTTAAAAAATTTCTCATTGCATTTTTGAGGAAATAGAAACAACTCCAAAAATATATAAAATGTCAAGAGACAATAAAGTACCCAAGAGTCTTCAAAAAAAGAAAATGAAGGCATTATAGTTCCTGATTTCAAAACACATTACAAAGCTACAGAATTAAAACAATTTGGTATGAGTATAATGGGTAAAAAGTAGGCTAATAAAATAGAATGCAGCACCTATATAAAGTTTCACATATATGGTCATATGAAGAGTTATTTTCATACCCATAATTATTGCAGCATTTTTACTGAAAGCCAATAAGTAAAAGCAATGCAAATTTCTTTCTATTGTTTTTGTTTGTTTGTTTGTTTTGAGACTGAGTCTTGCACTGTTGCACAGGCTGGAGTGCAGTGACACTTGGCTCACTGCAACCTCCACCTCCCAGGTTCAAGCAATTCTCCTGCCTCAGCCTCCCAAGTAGCTGGGAAAACAGGTGTGTGCCACCATGCCCAGCTAATTTTTTGTATTTTTAGTAGAGACGGGGTTTCACCATGTTGGCCTGGATGGTCTCGATCTATTGACTTGTTATCTTCCTGCCTCAGCCTCTCAAAGTGCTGGGATTACAGATGTGAGCCACTGCGCCCGGCAGCAATGCAACTTTCTGTCACCAAATTATCCAATACATATAATTTGTGACATAAAAATACTGGAATATCACCCAGGATTTAAAAAGCAGGAAATAGTCTAACAACTCTAAAAATAAAGCTTGATGACATTATGCAAAATAAAATGAGCTAGCCACAATGAGACAGAGATTGTATAAGACATATGAGGCAGTTACACTCTTAGAAAAAGAAAACAAAGTGGTGTTTGCAAAGTGCCAGAAAATCAGAAAAATTGGTTGTTGTTTAATGTACACTGAGATTTAGATTTGCAAGATAAAAACATTCTAGGTGTATGTTGCGTAATATTATCACTATAATTAATATGACTAAACAGATTATTTAAAAATATTTGATAATGGGCCAGGTGTGATGACTCACACCTGTAATCCCAGCACTTTGGGAGGCCAGGTGGGTGGATCACGAGGTCAGGAGTTGGATACCAGCCTGGCCAACACGGTGAAACCCCATCTCTACTAACAATACAAAAATTAGCAGGGTGTGGTGTCGCATGCCTGTAATCCCAGCTACTCAGGAGGCTGAGGCAAAAGAATCGCTTGAACCCAGGAGACGGAGGTTGCAGTGAGCCAAGATGCCACAACTGCACCCCAGCCTGGGCAACAGAGATGCTGTCTCAAGAAAAAAAAAAAGATAATATTTTATGTGTTTTTGACAAGTAAAAATGAACAATATATAAAGATATAATAGTTTCAATTTTATCTTCAAATCCCAAAGTATTTCTCCCACACAGAAGTAATGTAGATTCACAACAGATACTGAAATTAGGAGAATTTTATAACTGGTCACCTAGCCAAGACTAAACGACCATTCAAAACAAACCTACAAAACAAATATACAAGTGATAAAATAAACAGAGATGACATTTATAGAGGTAAACAAACACAGAGGTAATTATATTGGCAGTAGACTTCTGGCTGATTTATATTGATTTTGCTAGACTGTCTTAAATTGCACAGAGTTAAACACTGTCATACACAATTATAATATAAAATAAAACACCAAAACACAAGTAAATGGTGTGAAGTGGCATACCTTAAAATATATAACACAAAAATATAACATTGCAAAACAAAATTAAAATATGGAATGTAAAATGTATTGGACACCATCAAGTAGATCAATATATTCATGAAAGGAATCTTAGAAGAATATAGGGAAAAAGTAATACAGAGCTTATTTGAAGACAAAAAAGACTGAGAACTTCCCAAATTTTGATGTTATAAAAGAATTTCTAACTAATACTTAATTCAAAATTATTTTACTTCAAAAACAAGATAAAAATAAAGACTTTCCAAAATAAAAGTTCAGGGCATTTATTACAACTACCAGAGTCCTACATAAAATGTTAAATGGTAGCCAGGCACAGTGGCTCAGGCCTGTAATTCTACAGCTTTAGGAAGACAAGGTAGATAGATCACTTGAGACCAGTAGTTCAAGATCAGCCAGAGAAACATAGTGAGACTCTGCATACAAACAAAAAGAAATGCTAAAATGAGTCCATTATGTTGAAAAACAAAATGATACTAGACAGCATCATAAAACATATATAAATATGAAGTTCTCTATTAAATGTAAATACAGACACATATAGAATTTTTTACT
The DNA here is from genome assembly GCF_000001405.40 of Homo sapiens. Classification (NCBI taxonomy): domain Eukaryota; kingdom Metazoa; phylum Chordata; class Mammalia; order Primates; family Hominidae; genus Homo; species Homo sapiens. The sequence goes on along the minus strand of NC_000019.10, from coordinate 21,650,359 downwards.
ATCAAAATGATGCTGCATAAAACCCTTAAAGTTCTTCTACAGATATAAAAAACAAGATATAAATCTGTATAAATCTGTTAATAGATACATGATGTAAGATAATATGGTTTTTAATATTAATAACAAACTGGAAAATATAACAGTATAAGTTTTGTATTTAATTGAAGTGTGATGAGATTAAAATACATAGTTTTAACTTTAAGATGTTTTATGTAATCTGTTCTTCAATATGGTTACATTGTATTTCAAGATTACATTATACTTATGGAAAGTATGCAAAACAAAATAAAAAATAAAGCATGTCACAATAAAATTAAAACAAAAATTAAGGCAGTAAAACAAGAAATGAGAAAAGACATATCTACAAGAAACACATAAAAGTGTAACAATGAAGTGGTTTCTGCAGATCAGCAGACTTAGTCTTTCCCCCTGCTGGCTCTGAAAAATCTGGGCAGTCCAGATGTATGGAATTTCTCCCAGTGAAGCACACCCCCTTCACCAAGAAGCAGCCAGAGTGCCTTGTTAAGTGGTTCCTGAATCCTGTGCATCCTGACTGAGTGAGGACCACCCCCCCAACAGGCATTGTAAGACAACTTATAAAGAAGTATTCCCACTGTCATCAGCTCAGTGCCCATCTGGGAAAAAGCTTACAGATGAAGGAGCAGGCAGTTCTCTCTGCTGTTCTACACACTCCACTGGTGACACCTCCAGGTGTGGGAGAAACCCAGGCAAATAGGATCTGAAGTGGATCCCAAGCAAATCACAGCGGCCCTACAGAAGAGGGGCCTGACTGTTAAAAGAAAAACAGAAAGCAACCACAGCAGCATCAACAAAAATGTCCCCACAAAAACCCCATCCAAACGTCAGCAGCCTCAAAGACCAAAGCTAGATAAACTCATGATGATGAGAATAATCAATAAAAAAATGTTCAAAACTCAAAAAGCCAGAGTGTCTCTACTCCTCCAAATAATCAAAACATGTCTCCAGCAAGAGGACAGAACTGGGATCAGGCTGAGATGGATAAATTGAGAGAAGTAGGCTTCAGAAGGTGGGTAATAATCAGCTTCGGTGAGGTAATGAAGCATGTTCTAAGCCAATGCAAAGAAGCTAAGAACCACGAAAAACATTACAGGAGCTGTTAACCCGAATAACCAGTTTAGAGAGGAACATAAATGACCTGATGCAACTGAATAACACAACATGAGAACTTCACAATGTAATCACAAGTATCAATAACTGAGTAGATCAAGCAGGGAGAAGAATTTCAGAGCTTGAAGGCTATCTTGCTGAAATAAGGCAGATAAGATTGAAAAAATAAAAATAAAAAGGAATGAAAAAATCTCTGAGAACTGTTGGATTATGTAAAAAGACCACTTACAACTGATTGCAGTACTCTAAAGAGATGGAAAGAATGTAACCAAGTTGGAAAACATACTTCAGGATATCATCCAGAAGAACTTTTCCAACCTAAAAAGACAGGCCAACATTCAAATTCAGAAAATCCAGAGAACCCCAGTAAGATACTCCATGAGAAGATCAACCTCAAGACACATAATTATCAGATTCTTCAAGGTTAGACTTCAGGAAAAAATGGTAAGAGCAGCCAAAGGGAAGGCCAGGTCACCTACTATAAAATGGACCTCTAAGAAGACACCCTACAAGCCAGGGTGTCAATTGGGGGCCAATATTCAGCATTCTTAAAAGAATGAATTTCTAACCCAGAATACCCAGTAAAAGTAAGCTTCATAAGTGAAGGAGAAATGAAATCATTTTCAGACAAACAAATGCTGAAGGAATTCATCACCACTAGACCTGCCTTGCAAGAGCTCCTGAAAGAAGCACTAAATATGAAAAGAAGAAACCACTACCAGCAAATGCAAAACACACTGAAGTACAAAGACCAATGACATCATGAAACAACTACATCAACAAGTCTGCAAAATAACCAGCTAGCACCATGAGAACAGGATCAAATTCACACATAACAATATTAACCTTAAATTTAAATGGGCTAAATGCCCCAATTAAAAGACACAGAATGGCAAGCTGGTTAGAGTCAAGACCCACTGGTGTGCTGTATTCAAGAGACCCATCTCACATGCAAAGACACCCATAGCCTCAAAATAAAGAAAGGGAGAACAATTTACAAAGCAAATAAAAGCAGAAAAAAGCAGGGGTTGCAATAGTAGTTTCTGACAAAACAGACTTTAAACCAATAAAGATCAAAAAAGACAAGGAAGGACACTACATAATGGTAAAGGGATCAATTCAAGGAGCACTAAGATTTGTTTTCATTTATTGATTTATTTTTTGAGATGGAATTTCACTCTGTCACCCACACTAGAGGTCAATGGCACAATCTTGGCTCACTGCAAACTCCACTTCGCAGGTTCAAGCAATTCTCCTGCCTCAGCTTCCTGAATAGCTGGGATTACAGGTGCCCATGACTATGCCCAGCTAATTTTTGTATTTTTAATAGAGACAGCATTTCACCATGTTGGCTAGGCTGGTCTCAAACTCCTGACCTCAGGGCATCTGCCTGCCTTGGCCTCCCAAAGTGCTGACATTACAGGTATGAGCCACCACACCCAGCCAGCACCCAGATTTATAAAACATAGATACCTACGAAGAGACTTAGACTCCCAAACAATGACAGTGGGAAACTTTAACACCCCACTGCCAATATTAGACAGATCATTGGGAAAGAAAAATAACAAGGATATTCAGGACTTAACTCAGCTGTAGGTCAAGTGGACCTGATAGATATTTACAGAACTCACCAGCCAAAAACAACACAATACACATTCTTCTAATTGCCACATTGCACTTACTCTAAAATTGATTATATAATTGGAAGTAAAACACTCCTTAGCAGATTCCAAAGAACTGAAATCATAACAGTTTCTCAGACCACAGTGCAATCAAATTAGAACTCAAGAGAAAGAAACTCACTCAAAACCATACGACTGCATGGAAACTAACTCAAAACTACACAATTGCATGGAAAACATACTCCTGAATAACTTCTGAGTAAATAATTGTCAGAAATCAAAAAATTATTTGAAACCAAATTCTCTGGAATGCAGCTAAAGCAGTGTTAAGGGGGGTAAAATAGCACTAAATACCCACATCAAAAAGCTAGAAAGACCTCAAATTGACACCCTAACATCACAACTAAAAGAAAAAGAGAACCAAGAGCAAACAAACCCCAAAGCCAGCAGAAGACAAAAAATAACCAGGATCAGAGTGGAACCATAGGAGACAGAGACACAAAAAAACCTTTCAAAAAAATCAATGAATCCAGGAGCTGTTTAAAAAATAAAATAAAATAGACCACTAGCTAGATTAATAAAGAAAAGAGAAGAAAGAAATAGACACAGTAAAAAACGATAAAGCAGGTATCAGCACTGACCTTATAGAAATACAATCATCAGGGCTGGGTGTGGTGGATCATGCCTGTAATCCCAGCACTTTGGGAGGCCGAGGTGGGTGGATCACCTGAGGTCAGGAGTTCTAGACCAGCCTGGCCAACAAAGTGAAACCCCGCCTCCACTAAAAATACAAAAAAAAAAAAAAAATTTGCCGGGTGTGGTGGCAGGCACCTGTAATCCCAGCTACTCGGGGGGCCAAGGAAGGACAATCACTTGAACCCAGGAGGCAGAGGTTGCAGTGAACTGAGATTGTGCCATCATACTCCAGCCTGGGGGCCAAGAGTGAGACTTTGTGTCAAAAAAAAAATTAAAAATACAATCATCAGAAAATACTATAAACACCTCTATGCACATAAACTGGAAAATCTAGAAGAAATGGATAAATTACTGGACACATATACCCTCCCAAGACTGAACCAGGAAGAAGTTGAATCCCTGAATAGACCAACAACAGGTTCTGAAATTGAGACAGTAATAAATAGGCTACCAAACAAAAAAAAGCCCAGAACCAGACGGATTTACAGCTGAATTCTACCAGAGGTACAAAGAAGGGCTGGTACCATTTCTTCTGAAACTATTTAAATGAAAGAAAAGGAGAAACTCCTCCTTAACTCATTTTATAAGATCAGTATCATTCTGATACCCAACCTGGCAGAGATATAAAAACAACAACAACAAAACCTTAAAACCAACATCTCTGATAAACATCAATGCAGGCCAGGCACATTGGCTCTCGCCTGTAATGCCAGCACTTTGGGAGGCCAACGAGGGCAGATTAGCTGAGGTTAGGACCATCCTAACCAACATGGTGAAACCCCATCTCTGCTAAAAATACAAAAATTAGCCAGGTGTAGTGCTGCAAGCCTGTGATCCCAGCTACTCAGGAAACTGACTCAGGAGAATCACTTGGACCTGGGAGGTGGAGGTTGCAGTGAGCGGAGATTGTGCCACTGCAGTCCAGCCTGGGTGATAGAGTGACACTATGTCAAAAAAAAAGAAAGAAAGAAAGAAAAATTGATGGAGAATGAGAAAACTATTTTAAAATTAATATGGAACCCAAAAAGGCCCCATATAGCCAAGACAATCTTAGGCAAAAAGAACAAAGCTGGAGGCATCAGCTATCCAACTTCAAACTATACTACAAGGCTGTAGTAACCAAAACAGCCTGGCACTGGTAAAAACAGACACATAGACCCATGAAACAGAATAGAGAACTCAGAAATAAGACTGTATATCTACAACTGCCTGATCTTTGAAAAACCTGACAAAAACAAGCAATAAGGAAAGAACTCCCTATTTAACAAATGGTTCTGGGAGAACTGGCTAGCCATATGCAGAGAATGGAAACAGGACATGGTAAGAAAAAGAGCAAGTGTGAGGTGAAAAAGCCAGGTTCAGGCCAGGCACCGTGGCTCACACCTGTAATCCCAGAACTTTGGGAAGTCGATGAAGTCAGGAGTTCGAAATCAGCCTGACCAACATGGTGAAATCCCATCTCTAATAACAAACTACAAAAATTAGCTGGGCATGGTGATGAGTGCCTATAATCCCAGCTACTTGGGAGGCTGAGGCAGGAGAATCACTTGAACCAGGGAGGCAGAGGTTGCAGTGAGCTGTGATTGTGCCATTGCACTGCAGCCTAGAGTACAGAGTGAAACTCCATCACAAAAAAGAGAAAAAGCCAGGTTCTTTTAAGGAAGCAGCTCTCATTTGAATTAATGGAGTGTAAACTTTCTGATTATCAAAAGAATAGTGCCAAGGCATTTATGAGAAATTTGCCCCCCATGATATAAACACCTCCCCACCAGCTTCTACATCCAACATTGAGGATTACATTACAGCATGAGGTTTGCAGAACATGGACATCCAAACCATACCACAGACAAACTAGGCTTAAGAGACATGTACAAAACTTTTTAGTTAAAAGCAAAATAATACACAATATTCTTATTTGCACCTGATGTATTCTGTTAGAACACATAACAAGTCTTATTACAGAATACCAGCTGGGTGTAGTGGCTGATATGTATAATTTCAACAATTTGGAAGACAAAAGTGAGAGGATCCCTTGGGACCACAAGTATAAGACCAGTGTCAGTAATATAGTGAGACCCTGTCCCTAGAAATAATCAAAAAATTAGCCAGGCATGGCAGTGCATGTCAATAGTCTCAGCTACTCAGGAGGCTGAGGTGTAAAGATCACTTGAGTCAAGGAGGCTGAGGTTGCAGTGAGCCAAAATTATGACACTATACTCCAGCCTGGGTGACGGAGTATGATCCTGTCTGAAAACAACAACAAATAAATTTAAGAAGACCAAAATCATGCACTGCATGGTATCTGACCAAAACTGAATAAAACTAGGAATTAAAGGCTGGGCGCAGTGGCTCACATCTGTAATCCCAGCACTTCGGGAGGCCGAGGCAGGCGGATCACCTGAGATCAGGAGTTCAAGACCAGCCTCAACATGGAGAAATCGTGTCTCTACTAAAAATACAAAATTAGCCGGGCGTTATGGTGCTTGCCTGTAATCCCAGCTACTTGGGAAGCTGAGGCAGGAGAATTGCTTGAACCTGGGAGGCAGAGGTTGTGGTGAGCGCAGACCACACCATTGCAATCCAGCCTGGGCAACAAGAGCAAAACTCTGTCTCAAAAAAAAAAAAAAAAAAAAAAAACCTAGGAATTAAAAGCAAAAGTAAAGCTGGAAAATCCAACAATATCTAAAAATAAAACACATGGGCCGAGTGCAATGGCTCACACCTGTAATACTACCATTTTGGGTGACTGAGGCAAGAGAACTGCTTGAGCCCAGGAGCTGGAAACTAGCCAAGGAACCATAGGAAGACTGTCTCTAATAAATAAAATTAAATTAAATTAAAATAAAACACATTCCTGCTCAAGGGTCAAAAATTTTAATTTTGTTAAGATGCCAATATAACCTACAGAGGTGAACAAATTCAATGAAATCTCTATAAAAATCTAAATAGCAGTTATTACAGAAATATTCTTTAAAATTTTTAAATGTGATTGTGAACTATAACTAACCAAACACCCATGAAAAGAACAAACAGGCATTATACTTCCCGATTTTAAAACATTAAAAGCTACAATAACAAAAACAGTATGGTACTGATACAAAGACAGATAAACAGATGAAAGAGCAGAATAGAGAGTTCAGAAATGAACCCTTGTGTATATGATTAAATGATCTTCCACAAAGCTGCCATGAACATACAATAGAGAAAAGATAATCTTTTCAATAATGTTAAAAACCAAATATCAACACTGATAAAGTTGGATAATTTCCTTGAACCATATATAAAAAATGTTTTCAATAAAATACTTACACTCATAAAAAACTAACAAATCTCTTGAACAAAATAGAAAAAAGTCATGACATGGGTCTTGGCACCATTTTCTTAGATACAACATTAAATGCATGAGCAGCAACAAAAAAACAGAAAGATTTACTCTATACTTCAAAATTTCTCCACATTAGAAACTAAAAACATTCAATTGAATGAAAATGCCTCATAGGAAATGGGGGAAATATTTGCAAGTCACATGTGATAAGAGTTAATATTTGGGCCAGGTGCAGTGGTTCAATCCCAGCACTTTGGAAGGCCGAGGTGGAGAAGGCTGAGCTCAGGAGTTCAAGACCAGCCTGACCAACGTGGTGAAACCCCATTTCGACTAAAAATACAATATTAGCTAGGCATGGTGGCGCATGCTTGTAATCCCAGATACTTGGGAGGCCGAGGCAGGTGAATCACTTAAAATGGGGAGGCGGAGGTTGCATCAAGCTGAGGTCACACCATTGCACTCAGACTAGGCAACAAGAGCAAAACTCCATCTAAAAAAAAAAAAAAAAAATGGAATATAGAGACAACTCTTAAAACTGAACAATAAATTTGAATAACTTGATTTAGAAATGAACAAATAATTGAACTAAAAGATACACAAGGTCGTGTGCAGGGCCTCATGCCTGTAATCCCAGCACTTTGGGAGGCCAAGGCGGGTGGATCACCTGAGGTCAGGAGTCCGAGACCAGCCTGGCCAAGGTGGTGAAACCCTGTCTCGACTAAAAATACAAAATTAGATGGGCGTGGTGGCTCATGCCTGTAATCCAGCTGCTCAGGAGGCTGAGATAGGAGAATCATTTGAACCTGGGAGATGGAGGTTTCAGGGAGCTGAGGCCGCGCCATTGTACTCCAGCCCAGGTGATAAGAGTAAAACTCTGTCTCAAAAAAAAAAAAAAGATACACAAATGGGGAAAACCATTTGAAATGGCACATAAAATTAACAATTTGTAGAGAAACATGTAAAAATAAAAATGAAAAAAATGAAATCACCTCACATCCATTACAATGGCTGCTATAAATTTTTTAGACACCAAATCTGTTGATGATGCAATGAAAATGAAACCTCTGTTGATTGTTGGTAGAAAACAAAGATGCAGTCATTATTTTAAAATGTTACGTTTCTCAATTAAAAATAATTATTATTAAATTCAGCAATTCCATTAATCTATATTCAAAATATGCAACAAAAGACCTAGAAGACATATTTGAACATCTATGATTATTGTACCAGTACTCACAAAAGTCAAAAGGCTGAGGCAACCCGGGTTTCTCTAGATTTATGAACACATCAAAAATGTAACCTATACATAAAATGGAATATTATTAGGTCTTTTTTTTTTTTTCCAAGAAGGAGTCTCGCTCTGTCACCCAGGCTGGAGTGCAGTGGTGCGATCCCGGCTCACTGCAGGCTCTGCCCCCCTGGTTCATGCCATTTTCCTGCCTCAGCCTCCCGAGTATCTGGGACTACAGGCGAGAGCCACCTCGCCCAGCTAATTTTTTGTACTTTTAGTAGAGACTGGGTTTCACCGTGTTAGCCAGGATGGTCTCGATCTCCTGATCTCATGATCTGCCCGCCTCAGCCTCCCAAACTGCTGGGATTACAGGCGTGAGCCACCACACCTGGCCTATTCAGTCTTAAAGAAGAAAATCTTGTCACATTTTAAGATAAACTTTGAGAATATTACATCGCCTGACATAAGCCAGAAACAAAATGATGGACACTGTATGATTCTACTTATATGAGATATCTTAAATAGTCACATTTAGAATAACAGAAAGTGGAAGGGTGTTTGCCAAAGGCTGGGGAGAGGGTAAAATGGGTTGTTGTTACTTAATGGGTGTTTAGTTTTAGTTTCACAAGATGTAAAATTTCTAGAAGTTTTTTGCATAAGAATGTGAATATACTTAACATGGCTAAAATGCAATTATTTTTATTATTATTATTTTTTGAGATGGTGTTTCACTCTTACCCAGGCTGGAGTGCAATGGGGCAATCTCAGCTCACTGCAACCTCTGGCTCCTGGGTTCAAGCAATTCTCCTGCCTCAGCCTCCCGAGTAGCTGGGATTACAGGCACCTGTCATAGGCCCAGCTAATTCTTGTATTTTTAGTAGAGATGGGGTTTCACCATGTTGGTCAGGCTGGTCTTGAACTCCTGACCTCAGGTGGTCTGCCCACCTCAGCCTCCCAAAGTGCTGGGATTACAGGAATGAGCCACCGTGCCTGGGCTGTAAAACTTTTTTTTTTTTTTTTTGAGACATTATCACTCTGTCACCCAAGCTGGAGTGCAGTGGCACAATTATGGCTCACTTCAGCCTCAAACTTTCAGGCTCAAGTAATTCTCTTCTCTTCATTTCCCAAGTAGCTGAAACCACTTGTGCATACCACCATGCCTGGCAATTTTTTAAATAATTTTGTGGAGAGGGAATCTCCCTGTATTACCCTGGCTGATTTCAAACTTTTGGGCTCAAGTGATCCTCCTTTCTTGACCTCCCGAAATCCTGGGATTACAGTTGTGAGGCACCACCAGGTCTAGCCCTGAAATGTACACTTAAAGAAATTTAAGATGGTAGGCTGGGATCGGTGGCCCATGCTGTAATGCCAGCACTTTGGGAGGCCGAGTTGGAAGGATCACTTGAGGTCAGGAATTCAAGACTAGCTTGGCGAACATGGTGAAACCCTGTCTCTCCTAAAAATACAAAAAATTAGCCAGGCATGGTGGTGGGTGCCTGTAATCCCAGCTACTCAGGAGGCTGAGGCAGGAGAATTGCTTGAACCCAGGAAGAGGAGGTTGCAGTGAGCCGAGATTGCGCTACTGCACTCCAGCCTGGGTGACAGAGGGAGCCTCTGTCTCAAAAAAGAAAAAAAAAAGATTTAAGATGGTAAATTTTATGTTATGTGTTTTTACAACCATTAATTTTCCTTTTTTTTTTTTTTTTTGGAGACAGAGCATCACTTGAACCTGGGAGGCGGAGGTTGCTGTGAGCCAAGATCATGACACTGCACTCCAGCTTGGGCAACAAGAGCAAAATGCTGTCTCAAAAAAAAAACAAAAAAACAAAACAAAACAAAAAAAACAACTTGAAGAAGTGTTTGCTCTATCAAATTCACAGACACCAATGCAAAACTATATTGTGCCTATTGTCAATGCTTCTATTTTTACGTAGGACTGGAAGTAAGTGGCAGAATCATGAGTCAAAAACATTTTTGAAAAGCCACTGAAATTGAAGACAAATAAGTAAAAAGTTACTGTTTGTGGATCATATGATCTTATATATAAAAAAACCATAAACACTGCACTGAAATTTGTCTATACTAATAAATACACTCAGTAAATTAGCAAAATATAAAATTAACATACAAGTATAAGTTATTGTTCCATACACTTAAACCATCTGATACAATAAAGAAAATAATCTTATTTACAATAGCATTAAAATAATAAATTTCTGAGAGCAAATTTAACCAAGAAGGTAAAAAATCTTTACAATAAAAGATATAAGATAGGCCAGGCATGGTGGCTTATGCTTGTTATTTCAGCACTTTGGGAGGCTAAGGGGGGCAGATCACAAGGTCAAGAGATCAAGACCATCCTGGCCAACATGGTGAAACTCCGTCTCTTCTAAAAATACAAAACATTAGCTTGGTGTGGTGACATGCGCCCGTAGTCCCAGCTACTCAGGAGGCTGAGGCAGGAAGATTGCTTGAACCCAGGAGGCAGAGGTTGCAGTGAGCCAAGATTGCACCACTGCACTCCAACCTGGCAAAAGAGTGAGACTCCTTCTCAAAAAACAAAACAAAACAAAAAAGATGTAAGATACCAATGAAATAAATTATTGAAGAGACAAATTTTAAAATATTTCATGTCCATGGATTGAAAGAATAAATATTGTTAAAGTGTCATATTATCTAAAGTAATCTACAGATTCAAAAAACTTCCTATTAAAATTCCAGTGGCATTTTTTTCACAGTAATAAAAAATACAATTCTAAAATTTACAAGAAACTGCAATAAACTTCGAAAAGCCCAAGCAATCTTGAGGCAAAAGAACAAACCAGAGGGGTATTATACTTTATAATTTAACTCTATTTCAAGAATATAGTAATTAAAAACAGATGAAATGTGCAGAAAGATTAACAAACAAAACAATGGAACAGAAACCTCTACTTTCACACATTTCAGACATGATGAAAAAGGAAAACTAAAAAATAGTTTAACATAGAGTTTCCCAAAATTATGCTGATATCTGTGTGTCCCCCCAAATAATGGAAAAGCAGGGAGATTGTACAGTCTTTTACATGCCATGAAAAGGACTTTGGCTCTCACTGTACACTTGAAGGAAGATCACCAAAGGGAAAGCAGAATCTTTAAAGAATTTAAAAGCATAAGAGAGAAGATGCCCCTATGTCACAGCAAAAAATACTCCCAAAAAACAAAAAAGCTCACACATCCCAGAAACTATTTCCTTTGGAACACAGCTTCCCAAATCACATTTTAAGGACCAGCTTTCTTTTTGACATTTGGACCTCTCATCTGTGTCATCTGTTGTGTTCACTCTCACCTACCTGGGGATTTGGCTACCATCTGTCTCTTTATATTCTCGGGCTCTTTTCCTTGCTCCAGACAGTGACCAGGTCTGGCTTAGTGACAGCAATACCTGCTTTATTAGAAATGAATAACTTGAATCTTTCTCTTATTCTCCAATTACCAACCTAGTAGTATGCTTAGTAAAGAGGAGGTAATAGAATATTCCCAAAATTAATCTCAAAATACTAATGAAATTTCTAAATGTTTAGAAAATATTTTAAATTTGTAGGTCCTTAATTTCACTACCCGGTACTCATGATGCTGATGAATAGATTTTAAAATACGGGCAACTATATATAAATACTTTTTTTTTTGGGGCGGAGTGGGACAGAGTTTTGCTCTGTTGCCCAGGCTGGAGTGCAGTGGCACGATCTCGGGTCACTACAACCTCTGCCTCCTGGGTTCAAATGAATTCTCCAGCCTCAGTCTCATGAGTAGCTGGGACTACAGGCATGTGCCACCATGCCCGGCTAATTTTTGTATTTTTAGTAGAGACAAGGTTTCACTTTGTTGGCCAGGCTGGTCTCAAACTCCTGACCTCGTGGTCTGCCCACCTTGGCCTCCCAAAGTGCTGGGATTACAGGAGTGAGCCACCGTGCCTGGCCTAAAAACATGGGCAACAATATTTTATGCCACTACATTTCTGGAATTACCACTAATCTAGAGTGAAGGATACAGACCAGCTCAGGAATGTGGAAAGTTCAGGTCAAGATGAGACATCTTGAATACCTTCTTTTCCACACAGACAAAGTCTCAAGATTTTTTTGAAAAAATGGATCAGAAACTCATTTATGCAAAGCGTAAATTACCAAAAATCATTCCACAAAAAAAGAGAAAGGAAACCTTTAGGGTATATTAGAAATTGTGTATTAAAGTTATTCTCACCCAAGAAGACCAGGTTTCTGTAGTTCTCTAACATCACTTTCCTATACAAACCCTGCTGAGCACTGTCCAGGCATTGCCACTCCTCCAGAGAGAATTCTATGGCCACATCCCTAAATGACAATGGCTCCTGAAAAACGCAAGCACACAGACACACATATATTTACCAAATGGTCATGAGCAGAATTTATCATTTGAATTAAAATAAAATGACAGAGTAAAGAGAATTGGTTCTGATTAATAGAAATGACTGAAATTCTCCAATAATTTTTAACACAGAAATATTCTCTAAAATATTCTCTAACTCTGAGAGAAGAGAATAGCATAAGGCCCACAACACCAATATACATATGACACTTTTCTAGATAATAAAGTATAAAATTAAGAGCATATAGGCAGTAGGAATAAAATAGCCACAGGTAATAAGCAACTGCTGGTCACCTGTTGCCCACCTTTCTTTTAGAGACCAGATAGTGAACAAAAGATGATGGGGCTACAGGAGAAAAACAGCTGTCTTCAGTTCTGTCCACACACTTGAACTCCAGTATTTAGAGATGGAGAAAATAGATTAAAAGCAAACATATTTTGCTATTTGGTCTTGGCCCTAATGGTCAGGCTGTATTTATCTGTTTTCTCCTGTGGTGTGGGGGACTATGTGAGTCTAAGCACCAATCACATGCATACATGTCTACAGGTATTTCTGCATTACCCAAATTCTCTCACAAAACATCAAACTTTAAATCAGGGGAAGAAATCAGTACCTAGAGGGTGTCCACTGTTAGAAGCCAACTGGTAGTCAACCTGTCTCTGAATCCTGGCAACCTATCTGTACTGGGTGCATGTATTAGTTAGCTATTGCAGCATAACAAATCATCCAAAACTTATTAGTTCATAATTGAAATGATCAGCCATTTAGGCCGAGCTGAGTGGGGCCATTCTTCCAGTCTCAGCTGAGCTCCTTCAGACATGTATCATCAGCTGCTTGTTGACTAGACAGCTCTGCTTCTGGGGGTGAGTTTCTTCTTCTGGGCCTGTCAACAGCGGCACCTTGCTTCTCCTCCTCATGGTATCTTATTTTCCAGCTGGCTAACATGGGCATTATTCATGGAGATGGCAGCATTCTAAAAGAAAAATAGAAGCAGTCAATACCATTTGAGCCTGGGCCCCAAACTGGCCCACTGTCATGTTCACAGGTTTCTACTGACCTGAGCAAATAAGGGCAGCCAGATATAGGGTTTTGAAAACAGATTCCAGATCTTAAGGAAACAGCTGTAAAAGCACCTGGCTATGGGCATAGATACAAGTAGGATGAAAAAATGTTGTCATTTTGCAATCATTTTACAATTTGTAATATTCTACCTTTTTTACATATGTGGTATATAGAACTCTTCCACATCAAGAAACTTGTGCAGACCTACAGCTACTAAGTGGCTGGGCTGAGACTCAGGATCAACTTTATCTGACTCCAAAGCCCATACACCTCCATAGATCACACTACTAAAGTAGCTGCCCTGCCCTAGACTCTTGAAATCCTGGAGAGTGACACTTCTACAGAAGAAGTCAGATTCCTTTTAGATTTGTGCTCATAGAGTACTTTTTATCATTGGGAATAATCCTCACAAAAATTGCAGAAGCACATGGTGGCTCTCACCTGTATTTTTAGCACTTTGGGAGGATGAGATGGGAGATGATGTGAGCTCAGGAGTTCCAGTGCTGCCTGAACAACATAGTAAGATTCTGTTTCCATGACAAAAATGAAGAAATTAGCCACCCATGGTGGTGCATGCCTATAGTCCCAGCTACTTAGGTGGCAGAGGCAGGAGGATAGCTTAAACCTGGAAGGTCAAGTCTGCAGTGAGCTATGAGTAGTTACACCACTGCAATCAAGACTGGATGACAGAGTGAGTCCCTGTCAAAAGAAGGAAAGAAAGAAGGAAGGAAGGAAAAGAAAGAAAGAGAGAAAGAAGGGAGGGAGGGAGGGAAGGAGGGAAGGAAGGAAAGAAAGAAACTGGAGAAGCATTTTGTAAAGACATAAAATAATTTGGAGAAATAGCTGAGGGATGAGTTTAGAAAATCAAAGTCCAATGGCACATTATTAGTTTTCATCATAGAAAATATTTGAAATCTTTTAAAAGAAAAAACCTTTAGATACATTAATTTTTTTTTTTAAAGATGGAGTCTTGCTTTGTCACCCAGGCTGGAGTGCAGTGGTGTGATCTTGTCTCACGGCAACCTCTGTCTCCCCAGTTCAAGCGATTCTCTTGCCTTAGCCTCCTGAGTACCTGGATTATGGGCATGCGCCACCATACCCAGCTGATTTTTGTAGTTTTAGTAGACACAGGGTTCCACCATGTTGGTCAGGCTGCTCTTGAATTCCTGACCTCGTGATCCACCTGCCTCAGCCCCCCAAAGTGCTCCCAGACGTGAGCAACAGAGATCAATTGAGCATGGAATGATTTGCAAATTGGGTAGGCTGTGGATCCAGAGTAGGCTCAGAGAGAATCTAACACAGCCACATGATGAAAATAGATTTATAAACAGCAAAAGCAAAGTGACATACAGAAAATGAAAGTGAGATACAGAAACAGCCAGATTGATTACAGGTTGGGATTTGCCTTATTTAATCATGATTTGAACACTTGATGTTCTTTTATTGGCAAAAACACAGAGGTTTGTACAATAATTGGTTGGTCTATTTATATACCCAGTTAGATTTCAGTTTACTATGTATAAAAAACCTAGTGACCAAAGTTAAACAGGAAAGGGGGCAGCTTTAGGCATAATTAATTTAACAATTTCTCCCTTTTGGTCAACTTCTCAATTTTGAGAGATAGACCAAAACTTTAGACATTGATATTACTCTGTCACCATCAAAAATGTACTTATTTGGTGGCGGCAGCAGCAGTGGCCGAGGCTGAGGGAAGATGGCAGACAGCGTGGACCACATAGACATTTACGAGATGTGGGTGAAGAGTTAAACCAGGAAGCTGAATATCGTGGGTATGGCCAGATAGATTTGTATGACTGTGTCATATCTCCATCTGCAAATAATGGAGATGCCACAGAAGACTGGGATTACATGGATACTCTCCCACCAACTGTTGGTGATGATATGGGTAAAGGAGTGGCACCTAATGTTGTCTATACACATACTGGAAAGAGAATTGCATTATATGTTGGAAATCTAACATGGTGGACAACAGATGAAGACTTAACTGAAGCAGTTCATTCTTTGGGAGTAAATGATATTTTGGAGATAATTTTTTTTTTCTGTTTTTGTTTTGTTTTTGTTTTTTTCTTTTTTTTTTTTTTTTTTTTTGCAGTTGCAAGATTTAATAGAGTGAAAACAGAGCTCCTATACAAAGGGAGAGGACCCAAAGAAGGTAGCAGTCACCAGCTCGAATGCCTGGGTTTATATCCTGACCATTGTCCCTCCCGCTGTGCTCTCAAGCAATAGATGATTGGCTATGTCTTTACCTCCTGTTTTTGCCTAATTAGCATTTTAGTGAGCTCTCTTTACTACCTGATTGGTCAGATGTGAGCTAAGTTGCAAGCCCTGTGTTTAAAGGTGGATGCGGTCACCTTCCCAGCTAGGCTTAGGGATTCTTAGTTGGCCTAGGAAATCCAGCTAGTTCTGTCTCTCAGTGCCCCCTCTCAACAGGAAAACCCAAGTGCTGTTGGGGAGATTGGCTGATGACCACTCTAACTGCTTCCTGCTGAATTGGGGTGTAGTAGGGGTCTTGCAGTTGAGATTTCCTTGAGAGGAGTGCCTTCGATGTCATCAACTTTGGACTGTATCTGGGGCTCCATTTGAAGAACCATTTGTAGCTTTACAGCTTCGATTCTGGAGGAGACAAACTTAACAAGGAGGTTAAAGATACAGAATCCAAAGAGGAGTAACAATATTATAGCTGCTAGAGGTCCTAAGAAGGGGAGAATCCAGGGCATCCATTGGCTGAGGAGGCCCCAGGTCCAGTGTTTTGAAGCTCCTCTGCTCTACATTATATTTGATCTCAAATTTCTTTAACTTTCTTGGTGACAATTCTGGATTGATTAACATAATAACAGCATTGTTCCCCTAAAAATAAACAAATTCCCCCTCTTTCGGTGGTTAGCAAGTCTAAAGCTCTTTGATTTTGAAGGACTACTGCTGCTAGGGAGTGAAGTTGATCTTGCACTAACCTCCACTGTCTGTTGGGTTTCTGTACTCCTAAAATTGGAGTATTGTAGGGGCTATTGCATGGTTGGGCTTTTAGGTCCTTAACAATCTTTTGGAGTTGTTGTTGGGCCTCGGGTTTAAGGGGGTACTGCCTTTGGTAGGGAAAAGAGGTGGAATCCTTTAGTTTAACTTGAACAGGATGGGCATTCTTTGTTCATCCATATTGTCCTTCTGTTGCCCAGACTTCAGGATTATTCCTTCCTCAAGTAGGGGACAACAAATGGGTGTTCCTTCTCCTATGTTCAGGTGTATAATTGCCCTTGCTTTTGCTAGAATGTCTCTCCCTAACAAGGGAGTGGGGCTTTTATGCATAATTAGAAAAGCATGTGAAAAGAGTAAATTTCCCCAGTCACAACTTAGTGGCTGGGAGAAGTTTCTAGTGACTGGCTGTCCTAGGACCCCTCTGATAGTGACAGATCTGGAGGACAGTTGTCCAGGACAGGAGAGTAAGACTGAGAAGGCTGTGCCAGTGTCCAGGAGACAGTTAACCTCCTGGCCCTCAATGGTCAAGCATACCTGGGGCTCTGTGAGGGTGATGGCATGGGCTGGCACTTGCCCCAGGAACACTCCGTCCTGCTGCTGGATCATCTGGTTAGTGGCTTCTGACTCAGAGGACCTTCATCCCTTGGGGCAGTTGGCCTTCCAGTGATTCCCTTGACATAAGGGGCATGGATGAGGGGTTGGCTTATTTCTACTTGGATAATCTTTTTTAGTGTCCTTGTAGACCTCACTGGAAGCAAGCCCTATTAGGCATTTGATTTGCCCAGGTTTTCTCTCTTCCAGAGCCTCCAAAGTCTGCTTGCTTGAGGGCCATGACTAAAGTGGTGGCCTTTTTTTTGTAATTCTGTTTGTCCCATTCTGTCTGCTCTCCTGATCTCTATTATAAAAAACTGAGGTTGCCAAGTTCAATAGGGTTTCTAAGTTTTGCTCGGGCCCAAGGTGGACTTTTGAAGTTTTTTTCTAATGTCTGCAGCTGACTGAGTGATAAACTTATCCTTTAAGATTAGTTGGCCTTCAATAGAGTCAGGTGACAGAGAGGGATGCTTTCTCCATGTCTCCCTTAATCTCTCCAGAAAGGCAGTAGGATTTTCTTCCTTTCCCTGTGTTATACTGGACATCATTGAATAATTCATAGGCTTTTTCCTAGTTTTTCTTAGTCCTTCTAGCATGCAAGTTAGCAAATGTCTGTGGCACCAATCTCCATGTTCTGATTCTATGTCCCAATGAGGGTCTGCACTGCGAACTGCCTGCTGGCCTGTGGGGAATCATTCTCTTTCCTCTGTTGTCATCCTATCATTGACCTGACTAAGATACCAGAGATCACCAAGCTCTCACGCTGCAGTAATGGTGGCACTTCTTTCATTTGTGGTTAGTGTCTGATATAGCAGTAACATTATATCTCTCCATGTCAGATGTTAGGCTTGTCCTAACCCTTGTAAAACATCAATATAGCCATCAGGGTTATCTGAGAATTTACCTAGGTCTATTTTAACTTGTTTTAAGTCTGAGAGAGAAAAAGGTATACACACACTGGCTGGGCCAAATTCTCCTCCTCCCACTGCTTGGAGTGGACATAATGGGGGAATATTGGCACTCTTTGACTCATTGTTTACCCCTTTGTATATCTCCTTTTGGACCATTAGGGTTGAAGGGGTGTCCTTATTAGTTGGGGAAGGAGTCGGGGGGACACTGGGGTAGGGAGATAGACTCTGAGGGCTTCCTGTAGGGCTTTTTACATAATTGTACTTTTTACATAATCACAAGTTGTCCCTTAATGAAAAGAAAGTTTGCACATATGGCACTTCACTCCATTTGCCTTCCTTTTTACAAAAGAGGTCTAGCTGTAAGATGGTGTTATAGTTTATACTTCCCTCAGGAGGCCAGGTTTTTTCCCCTTGAAGAGGATATCATGGTGAGGTTGTACTGCAGAAGAATATAAGTCATTTCTTTCTTAGTGTCTGAGGGTCAATTGGCCCCAATTCTCCAGAATATATCTTAGGGACATTTTTGCCTTGGGGGGAACATTTCCCATCTGAAAAAAGAACATAGGGATGCCAGCACCCCTGGTCATTTTCCAATAAGCATTAGTCATAGAGCGGCCTCTATGTTCTTAATGCTTATTCCTTTCCAGGGTGCATAACCACCCATAGGCCTCTGCTTATCAGATTAGTTATGTTCACTGATGTAGCAGTCCTGCACCTCTTTTCCCACCTCTCTTGACCACAAAGAAAGGGGTCCAGGCTGCTGGATTCTAGTGGTCCTTTACCAAATTGCCCAACATTGTTTTTGTGCTCAGGGGTGAGTACTAGACCTGGGCTGGGTTCCTAAGTATTTCATAACAACCCAGCTGCCCCATCAAGATGCATTCCCATAAACAACCGTTCTTATGCAAATTCATTTCAGAGAGGGTGTAGGTAGCCCTTTGAGTCAGGATTGAAATAGTCTTTTTTGATTCTGTAAGTACTTTAAGGCCTGGCTGAGTGCAAACAGCTCGTGCATTTGAGCAGACCAATTATTAGGCAATTTTTCCAACTCTGCTTCCACAGGAGCCTCCGTATCAATTACTGAATACCCTTTTTTATTTTTTTCTCAATCACCTGGGAGGAACCATCTATCATCCTCTCCTGAAGGGATTTCCTCTTAGGTCTGGTTGGACCTTTGTATAGTAATTAAGATTTAAATCCCCTGTGAGGAAATCTGCTGGGTTAAGGGAATTATCAGTGGTTAGTGTTAAATTACCTTTTTCTAACAGAATAACCCCGTATTTTAAGACTTTTTGAGTTAGTAAGCTACTTTTTTCTTGTTTGCCTTAAACTAATTCTGAACTGGTGAGGTGTGCTCACAATGAGTTTTCCTCTAAAAGTTACTTTTCTACTTTCTACTGCTACGAAAGCAGTTGCCACTATAGATTGAATGCACTTGGGCCATCAGTCGGTCTCTGGGTTAAGGATTTTTGATAAGAAGGCTACGGGTGGTCAGTGGTCTCAGTGTTTTCAGGCTACGCCCTTGTTTACAGTGACAACAGGGTAGTATTGGAGTGTTATAGGGTCATGGATAAGACCTTCATTTCTCAACTATAGGTTTTTAATTTACCCTGGCTTTTAAAGGAAGAGGGCACACTTTTTTTTTCTACTTCTATCTTTCTCTTTCTTTCTCTCTTTGACTCCCTCTTTGTCTCTCTGCCTCTCTTTCCTCTCTCCTCTCTGTCTGTCTCTCTTTCTCTGTCTGTTTCTCTCTCTGTCTCTCTCTCTCTCTCTGTGTGTGTGTCTCTCTCTCTCTGTCTCTCTTCTCTTAGCCATTTACAAAGTTGGGGCCCTTGCCAGGGTGGTAGGGAACAGGTCCCACATAACTGCCCATGTTGAAAGCTGTATACCTAAATCAGGAGGGGCACCAGGGACAAGACTCCCTGGGTTTATAGCCTAGATACCTAAGGATGCAGCATAGAGTTTCCTTAGATCCCTTTGGAGATACAACTTGCTAGAGGAAATGAAAATCTGAACCATTAGTACCTAGGAGGCAGAGATCAGAGGAAGTAGATTCAGAGGTAAGGAGAATTTTGGGGCTATATTTTCAAGAAAGTCATGCTCAGGACCCAGGAGTTATGGGTCAGAAGGAAAGGTGGGGGCACACACATGGGTGACTGTTGAGTAGAGACTTCTGGCTGTGCCATAATCTCAACTGGCTAATGCCAGGACTTCGGGATGACAGCTTTCTGCCTCTAGTTGGCCCTCAGCTTCCCCAAGAAAATTGAAAGTGGAAGCTGGTTCCAGGCAGGCCAACATTCCCAACCCAGAAGGGTTGGGGGTTGTTAGAAAGCCCTTCCCAGACAGCCTCACACCTGAGTCTTAAGTCCCTTGGCCACGCTAATTGTTTTTAACCAGCTGACAGGTGCCCAGTATTTTCCTCCAATTCTAAGGAAGGATAGGACAGAATAGCAAGCGGAAGTGGTCCAATGTTACTCACCACTTTGGAGGTCGCTTCATGGTCACCAAAATGTTGCCGGGGGGGGGGGGGTCCTTGCTCCCAGAGCTCCCAAGATGGTGGCAGGCCACTTCCAAAATGGCAGCAGGCCACTTCCAAGATGGTAGCAAGCCTTATGTTCTCTGACCTGGGGTTCTTGGCTTCACGGATTCCAAGGAATGGAATCTTGGGCCATGAGGTGAGTGTTATAGTTCTATTGGAAGCCATGGGTCATGGAAGAGAACCATGGAACCCAGTGACTACTGTTCAGCTTGATTAGAATGAACCCAGGAACTTAGCCATGCAGGAACAATGGCAAGCCTTTAGCCTGATTAGGAGCAGCAATGGGTGCCTTGCTGGATCAGGAGCACAGTGGACACCTTGCTGGATCTGGAGGGATGAAAGTCAGTGGCAGGTCTGCAATGGCGGCAAATAGCAGTGGTGGACAGCAATCAAAAGCTCAGCTCGAGCTGTAACAAACATAGACCAGAAGAGAGTGCAGTTGTAAGATTTAATAGAGTGAAAACAGAGCTCCCAGGCCAGGCTCAGTGGCTCACACCTGTAATCCCAGCACTTTGGGAGGCCAAAGCAGGTGGATCACCTGAGGTAGGGAGTTCGAGACCAGCCTGGCCAACATGGAGAAACCCTGTCTCTACTAAAAAATGCAAAATTAGTCAGACATGGTGGTGCATGCCTGTCATCCCAGCTACTCGGGAGGCTGAAGCAGGAGAATCCCTTGAACCCAGGAGGTGGAGGTTGCAGTGAGCCAAGATCATGCCATTGCACTCCAGCCTGGGCAAAAAGAGTGAAACTACATCTCAAAAAAGAAAGAAAGAAAGAAAGAAAGAAAGAAAGAAAGAAAGAAAGAAAGAAAGAAAGAAAGAAAGAAAACAGAGCTCCCATACAAAGGGAGGGGACACAAAGAGGGTAGCCCAAGATAATTTTTTTTTTTTTGAGACAGAGTCTTGCTCTGTCACCCAGAATGGAGTGCAGTGGTGTGATCTTGGCTCACTGCAAGCTCCACCTCCTGGGTTTATGCCATTCTCCTGCCTCAGCCTCCTGAGTAGCTGGGACTGCAGGGGCCCACCACTACACCTGGCTAATTTTTTTTGTATTTTTAGTAGAGATGGAGTTTCACCATGTTAGCCAGCATGGTCTCAATCTCCTGACCTCATGATCCACCTGCCTCAGCCTCCCAAAGTGCTGGGATTACAGGCGTGAGCCACCGTGCCCGGGCCTGCACTCCATTATTGACCACACTAGCTTTTAATTCTTTTAGTAATTTAAACTCTACAGGAGTGTGTTCATTTAAAAGATTTTGCGGATCATTCAGGTCAGGCCTTATGGTAATAGGAAAAGTGCAAGTTCCTAAAGGTTCCCTAGCCACAGCAGCAGTGCACAAAATTTTTTGTATGGGGGTTTCTACTTCTGTTATTGGAGGGTGTGGCAGCGGCCAATTCTCCTCTCCTGTTTCCTGCTTAGCAAGGGGCCAATTCTCCTCTCCTTTCTCCTGCTCATTGTTTTCAATAGGCCCAGTTGGAGGAACAAATAATTTTTTTAAATCTTGAGACTCAGAACCTGGCTCCTGTTGTGTGACAGAATAAGAAGGAGACAACAGCTGTAGGACCGTGTGAACAAAACCCCAAGAGGAAAAAACAGAAGGGTCTACTTTGGGACCTTTTTGATGAGCCCATTTCAATTTGTCTCCTACTCTGTCCCAATTTTCCACATTGAGAGTGCCTGCCTGCAGAAACCATGGGTTATGTGTAATAACCTCCTGCAGAAGCTTAGTTAATGTCTGTGAATTAACTTGAGCTCCAGACTGTGTTCAATAAAACTTTAAACAACTGCACATAATGTTTTTCTTCAACAGACAAATTCTACCCCATGTTACCCTGATTCAGAGACTTCCCATCCTCAGTACTTCTTTAGAGCACTGGCCTTATATTCCCTGCTGACAGACTCGTCCTGGGGTCCCGGTTCATCTGGTAAATTTCACTTCCTCTGCTCTAGCAGACCTTCTTCGTCACGTCCTTGAAGTCCCTGTTGTTGGTGCCACTTGTCATGGAGCCTGGAAAATGGAACAGAGGACGAACACGGGAATAAAGAAAAAGACACTAGAGTATGTTTTCAAGAAGGGGTCAGGGGGCTCCTTGCTTCTAGGGAGCAAGGCCCCTGAGCTTCTAGAGCCCTTTGTATTTATTAAGTAAAGGAAATAGGGAGAAAGGGGTGGTTGTCAATCAGCTGCTTGATTTAGTGCAGGCCTGCACGAATGCTTTCTTTGAACAGTAGACTCCAGATGTTCCAGTAGACAACTGCAAGGAGCACAGTGCCAGGGAGTGACTGCCCTCAGCATATCTTCTGGTGGCAGGCACAGATGTGAGTTTGCCCACATCCTGCATTCATGATAAACAGTTTGCTCTTTAATCGTATAGCCTCCAGTGGGATGCTGAGTTGGTCACAACCGTCAGGCTTTTGGCTCCTAACAAGAACAGTTTGCTGTTTGCTCATATAGCCTCCAGTGGTATACTGAGTTGGTCACAACCCTCATTCCTTTGGCCTCCAACAGTAGCAGGCAAAGTGAGAGAATAAAAAAGGTTAATACCCTACAAGAGTTGCAATGTACAACAGAAAGCATAGCAAGGAACAAATTATCTGGAGTGAATGTGTCTGTGTCTGGACCAGGATTCACTCAGCCTCCTAAGTTATCTTCTTCAGCATAATGTCCGGGGTCTGTGTTGTCCTAGGAAGCCACATCGTCCAGGGCTGTTAGGTCCTGCAGTGTCATTTCCTTCATTTCTGATACCGAGTTGGGTCCTAGCCAAGCCATGGTAAGGTCTGATGCCTCGTGCTGGAATCCAAAGAGGACCTGAGGGGGTGTGAACACGAGCATACCCTCTTCCCCATGTTAGCAAATCATCTGGACCACACCATACATTACTATTTACATCTTTCCATAAAACTGAAGGTTTTATATCTTGAGTGATTTTTGCAAGGTGCTTGTCTATAGCTGATTGAAATTTATCATCTAAATTTAAGAAACTCAGGGTAAATAAGGCTTGTGCCAAAAGTGTTGCAGGGTCCTTACTCATATTTCCCCTTTTTTGTTTTCTGAGCATATTTAAGGGCAGAGTGGACACTTTTTATTATAGCCTGTCCTTGGGGGTTATATGGGATGTCTTGGAATGTAGGATGTTCCATGTGTGACAAAATTGGTGAAACTGTGAGCTGGCATAAGCCGGACCATTATCAGTTTTAATTTTTTGGGGGCCACCTCATAAATGCAAAAGTTAAGAGAAGATGTTTAATGACATATTGGATGGACTCTCCAGGAAGAACATGAGCGCTAATTAGGTGGGAATAGGTATCAATGGATACATGTACATATCTTAGTTTTCCAAATTCAGGGACATGTGTAACATCTGTTTGCCATGCTGATTAGGTTCTAGTCCTCTAAGGTTAACATCTGTTGAAGGAGGGGATGTGCCTGTGAGCTGGCAATCTGGGCATTGCAGGATAATTTGTTTATCTAGTCTTTGGGTAAATTGAAATTGTTTAGTTAAGTTTCTCCAGTTTTGGTGGAAAAATTGGTGTGATTGGGTGGCTTGGTCAAGCAAGTGACGTCATAACCTGCAGGTCTGCTTGATTGCTGTCATGAACTAGTGGGCTGGGCAGCAAGCTTTGGGCCCAAATGTGTGTGATAAAAACAGGATGTGTTTGTTAATGTAGCAATTTCTTAAGTCAAAGAAAAAGGGCACACAGAGTGGGCTCAAGAGTTGACTTAATGAGGACTGTTTCAAGGTTTTGCAATAAATAAATGGAGTAAGCAGAGTCATTAACAATATTGATGGGCTGAGTGGAAAAGGTTTCCAGGACCAATACTAGGGCTCCAACTTTAGCTGAGTACTAGTAAATCTAGATCGAGTGAGGAAGTTATGCGGTTCCCACCAGATAGCTGCTTTTCCATTTTTACCAGAGCCATCAGTGAAAACTGTTAAAGCACATTAGGTATGGGGGAGTGAACTACCTTTGTAGGCATAATTACAGGAGTATAAGAGCTAGAGTAGTTCATCAGCGGGAAGGGTACTTTCTATATGGCCCACATAATCAGAGAGTGCTATTTAAAGAACTAGAGATAAGGTCGGGTGCGGTGGCTCATGCCTGTAATCCCAACACTTTGGGAGGCCAAGGCAGGCAGATCACGAGGTCAGGAGATTGAGACCATCCTGGCTAACACAGTGAAAGCCCATCTCTACTAAAAATACAAAAAAAATTAGCCGGGTGTGATGGTGGTCCCCTGTAGTCCTAGGTACTCAGGGAGGCTGAGGCAGGAGAATGGCGTGAACCCAGGAGGCAGAGCTTGCAGCTTTCAGTGAGCTGAGATCGCACCACTGCACTCCAGCCTAGGTGATAGAGCAAGACTGTGTCTCAAAAAAAAGAAAAAATCTAGAGATAAGGGCAGGACTCCTTCGAATTGTTTTTTACTTAAGGGTATTCTTATGACATCAGAGTCATAACCTTGCAATCGATTGCATCATCTGTGGCCTGTATAAATGACTTTACCAATTAGCTGGATATAGGGGGACAGTGTTTTAGTCCCAGTGTGTGAGCAAAAACCCATTCTAGGAAGCACAGCCCTGGGGCCATCTGTCCTATTAATCCTGTTGGGGAATGTTTTGTAGGAGAAACAAACAACTGGACTGAATATTGTGGGTCTATGCAATCTAGTTTCCTATGAGAAATAGCTTGCTCTATTTCCTCAATTACCCTATTTGCAGTGGAGGTTAAATACCTGGGGGTGTCCAGGGTTTCATTGCCCTTTAGGATAGAAAACAGGTTCTGCAACTTATCAGTAGTTATGTCCAAGGTGGGGTGAAGCCAGGTAATATTGCCTAGTAATTTTTGATAATCATTTAAGGTATATAAGTTGCTAGTATTTAACATTTTGAGGTCTTACTGACCGGGAAGTTAGTATGTATCTAAGATATTTCCAAGGGGAGGACATCTGTACCTTTTCAGGTGCTATGATTAAACCTCTTAACTGTGTATTCCTTTTGACAGGGGCATATAAACTCAAAAGTATTGGCTCCATTGGGGCCACCAGTAAGATGTCATCCAGATGATATTGCAATTAGGAAATTCTTTTCTACTGGGAAGCAAAGCCTGATTTACATGATACTGACACACGGTAGGACTGTTTAGCATTCCTTGAGGAAGTACTTTCCAATGAATTGGAGGAGCTGGCCTTTCATTATTTATAGCTGGTATTGTAAATGCAAATTTTTCTCTTTCCTGTTCTGCAAGGGAAATAATATAAAAGCAGTCTTTTAAGTCAATAATGAATATAGGCCAATCTTGAGGAATCACCGTGGGGAAAGGGAGCCCCTGTTGAAGGGGCCCCACAGGTTACAAATTAGCATTGATAGCACATAAGTCATGCACAAGTTTCCATTTACCAGACTTTTTGGGAATGACGAAAATAGGTGAATTCCAAGGGCTGTCTGATGGTTCTAAATGGCCAGCTTTTAATGGCTCCTCAACTAATTTATGGGCTCATTGTAATTTCTCTCCCTTCAAAGGCCACTGTTCTACCTAAATTGGATCTTGAGAGAGCCACGTCAGGGGTAGGGGAGGAATAACAACAGTGGCCATTATTAGAAAGAGGTCTGCAGAGTAACCCCCCATTGGGCTAATAGGTCCCATCCACAAATATTAACTGGGATGGGCATGATTTGAGGTTGTATAACTGCTTTCCTTCTCTCTGAATCATGACATATTAAGGGGTGTGTGCTCTGCTTGGCTGTGTGCACTTCCCTGATGATGACAATTTTTTGTTTCTGAGTGACCCAAGGCCAAGTTTCTGGCCAGTTTTCATCACTGATGATCAAAATGTTCACCCTGTGTCCAATAGGCCAGTAAAATTTTTATTTTCAATTTTTAAGGTAATCATGAGTCTCTGATCAGTGATTGATTGGTTCCAATATACTCCTGTGGCTTCCGTGTTTCCAAAACCTCCTTGTCCCCTTTCCTTTCCCTGGGCATTGGGAACCCAGTATGGTAAGAGTAGTAACTGAGCTATTTTAGATTTAGGGGGAAGAATATGTAGACCTTTACATTAAATCATAATTAATATCTCATCTTGGTAATCACTATCAATTACCCCAGTGAGCACATTGACTCCTTTACTGGATAGGTTTCATCGCACTAGGACCAGTCCCACTGTTCCCAGAGGCAGTGGACCCCAGATCCCTGTTGCAACCCTTTAGGGTGTTCTCCTTCTTTTAGCACTAATTTGTCAGGGCAGAGTAAGTCCAGTCCTGCGCTCCCCAAGGTGGCTGCTCTGAAAGAGAGGACTGTGGGCTTTCCATCTAACCGAGGAAAGCCACTGGCATTGCCCCAGTGTGGAATGGGGCCTGGGGCCAGCCCCTCATGAAATGTCCCACCTGATTGCTTAGGGGGTTGACATTTTTATCAAATTTGGACTTGCATTGATTTGCCCAGTGTTTCCCCTTTTTACATCGGGGGCATGTAGAAGGGTTTTTTTTTTTTTTTTCCTGAGTTACTTTGGTCTTTACTATTGGGGCATTCCCACTTCACATGACCTGGCTCTCCGCATAGAAAACAATTTGGGTTTTTCTCCCTTTTCACTTTAGGAGGCTTTAATACAATAGCCTGCATTGCCTGCTGGCAGTCTACATTAGCATTTTCATAAGCCAATTGCAACAATAAGATTTCAGCAGCCTGGGCGTGACTAATTTGTCTCTTAATTGCCTGTGTTAACCGACTGATAACAAATGGCTCCTTAGGCCCTTGTTGAACATTCACAAAAGATCCCTGTTGAACTCCATCTTCAGGAATTCAGTCCCAAGCCCTGCGAGCACACAAAGACACTTGTGCATAGGCCTGGGGAACAAAATTAATTGTTCTTGTACATTGACATAGGGACCCCTCCCCTGGAGCATAGCGGCCGTTATGTTTTGCCCAGCCAACTGATTCTGGTTGGCTTGTTGTTAGTACAACTCATCATATTCTGCCTTCCAGAGGAGATATTGACTGGCTTCTAAAGTTGTTTTAGCTAGTAGTGGCCAGTCTCATGGGGTCATATGGAAGTTGGCTGCTGTGGCATCTTTATAGGTGTTAAAAGTAATGGGTTCATGTACCCAATTGCCTTGTTGATCTTGCATCACCGGGCATGCCAAGAGCTCCCCTTCTAATGCTGCTTGCCTAAGACAGGGTCCCATAACTGTAGTGTATCCCTTGTCTTTTTTCCAATTTACTGGGGGAGGGGGCACAGGGAAAATCTCTGTCTCCTCTGTGGCACCTTTACCTGGTAACAGCAGGGCTGGGGGAGGAGGAGGAGGTGGTAAGGTAGATGATGGTTCTTCCTCCCTTCCCTTTTTAGGCACTTCTGTGTAGAGCGGGGCCAAAGCAGCCATAACAAAGCCCCCTAACATTAAAGATGTTACTGGGACCTGTTGCCCTTGCGCATGATGTCATCTAAGTTTTCTCCCCACTTGTTCCCAGAGCTCTAGGTCTAGTGTGCCTTCCTCTGGGAACCATGGGTTATGAAAAACAACACTTTGCATTAGGTCCCTTAATTGGGCTTCCAAAACTGAGGCTCCACTAGCTTGAAGCAGCTGTTTCAATACTTTTATATGCTGTTGCTGTTGAGCTGATAACTGTTGTCCCATGATGAAACCCTAGCTTGAAAATCCCCTCAAACTTGGAAATCCTGAATGGGCACTGATTACTTACTGCACAGTCTCTTCACCTTTGTTTTTGAGGGTTCCATTGCAGCTTTGTTCACATGGGGCACCAGCTGCCAGGTCTGTCCCATAGACCCTGGCCAATTGATGAATGAAAGGAGTACTCAGACACAGGTATGCAGTGTAAGAGCAGCTAGAGGACTGGCCAGCACTTGTGGTCAAAGACGAGAGCAGCCCCGAACAGCTGGAGCTGCTTGCTTTTATTCAGTACAGACATAATACGGAAAGCCTGGAGCAAACACAATCTGCAGGTAATTAACATTATTGTTCCCCCTTTCAGAGAGCAGTCAAGAGCACGGATGATCAAAGGTCAGCTTCTGGACAACACGAGCAAACAAGCCTATTTAAGATAAATTCCCCTACATTCCCTTGTACCTACTCCTCACCCTCTGCCTCAGGGTAAGAGAACGGCTGCCATCAGCTTATTCTCCCACAAAGTTTTGCAGAGCCTTCTGACCTTTCAAAAGGCCTGCTCCTTTCCCTATAATTTCTCCCCCCATTTTGACTAATCCCCCACAATCTGTCATTTAATTATTTCTATAAAAAATATTTAAGGCCAGGTGGCATGGCTCACACCTGTAATCCCAGCATGTTGGGAGGCCAAGGCAGGTGGATTACCTGAGGTCAGGAGTTCGAGACCAGCCTGAGCAACATGGATAAACCTCATCTCTACTGAAAATACAAAATTAGCCAGGCGTGGTGATGCCTGCCTGTAATCCCAGCTACTCAGGAGGCGGAAGCAGGAGAATCACTTGAACCCAGGAGGTTCAGGTTGCGGTGAGCCAAGATTGTGCCATTGCACTCCAGCCTGGGCAGCAAGAGCAAAACTCCGTCTCAAAAAAAAAAAAAGTTAATATGTACAAACCATGATTAATCAATAGGACAGCCCCCAGACATAGTTTGTGGTTTGGGGGCTATAGGGAAAAGAAAGAGAGATCAGACTGTTACTGTGTCTATGTAGAAAGGGAAGACATAAGGGACTCCATTTTGAAAAAGACCTGTACTTTGAATAATTGCTTTGCTGAGATGTTGTTAATTTGTAGCTTTGCCCCAGCCACTTTGCCCCAGCCACTTTGACCCAACCTGGAGCTCACAAAAACATGTGTTGTATGAAATCAAGGTTTAAGGGATCTAGGACTATGCAGGAAGTGCCTTGTTAACAAAATGTTTACAAGCAGTATACTTGGTAAAAGTCATCACTATTCTCTAGTCTCAATAAACCAGGGGCACAATGCACTGCAGAAAGCCGCAGGGACCTCTGCTCTTGAAAGTGGGGTATTGTCCAAGGTTTCTCCCTATGTGATAGTCTGAAATATGGCCTCATGGGATGAGAAAGACCTGACCATCCCCCAGTCTGACCCCCGTAAAGAGTCTGTGCTGAGGTGGATTAGTAAAAGAGGAAAGCCTCTTGCAGTTGAGATAAAGGAAGGCCACTGTCTCCTGCCTGCCCCGGGGAACTGAATGTCTCAGTATAAAACCCGATTGTACATTTGTTCTATTCTGGGATAGGAGAAAAACCGCCCTATGGTGGGAAGCAAGACATGTTTACAGCAATGCTGCTTTGTTATTCTTTACTCCGCTGAGATGTTTGGGTGGAGAGAAACATAAATCTGGCCTACGTGCACATGCAGGCATAGTACCTCCCCTTGAACTTAATTATGACATAGATTCTTTTGCTCACATGTTTTTTGCTGACCTTCTCCTTATCATCACCCTGCTCTCCTACTACATTCATTTTTGCTGAAATAATGAAAATAATAATCAATAAAAACTGAGGGAACTCAGAGACCAGTGCTGGTGCAGGTCCTTGGTATGCTGAGCGCCGGTCCCCTGGGTCCACTGTTGTTTCTCTATACTTTGTATCTTATTTCTTTTCTCAGTCCCACCTGACTAGAAATACCCACAGGTGTGGAGGGGCAGGCCACCCCTTCAGGGGCTACCAGAGGGTCTTGAAGAAAAGGATTCTATAATGTGTATGAGGATGGAATGCAAATTAAATAAATGATTGGGTACAGTTAGGTAGTCGCTTCATTTGGAGTGTCCAGGAGAAAACTTTCTGGTAACATAATCAGGGATTAAATGGAAATTTATGTTTAATTAAGCCTGAATTTTGTTTTCTTCTAAGGTAGTAACTTACAAAAAATGCATTTGAGTTAGTTTTTTTTTTTGTTACACAGAAACCTAGACCACTAGAGCCACATCAGTCTAATTAGCTGTTATCTAATTATTTTAACTTTAATCAGGAATTCTAGCTAGATGTGGTGGCATGTGTCTATAATCCCAGTTACTTGGGAGGCTGAGGCAGGGGAATTGCTTGAACCAGGGGGGTGGAGGTTGCAGTGAGCCAAGATTCTGCCACTGCACTCCAGCCTGGGTTTCAGAGTGAGACTCCTCAAAAAAAAAAAAAAAAAAAAAAGGACCAGGTGCAGTGCCTCATGCCTGTAATCCTAGCACTTTGGGAGGCCAAGGCAGGCAGATCATGAGGTCAGATCAAGACCATCCTGGCTAACATGGTGAAACCCCATCTCTACTAAAAATACAAAAAAATTAGCCGGGTGTGGTGGTGGGCACTTGTAGTCCCAGCTACTTGGGAGGCTGAGGCAGGAGAATGGTGTGAAACTGGGAGGCGGAGCTTGCAGTGAGCTGAGATTGCGCCAATACACCCTAGCCTGGGTGACAGAGCAAGACTTTGTCTCAAAAAAAAAAAATTAGCTAGGCGTGGTGGTACATGCCTGTAATCCCAGCTACTTGGGAGGCTGAGACAGGAGAACCTCTTGAACGCTGGAGGTGGAGGCTGCAGTGAGCTGAGATGACACCACTGCACTCCAACTTGGGTGACAGAGTGAGACTCCATCTTGAAAAACAAAATTTAATAAATAATTAAGTTAATAATATGTAAATACTTCTAGAAGATGCCAAGTACCATCTTATAAAATTTAGCTTCAGCCAGGCATGGTGGCTCACGCCTGTAATCCCAGCACTTTGTGAGGGCAAGACAGGTGCATCACCTGAGGTCAGGAGTTCAAGACCAGCCTGGCCAACATGGTAAAACCCCGTCTCTACTAAAAATACAAAAATTAGTCAGGCATGGTGGTGGGCACCTGTAATCCCAGCTACTCGGGAGGCTGAGGCAGGAGAACAGCTTAAGCCTGGGAGGGAGAGGTTGCAGTGAGCCAAGATCGCACCACTGCACTCCAGCCTGGGCAACTGAGTGGGACTCTGTCTCAAAACAACAAAAAACAAAATTTAGCATCAGACTCACACATTCAGGTGACAAGATACAGAAAAGAGATTCAAAATATTAAAAATTCTGCAGCTTGCAAAAAAGAGAAACTAATGTAATCATGCCCCAAAAAGGACAGACCAAAGAAATTTAACTGCACTCACTCTGGTGGAGAAAGAAGTAAATAAGAATTTCTACTAAGTAAAACATATGACCAAATATTTAATTTTTTCTGAAATTAACCTCTTTCATGCCCTTTGTAAGTATGTTTTTTGCCTTTTGAGCTCTGATGATAAAATTCAATTTACATCTAATAAAAAACCAAAGTTGAAATAAGTGAACAAATCTGTTCAAGGTGGCAAACTCAGGGAGTAATAGTGTTTATTGCAACAGACACATATCTGACTCAAGTGTCAAATCAGGCAACCCTATCACTTGGGACATTCTCCCACCCTTACCCTACTCACCGAAGTGCTCAAAGATCACCCTCCCAGAAGACACTGCACTGTACCCCACTCTGTGTCCCTGGTACTTTTTTGCTTTGCAGGTTCTTGCATTGCCTCCATGGGGTAGGTCTATTTCGTCTTTCAGCATAGTTTTTCTCCCTTCACAAATATGACACTATTCTGAGGACAGACATGATTTCTGCCTTTTTCTCTAAATACCACCATCTGATTGGCTAACCAGCAAGAACTGGAATTGGGAAAAGAAAATCTTAAAATCCCAAAAGGTTCTGTTTTTATGGGAAGGGTAAGCCAGGATATTTATCTGAGCCCCAGGGCATTCAGTTGCTCTCCTGAGAAGCTACATTCCCATATGTCAGGGTGTCCTCTGGAAGGAGAAGACGAAGGGGCTGGTCGTCACCAAAGCTTCCAAAAGGCATGGCTGTTGTGTGTATCTTGGGCCATCCCAAGACAGTTCTAAAACTCAAGACTAGAAAGAGATCAGAGTGTGGCTGAGGACACATGGCC
Organism: Homo sapiens; assembly: GCF_000001405.40. Taxonomy (NCBI): domain Eukaryota; kingdom Metazoa; phylum Chordata; class Mammalia; order Primates; family Hominidae; genus Homo; species Homo sapiens. The sequence continues at coordinate 21,617,961 of NC_000019.10, read as the reverse complement.
CCATCAAGTTTTCAAAGGGAAACCTCAATCCAACGATGTCCTGATAAGGCATTTGTGCCTAGGGAAGATAAAAGGAGAAAAGGCAGAAAGATTTTTGACAGTGGAGTGTAAGGGGATGATTTTATGCTTTCCTCTCATGAAAAAATTTACAAATAGAAAACAACTATTTTATTGGGAGGCCGAGGCAGGTGGATTAAAAGGTCAGGTGTTAGAGACCAGCCTGGCCAACAGAGTGAAACCTGTCTCTACTAAAAATACAAAAAATTAGCTGGGCGTGGTGGCAGGTGCCTGTAATCCCAGCTACTCATGAGGCGGAGGCAGGAGAATGACTTGAACCCGGGAAGCAGAGGTTGCAGTGAGCCAAGATCGCATCGTGCTGCTGCACTTCAGCCCAGGTGACAGTGAGAGACTCCATTTCAAAAAAAAAAAAAAAAAAAAAAAAAGGAAAGAAAACAAGTATTTTAAAGAGTGCCATCCACAGCTCTGTGAATAAGTGATTAATTAAAATGCTGTTTCTAAAATGTAAAATAAAGGACAAAAATAGTTGATAATGTTGTGAATTGGAGGGGAGGAGTTGGCTCTGGGAAATATTTGAAAGAAACTGGAAATTTAAGATTTTACTGGCCTGGCGCAGTGTCTCATGCCTGTAATCCCAACACTTTGGGGGACCCAGATGGGCGGATCACCTGAGGTCGGTTGTTCCAGACCAGCCTGACCAACATGGAGAAACCCCATCTCTACTAAGAATACAAAATTAGCCAGGCATGGTGCCGCATGCCTGTGATCCCAGCTATTCGGGAGGTTAAGGCAGAAGAATCGCTTGAATCCGGGAGGCGGAGGTTGTGGTGAGCCGAGATTGAGCCATTGCACTCCAGTCTGGGCAACAAGAGCGAAACTCCATCTCAAATAAAAATAAAAATAAAAAATAAGATTTTGCTGCAAGCCAAGTTAGGCTGGCAGAACAGAGTAGTGGATTTGAGGACCTGCTTGCCACACATTTGGAAAATGTAGGGGGACACCAGAGCCCCTGAATAAAGTTAAAATAATTAGATAGCAGGTAATTAGACTGGAATGGCTCTAGTGGTCTAGGTGCCTATGTAACAACAACAAAAAAAATCTAACTCAAATGCATTTTGTGTAAGTTACTACCTTAGGAGAAAACAAAATTCAGACTTAATCAACCATAAATCTCCAATTAATCCCTGATTACATAACCAGAAAATCTTCTCCTGGACACTCCAAATGAAGCGACTACCTAACTGTATCCAATCAGCTATTTAATTTGCTTTGCTTTCTCATACACCTTATAGGAGCCTTTTCTTCAAGACCCGCTGGTAGCCCCCAAACCACAAACCATGTCTGAGGGCTGTCCTATTGATTAACACTGTTTCTGCATATTAACTTTTTTTTTTTTTGAGACGGAGTTTCACTCTTATTGCCCAAGCTGGAGTGCAATGGCGCGATCTCGGCTCACTGCAACATGCGCCTCCTGGGATCAAGCGATTCTCCTGTCTCCGCTTCCCGAGTAGCTGGGATTACAGGCATGCAGCACCACGCCCGGCTAATTTTGTATTTTTACTAGAGATGGGGATTCTCAAGGTTGCTCAGACTGGTCTCGAACTCCCAACCTCAGGTGATCCACCCGCCTTGGTCTCCCAAAGTGCTGGGATTACAGGCATGAGCCACCATGCTCAGTCTCTCCTGTTAAAAATTAAAGGGAGTCAATGTTAAAACGTTAACAAGTTTATTTGAGCAAACAGTGATTGGTGAAATGGAAAGCACCCAGCCATGATTTGAGGTCCACCTGAGGGGCATAAAGAAAAGGGTTTTAGGCCGGGCGCGGTGGCTCACGCCTGTAATCCCAGCACTTTGGGAGGCCGAGGCAGGCGGATCACGAGGTCAGGAGATCGAGACCATCCCGGCTAAAACGGTGAAACCCCATCTCTACTAAAAATACAAAAAATTAGCCGGGCATAGTGGCGGGCGCCTGTAGTCCCAGCTACTTGGGAGGCTGAGGCAGGAGAATGGCGTGAACCCGGGAGGCGGAGCTTGCAGTGAGCCGAGATCCCGCCACTGCACTCCAGCCTGGGCGACAGAGCGAGACTCCGTCTCAAAAAAAAAAAGAAAAGGGTTTTATAAAGTGTGTCAGAAGGCAAACCAGATTCAATAATTGGTTACAGTTATGTTGTCACCTTATTTGTATGATCCAGGTAGAAATTTCCTGGTTATGTAATCAGGTTAATTGCAGGTTTATGATTGGATAAGCCTGAATTTTGTTTCTGCCTAAGAGTAATTTATAAGACATGCATTTGAGTTAGGTTTTAGATTTTTTACCAATGAACACAGGGCACTAGAGCCACTTCAGTCTAAGTTCGTGCTCTTTAATGATTTTTAACACTCCACAGAAGGACTGGTTTTTTTTTTTTTTTTTTTTTTTTAGTATTTATTGATCATTCTTGGGGGATTTGGCAGGGCCATAGGACAATAGTGGAGGGAAGGTCAGCAGATAAACATGTGAACAAGGGTCTCTGCTTTTCCTAGGCAGAGGACCCTGCGGCCTTCCGCAGTGTTAGTGTCCCTGGGTACTTGAGATTAGGGAGTGGTGATGACTCTCAAGGAGCATGCTGCCTTCAAGCATCTGTTTAACAAAGCACATCTTGCACCGCCCTTAATCCATTTAACCCTGAGTGGACACAGCACATGTTTCAGAGAGCACGGGGTTGGGGGTAAGGTCATAGATCAACAGCATCCCAAGGCAGAAGAATTTTTCTTAGTACAGAACAAAATGGAGTCTCCTATGTCTACTTCTTTCTACACAGACACCGTAACAATCTGATTTCTCTTTCTTTTCCCCACATTTCTCCCTTTTTCTATTCGACAAAACCGCCATCATCATCATGGCCTGTTCTCAATGAGCTGTTGGGTACACCTCCCAGACGGGGTGGCGGCCGGCCGGAGGGGCTCCTCACTTCCCAGATGGGGCGGCTGCCGGGCGGAGGGGCTCTTCACTTCTCAGACGGGTGGCAGGGCAGAGGTGCTCCTCACATCCCAGATGGGGCGGCGGGGCAGAGGTGCTCCCCACATCTCAGACGATGGGCGGCCGGGCAGAGACGCTCCTCACTTCCCAGATGGGATGGCAGCCGGGAAGAGGCACTCCTAACTTTCCAGACTGGGTGGCCGGGCAGAGGGGCTCCTCACATCCCAGATGATGGGCGGCCAGGCAGAGATGCTCCTCACTTCCCAGACGGGATGGCGGCCAGGCAGAAGCTGCAATCTCGGCACTTTGGGAGGCCAAGGCAGGCGGCTGGGAGGTGGAGGTTGTAGCGAGCCGAGATCACGCCACTGCACTCCAGCCTGGGCAACATTGAGCACTAAGTGAGCGAGACTCCGTCTGCAATCCCGGCACCTCGGGAGGCCGAGGCTAGCAGATCACTCGTGGTCAGGAGCTGCAGACCAGTCCGGCCAACACGGCGAAACCCTGTCTCCACCAAAAAATACAAAAACCAGTCAGGTGTGGCGGCGCGCGCCTGCAATCCCAGGCACTCCGCAGGCTGAGGCAGGAGAATCAGCCAGGGAGGTTGCAGTGAGCCGAGATGGCGGCAGCACAGTCCAGCCTCGGCTGGGCGTCAGAGGGAGACCGTGGAGAGAGAGGGAGAGGGAGAGGGAGAGCAGGACTGGTTTTCTTCTGTGTCTTCCTAATGTATGGCAATCAGGGCCTCTAATCCACCACTCTTTTCCCCTAGCCTAACTCAGGCTTGCAGTAAAATTATACATTTCCACTTTCATTCCTACATTCTCAAATGTAGAAAAGAAAAGTAGAAAATAATCCTCTGACACTTCACTGTAAAAAAAAAAAATCTGTGTGCCTCTCTTCCTTTTATCTTCCCTAGGCACACACACCTTATTAGTATGTCTTTGGGTTGCAGTTTTGCTTTGGAGAAATTACAGGGCTCTTTACAGCAGCCCTCCGGTCTTTTCTTGTTCATGAGTATTAGAACTGTCTGGGATAACCCAAGATGCCCATAATGGCCATATCTCTTGGAGTGTCTAATGAATATCATCCCCTGGGTCATCTCTTAGAGGACAGTCTGAGGAATAAGAGTGTAGCCTCTCAGAGGAGCAGCTGGATGGCCTGGGCCTGAGGACAGTCTCTTGGTATACCATTTGCCTAAAAAACTAACCTCTTAGAACATTGAGATTTTTGTTTTTCTCAAAGGAACACTTATACACTGTTGGAGGGAGTGTAAATTAGTTCAACAACTGTGGAAGACAGTATGGTGATTCCTCAAAGACCTAAAGACAAATACCATTTGACCCAGCAATCTTGTTATTGGGTATATAGCCAAAGAAATATAGATTCTTCTGTTATAAAGACATGCATGTGTATGTTCATTGCAGCACAATTCACAATATTAAAGACATGGAATCAACCTAAATGCCCATCAATGATAGACTGGATAAAGAAAATGTGGTACATATACACCATGGAATACTATGCAGCCATAAAAAATGAGGTCATGTCCTTTGCAAGAACGTGGATGGAGCAGGGGGCCATTATCCTTAGCAAATTAACACAGGAACAGAAAACTAAATACTACATATTCCCACTTATAAGTAGGAGTTGAATGGTGCGAACACATGGACAAATAGAGTGGAACAACACATACTAGGGCCTATTAGGAGGAGAGAGAGGATCAGAAAAAACAACTAATGGGTACTAGGCTTAATACCTGGATGATGAAATAATCTGCACAACAAACTCCCATGACACATATTTACCTATGTAAGAAACCTACACATGTACCCCTGAACTTAAAAGAACTTAAAAAAAATTAAAAAATAAAAAGAATTTGGTAGCTTTTCCAATAATTCCCTGAGAGCATTTTGATTCCATGTGTATACATATATAACACCTATTATGTATCAGATATTTGGATTACATAAATGAGTAGGGTTCAACATATCTGCCCCATTTATAGTCCATTAGTGTGGATAGATGCATAAATGATTAATTTATTCTGGAGAATAATGCTTGTACATAAAAAGATATAAGGTATTGAGGCAGCCAAATGGTAGTAGTGATTAATTCTCCCCCTGAGATAGCAGTGAGGGAAATCAAGGAGGGTTTTATAGAGGAGGTGACATCTGAGTGGGTGTCAGAGTTTAACAGAAGCTTTTGTGTCAATGTTGATGCAGAGTATACCATTTTAAAGAAATTATTTTTTAGGCCACATGCAATGGCTCATGCCTGTAATCCCAGCACTTTTGGAGGTTGAGGCAGGCAGATCACCTGAGATCAGGAGTTCTGTAGTGGGATATTTTAAGGAATCAGAGATACTGAGGGATTGAGGAGGATATTTATTATTTAGGTGCACCGACCCAGTCAGATTTACATCCAAAGGACTGAGCCCTGAACAAAGAGCTAAGTCACCTTTTAAGCATTTTGTGGGGCAGGGGGAGATCTGTGCAGGGGGAAGCATATTACAGAAGTGAGAAACAAAGAGAGTTATTCAATTAATTGAAACATGCATTACATCATTTCTTACTTTTCAAGGAAAAACATGTTTTATGACTTGAGTTGATCTGTCTAGTGATCTTGCAGCTGCACAGCTAGAGAAACAGAGTCTTCACAATGCCTGGGAAAGAAGAGATAAGGCTCACTAGCCACAGAAAAACAGGCAGTTAATTTTTAAAGGACTCCAGCTCTTTCTCTTTCTCATACATACAACCGAGTTTCTGTTTACACATTCTTTAATTTCTTTTTATTCCTGTTCCATTCCTCCCTTTGGTGCTTTTTATAACAAAGATGTTAACAGAAAGCACCACTATCTGTCACCTCTTCACAGGGCTGTGCTTCTTCTTCTACTGGCAGTGGCTGATAATCTTGTTAATGCCATCAACTGCACGGTAGTTTTTTTGGTTACTATTGCCTCTATAGTTGACTGAATACTCCTAATAAACAGAGGTAAAAGGCAAGGGAGGATGAGGCAGATGCCAAAAATAAGCAAGAACCCACCAATGAGGGTTTTAATTTTTTTTTTTTTAAGGTTGAGAACCATCCTCCAAACAAGGAATCCAGGGACCACCCAGATCAAGTTTGAACTGGAACATAGGTGAACTCGTGCATTCTAGCTGTGATTTCCATGACAGCTCGGTCATTATCATCAATTTCTAGGCAACAGTTGGTTAAATTAAAATTTTCACATACTCCTCCTTCTGAGGCTAATAGGTAATCTAAACCCAGCCTATTTTGATATATGGCATGCCTCATTTGTGTTGCTTGTATTGCCAATAAATCTAGTGCCCTTGAGGTTTCATTGGTTATAATTTCAAGGACTGCCTGCAACCTTATGATGCGGTTGAGCATATAGATTGGGGTACGGTACCTCCATGACCCATCTTGCGCCTAGGTAGCTGGCCCATAACATTTAATGATTCTTTCAGGAGGCCATTTATTATCTTTCTAGTTTCCTATGTCCACATCTTTTTTGATATTTGTGTCTCTTTTTGTTATTATGCTTCTAGTTGTTTTTTTATTTTTATCATAAACTGGATACCCTAAGAGTTCCTCTTGCTTTAGAGGAATTAGAAAGAATGATGGCTTGATTGTTCCTAACGCACATGCCCCTGTCCATTTAGCTGGCAGTTGCTGATATGCCTGTGCTCCACAGATCCAATATAGGCCAGAGGGTGCCTTTCAAGAATTTGGAGCCTCTAGCTGATGCCAAGTGTGGCTTAGAGTAGAGAATTGAGAGAAAGGGTTTGGATCTCCATAGAGTTTTGTTTTTAGTCTCATCACAATACTGTTGCCCTAGGCAGGTTGTTTCTCACACTGCCTCTGTGAAAGCCTTTCCTCATCGGGTGATACAGTACTTTCCAATTATGGAGGTAGTTGACAACCAAACACTGGCTGAGGCTGTTGGTTCACTGGCAGTGTTAAGTGAAGGGATCTTGTGGCATTAATTCCTTTGCCTCCCATGGCCACTGGTCTTCCATATTAGTTCTTCTACATACATAGCATGAGGAAATTCCTAAGCTGCCAGCTATGTTTTCAGCTAGTTGAGCAAATAAGTTTTTGGTTGATGGGGGGAAGCTTCAGCATTGACTGATCAAAATGCTTATAGAATGACTTATGGACCTGGAATTGTGGGGTTGGATACATTTGAGTCCTTCTAGTCTTTTTGACAATTAGTAGTGGAACTCCAAGTTCTGCTCCTTGTCTATCAACTCATAATAGTGTCATCTGTCCTGTAGACCAAGAAGGTAGCTCTGGCTTTAAGATAGTAAAATTTAAAGGATTGTATGTTCTTGTCTTACAATCTGGTTTGGTTGACATACTAATTAGCAGAGCAGTCCTTCCTGAATGTAAGTGTTGGAGCTGTGTTAGCATAGACCACTGAATGTTCAGTCTCGACATCTGATTTGTGGTTTTCTGTACAGATGTTTAGGACTGTTGCTGCTAAGTCTCTCTTGTGTTAAACTATTGCAGACTGTTTCCGGTTGTATGTGCAGGTTCCTAACTTTGTTCCTGTACATTCATAGTCAGTAACGTACAGTAGAGGTTTAACTAGGGTATTCCTTATCCAGGTAGTGTGTACACAGTGTGGGCATTCTTCTAGGGATTTCTCCCCTTCTAGTATAGGCAGAAATGGTAACAACGTCAGTGTATGTAATAGAAACATGCTTACACTACACATGGGCATGGCAAACCTTCCTCTGGGCATAGACGTTTGCAGTATTTGCAGTAATAACATAACAACAGAACAATCAGTATTGACAGAATTATAACTAGGCTTATAAATTGTATCCACATTTACTTATCCGGAGATTGTCCCCTTAGCTTTGGCTGTGCGTAGACTAGTCAGCTTCCAGGATGTGACTAGAGCAGAGCTTACAGGATCCTCAAGCTTCAGCCGTGCATAGACTGACCAGCCTCCAGTGTGGTCAGAGCAGGGCAGTTGTCCTTCTTACCGGTGGTTGGGTTTCACCATGGGACTATTCGGGTGGGGCAATCTGGGTCTTGTTGGCTAATCCACTGTTCGTCGTTGGGAGTCACTGCTGCCACTGGTTTCAGCCGACTATGGTGAATCCAAGGTGTGAAACGTGCAACTTTAACAGCAGTGGGACTAGGCATGATCACGATATGGGGCCTATCCTATATGGGTCCTAGTGTGGTTGGATTCCATTTTTTTTCCTTTTTTTTTTTTTTTGAGATGGAGTCTCGCTCTGTCGCCGAGGCTGGAGTGCAGTGGCGCAATCTCAGCTCACTGCAAGCTCCACCTCCTGGGTTCACGCCATTCTCCTGCCTCAGACTCCTGAGTAGCTGGGACTACAGGGGCCCGCCATCATGCCGGGCTAATTTTTTGTATTTTTAGTAGAGATGGGTTTTCACCGTGTTAGCCAGGATGGTCTCGATCTCCTGACCATGTGATCCACCTGCCTTGGCCTCCCAAAATGCTTGGATTACAGGCGTGAGCCACCACACCCTGCCTCCATTTTTTAACTTAAACAAAATCCTTAGGTTTGAAAGGGTGTACTGGGTCTGTTTGACTTATAGGCATTTTTTTTCTATACCTAGCCATGCATTTTTGCATGGCCATACTTAAAGCCTGAATTTGCCTTCTTAAAGTTAGTTCTTCTAGTTTACAGAGATTACCTTTAATCTGACTTATGATGGGGGGTGGCTGGCTGAATAAAATCTTACAGGGCGAATACCCAGTTGTTTGGTGGGAGTGCACCTGACTCGGAGGAGGACAACAGACAAGACCTGATCCTACTTTTGATGAGTTTGACAAAATTTCTTCAGCAGCTGTTTGAGTGTCTGGTTTATGCACTCCACTTTACCTGAGCTCTGCGGCCTGTAGGCTGTATGTAATTTCCACTTTATTTTAATAGTCAAGTAAAGTCCTGAACTATTTCAGCCACAAATGTTGGTCCATTGTTTGATCTTAGAGTTAGAGACAGTCCAAATCTGGGAATAATGTCTTTTAACAACACCTTGGTCACCTCTAGTGCCTTCCCTGTCTGGGTGAGGAAGGCCTTGACTTATCCTGAAAAGGTGCAAATGAACACCAACATGTACTGATAGCCCTCCCTCTCAGGGCAATTAGGTGAAGTCTATAAGCAGTTTTTCACAGGGCACGGCTCCCTGGCTCCTGTTTCCTGAACTCCCAGGGGCGGAGTAGGCCCTCCTTGTCATGGATTGTTCTGAGTGCAAGTTAAACACTGTTTGTTTACAAATGGCTTGAGTAATAGCAGTGAGCCATGGTGCATAGAAATGATGCCTTAATAATGTCTTTAGTGCTGTTTTTTTTTTTTTATGTGAGTTCTTTGGTGGAATTGTTTTACAAATCTGGAGGTCACCATTTCTGGTATGGCTAGCCTCCCACTGGAGAATTTTTACCATCTTCCTTTAGTGTAGTTCTTATTTTTCTGGGCAAAACAAGCCCTTTCACTTGGAGCATAGCTTGGGATCTCCGGGAGGGGAATCTCTGGGAAGAGAAGCATAGCTAAGACTTCCTCTTTAGAAGGTGGAGTTGTCATTGCAGCCTGCTTTGCCTCTTTGTCTGCTTTTTTATTTTTATTTTTTTAGCCTTTAGTGTTCTTCCTTTTTTGGTTCCCCTTGCAGTGCATCACTGCCACCTCTTTTGGGTCCTATACAGCATTTAAGAGCTGTAGAATTTCTTCCTTGTACTTTATTTCTTTACTTTCAGCAGTTAAAAGTCTTTTTTCTTTGTAAATCACCTCATGAACATGCAAAGTGGCAGAAGCATATTTGGAATCTGTGTAAATATTTGTCTTTTGGTCTTTTGCTAGCCAGAGAGCTCTTGTCAGAGATATTAGCTCTGCTTTCTAAGCAGAAGTTTCTGTAGGCAGAGACTGCACCTCTACTACTGAGTCCAAAGTCACCACTGCATACCCAGCTCGGCAGACTCCCTTTAGTGATTTTAGTGAAAATCACTGATTTTCAGCAGCCTCAGGGTTAAATGGAGTGCACAATCAAAATGCCTTACAAAGTCTTTCATAAAACTTTAGTATGAAACTGCTTCCATCAGTAAAATATTTAATGTCCAGTTTCCCTGAGGGGCTATCAAATCTCTCTGGCTTGAGAAAACTTCATCTATCATGTTGACACAGAAATGAAAGGGGTCTCCTGGCACTGACTTGATGAGGAGCAATGTAGCCAGGTTTAGGCTATTCACAGTCTCTAAAGTCAGTTTATTAGCTTCTTGCACCAGTAGGGCAGTGGCAGCTAGTGCTTTAATAGCTTTAAAACAAAGAGGCCATCCAAGTGCCACAAAGTCTAATTGCCTGGATAAGTATGTCACTGGGTGATGCCATAAACTTATGGCTTGAGTTAGAACCCTTATGGCCTCCCTTTCACTTGTGGACATACAAGAAGATAGGCTTAGTTAGTTTATCCGGCAGTCCTAAAGCTGGGGCCTGAGTCAAGCTTTTTTGATTTCTTTAAACCCCTTCTCCTGGGAGCGTCTCTGCCCGGCCGCCATCCCATCTAGGAAGTGAGGAGCGTCTCTGCCCGGCCCCCCATCGTCTGAGATGTGGGGAGCGCCTCTGCCCCGCCGCCCCGTCTGGGAGGTGAGGAGCGTCTCTGCCCGGCCGCCCCGTCTGAGAAGTGAGGAGCCCCTCCGCCCGGCAGCCGCCCCGTCTGAGAGGTGAGGAGCCCCTCCGCCTGGCAGCCGCCCGGTCTGGGAAGTGAGGAGCGTCTCCGCCCGGCAGCCACCCCATCCGGGAGGGAGGTAGGGGTCAGCCCCCCGCCCGGCCAGCCGCCCCATCTGGGAGGGAGGTGGGGGGTCAGCCCCCGCCCGGCCAGCCGCCCCGTCTGGTAGGTGGGGGGTGCCTCTGCCCGGCCGCCTCTACTGGGAAGTGAGGAGCCCCTCTGCCCGGCCACCACCCCGTCTGGGAGGTGTACCCAACAGCTCATTGAGAACGGGCCATGATGACAATGGCGGTTTTGTGGAATAGAAAAGGGGGAAAGGTGGGGAAAAGATTGAGAAATCGGATGGTTGCTGTGTCTGTGTAGAAAGTAGTAGACATGGGAGACTTTTCATTTTGTTCTGTACTAAGAAAAATTCTTCTGCCTTGGGATGCTGTTGATCTATGACCTTACCCCTAACCCTGTGCTCTCTGAAACATGTGCTGTGTCCACTCAGGGTTAAATGGATTAAGGGTGGTGCAAGATGTGCTTTGTTAAACAGATGCTTGAAGGCAGCATGCTCGTTAAGAGTCATCACCACTCCCTAATCTCAAGTACCCAGGGACACAAACACTGCGGAAGGCCGCAGGGTCCTCTGCCTAGGAAAACCAGAGACCTTTGTTCACTTGTTTATCTGCTGGCCTTCCCTCCACTATTGTCCTATGACCCTGCCAAATCCCCCTCTGCGAGAAACACCCAAGAATGATCAATTTAAAAAAAAAAAAAAAAAAAAGATAAGCTCCATGGCATCTGCCATGAAAGGCTCTGGCATCTGCCACGAAAGGCTCTACCCACATCAAAGGTGTTCCTTGCAAGACCACTGGACTGCCTGGCCCAGACCAGGAGATTCTTTTTGTCTCTGTTGCTCTTCATGGACTGGTTCATTAACCTTTTTTTCCCATTTCTTTTCTCTTGATGTTAAATGTTATTTTGTTTGTTGTAGATGTTTAACCCATAACATTTATATATTGATTAGGTGTACTATTATGTATAATTTGCAATATAGAGTGACTTGTGGAGTGGCTTCAAAAAAAAATAAATAAATAAAAGCCTTCTCCTGGTTGGCCTCCTAGAGGAGAGGCTCTTTCTTTCCTCCTCTTTGTGGCTTTGTATAATGGCTTAGCCATGAGCAAGAAATTTGGGATCTAAATGTGGCAGAACCTTGCTGCCCTTAGGAACTCTCTTATTTGACACCAGGTTGTTGGAGTAGGAAGTACACAAACAGCCTGCTTTTGTTTACTACTAAGCCATCTTTCCTCTTGGTTTATATAAAAGCTTAAATACTGGACACTTTTAGAGCAGATTTGAGCTGTTTTCTGATACTTTATATCCTGCCTTTCACAGCAGGTGCAGGGGGTCTTGGGTTTTTCCTGGGTGCAGTAGCCCTTGGCCGGTGGTTTTTTTTTTTCATACCATGGCCTTGACAATTCTCCTTATTCTTTTTATGTTTTTGAGATGGAGTCTTGCTCTGTCACCCAGGCTGGAGTGCAGTGGCGCGATAGCTCACTGCAAGCTCCGCCTCCAGGGTTCACGCCTTTCTTCTGCCTCAGCCTCCCGAGTAGCTGGGACTACAGGTGCCTGCCACCATGCCCGGCTTTTTTTTTTTTTTTTTTTTTTTTTTTTTGTATTTTTAGTAGAGACAGGGTTTCACCGTGTTAGCCAGGATGGTCTCGACCTCCTGACGTCGTGATCCACCTGCCTCGGCCTCCCAAAGTGCTGGGATTACAAGCGTCAGCCACCATGCCCGGCCCATTCTCCTTATTCTTTTGACGTGTATCCTTCTAGTGTCCTTTCCTTTTGCACCGTGCACATAAATCTCTCTCTAGCCTTGGCCAGCTTTCAAACTCCTGTCCGGACTAGCCTTTTCCGTGACTGTGTTCACGCCTGCGTCCATGCCTCTTTGCAAAGCCAGCTTCTCTTCCCACAAGGGCTGCTGCTAGTAAATTAGCCTTTCTTAAGCCTCTGATCAGCTTTCTTCTTTGCCTCCTGATCTCGTTAATGTACACCCTGGTAGCCACTTTAATAAGCTGAGTAGCATTCATGCCTACAGAGCTTCTAACTTCTGCAATTTATGCCTGATATCTCCTTGGGTCTGCCTTACAAATGCCGTATTCACCTTGCACTGATTTTCAGCAGCCTCAGGGTTAAATGGAGTGTGCAACCAAAATGCCTTACAAAGTCTTTCATAAAACTGGCTGGTGCTTTTATCTGCACCCTGGAGCACCTCTGAGATGTTTTATATTGGTTGCCTTTTTCTTTTACCATCCTTTAGCCTTTGCAGAAGTGCTTCTCGGCACTTTTGTGGGTGCTGAAGGTGGACTGCATCATCTGCATCCTGGTGGGGGTCCTCTTGTCCTTTTTAGAGGCAGAAGCATAACTTGGGCATGGCTCGACCTGAGATGGCCTGCCTGACTTTTCCAGCCTTTCGCTTTAACTTCCCAGAGCTCTGATTTCTCTTTCTCGGGTGAGACTGGGAGCCTGTATCTCTTTGAACTTAACTCCTTAGGGGCAGTTAGCCTTGGTAAAGGGGGGTAGATTGGAATGTAGGGAGGAGGGGTCTCTATTCCCTCCTGTGGTTCTTGCAAAACTGGTTTTCTTTTTCCTAAGACTTTTCTTTTGTCTCCATAGCTGCCAGGGTGGCTGATTTTTACTTTCACTTTTGGCTTTCACTTTTTGCTTTTGGTGCTATAAGCCTCTGTGACTTTCCCTTTAACTCTGTAGCTGCCAGTGCAGCTGGTTTCTCTTGGCATGAGCTGTGAGCGTTCTACAATAAACTGCTAAGCAGGGCTGCATTCATTTAGCCATGAGTCAATATAAAGACTAGGTCTGAATGTCCTGGCTGTCCTCTGATCCTAGTCACCACCTTAAAACACATGGCCAATTTCTCTATAGTGCCTTCGGCCAGCCATCCAACACTAAAACAGGGCTATTCTAATTCACAGTATGTCTTTAACTTTTGAACATCCAGTTTCATCCCATAATCACCTCTAAATCCTTTTTTAAAAAAATTCTTTATCGTGCACTCCAAAGGAGTTGGTTTCAATGCTTTCCCTCTCATTTCCTCCCTTGCAGTGCACTCTCACTCTCATTTTCACCCTCAGGTTCACCAGACTGGGTCCTATTACAGGAGTTTTGGATGCTGCTTAGCCAGGAATGTGCCTTCCCCTGTCACAGCCTGCTGCAGCTGCAAAGCTGATCCTATCAGCCGTATGCAACATCCTAGGTTTGATTTTGCCTACACTCGCCTCAGAGCACACAGCCTGCACTAAGGGATCTGTGCCTCCCCACATCAGTCCCCATGTTGGCCTCTCCTGAGACCATCTCTTTCACACACTTTCACACACCTCCCCTGCCCCAGGACTCCTCACTGGATGAAATGAACCTCTCTTGTGTCCTGGGTGAGCCTAGTTAGGCTCCCACATTCACACACATAAACCCATCACTCCTACCCCAGGACTCCTCATCGGATGAAATGAGCCTCTCTCATGTCCCAGGTAGGTTCACATGCACCCACACACCCCCAGTTCCTGTCTCCAGATTCTGTGAACCATTTTCACTTTGTTAGTGGGGACACGAGGTTCAATCAAATTGGCAGGCCACTCCTGCTGCCCCCAGCCACTCTGGGTTGGATTAATGGTCAGTCCCCTTCATCCCTATGGGACGGGCTTTCCTGCCTTGGGCCACTACTCCTTATCGTGGTTCCTGAAGTGCTGGTATTGTCCTGCATCTCTGTCCCCAGTTCTGTTGCACTGCTGGGCAGGGCACCAGGACATGGGGAGAGCTGGTCTCCATCCAGGTGAAACCCCCTCATGGTGCGTCTTGGATGCTGGGTCTCCCCCATCCCCGGGGCCCTAGACACACTGGCAAAGGAGACAGTAAATCTATCATCTCCAAACCCAGATAAGCCCCCAGAAATGTTGCAGGATATTTTAAAGAATCAGGGAGACCGAGGGGTTGAGGAGGATATTTATTATTTAGGTTCACTGGCCTAGTCGGATTACATCCAAAGGACTGAGCCCTGAACAAAGAGCTAAGTTATCTTTTAAGCATTTTGTGGGGTTGGGGGAGATCTGTGCAGGGGGAAGCATATTACAGAAGCGAGAAAGAAAGACAGTTATTCAATTAATTGAGACATGCATTACATCATTCTTACTTTTCAAGGAAAAACATGTTTTACGACTTGAGTTTATCTGTCTAGTGACCTTGCAGCTGCACAGCTAGAGAAACAGTGCCTGGGAAAGAAGAGATAAGGCTCACTAGCCACAGAAAAACAGGCAGTTAATTTTTAAAGGACTCCAGCTCTTTCTCTTTCTCAGGGAGAATTGGGTTTTCTTACATACAGCTGAGTTTCTGTTTACACATTCTTTAATTTATTTTAATTCCTATTCCAGTTTAAGACCAACCTGGCCAACATGGTGAAACCCCGCCTCTACTAAAAGTATGAAAATTAGCCAGGCATAGTGGTGCATGCCTGTAGTCCCGCTACTGGGAAGGCTGAGGCACAAGAATCGCTTGAACCCAGTATGCGGAGGTTGCAGTGAGCCGAGATTGCGCCACTGCACTCCAACCTGGGTGATAGAGTGAGACTCCATCTCAAAATAAATAAATGAAATTATTATTTTTTTAATTTACCCCTTGACTCTGCAATGTATTTAGGATTTTCCTCCAATGAAATAAAAATGCACAAGTGTGCAAGCAGTTAAAAAAAGGGTTTTTTTAAACCCCAATTTTTATTCTTTGTAGACACATTGGTGATCAGCCAATCAGAGGTTCATATTGAGGAGAAAAGGCAGAAATAATTCCTGCCCTTTGGATTCATCAGATTTGTGAAGAAATAAATTTTTTTCCAAAGGACTAAGAAGAACCCATTTTAGTAAGGCAATGCAAGAACCTGCAAAACAAAATGTACCTGAGGCCCACAGTGGAGTACAGTACAGTTTCTCCTGGGAAGGTGATCACTGAGTAATTGAATGGGTAGGATGGGAATGGGAGAATGTTTTGAGTGATACCATGGTCTGACTTGACAGTTGAGTCAGACATGTTTGTGTTCCAATCGGCACTGCCACTCCCTGAGTTTGTCACCTTGGAAAGATTATTTTACTTATTTCAACTTCAGTTTTTTAATTACCTTAAATTACATTTTATTAGTAGAACTTAAGACATTTTACAAGAGTCAAGTACCCAGAAAGGTGGATTTCAGTAAAATCTAGTCATATATTTATTTCATTAAAGATTCTTATCTATCTTTATTATCCCCAGAGTGAGTGTAGTAAGTTTCTTATGTGTGTTCTTTTTGGGGGGTGATTTCAAGTAAAATTCCAGGGCTTTTCTTTGAAAATGCTACCAGAAGGCTGAGTGCGGTGGCTCACACCTATAATCCTTGCACTTTGGGAGGCTGAGGCAGGCAGATCACCTGAGGTTGGGAGTTCGAGATCAGCCTGATCAACACGGAGAAACCTCATCTCTACTAAAAATACAAACTTCGCTGGCCATGGTGGCCCATGCCTGTAATCCCTGCTACTCGGGAGGCTGAAGCAGGAGAATTGCTTGAACCTGGGAGGCGGAGGTTGCGGTGAGCTGAGATCAAGCTATTGCACTCCAGCCTGGGCAACAAGAGTGAAACTCTGTCTCAAAAAAAAACAAAAAAAACAAAAAAAAAACAAAAAAAAAAAAACCAAAGCTACCAGGGAAATAAATAGGAAAAATCGCTCTTGCATTATGGCTACAGAAAGTGATATATTTCCACAGCAAATGTGATAGATTAACTGGTGAATTGCATATATTTTTCAAAACATCAGCTCCCATTTTTTGCAGGGTCTAGAATTTGTAACAGTGGACATCTGTGTTCTGTATCCTGTGGTCTGGATGTCCAAGTTTAATGCTAAATTTTATGAGATGAGACTTAGCACCTTCTAGAAATGTTCCCATATGGTTATTTATTAAATTATTTATCATGGAAATATTTAAATGACACGTTTATTTTCTGAAAGAAATAGATACTAAGTGCCTTACAATTTCCTTACAATATTCTATAAACACTGTGTTTGAGTGATTTTGCTCTTTTCTTCAAACATTGAGCATTTTCTTATTTAAAACTAAGTGAATAACCCTGACTGGGAAGTAGAAGCCTGAATTCAGTGACTCCCCAAGCTAACAATAGTTTTGCCTGCAAAGGGAGATTATTGAAGGAGCAACCAGTTCTGCCTGAGGAGCCTCCCCTGCAGATGCCCTAGCCTGCTCACAATAGCCATGGACAGAGCCTTTTATACTTAGAGAAATGACAAAACCCTGAAAAGCTGGAAATCCTTAGGCAGACACAGTTGGGATTGGCATGAAAGTGGGGTTGGGAAGCTCTTTCTGAGGATGGAGTCGTTATTTTCCTGGGGCTATTTCTAGATTTTGTAAAATAAGACAAATTCAGATTTAGGTAAGAAGTTACATGATTTTAAAGGAGTATTGCAACAAAGGGAAAGCACCAACTATAAGATGCTGGAAGATCTCAAAAGTTAGGCAGAATAGGGCTTTCTTTCATAAGGAGGAGGAAACAGGACAGAAAGAAAGGTAGGAGGGGGAGGGAGGAATAAAACATGGTGAAATCAGGTCCCAGATCAGAGAATGTTTCACCCAGAAGTTAGCCTGTTGTATTTTTTGTTGTTGTTGTTTTTTTAAAGACCGAGTTTTGCTCTTGTTTCCCAGGCTGGAGTGCAATGGTGTGATCTCAGCTCACTGAAACCTCTGCCTCCCGGGCTCCAGCAATTCTCCTGCCTCAGCCTCCTCAGTAGCTGGGATTACAGGCATGCACCACCATGCCTGGCTAATTTTGTATTTTTAGTAGAGATGAGATTTCTCCATGCTGTTCAGGCTGGCCTCGAACTCCTAACCTCAGGTGATCCGCCCACCTTGGCCTCCCATAGTGCTGGGATTACAGGCATGAGCCACTACACCTGGCTAGCCTGTTCTTAAGAGGGGTATAAAGAGGAGTTGTGTGTCAGCTCAGAGTAAGTTCAGGTCAAAGTTTGGGAGCCTGAGGAAGGAAAGAAACTTAGACAAAGTTTGGTTAACAAGTATTTTGTTCTGACCACTGAAGACAAACTTATTATTTAATTGTTTATGAGACCCCCAAAAAAGGGAATTTAGAGTCTGTGGCTTTGTGATATCAAAAACAGGAAAGATGTTTCTTTGCAGTAAATGCTCTTGGAAAACACAAAGGATGGGGGATTTCTTTAATCACAGCTGTTGCTGTTACCTACCCACCCCATTCCCCCCCACCGCTTTTTCTTGCCATTTACATTTCTTCCATTTGGCTGTTCCTGACTTGTATCTTTATAATAAACTGGTAAATGCATGTATAGTGTTTTGTTGAGTTCTGTGAGTAGTTATATTAAGTTATTAAACTTGAGGAGCAGGTTATGGGAGCCCCCAATTTATAGGCAGTAGCTCAGAAGGATAGATGGGCCCCTAATAATCGCAGCTGGGATCTGCAGTGGGGGCAGTGTTGTGGGACTGAGCCCTGAACTTTTGGCGTCTGCGTTGACTCAGGATGGTATCAGAATTGAGTTATTATTGGACAACCAATTGGTGTTGGAGAATTGGTTGCTGTTAAAACTCTATACATTTGGTGTCAGGAAAAAATATCCCAGGGGTTTAGGCAGGAGGGAAACTCTGTTCCCCTGCACACAGTCTGTCACAATGCACATTGTCCTGTGATTCCAGATCTCCTCTCAGGGTAAAAGGGGACTGAGGACTTAGAAGAAAGGAGTTCTGAGAACAGACCCCCTGCCCCCAACCTGCTACCACACGATTCTCACCTACTTATGAACATACCCACTAGGAATAGATGTGGCCACACCCTCCACAAAACAAGACTTGACTATCAGGAATTATGTTTATAGGGCCTTTGCACCTAGAATTGCTCACCAAAAAATTCACACAAGTTCCTAGAGGACTCCTGGCTCTTTCCTACCCTTGATCCTCAAACAGCAGCAGCAACCTTTCCCTCCATCCACCTAGACCTGTGGACCACCAGTCATAATCTCATCTGCCTGTATGGACACAGGAACATGTCAGAATATAGCCCTGCCTGGGTTAGTGTCTGTAGCATAAACCAGTTCTCCCAGCTATTATGTACTGTCCCCCACTCATGGGTTCTTGATAACACCTTTCCCTCTATTGCCTTTCTTTTTTTTTTTTTTTTTTTTTGAGACAGAGTCCCACTCTATCGCCCAGGCTGGAATGCAGTGGTGGGATCTTGGCTCACTGCAACCTCCAACTCCTGGGTTCAAGCAATTCTCTTGCCTCAGCCTCCCAAATGGCTGCGATTACAGGTGCCCACCACCATGCCCAGCTATTTTTTTGTGTGTATTTTTAGAAGATACGGGGTTTCGCCATGTGGGTCAGGGTGGTCTTGAACTCCTGACCTCAGGTGACCCACCCACCTTGGCCTCCCAAAGTGCTGGGATTACAGGCATGAGCCACTGCGCCCAACCTCTTCTGCTTTTACTTCCCCATAAACCCTTCTGATGTGCACAGTATGCCCAAGGTCACCCCTCAGGTGCCTGAATCCAGCACCTACTAGAATTCAGATGTCCATGAAAAAAGAGATTTTTCTCTTCTCTTTTTTTAAACACATTCACTTTAGAAAACTTTTTTTTTTTTTAGAGATGGAGTCTCACTCTGTCACCCAGGCTAGAGTGCAGTGGTGTGATCTTGGCTCACTGCAACTTCTGCCATCCAGGTTCAAGTGGTTCTCCTGCCTCAGCCTCCTGAGTAGCTGGGATTACAGGCACCTGTCACTGCGCCCGGCTAAGTTTTGTAGTTTTTAGTAGAGATGGCGTTTCACCATCTTGGCCAGGCTGGTCTTGAATGCCTGACCTCATGATCCACCTGCCTTGGCCTCCCAAAATGCTGGGATTACAGGTGTGAGTCACCACGCCCAGCCCAGAAAACTTTTATACTTAAATTATTTTTCTGCCAACTTGAAATATATATAAATTATTCTAACTGCTAAATAGGTCTTTTGTGAGTATCTCTGACTCAGGACTGTCTTTCTCTAGGACCTGAAAATCATTTATTTAAAATGTAAATAGCAAAGAAAATAGAGCTCCATTCCACACTTTTTGTTGGAAGATAGGAGCCAACTTTCATCACGCACCTGGCTCCAAGTTTCCAAACTACCTCTCATGAAAGCATAAGTTTATTTTTCCTTTGAATATAGCCAATTAGCAACCAGAGATGACCTCCAATTTTCAGGGGAATTTAGGATAAATTGTATGTGACAAATTCCAGAGATATGTCACAATTCCCCCTGTCAGCAGGGTCCAAGCAGGAGATTCACATAACCTTTATGCTGGGCCCAGAAATATGTCACAATGCCTTCTGAGGGCAGGGCCAAGGCAAAACAAATAACATTACCTAGTCGTTGGGCCAAGCAAAAAGACACAATCTCCTCTGTGAGCAGAGCCTAGTAAGAAAAGTCACGTCAGCCAGGGGTTGGGTTCAGCGATATATCACCATCCCCTCTGTGATCAGGGACCAGGCAGGAGAAGAGAATCACATCACCACGGTGATGGGCACAGAGGTATGTCACAATGCCAGGGAGGCAGGGCCCCAGCAGGAGGGTTGTGTCACCAGCTTGTTGGACCCAGCAATATGTCACAGGAGAGCCACATAACCTGTGTGCAGGGCCCAGTGATATGTGAAAACACCCTCTGTATGCTGCGCCAAGGCAGTAGAATACAGTCCCATCTTCTAGGTGCTGCGTCCAGTGATACTCTATTCTCCAGTGCTAAGGCAGGAGAATAGAGTATCGTCACCTAGGTGCTGGGTCCAATGATATGTCACAATATGAAAAATATGCAGAGCCACGCAAAAGAAAAAACTTACATCATCTAGGTATTGAATGCAGTGATATGTCACAATCTCCTTTTTTCGGCATGGCCCAGGCAGAAGTGGTCAGTCACATCACCTAGGTGATAAAGAAAAGATATGTAATAATACCCCAGTGGGCATATGAATGAGAGTCACATCACGTAGGTGTCAAACCAAGCCATATGTCACAATACACAATAAATTCAGGGCCCATTCAGGAGAGTCAAATCCCGTAGGTGCTGGAAACAGTGATATATCACAATTTTTCCTTGGTCAGAAGCCAAGCATTAGAGAGGAGTCACATCGCCTAGGTGCTTGGTCCAGCAATATGTCACAATACCCTTGCACTATGCCCCCTGTGAATAGAAATCAGGAGGAAAAAGATGGTCACATCATCTAAATGATGGGCCCAGAGATAGGTCATAATGGCTCTTGTGTGCAGGAACCAGGCAGAAGAATCACATCAACATTGTCCTTGGCCCAGTGAGAAGTCACTCTCCCTTTTGTGGGCATGGCCCAGGCAGGAGAGGAGACTCACATTACCAAGATATGTCCCAGAGATATGTCACAATCTTTCCTATTTGCAAAGCCCAGGTAGAAGAGGAGAGTCACATCAAATAGTTGATGGGTCCAGACACATATCACAATGCCCCCTGTATGCAGGGCACAAGCAACTATCTCCCATTATTTAGGTGCTGGAGCCAGTGACATGTGAAAATAATCAAAATATGCAGGAACCAGGCAATAAAAGAGAGTCACATCATCCAGGTGCTAGGTTCAGTGGTATGTCAGAATCCCTACTTCAGCAGGGCCCAGGCACATGAAAAGAGTCACATAACCTAGATAATAAATATAAAGATATGTCATAATACCTCTGTGGGCAGAACCCATTGAGGAGAGTCACATTACCTTGATGTTGGACTCAGCCATGTGTCATAATACACAGTATATCCAGGGCTCAGGCAGAAGAGAAGAGTCACATCATCTAGTTGCTGGTCCAATTATATGTTGCAATCACTTGTTTTGGCAGAACCTAGGCAGAAAAGAAGAGTTATATCTGCTAGTTAATTGATGCAGAGATATGCCAAAAGGCCCCTTTTGGGCAGGTCCCAGGCAGGAGCCTCTCATGCCCTGGGTATTTGTTCCAGAGATTTGTCACAGTGCCAAATATGTGCAGGGCCCAGGCAAAACAGGAGAGTCACATCACTTAGGTGCTGAGTTCGGCGATATGTCACAATCACCCCTTTAGGCAGGGTCAAGACACAAAAAAGAGTCACGTCACCTAGGTGAGGAACAAAAAGATATGTCATAATACACCCGTAGGCGGGGCCCATGCTGAGGAGTCAGAACAACTAGGTGTTAGTACCCAGTGAAGTCACAATGTATAATTTATGCAGGGGGCCAGGTGCAGTGGCTCATGCCTGTAATCCCAGCACTTTGGGAGGCTGGGGTAAGTGGATCACTCGAGGTCAGGAGTTTGAGACCAGCCTGGCCAACATGGTAAAACCCCGTTTCTACTAAAAATACAAAAATTAGTTGGGTGTGGTGGCTCACGCCTGTAATCCTAGCTACTCGGGAGGCTGAGTCAGGAGAATCACTTGAACCTGGGCAGTGGAGGCTACAGTGAGCTGAGATGGCACCACAGCACTCCAGCCTGGGCAACAGAATGAGACTATCTCAAAAAAAAAAAAAAAAAAAACACAATTGATGCAGGGCCCAGGCAGAAGAGGAAAGTCACATAACACATAACCCAGGTGCTGGGTTCAGTGACCCATCACAATTCCTCCTTGAGTAAAGCCCAAGCAGTAGAGGAGAGTCACATTACCTAGGTCTGGATCCAGCCCTATGTCACAATACCTCCTAAAAAAAGAGCCCAGGCAGGTGAGTTCCATTACCTAGTAGATGGGCCAAGAGATATTTCCCAATGACCTCTGTAGATAGGGCTCAGAATCATCAAAAGAGTCATAGAACCTAGGGGCTAGGCCCAGCTGTATGTCACAATTACCCTAGTTGGCAGAGCCTTGATATGAGAGGAGAGTCACGTGACTTGGGTGCTGTGCACAACGATTTGTCACAATTATCTCTGCAAGAAAAGCCCAGGTATGGGAGACACACCACCTGGTTGGTGAACCCGGAGATATATCACAGTCTTCTGTGCGGGCATGGAGCAGCCAGAAGAGGAGAGTCACACTTCCAAAGTGATGGATGCAGAGATCTGTCTCAAGGTCTCCTGTGGGCAGGGCCTAGGCAAGAGCCTCCCCCTCCTTTGGTTTGACCCAGTGATATGTCATAATACCCAAAATACAAGAAGCCAAGGTGAAAAAGGAGAGCCATATCACCTAGATGCTGGGTCCAGTGATATGTCACGATCTCCCCTTTTTACAGTGTTTAGGCAGAAAGGGAGAGTCACATCACCTAGGTGAAAAAAAAATATGTCATAATAGCCCTATTAGCAGGACGCATGCAAAAGAGTTGCCTAACCTAGGTTTTGAAAATATGTCACAATAAACAATAAATGCAGGGCTTTGGAAGGAGAGGAGAGTCACATCAGTTAGGTGCTAGGACCAGTGATGCATCACAATTACATCTTGGGCACAATACCCACTGACAGGAGGACCCTGGAAAGAGTCACATCACCTAGGTAAGGAGCCCAGAGGTATGTCACAATGCCCCCTGTGAGTAGAACTCAAAAAAAGAGGAGTGTCATATAACCTCATGGCTGTGCCCAGCTTATATGTCACAATCACCCCAGTGGGCAGGGCCCAGGCATGAGATCAGAGTCACAACATGTAGGTGCTGGGCCAAGTGATATGTCACAATGCCCACTGTAGACAGGTTCCAGGAAGAAAAGGAGCATCACATCATCTAGGTGATAAACCCTGAGATATCTCACAATGACCCCTTTGTGCAGAGATCACAAAGAAGAATCATATAACCTGTGTGCTGGATCCAGTGGTAAGTCACTCTCCCTTCTCTGGCCATGGCCCAGTCAGGAGAGAAGAGTCACATCATCTACATTCTAAATCCAGAGATGTGTTACAATCTCTCCTATAGGCAACGGTCAGATAAGAGAGGAGGGCCATGCCAGATAGTTGATGGGCCCTAAATGTCACAATGCCCAGTGTGGGCAGGGTCCAGGCAGAAGTCCCACATCACCTTGGTGATTAACCCAACAGTATGTCGCAATGCCTTCTGAGGTCAGGGCCAAGGCACAAAAGTGACATAACCTTGGTGTTTGGTCCAACAATATGTCAGAATCTCTTCTTGAGCAGAACCTAGCAAAAAGAGAAGAGTCACATCAGCTGGATGGTGGCCAAGAGATATGTCACAATCCCATCCGTGGGCTGAGCTAAGGAAGGAGAATAAAATCACCCAAGTGTTGAGCAGAGGCAGATGTTAAAATCACTCCTGCAGGAAGGCCCAGGGATGAGATTAACAATACTGAACATGTCCTTGTTTTAGGTATGAAAGTCAACACCTGTATTTTGGGTCTAAGTACATGAGACACAATGGTGGACAATCTATACTGAGAGCCTCAATTCTTCCTGTAGACAGTGTCTCCTCAGTGGAGTAAAAGCCTCACGGTGTGTTGAATCTTGGTCTGAGAGTCGCCAACCCACTGGTGGACCGGATCCACTTACAAGAGTCAATGTTCAAACTTTCAACTGTCTCCAGCTGTGAGATTCAGAACCTCAACAGTGAGTTGTGTTCATGTGTGTGGATGACAATCTTTATTGTGGGATGGGGGTGCATATGAGTGTTACAGTCTCATCTGTGTACTAGGCCCTGTTAGGACGCTTACTGGCCTGAGGCTTTAACTGGTATGCATGAGAGTCACAATTCTCTCTGAGTCCCTATGTTGGTATTAACCCATGATCATACCTATGGCCCTGAACCCAGGTATGAGAACCAACATCTCTTCAACTGTCTGGGTCCAGATAGGAGAGTCTTCTACTGGCTATAAGCTGGGTTAAGAAATTAGTCAGCATTCCAACTGTGGCTGGATGTTTACATATAATGCTCGCAATACAAACTGCATGCTGAGCTCAGCTGCCCCCCTCCTCTAGAAAGCCTTCCTGGGTTTCTCCGTGTCACCATAAGATCATGTCTGCCTATCTCTAACAGCTCCAACTTTTCTAGTTTGTCATTGTCTCCCTTTGTCATGGTGCTTTAAATTCCCTCAGGACTGCACTGTTTGGCTTCTAGAATGTCCCCAGAGTACAGGGCAAGGGCTGGCCCAGATAAGGAACCCCATGAGAGTTTACTAAGCAAATGCTGAATGGTGTGACTAAGCCCCCACCTGTGGTCCCCAACCACTGGCCCACCCTGCCCCAGTGACTTGCAGCTCTCCTCTGAGGATTCCACTGTGAGGTGGTGCAGGCCTCTGGAAAGGTGGCGTGGGTCCCATCAGGTGACCCCTGGGTGCTGGCCCTGCCAGACCACAGCAGACTGAGGAGCAGCAGCAGGCCACCTGTGCCACAACAGAAGGAACTGACCCACTGGAGCCGGGGCTGGGGTCCCCAGGCACAGGGTGTTCTGTGGGTGGGACAGCTGGCCAGGCTGGGCACGTGCATCCCCTTGGCTCCACCAAGTCAAGCAGTGTCCCAGCCACAAGAACCACCATGGTGCTGACCATCATGCAATAGTAGAGGCCCCCATCACACATCTGGACACAGGAGAGAGAAGACGAAATGGGTCACATGAAAGGTACTGGAGACCTAGGTGTTAGTATTTCTCTACCCTAGGTCACTTTACAACCTTGGAGAGGTCATTTGACACCTCTGTGCCTCAGTTTCTTCATCTGCAAAATGGAGATGGTGTCCCGGACTTTGCAGCACTATTTTGAAGGTCAGAGATAATGGGTATCAGCACTGCGCCTGGGACATGGTAGGAACTAAGTGTGACACTCTAGGCCTCTCCCCAGTCCTCAGGAGCCTCATCTACTGCTGCATATTAAGATTCCCCACCCACGGCCGGGTGTGGTGGCTCACACCTGTAATCCCAGCGCTTTGGGAGGCCAAGGTGGGAGGATCACCGGAGGTCAGGAGTTCGAGATCAGCCTGGCCAACATGGTGAAACCCCATCTCTACTAAAAATACAAAAATTAGCCGGGCGTGCTAGCACATGCCTGTAATCCCAGCTACTCAGGAGACTGAGGCAGGAGAATCGCTTGAACCCAGGAGGCGAAGGTTGCAGTGAGCTGAGATCACGCCATCGCACACCAGCCTGGGGGACAAGAGCAAGACTTTGTCTCAAACAATAATAATAATAATGATTGCCCACCCTGATGCCTTATGGGAAGCTGAGAGGGAGGAGAATGAATACTTGTTGGGTGGACCAGGCCTGCCAGAATCAGGGTTTGCTGGCTATGCTCTGCCTTACTTCACGTGGTCACAATCCCATGAGATCCACGCTGTTAACTCCACTGGACAAAGAAGACACTGGGACCTAGGGCAAACAGAACATTGAAACAGAGCATTCAAATGTCTGAAACTGAAACTAACAACATGGAGCAAAACTTTGTGCAAAAAGATGTTCACCATGCCCTTGTTTATAAGGGTTATCATTTGAAAAATGCTCAAGTGTCCAATTATAAAGAAATGGTAAGTAAAATATGACATAACTTCTAGATGAAGTAACTAATATTAATAGTTTTTAAAAAATCAAGCTCAGCAAAAAGGTTTAATAACAGGAGAAAACAGTTACGATATGTTACTTTTTTTCAACTTAAGTATACCAAGAAATATATAGAGTGTTATCTAAATTAAGTAAAGAAAACCATGGATGGGGGGATAAACCTGGGTAAAAACCTGGCCCCAGACCATGCTAAGAGGCTGAAACCTAGGTCCAGGTTATCCCATTATCTCTCTTCAAGGGCCAGCTCAGCCTCATCTGAGACGCCTTCTCTGCTGACACTTTTCACTTTAACACCCAAGTCCTCTGGGCTGTCCTCACCACAGCATGCACCTGTCCTAACTTCTGCTACACCTGTCCACTATCCCAGACTGTGAGCTCCCAGAGGGCTGGATCCATTCTGGCTTTGTTCACCACTATATCCCCCCAGTGCCTAGCACATAATAGCTGCTCAATAAATGTTCATTGAGTAAATCTTCTGAAATGAGGGAAAGTGCTGCTGGATGAGCAGATACTCATTGGGTGAAAATCCTCCCCCACCATTGCAAAGAGCTGAGAAAGGGGCAAGAATGCAGGATTCCAGCTGCCACAGCACTGTTGAGGGAGTGCAGTCCTGGATTTGGTTCTCGCTCTGCAGCTTGTCCTGGGGAAAACCACTCAACTGCCTGGGCCTGCTATCACTTAAAGGGCAGGCACTCTGGCAGGCTGAGAGGAGGATTTGCAGATACACCAGCTGTCTGCTCTTCCAGAGGCTGAGTTGGTGCAGCAGGAAGCAAAGGAGCATAAACCCTAAGGAAGATGTCAGGAACCAGCAATCCCTTCAAAATGGGGCTTGCCCAGCCAAACGACAATACACAGTGGTGCAAAGTCATATTCCTGTGGGAGGTGAAAGGCATGGTACATTTTTAAGATATAGGAGGTGAAACTTTAGATTTCAAAGGGGTATAGTTTCAAATATGTTTACAAATGTGTGTGTGTGCATGTGTGTGTGTCTGTGTGTGTGAGAGAGAGAGAGAGAGAGAGAGAGAATGTATACATGTAAAAGGAGTGCTCTGGGAATGGACCCCAGTATCTTTGAACCCTTAGACTACTGGACACATACAATGCCATTTGTAAATTCCCTGCAGTTCGCCTCCTGTGAATCTGTCCTGGGGGCAAGTACTTCCTGTCTCCAGATCAAAGCATTTTCATGGAGAGAGAAAAAGAACCTGACTACCTGCCACTCCTCAAAGTTGACAGCCAGGAAAGGCTGTTAGGAGGAGAAAACACTTGGCCAGGCGCAGTGGCGCACGCCTGTAATCCCAGCACTTTGGGAGGCCGAGGCCAGTGGATCACTTGAGGTCAGGAGCTCGAGACCAGCCTGGCCAACATGGTGAAACCCCATCTCTACCAAAAATACAAAAATTAGCCGGGTGTGGTGGCACGCACCTCTAATCCCAGCTACTCTGGAGGCTGAGGCAGGAGCATTGTTGAAACCTGGGAGGTGGAGTTTGCAGTGAGCCAAGATTGTGCCACTGCACTCCAGTCCAGTTGACAGAGGGAGACTCTGTCTCAAAAAAAAAAAAAAAAAAAAAAAAAAGAGGAAAAAACACTTTGGGGGAAGGTGGCTGGGCTGGAGAAAATTCCCATGTTACAGATGAGGAGACTGAACCCCAAATGGTGAAGAATCTTGCCTGTAGCCGGGTACAGCAGGGTTATCAGCACTAGAGGAGCTCGCATCTGGGCACACCTGCACAAGGCAACTTACAACACATTTTACTTTCTATCGATACAATAGCTGCTGCTCATTGTGGGAAAAAGAGAAAGCCACAGGAAAATGAGAATGAAAAATACAAATCCCCACAAATCTTGCTTCTCACAGATGAGCATAATCTCCATATAAAGTATCTTGTCCATTTCTCCCTTGCCCTGTGCATTTCTCCCTTTCTCTCCACACCACACAGGACGATGGTGGCACCAGGTGTGTGCTGGGCACTTAGAGGCCGGGCACCATGCTAAGCACTTTACAGACATCTCTTCACTTATTCCTCACAATAGTGTTATGTCCCAAGAACACTGGGACTCCTAGGGTGACCCCTTGTCCAAGGTTGCTGCTGGATTTGGACCCAGCTCTAGTCTGAATCAAATCCCTGCCTGTGTGCACAGCCAAGTTTATCACTATTTTTGTTGTTGTTTTTGTTGTTGAGACGGAGTTTCGCTCTTGCCACCCAGGCTGGAGTGCAATGGCGTGATCTTGGCTTACTGCAACCTCCACCTCCCGGGTTCAAGCAATTCTCCTGCCTCAGCCTCCCGAGTAGCTGGGATTACAGACATGCACCACCACGTCCAGCTAATTTTGTATTATTAGTACAGACAGGGTTTCACCATGTTGGTCAGGCTGGTCTCAAACTCCTGACTTCAAGTGATCGACCCACCTCGGCCTCCCAAAGTGCTGGGATCACAGGCATAAACCACCGTGCCCAGCTTATCACTATTTTTTTTTAAGATGGAGTCTCGCTCTGTCGCCAGGCTGGAGTGCAGTGGTGTGATCTCAGCTCACTGTAACCTCCGCCTCCCGTGTTCAAGCGATTCTCCTGCCTCAGCCTCCCATGTGGCTGGGACTACAGGCACGTGCCACCACACCCAGCTAATTTTTTGTATTTTTAGTAGAGACGAGGTTTCACCATTGCCGAGACCAGCTCGGTCGGGAGACCTTAACGTAGCGGCGCTAGAGGAATTAAAGACACACACAGAAATACAGAGGTGTGAAGTGGGAAATCAGGGGTCTCACAGCCTTCAGAGCTTAGAGCTCTGAACAGAGATTTACCCACATATTTATTAACAGCAAATCAGTCATTAGCATTGTTTCTATAGATGTTAAATTAACTAAAAGTATCCCTTATGTGAAACGAAGGGATGGGCCAAATTAATTGAATAGGTTGGGCTAGTTAACTGCAGCAGGAACATGCCCTTAAGACACAGATCTCTCAGGCTTTTGTTTGTGGCTTAAGAATGCCTTTAAGTGGTTTTCCACCCTGGGCGGGCCAGGTGTTCCTTGCCCTCATTCCTGTAAACCTACAACCTTCCAGCTTGGGCGTTAGGGCTATTATGGACATGTTATAGTGCTGCAGAGATTTTGTTTATGGCCAGTTTGGGGACCAGTTTATGGCCAGACTTTGGGGGGCTTGCTCCCAACACACCATGTTGTCCAGAATGGTCTCGATCTCTTGACCTCATGATCTGCCCAACCTGGCCTCTGAAAGTGCTGGAATTATAGGCGTGAGCTACCACGCCCAGCCACTATCTTTTAATACATAAAGTTGAGGCCATGCTGTGAATGGGTGCAGGTGTTAAGTCTTTGGCATAGGCAGCTCTCACTCTGGAATGCACTGCCTGCCTTACTGGCTTAACCTCTCCCACACCTTGGACCAGCCCCTGCAATTGTCCTTTGCATGGTCTCACGTGGCATCATGGTCATCTCCTTCTATGTGGGTCTCCCTCCTTCCATGTGGCTCCCCCATGGCAGGCAGGGCACGTGCTAACCTGCCATCTGGGGGATTAGGGGCACGTGGAGAGGGTCAGTGTCTACTGGATGAAGGACAGCCTGTTTTGTTTTGCCGTGACTATTTTTGCAGTAACTGTCAGCAGGGTGTCCCACCCCAAGAATTTCCTTGAGCCATATCAGAGAATTGGTGAAGCAGGTTACTGGTCCCTTACACTGTGTACCTCCAGAACCTGTACCCTGCTAGGAAAAGAAGAGTTACCTGCCCTGGAATGCATAAGCCCACCCCAGGGCAAGCCAGGAACTCCCCTGTCCCTGAGAAGTCCCACCCCCAACCCTAGCACTCATGCAGGGCCTCGGAGGGTGGCCCTGCCTCCCTCAAATGCCCTCCCCCCAAACTCCTATCACCTGGAAGCCTCTACTAGGCCTGTGCCCCATTCCAGGGAACCCTCTGCTCCCATCCAGGGCCCTCATTTCACCCCTTCCCTGAAGCCTGTCTGCGGCTGTCCCCACCTCCCTCCAGCCAGGGGAGGGTGCTCCCTGACCAGATGGCTCCACCTGTCACTCCCTGTCACTATGGTGGTCCTTCCTCCTCTGAACTCTGGGACCTTGCAGAGGCTGCTCAACACCTCTGAGCTCGAATCTCTGCTCCAGGGGATGCAGGTTATGAAGATGAGAGCGTGAGACAGCGAGCTGTAAGGGAAGCAGGTTACCCAGGGATGGACAGAGGATGGGCCCTGGCCCTCATGTTATGAAGCTTCTCCACGTGGTGCCTTCCTCTGTCAAATGGGCAGAAGAATATCCTTTTGATAGAATTAAAATATACGAAAACCATTTATTCTCCTGTTACAATGATTTTTATTTCCACAGCAACACTTAGTACCTGCCCCCCCCTCCAGCTTGCCCTGCCCACCAACCAGGAGCGGGGCCAGCCTGGATCTCTTCTCTGCCGCTGGCGTAGGGGCGGGGGCGGGGGACAGTGTCTTCAGCAAAAGTCTGCGGATAGAAAGGCCCCGCTCCTGTCCGGACAGCAGGAATGGGAGAGCCGCCTCCAACCCCAGCCCCATGGAGCAGGGCAGAAACGCTGCCCACTGCCCTGCTCCTGCCACCAGGAAGGGCGTGTGGGGGGCCACTTTCTGTAAAGAAGAAACCGCCTGAACAACAAGTGGCTCAAGGCACCCTTGTCTAACGACCAGGGACACTGAGCGCCAGGGCCCAAGTCACCAGCAAGAGAAAACCCAGGCGGAGCCCAGGGTGTCCCCCACTGCCCACCAGCCACTGCGGTCAACGTGAAGGGCAAGGGTGCAAGCGGGATCGCGTCACAGGGAGCCGAGTGAGCCCAGAAAGTAGGAGAAGGACGTTTCCACCCACCTGGAGCGCAGTCCGTTTGCAGCCGGCGGCAGGTGAGGTTTCAGCGCGGGTAGCCAGCGGGGTTGAGGCCTGGGGGGAGCGGAGCGGGGCGCCGGCCCCTGGAGTCCCACGCAGGCGCTCGTTGCAGAAGGCCCCGCGTTGTCCCCAGCGCCGCTGCCCAGCCAGCCGAAGTGCCACGGGGTTGGGCTCCGGGCGGATCCGGGGCGCTCTCCCGCCGCCACTGCCAGCTGCGTCCGCTCGGCCGCCCGCCCCGGCGCGGAGGGTCCGAGCCTGGCTCCAGCCCGCAGGCTCCGCTGCTTGTCCCAACACCCGTGGTGAGCGCCCGGTCAGGGGGTGCTCGGGCTCGGGGCAGCCTCTCCGGGGTCCGCGCCCACCGCTGCCGGGTTCCACCGAGACTCCAGGTGCCGCTGCACCCGGCCCCAGCCCTCCTTAAAGCTACAGTGAGAGGGCCCTGGCGGGGACCGGGCGTCCCGGGCGGCGGGGGTAGCACAGCTGCGGACCTGAGCGCCTAGAACTGTCTGGAACCCGTCCCAGGGGCCACCCTGCCCCAGCAAACCCTCTCGGGCGGGCTGGGGGAAGGGAGGCAAACGCAAAGCACCGTCCTTGCTCAGCCCCGTAGGGCTTTAGGAATCCTGAGCTCATGCCTCTTCACCTGCATTTTACAGAAAGGGAAACTGAGGCCCAAAGAGGGGAAAGTCTTTTTTTTTTTTTTTTTTTTTTTTTTGAGACGGAGTCTCGCTCTGTCGCCCAGGCTGGAGTGTAATGGCGTGATCTCGGCTCACTACAACCTCCGCCTCCCGGGTTCAAGCGATTCTCCTGCCTCAGCCTCCCAAGTAGCTGGGACTACAGGCGCCCGCCACCATGCCCAGCTAATTTTTATACTTTTAATAGAGACGGGGTTTCACCATGTTGGCCAGGATGGTCTCAATCTCTTGACCTTGTGATCCGCCCGCCTCGGCCTCTCAAAGTGCTGGGATTACAGGCGTGAGCCACTGTGCCCGGCCGGGAAAGTCTTTTGACTCAGTGTTTGCCACCTGCTGCTTTGACAAAACCGGCATTTTTTTTTTTTTTTGAGACGGAGTTTCGCTCTTGTTGCCCAGGCTGGGGTGAATGGCGCGATCTCGGCTCACGGCAACCTCGCCTCAACCAGCTTGTTTGTTCAGCCGTCAGACACCAAGCCCTCCAGGTCTCTGACCTCCAGAACTGGTCCCAGCAGCAAGTCTGCCGTGCTGCCCGGGCATAGTGGTAACCCTCTCTGAACAAGCAGCCTCAGATTTTCCCTGCCACCAGCTGGGTCACTCAGAGGGAACCCTTGGTCACCAGCTTCCGCCTCAACAGGGCAGGGAAAGGAGCTACCACTTCACCTACTTATTACTGGTCACCAGTCAGGCACTTTTCACATTTAGTGAAAAGTGGCTAAGTCATAAAGGCTCAGAGGGCAGTGCCTTGCTTGGGTTTCACAGCTAATAAGTGAGTGGGGAGTGGGGAGAGGAGGTGGGGTTCCCACATCTGTCTGGACCTTCCAGACTCCTATGCACTTCTCCATTTTTGCCACATTGTTCCCTCCTCAGTGACAGCCTGGGCTGCTGCTCCTGCCTCTCACTGGCCTCTCTGTCCCCAGGCTGCCTGCCCTTCATGAAGCACCAGCTTGAGCTACCAAAACAGCACCCAACCAGTCCCTCACCTGGCTGTGCCTTTTTTTTTTTTTTCGAGATGGAGACCCACTCTGTTGACCAGAGTGGAGTGCAATGGCACAGTCTGGGCCCACTGCAACCTCCGACTCCAGGGTTCAAGCAGTTCTCTTGCCTCAGCCTCCCGAGTAGCTGGTATTACAGGCCACCACCACCATGCCTGGCTAATTTTTTTGTATTTTTAGTAGAGACAGGTTTTCGCCATGTTGGCCAGGCTGGTCTCAAACTCCTGATCTCAGGAGATCCGCCCATTTCAGCCTCCCAAATTGCTGGGATTACAGGCATGAGCCACCGCGCCCAGCCCTGGCTGTGCCTTTCAGTGGCTCCTCATTGCCCTCGGAATAATCCCAGTTCCTAAGCATCCACAACCTTGTGATGAGGTCCCTGGCCACCTCCTAGTCTCACTTCCTGCACCTAAATTCACTGTTTATTGTGTCCCGGGTCTAATGTCACACCTTGGCTACAAAAGTTCTTTCATCTGGTGAACTCATGCACTTCCTTTAAAATTCAGGTCACCTTCTGTGGGTGACTTCTCTTCAGTTTCCTAAAGTGGTATGAACCAGTCTCTCTTCTAGGCTTTCACAGGACTTTCCAGGTCCATACATCATATCCCTCGACATGCTGACAAAAATAAACCTGCAAGCCTTCCTTCTTTTTTCCAGTGGAAAAAAGATAGCTAGGCCGGGCACAGTGGCTCAGGCCTGTAATCCCAGCACTTTAGGAACCCGAGGCAGGTGGATCACGAGGTCAGGAAATCGAGACCATCCTGGCCAACATGGTGAAACCTCATCTCTACTAAAAATACAAAAATTAGCTGGGCTTGGTGGCATGCACCTGTAGTCCCAGCTACTCAGGAGGCTGAGGCAGGAGAATTGCTTCAACCCGCGAGGCAGAGGTTGCAGTAAGCTGAGATGGTCCCACTGCACTCCAGCCTGGGCAACAGAGTGAGACTCCATTTCAAAAAAAAAAAACGCTGGAAACTGCAGAAAAATTAGAAAATATCAGTCAGTTAAAAGAAATCAGAATATCTCCCTTAACAGATAAAGAACAGTTTCGAACCCTACAAAGAAGGAAAAACATTCCCCTAAATGCAGCCACACTTGGAGAAACAAGTACTAAGCACTGGAATCAGATAGGTCTGGTAGAGATGGCATGAGGGTTAAATGAGTTATTATATAATATGCTTGGCGACAGTGCTTGGCTTATAGTAAGTGCTTAGTGATATTAGCTATTTTTTTTTAAATCTGTAAGTAGGAGAGAAGCAATGGGAGAATCCACGATCTTCTTGGAAGAACCTCCTTTCTCCCTCCTCCAGGACAGGGGTCCAATGTTCTTTTCCAGTGACTTAAGACTCATTACCACGCAGAGACCACCCATCACTGTGACATTTTTGATATAACTTTTTCCTAACGTGTATTTTACAAAACTCTGGGCATGCATTGCATATAGTTTTTTATTGAACGTGATCCATCGTGAGCACCTTTCCATAGCCCATGCATGCTAATTATTTGCTTATATATCTGGCTCCCCTGTGTACAGCATCTGGAGGGCAGGTAAGCACATGTCATGTCCTGTCCCCACCCCCATACCATCTCCAAACAGCACACAGTAGGCCACCATGTCATGGCCAGCATGGGCGATGTGATGGTGGGTTGCTCTGTTCCCTGCCTAGGAACATGATACATTTCCACAGGGATGTCTCAAGGCCTGCATTGAGCAGCCAAGGCCCAGCAAGCTCTGTAGCAGGAGTATCTTTATAGAAAGATACCTGAGCACATCCTTAACACCAATAGAAACAAGATTCTCAGATTCAAGATCCTAAAAGAGTCAGCAAACATTTTCTGTAAAGATCCAAATTGTAAATATTTTAGGCCTACAAAGCCTAAGATATTTAACTTTATAGAAAATGTTTGGGCCGGGTGCGGTGGCTCACACCTGTAATCCCAGCACTTTGGGAGGCTGAGACGGGCGGATCACCTGAGGTCAGGAGTTCGAGACCAGCCTGGCCAACATGGTGAAACCCAGTCTCTACTAAAAATACAAAAATTAGCCAGGCATGGTGGCGGTCACCTGTAATCCCAGCTACTCGGGAGGCTCAGGCAGGAGAATCTATTGAACCTGGGAGGTGGAGGTTGCAGTGAGCCGAGATTGCACCATTGCATTGCAGCCTGGGGGACAAGAGCGAGACTTCATCTCAAAAAAAAAAAAAAAGAAAAGAAAATATTTGTTGACTCCTGCCCTAGGCTGTAGCTCAGCCCTGTCATTCATGTGCAGTGCAATCTTGGGCAAGTGACTTCACCCCTCTGGGTCTCCTCACTTGTAAAATAGGAATAAAACTGCTCTCCAGAGATGAGGGATATATTTGTATTCTACTGTAGCACAACAAACTATGACAAATGTAGCAGTTTATAATAATCCCTATTGACTTCCTCATAGTTCTATAAGTCAGAAGTCCAGGTGGGTTTAACCGGGCTCCCTGCTTAGGGTCCCACAAGGCCAAAGTCAAGGTGTTGGCTGGGCTGGGCCCTTCTCTGAAGGCTCTTGGGGAGAATCCACTTCCAAGCTCATTCAGGTCATTGGCAGAATTCAGGTCCTTGCAATTGTAGTAACCAGGTCTTTCTTTTTTTTGT
This sequence comes from Homo sapiens, assembly GCF_000001405.40. Classification (NCBI taxonomy): domain Eukaryota; kingdom Metazoa; phylum Chordata; class Mammalia; order Primates; family Hominidae; genus Homo; species Homo sapiens. The sequence continues at coordinate 21,582,573 of NC_000019.10, read as the reverse complement.
TTTTTTTGCGATGGAGTCTTGCTCTCTTGCCCAGGTTGGAGTGCAGTGGCCCAATCTCAGCTCACTGCAACCTCCACCTCCAGGTTCAAGCGATTTTTCTACCTCAGTCTCCCGAGTAGCTGGGATTACAGGCACCTGCCACCATGCCTGGCTAATTTTTGTATTTTTAGTAGAGACGGGGTTTCACCATGTTGGCCAGGCTAGTCTCAAACTCCTGACCTCAGGTGATCCACCTGCCTTGGCCTCCCAAGTGCTGGGATTACAGGCATGGGCCACTGCGCCCGGACCCAGGTCCTTCTTTATAGCTGCCAGCCAAGGTGCTGCTCTCTGCTCCTAGAGACTGTTCTCAGTTCTGTCTCAGGGACCCCTCCAACTCAGTAACTGAAAACCAGCCTCAAGTCAAATCTGTCTCCCACTATGAACCTCTGATGGCCTTTTCTAGCCAAAGAAGACTCTGCTTTCAAAGGGCTTCTGTGATTAGGTTAGGCCCACCCATCTCCCTAGCATAAGGTCTGCTGATTACTAACTTTAATGACATCCACAAAATTTCTCTTGCCATGTCACATAATTATAGCATTAACACCAGGGGGCAGAGGTCAGGAGAATCATCTCAGAATTCTGCCCACCATAGGTGCTGTGCCAAGGGACTCAGAGCACATGTGCTGTGAACACATTCCTTACAGGATCACTCCCTCTGTGCCAGGTGCCACCATGCCAGAAACAGAGGGCAGGACACAGGGACAGGTGGTGCATTCACAAATAATTTGGAAACAAGCCAGATGGTGACCAGAGCTTGCCTCTGAATGCCCCTTGTTGGGGATGCTATACAGAAAGCCCAGGATTTTTAGCTGAACCAACAAGGAGGCTTTGAAAAGGTGACATCTGAGCTGGGTTGTGATACACGTAAAATTTCAAGAAGCAAAGAAAGGGCTGGAACTGAGGGTAAAGAAGGGCTATCTGCTCAAGGCACACATTGATTACGAAAGGATACATCAGTATTATGTTAACAATGAACATAATTGTAAGCTTTTGTATAAACCAGCCTGTTAAGGATTACCAACAGAATAAATGTTAGCATATTTTGAACACCTACCAAATGCCAGGCACTATGTATACTAGGTACACTAGGTATATTGTATTCCTAGCTTATTTAATCTTCAAAGAACCCTACATGGTAGAACTTTTTCTTCTTACAACTTTTTTGAAATATAATTTGCATACTAGAAAAATCACTCATTTAAAGTGTACAATTTAATGGCTTTCAGTAAATTCACAGAGTTGTTCATCTATCACTACTAAAATCGAATCTATCTTAGAACAGTTTTATTACCCTCAGAAGAAATTCTACGCCCCTTAACCATGACACCCTAATTACTCCCTGGCTTCCAGTCCTAGGCAATCACTAATCTAACTTCTGAGTGTGGATTTGCACATTCTAAACATTTTATATAAATGAAAACATAGAAAATGTGACCTTTTGTGTCTGGCTTTCACATAATATGCTACGTGAAAGGTACATCCATGTCTTAACATGTGTTGGTACTTCATTCCTTTTTATTGCTGAATAATATTCCATTGTATGGATATACCACATTTTGCTTAATTATTCATTAATTGACAGACATTTGACTTGTTTCTACTTTTGGCCATTATGAATACTGCAGCTATGAACACTCACATACAAGTTTTTGTGTGGATGTATGCTTTCATTTTCCCTGGGTATGTAACCTAAGGATGAACTTGCAGGATCATATAGTTAATTCTACATTTAACTGATTGAGGATAAGATAGGAATTTGTATCTTCACTTTAGGATTGAGAAAGCTGAGGCTCAAAGAAGTTAAAATAGCTGCCCAAGATTATAGAACAGAGAAGATTGAAACACATATTCATCATACATCAAAGCTCTAGACTTCCATGGCTCTACATACATACAAAATAAGACAGAGGTCTCTTTTAACAAGTCTCATCTTAAAATATACATTTCTCAAGAGCAGAAATTTTTGTCTGTTTTATCTCAAAAAAAAAAAAATGTGATTTTGATTTCTCCAATTAGCTCCACATGAATGGGATTTTGAATCGAGCAAAGAGATAGGCAGGACGAGGACATTTTGTGGGCTTGAGTCCAGCATTGACTTCCTAACTCTAAGGCAATCTTCTGATTTAGTGCTTCCTGCCTTTGGATGAAGCAGGAGCTCCTCTGATGGACCAGCTCTATGTGGTGTTGAGAGCCATTTCTGGAAATTGAGCCTAGAGTTTCTGTCTTCAGCCCTTTGAGGCTGAGAGCCATCTAAACCACTTAACCCATTTCCCGTTTAGAAGAAAAGGTGCAGCTGGTTGCCAGTGCTCATTTAATTTTACATAAACATCCTCCTTGAAGCTGAAGCAAATCTGAATGATTTTTATCTTGAAAATAAAATATAAAAACTGTTTGTGAAGTTATTTCTAAACAAAACTTGTCTCTAGTCCTAATGTAACAGAAATGTATATGATGTCACATTAGGATTAGAAACATGAGTGTTCTCAGGGCAAGTGGGAAATAGGTTAATGAATTCTTGTCTTCTTAACCCACACAAGTAGACATTATAAGTCCCACTCCACAGATGAGTAAACAGAGGCTTCACTGGAAAAGCTAAATGTTTTGTTAGGGGTAACTCTACTAATAGTGGCAAAAGTAGAATTCGACCCAGATTTATCTAACCAGAAACTTGTGTTCTCCCCTATTACTGACCCCCTGTGACAGTCAAGGTGTAGAATAAACTAAAAGGCATTCCACCCCAAGAAAGGAGCTGAATGTTTAGTTAACAACAGAAGACACAGTGGATGGGAGTGGTAGAAGGTAAGATTTCATCGCTGCTGTGATAGTGTTATGGCCAGCATCCCAAGGAAGGCTTTATCCTGCCTTGATCTTCCCATAGGGTTCCTACCCAAGGTGCTATAGACAAGGAACAATAGCTAAATGCGAATCACTGGCTCACTTTGTTAGTATTTGACTTAGTGTCCAATAACTGCCAAAATGATAAAAGTCTGAGGTAGAGTATAAAACTTAGGCCTGGTCGAGCGCGGTGGCTCATGCCTGTAATCCCAGCACTTTGGGAGGCCGAGGTGGGTGGATCACCTGAGGTCAGAAGTTCAAGACCAGCCTGGCCAAAATGGCAAAGCACCATCTCTACTAAAAATATAAAAATTAGTGGAGTGTGCTGGCACACACCTGTAATCTTAGCTACTTGGGAGGCTGAGGCAGGAGAATCACTTGAATCCAAGAGGTGGAGGTTACAGTGAGCCAAAATTACACCACTGCACTCCAGCCTGGGTGACAGAGTGGGACTCTTTCTCAAGAAAATAAAAAATAAAAACATACTGCTGGATGCGGTGGCTCATGCTTGTAATCCCAGTGCTTTGGAAGGCTGAGACAGTCAGATCACAAGGTCAGGAGATCGAGACCATCCTGGCTAACAGAGTGAAACCCCATCTCTACTAAAAATACAAAAAATTAGCTGGGCATGGTGGCACATGCCTGTAGTCCCAGCCACTCGGGAGGCTGAGGCTTGAACCGGGGAGGTGGGTGTTTCAGTGAGCCGAGATCACGGCACTGCACTCCAGCCTGGGCGACAGAGCGAGACTCTGTCTCAAAAATTAAAATAAATAAATAAATAAATAAAAACATATTTAAGCCTGAGGCTAAAGTGAGTCTTTCTACCTGTCTCCATTCCTGCTAGAATCCAGTAGGCTCAGGTGAGTTCTGATCTTTAAGAAATACTAATCCCGTTTGGTTCAGCAAATATCTTAGGGTCAAAGGACATAAATGACTTCTGGAGTTGAAAAGGTGACCAGAGGCAGGTCTGATTGTAAAGGAAGGCAAAGAGTGCATCTATCTTACACAAATTCTTCCAGAAAATTGAAAAAGAGAGAACATGTTCTAATTCATTTTATGAGACCAAAAGAATCCTTAATGACAAAACTACAAGGACATTACATGAAAGAAAAATTATAGGCCCGTCTCTCTCATGAAGTTCCGTTTAACACTCAAAGATTAAGCAATGTGAATTAGGATTTCCACACCTCAATACTATTAACAATTTTAGTTGAATATTCTTTGTTGTGGGGAGACATTCTGTGCATTGTAGAATGTTTGTCACCACCCCTGGCTTCTACCCACTAGATGCCAGTAGCACAGACACACACCCAATTGAGCCAATCACAAATGTCTCCAGACATTGCCAAATGCTCTCTAGGGAGAAAAATTACCCTCGGTTGAGAACCGCTCATGAAATTATTTCATTAACAGAATAAGTAGAAAAATCTACAAGATTATCTTAACAGATGTAGGAAAAGCATTTTTAAAAATTGAACACCATGGGAGGCTGAGGCAGGAGAATCCCTTAAACTTGGGAGGCGGAGGTTGCGGTGAGCTGATATCATGCCATTGCACTCCAGCCTGGGTAACAAGAGCGAAACTCCATCTAAAAAAAAAAAAAAAAAAAAAATTGAACACTGGCCTGGCGCGGTGGCTTACACCTGTAATCCTAGCACTTTGGGAGGCTGAGGCAGCCAGATCACAAGGTCAGGAGTTCAAGACCAGCCTAGCCAACATGGTGAAACTCCATCCCTACTAAAAATACAAAAAAAAAATTAGCTGGGCGTGGTGGCAGCACCTGTAATCCCAGCTACTTGGGAGGCTGAGGCAGGAGAACAACCCGGGAGGCAGAGGCTGCAGTAAGCCGAGATTGCACCACTGAACTCCAGCCTGGGCGACAGAACAGGACTCCATCTCAAAAAAAGAAAAAATTGAACACCAATTCATAATTTTCTAAAAAGCAGCAATCTAGAATGAAAGAAAACTTACCTAATTTAATAAAAGGTACCTACTTTTCAACAATCTATAGTAAGCATCAGAATTCTTTTTTTTTTTTTTTTTTTTTTTTTTTTTGGCAGAGTCTTGCTCTGTTGCCCAGGCTGGAGTGCAGCAGCGTGACCCCGGCTCACAGCAACCTCCACCTCCCAGGTTTAAGTGATTCTCCTGCTTCAGACTCCAAAGTAGTTGGGATTACAGGCGTGCATTACTAATTTTTGTATTTTTAGTGGAGATGGGGTTTCACCATGTTGGCCACGCTGGTCTCAAACTCCTGGCCTCAAGTGATCCATCCACCTCGGACTCCCAAATTGCTGGGATTACAGCCATGAGCCACTGTGCCTGGCCAGTTATTATGATTCTCAATGGTAAACTACTAAAAGTTTCCCCTCCTAGATCAGGAAAAAGACAAGGATGCCTGCTATTATTGATTCTATTATATTTCATTGGAGATCCTAGCCAGTGCAATAAGGTAAGGAAAAAAAAAATTTAATAGGAAAAAATAAAACGGTCATTTGCACATAATGATTATCTTGTGTAGCAAATCTGTAAGAATTTGCAAGTGAATTTACCAAGTTCATTACATACAGCTTCAATAAACAAAAGTCAACTTTTTAAACTAAACTAGCAATAAACAATCAGACAATAAAAGTAATAAAGACTGGCCGGGTATGGTGGATCATGCCTGTAATCCTAGCAGTTTGGGAGGCCGAGATGGGTGGATCACCTGAAGTCAGGAATTTGAGACCAGCCTGGCCAACACGGCAAAACCCCATCTGTACTAAAAATATAAAAATTAGCCAGACGTGGTGGTGTGCTCCTATAGTCCCAGCTACTCAGGAGGCTGAGGCAGGAGAATCGCTTGCACCTGGGCAGCGGAGGTTGTGGTGAGATGAGATTGCGCCATTGCACTCCAGCCTGAGTAACAGAGTGAGACTCTGTCTCAAAAACAAAACAAAACAAAACAAAACAAAAAACAAGTAATAAGGACCATAATTCCCTGTACCCTTTTCCACCTGACTGGTCTGCTGTGAGGGTCAGGATGAATCATTCTGAGCTAAACATCCTGGGTTTACAGGCATGAGCCACCATCCCTAGCCAGGAATATTTGGATAAATGCAGGTCTCATAATTTATTCATTCAGAGAGAGGGAGACACAGAGAAAGAGAAAGGAAGAGATGTTTTTATATGTGAGTGTATATTAATATGTACATTTCCAAACTCTGTCTGCTGAGAGCTTTCAGAAGCAGTAACACCCCAGTATTAATAAGAATACCTAGCTCTCATATTATGGTTCCTAAGTACTATTCTTCAATAGAAGGAAGCAACACTACTTGGACAAATAGATAATTCTGGGACTGGAGTGAAAAATCAAACTTAAGGTAGAGTATTTTGTAAAGCTAGAAAGTTAAAAAGTGCTTTATGAACAACAGAAAGAGACATGTCAGAGGAAGTGAACCTGAAAGAGTTTCCAGCAGCCCAAGCTGAAACAATGTGAGAAACAAAATAATAATACCCTTGGATTATAACCTAGAGAATAAAAGAGCTATACATGAGTCCATGCAGATATAGACAAAATATAATAAGAAAAAAGGAAAGAAGAAAGAGAAAAAGCAAATCTTTTTTTTTTTTTTTTTTTTTTTTTTGAGACGGAGTCTCGCTCTGTCGCCCAGGTCGGACTGCGGACTGCAGTGGCGCAATCTCGGCTCACTGCAAGCTCCGCTTCCCGGGTTCACGCCATTCTCCTGCCTCAGCCTCCCGAGTAGCTGGGACTACAGGCGCCCGCCACCGCGCCCGGCTAATTTTTTGTATTTTTAGTAGAGACGGGGTTTCACCTTGTTAGCCAGGGTGGTCTCGATCTCCTGACCTCATGATCCACCCGCCTCGGCCTCCCAAAGTGCTGGGATTACAGGCGTGAGCCACCGCGCCCGGCCAAAGCAAATCTTCTTAACAGAATTCTAAGTACTAATCAATGTAGATAGATAATGCAAAATAGGAAATCACTACCAGGACACCACAGTAATAATTACTGTAGATAAAGATGTATTAAAGAATGCACAAATTGTGGGTAAAATTTAAAGGAGAAACAGTGTATTTACATAGCCCAAAATATCTGCCTCCAAATATTTATAATACCATTTTCTCTTAATTTCTTTATAAGACTTATGACTAAAGGAGAAATTGTAAGTATTGTGAGATATAGAATGTGTAGATGTAAAATTTATGAATAGCATAAAAATAAAAGGAGGTAAGTAAAGCTCATCCATAGCAAGGTCTTCATATTTTACATTTATTACAATTGTACAGTATTAACTCTAGGTAGATTGTGATATGTTAAAGATGCATATGGTTATCCCTAAAGAAACCACTAAAAAATGTAAAGAGTTGTCATTTAAATGCTAGTAAAGAAATTAAATTATATATGAAAAAGTATTTGTACCAGAATGTTTATAGACCTTTTAGTCATAATAGCTTAAAGCAGAAAACAACCCAAATGTCCATGTCTAGGAAGATGAATAAACAAATCATAGCTCATTCATACAAGAGAAGGCTACTCAGCCATAGAAAGAAACAAACTGAAGCACACACCTTGGATGAATCTCATAAACCTGCTGAGACAAGCTTGAAATAAAATAATACAAATTGTATAATGTCTGGAAAAATGAACTAATGGTAAAAAAAAAAAATACCAAGTAGCCTCGGTAGAGATTAAAATTGTCTGAAAAAAGCAGGAGGGAATTATCTGAGAATAATAAGAATATTCTATCATTTTATTATAAATTCTATTAATAGAGAAGGGAAACATTCTATTTATTCTTAAAAGATATGAAGGTCATATGGGTGTATTTATTTGTCAAAAATCTTCAGTTAGGATTTGTGCCTTCCAATGTATGTACATATGACGTCACAAAAAACAAAACTGAAGAAAATAATGAAGGGTGGACAATGGGTTGGCCAGGGATGACCGAAGTAGAGAAGAATAGGTGAAACCAGAATGGCACAAGATTAGTAGTTGTTGAAGCTTCATGATAGGTCTATTAAATTATTTTTGTTGTTGTTGTTTTGCATATGTTTAATTTTTTGTAACAAAACACTTGAATAAAAACACAAAATTGATCTACAATGTTAACTCTTAAGATTATGGTTATTGTCTAGGTGCAATGGCTCACGCCTGTAATCCTACCACTTTGGGAGGCTGAGGCAAGAGGATCACAAGGTCAGGAGTACAAGACCAGCCTGGCCCAGATGATGAAACCTCATCTCTACTAAAAATACAAAAAAATTAGATGGGCGAGGTGGCACGTGCCTGTAATCCCAGCTATTTGGGAGGGTGAGGCAGAGAATTTCTTAAACCTGGGAGGTGGAGGTTGCAGTGAGTCGACATTGCGCCACTGCACTCCAGCCTGGGTGACAGAGCAAGACTCTGTCTCAAAAAAAAAAAAAAAAGGTTATGGTTATTGTTGGAGAAGAAAAAAGAAAGTAATTGTTGGAACATGGTTGAGGCTATTTTATGCATTGCATTGCGTTGCGTTGCGTTGCGTTGCGTTGCGTTGCATTGCATTTTAGAGACAGGGTCTCACTCTGTCAGCCAGGCTAGAATGCAGGGGTGTGATCTCAGCTCACTGCAACCTCCACCCCCGGGCTCAAGTAATCCTTCCACCTCAGCTCAAAAGTTTTAAATGTTATCATGCATGAGTCATCTCTAGAATGACAAATGGTCTCTCTTTAACTAGAATGACAACAATTGAGACATATGTGACTATGGAGACACCATAACCTATGAATGACATAATATGGACAAAACCCAAAAATAATGGAAATTGACAGTGGCACTAAGATCGTGAGTTTTTTACACTCTGATCTATGTGAGAACTTTGCCAAAATGGGAGAATTTTTTAAACAAATTTATCGGAGGCCATCATTCTTAACTTCTGCACTAGGTTCAAACAGAAAAACAAAACAAAAAAAGTAAGTCACTCATGCTAAATGTGACATAATCAAATTGAAAATTTCAGAAAATAGGTAGGGCTGGGCACAGTGGCTCATGCCTGTAATCCCAGCACTTTGGGAGGCTGAGGTGGGTGGATCACCTGACGCCTGGAGTTCAAGACCAACCTGACCAACATAGTGAAACCCCATCTCTACTAAAAATACAAAATTAGGCGGGCGTGGTGGCACATGCCTGTAATCCCAGCTACTTGGGAGGCTGAGACAGGAGGATTGCTTGAACTCGGGAGGTGGAGGTTGCAGTGAGCTGAGATGGCGCCATTGCACTCCAGCCTGGGCAACAATAGTGAAACTCAATCTCAAAAACAAAAAGAAAGAAAAAAGAAAATAGGTACATCCTAAAACAGATGAGGTTTGTTTGTCTGTTTGTTTTGGTAAACAGCACATTTCAACACAAGGAGTTTCCCTCTACTCTTTTAAAAATAAATAATAATAATAAAATAATAATAACCTGAAGTCCTTGTTTCTACTTTAAAAAATCCACAGTTATGCTATTTCACAGTGGGATTTCAGACTAAATAAGTACTTCTTTTATAGTGAGAGAGTAATATCAATATCCAAGTTTTTTTTTTTTTTTTAGATGGAGTCTCGCTCTGTTGCCCATGCTGGAGTGCAGTGTCGCGATCTCAGCCCACTGCAACCTCTTCCTCCCGGGTTCAAGAAATTCTCCTGCCTCAGTCTCCTGAGTAGCTGGGATTACAGGCACTCACCAACAGGCCTGGCTAATTGGTTTGTATTTTTAATAGAGACGGGGTTTCACCATGTTGGTCAAGCTGGTCTCAAACTCCTGACCTCAAGTGATCCACCCACCTCGGCCTTCCAAAATGCTAGGATAACAGCCATGAGCCATCACGCCCGGCCAATGTCTAAAGTTTTGGTCTATCTCTCAAAATTAAGATGACCAAAAGGACAAATTATTAAATTAATTACACCATAAAGCTGCCCCCTTTCACGTTTAATTTTGGTCGTTTTTATTTAAAATACTAAACTGAAACCTACCTGGATATGTAAATAGACTGTACCCATTCTTGTACCAATCAATGTGTTTTGGCCAGTAAAATGACGTCAACTGTTCAAACCATAAGGCAACTCCCAAGCTGTAATCAATCTGACTGTTTCGGTACCTGGCTTCCATTTTCCGCATGTCAATTTGCCTTTTCTGTTCATAAATTTTTTACCACCATGTGGCTATGCTGGAGACTCTCTGAGCCTACACAGGCTACCCAATTTGCAAATCATTCTTTTCTCAATTAAACTCTGATAAATTTAATTTCTCTAAAGTTTCTTTTTCTTTTTTCTATGATGAAAATAAATAATGTGTTCTTGGGCTTTGATTTTTCTAAACTCATTCCTCAGCTATTTTTCAAAATTATTATATGTCCATTCAAATGCTTCTGCAATTTTTTTGAGACAGTGTCTCTCTGTATCACTCTGGGTGGAGTGTAGTGGTGCAACCAATCATGTCTCACAGCAACCTTAACACTTCAGGCTCAACCAATCCTCCTGCCTCAGCCACCCGAAGAGCTGAGACGACAGACATGCAACATCATGACTGGCCAATTTTTAAATTTTTTTTCACGGACACAGGATCTTACTATGTTGCCCAGGTTGCACGTAAACTCCTGAACTCAAGTGATTCTTTCATCTCAGCCTCCCAAAATGCTAGGATTACAGGTGTGAGGCACCCTGTGCTTCTGCAATTTCTTGAAAGGATTATTCCCAATCATAAATAGTGCTATATGGGCATACATTTTTTAAAAATCTGGCTTTTACTGTAGCAGCATCTCTCTCCAGGATTTCAAGGATCTACAGCAGCCAAGAGTTTGATGCATGGGCTTTAGAGTCAGAAGAGTTGGTACTGAGTCTCAGGCCAGCCATTTAGTAGCTGTGAGTCTTTGGACAAGTTTCTTGATGCGAAAGAGTTGTATAAACCACATATGCAAAAAAGGCATAATGATATTGATTGCAAAAATGGTAGCAATTTTTCATCCCTCCTATCCATGCCTATTGGCAGGTGCTCTTACAGCTGTTCCCATTGAGATACAGAATCTGTTTTCCCAACCCTAGATCTGGCTGGCCTTATTTGTTCAAGGCACTAGATACTTGTGAACATGACAGTGGGCTAGTTTGGGGCCTGGGCTCAAATGGTGTTGAATGCTTCTGCTTTTCTTTCAGAATGCTGCTGTCTCCATCAATAAAGTCCATGTTAGCCACCTAGAGGATAAAATACCACGAGGAGGAGTAGCAAGGTGCCCCTGTTGACAGATCTTGAAGCACAAGCTCACTCCCAGAAGCACAGCTGCCTAGTCAACAAACAGCTGACAATACATGTCTGAAGGAGCTCAGCTGGGAACAGAAGAATGGCCCCACTGAGCCTAGCCTAAATGGCGGACCATCTCAATTATGAGCTAATAAGTTTTGGATGATTTGTTATGCTGCCATACCTAACTAATACATGCACCCAGTGCAGATTGGGTGTCAAGATTTAAAGACAGTTTGATTATTAGTCACCTTCTAACAATGGGCACCCTAAAGGTACTGACATTTTTCCCGATTTAAAGTTAAATGTCTTGTAAGGCAATGTTGACTGATGCAGGAATACTTGTAGACATGTATGCATGTGATTGGTGCTTATATGCACACAGTCCCCCACACCACAGGAAAAAACCGATGACCAGAGCCTGACCATTATGGCCAAGGCCAAATAGCCAAAGTTTGCCTTTAATCTATTTTCTTCATATCTAAAAATTGGAGGTCAATACTGTGGACAGGTCTGAAGACATAGAGTTTTGTTCTCCTGTGGCCCCATCATTCTTCAGTGGTCTACCTGTGGTTATTTTATTCTTGTTACCTTCTGCTCTTTCTATGACCACTATCTGTTCCACCCTTGAAACTGAAGACAGATGTTAGTAGAAAGAGGCTGTTCCCTCATGTCGGGCATGTGGGATACGATGAGGTTTCTCTTCAAATAGCCTGATCAATCTTTTATTCTTTAATTCATAGTACCCACACACACACCCCTTTTTTTCCTTTTTCTCCTTTTTCCTTTCTGCCTTTGTTAGATGCCCAGGCACGCCACAGTACCAGGCATTATCAGTACCAGCTCACATTTCTTCCCTTATTTGGAAAGAGGACTAACTTTCTAGCTCAATGCAGACACCCCTTCCCCTTCCTCTCTGCATTCTTTTGCATGCCCACCTTATCTAAAAAAATCAAATGTTTAGCCAACCAGGATTAGTTCAGATTGTACGACCCGACCCTGGCCAATGGGGAAAGGGTACAGGGGCAGGACTTGTGTCAGGAATAAAGGCTCTTGTGCCCCTTTGTTCAGGTGTGCTCTCATGGTGACTGGACAAGAACGCACCCCTCTGTGCAGAACTAAAATTGCTTTGCTAGGAATCCTTTGTTCGAGTGTTCAATTTCCTTATGATTTTGAGCGTTATTCCTAACAGGAAGAAAAGGGATATTCAGGCCTTTCACAGACCTGACAACAGAGCTGCACTTCAATGTGACAGGTATTGACCATGTGTGACTCCTGGGAGCCTGGAATGTGGCTGGTCTGAGCTGCAATTTGCAAGAAAGGTAAAATGCAGAGTTAGTTTCAAAGATTTAGTTCCATAAATATAAAAATATACAACATATAGATAAAAATATCTATATATAATATGGATAAAAATACATAGCATAATGCAATATATAGATACATAATTATGTTATATATAAATATATATCTCATTCATAATTATACATTGCTCACATATTAAAATAATATTTTGGATATATTGCTTTAATTAAATTGTTACAACAGACGGATGCAGTGTCTCACGCTTGTAATCTCAACACTTTGGGAGGCCGAGGTGGGCGTATCACGAGGTCAGGAGATCGAGCCATCCTGGCTAACACGGTGAAACGTGTCTCTACGAAAAATACAAAAAATTAGCCAGGCATGGTGGCAGGCGCCTGTAGTCCCAGCTACTTAGGGGACTGAAGCAGGAGAATGGCGTGAACTCGGGAGGCGGAGCTTTCAGTCAGCCGAGATCGCGTCACTGCACTCCAGCCTGGTCAACAGAGCGACTCCGTCTCAAAAAACAAAAACAAAGACAAAAAATCTCATGCTGCCTTCTCAAAGCCAGGAAGGTTATAAAACCTGAAATTTCAAAATCATTATTATTATATTCTTTTCATTTGTGAATAGCCATACAGTATAATATTTATAAATGCATATAACCTTATACACAAGATTACATGCAAACACCCTCTAGGGTGGGCCTGGCTCAGCTCAGGGACGAAGCCCTTTCTGAGCGGGCGGCAGCTTAGGCAGTCACTCTTTCTTCATTCAGCCTAGCGTTTGGTCACATCTTCTGTCAATCACGATGTGAGGAGGCGGGGATTTAAGCGTTATCCAATCAGCAACACTGGGCTGGAAACCCTCCAATCAGCCACGCAGCTGGAGCGGGCAAGACAGCTTCCGGAATATGGGGGCCTTTGTCTCCGGCTGCAGCTGGAGTTCTACGTCTAGTCTTCAGAGGCCCAGTCTCCGTGACTTTGTGACCTGCAGGTATTGGGAGATCCACAGCTAAGATGCCAGGACCCCCTGGAAGCCTAGAAATGGTGAGAGTGCCGGGTCCGACATCCTGAGAAAAGGGAAGGAGTTGATTGGAACTGGTGGCAAGTGGCTGTGGTGGGACTCGGGTCTCCCGTCAGTCAGCTCCACAGTCTGCGCCCCGAGTTCTCCTTGGCCAACTCAGCCTCAGTCCTCTTCAGCCATAGCATGGTGGCTGCGCTGACAGCAGGACCCTGGGCTGAAGGTGTGGGTTGCCCCTCCACACCTGTGGGTGTTTCTCGTTAGGTGGAAGGAGAGACTTGGAAAAGAGAAAGACACAGAGACAAAGTATAGAGAAAGAAATAAGGGGACCCAGGGAACCAGCGTTCAGCATATGGAGGATTCCACCAGCCTCTGAGTTCCCTTAGTAGTTATTGATCATTCATGGGTGTTTCTCCAAGAGGGGGATGTGTCAGGGTCACAAGACAATAGTGGGGAGAGGGTCAGCAGACAAACACATGAACAAAGGTCTTTGCATCATAGACAAGGTAAAGAATCAAGTGCTGTGCTTTTAGATGTGCATACACATAAACATCTCAATGCTTTACAAAGCAGTATTGCTGCCCACATGTCCCACCTCCAGCCCTAAGGTGGTTTTTTCCTATCTCAGTCGATGGAACGTACAATCAGGTTTTATACCGAGACATTCCATTGCCCAGGGACAGGGAGGAGACAGATGCCTTCCTCTTGTCTCAACTGCAAGAGGCATGCCTTCCTCTTATACTAATCCTCCTCAGCACAGACCCTTCATGGGTGTCGGGCTGGGGGGCGGTCAGGTCTTTCCCTTCCCACGAGGCCATATTTCAGACTATCACATGGGGAGAAACCTTGGACAATACCTGGCTTTCCTAGGCAGAGGTCCCTGCGGCCTTCCGCAGTTTTTGTGTCCCTGAGTACTTGAGATTAGGGAGTGGTGATGACTCTTAAGGAGCGTGCTGCCTTCAAGCATCTGTTTAACAAAGCACATCTTGCACAACCCTTAATCCATTTAACCCTGAGTTTGACACAGCACATGTTCCAGAGAGCACAGGGTTGGGGGTAAGATTATAGATTAACAGCATCTCAAGGCAGAAGAATTTGTCTTAGTACAAAACAAAATGGAGTCTCCTATGTCTGTCTACTTTCTACACAGACACAGTAACAATCTGATCTCTCTTGCTTTTCCCCACACTGGGCGTCCTGTCTGCACAGTGACCCAGTGATGGTCCCCTGGCCTGGAGGCCTCTCTGGGCAGCTCTGCAGCCGCAGCGCCTTGTCTCTGGCCAATTGTGCAGGGACCATGGGAGGGTAGTCAGGGGAGAATCCCGACTCGGGTGAGGGTTCATGAATGGGAAGAGTTTTGGTCGGTGGGGTTCCTAGTCCCTCTTTTCATCTATTAAAAATTTATGGAGTCACCGCAAAAAGATTAAAGAATTTAATCAAAGAGTGGCTCAAAAATTGTAGAGTACCCAGCTATGGGTTTTAGTTTGTGGTTCATGGGAGGAACTTGAAGGAAAGACTTTTATAAGGTCCATGATTAAAAAAAAAAAAACAAATTCAATAATCGGTTAGGTACAGTTACCTACTTTTTTTTGTTTTTTTTTTTGAGACAGTTTTGCTCTGTCACCCAGGCTGAAGTGCAGTGGCGCGATCTCAGCTCACTGCAACCTCTCGGTGTCAAGCGATTCTCCTGCCTCAACCTCCCGAGCAGCTGGGACTACAGGGAGTCACGTACTTTCTTAATTTCCACTTTGAGTGTGTAAATTTTCTGGTTATGTAATCAGAGCTTAATTGGCCATTTATAGTTAGTTGGTTAAGCTTAAATTTTGTTTTCCCCAATGCAATTTACAAAAATTTACAAAAAAAAAAAATATATGTTTGAGGATACACACTTCACAAGAGACTGATTTTTTTTTTCCCCTGAATTTTTTAAATGTGTCCCAAGTGCGGTCTCAAGTCTAGCCCTCATCCCCCATTCCTCCAGCCTAACTCAGGCTTGAAGTAAAATACTAAATTTCCAGTTCCTTCTGACAATCCCAAATGCCAGCCTCGTTTCCCTAGTTCACATTGTCATCTATTTGTCCTTTAGTGTATATTTTCAATACTGTATTTTTTTTTACAAACCACTGGATGGCACATTTTAAAAGATTCATTTTCTGTTTGTAAATATTTCCCATGAGAAGAAAGCAAAGAATAACCCCTGACACTGTGTTGTGTAAAATCTCTGTGCCTCTTTTCCTTTTACCTTCCCTAGGCAGAGATCTTACCAGAATGCTTTGGGGTAAAGGTTTTTTTTTGGCGGGGGGAAGCTTTATTGGGTGATGTGTCCTCAACCACCCTTTAGTTTTTTCTTGGTCATCGGTTTCAGTACTGTCTGTGAATAAACCATTATATCAGCCATGGCTATGTCTGCTAGAGTGTCTAGGGAATCTCAGGTCCTGGGTCATTTTCTTTCATAGGACAGCCTGAGGTATGGAGTGTAGCCTCTCAAGGAAGCAGATGGATGCACTGGGGCTGAGAGAAATCTCCTGGTGTGCTCTTCCTTTAAAAAAGTAACCCCTTGAGACATTAACATTGTTTTCACCCAACCCAGCTTTCATATCTTGGTGACACATTGCTGGTCAGCCAATCAGAGGCTGGTATTAAGGGGAAAACAGAAATAATTTCTGTCCCCTGAATTCTCTAAGATTTGTGAAAGAAAAAATAGTATCCCCCCTAAAAAAAAAACAAAAGAAAACCTGACCCCAGAGAGATGCTGCAAAAATTTCCGAAAGTAAAACCTGGGCCACTCACTGGAACATAGTGCAGTGTCTCCTGAGAGGTTAGTCATTGAGCAGTTAAGTGAGCAGGCTGGGGTGGGAGAATCTCTCACGTGATTGGATGACCTGACTTGACACATAAGTCAGACACATCTGTTTTTTAATCATCACTGCTACACCCTGGGTTCGTCACCTTGAAAAGATTTGTTCACTTATATTGATTTCAATTTCTTAAACTGTAAATTGCATTTTATTAGTAGAGCTTGAAAGGTTCAAAAACATTTACAAAGGGCATAAAAGTGGTGGGTTTCAAAAAATATTAATATCTAATCATATATTTCGTATGTTAAAAATTCTTACTTACCTTTTTCTTTCCCAGAGAGAGTTTAGGAATTTTCTCAGGTGTGTTTTCTGTAGGTGATTTCAAACAGAATTCCAAGGCTCAGCTTTTAGAATGCTACCAAGGAAAATAATAGGGAAAATCTCCTTCGATTTTGGCTGTAGAAAATGAATACATTTCCACGAGGAAATATTGTAGATAATTGGTGAGTTACATAAATTTATAAAACATTAGTTCCTCTTTCTGCAGGGTAAATTTCTGAGAGTGAATATCTCTGTTCTGTATCCTGTTATCTTGATTTCTGAGTTTCATACTAAATTTCATGAGATGAAACTTGGTACCTCCTAGAAGTTTTTCCCTATGACTAATTGTTTACTACATTATTTTTAATAGAAATAATACAATAATAAATTTATTATCTGAAAGAAATAGATACTTTTGCTGTTCTTATTGAGGTATAAAATGTAGGCCAGGTGCGATGGCTCATGCCTGTAATCCCAGCACTTTGAGAGGTCAAGGCGGGCAGATCACGAGGTCAGGAGTTCGAGACCAGCCTGGCCAACATAGTGAAACCCGTCTCTACGTAAAATACAAAGTTAGCCAAGTGTGGTGGCATGCACCTGTAGTCCCAGCTACTCAGGAGGCTGAGGAGGCAGGACAATCACTTGAACCCAGGAGGCAGAGTTTGCATTGAGCCAAGACTGTGCCATTGCACTACAGCCTGGGTGACAAAGTGAGACTCTGTCTCAAAAAAAAAAAAAAAAAAAAGTAAGCACCTTATAATTTATTTTCCATGTATGAACACTGTGTTTGAGTAATTTTGCTGAATTTTTCAAACACTTAGTTTCAAAAATCAAGTGTATAACTCTGACATGGAAATTAAAGCCTGAGCCCAGTGACTCCAAGAAAAAACTAATGTTGAGCCTGCAAAAGGAGGTTATTAAGGGCCCAGTTAGTTCTTTCTGGGGAGCCTCCCCTGCAGAAGTCCCAGCCTGCTCAGCCCAGCTATAAAAGAAGCCTTAATCCTGAGGGAAGCTACAGAGCCCTGGAAAGCTGGGGACCCACAGGCAGATGCTAGTAAGGTTAAGATAAAAGGAGACTGGGAGAATATTACCAAAGATGAACTTGTTACTGTTTTGAGGCAGTTTCTTGACTTTTAAAAATAAAGTTGGATTTATGTAAGAAAATTCAGTGTACAAAGGAGCATTGCAACAGGAGGAAGTACCAACTATAAGATCTTTAAGGATTGCAAAGTTTAGGCAGACAAGGGCTTTCTTTCATAGGGAGGAGCAAACAAGATTAGAAAGAAGTTGGGAGGGCAATGGCAAGTGGAGGGTAAAAAAATCAGATTTTAGATCAGAGAATGTTTTTCCCTGAAGTCAGCATGTTCTTAGGAGGGATATAAAATGAAGTTTTATGTTGACTCAAAGTGAAGGTAGCTCAAAGTTCAGGAATCTGTGGGAAGGAGATAAACTTAACTGAAGTTTGCTTTATAAGTGTTTTATTTTGACCACTGAGGACAAATTCACCTCCTCTTTTTTTTTTTTTTAAGATGGAGTTTTGCTCCTGTTGCCCAGGCTGGAAATGCTATCGTGTGATCTTGGCTCACTGCAACCTCCCCATCCCAGGTTCAAGCAATTCTCCTGCCTCAGCCTCCCGACTAGCTGGGATTACAGGCATGCGCCACCACGCCTGGCTAATTTTGTATTTTTAGTAGAGATGGGGATTCTCCATGTTGGCCAGGCTCATCTCAAACTCCCAACCTGAGGTAATCCACCCGCCTTGGCCTCCCAAAGTGCTGGGATTACAGGTGTGAGCCACTGTGTCCGGCACCTTTTTTTTGAGAACAAGAAGAAAATGTGCAGAGTCTGTGTCTGGCTATGTGATAGGTAAGAAAAGACAGCACCATCTAAGTCATAATGGGAAGGGTGTTTCTTTCCATAAGCTGTTCCTGGAGCACACGATGGATGGATAATTTTATTAATCACAGCTATTTTCTAGGATTATGTATAAGCTTCATTTTTTCCCAGCTCTTTTTTTGGTCCTATATGTTTTTTCCATTTGACTTTTCCTGGGTTGTGGCTTTTACAATAAACTGGTAAACATGCTGAGTTCTGTGAGTAGCTCTATCAAATTATTGAACTTCAGGGAGCTTATGGGAGTTCTGAATTTTTAAACAGTAGCTTACAAGCACAGATGGGCCCAAGGGGTTTGTGATTGGCATCTGCTGTGAGGTCAATGTATTGAGACTAAGCCTGGAATCAGGTTCTGTGCTGACTCTGGGTAGGGTCAGAATTCAAATGTTGGACAATTAGTTGGTGTTGCAGAATTGCTTGGTGTACAGCTAACTCTACACATTTGGTGACAGAGAAAAGATATGGAATCCTGGCTTGGACTAATCGCTCGGTGTCTGGGAATGGGAGGCTCTGCTCTCCTGTACACAGGCTGTCACGCTGCCCATTGTCCTGTGATTCTAGGTCTCCTCCCAGAGTGAGAGAGGATGAAAACTTAAGGAGCTCTGATGACAGTCCCCCTTTTCCCACAGCTGCCACCACAGTATTCCCACCCACTCATAAACATACCCACTAGACATTGACATGTCCACACCCCTCCCCGGACTAGACACCACCATCAGGAACTTCACCATGGCATTTTTCATTCTAGTGTTTCTTGCCAAAAACCCACAAAAGTGTCTATAAGTCTGGCATATCCCCACACCCAGACACTGAATCTGCAGCAGAAACCTGTTTTCTCCACCTAGGGTTCTGGGCCACCTGTTCATAACCTCATCAGTCTACATGGACCCAGAAATAGCACAAACCAGTTCTTCTGCCTACATTAGACTCTCCCCCACTAATGGAGTTTTTACTTTTTAATGTTTATTTTTGGTTCAGGGGTACATGTGCAAGTTTATTATATAGATAAAACTGTCATGGAAATTTGGTATAGATTATTTTATCACTGAAGTACTAAGCATAGTACCCAACAGGTATTTTTTCTGATCTTTATCCTTCCACTCTCTACTCCAAAGTGGGCCTCAGTGTCTGTTCCTCTCTTTGTGTCCATGGTTTCCTTTTCTTTTTCTTTTTTTTTTTTTTAAGACAGATTCTTGCTCTGTCACCCAGGCTGGAGTGCAGTGGTGCCATCTCGACTCACTGCAACCTTGGCCTCCTGGGTTCAAGTGATTATTCTGCCTCAGCCTCTCAAGTAGCTGGGATTACAGGCATGCACCACCATGCACGGCTAATTTTTGTATTTGTAGTAGAGATGAGGTTTTGCCATCTTGGCCAGGCTGGTCTTGAACTCCTGACCTCTGGTGATCTGCCCACTTTGGCCTCCCAAAGTGCTGGGATTACAGGTGTGAGCCACCGTGCCCAGCCTGTGTCCATGTTTCCTTTTCTTTTTTTTTCTTTTTCTTTTTTTTTTTTTTTTGAGACAGAGTCTCACTCTGTCTCCCAGGCTGGAGTGCAGTGGCATGATGATCTCGGCTCACTGCAAGCTCCACCCCCCGGGTTCACGCCATTCTCCTGCCTCAGCCTCCTGAATAGCCTCCCGAATAGGTGCCTGCCACCACGCCCAGCTAATTTTTTTTTTTGTATTTTTTTTTAGTAGAGACGGGGTTTCACTGTGTTAGCCAGGTTGCTCTTGATCTCCTGACCTCGTGATCCACCTGTCTCAGCCTCCCAAAGTGCTGGGATTACAGGCGTGAGCCACCGCACCTGGCCTCATGTTTTCTTGTTATTATCTCTTAACTTATAAATAAGAACATGCGTTTGGTTTTCTCTTTCTGTATTAGTTTTCTAAGGATAATGGGCTTCAGCTCTGTTCATGTTGCTGCAAAGGACATAATCTTGTTCTTTTTTTATGGCCACACAGTATTCCATGATGTTTATGTACCATATTTTCTTTTAAATATTTTATTTTATTTTGGGGGGAGACCCAGGCTGGAGTCTGGGCGCCCACTGTCCTGTGATGGGCACAATCTTGGCTCACTGAAGCCTCAACATCTTGCATTCAAGCAATCCTCCTACCTCAGCTCTCCAAGTAGCTGGGGCTACAGGTGCACACCACCACGACTGGCTAATTTTTCTTTCTGTATTTTTTGTAGACCAACAAATGTTGCCTTGGTTGGTCTCAAACTCGAACTTAGGCAATCCATCTGTTTTGACCTCCCACATTCTGGAATTATAAGCATGAGCCACTTTGCCCAGCCATACCATATTTTCTTTATCCAGTCTGCCATTTTTGATGAGCATGTTGATTCCATGTCTTTGCTATTGTGAATAGTGCCACAGTGAACATGCATGTCTATGACAGAATAACTTATATTTCTTTGGGCATATACCCAATTATGAGGTTGCTGGGTCAAATGGTAATTCTGTCTTTAATTCTGTGAGGAATCACCACACTGGTTTTCACGATGGTTGAACTAATTTACACTCCCACCAGCAGTGTGTAAGCATTCCCTTTTCTCCACAACCTTGCCAGCATCTGTCATTTTTTAACTTTTGAGTAATAGCCATTCTGACTGGTGTGAGAAAGTATTTTGCTGTGGTTTTTCTTTGCATATCTCTACTGATTGGTGATGAGCATTTTTTCATATGCTTTTAGCCACACACATGTCTTTTTTTAAAAAGCATCTGTTCAGGCCGGACGTGGTGGCTCACGCCTGTAATCCCAGCACTTTGGGAGGCCGAGGCAGGTGGATCACGACGTCAAGAGTTCAAGACCAGCCTGGCCAACATGGTGAAACCCTGTCTCTACTAAAAATACAAAAATTAGCTGGGCATGGTGGTGCATGGCTGTAATCCCAACTACTCCAAAAGCTGAGGCAGGAGAATTGCTTGAACCGGCACCCGGGAGGCGGAGGTTGCAGTGAGCTGAGATAGCACCATGCACTCCAGCCTGGGAGACGGAGCAAGACTCCATCTCAAAAAAAAAAAAAAAGATCTGTTTGTGTCCTTTGCCTACTTTTTAATAAGTTTTTTTAAGTTCATGGATTCTGGATATTAGATCTTTGTCAGAAGCATAGATTGCAAATATTTTCTTTTATTCTGTAGGATGCCTGTTTACTCTGTTGATAGTTTCTTTTGCTGTGAAAAAGCTCTTTAGTTTAATAAGGTTCCATCTGTCAATTTTTGCTTTGGTTGCAATTGCTTTTGGTATCTTCTTCATAAAATATCTGCCAGTTTCTATGTCTGGAATGGTATTATTTAGGTTACCTTCCAGGGAATTTTTTTTTTTTTTTTTTTGAGATGGAGTCTCACTCTGTCACCCAGGCTGGAGTGCAATGGCGCAATCTCAGCACACTGCAACCTCTGCCTCCCTGGTTCAAGCAATTCTTCAGCCTCAGCCTCCTGAGTAGCTGGGATTACAGGTGCCTACCACCACTCCCGGCTAATTTTTATATTTTTAGTATAGACACAGTTTCGCCATGTTGGCCAGGCTGGTTGCGAACTCCTGACCTCAGGTGATCCGCCTGCCTTGACCTTCCAAAGTGCTGGGATTACATGTGTTAGCCCCACACCTGGCCTATTTTTTTTTTATAATTTTAAATTTTACATTTAAGTCTTTATCTTGAGTTGATTTTTGTATGTGGTGTAAGGAAGCGGTCCGTTTTCAGTCTTCTACATAGTGCTAGCTAGTTATCCCAGCACCATTTATTAACTAGAGAATTCTTCACACATTCCTCTCATCAGCTTTGTCAAAAATCAGATGGTTGTAAATGGGTGGCATTTCTGAGCTCTCTCTATCACATTGGTCTGTAAGTCTGCTTTTGTACCAGTACCATGCTGCTTTGGGTTTCTATAGCCTTGTAATATAGTTTGAAGTCAGGTAATGTAATGCCTCTAGTTTTGTTCTTTTTGCTTAGGATTGGTTGGCTATTTGGGGTTTTGTTTGTTTGTTTGTTCCATGTAAATTTTAAAATAGTGTTTTTTAGTTCTGTTCAGAATGTTTTGGTAGTTTGATAGGAATAGCATTAAATCTGTAAATTTCTGACCACACTCTCCACAATGTCTGTAGAAATATATTCGCTAAACACGAACTTTTCAGTCAGCTGGGTCAAGAGCTTCTGAGCAGTAGACATTGTCTCCTCACAACAGGAGGGGACAATGGATGTTCCAGAAGAAGGTGTTGATTATGCCAGTGTGGCTGTTCTCAGTGCCCTGGTGTCCCCCAAGTTTCCTGCAGTCCTGAGGCCAGCAGCCCAAGCAGCAGCAGTAGGAGCCCATCTTAGGCCGGGCTCCTAGGGTCCACCTCAGGTGCATGTCTCCATGCCAGCAGGTGGAATGTGGTGGCATCATGGGGCAGGGAGAGAGCTGCACACAGGGCTGGGCTGCCACAGGCTCAGCAGAAACAGCAGTAAAATAATCAAGTGCTGCACACTACACCTTTGCCCACTACTGCTGCCACCACCTATAATGTTTAAACAAACATCTTTTAGAGGGCTCATGTAATCCTTTATCAAGATAAGAACTCCCTGGCAGGGCATGGTGGCTTATGCCTGTAATCCCAGCACTTTGGAGGCAGAGGTGGGCGGGTCACCTGAGGTCAGGAGTTTGAGACAAGCCTGGCCAACATGGTAAAACTCCGTCTCTACTAAAAATACAAAAATTAGCCAGGTGTGATTGCCAGCACCTGTAATCCCAACTACTTGGGAGACTGAGGCAGGATAATCGCTGGAACACAGGAGGCAGAGGCTGCAGGGAGCTGAGATTGAATTAAATTCTTTTTTTTTTTTTTTTTGAGATGGAGTCTCACTCTGTCACCCAGGCTGGAGTCCAGTGGCATGATCTCGGCTCACTGCAACCTCTGCTTCCTGGGTTCAAGTGATTCTCCTCAGCCCCCTGAGTAGCTGGGATTACAGGCATGCACCACCATGCCTGGCTAATTTTTGTATTTTTAGTAGAGATGGGGTTTCATCATGTTGGCCAGCCTGGTCTTGCACTCCTGGCCTCAAGTGATCCACCCGCCTCAGCCTTCCAAATTGCTAGGATTACAGGTGTGAACCACCATGCCCAGCCTGAATTTAATTCTTTTAATTAGAATGCTTTCAAAATTTCTCAGTGTGGAATATTCAAAGCCAAACTTACAATATATCCTCAGGAAGCCTTATACCTAGAAGTTAGATGGAGTTGTCAGAAAGAGGAGTTGTCTAAACCACTAATAAATAAATTTTTAAGTATAAAATAAAATCTTAACTAGTGTATCAACAAAAAAAATCAAGTTCATACTAACAATAAAAGTTAAGAAAGTTGATGGACTGCATATATTGATTGGTAAAAGTTTTAGACACCGAAAGCTCCAAGGCCAGTAGAATATCTAGGGTAGGTGCAGTGGCTTATGCCTGTATCCCAGCACTTTGGGAGGCCAAGGCAGTCGAATCACCTGGGGCAAATCACCTAAAGTCGGGAGTTCAAGACCAGCCTGACCAACATGGAGAAACCCCTTCTCTACTAAAAATACAAAAATATAGCCAGGTGTGGTGATGCATGCCTGTAATCCCACTACTTGGGAGGCTGAGGCAGGAGAATCACTTGGACTGGGGAGGCGGAGGTTGTGATGAGCTGAGATCGCACCATTGCGCTCTGGCCTAGGCAACAAAAGTGAAACTGCATCTTAAAAAAAGAAAAAAAGAAAAAAGAATATTCTTGATCACCCAGTTAGAGCAGGTAGTCAGATAGTAATGAGTGGGGTAAGGTAGAGACCCTGGGAATGTGCCCCAGGAATGTCAGGTGATTATCAGGTGGTCAGCTCAGGATTGACAAATGGTCTCAGCTGGTACCAGGGAGGGGGAAACCTCCTAAACACAGAACACATCCTGAGCTCAGGGGCAGCAGCTGTTTCATAAAATCTCAAATATTGGGCAAGACACCCAAGCATGCACACTGAGAGGCCAAATATTGGAGTTTAACTGGTATATGACCTTTCTCTGGCACTTGATCTCTCAAGTCACACCCTTGGTTCTTTCCCAAGGGTACTTTATTTCCTTTCAACAACCCCCCACTTATGCTTCAAACCCACTCTTCGTCTCTGGGCTGGATTATTTCTTTTGAGAATGGAAGAACCAAAATCACTGCAAACCTATATGGACCAGCCATTAGTAACACGGTAACGGTGATGAATGATTTATTTTTTATTGCTGGCAATTTATTATTATTAACTTCTCCAAATTAAAAATAAAAACTGATTTACATTTGAGAGTCTATTGTTTATTATATGAAGCTTTTCATGTCTTCAGAAATAATTATCAATTCTTTTTCCAAGGATTAACAATTAACAGGTAGTTGTAACAACATTGCTGTGTTTATATCTCTTCAGATTATTAGATGCGAATAAGTTTTTATAAACAGAATTCTCTGAGGTAGAATTTCTCATATTTTGCAGCCCACAAATCAACATATCCCAAGATAGCTGTGAATTTGGGAACTGCAAGAACTGAGTTCAGATTTGTTCACCCTGGAAATTACAGAGGCAACTTCGCTACCCTTTAACCTTCTGTTGAAGGGCCACTGAGAAGCTGTTAATTTCAACCTGCAAGAGTTTTACCATTTTAGGGTTAGCACTGAAAATAAGAAAAAGGCAATTTTCTTATATTCACCCTATGTAATTAAGTGATAGTAATAGTTACCAAAACAAAGCAAAATGTGAATGGTGACTATTCAGACCATCTGCTCTATCTTCTCTGGATTCCCTGAAGTTTCTAGATTTCTTTTTGAATTCAATAGTATTATGATGTTAATTCTGTGCTTTTGCAATCTACAATATGAGTTCCAGCCAGGAGGTAGAGTTGAAGTTTTTTGTTTGTTTGTTTGTTTTTAATTTGTTTGTTTGTTTGTTTGAGATGGGGTCTCACTCTGTCACCAGGCTGGAGTGCAGTTGTGTGATCTTGGCTCACTGCAACTTCTACCTCCTAAGTTCAAGTGATTCTCCTGCCTCAGCCTCCCGAGTAGCTGGGACTACAGGCTCCCGCCACCATGCCCGGCTAATTTTTTGCATTTTTGTAGAGACGGGGTTTCATCATGTTAGCCAGGATGGTCTCAATCTCCTGACCTCATGATCCACCCGCCTAGGCCTCCCAAAGTGCTGGGATTACAGGCATGAGCTACCGCGCCAGGCCTAGAGTTGAAGTTTTTTGAACTAATCACTGTTGGTAAAGCCTTTCCCTCCTGCACAATTTTTAAAGGTAGATTTGGCCAGGCATGGTGGCTCATGCATGTAATCCCAGCAATTTGGGAGGCTGAGGCAGGTGGATCACTTGAGATCAGGAGTTCAAGACCAGCCTGGTCAACATGGTGAAACCCCGTCTCTACTAAAAATATAAAAAGTACTTGGGTGTGGTGGCAGACGCTTTTAATCCCAGCTACTTGGGAGGCTGATGCAAGAGGATCCCTTGAACCCGGGAGGCAGAGGTTGCAGTGAGCTGAGATCATGCCACTGCACTCCAGCCTGGGTGACACAGCGAGACTACACCTCAAAAAAAAAAAAAAAAAAAGGTAGTTTTGATCAGTGATTAGTGCTGCCCTGCCAGAAATGTGCAGTTTAAAGACAAGTAAACGAATTGGCTAAAAGCATAACTACTAAGTAGTGAGGTCACAGCAGGATCACTGCTGATTCCATTTTCTCCCTTCGGATATTTTCAAGCCTTCATACTCTGTTTCAATGTAACATTAAGAGCATATAACCCGAAGAACAATTCATTTTTCAGCTGTTTCTAGAAGTTATACTTCATTATTGGAGCAGGGGAAAGCAATTTGAAAAGTGTTATTAATTAGCCAATTTAATCTAAATTTTGCCAGAAACTCTTTAAATTCCAAATATAGGGTCCACTTGCTATGCAAATTTAGATCGTTGTTCTTATTATAATTTAGGCAAAGATGTACAAAAAAAAGATAGCAGCTATTTGGATGAAATAAAAATAAAAGATGATTTGGGGGACAGGGTCAAGAGGGCCAAATAAACATTTCCAGTCTGCAGCTCCCAGCGAGACCCATGCAGAAGACAGGTGATTTCTGCATTTCCAACTGAGGTACCCAGTTCATCCAACTGGGACTGGTTAGGCAGTGGGTACAACCCATGGAGGGCGAGCAGAAGCAGGGTGGGGCATCGCTTCACCCACGAAGTGCAAGGAGCTGGGGGACCTCCCTCCCCCAGCCAAGGGAAGCCGTGAGGAACTGTGCTACCCGGCCAGGTTACTATCCTTTCCCCATGATTTTTGCAATCTGCAGATCAGGGGATTCCCTGGTGTGCCTACACCAGCACAGCCCTGGGTTTCAAGCACAAAACTGGGTGGCTATTTGGGCAGACACCAAGCTAGCTGCAGGAGTTTTGCTTTGTTGTTGTTGTTTGTTTGTTTTGTACCACAGTGGCATCTGGAACCCCAGCAAGACAGAACCCTTTACTCCCCTAGAAAGGGGCTGAAGCCAGGGAGCCACGTGGTCTCGCTCAGCAGGTCCCAATCCCATGAAGCTCAGCAAGCTAAGAACCACTGGCTTGAAATTCTCACTGACAGCACAGCAGTCTGAAGTTGAGTTGGGATGATCGAGCTTGGTGGGGGGAGGGGCATCCCCCATTACTGAGGCTTTAGTAGGCAGTTTTCTAGTGCTAAGGAGGCTGGGAGGATTTGTGGGCTGCCAAAATATGGCCAGACTGCTTCTCTAGATTCCTCCTCGCTGGGCAGGGCATCTCGGATGGAAAGGAGACAGCCCCAGTCAGGGGCTTACAGACAAAATCCCCATCTCCCTGGGACAGAGCACCTGGGGGAAGGGGTTGCTGTGGGCACAGCTTCCATAGATTTAATCCTTCCTGACTGCTGGCTCTGAAGAGAGCAGGTGACCCTGACAAGAGGGATTCTCCCAGCACAGCACGTCAGCTCTGCTAAGGGACAGACTGCCTCCTCACGTTGGTCCCTGACCCCTGTGCCTCCTGACTGGGAGAGACTTCCCAACAGGGGTCGATAGAAACCTCATACAGGAGAGCTCCGGTTGGCATCAGGCTGGTGCCCCTCTGTGATGAAGCTTCCAGAGGAAGGAGCAGGAAGCAATTTTTGCCATTCTACAGCCTCTATTTGTGATTCCCAGGTGAACAGGGTCTGGAGTGGACCTCTAGCAAGCTGCAACAGACCTGCGGAAGAGAGGCCTGTTAGAAGAAAAACTAACAAACAGAAAGCAACAACATCAACATCAACATAAAGGACCACCACACAAAAACCCCATCCAATGTCATCAGCCTCAAAGATCAAAGGTAGATAAGTCCATGAAGATGAGTAAAAACCAGTGCAAAAACACTGAAAATTCAAAAAATGAGAATGCCTCTTCTCCTTCAAATGATCACAACCCCTCTCCAGCAAGGGCACAAAACTGGATGGAGCAGGCTGGGTGCAGTGGCTTAAGCCTGTAATCCCAGAACTTTGGGAGGCCAAGGCTGAGGCAGGTGGATCACTTGAGGTCAGGAGTTCAAGACCAGCCTGACCAAGATGGTAAAACCCTGTCTCTACTAAAATACAAAAATTAGCTGGGTATGGTGGCAGGTGCCTGTAATCCCAGTTAATTGGGAGGCTGAGGCAGGAGAATTGCTTGAACCCAGGTGGCAGAGGATGCAGTAAGCCAAGACTGCACCACTGCAATCCAGCCTGGGCGACAGAGCGAGACTCTGTCTCAAAAAAACAAACAAACAAAAACTGGACGGAGAATGAGATTGACGAATTGACAGAAGTAGGCTTCAAAAGGTGGGTAATAACAAACTCCTCTGAGCTAAAGGAGCATGCTCTAACTCAATGCAAGGAAGCTAAGAACCTTGACAAAAGGTTAGAGGAATTGCTAACTAGAATAATCAGTTTAGACAGGAACATAAATGACCTGATGGAGCTGAAAAACACAGCATGAGAACTCTGCGAAGCATACACAAGTATCAATAGCCAAATCAATCACGCGAAAGAAAGGATATGAGACTGGAGATTAACTCAATAGAATAAGTCGTGAAGACAACATTAGAGAAAAAATAACAAAAAGGAATGAACAAAGCCTCCAAGAAAGATGGGAGTATGTAAAAAAACCAAACCTATGATTGATTGGTGTACCTGAAAGTGATGTGGATATTATCCAGAAGTTCCCCAACCTAGAAAGACAAGCCAACGTTCAAATTCAGGAAATAAAAAGAACACCACTAAGACACTCCTCGAGAAGAGCAACCCCAAGACACAAAATCATCAGATTCTCCAAGGTTGAAATGAAGGAAAAAATGTTAAGGGCAGCCAGAGAGAAAGGCCAGGTTACCTACAAAGGGAAGTCTATCAGACTAACAGCAGAACACTCTGTAGAAACACTAAAAGACAGAAGAGAGTAGGAGCCAATATTCAATATTCTTTTTTGTTTGTTTGAGACAGAGTTTTGATTATTGCTCAGGCTGGGGTGCAATGGCACGATCTTGGCTCACCATAACCTCCAACTCCTGGGTTCAAGCGATTCTCCTGCCTCAGCTTCACGAGTAGCTGAAATTACAGGTGCACGCCACCACGCCCGGTTTTTGGGCTCACGCCTGTAATCCCAGCACTTTGGGAGGCCAAGGAGGGTGGATCACCTGAGATTGGGAGTTCAAGACCAACCTGGCCAACATGGTGAAATCCTATCTCTACTAAAAATACAAAAATCAGCCAGGCATGGTGGCAGGCACCTATAATCCCACCTATTCTGGAGGCTGAGGCAGGATAATCACTTGAACCTGACAGGCAGGGGTTGCAGTGAGCCAAGATCATGCCACTGCACTCCAGCCTGGGCAACAGAGCGAGACTCCATCTCAAAAAAAAAAAAAAAAAAAAAAGCAAAAGAATTTTCAACCCAGAATTTCATATCCAGCCAAACTAAGCTTCGTATGCAAAGGAGAAAGAAAATCCTTTACAGACGAGCAAATGCTGAGGGATTTTGTCACCACCAGGCCTCCCTTAGAAGAGGTCCTGAAGGAAGCACTAAATATGGAAAGGAAAAACCAGTACCAGCCACTGCAAAAACACATCGAACTATAAAGTCCAATGACACTATGAAGAAACTGCATCAACTAATGTGCAATATAACCAGTTAGCATCATGATGACAGGATCAAATTCACGCATAACAATATTAATTTTATATGTAAATAGGCTAAATGCCCCAATTAAAAGACACAGACTGGCAAATTGGATAAAGGGTCAAGACTGTGCTGTATGCAGGAGACCTATCTCACATGCAGAGAGACACATAGGCTCAAAATAAAGGGATGGAGGAATATTTACTTACCAAGCAAACGGAAAGAAAAAAAAAAAAGCAGGGATTGCAGTCCTAGTCTCTGATAAAACAGACTTTAAACCAACAAAGATCAAAAAAGACAAAGAAGGGCATTACATAATGGTAAAGGGATCAATGCAACAAGAAGAGCTAACTATCCTTAATATATATGCAGCCAATACAGGAGCCCCCAGATTGATAAAACAAGTTCTTAGTAACTTACAAAGAAACTTAGATGCCCACACAATAATAGTGGGAGACTTTAACACCCCAGTGTCAATATTAGACAGATAACAAGACCGAAAATTAGCAAGGATATTCAGGACTTCAACTCAGCTCTGGACCAAACGAACCTAATAGACATCTCCAGAACTCTCCACCCCAAATCAACAGAATATACATTCTTCTCAGTGCCACATAGCACTTATTCTGAAATCAACCACATAATTGGAAGTAAAACACTCCTCAGCAAATGCAAAAGAACTGAAATCATAACAAACAGTCTATCAGATGACAGTGCAATCAAATTAGAACTCAGGATTAAGAAATTCACTCCAAACTGCACAACTACATGGAAATTGAACAATCTGCTGCTGAATGACTACTGGGTAAATAATAAAATTAAGGCAGAAATACGAGTGCCTGCGATTGCAGGCGCACGCCGCCGTGCCTGACTGGTTTTCGTATTTTTTTTGGTGGATACGGGGTTTCGCTGTGTTGGCTGGGCTGGTCTCCAGCTCCTAACCGCGAGTGATCCACCAGCCTCAGCCCCCCGAGGTGCCGGGATTGCAGACGGAGTCTCGTTCACTCAGTGCTCAATGGTGCCCAGGCTGGAGTGCAGTGGCATGATCTCGGCTCGCTACAACCTCCACCTCCCAGCTGCCTGCCTTGGCCTCCCAAAGTGCCGAGATTGCAGCCTCTGCCCGGCCGCCACCCCTTCTGGGAAGTGAGGAGCGTCTCTTCCTGGCCACCCATCGTCTGGGATGTGAGGAGCCCCTCTGCCTGGCTGCCCAGCCTGGGAAGTGAGGAACGCCTCTTCCCGGCTGCCATCCCATCTAGGAAGTGAGGAGCGTCTCTGCCCGGCCGCCCATCGTCTGAGATGTGGGGAGCGCCTCTGCCCCGCCGCCCCATCTGGGATGTGAGGAGCGCCTCTGCCCGGCCACGACCCCGTCTGGGAGGTGAGGAGCGTCTCTGCCTGGCCGCCCCGTCTGAGAAGTGAGGAGCCCCTCCGCCCAGCAGCCGCCCCGTCTGAGAAGTGAGGAGCCCCTCCGCCCGGCAGCCACCCCGTCTGGGAAGTGAGGAGCGTCTCTGCCTGGCAGCCACCCCATCCGGGAGGGAGGTGGGGGTCAGCCCCCGCCCGGCCAGCCGCCCCATCCGGGAGGGAGGTGGGGGGCCAGCCCCCGCCCGGCCAGCCACCCCTTCCGGGAGGGAGGTGGGGGGCCAGCCCCCGCCCAGCCAGCCGCCCCGTCCGGGAGGGAGGTGGGGGGTCAGCCCCCGCCCGGCCAGCCACCCCGTCCGGGAGGTGGGGGGCGCCTCTGCCCGGTCGCCCCTTCTGGGAAGTGAGGAGCCCCTCTGCCCGGCCACCACCCCATCTGGGATGTGTACCCAACAGCTCATTGAGAACGGGTCATGATGACAATGGCGGTTTTGTGGAATAGAAAAGGGGGAAAGGTGGGGAAAAGATTGAGAAATCGGATGGTTGTTGTGTCTGTGTAGAAAGAAATAGACATGGAAGACTTTTCATTTTGTTCTGTACTAAGAAAAATTCTTCTGCCTTGGGATCCTGTTGATCTATGACCTTACCGCCAACCCTGTGCTCTCTGAAACATGTGCTGTGTCCACTCAAGGTTAAATGGATTAAGGGCGGTGCAAGATGTGCTTTGTTAAACAGATGCTTGAAGGCAGCATGCTCGTTAAGAGTCATCACCACTCCCTAATCTCAAGTACCCAGGGACACAAACACTGCGGAAGGCCGCAGGGTCCTCTGCCTAGGAAAACCAGAGACCTTTGTTCACTTGTTTATCTGCTGACCTTCCCTCCACTATTGTCCTATGACCCTGCCAAATCTCCCTCTGTGAGAAACACCCAAGAATGATCAATAAAAAAAAAAAAAAAGAAAAAGAAAAAATTAAGGCAGAAATAAAGAAGTTCCTTGAAAGCAATGAGAACAAAGAGACAAAGTACCAGAATCTCTGGAACACAGCTAAAGCAGTGTTAAGCGGAAAATTATTGCACCAAATGCCCACATCAGAAAGCTGAAAGGATCTAAAATCAACACCCTAACATCACAATTAAAAGAACTATAGAAGCAAGAACAAACAAATTCAAAAGCTAGCAGAACACAAGAAATAACTAAGATTAGAGTAGAACTGAAGGAGATAGAGACACAAAAAACCCTTCAAAAAATCAATGAATCCAGGAGCTGTTTTTTGAAAACATAGACAAAATACATAGACTGCCAGCTAGACTAATAAAGAAAAGAGAGAAGAATCAAATAGACACAATAAAAATGATAAATAGGATATCACCACTGATCTGACAGAAATACAAACTACCAACAGAGAATACTATAAACACCTCTTTGCAAATAAACTAGAAAATTTAGAAAAAAATGGATAAATTCCTGGACACATACACACACCCTCCCAAGACTAAACCAGGAAGAAGTCAAATCCCTGAATAGACCAATAACAAGTTCTGAAATTGAGGCAGTAATTAATAGCCTACCAACCAAAAAAAGCCCAGGACCACATGGATTCACAGCCAAATTCTATCAGAGATACAAAGAGGAGCTGGTATCATTCCTTCTGAAACTATTCCAAACAATGGAAGAAGAGGGACTCCTTCCTAACTCATTTTATGAGGCCAGCATCATCCTGATTCCAAAACCTGGCAGAGACACAACAGAAAAAGAAAATTTCAGGCCAATATCCCTGAATAATATTGAAGTGAAAATCCTCAATAAAATACTGGCAAACCAATTCCAGCAGCGCATCAAAAAGCTTATCCACCACGACCAAGTCGGCTTCATCCTTGGGATGCAAGGCTGGTTCAACATATGCAAATCAATAAAATAATCCACCACATAAACAGAACCAATGACAAAAAACACATGATTATCTCAATAGATGCAGAAAAGACTGTTGATAAAATTCAACACCCCTTCATGCTAAAAACTCTCAATAAACTAGGTATTGATGGAACATATCTCAAAATAATAGAGCTATTTATGACAAATCCATAGCCAATATCATACTGAATGGACAAAAGGTGGAAGCATTCACTTTGAAAACTGGCACAAGACAAGGATGCCATCTCCCACAACTCTTTTGTTTTTTGAGACGGAGTTTCACTCGTTTCCCAGGCTAGAGTGCAATGGCATGATCTCGGCTCACCACAACCTCTGCCTCCTGGGTGCAAGTGATTCTCCTGCCTCAGCCTCCGGAGTAGCTGGGATTACAGGCGTATGACAACATGCCTGGATAATTTTGTATTTTTAGTAGAGACAGAGTTTCTCCATGTTGGTCAGGCTGGTCTTGCACTCTCAATCTCAGGTGATCCACCCGCCTTGGCCTCCCCAAATGCTGGGATTACATGAGTGAGCCACTGCACCTGGCTCCTCCACTCTTATTCAACATAGTATTGGAAGTTTTGGCCAGGGCAATCAGGCAAGAGAAATAAATAAGGGGTATTCAAATAGGAAGAGAGGAAGTAAACTTGTCTCTGTTTGCAGATGACATGATTGTATATTTAGAAAACCCCATCGTCTCCACCCAAAAGCTCCTTGAGCTGATAAGTAACTTCAGGAAAATCTCAGGATACAAAATCAATGTGTAAAAATCACAAGCATTTGGCTGGTCATGGTGGCTCATGCCTGTAATCCCAGCACTTTGGAAGGCTGAGGCAGGTGGATCATCTGAGGTCCACCTACTCGGGAGGCTGAGGCAACAGAATCGCTTTAACCCAGGAGGCAGAGGTTGCAGTGAGCCAAGATCATGCCACTGCACTACAGCCTGGGTAACAGAGTGAGACTCTGTCTCAAAAAAAAAAAAAAAAAAAAAAAAATCACAAGCATTTCTATACACCAGCAATACACAAGCAGAGGGCCAAATCATGAGTGAACTCCTATTCACAATTGCTACAAAGAGAATAAAATACCTAGGAATACAACTTACAAGGGATGTGAAGGACCTCTTCAAGAAGAACTACAAAACACTGCTCATGGAAATAAGAGAGGACACAAACAAATGGGAAAAAATTCCATGCTCATGGATAGGAATAATCAATATCATGAAAATGGCCATACTGCCCAAAGTAATTTATGACTCAATGCTATTCCCATCAAGCTACCATTGACTTTCTTCACAGAATTAGAAAAAAACTACTTTAAATTTCATATGGAACCAAAAAAAGAATCTGTATAGTCAAGACAATTTTATGCAGAAAGAACAAAGCTGGAGTCATCACGTCACCTGACTTCAAACTATACTACAAGGATACAGTAACCAAAACAGCATGGTACTGTTACCAAAACAGATATATAGACCAATGGAACAGAACAGAGACCTCAGAAATAACACCACACATCTATAACCATCTTATCTGCCACAAACTTGACAAAAACAAGCAATGGGGAAAGGATTCCCTTTTTAATAAATGGTGCTGGGAAAGCTGGCTAGCCATATGCAGAAAACAGAAACTGTACCCCTTCCTTATAACTTATACAAAAATATACTCAAGAAAAATTAAAGACTTAAATGTAAAACCCCAAACCACAAAAACACTAGAAGAAAATCTAGGTAGTACCATTCAGGATATAGGTATGGGCAAAGACTTCATTACTAAAACACAAAAGCAACTGCAACAAATGCCAAAATTGACAAATGGGATCTAATCAAACTAAAGAGCTTCTGCACAGCAAAAGAAACTATCACCAGGGTGAACAGGCAACCTACAGAATGGGAGAAAAATTTTGCAAGATACTCATCTGACAAAGGTCTAATATCCAGAATATACAAGGAACTTAAAAAAATTTATAAGAAAAAAACAACCCCATCAAAAAGTGGGCAAAGGATATAAAGAGACATTTCTCAAAAGACATTTATGTGGCCAAAAAACGTATGAAAAAAAGTTCATCATCACTAGTCGTTAGAGAAATGCAAATCAAACCACAATGAGATACTATCTCATGCCAGTTAGAATGGCAATTATTAAAAAGTCAGGAAACAACAGATGCTCGTGAGGCTGTGGAGAAATGCTTTTACACTGTTGGTAGGACTGTAAATTAGTTCAACCATTGTGGAAGACAATGTGGCAATCCTTAAGAATCTAGAACCAGAAATACCATTCGACCAAGCAATCCCATTACTGGGTATGTACCCAAAGGATTATAAATCATTATACTATAAACACACATGCACACATGTTTATTGCAGAACTCTTTACAGTAGCAAAGACTTGGAACCAACCCAAATGTCCATCAATGATAGACTGGATAAGAAAATGTGGCACATATACACCACAGAATACTATGCAGCCATAAAAAAGAATGAGTTCATGTCCTTTGCAGGGGCATGGATGAAATTGGAAGCCATAATTCTCAGCAAACTAACACAGGAACAGAAAATCAAACACCACATTTTCTCACTCATAAGTGGGAACTGAACGACGAGAACACATGGAGACAGGAAGGGGAACATCACATACTGGGGCCTGTCAGGGTGTGGGGGGCAATGGGAGGGAGAGCATTAGGACAAATACCTAATTCATGTGGGGCTTAAAACCTAGATGATGTGTTGATAGGTGCAGCAAACCACCATGGCACATGTATACATATGTAACAAACCTACATGTTTTGCACATGTATCACAGAAATTAAAAAATTTAAATTTAAAAACATAAAAAATAAAATCATCTATATATTTATATATATATATATTTATATATGTATATACACCACGATTTGAACCCCGTTGAAGACCAATTTTACACAAAAGTCCCCTAATTAACATTGTTTCTAGGATATAAAAACTTGTGCATACATTGAGGACATTTTGCAGAAACAAAAATCC
The DNA here is from genome assembly GCF_000001405.40 of Homo sapiens. Lineage (NCBI taxonomy): Eukaryota > Metazoa > Chordata > Mammalia > Primates > Hominidae > Homo > Homo sapiens. The sequence continues at coordinate 21,546,704 of NC_000019.10, read as the reverse complement.
TTACAAAACTCTGTTAATTCCAATATTACAGTTTGAAATTAGCCTGTGCTGACAATAACTTAAGTAAACAAAATTTCCAAACTTAGTAATAAAAGTAATTTAAAAAAACTGAAGCAAAGATAATTGTTATAAAGACAGTACCATGTATCCTACATAATAGAGTATTTCTAGTTGTAGTTTTTTTGTTTTGTTTTTTTTTTTGAGACAGAGTCTCACTCTGTCTCCCAGGCTGCAGTGCAGTGGTGCTATCTTGGCTCACTGCAACCTCCACCTCCCGGGTTTAAGCAGTTCTCCTGCCTCAGCCTCTCAAGTAGCTGGGACTACAGGCGCATGCCACCATGCCTGGCTAATTTTTATATTTTTAGTAGAGCTGTGGTTTCACTCTGTTGGTCCAGCTGGTCTCAAACTCCTGACCGCAGGTGATCCACCCGACTCAGCCTCCCAAAGTGTTAAGATAACAAATGTGAACCACCGCACCTGTCCTGTATACTTCTTTAATTTGAAAACTGTCAAAGATGTCTACACTCAAAGAAAAATCTGGAATAGTCTTCATATTCTCTATCCAAGGCTTCTTTGAAGAGCTCAACAATAGGATGTGTGTTGCCTTCCATTTATATAGCAAAGAGGGAAGCAAAAAAAAATGGCAAAAAGTAGAATATTCAGAAGAATATTGAAATATTAAAACGAACTAGGAAACTTTTCAGAAATAATTTGGGTTTTTGCCTACTTGATGTCACAACTTACCTGATTAATATTTTCTGTGTGTCTGTGTGTGCGTCCATATGACTGAGTTCTTATAGCCTTAGTACCCTTTTAAATTGACAAATGGTCAATTTAAAATTCCTTAAATTGCATTCAGGAAATAAAATTCCTTAAATTGCATTCAGGAAAATAAAAAAATTTAGGCTTGGAGGCTGAGCGTGGTGGCTCATGCCTGTAATCCCAGCACTTTGGGAGGTGGAGGTGGGCAGATCACTTTAGGTCAGGAGTTCAAAACCAGCCTGGCAAACATGGTGAAACCCATTTCTACTAAAAATCCAAAAAATAGCCAGGCATGGTAGCTCACACCTGTAGTCACAGCTACTCGGGAGGCTGAGGCAGGAGAATTGCTTGAACCCTGGAGGCAGAGGTTGCAGTGAGCCAAGATTGCACCACTGCACTCCAGCCTGGGCAACAGAGCTAGACTCCATCTCAAAAAAAAAAAAAAAAAAAAAGGCTTAGAGGCTTTAATTCGCTTAATATTTCCAGGATCTGCATAATGCGCCTCACAAAATATTCCAGGAAAACATTTTTATTAGAATCTACTAAAATTTCTAAATAGATTCCTTAGAGATTGGATTTTGATTAAGAAATATTTGCCGGGCATGTTGGCTCACGCCTGTAATCCCAGCACTTTGGGAGGCCGAGGTGGGCGGATCAGGAGGTCAGGAGATGGAGACCACCGTGAAACCCCGTCTCTACTAAAAAAAAAATACAAAAAAATTAGCCGGGCACGGTGGCAGGCGCTTGTAGTCCCAGCTAGTCGGGAGGCTGAGGCAGGAGAATGGCGTGAACCTGAGAGGCGGAGCTTGCAGTGAGCCGAGATTGCGCCACTGCACTCCAGCCTGGGCGACAGAGTGAGACTCCATCTCAAAAAAACAACAAAAAAACAAAAAACAAGAAATATTTAATACTCTAGGTAGATACCTGAAATACTGTAAAACTCAATACATTCATTCTTCCAGAGTGTTCCTAGCATTTATAAGATGTCCAGAATAATATTTGTAGAAAATAAGCCTAAATGTATTTAGAAATGTATGTAGAAAATTATGGTATTTTGCTAAGCAGGTATATTCAGGATAAATGCATTACAAAATTCTTGCTGGGCACAGTGGCTCATGCCTGTAATCCCAGCACTTTGGGAGGCCAAGGCGGGCAGGTCACTTGAGGTCAGGAGTTTGAGACATGTCTGGCCAACATGGTGAAACTCCATCTCTACTAAATATACACAAATAAGCTGGGTGTGGTAGCGCATGCCTGTAATCCCAGCTACTCAGAAAGCTGAGGTAGGAGAATCACTTGAACCCAGGAGATGAAGGCTGCATTGAGCCAAGGTTGCACCACTGCACTCCAGTCTGGGTGACAGTGAGAGTCTCAAAAAAACAAACAAACAAAAAAAAACTATGAATTTGTTTTAAACTATATGGTGAAATCGACTCCTAATTTTTATCTTTTTTTTTGAGATGGAGTTTCACTCTTGTTGCTCAGGCTGGAGTGCAATGGCATGATCTCCACTCACCACAACCTCTGCCTCCCGGGTTCAAGCGATTCTCCTGCCTCAGCCTCCCGAGTGACTGGCATTACAGGCATGAGCCACTACACCCAGCTAATTTTTGTATTTTTAGTAAAGACGGGGTTTCTCTGTCAGGCTGCTCTTGAAATCCCAATCTCAGGTGATACTCCCACCTCGGCCTCCCAAAGTGCTGGGATTATAGACATGAGGCATTGCGCCTGGCCTAATTTTTACTTTTTAGATACATAAACTAGTCGACACATAAACTATTTTAAATTTGTTCCCCTCTTTATTAGTCCTTTGTTATGTTTGGTACTAGAACATCCAGTTTCACAGCATCTGCTGCTTCAGGGGATCTCAATTTGCTCATTCATTCATTCATTCAGAGAAGTTTTGCTCGTCGCCCAGTTTGGAGGGCAATGGAGTGATCTCAGCTCACTGCAACCTCCTCCTCCCAGGTTCAAACAATTCACCTGCCTCAGCCTCCCAAGTAGCTGGGATTACAGGCATGCGCCACCACACCCAGCTAATTTTTGTATTTTTAGTAGAGACGGGGTTTCACCATGCTGACCAGGCTGGTCTTGGACTCCTGACTTCAGGTGATCCACCCACCTCGGCCTCCCAAAGTGCTGGGAGGCCTGAGCCACCGTGCCTGGCCGCAGTTTTTTATACAGCCTAGTTCTTCTCCCCCTCTCAGTTTTTAAATCATTCTTTCTCCATTTGAACCTAAACCATATAAGCTCTACAAATTACCCTTCAATACTAACATACACTTGAGAACCACTTTTCTGTCAACTTCCCTTCCCCATCCCTCTAGTAATTTGGAATACTAATAGCGTAATTTTTACCTAAAACTGTAGTCAGTAAACGCTGCAAAGTGGTTAACTATCGTTCACTGCAGATCCAAGCAGTATACATTGATTTTATCAACTAGTTAATACAAATTTCTTTAACAATTATTGCAGTCCATATTAGTTTGATTTTATGTCTAATGCTAAGTCTTGCTGAAATACCTCCTCTTAACTTACACTTGCCCTAAAATATTTTTCATTTGTTTAAAAAACTTTAAATTATCTCTGGGTTACATTTTTTTCCCTGCAGATGTCTCTCCTGCTGATCACCTTCCTCCTCCTCTAATTTGCTGTCTCTCTGGACAATGTGAAGTTTGACCTGAGCTCCCCTCCTCACACCCTGTATGCATGTTCTGTCTCTGGGTCTTCTGCTGTTGTGTTCCGCTGTCGTTTTGCTTGCTGACTCCACAGAGAGTTTGTGTCCTGGTGTCCACAAAGAGTGCACGTCAAGGTCAGGAGCTCGAGACCAGCCTGACCAACATAGTGAAACCCATCTCTACAAAAAATACAAAAATTAGCTGGGTGTGGTGGTGAGCACCTGTAATCCCAGCTACTCAGGAGGCTGAGGCAGGAGAATTGTTGAACTGGGGAGGTGGAGGATGCAGTGAGCCAAGATCATGCCACTGAACTCCAGCCTCGGCAATACAGCGAGACTCCATCTCAAAAGGGGAAAAAAAAAAATATAACTTCAAAGATGGTTCCTGGCCAGGTATGGTAGCTCACGCATGTAATCCTAGCACTTTCAGAAGACAAGGTGGGTGGATCACTTGGGGTCAGGAGTTCAAGATCGGCCTGGCCAACATGGTGAAACCCCATCTCTACTAAAAATACAAAAATTAGGTGGATGTGATGGCGCAGGCCCATAATCCCAGCTACTTGGGAGGCTGAAACAGGAGAAGCACTTGAACCCAGGAGGTGAAGGTTGCAGTGAGCCAAGATATTGCCAGTGCACTCCAGCCTGGGCAACAGAGCAAGACTTCATCTCAAAAAAACAAAAACAAAGAAACAAACAAACAAAAAAATGGAATACAAAATGAGTTTCTAACAAAATTGATATTTACCACACTTTGTGTAAGAATCTAATAGATTTTTCCAGCCAGGCACAGTGACTCAATCCTGCAATCCCAGCACTTTGGGAGGCTGAGGCGGGCAGATCATCTGAGGTCAGGAGTTCTAGACCAGCCTGGCCAACAGGCTGAAACCCCATCTCTACTAAAATACAGAAATTAACCAGGCGTGGTTGCGGGTGCTTGTAATCCCAGCTATTCAGGAGATTGCGGCAACATAGGAGGCAGAGGTTGCAGTGAGTCAAGACTGCATCACTGCACTCCAGCCTGGGTGACAAGAGCAAGACTCCATCTCAAAAAAATAAAATACATAAAGATTTTTCTTTTACAGACAAACAATGCTAAGTGATGTAATTCTCTCACCCAGGAAAAACGTGTGCCTCTTATTTTATCAATCCAAAAGTTATATTGATAAGCAAATTCCCCAGTTAAAACCACTTTTTCAGTGCATTAAAAAATAAACTTTCAGCCAGGTGTGGTGGCTCACTCCTGCAATCCCAACACTTTGGGAGGCCAAGTCACTTTGCGCGAATCACATGAGGTCGGGAGTTTGAGACTAGCCAGACCAACATGGAGAAACCCCGTCTCTACTAAAAATACAAAATTAGCCAGGCGTGGTGGTGCATACCTGTAATCCCAACTACTGAGGAAGCTGAGGCAGGAGAATCGCTTGAACCCGGTAGGGGGAAGTTGTAGTGAGCAGAGATCGTGCCACTGCACTCCAGCCTGGGCAACAAGAGCGAAACTCCATCTCAAACAAAACAAAACAAAACAAAACTTTCTCATTAGAACCTTCAAAGTACCATGTGAAATGAAGACAACAGTGAGAAAACTGTTGCCATAACACAGTAAAAGAAGTACTGTAGTTCATTGTAATGCATACAACCTTGGAATACACATAAGACAAACAAAACAGGATAAGAAACAAGAGAAGCAAAATTTCTCTTTAAATTCATTAAGAGTCAGCTTTGCAGCCTGGACAAAAATGCCTTCGCCACATGAAGATTTCTTCACCATGGATATTTTTCATCTCTGACTTGAAAATACAAACTAACTCCAGCAGGAATATTTATGGCTTATTATGGAGCGTCTGTGACACAGGAGGAACTTTCATATTTGTTTGCTACATTTATATATAAAAACATCCTCATGACTTATGAAGTCTCCCTAGTACTTACCTGAACAAATTGACTCAATTAATAAATTTACTTGTCACTTATAAAAGTGAAAAGAAGCAATAATTTTTAAAAAATGCTTATATAGGGTTCTCCAGTTAATAAAATGGAATGCCCTAACTAAATAAAATGTAAATACACTATTTTAAAATTATATCTAAAAATTATCTTGTGTGCATTACTCAATTTTATAAAATTTATTATAATCTCTGACCAGCTCACATAATGAATACTTCATAAACTATACAACAAAAAATATATAAAACACACAAAAAAATTAAGGGCCTAGCATGAGTACCAGGCAAATAAATACAGAGAATTTGCATGGGGAGATTCTGAACTATAGCCATAAAATTTTACAGTAATAAATTCAATAAAAAGAGAGTATAGATTTGCTTTCAGCATTTTTGAGGTTTTTTGTTTTCTAGTATATTAGCAACCTTAATAAAATGATTCTTTTTGTTCCAATATTACTCTTCAAAAAAATTAGGTGTATTCACACAAAGACACTTAATAACTGTATAATTTTCTTACATCTAAGATTTATCTTTACAGCCACACATGTGTACATTTAACTCTATGTAAATCAAAGCTAAAAGTCTGTGTGTGTTTGCAGGCAGAGAGGCCAAATGTTCAAATAAAAATATATTACAAATAATTGAAAATATCTATTTAAGACTCAGAAATGAGTTTATTTATACTTATATATAAATTTTTATACCACAAAGATAACCATGCAGTCAATAGCAATTTAATTGTACACTTTAAAATAACTAAAAGTGCATAATTGAGTTGTTTGTAAAAGATAAATGTTACAAGTAATGGCTACATAATTTACCCTGATGTAATTGATGTAATTATTACATATTGTATGCCTCTATCAAAATATGCCAGATTTGCATAAATATATACACATATTATGTACCCACAAAAAAATAAGAAAAAAATTTAAATATCAAAAAAAGGATAAATATTTAACCTATGGGAACAATATTAACTTATCTGCCAGTTAAAGCTACTGGCAAAAGAGATTACTAGAGATGCTATTCCACTATGTTACTAAATAGCATACTGCTACCTTCATTTAGCTACACCCTTGAGTAACGTGGGATAGGTTAAAGTTGATAGCATAATAATGCTTCATTAAATGCACAATAGTCTTAACATGGTAACAAATAAAATCAAATTTACATATAATTTAAAAATTTTGAAATATACTGCATTTTATAACATAAAAGCTCAATCACTAAAATGATTTACAATTTTATTATAAATTCACTTTTAACTAAAAAATATTTTCTATCACTGTAATACAGAGGCATATTACTCTGAACATCGACCTCATACATCACTCAATAAGTTAACCACAAAGAGCCTCTCCACTTAGATTTTCATCAAGCATCTTACATTTTAATGTCCTTACTTTTTTACAGAAGAGGCCATAATTTCCACCTAATGAGTCTATATGTGATGCAGCAATAATTGATCACATGCTTTCACATGTGAATAGGAACAATGAAACAGCATGAAGTAATTTGATACTTGAATTATATCATAATTTGCTTTTCAAAAATTTTATATATATACATATTTTTAAAAGCATACTTTGGGCTGGGTGCAGTGGCTCATGGCTGCAATCCCAGCACTCTGGGAGGCCAAGGTGGGCAGATCACTTGAGATGAAGAGTTTGAGACCACCCTGGACAAAATGGTGAAATCTCATCTCTACTAAAAATACAAAAAAAAAAAAAAATAGCCAGACATGCTGGTGTATGCCTGTATTCCCAGCTACTCAGGAGGCTGTGGCAGGAGAACTGCTTGAACCCAAAGGTCGAAGTTGGCAGCAAGCTGAAATTGTGCCACTGAACTCCAACGTAGGCAACAAAGTGAGACTCCATCTCAAAAAAATAAATAAAAAGTACACTTTGAATATAACTTTGCAAAATATCTTCCACTCTTTTAAAAGTTATATACAAATAATTTAACAACTTTAGTTTTATTTTCTATACTCAGCACTTTAGTGTAATGTCTCAAGTGTTTGTGTCTTAGTTGTTTCTACTGTAAATTCTGATATTCATGTAGACTTTTCTATGTATTAAATATCATATTCTATGTATTTAATACATGTATTCAATATCATACATATCTATGTATGATATTTATGTAGACTTTTTAAATTCAATTTTGAATTAAATATTTTTATACATATGGCCATATGCAAAAATATATGTTAATATAAACTCTCCATTGTTTCCTGAGGTATAGTTTTTGGGGAAAAAAAAGTTTTTCCAAATTTATTACACTTGCTGGATTTTTCTCCAATATAAATTTCTGATGTTGAACAAAGTTGGTGCAACTGCTTCAGGGTTTTCCTCTAGTATAAAATGTGTACAACAAGATCTGTGATACAAGTAAATGCACTATAACCCTCTTTACATTTGTAATGTTTTTCCTCAGACTAGTCTCATTCACTTTAAAGGATGATATTTTCTACAAGATTGTTTGACAGTAATTGCACTTACAATGCTCTTATTAAGTATCAACTCTCTGTTGTTAAGATGTGAACAGATTTTAATGGCTTTTCCACATTTTTTAAATTTGTATACCTTTTTTCAGGTATAAATGCTTTTCTATGCAATAAGATGTGAGCATTAGTTAAAACGAGTTTTGCCACATTCTACACATTTGTAAGGTTTCTCTCTACTATGAATTTTCTTTCTTTTATTTATTTATATATTTTTTAGACAGAGTCTTGTTTTGTCATCCAGGCTGGAGTGTAGTGGCGTGATCTCAGCTCACTGCTACCTCTGGCTCCCAGGTTCAAGCAATTCTCCTGCCTCAGCCTCCCAAGTAGCTAGGACTACAGGCATGTGCCACCACATCCAGCTAATTTTTGTATTTTTAGTAGAGATGGGGTTTTACCATGTTGACCAGGCTGGTCTTGAACTCCTGACCTCGTGATCCACCCGCCTCGGCCTCCCAAAGTGCTGGGATTACAGGCAGGCATGAGCCACCATACCTGGCCTATGAATTTTCTTTTCTTTTTTTTTTTTTTTTTTTTTTGAGATGGAGTCTGGCTCTGTCACCCAGGCTGGAGTGCAGTGGTGTGATCTTGGCTCAATGCAAGCTCCACCTCCGGGTTCAGGCCATTCTCCTGCCTCAGCCTCCCGAGTAGGTGGGACTACAAGTGCCCACCACCACGCCTGGCTAATTTTTTTTTTTTTTTTTTTTGTATTTTTAGTAGAGACGGGGTTTCACCATGTTAGCCAGGACGGTCTCGATCTCCTGACCTCGTGATCCGCCCACCTCTGCCTCCCAAAGTGCTGGGATTACAGGCATGAGCCACCACACCCATCCTATGAATTTTCTTATGTTGAGTAAGTCTTGAAGACCGGGTAAAAGCTTTGGCACATTCTTCACATTTGTAAGGTTTCTCTCTAGTATGAATTTTCTTATGTTGAGTAAGTCTTGAGGACCGATTAAAAGCTTTGCCACATTCTTCACATTTGTAGGGTTTCTCTCCACTATGAATTTTCTTATGACTACTAAGGTTTGAGGAGTGGGTAAAAGCTTTGTCACATTGTTTACATTTGTAGGGTTTCTCTCCAGTATGAATTTTCTTATGTTGAGTAAGTCTTGAGGACCGGTTAAAAGCTTTGCCACATTCTTCACATTTGTAAGGTTTCTCTCCAGTATGAATTTTCTTATGTTGAGTAAGTCTTGAGGACAGGATAAAAGCTTTGCCACATTCTTCACATTTGTAGGGTTTCTCTCCACTATGAATTTTTTTATGACTGTTAAGGTTTGAGGACTGCTTAAAGGCTTTGCCACATTCTTCACATTTGTAGGGTTTCTCTCCAGTATGAATTCTCCTATGGCTAGTAAGGTGTGAGGACCGGTTAAAAGCTTTGCCACATTCGTTACATTTATAGGGTTTCTCTTCAGTATGAATTCTCTTATGTCTAGTAAGTGTAGAGGAATAGGTAAAAACTTTGCCACATTCTTCACAATTGTAGGGTTTCTCTCCAGTATGAATTTTCTTGTCTTGAGTAAGTGTTGAGGAACAGGTAAAAACTCTGCCACATTTTTCAAATTTGTAGGGTTCCTCTCCAGTATGAATTTTTTTATGTCGAGTAAGTCTTGAAGACTGGTTAAAAGCTTTGCCACATTCTTCACATTTGTAGGGCTTCTCTCCAGTATGAATTACCTTATGTTTAGTAAGAGTTGAAGACCAGTTAAAGGCTTTGCCACATTCTTCACATTTGTAGGGTTTCTCACCAGTATGTATTCTCTTATGGCTAGTAAGGGTTGAGGACCGGTTAAAGGCTTTGCCACATTCTTTACATTTGTAGGGTTTCTCTTCAGTATGAATTATCTTATGTTTAGTAAAGGTTGAGGATATGCTAAAGGTTTTGCCACATTCATCACATTTGTAGGGCTTCTCTCCAGAATGAATTCTCTTATGGGTAGTAAGGGTTGAGTACCTGCTAAAGGCTTTGCCACATTCTTTACATTTGTAGGGTTTCTCTCCAGTATGAATTCTCTTATGGTTAGTAAGGGTTGAGTAGTGGTTAAATGCTTTGCCACATTCTTCACATCTGTAGTGTTTCTCACCAACATAAATTCTCTTATGGTTAGTAAGGGCTGAGGACTGATTAAAGGCATTGCCAAATTCTTTACATCTGTAGGTATTCTCTCTAATATGAATTTTCTTATGTTGAGTTAGTTGTGAAAGCATGCAAAATGATTTGCCACATTTTTTACACTGGAAAGGTTTCTTTCCAGTATGTCTTGTCTTGTATCTATCTGCATTTGAAAATGCATAAAAGACTTTTACATATATATCACAGTGATACATTTTGCTCTGGGTAAGTGTCAAACATTGGTTAAGTCCATTATAACCTCCTTTGTATAGCTTACAATCACCTACAGTTTTATAGCCTTTTCTTAATTGTAAGTTCTCATGTCCACGTTTATCATATCTCCTCAGTGTCACTTTTTGGAAAGAATCTTTTATGTCTTGCTCTGGCCAAAAGTCTTCAGCAAAATGAGAACACACAACTAAAATAAAATTAAAACAACAAATTACTTCACTTACTAGACTCAGATATATATACGTCACAAACAAAACCTCTAAAGTTATAAAAACTACGTAAGCAACACAGCATAGCAAAATACCAGATTCTAATTTCTTCATAAACATATAAATATAACAAAGACATACTAACCAAAATATATTAGTGGATAATTTATCAATAAGTTATATGTGTACAACGCCCCAGGTGAGTACAATGCAAAGAGTCACATAGAATGAAAAACATTTCTGTTACAGTTACCCAACACAGCTCTTCCTGTTCCCCAATAAAACACAGTGCCTTTGGAAGTAAATTGCCAGCTCCTCATTTTGTTTTTAAAAGACAAGAAATATATTGGCACATACATCTTTATTTCTGGCTTCTAGGATATTACCAGATGCTGGATTTAGCTTCCCACAACATAAACTGCTGAAAGAAATGGTGGTATACTTTGGTCAGGCGCGGTGGCTCATGCCTGTAATCCCAGCACTTTGGAGGCCAAGGCGGGCAGATCATAAAGTCAGGAGTTCGAAACCAGCCTGGCCAACATGGTGAAACCCTGTCTCTACTAAAAATACAAAAAATTAGCTGGGCGTGATGGCAGGCACCTATAATCCCAGCTACTCAGAAGGCTGAGGCAGGAGAATCACTTGAACCCAGAAAGTGGAGGTTGCAGTGAGCTGAGACCGTACCACTGCACTCCAGCCTGGGCAACAGAGCAAGACTCTGTCTCAAAAAAAGAAAAAGAAGGAAAGAAAGAAAGAAAGAAGAAAGAAAGAAAGAAAGAAAGAAAGAAAGAAAGAAAGAAAGAAAGAAAGAAAGAAAGAAAGAAAGAAAGAAAGAAAGAAAGAAAAGAAAAAGAAAGAAAGAAAGAAAGAAAGTAAAAAAGAAAGAAAGAAAGAAAGAAGAAAAGAAAGGAAAGGAAAGAAAAGAAAAGAGAAAGAAAGAAAGAAAGAAAGAAAGAAAGAAGGAAAGAAATGGTGGTATACTTCACAATGAGAGTTTGAGTCTGCTGAGACCAAAGGTAAATGTTACAGGAGTGGAGTGACTGCAGTACCACAGACAGGGAACAGGTGTAGCAAGTGATTACTGACTATTAGGATGATACATGAATACACTTCTTTAAAAAATAAAAACAAGGCCGGGCGCGGTGGCTCACGCCTGTAATCCCAGCACTTTGGGAGGCCGAGGCGGGCGGATCACAAGGTCAGGAGATCGAGACCATCCCGGCTAAAACGGTGAAACCCCATCTCTACTAAAAAAAAAAAAAAAAGAAAAAACACAAAAAATTAGCCAGGCGTGGTGGTGGATGCCTGTAGTCCCAGCTACTCGGGAGGCTGAGGCAGGAGAATGGCGTGAACCCGGGAGGCGGAGCCTGCAGTGAGCCGAGATCACGCCACTGCACTCCAGCCTGGGCGACAGAGCGATACTCCGTCTCAAAAAAAAACAAACAAACGAACAAAAAAAAAAAAACACAAAAAACAACTTTCCAGCTGAAAGCAAGAGATTCTCTCCAGTCAAAAGCAAAATATCCTTATTTGCACCTGGTGTATTCTGTTAGGACACAAATCAAGTCTTACTAAATTTAGGAATATTGGCTGGGTACAGTGGGTCATGCCTTTAATCCCAACACATTAGACACCAAGGTGGAAGGATCACTTGGAGCCACAAGTTTGAGACCAGGCCTGGGCAACATAGTGAAATCCTGTCCCTACAAATAATTAAAAACTGCACTAGCCAGACATGGTAGTGCATGTCTGTAGTCAGGAGACTGAGATGGAAGGATCACTTGAGCTCAGGAGGTTGAGGCTGCGTTGAGCCAAAATCATGCCACTGTACTCCAACCTGGGTGACAGAGTAAGCTCCTGTCTCAAAACAACAAATAAAATTTAAAAGACCAAAATTACACACTATGTTTTGTGGCCAAAACTAAATAAAACTAGGAACTAAAAGCAAAAGTAAAACTGGAAAATCCAAAAATATATGAAAATAAAACATGCTCTTCAACATTTTCTTGCTTAGGGGTCAAAAATTTAATTTTTCAAATATGTCAATACAACAGACAGTGATAAACACATTTAATATAATCCCTAAACAATCCCAATAGCACAGTTTTTTACAGAAATATTGTTTAAAATTGTAAAATTTGATCATAAACTATAGCCAAACACCCATGAAAAAGAATAAAGAGGCATTATACTTTTTGATTTCAAAACATATTAAAAGCTACAGTAACAAAAACAATGTGGTACTGACAAGACAGATGAAAGATGAAAGAATAGAATACACAGCACAGAAATATACCCTTCTGTATATGATCTGTTGTGTGCCATGAGCACACAACAGAGAAAAGAAAATCTCTTTAAAAAATAATATTGGAAACTGGATATCAATACAGCCTAGCCAACATGGGGAAACCCCATCTCTACTAAAAATACAAAAAAATTAGCCAGGTGTGGTGGCATACACCTGTAATCCCAGCTACTTGGGAGGTTGAGGCAGAAGAATTGCTTGAACCCGGGAAACAGGTTGCAGTGAGCTGAGACTACACCGGTACACTCCAGCCTGGGCAACAGAGCAAGACTCTGTATTGAAAAAAAACAAAAGAAACACTGGTAAAATAAAGTTGGGTCCTTTCCTTGAACCATATACAAAAAACATTTTAAATAAAATACTTGGACATTAAAAAAAAAAAGAACCACTAACAAATCCCTTAGAAAAAAATATAGAAGAAAGACATGACATTGGACTTGGCCGCATTTTCTTAGATACAACATTAAATGTATGAGCAAGAAAGAAAATAGAAAAATTTAACTGCACTAAAAAATTTCTGCACATCAGAGAAAACGTTCAATACAGTGAAAATGTCTCTTAGGAAATGGATGAAAATGTATGCAAATCACATGGATATGATTTAATATTCAGAATATATAAACACCTCTTGAAACTAAACAATAAAGTTGAATAATGTGATTTTAAAATGGGAAAACAACTGAACTAAATTTTCATCAAAAAAGACGCACAACTGGAAAAAAAGCATTTAAGAACACAAGATCACTAATTTGTAGAGATATGCATGAAAATAACAATGAAAACCAAAATCACCTCACATCCATTAAGAATGGAAACTGTAAATTTTTTTAAAAACACCAAAGCTGTTGATGATGCAATGAAAATGAAACCCATGTTCATTGTGGAAAACAAGAATGCAGCCATTACTTTAAAATGTTATGTTTCTCAAATACTTAGAAATGAAAAAAAAAAAAATTTGGACCGGGCAAGGTGGATCATGCCTGTAATCCTAGCACTTTGAGAGGCCGAGGCAGGCAGATCACCTGTCAGGAGTTCAAGACCAGCCTGGCCAACAGGGTGAAACCCTGTCTCTACTAAAAATACAAAATTAGCCAGGTGTGGTGGCACACACCTGTAGTCCCAGCTACTTGGGAGGCTGAGGTTGGAGAATCGCTTGAACCCGGGAGGCCGAGGTTGCAGTGAACCAAGACTGCACCACTGCACTCCAGCCTGGGTGACAAAGCGAGACCACCGTCTCCAAAAAAAAAAAAAAAATCCTCTCACATAGAGGCATCTTCTGTCTTATGCTTTTATATTTTTTAAGGATTCTACTTTCCCCTCAGTGATCTTTGTTCAAGCTTACAGTGAGCCAAAACCCTCTTCATGGCATATAATATACTGCATAATCTGACTGCTTTTTCATTGTTTTGGGGGACAAACAAGTATCTGCCTAATTTTGAAAAACTCTTTGTTAAACTACTTTTTAGATTCTCTTTTTGTATTATGTCTAAAATGTTTGAGAGTAGTGGTTTCTGTTCCAGTAGTGTTTTTTTGTTAATTTTTCTGCACATTCCACTATGTTTGTATTACTATAGTGTTGAAATATAGTTTGACATTATGAAGTATGATGTTCTTTTGCTTTCTTTTTCCTCAAGATTGCTTTGGCTAGTCAAAGTTTATTGTAGTTTCATGTAAATTTTAAAATTGCATTTCTGTGAAAAAAAAAACACTGAAATTTTCATTGGGAATTCACTGAATCTATAGATCACTTTGAATAATATGGCACTTCAAAAATATTTATTGTTTCAATCCATAGATACAAAATATTTTAAAATTTACGTCTTTTTAAATTTCTTTCATTGATATATTTTTAATTGTAAATACTTTTTACCTCCTTGGTTAAATTTGTTTTCAGAAATTTATTACTCTAATGCTATTGTAAATAAGATTGTTTTCTTCCTCTCTTCTATCAGATAGTTTAAGTGTATGGAACCATAACTTATACTTGTATGTTAATTTTGTATGTTGCTAATATACTAAGGGCATTTACTAGTTTAGACAGGTTTTAATGTACTGTTTATGGTTTTTTAATGTCAGATTACATAATCTACAAACAGCAACTTTTTACTTGTCTTCAATTTCAATGCTTTTTTTTTTTTTCTTTTTTTGAGACAGAGTCTCACTCCATCACCCAGGCTGGAGTGCAGTGGCATGAGCTTGGCTCACTGCAACCTCCGCCTCCTAGGTTCAAGCAATTCTCCCTGCCTTAGTCTCCCAAGTAGCTAGGATTACAGGTGCCTGCCACCACGCTCAGCTAATTTTTGTATTTTTTAGTAGAGACAGGGTTTTGCCAAGTTGGCCAGGCTGGTCTGGAACTCCTGACCTCAGGTGATCCAGCTGCCTTGGCCTCCTGAAGTGCTGGGATTATAGACATGAGCCACCGTGCTCAGCCTATTTTCTATTTTTTTGACTAATATTTATGCCACATACTTCCAGTACTATATTAAAATAGAGGCATTAACAATGGGTACAATACAGTTTTGCATTGGTGTCTGTGAATGTGAAGAAGCAGACACCTCTTCAATTTTTTATAAACTGGCCTCAGGAGGTAAGCCTCTTTTGTTGGGTCCCCAGGGTGCTGAGATGCCCTATGGATTTGTAATAGAGAGGGGTTGTAGCTTGGTCACAAGGCTGCGGGGTCTGTACTAGGGTCCACCTTTAGTTGGCTTGTTACAAGGGGTTTTGGTAGTTGTTAATCCCCATTTTATTTTTCAACAGAATGAATATTCTTCAGGACTTTGCTCTGTAGGGCAGTCACCAAGACGGGTGTTTTTTTTTTTTTGGTTTTTTTTTTTTTTTTTTTTTTTGAGATGGAGTTTCACTCTTGTTGCCCAGGCTGGAGTGCAATGATGTGATCTCAGCTCACTGCAACCTCCGCCTCCCAGATTCAAGCGATTCTCCTGCCTCAGCCTCCTGAGAAGCTGGGATTGCAGGCATGTGACACCATGCCCAGTGAACTTTTGTACTGTTAGTAGAGATGCAGTTTCATGATGTTGGCCAGGCTGGTCTCAAATGCCTGACCCCAGGTGATCCGCCCACCTCAGCCTCCCAAAGTGCTGGGATTACACGTGTGAACCACTGTGCCAGGCTGAAAGTTTTTTAGAACACAGTTTTTCAGAAAATATTTTCTTTGAAACATAGCTTCCCAAATCACATTGTTAAGGACTGGCTTTCTTATTGGCCTTGGGACCTCTCATCTGTGTTGTCTGTTGTGTTCACTCTCACCTACCTGGGGGTTCATCCACCATTTCATGTCGCTTCATCTTGCAGGGTTCTTTTTCTTTCTCTAGACAAGTGATTAGGTCTGGCTTAGAAACAGCAATACCTGTTTTATTAAAAATAAAGAAGATGAATCTTGCTTATATTCTGTAATTACCAATTTAGTAATGTGCTCAGTAAAGAGGATGTAATATAATATTCTAGTAAATTAATGCCCAAATACCAATTTATAAGAGAAATTTCTAAATCTTTAGAAAATATTTAAAATTTTTAGGTTCTTAATTTCATTGCCCAGTACTACTTAATAAAAAATCGATTGTGACAATTAGATTTTAAGGTGTGGGCAACAATATTTTAGGCCACCAAATTCCTGAAATTATCACTAATCAAGAGTACATAATACAAATCAGCTCAGGAATATGGAAAGTTCAGGTGAAGACAAAACATCTTGAAGAAATTCTTTTCTACATGAACAAATCCCCAAACTTTTTTTTTTTTTTTTTTGAGATGGAGTCTCGCTCTTTTGCCCAGGCTGGACTGCAGTGGTGCTATCTCCGCTCACTGCAAGCTCCACCTCCCGGGTTCACGCCATTCTCCTGCCTCAGCCTCCCGAGTAGCTGGGACTACAGGTGCCTGCCACTGTGCCCAGCTAATTTTTTGTATTTTTAGTAGAGACGGGGTTTCACCGTGTTAGCCAGGATGGTCTCCTGACCTCGTGATCCACCCGCCTTGGCCTCCCAAAGTGCTGGGATTACAGGCGTGAGCCAAGACACCCGGCCCCAAACTTTTCTTAAAAGCAGGAATCTGAAACTCATTTATGCAAAGCATAAATTACCAAAGAACATTCTACAAAGAGGAGAAATGAAACATTTAGGGTATATTAGGAATGTTGTATTGAAGTTATTCTCACCCAGGAAGACCAAGTTTCTGTAGTTCTCTAACATCACATTTCTATATAAGTTCTGTTGTGCTGTGTCCAGGCACTGCCACTCCTCCAGAGAGAATTCTATGGCCACATCTGTAAATGTCAATGGTCCCTGAAACACACACACACCAACAGAAGGAGAGAGAAAGAGAGAGAAATATATTGACCAAGTGCCCATGGGTAGAATTTTTTATTTAATTCAAGGTGAAATGAGAGAGTAAAGAGAACTGCTTCTGACTTATACAAGTGACTGAAATTATTCAATAAACTAATTTATAAACAGAAATGTTCTCTAATATATTCTCTAACTTTGAGAAAATAGTGGCATAAGATCCACAACATCAGTGTACACATGACATTTTTCTAAGTGATAAAGTATAAAATTAAGGGCATGAACAGAAACATACATTTTTGAGTGCTATGTTTACATCTTACAGAATGAGTTGTGTATATTTTTCAGATCAAAAAGACATGTTGAGTTAGAATTTACCTCTCACATTTTAATGTGTTCAATGAACTGAAGATTTTGTTAATGCAGATTATTTTTTCAGAAAATCTGGAATAAAGTCTGAGTTGCTGAATTTCTAACAAGCTCACCAGTAATGCCAATGTTTTTGATCCAAAAAGAATATTTTGTCAAACATTCAGTAAATGAAGGAAGCTGTGTTTTTCCCAGTTTTTTTGTCCTGTAAACAAAGATGAGAGCTTTCATTTTCCAAAGACAGATATATGCAAAGAAAACCTAAGGAAGAAGGGCAGCTGCCAGATTAAATGTGATGGCATCAGCTGCATAAAGATAGTTAATAATAAAGAAAAAATAATCAACTCTATAGTAAAACAGTCTGTCAGAGAGTTCTTTAACCAAGTGAATCATTAACATCAACTGCACTAGGACAAATTTTTATGATGTGCTGGTGCATACAGAAAGACATAGCCTCACTGATGTGATCTTGCTACCTAAAAGTAGATTACAGTCTGAATTTAACCATAAAGAAACATCAGTTTTATTCAAAGTTTAAGGTACTGATGACTCATGGGTTCTGTAATTTTTTTTTTCTTTTTTTTGAGACGGAGTCTCACTCTGTCCCCCAGGCTGGAGTGGAATGGCACAATTTCGGCTCACTGCAACCTCCACCTCCTGGGTTCAAGCGATTCTCCTGCCTCAGCCTCCACAGTAGCTAGGATTACAGGCACCTGCCACCACGCCCGGCTAATTTTTGTATTTTTAGTAGAGATGGGGTTTCACCATGTTGGTCAGACAGGTTTTGAACTCCTGACCTCAAGTTATCCACCCACCACGGCCTCCCAAAGTGTTAAGATTACAGGTGTGAGCCACTGCACCCAGTCAAGTGTTCTATAATTTTTAGTAATGATTTAAAGTAGTCTTTTTTTAGCACTCTAGAGAACAGGTACCTCCTAATATATATTATTTTTTAGAACTTTCTGGGTGATAAATGCCATCCTGTTTAAATAAGCATTTTGAAAATCCTGTTCTGCATAAAGCCAATGGAGAACACAGATGGAACCTCAACATTACATGTTCTCCATCTTTACTGAGGACCCCCACCTTTCCCTAATAGAAACCTTGAGTATCCACACCTCCTGTTTCACAGCCACAAGAGAACATTTTTAATATTGCAGATTAATTTATAATCGGTGAGAATTCTGCATGGCACATAAAAAGCTATGATGTAGAGAATGTAGAGAAAGATCTGGTATGTAGGAAGGAAATATTTTTCAGAGACCCTTGACTATCATAAGAATTTTAAAAAGTAGTTAAACTCATTAGGGAGGAAAAATACAAGTAGAGAAGTAAAGGCTTGCAAGTACTAAATGCATGACAGTCCAGGAGGCAGAGTGGACACAGCTCTTGATCTGGGACATGATTAGCTGAAAAATCGCCATTTATTCTTCTTTTTCCAATTTCTGTAAAATTCCTGCTCAGATGACATGCTCCAAACAAATCACACCTGCATCTTGAGACTATGCCTTTTAAAATGTCAACAGAACCTGTTTACCTGCTGCCACCACACCCACAGGCAGAAGAATCAAGACTTGCAAAAAAAGTCCACCCATTTCTGTTCTTAATAACAGACATTTAGGAACAATGCACTGTTCCATGGAGACACATTTCTTCTTTCCTGTCCTCAGGTGCCCTCCCCTGCCACAGACAACAGCAGTTTCTGCTACAATATTGGTAGTATGGACTGCACTGCCCTGTCCCTACCAAACCCAAACAGAACAGGCCCTGTAACCACCCTTTAGTGCAAAGGTGGAACTCTCATGAATGTGTCTTGAAGCTTTCATACTTGATTCTGGCCTCACCTTAGAATCACATGAGGCACTTAATTAAAACAACATGGATGCTTCTATGCAGAACCTGTTGAAAGGGCACAAGTAAAGAGATTTTTGTAAATTGGCTGTGGAATTCTAATTAGAAACCCCGGCTGATAACCACTTGGCAAAGCATTGCCCCTCGAGCTGTAATGAGCTTATAAATCACTTGGTAATTTTGACCCCATTCTACATAATGTGATTCTGCAGGTCTGAAAAGGGTCCAAAATGAGTGTTTTAAACAAGTCCCATCGGTGCTGATGTAACTCCCCCTGGGCTCACCATTAGTATTAGTTAGACAAAGCAGGCACAGCACAGAGTCCCTTCCACTCAGGACTCTTGTCACAACACAAAAAGTTCTGATACAAATGAAGACAACTCATCTGTACACTAAAGTATCATATTCTTTGCTGACTCTTTAAAGTTTACAGAACAGGTGGCCTACTTACTTAAAGAGCCAAAGTGGAATGGGCTCAGTCATGGTGGATGGGAGGCAGGACTAGATTGCAGCTCCGACTTGGACAGAGAAGTGTGTGGAGGTTCACAGTGTGAATTTTAGCTCCAGATTGACTGCAAGAACAAACTAGCAATCCCAAGAGGACCCACAGACCATCTGAAGGAAGCAGACTGCTCCTGCAGGACCTGAGAGACACCCCCAAGTGGGCTGATACAAGGTTGTCTGTCAGAAATTATTTATTTACAAAAAAAATTGATTATTAATTGGGTATATATACATCGTTAAGGTTTAGAGTATGGGTTATAGTGCACAGTGCAGCACTATTAATTTAATTTATAGCCACTGGTGGCAATAGTAAACAGTTTCAAGAGATAACTACATAGTTCAAAGAGGAAAGACGTAATTGTGTTCTCATTTTAATGTCTCTCTGAGTTTGACAACTATTAGGTTGGTGCAAATGTAATTCTGGTTTTTGCCATTACATTAAAAGGTAAAACCACAATAACTTTTGCCCCGACCTAACAAGAGGATTTGCATTCCTCAGATAAAAGGTTTTCTGTTCTCACTGATATGTGGGAGCTAAACTACGAAAACACAAAGGCATAGGAATGGTACAATGGACTTTGGGGACTTTGGGGGAAGAGTGGGAGCAGGGCAAGGGATAGAAGACTACAAATGGGTGTAGTGTAAACTGCTTGGGTGATGGGTGCACGAAAATCTCACAAATCACCACTAAAGAACTTATGCATGTAACCAAATACTACCTGTACACCAGTGACTTATGGAAAAAAAAAAGTCAAAGTGAAGAAACCTCTCTTTTCATAACAGATTAAAGTAGCTTCTCAAAAACCTGAAAAAAATAGTAAAATAAAGTTTACAGAACAAACAGAAGGCAGCAATGTCTGAATGAGTCTGCATTTGAAAAATAGCATATGCACAGGTACTAATGCAATGTTTGTTAAGCAGGTACTATGTGCTCAAGAGTATGTTACAGAGCACTGTGCTGGGCATAACATACTGTGTGATTTCATCCTCATAACACCCTGGGAGTTGGTACTAAGTGTTTAATAATTCCCAGGATTTAGATAAAGGACCCAGAATTTTAATTTTTCTGTTTCTCTGTCATTGATTTTTAAAAAATAAAATGTATAGAATAAAAGCTAAATATAGACAGATGAGAGGAATACAGAAATTAAGAGTTTAATGTAGTTTAGAGGAATTTTTATTGTGTTTATATTTAATTTATTGTGACTTGTGGAGCAACTACTGGATCTGCAGGAATAGAAAACAAGTTGCTAAATGGAATGTCTTGGTAAGCACTGATTTTAATAAAAAATTAAAAATACGTATTTTTCCACTTATCTGCTTTTGAGTTTCACGAAATCAGAGCACCAGCTCTAGAAAGGTAGCAAAATATACCACCCAAAACTCTGATCTCTTCTAATCAGTTCTGTGAGGCAAGGCTCCAGAGTGGGGCCAGACCAAAATAAGGCATCCAAAAAGGGTGAATCTGAACAGAACTGGGCCAAAGAGTGGACCCTGTGTAGAATTCTGTTCTCTATGCCAGTGGGGGTACTTCCAGTTCTGTTTTTCCTAGACTTACCTAAGAAAAACTTAAATTCCAGAGTTTGTGTAATTTTAATTTTTTTTAGCTACTGTGCTGTCAATTTTATAACATATACTAATAAGCAATTTAAGCAAATCTCTTAAGGTTTTCTAGGGTAATTTTATTAGAAGATAAATATATATTCTTAACAAGGTAAGAAAAATAGAAATAATAATAAAAATTCTTCTGTCCATAAATATCCCTTCAGCTGATGACATCAGAAGTTACAACAATGTAAAGAAAGTGGCCCAAATAAAGCCCAAGTTTTTTTGCACACACGTATTCATTGTACCAACCATATGATGCTTCATTCAACCATTTATCCAGTTGATAGTCTAAACCAAGAGTTTTTGGATGGTAGGGACCATGACTGCTTCATTTTTTTTCTAATGGTCATATTAATGAAGCAATTAGTTTATCTGCTTTGAGTCTCCAGACCTCCTCCTCGTCTTTTACCCAAAGTACCAGAAAACTAGAGAAACTCTCATCTGGGTACCAACCAAACACATCTCTTGTATGAGGAAAGAAACAAACACAAGATGATTCATTTCTCTTACATTGAAACAGAAGCGGAATTAACCACTCTTATCATCCTGACACAGTTCTGCTCTGGACATCATCAAATGTCTGAAATATACCTAGCTAATTGAGAGAGGGTTCCCAGTGACCCTGTGCTGATGGCCCAATAATAAGAAAGGCAGAAGAGACTCAGGCTCATTCTAAATAGAAAATGGAACTGCCCTGGCAGAGCTCCAGAACCTGGATCACCCGTCCTGATTTGCTAGCTCTTGGGTAAGAGGAAGGACAAGAATACTCTACTACAGTGTTCACTTTTTTTTTTTTTTGAGATGGAGTCTCGCTCTGTCACCCAGGCTGGAGTGCAGTGGCATGATCTCAGCTCACTGTAACCTCCGCCTCCTAGGTTCAAGCGATTTTCCTGCCTTAGCCTCCTGAACAGCTGGGATTACAGGCATGTGCCACCACACTCGGCTAATTTTTGTATTTTTAGTAGAGATGGGGTTTCACCATGTTGGTCAGGCTGGTCTCCAACTCCTGACGTCGTGATCCGTCTGCCTTGGACTCCCAAAGTCCTGGGATTATAGGCGTGAGCCACCACGCCTGGCCCAGCATCACATTTTACAGGTAGGTATAGTTGTGTTATGGCTCTGGATACTTTGTGGCCTTGATCTCACTCCTACGATGCTTGTTTACACTTACTGAATCTGACATTAGATTCTATTTATACCAGAAGCCTCTCACACAACTGAAGCAGGTCATTGGACAAGATCTGAAAAGCTCAAAGAGCCACACTCTCAAAAGATGTCTTTAAAATGCCCATGTTGACATCTCACAATGCAGAAGATGCCTCCTGTTAGTTTTTTTTACATTCTGAATCCAAAGTGTGGCCTTGTCTTGTAAATCCCAAGAAGAGGCCTGGCCTTATGTGCAGATCCTAGATGGGATCAACCTGGCTCTGCATCCTTGGGTATTAGAGCAAGCACACAACAATCAAAGGAGAGATCTCCTCATAGAGGCTGCTCTGGCACACTCTAGATTATACATCTATCTAGAAGGTAGAAGATGAGGCAACATGAACAGAAGTAGGCAGTTTATTTGGGCCAAGCTTGAGGATTGTAAACTGCGGGCAAAGATTCAAGTTGACTGGAATCTACACTTCAATTAGCAGCACTTACAAGTGGATTTGCAAAGGCAAAGAGAGAGGGACAGAGTGTGGCCTGATAAAAGGTTGTCTGTGAGAAATTCTTATTTATTTACAGAATTAACATTGATTACTGATTGAGTGTACATCGTTAGGGTTTAGAGTATGGGCTATAGTGTCCAGTGTGGCACTATCAGTTTAATTTATAGCCACTGGTGGCAATAGTAAACAATTTCAAGAGATAACTATATGGTTCAAAGAGGAGAGAAAGACATAATTGTGTTCTCATTTTAATGTCTCTCCGAGTTTGACAACTATTAGGTTGGTGCAAATGTAATTGTGGTTTTTGCCATTACATTAAATGGTAAAACCGCAATAACTTTCGCCCCGACCTAAAAAGAGGATTTGCATTCCTCAGATAAAAGATTTTCTGTTTTCCAAATCTCATGACCTAGATTCAGAATTTCCATCTGCAGATTTAGGTCCTGAATAGGTGGAGTAGCAGTAGCAGATGTTACCTGAACATTTGTGAGCAGTTTACCAAGAGGAGGAAGGGGAAAGTGGAGATTCTCATGTCCACATGTCTACTCAATGCACACGTGTTACTCTGATTTGGTTTCTTGGCTCCATGGTCTCTTAATCAGTTTCAGGTTTGAAGACACAAGAGTCATTGAAAGAGGTAAAATGGTTGATTTCCACCCTGTAACATTTGTACAAAT